>NC_000003.12:35010000-36260000 GCF_000001405.40 Homo sapiens
GATGCATTGTATTCTGAAGTCTTCTCAGCATCCAGAAGAGTGTCTGATACACGGAAAGCCCTCAATAGATATTTTTGAGAATAATTTTTTTTTAAAAAATCAAAAAATATATTAGGCAATTTTCAGCCTATGGGAAGATGTTTTTCGAGGTATTTAAAGAAGGTATATTTAAATTCTTTTTTTTTTTTTTTTTTTTTTTTTTTTTGAGACGGAGTCTCGCTCTGTCGCCCAGGTCGGACTGCGGACTGCAGTGGCGCAATCTCGGCTCACTGCAAGCTCCGCTTCCCGGGTTCACGCCATTCTCCTGCCTCAGCCTCCCGAGTAGCTGGGACTACAGGCGCCCGCCACCGCGCCCGGCTAATTTTTTGTATTTTTAGTAGAGACGGGGTTTCACCTTGTTAGCCAGGATGGTCTCGATCTCCTGACCTCATGATCCACCCGCCTCGGCCTCCCAAAGTGCTGGGATTACAGGCGTGAGCCACCGCGCCCGGCCTATTTAAATTCTTTATTTCCCTAAATACACAAAGAAGATTAACAAGTACAGGATTTAGATATTTTTCGAGCAATTTAAAAAATAGTACTTAAGCTTTAACTTCAAATGCTCTCATACAGAATTTCAATTTATAATATATTTGTCACAGAGAATCTATTTCTCTCTCCTCTTCTGCTGAACTCTGTAGTAGGTACTCCCCTGATTATGCTGTTCCTCTGAGGTACCTGCCCTGACAAGAGTTGTAGGTGAATTACACTAACACCTTCGGGCTCCATGAGCTGTTTATCAACCTTCTTCTGGAAAACAGTAAGGCCTTCAAGTTTCAAGTCACCTTCACTGAATGCCCTCTGCACCAGTCAAAGGGCATAAAGAGTCCCCATCAAGCTAATTTGTATTCTGTTCTTCCTTTCCTCATAGTGTTTACACTTTTCACCATTTCCTCTATCTCCACGCTGTTCAAAATGTGGTTCTTGCAACAATGCTCCTTCTAAAAACTCTAGCATCAGGAAGATGGGACTTGGCTCCATACATTTTAATATGTTCCCCACATGACACTTAAGAAATCGGATATTTGAGAACCAACTACAGTATTCTTAAATCCAAAAGGACCTACATTCCAGTAAATACAAAATCAAGTGACTTATAAATCAAAAACAGATGGATTGATTTTTTTCAACTCAATGTGGCATTAAAACATATCTGTCAAAAAGTAATTTAAAAATAGTTAGTCACCCAACCAAATAAGCATACTCTTGTCCTTATTTTCACCTACCAAGTGATGCTTTCAGTTTTTCTGATTTAAATTTCCTCTTGTCGTACTTCACTTCCTCATAATGAAAATGAATTAGAAAATGAAATGAAAATGAAATTCCTTTCATTTTCTAATTCATTTTCAGTATGATGGATCTCTAGTATGCAGGGATCTATAGATAATCCTCCTGTTTTTGGTTTGTTTATTTTTGGTTTTGTTATTGTTGTTGTTTTATAGTCTATCTATAATCGTGTTAGGGATGCCATAACAAAGTGTTAGAGACAGAGTGGCTTAAACAACAGAAATATATCTTCTTACGGTTCTGAGGCTGGAAGTTCAAGATCAAAGTGTCAGCAGGTTTGGTTTCTTCTAAGCCTTCTCTCCCTGGCTGTGATTGGCAATCTTCTTCCTGTGTCTTTATGTGGTCTTTCTCTGTACCTGCATACAGATTTCCTATTTTTATAAAAGCACCAGTCATATTGGACTTGGACTCACCATAATAATTTCATTTTAATTTAAAGACCAAACACTCTCCAAATATACAATTTATACATGGAAGTCCTAACCTTTCATAATTACGTGGTATGTGGTATGAGGGGTTAGGACTTCCATGTACAAATTTTGAAAAAACACAATTTGATCGATAAAACTACCACAGCTTTCACTAACAAGCTTGCAGTTAATGGTTTGTCACTACTATTTTTTCCAATATCTGCACATCTTTTCCCATTGCCTTACTATCACAGTGACTGGGAAAATCCTAACTGATGAATCCAACTTTCCACCTTTTGCTGGACTGCATCTAAGTAGCTCAGTGACTTGAAAGAATTTGATAAAGATGCAGATTGATACCATGATGAATTATCAGATTATAATTTTTGCAGCCCTCTAATATAAAACTTATAAGCTTACTAGATTCTATACCCATTCTCTTTTTATGTTGTTATCATGAAAGAATTACCTCTTCATGTCTAAAGCTAATAGTTTTGTGTTCTTGATGTTTAACAATCTCACTCTTATTTTAATATTTTAATTCAACTTTCCTTTATCTAGCATCCTGTTTTCATGAGGAGTTTCACAATTAAACATGTGTAATCCCTTCTTACGTAAAAATACTTATCAATATTTAACAAATATTGATTTAGCCCTGTGTGCCAGGCAGTCTTCCAGGCATGGCAATGCAATGCACCAGTGTGCAAGACACAATGACCACTCCCAAATAATTTAGATTCCATTAGAAGGAAACAGCTAACAAAACCAAGTCATATATAAGAAAATGTATGACAAAGCATTAAATAGTGTATGGAGGAAAATAAGAGTGTGTAAGGGAAAGAAATAAAGTACACTATTAGGGAGGATGGTTGAAGATGTTCTCCAAGGAGGTGACTTTTTAGGAAAGATTTGGATTAGTTGAAGGAGTGAGCCCTTCACTCCTTTAGAAAATTCCAAACAAAGGAAATAGAAACTTCCCTCAGGAAATACTCTTGGAATGTTTAAAGAACAGCAATCAACTGCAACAATGAATGTGAGAAAAGGATGTTGGAGATGCAACTGAGGGTCAGACAGTATAGGGCATTATGAGCCATTGTAAAGATTTTAAATTTGGCCCCATATGTGGTGGAAGGTTAAATATAGTGTGCATTTTTCTACATTTTTATGATTATATTTGACATTGGCAATACTTTGAAATTTATATACAGGAAATATTTTATCCCTATTACAATAACACACATATATGTATATGAATATGTGTGTATATTTTGTTGTACAAAAATCTTTTATATGTCTGGTTGGATAACTCTTTTCCTTTGTTATTAATATGAAGAGTTGTATTATTAATTTTTCAATGCTAGTCCACTAAAGCATAATTGAAATGCTTATATTTTACTTTAATACATTTTTTAATCCATTGACTTCTCTTTCTGATTTTTAAATGTGTATTTAGAATGCATTCTTTTTCATTATCTGGGAAAACATACAAGTCACGCTCTTGAACTTTCTTTAAAGAATTCACCCTAAATAATTGTTATTCATAACTTTATGAATCCCATTTAATCTATAACACAGAGCATTCGGCATTCAATAGAAAATTAATCCATGAATTGACTGCAACTTTGCACTTTTTAAAGGCTCATTTGAGGTAATTGAAAAGAAAACAAATCTAAGGCATGTGCATTACCTATCTCAGTCAGTTCTTTAAGCTTAACTCTTATAGTTTAGTAGGTTATTAGGAACAAATGACCATTAAGCACATTGTTCTGACTTCCTGAAGAATTAATGACATTCTGTCATTATTTTGAAATAAGAAATACCCATTTGAGGCTGGGCGCCATGGCTCACGCCTGTAATCCCAGCAATTTGGGAGGCCGAGGAGGGCAGATCAACTGAGGTAAGGAGATCGAGACCACCATGGCCAACAAGGTGAAACCCTGTCTCTACTAAAAATACAAAAATTAGCCAGGTGTGGTGGTGGGCACCTGTAATCCTAGCTACTCAGGAGGCTGAGGCAGGAGAATCGCTTGAACCTGGGAGGTGGAAGTCGCAGTGAGCCAAGATGGCTCCACTGCACTCCAGCCTGGGCCACAAAGCGAGACTCCATCTCAAAACAAGCAAACAAACAAACAAACAAACAAAAGAAATACCCATTTGACATGGATTATTTGTAATGTTAAAAAATAACAACATAGGCCGGGTGCGGTGGCTCATGTCTGTAATCCCAGACGTGATAACATAAAATTCCAGGTTACTTATAAACCCTCCCATAATTTATCAAACCTTATGGAGTTCCCAGTAGCTCCTTTATAATATACATACTTGATGACTATTTTTTTCAGCATTGGAAATTCAATGAATTGATAGTAATCTAAATGCCTGTATTACTGACCCATCCCCCTGGAGATATTTTTATTTACTTTAAAAAGTGGCTTATAAAATTAATTACAGATAAAATAAAGTACCACTTGGGAAAATTTAGTTATCGTACTTGATATTGAATACAGGTCCTGCTTATGTAACAAATAAAAAAATATATAAAAATCCCACTTTCAGAAATACCAAGCTTATCTTGAGATTTATTTATTTATTTATTTATTTAATTATTATTATACTTTAAGTTTTAGGGTACATGTGCACAATGTGCAGGTTAGTTACATATGTATACATGTGCCATGCTGGTGTGCTGCACCCGGTAACTCGTCTTTTAGCATTAGGTATATCTCCTAATGCTATCCCTACCCCCTCCCACCACCCCACAACAGTCCCCAGAGGGTGATGTTCCCCTTCCTGTGTCCATGTGTTCTCATTGTTCAATTCCCACCTATGAGTGAGAACATGCGGTGTTTGGTTTTTTGTCCTTGCCATAGTTTACTGAGAATGATGATTTCCAATTTCATCCATGTCCCTACAAAGGACGTGAACTCATCATTTTTTATGGCTGCATAGTATTCCATGGTGTATATGTGCTACATTTTCTTAATCCAGTCTATCATTGTTGGACATTTGGGTTGGTTCCAAGTCTTTGCTATTGTGAATAGTGCCACAATAAACATACGTGTGCATGTGTCTTTATAGCAGCATGATTTGTAGTCCTTTGGGTATATACCTAGTAATGGGATGGCTGGGTCAAATGGTATTTCTAGTTCTAGATCCATGAGGAATCGCCACACTGACTTCCACAATGGTTGAACTAGTTTACAGTCCCACCAACAGTGTAAAAGTGTTCCTATTTCTCCACATCCTCTCCAGCACCTGTTGTTTCCTGACTTTTTAATGATTGCCATTCTAACTGGTATGAGATGGTATCTCATTGTGGTTTTGATTTGCATTTCTCTGATGGCCAGTGATGATGAGCATTTTCTCATGTGTTTTTTGGCTGCATAAATGTCTTCTTTTGAGAAGTGTCTGTTCATATCCTTAGCCCACTTTTTGATGGGGTTGTTTGTTTTTTTCTTGTAAATTTGTTTGAGTTCATTGTAGATTCTGGATACTGGCCCTTTGTCAGATGGGTAGGTTGCGAAAATTTTCTCCCATTTTGTAGGTTGCCTGTTCACTCTGATGGTAGTTTGTTTTCCTGTGCAGAAGCTCTTTAGTTTAATTAGACCCCATTTGTCAATTTTGGCTTTTGTTGCCATTGCTTTTGGTGTTTTAGACCTGAAGTTCTTGCCCATGCCTATGTCCTGAATGGTAATGCCTAGGTTTTCTTTTAGGGTTTTTATGGTTTTAGGTCTAATGTTTAAGTCTTTCATCCATCTTGAATTGATTTTTGTATAAGGTGTAAGGAAAGGATCCAGTTTCAGCTTTCTACATATGGCTAGCCAGTTTTCCCAGCACCATTTATTAAATAGGGAATCCTTTCCCCATTGCTTGTTTTTCTCAGGTTTGTCAAAGATCAGATAGTTGTAGATATGCGGCATTATTTCTGAGGGCTCTGTTCTGTTCCATTGATCTATATCTCTGTTTTGGTACCAGTACCATGCTGTTTTGGTTACTGTAGCCTTGTAGTATAGTTTGAAGTCAGGTAGCGTGATGCCTCCAGCTTTGTTCTTTTGGCTTAGGATTGACTTGGCGATGCGGGCTCTTTTTTGGTTCCATATGAACTTTAAAGTAGTTTTTTCCAATTCTGTGAAGAAAGTCATTGGTAGCTTGATGGGGATGGCATTGAATCTATAAATTACCTTGGGCAGTATGGCCATTTTCATGATATATATTCTTCCTACCCATGAGCATGGAATGTTCTTCCATTTGTTTGTATCCTCTTTTATTTCATTGAGCAGTGGTTTGTAGTTCTCCTTGAAGAGGTCCTTCATGTCCCTTGTAAGTTGGATTCCTAAGTATTTTATTCTCTTTGAAGCAATTGTGAATGGGAGTTCACTCATGATTTGGCTCTCTGTTTGTCTGTTATTGGTGTATAAGAATGCTTGTGATTTTTGTACACTGATTTTGTATTCTGAGACTTTGCTTAAGTTGCTTATCAGCTTAAGGAGATTTTGGGCTGAGACAATGGGGTTTTCTAGATATACACTCATGTCGTCTGCAAACAGGGACAATTTGACTTCCTCTTTTCCTAATTGAATACCCTTTATTTCCTTCTCCTGCCTAATTGCCCTGGCCAGAAATTCCAACACTATGTTGAATAGGAGTGGTGAGAGAGGATTTAAACTGTTTTGGGCCAGGCACAGTGGCTCACACCTATAATCCCAGCACTTCGGGAGGCCGAGGCTGGAGGATCACGAGGTCAGGGGATCATGACCATCCTGGCTAACACGGTGAAACCCCGTCTCTATTAAAAATACAAAAAATTAGCCGGGCATGGTGGCACTTGCCTGTAGTCCCAGCTACTCAGGAGGCTGAAGCAGGAGAAACGCTTGAACCAGGGTGGCAGTGCCACTGCACTCCAGCCTGGGCCACAGAGCGAGACTTCATCTCAAAAATAAATAAATAAATAAAATAAAACCAAAAATGCTTTTTGGAGAATGTATGTGCATCTTTAAAATGGTAAATGAAGACATTCACATTTTATTCAAATATATGTATGTACCAACTTACCCTACTTTTGAAGAACTTTGTGTCATGAAACATTTTTTATTTTTTTTGAGACAGAGTCTCGCTCTGTTCGCCAGGCCGGAGTGCAATGGTGCAATCTAGGCTCACTGTAACCTCCGCCTCCTGGGTTCAAGTGATTCTCCTGCCTCAGCTTCCTGAGTAGCTGGGACTACAGGCCCCTGCCACCACGCTCGGCTAATTCTTGTATATTCAGTAGAGACGGGGTTTCACTATGTTGGCCAGGATGGTCTCGATCTCTTGACCTCGTGATCCACCCACCTCAGCCTCCCAAAGTGCTGGGATTACAGACGTGACCACTGCGCCTGGCCCGAAACAGTTTAAATCTCACGATAAGCTTGGTATTTCTTAAAGTGGGATTTATATTTTTTTTTATTTGTTACATAAGCAGGACCTGTATTCAATATCAAGTACAATAACTAAATTTTCCCAAGTGGTACTTTATTTTATATGTAATTAATTTTATAAGCTGTTTCAACTCACTTTTTAAAGTAAATAAAAATATCCCCAGGGGGGATGGGTCAGTAATACAGGCATTTAGATGACTATCAATTCATTGAATTTCCAATGCTGAAAAAAATAGTCATCAAGTATGTATAAAGGAGCTACTGGGAACTCCATAAGGTTTGATATATTACTAGAGGGTTTATAAGTAAGTAACCTGGAATTTTATGTCTTGCCTTTATATGGAAAGTATAATTAGATGTCATTACATAATATTTAAGTATTGAAATATTTTGAAGAAAGGAGAGATGGGTTTTTCAGGGAGACTCCATAAAACTGCAAATAATTTAAGGTGGCCAAGAAGAAAATAAAATTGAATTAAGATACGTAAACATATTCTCAGTAGCTGAAACAATATAAGGAAAACAAAGTCTACGTGCTGTTTGTAGGACAATGTAGACATGAAGGTGAATATTTATATCTGAGTGAATTTCTGGTGAGCTAAGTAAGGAACTGGGCCTTCAAATTGATGCCGCCTGTGACAGACAACACATTAAGCTGTTCTTCAATTGATACTTTTTTTTTTTAGTTACTATATGTGAAAGTTCATCAGGCCATCTTTATGCACTGTAGAATTCAAAATGCAAACTAACTTTACTTTTAGCGGAAACATATTTTTTTAACTTAGGGGGTTAACTTTCAGAGGCCCAAATCCTTTCTGATTAAAAAAAAAGAATAGTCTATTGCCAAATCGTAAGCATTCACTGAAAAATGAGTTCCATATGCTGTTTCTATGAGTGTCGATATCAGGTATGAGGTCATGGGGCACTGTAGAAATTTAATCTAGAAAAGGGCATGGCACAAATAAGTAGAGAGAATCAGTATCAGCTGGGTCTGAAATGGCTCCCAGTTGAGCATCTGAGTGCATTCAGTTTTGCTTGTGACTGCACTTACATACTTTTCCTGTAATATTTGTCCTTCCCCTATTGTCCCATTCTCCATGACAGATATCAAATAGCATAAACACATTTGGAAGAAAGAATAAGTCTTTTGTTTTATAACTAAACATTAATCTGCAAATTATAGCATTTGTTTCCTGTGTTGGTTCCATAAGGAGTATCCTAATAGACTCATAATAGACTGCCATTAACTCATCAGCAAAAAGTAAGGTGCCTACAGTAGAATAAACTATTATATTACAATTAAGTAAGTCCAGTGGACTCATTGGTACTTCCACAAAATTATACTCAAATGCTTGATTATGAAAATCATTGAAGGGGGACCATAATTAAAATATCTCTCTGTCTCTAGCAAGGAGGAATGCTTCCAGAAAAGCAATATGGCTTTCATATACAAACTTTTTGTTTTATGATTCAAAAACTATTGTTTTCTCAAGTGGGAAACAATTTTGAGAGCTTACTATGCATCAAGCATTTGTAAATTGCTAATGTCAACAAAGTTTAAAGCAGTGCTTTACCCAAGGAGAGGAACTTCCAGTGATGGCAGATAGATGAACATTTAGCATTTACTCTATGTCCGTGGTTAGAAGCACAGGGTTCTGCCAGATTCCACAGAATCTATGAAGGTTAGAAAGCAGAGGTTAAGGAAGGTTTTTAAGAGAGAGCAATAACTGGACTCAGGATTTGAGGATGTGCAGGATTTAAAACACGTATAGTGGTTATGTTTACCACTCAAGAATGGTTGATGAGATGAACCCTAATATCTTTCAGGCAGAGAAAGTCAGCCTGACTCTTGAAGTCACAAGAGAGAGGACATGCAAAGTGGGCTAAGAACAGGTACTTTATTGTGAGAAGCATAGAGTGTCAGTGACACACGGGTGAGGAGACCCTGGACAGCCAAGCAGGGCATGGGAATGCACATGGGGCTAGTTCTAAGGAGTGGGAGTCTATGCTGTAATCAGTGAAGGCCGCTAAAGAATTGTAAGCAGAAGAACGGCAGAATCAGATTTCTATTTTAAAAATCAGATGCATGGTCACTTTTAGAGCAGAACCTTTCTCTATTAATCTTTCAGAAAGAGATAATTGACTCCTTAATTACAAAGGACCTCCTGGTAGGAATGTTATCTTCTTTCCTAGTAGTTCAAACAATCTTATAGATATTATGACCTAATTTTTTGTTAACATTACCGTGATTTCATCTATTTAGCTGTGTTTTATGTCTTCAGACTCATGATTTGTGCTGGGCTTTGTACCAGATAGATTAAATATGTGGAATTTACCATACAAGAGTGTTTTTGAACCTGAGATGAAATGTTCACCAGATTTCCAAACCAAGTGCTTTCATGTAATTGCCTAAGTGCCTGGAACTCAAGATTAAAAGAAAAAAAATCAAGCCACCTCTTTTGAAATCTGTGAAGAGGCACTGTTAATCACATTTTCCTAGTACCTGGGCTTTTGGAAATGTGATATTTTAAGTTCGTGCTTTACCGACTTGACAATTTACAAATTACCTTTCAATAAAAAAGAAATATATTGGATATCTCTGCCCTTGCTAGCTCTCTGTACCCTTAAGTAAAATAGCTTGAGTTGCTTCTATAATGAGACAGCTCAGAGATTTCTGTGTTGCTGTATGAATTTACAGAGAAAATAAAAATAAACATCCAAAAGGATAATTCTTATTCAGCCCATTTTGCCAATTGTATCAGTCATGTTTTTGAAATACAAATGTGAATATGGTATTCTTGGTCAAAGGCAATAATTTTCTTTCCAGGCACATGTATTGATCAGTGTTTTTTCTCTACTAAAAACATTTTTATTGCCCAGCATCTTCTAGAGCCAACACTTTTGCTCTCTCCTCAGTTGGTTTGATAAAACTTCCCACTTCAAATTACATTTAGGAATAATCTACACCTCATTCCCCAAAAATATCTAGTGCTATAGGCTTCAAGCTGTTTGGAAATACGACTTCTTATTGTTTTCTTTCTACTTTCTCCATTGTAGATAGAAAACAATGTTTGAATCAGTAACACTCGTCAGATTAAGTTAATACACAAATTTGTAGAGTGCTTATTATGCTTCAAGTAGACTCTAAGCCCTTTCCATATGTCTTGTTAACTTATGTAATCCTTACAATGAGCCTATAAGGGAGCTATTACAATTATTGGCATCACAGAAGAAAACACTAAGGCAAAAAGGTAAGTAATATACATACATATAATATATATATGTTATATATGTAATATATACCATATATAAGTAATATATATTATATAAGTTATATACAAGTATATGTTATATATGTGTATATATAAGTTATATATAACATATATGTATATGTATATATAAGTATATATAAGTAATAAGTTAAGTAATATATACGTTAAGTTATATTAGAGGCAGAGTCTAGCTATGTTGCCCAAACTAAATGCCAGTTCCTGCCTGAGCTTTAAGTATCCTCTCAACTCAGCCTCCAAAGTGGCTGGGGCTATGGGCACATACCACCACTCACAGCTGCATCACTATGTACCCCATAAGTATGTTCAATTATTATGTCAGTTAAAAAATAAAAATAAATAAATTGGAAATGCAATTAAAAAAACCCTAACTTGCTCAAGTTTACACAGAACGTAAATGAAGAAACTCAGAAACTAGCTCCACTGTCTGTGCTCCTAAAGGCTATTCTAATACTGAAAATGGAACTTATTTGTCACCTTCTTATTCTCAAGTACAGCAACCATCAGAATAAACAGCATATAAATTCACATTTTCCAATGAATATTGGCTTGCCCTACTAACATTCAGATTTTTCCTTTTTTAAAAAACTCAGTATATACCAAATAGAAAAACAAATTATGGTCTCATTTTCCAACAAGGCAAAAACTGTATTTAGTTGTGCATGTGTAATTTTAAACAGATTGGAGATAAACCTTATTTAGTTCTTGAAAATTTCACAAGACATGCATTGAATTAAATCAATCTTGTTGATTTGGACATAGAAATTTGCTTTTAACCACACACACAACACATGTAGGTTTACCATTAATACTTTACAAACACACACAAATTTATTTGCAAGGAAATTTCCCATGTACTTTCTGAGGTCATCTTGTCAATAACACTCTTGAGCAGACAGTGAAGTTACTATCACCTCCTTTATATACAGGTAGAAACTGAAGTTCAAATAAAGAAAGGAACTTGTCCAAGGTCACCCGCTAAATGAGTTGCTGAGGCAATATTTAAACTTCAATGTTCGAGGTGCTAATTTACTCCCACAAAACCAGACATTTTCCAATACAAGTTATATAACCTCTAATCTTTTCATGACTTTATTTCTCTTTTTTTAGCTCACATATTTAAAATATATCTGGTGAGCTCATGGTGTTGATTTTATTTGCTCCAGCGGTCATGCTTCACCCATAGATTTTCATGCAGGATTTGGATGTTATGAGATTTGAAGCACTTACATTTTTGTTTTCCTGAAGACTCATTTTTTTTTTTCCCCTTGCCTGCTATCAAAACCTCATGTTAACCCTTCAAATTCAGACTTAAAATCTGTGGGATTTAGCTTATTTTTTCAACCTAATCGTAAGTACTTAGTATGACATAGGGTACACAAATAGTAATAAATTGTAATTTTGTATTTGTCACATGATAGAATCATTAAAGCTCACCTAACTCTAATGTTTACAAGCTTTTTTTTTCTTGATTAGTTTATCAAACAGGTTTCGTTCAGCTTCACCATTCCATGTCCTATGGAATTTGCTTTTTCTTTGGTTATTCCTATGAAAATGCCAAAATGCTATGGAAATATGCTACTGATACTGTAATCCACGTAGCTGTTTATGTGTTCAGACAAACCCTTATGGGAGCAGACACTCAGCACTCTGATTATAGTGATGTTATTCACATGCAGAAACTCACTAAGATTTTTGCATTTCTTCATTCAAAAATTATTTCATCTTCTTATTAATAAACTTTGGCATCTTATGTTACCCTGGATTGTTCAAAATTTTTCTGGAGAGAGAAGTAGAAGTGTTTGCCACTGACATTTTCTGGTAAAAATGAAAGATACACTGCATTAGGGAAGGGATGTCATAGCAATGTGTACTAGACTATGCTGGGGTTTATTTAATGTTCGGCATTACTGAGAGGACATAATTAAGGACAATGTAGACCATTCAGACAAGTTTCTACCCTTGGGTAATGAACACAAAATTCTCTTCTTTTTCTTTCTTTTCTAAAACCTGTCACCAAGGTATTTTTAGCTCACCAAAAGTGAGTGATTCTGCTCTCTGAGCGAGTGGCTCATACTCTATACTGTGGAAAATGCTATTTATTATTGATTCTGCTATGCATATTCTATGGAATATAAAACACTCTAAATTTTCTACTGGTGCCATTGGCACAATACAGAAGAGAACTTTTTAAAAGGAAAACATTGCCTCATCTATAATAAATTAATAACAACCCAATGTGGGATTTTTTAAAGTAACTAAATGCATTCCAGCTATTTTTGAAGAGATTTTAAGCTATATGCAAATACACAGTTCTAAAAATTTCAATTTGGGGATTAGCATTTTGACACTTTTTCTCCCACAGGTTATGCTTGCCCTACCTAAAGTGTTTATATTTTCTCTGACATTCTGTATATGAACAGACAGGAAATAATTAACTCTCATTTATAAAGTGTTTTATAGTTTACAATTTTGTGTTTTAAAGTGTACATCTATTTTCTCTTGTTATCTGCAGAAAAATATAACAGGGTAGACTGTTATTAGTCCCATTTTCCAGAGGGTAAATTGAGTCCGAGGAAAAGCATGGGTCAGGCCGGGAGCAGTGGCTCACGCCTGTAATCCCAGCACATTGGGAAGCTAAGGTGGATGGATCAGCTGACGTCAGGAGTTCGAGACCAGCCTGGCCAATGTGATGAAACTCCATCTCTACTAAAAACACAAAAATAGCCAGGCATGGTGAGGCAAGCCTGCAATCCCAGCTACTCGGGAGGCTGAGGTAGGAGAATTGTTTGAACCTGGGAGGTAGAGGTCGCAGTGAGCCAAGATCATGCCACTGCACTCCAACCTGGGCAACAGAGCAAGACTCCACCACAAAAAAAAAAAAAAAAAAAAAAAAAAAGAGAAAAGAAAGAAAGAAAAAAAAGTATGGGTCAGCATGCTGTATGTACTGCTTTGCCTCAAACTGAAGGAAGACTTCATACATATCCCATTCCCTTTGAGATTTCTTTTTCAGGCTTTAACTTCTATCTGCTTATTCCTTCCCTGCACAACATGTTCAGACATATACTTCATTCAACCCATCTGTTTCTTAAACTTGCCTTCTGATACTTTGCTGTTAGATTATTTCTGTGTCTCCTGGCTCCACTGAATTTCTCGAACCCCATCACTACTCTTGGTCCTCAAGATAAGTGAGATAGAAAGTCACAGATAAAGCAAGTAAAGAAGAAACTAGGTCTCTGTCTCCATGTTGTCTGTCTCTATCCTCAGAGTTATATCAAGAGAAAGTAGAACCACAGTATTCCTATACCTGTATCTGCAGGGCAAGATAGGGGTTCTAAAGTCTTGGGGTTCTGACACATTTTTAGTATCTGCTGGATGTGTTAATATTTGCAAGTCATATGAGCCACCCTGGTTCTCATTCTACTGATAGGAAATGTTAATAATCCCTCATTTTCTGACAAAGTTAATATAAGACACAAATGATCTGTGAAAGTGAGTATTTTTTTGCTTTATAAAGCTCTATGTAAGGATATATCAGCTACTGTAATTATTATCGTAGACTTCCCCAGAGCAATCAGTGGCCATTGCTTATTGCTAGTGGAAAAAAAAAAATGTGAAGCCACAATGAATCTGAAGACATATACAAAATCTGAAGACATGTGCAAGCACTGGATCAGCAAGCAATGATCTCTGTCATCATTAATCTATTCCACACTTTAACCTCTGATTTACCTGTTGTCTCACCATTCATCAGGTAAGTCTTCTTGTTGTGCTATTTCTTTGCCAAGCTTGGGCACAAGATTACTTAAGATGCCTAAAAATCTAAGCATCTTGAGTCAAGCTGTCCTAAATATACCAGGGGGTCAATCCTCAAGAGATCTTAACACCTCCCAAGGTGGCGCTCAAGTTCTCAGCTAACTGCAAATTTACTAATCTCCAAAACTTCTGAACTTTTCCTTGAGTTAAAGTTCTCTTTCTTTCCAGACTTAAAACACCATCTTCAAGTCCCTTTCCATGTGGATCTCCTATCATCATCTTTTTAAGGTATTTTGTCACTTCAAATCAGGTTCTGTTTTTTTTTATCTTTTATTATTATTTTTGTACAAGCTACTAAAGGAGGAAAATAGTAGTAACCTGATTGCCTTCTTGTAAAGGTAGAAGAGAGAAATGTAGGAAAGATAAAAAAAAATAATTAAAGTGTCAACAGCTACATGTATAATTAAGGACTAGAGGATAAATAATAAAAACACCAAATAAAGTTGCCTGCCTGCCATCCTGGTTTGCAGAAAGGTGCTCACTAATATTTTGGCTTGATGGTAAGTTCCCTAATTTTTATACCAAATTTTGCTTATAATACCTGCTATAAAAAGAGGATAGCATCACAGTCAATTAGGTCAGAAGTATGCATGATAAAGTTCATGGTGGGAGAGAAAAACTGAGACAGAGAAAGAGAGAGAGAGAGAGAGAGAAGGAAGGGAATAAAGCAGGTCAATAAAACATACAGAATATTGGTTATAAAGAACAGGTGCTAATTGATCTTCAAATAAGATGATTGAGGAACACTTTTCTGGGGGAAAGGATGTTTCTATACTTCCAATCTTTCAGTGAAATAATGGACAAGTAAAGATAAAATGTATGAAAAAAAGTAATGTGCATCCAAGACACAGATAACCTTAAATGCTTAAAAAGTTGTTTCCATTCATTTGGCATTACAAATTACACTGAATTAAACACCTGTGTACATAAGTTTTGACCCATTTCAATCACTGGAAAAACAGATTCTTGGAAGTGAAATTATTTAATCAGGTGAATGATTGTATTTATGACTCTCTGTATGTATGGTAAGAATGCTTTGTCATTGATTAATGTTTTAAGACATATTTTAGTAGATATTGTAAAGATATGAATCCACTTAACTCTACAAATGTAATCTTTATGAAGAATCTGGAGGCCTCTGAAATTAGCCATATCATATATTTACTTATATTTCTTGTATTAGTCAGGATTATCCAGAGAAGGAGAACCAATATGATACATAAGAATATATAAAAGAGGAAATGTGTTATGGGAATTGGATTACTCAATTATGGAGGAGCATAAATCCCACAATCTGCTATGTGCAAGCTGGAGAACCAGAAAAGAAGGGGCAGGTTTGGGGTGCATTGCAAGTATCAAAATCTGAAGGCCCAAGAAGCAGGGGCTCTTATGTCCAAGTGCAGGAGAAGGTGAATGCCCCAGCACAGGGAGAGAGAACATCTACCTCCCCTTCACCTTTTGTTCTATCTGACGCTCAGCTTAACGGATTAGACAATGACTGCCCACACTGATGAGGGTGGATCTTCTTTACTCAGTCTACTGTTCCAAATGCTAACCTCTTCCAGAAACACCCTCACAGCACATCAGAAATAATGTTCTAAGAGATGACTAGGCATCCCTTATCCAAGTCAAGTTGACACATAAAATTAACTATCATATTCCTCTTTTGTCCTCCTCGTCTTCTGAGTCAAATTGGATAAGCAGATTTCAGGATTAGTGTCTTCTGACATAGAAAAAAATTCAATGTTCTCTCATTTGCTGATAATGTACTACGAGTAGAGATAGCATTAACTCTCAATTCTGAGTCACAGCTCTCTGAGAAATATATAATTTCTAGTGATAGACCAGCTAGCTTTCTAACACCAAAGCTTATTGTATATTAGACCCTGGTTAATGTGCATTGAAATGAAACCTAGAAAGTGTGAAGCCTAAATCTTTGGTAACAAACATGCAGTTTAGTTTATTCTACATGACCCAAATCCAATATCATGGTTTTCCCAAAATGGTGAATCTACTGACAGTCTGGAGATTAATTCAAATGTAAAGGAATTCTAATAATACCGTATGTCTAATTTTATCTTGCTTGGGTCTTCCACCTGAGTTTCTCCAGTGATTCTATCATACAGAAGGTGAAATAGCTGCTCTAAGCAGGTGGAACTCAACCTAAAAATATTCAAAAGACATTACGAGTAAAGAAAAGACCAAATGGTCAATCCAAAGTTTACTTTAAGAATCAGAATCTGAAGTACTTTTATTCGTGAAATTTGTTTCCTGAATATTACATGCTGCCTTAAATAAGAGAAGAAGTTGTGCTCGCATGCTGTGGATGATTCTCAAAAAAGCATTGAACTTGTCAAAATATTTTAATTTTTATCTGTTTGACTGTTCCCTGGTATTTTAGCCATGAGGAAGTTATCTACCCTTGAAAATTCCTCACATGGAAAATTGGAATAGTTATATCTTATTGTGAGAAATCAATATGGTAATATCTATCACAGTATTTTCAAATCTGCAAAGGACCTCAAGATAAAAGGAAACAAACATGCAGAATATCCTTTGCAGTAAGTCAGCAGTCCAGCTCCTGCCGTGAGACATGCCTGCTGTTTTCACCTTCCGTTATGAGTAAAAGCTTCCTGAGGCCTCACCAGAAGCCAAGCTGATGCTGTTGCCATGCTGGTACAGACTGCAAAACTGTGAGCCAAATAAACCTCTTTCCTTTATAAATTATGCAGTCTTGGGTATTCTTTTATACCAATGCAAAGGGGACTAAAACAGCCATACTGTCATTGTATTAGTCCATTCTCATGCTCCTGATAAAGACATAAGTGAGACTGGGAAATTTACAAAAGAAAGAGGTTTAATGGACTTTCAGTTCCACGGTGCTGGGGAGGCCTCACAATCATGGAAGAAGGTGAAAGACACATCTCACAAGAGAAGAGAGCTTGTGCATGGAAACTCCCCCTTATATAATCATCAGATCTCATAAGACTTATTCACTATCATGAGAACAGCATAGGAAAGACCTGGCCCCATGATTCAATTACCTCCCACCAAGTCCGTCTTACAATACATGGAAACTCAAGATGAGATTTGGGTGGGGACACAGCCAAGCCATATCATTGCATCCCTGGCCCCTCCAAATCTCAGGTCCTCATATTTCAAAACCAATCATGCCTTCCCAACAGTCCCCCAAAGTCTTAACTCATTTCAGCATTAACTTCACAATCCCAAGTCTCATCTGAGACAAGGCAAGTCCCTTCCACCTATGAGCCTGTAAAATCAAAAGTTAGTAACTTCCTAGATACAATGGTGGTACAGCCGTTGGGTAAATACTGCCATTCCAAATGGGAGAAATTGGCCAAAACAAAGGGGCCACAGGCCCCATGCAAGTGGAAAATTCAGCAGGGCAGTAGAATCTTAAAGCTCCAAAATGATCTCCTTTGACTTCATGTCTCACATCCAGGTCATGCTGATGCAAGAGGTAGGTTCCTATGGTCTTGAACAGCTCCACCTCTGTGGGTTTGCAGGGTACAGCCTCCCTTCTGGCTGCTTTGCTGGGCTGGTGTCGAGTTTCTGTGGCTTTTCTAGGTGCATGGTGCAAGCTGTCAGTAGATCCACCATTCTGGGGTCTGGAGGGTGGTGGACCTCTTCTCACAGTTCCTCTAGGTGGTGCCCCAGTAGGGACTCTCTGTGGGGGCTTGACCCCACATTTCTCTTCCACACTGCCATAGCAGAATTTTTCCATGAGGGCCCCACCCCTGAGGCAAACTTCTGCCTGGACATCCAGGCATTTCTGTACATCTTCTGAAATCTAGGAGGAGGTACCCAAACCGCAATTATTGACTTCTGTGCACCCACAGGCTCAACTCCATGTGGAATTTGCCAAGGCTTGGGGCTTCTACTCACTGAAGCTACAGCCTGAGCTGTACCTTGGCCCCTTTAAGTTGTGGCTAGAGCAGCTAGAGCAGCTGGGACACAGGGCACCAAGTCCCTAGACTGCACACAGCACAAGGACCCTGGGCCTGGCCAAAGAAACCCTTTTCTTTCCTTTGCCTCCTGGCCTGTGATGGGAGGGGCTGCTGTGAATACCTCTGACATGCCCTGCAGGAATCTTCCCCATTTGCCTGGGGATTAACATTGGGCTCCTTTTTAGTTATGCAAATTTCTGTAATGGCGTGAATTTCGCTTCAGAAAATGGGATTTTCTTTTCTGTTGCATTTTCAAGCTGTAAGTTTACTAAGCTTTTATGCTCCATTTCCCTTTTAAAATGGAATGCCTTTAACAGCACCCAAGTCACCTCCTTTTTTTTTTTTTTTTTTTTTTTTTTTTTTTTTGAGACAGAGTCTCGCACTGTCACCCAGGCTGGAGTGCAGTGGCATGATTTCTGCTCACTGCAACTTCTGCCTCCCGGGTTCAAGCCATTCTCCTGCCTCAGCCTCCCAAGTAGCTGGGATTACAGGTGTCCACCACCATGACTGGCTAATTTTTTGTATTTTTAGTAGAGATGGGGTTTCACTATGTTGGCCACGCTGGTCTTGAACTCCTGCCAAGTCACGTCTTGAATGCTTTGCTGCTTAGAAATTTCTTCTGCCAGATACCCTAAATCATCTCTTTCAATTTCAATGTTCCACAAATCTCTAGGGCAGAGGCAAAATACTGCCAGTCTCTTTGCTAAGACACAACAATAGTCACCTTTGCTGCAGTTCCCAACAAGTTTCTCATCTCCATCTGAGACTACCTCAGCCTGGATCCCATTGTCCATATCATTTTCAGCATTTTGGTCAAAGCCATTCAACAAGTCTCTAGGGAGTTCCAACCTTTCCCACATTTTTCTATCTTCTTCTGAGCCCTCCAAACTGTTCCAAACCCTGCCTGTTACCCATTTCCAAAGTCACTTCCAGGTTTTGGGATATCTTTTCAGCAGTATCCCACTCTACTGGTACCAATTTATTGTATTATTTCATTTTCACGCTGCTGATAAAGACATACCTGAGACTGGCCAATTTACAAAAGAAAGAGGTTTAATGGACTTACAGTTCCACATGGCTGGGGAGGCCTCACAATCATGGTTGAAGGTGAAAGGCACATATCACATGGTGGCAGACAAGAAAAGAGAACTTGTGCAGGGAAACTCCCCCTTAAATAGTCATCAGATCTTGTGAGACTTATTCACTATCATGAGAACAGCACAGGAAAGACCTGCCCCCATGATTCAATTACCTCCCACTAGGTTCCTCTCACACCACATAGGAATTCAAAATGAGATTTGGGTGGGGACACAGTCAAACCCTATCAGTCATGCATTTATTTTTTCTTCAGTATCTCTACTCCAGGAACCCTCATTTGGAGGTCCCCTGATGGGGGGAATCTTGAAGACACTTTTCTCCACTGTGACTCTGTACTCAGTACCATTCCAGTCCTAGCTTTCCCCCATCTCCTTCTCTCTGGCCTGGACTAGAACTATTAGTCTTTCTCTTTTGCCCATGACACTACACCTGAGCTTTCTTAGTGAGTCAGATTAGAATCCCAACAGAGGGCTGTGAACCTTATGAAGAATATGGTCTAACTAAAAATGCTAGTTTAAATGCGGAATCATAGTCTCTTGAACTTTGTAAAATTGGAGAATTTTATAAATTATTTTTTCATTGCCTATCTTCTATGTAATCATGGGTTCACCACTTATTGCCTATTGAAAATAATTTCATGAAGATCTTTATTCAGAACTTCTTGTTTTATCATGTAGATGTTTAGAATGTTTATATTTTCTTTTGACATTATCTGCTTCTTTTTGATATTGTTTTTTTCTGTGACTTTAATATAGTTTTCTTTATAGCTTTGCTACTTTGAAGAATTTTCAATCACAATTTTTGGCTTTATGGGATTTCTTCATTGTTAAAAAGAATAAATTTAATATAAAATGTTTATCTAATCTCTTTCCATCTATTAGCCTATTGGGTATGTGTTTTCTTCTCTGGTATAAATCATATAGTTCTTCTTATTTTTTTCCTCTTTTTTATTAAGATTAAATTAACATATGGTAAAATTAACCATTTTAAAGGATACAATTCAGTGGCATTTACTATAATTACAATTTTGTACCACTCCCACTCTCCCTAATTCCAAAACAGTTTCATCATCTCAAAAGAAAACCTGTACACACTAAGCAGTTGCTCCTCATATGTGATATGTGTCTATCTTCTTTCACTTAGCACATGGTTTTTAAGATTCATTCATATTGTACCATAATCAGTACTTTAGTCCTTTTTATAGCTGAATAATATTTCATTTTATGAACATTCCACAATTTGCTTACCATTAATTCATTGATGGACATGGAAGTTGTTTCTGTATTTTGGCTATTGTAAATAATGCTGCCGTGAACATGTCATTATATGTATTTTTCAGTATTTTTTTTCAGTTATTTTGGATATATTCATGGGAGTGGAATTACCGGGTCATATGGTAATTCTAAGCTTAAGTTTTTGAGGAACCTCCAAAGTGTTTTCCACAGTGGCTGCAATATTTTACATTCCTACCAGCAACGTCCAAGGTTTCTAATTTCTCTATATCCTGGCAAACATTTATATTTTCCTTTTATTTTTTATTTATCACAATTCCAGTGGGTGTAAAGAGGTGTCTCATTGTGGTTTTGATTTGCATTTCCCTAATGACTAATTACATTGAGTATCTTGTCGTGTGTTTGTTGGCTTGCTGGTTCTTCTTGAAGAAATATCTATTCAAGCCTTTGGCCCATTTTTTAATTGCGTCTTTTGTCTTTTTGTTATTGAGCTGTAAATATTCCTTAAATATTACAGATACTAGACATTTATCATATATATAATCTGAAGATATATGATTTGCAGATATTTCTTCCATTCTGTAAATCTTTTAACAATATCCTTTGAAGCACAAGATTTTTAATTTTGATGTAGTCCAACTTATTTGTTCTCCTCTTTCTTGCTCTATGATGTAATTTTCTTTACCTTCAATTTAGTTGGTTTCCTGGTACCACATTTTCACATTTTGAAACAATAGTTGTTTCTTTCATTTTTCTTTTTAACCATAGCAACCACATTTTTTTTTGTTTTCCTAATTAACTTTTTCACCTATGTTCTGTCTGTTCATTGTTTTTTATTTTCATCATCATCCTCTTGTTGTTTTTCTAACCAAGGTCCATGTAACTCTTTCATTTTTAAAAGAATCACCTTACTCATAGTATTTAAATCTGTGTTATTCAGAATAATTCATGATAGGAAACTAGAATCATCACAAGTTTAAAGAAGACTGTGAACTTACTTCCTCTTGTTTGTTCTTATTCTCCTCTCATTCATGACTTGAAGTGACGAGTACTAAATAAGGCAGGAAGGGAAGTGAGGAAAAAGGAAGAACAAAGGTAGTAAATAGCCTACCACTAATAATGTGGCACCCAAAGGACTTTAACCAATATATCCTAAAGCACCGACTTGATAACAATACCTTTGAATCCAAATTTATTTCAAAAAGTACTTTAGGGCAGCTAATTAGTTTAGAAGGACAGAAGGCAATATGGGTCTATAATGGAATGGAATGGGCTTTTAAGAGCTGGCTTTGAAACCTGGCTCTGCTCCTTAGGAACAGGGTGTTCTAGCACACTTCTTCTTAACCTATCTGGCCCTTAGTTCTTTTGGCTGTGTTTTCTTTATTTCTTCTTAGTTCTGGCATTTTCTAAGGACACAACAAAATCCTAAATTGTGAAGCTCTGCATGTGGTACTCACCAAATGTTAATTTCATTTTATTATTATTATTTTATTTTATTTTATTATTATTATACTTTAAGTTTTAGGGTACATGTGCACAATGTGCAGGTTAGTTACATATGTATACATGTGCCATGCTGGTGTGCTGCACCCATTAACTCGTCATTTAGCATTAGGTATATCTCCTAAAGCTATCCCTCCCCGCCCCCCCGCCCCACAACAGTCCCCAGAGTTTGATGTTCCCCTTCCTGTGTCCATGTGTTCTCATTGTTCAATTCCTACCTATGAGTGAGAATATGCGGTGTGTGGTTTTTTGTCCTTGCCATAGTTTACTGAGAATGATGATTTCCAATTTCATCCATGTCCCTACAAAGGACATGAACTCATCATTTTTTATGGCTGCATAGTATTCCATGGTGTATATGTGCCACATTTGCTTAATCCAGTCTATCATTGTTGGACATTTGGGTTGGTTCCAAGTCTTTGCTATTGTGAATAGTGCCGCAACAAACATATGTGTGCATGTGTCTTTATAGCAGCATGATTTATAGTCCTTTGGGTATATACCCAGTAATGGGATGGCTGGGTCAAATGGTATTTCGAGTTCTAGATCCCTGAGGAATCACCACACTGACCCCACAAGGGTTGAACTAGTTTACAGTCCCACCAACAGTGTAAAAGTGTTCCTATTTCTCCACATCCTCTCCAGAACCTGTTGTTTCCTGACTTTTTAATGATCGCCATTCTAACTGGTGTGAGATAGTATGTCATTGTGGTTTTGATTTGCATTTCTCTGATGGCCGGTGATGATGAGCATTTTTTCATGTATCTGTTGGCTGCATAAATGTCTTCTTTTGAGAAGTGTCTGTTCATGTCCTTCGCCCACTTTTTGATGGGTTGTTTGTTTTTTCTTGTAAATTTGTTTGAGTTCATTGTAGATTCTGGATATTAGCCCTTTGTCAGATGAGTAGGTTGCGAAAATTTTCTCCCATTTTGTAGGTTGCCTGTTCGCTCTGATGGTAGTTTCTTTTGCTGTGCAGAAGCTCTTTAGTTTAATTAGATCCCATTTGTCAATTTTGGCTTTTGTTGCCATTGCTTTTGGTGTTTTGGACATGAAGTCCTTGCCCATGCCTATGTCCTGAATGGTAATGCCTAGGTTTTCTTCTAGGGTTTTTATGGTTTTAGGTCTAACGTTTAAGTATTTAATCCATCTTGAATTAATTTTTGTATAAGGTGTAAGGAAGGGATCCAGTTTCAGCTTTCTACATATGGCTAGCCAGTTTTCCTAGCACCATTTATTAAATAGGGAATCCTTTCCCCATTGCTTGTTTTTCTCATTTTATTATTTTATAATTCTTATTGCAAAGGAAAGATCAAGTTATAATGTTATAGTCACAACTTTGTTGTTGTCAGAAATATTTATATTATATTTCTCTAAGATTTGATCATAGAACTTTTAAAAACAAAATGTTTACCTCTCTACAAATGACAGGGAAGCATAGGGTAACCTATAAAAACAACATTTAATACATGGAATAACCAAATAAAATTGCCTAGTCATTTTAAAGCTGTTTACTCTCTTACTTCATCTTCATTTTCTGAGCAAAAATTTAGAACATTTCTCAGCTATAAAACAGAAACAGGAAAGAAAACACTCCTAGATCTCACATTGTGATATAGGAGACAAGGAAAACAAGCACAGAGAGGCAGGAGCTATTCAAATGGGGAAATTAAAGGTGACTGGTGTCATAAAATATTAAAACATGGTTTAATCAGCAGTGAGGTATGTGAGTGAGCTTAATTAGAAATACATATTATTATTTGACTTTAAAGTACAAAATTAAAAATTAAAGGAATCTTACAGGATACGTAATCAGTGAGGAATAGTATGTTGGAAAATGAGTCTGATGTTAAATTTGTGTGCGCAATTAAAATTAATTAATTTTAGTTAGCATCCATGCATACAAATATGAAATCAACAAATTTTAAATATTAAACTCATAATTATAGTGACACTGGTATGTTGATACCAAGAAATGAGAGACTGCTCTATGGCATGTAGTCACCCTTTGCTGTAATGCACTGCTTTTGATCAAATCAGGGAGGCATCCTGTCTACAGGACAATTGTGATTATATAAAATGTGTCCACTTTTAAACTGATTT
Source organism: Homo sapiens (assembly GCF_000001405.40). Taxonomy (NCBI): domain Eukaryota; kingdom Metazoa; phylum Chordata; class Mammalia; order Primates; family Hominidae; genus Homo; species Homo sapiens. Next base: position 35,034,158 of record NC_000003.12, read on the forward strand.
AAATTAAAATTCATAGTGATGTTTTGCCTGTGTCAAATTTTCTTTCTTATCACATTCTAAATGTAAAAGGGACTTAATTTTAATTAACACATCATTACAGGTAGTCTAATATTAATGTTCACTAAGCCCTTTATAAGATTCATTAACAGCCATTTTGTGATGTAAGGACCCAGGAGACAGATAGAAAGTTGGGAGGCTATTTTTAGTCATTTCACTATTGATTTTACAAAATACTGAAAACTGAAGCACAATCCTTTAGCATTCCATAGTTAGGAAGGAGTGAAGTCATCCTAATACGTAAGGAAAGAGAGGAAAAGAGAGGGATAAGGGATACATATCTCTCTCTCTATGCATGTGTTTGTGTGTTTGTAGACATACAGATGTACAGATGCATAAAGAGAAAGCATTTTCTGATGCAGGATTAATATTGGTAGACTTCAAAGAAATTGTCAAACAGGGCAAGAACCAGCATATGAACAAAACTATTGGAATGAATTTGAACCTATTATTTAAAATTGACGGCCAGGCGCAGTGGCTCACACCTGTACTCCCAGCACTTTGGTAGGCCCAGGCTAGTGGATCACGAGGTCAGGAGATGGAGACCATTCTGGCTAACGCGGTGAAACCCCATCTTTACTGAAAATACAAAAAAAAATTAGTGGGGCGTGGTGGCGGGCGCCTGTAGTCCCAGCTTCTCGGGAGGCTGAGGCAAGGGAATGGCGTGAACCCAGGAGGCGGAGCTTGCAGTCTGCCGAGATCGCGCCACTGCACTCCCCTGGGCGACAGAGTGAGATTCCGTCTCAAATAAAATAAAATAAAAATAAAAATAAAGTTGACCACAGATCCGTAGATTACACAAAAGATGATGAATCAATATCCTTGAACATTAAAACAGGTGACTGCTATTATATCTTATTAACCTTTCCCCAGCCAATACCAGCTTATAAAGACAATCTGAAATTTCTAGGCCATTCATCTATACTTTCTGCTGTGCTACCGTCTACTTCCACCATCCACTATACCTTTGATTCTGACATGTTCTATTTGTTGCTAGACTGCATCTTCTTGGCCTTCATTAAGCTAATTTTCGTCTCTGGTCCAGTGGTGAAATGGTGCTTACAGCTCATGCCCCACTCGCATAATGCCCCATGGATTATTTCAGGACTGGACAGCCATATTTGAAGGCAGATGCCTTTCTCAAAAGGTGAACTTATGTCACATTTTGTCAACCTCAGCAACATCTTCCTTCACTGCAGCCTCTCAGAAAGATACTGGAATGTGGAGTCAAACAAGATAGAAGAGGGGAAAACAGCAAGGGGAAGGTTCTCAAGGGAAGACAGTAAGATTCATGTGGTCTTTCGAACTCCAGTGTATTTTCTGGTCATCAGGAATAGATTGATGGAGACCAAGGGGGTGTGAACTGAATTTCACACAGATTGGACATCAGCTTCCATGGAGACATTTAGGATCTGGCTCTGTGTCCATTGACCTTTTGACTTATGAGCTAGGTTTCAACACCAAATACAAAAAAAAAAAAAAAAAAAAAAAGGTGGGGGAAAATGATTGTCTGTCTATTCTACTCTATTCCATAACCTACATGTACTATTCTCTTAGACCATCATACTTACCCTGCTCAAAAAGCAAGCAGTTTGGGTTTAAAAATATGTTTATTTCTTTAAAACAGTAGTACTATTGGACTTGGTCTTGCTGCATATTTTTTAGCAGTTACCTGTGGCTCAGACGCGCTCCATTCAGGCCCTTTACATCTTGGACTTGACTTTTCCTCATGGATTTGGAAGGCTGTTTTAGCTTCAAAATCTGCCTTTCCTTCAAGTAAAGAATTTCTATTCAGAAACTTTGAGTTTCCATAACTCACCTTCAATTATCTAGTGTGGAAAATAATTTGAATCTCATGGCATGGGTATGAGGGATTATGAGGGGTAGAAATGAAGTGTTTCCGTGGGAGACATGGCTGACTAAAATAAACACAGAGAGAATGTCTTCTTCGAACTTCCCTTCTCTGTGCCATAGTAATAGTCAGGACTGACTCTCTCTCTCTCTCTCTCTCTCTCTCTCTAGAGAGAGAGAGAGAGAGAGAGAGAGAGAGAGAGAGAGAGGGGCTTCCAGCCAACACAAAAAGGAATCTACAAAAACTTCTAGAACTATCAGTGAATTCATTAAGTTCACAGGATACAAGACCAATAAAAAAAACTCAATTCTGTTTCTATAAGCTAGCAATAAACATCTGAAAACTGAAATTTAAAATATGATACTATTTACAACAGGTCCAAAAAAGTGATCCTCCTAGATATAAATCTAAGCAAATGTACAGAATTTCTGTGATGAAAACTACAAAATGCTGATTAAAAAAATAAAGATCTAAATAAAGGGAGACACATGCTGTGTTCAGGGATTGGAAAACTTAACATAGTAAAATATGTCAATTTTTCCCCCCTCGACATACAAATTTGACACAATTGCTATAAAATCTCAATATTATTTCATTTGACATAGAGGCAAGATTATTTTAAAATTTAAAAAAATTGGCAAGGAAGTAAAATAGCAAAAGTTCAAAAAAAGAATAAAATAGGAGAAAAAAATGCTACCTGATTTCAACATTATTATAAGACTACAGTAATCAAGATTTCATGATTGAAGGGATAGACAACATGGTCAATGGAAAATGATAGGATATCTAAAAATAGCTTTATGCAAGTATGGATAACTCATTTTTTAACAGCTTCATTGAGATATAGTGCAATACTTAACAATTCGCCCTTTAAAATAGACAGCACAATTGGTTTTAGAATATTCACAGATATGTGCAACCAGCATCACAATCAGTTTCATAACATTTTAATCACCTCACAAAGAAACTTCATAGCCTTTAATTATACCCTCCATTCCCAGTTCTCTGTCTCTCTCTCTTACCCCTTACCCCTAAGCAACCAATAATCTATTTTCTGTCTCTGTAGATTTGCCTATTCTGGGCACTTCACATAAATGGAATGGGATCTTTTGTGACTGGCATCTTTTACTTAGCATAATGTCGTCAAGTTTCATTCGCCATGTACCAAGTATCAACATTTCATTTTTTATGATCAAATAGTATTTTATTGTATATATATGCCACATTTTGTGTATGTATTCACCAGTACATTACAACTGGGCTGCATAGCTAACTGATTTTTTACTTCAATGCTGAATTCAACATTGGACAGATAGTCTCTTCAACAAACGATGTTGAAGCTTTTAGTCTGTTTGGGCTATTATAACCTATTATAACAAAATACCTCAGACGAGGTAATTTATAAACAATAGAACTTTATTGGTCACAGTTCTGGAGGCTGGGGAGTCCAAGATCAGGGCAAGCAGATTCAGTGTCTGGTGAGGACCTCTTCTTTACATTTGGTGCCTTCTACTTCCTCACATGGCAGAAGGGCAAACAAGCTTCTTTGGACCTCTTTTATAAGGACATTAATTTATGATAGCAGAGCCCTCATAACCTAATTACCTCCCAAAGGCCATATCTTCTTATACTATTACCTTGGTGATTAGGTTTCAACATATAAATTTGGGAGAGATGGCACAAATATTCAGATCATAGCAGACATAGCCAAAATGATGAACTTCATTTTAAACCTCACAATGGATAAAAATTAACTCAAACAGATTAACTCATCGATTTAAATATTAAACATAACACTATGAAACTTTTAGAAGAAAACACAGAAGAAAAATCCTCAGGACATAAGGCTTGCTGAAACATTTTTAGACATGACATTAACAGCATGATCTATAAAATAAAAACTTGGGAAATTGGACTTCCTCAAAATTAAATATTTTTCTTTGCAAAGGACCCTTTAGGATAATAAAGATAAGAGACAGAATAGGAGAAAATATTTGTAAACTAGGACTCACCTACAATATATATAAATTAGCCTTCTCAAAAGTTACCATTAAGAAGCAATCTAATTAGATTATGAGCAAAAGACAGGGACATTTCACTGAATAAGATATAGAGTTGACAAATAAGCATATGAAAAGATGTTTAATTTCACTAGCCAATTTCTAGTTTAGACAATTGTTTTCTACAGTCTTTAAAGGTAAGAAAAACTAGACATAAGCTTAAAATTAAGCATACATGAACAATCAAATTTACCAAAAGTATTTCTGAAACCATTGACGTTATTTCTTTTTTTCTGACTATTTAAGAAAGCATGCTGGCCAGGTGTGATGGCTCTTGTCTGTAATCCCAGCAGTTTGGGAGGTGGAGACAGGTCGATCACTTGAGCCCAGTAGTCAGAGGCCAGGCTAGACAACATGGTGAAACCCCATCTCTACAAAAAATACAAAAATTAGGGGAAGAGGTGGGCAGATAGGAAGTTGAAGCTTCAGTGAGCCATGATCAGCCACAGAAAGAAAGAAGGAAAAAAAGAAAGAGGGAAAGAAAGAAAGAAGAAAGAGAGAGAGACAGAGAGGGAGGGAGGGAGGAAGGAAGGAGAAAAAGAAAGAAAGAAAGAGAAAGAAAGAAAGAAAGAAAGAAAGAAAGAAAGAAAGAAAGAAAGAAAGAGAAAGAAAGGAATCATTTTACAATTGATTTTTATAGGTCTAGGGGCTGCCAGAGCAGTTTTAAAACACGGGTATATTGTGTAGTGGTGAAGCCTTGGCTTTTAGTATACCCATTACCCAGATAAACAGATAATTTTTCATTTTTCACTATATGGATTTTTCTATGGAGAAGACATTTAAAAGCAAAATTTCATGGTGAACACGATTTGGTATAAACTAGTTCCAGTGGTCCCTGAACCTATGCTTCTGTAGTGTGTTTCCTACCTAGTTGTCCTAATTCATTTCTTCAAATGCTTTAGGAAATGTTAATTAACAAACCTAAAATTCCTTAGAGTAATACGACATTTAGGTAGGAGGATTAGCTTCTCCCTGGAAGTTTCGTAAGGCCTCTAGAGCTGTTTTTTTTGTTTGTTTCTTTATTTGTTTTGTTTGTTGTTTTTCCAAACATTTCTATCTTGAAGTAAATATTTGAATGGCCAGTATCAACTCTTTTACTCTGAGGTCAGGATCAAGAACCATCCAAGTCACTGTCATTAGGGTTTACTTGCAGCAACTATGACTAAGATTACCAAAATTCAGCAATGTTTCTATACTTCCAGCGAGTGACCTTCTTTACTTTTGTGAAGATGAAATATCATAAATCAGGTCCCAACATACTTTCCTGAATGGACTTGGTCAGTATTGTTTCCAACATATAAAGTGCAGTTATTTGGATAAAATTTACCTTAAAATTTTTCATGTTTGACAAGATCATGGTTACCAGTAAGATTGCTAACTTATATACAAAATGAAATAAGTTATGTCCTACATAAATTATGTACAATTAAAAAGCGTAACTTTTGGGGTTATCTTTTCTACCAGACAGAAAAAAAAATCATGATTATTATTGTTTTGTTTTGTTTTCCTTTTTGATTTTACAAATTAACATCTAAATTTACAGGCTTCTAAAACATCTGGGCTCAAATCAGTTGTTCCTAGTGAATGAGCAAACTTACATTCTTAAGAGGCTTACAATCTTTGTTGGGCTTATTGGAAGCTCTGGCACAATATTAAATAGTCACATAATTATCATTTTGCCTAACTTGCAGTTTACCTTGAGCACAGTCTCTAAACAGCATAAGTTTTCATGTTTTTAAAATTTATGTAACTCACACCTCCCATATATATCCTTGTGTCTTGTTCTTCTGCTCAATGTTGTGTTTGTATCATCTGCATTGTTGCTTAAACTTCAATATTTTTATTTCACTTGATTGCTGTATTGTATTCCATTGTACAGATATATTTCTCATTGTACTGATGAACAAGTTTAGAGTCTTTTCAATGTAAATTTTTATATACATATGTATTAGTTACCTATTACTGCACAATAAATTACCACTTGTGCCACATTGTATTGGTTTAGAAACAAGCAACAAGGCCAGTGTTCACTCAAAGGGAGGGGATGACACAAGCACATGAATAACAAGAGGTTGGTCTTTCTAGAGGCTCCCTAGAACCACACGTAATACCCATGTTTTAAATAAATGGAATCTCATTTTTCAAATTGTCTCTGCAAGACTTAAGCCTGAATAATAGTTCTGCAGTGGGAACTTTGCTTAGCACTGAAGTCAATTTCTAATCCTCTTAAATATACTCCAAGTATTAGTACCCTCCTTTTACAATTTTAGGAAGTGTAGCTCAGCGGGGTTAAGTGATTTGCCTATGGAAATTCTACTGTGTGGGAGAACACATACTGCATGCTTCAAAACTAAGCTATCAGCATGCTGTTGAAATATAATCATGGTAAGCACTGATGATAATAGAAAATAAATATTGCTGTTGCCCATCTTAAATTATGATGGTCACCCCCTATCTCGGCCAAACATAAGATAAAAAAGCATTGATGATAATAGAAAATAAATATTGCTGTTGCCCATCTTAATTCACCCCCTATCTCTGCCAAACATAAGATAAAATCAAATGACTTTTCCCTAGACTTCACAGTAGATGTGTTCACAAGGGTAAAAAGTGTCAGTGTAGCTGCAATTCACATTGCCATACATGAGTAATTCTATGACCTTTCGATTCTTTGAACTATCTGCCTAGAACCTATACTTCAATAATATGTAGGTATTACTAGCCAATATTATGGTAATGATATTATTTACTACAAAAAATAATGCTGCTAGTTTTGAGTAGCATTTGACCAATCTAAGTGCAGACAGTGCTGGCAATTAATTTCATCAAACATTTGGACAGAAAAGTAAACTGTTTATCGTTGTATTTTTAAAGTTAGAATAGAGGTAAAATCTCCTTTTTACCTTTGTTTTTGTTTTCTGTTTTAAGTTGTAGATGCTCTTCTTACATAGGTATTCTTTGAAAGATGGCATGGGAGAATCTGGAATTGACAACCATTTCCAGCATTACCCACCATATTTTATGCCTAATGGAAGGCCATAAAAGACTGGATATAGATTTGATAATGTATAAATATATATACTGTAGAATGTTTTTCCAGCTCTCGGCATCTCTTCCTTGAGCAATTTTAATAACCTCCTAGCTGTATTCTTTGTATTCTTATTCCTCCAATTATTTACTCATTCAATGAATATTTATTATCCTCCAAGGTGCTTGCTTCCAAACATCTTTTTAAAATGCATATCTGATCATGTCACTTCTCTGCATGATTCTTTATCATCTTCAGGATGTAGTCCAGAGAGTATAACAGAAGGCTTTAGACCTACCTGTCCACCCCATCTGCTATTGTAAACATACAATGGTTGGGGCATATCGAACAACTTGTCTACCTCAACCACTTTATTTTTCTATGTTTTTTTATTGTCATACACTTTGTTTTTTACCTTGTAAACACTTTTTTTTTGTATTTTAAAGCTCAGATTAAAACCTTACTTCTTTTCTTTCCTTTCCTGCTTGTTCACATAAGATTTTGTATGTAATTCTATTCAGAATTTATAATTGTTCAATTTTTATAGATGTTTTAATAAAGAAATACTCATGAGCAGATTACTACCCAAAAGATTTAAATAGCAAATATAATCCAGGATAATCACTGAGGTGATTTACTAGGGCATCAGTTAATAATGTTAAAGTTCTAAATGTCCTCACATAAATAACCTGGGCTCCAAAAAAATCTTTCTTGCACCTATTGTGTAGCAACAGTGCGATTCCCTTTGACAAATGGAACCGTTCACCTCAGACTTCTACTATGAGTAAGAGTTCAATAGCATAAGAAGACCAAATTGGCAGATTAATATTCTCAGACTTCAATTTTGGGGGGTACCATGGACATGTTCTCTGATAAAAATATTCCTTTCTTAGGAAGTAGGCACTAGGAATTCTAAATTAACCAAGTTCATGGATTTAGGAAAAGAAGCAAAAATTCTGTAAATTCATTATTAGATGAGTAGGGCCACTCCTATATCAACCCTGAATAGGTGGATTCATATATTCTTACTATATGGAATTTATGATATATTTGTCACTCTTTTCAAGAATATTCCACATTATTTAAATAGAATCCCAGTCTTACATGGTGGTATCTCTCAGCTGGTACTAGAACTTTTCCTTCAGTAGGCCATTTCACCATTGCAGAAAGCCAATTGCCTTTGGATGATGGGACACATGGTAGATCAATAAATGCCAAAGGTCTTAAGCTTCTTGCCTACTTCCATTGTAAAATGATGTTGTCCAACATTGTGAAATAGTGGAGGGTACTACTGAGCATCATTTTGTGACAGAGATGAAATCATTCTGTCAGGGTGAGATGGGGCTGATGGAAAAATCATGCACAAGGAAGAAAAATTTGCATTCAGAATACATATCTATTTCTATAAGGACAGATTGCTATTCTCTGCAGTATGGAAAAGGTCCAATGTAATCAACCTATCACTAGGTGGCTGGCTGATTCCTCCTCTTCCCTCACCATTCCTGGGAACAATGCCATATCAGTGCTTGAAGTTGACCTGTGTTATTGGCAATTTGGATACTCAGCAGGTGCAGCAGTCAGATCGGCTATGGTGGAGGGGGATTTCATGTTGTTGAACCTACATGAAGCCTCCATGGCTGCCAAAATGGACACTTTGTTCATAAGTCCATTAAGTAAACATTGAGCTGACTGAAAAAAGAAGTTTACTGACAACCCCAGGATAAAGTCCTCTTGTTCATCTGGTTATTTATAGCCCGAGCCACAGTGAATGTGACCTGTGAGCCTTTTTATGGTGCACAAATATATACTTATTCTATTTCCATTCTAAGAGGAACATGTACGTACTTCTTCCTTAGACTTCCCAGGCACTGATTTTCCAATCTTATTCAGTAACTATGGAGATTCAAATCAGGTTTAACTCTACAGATCTAGGATTTATCTGATTACATAGAATAAATAACATCTTAGAAGGCTACTCATTTATTTTTCTTCCTATAGGCCCTGTGAAAAATTAGTCACTGTCACATATTACTGAATGTCAAAACACTTTGATTACTACTCTGTCCTTGTGGATTATTGCAGTAATGGCAGCCACCTTGCCAGGAATAATTAAGTGCCTCTGTCTGGCATTTGCCACTTAACGATCATATTATTCTCAGTAAAATATGGAACTCAAATTTGTAATGATGAAAGGCAAGCCCCATTTATACCTAGACTGAAGCAACTACAGAAGACAACCAACTACAATAGAGGTTTACGAAGGATGCTGGTATTCCCTTCATGAGAATTTTTCATAATGCCTTGGTAAAGACAGTTTTCTTCAAACTCCCTGAGAGGTAGGTCTATTCCAACATTCCTACTGTCCTGTGTATTCTAATTTCTTTCTCTGTTTTATACTAGAGAAGTTCTGGTCTCTCAGTCTTGTTCAGTATACCGAGAAAACTTATAGATTCACTCCCAGGTCCTGAATCCCTGGTCTAACACACTGAAGATCTAACTTCCACCAGTGTGTTCCCTGGATTCCTCTTGGAGCTGAATATAATTTTTTCTGTTTCTCCTCCAATCACTTTTTAACTCTGAGCTGCTCCAAATCCCTGTTCTTCAGTGACTAAAGATGTTATGAAACTTTAGCCCTAACCTGGGAAGAGGAAGAAAAGGAGGGAGAGGAAGACGAGGAGGAGGGAGAATAGTTGTCTCTAAAGGAGGAAACCTCTATCAAACATGTCAAAGGTGGGGGACCCAAGAAGCTGACAACACTGCTAAGAGCGAGGAGCTGGAAAAAGGATTGAGATCCATCTTAAAGACAAGAGCCCTGTGAGAAAGAACAAACCCATACTCAAACCTAAGAAACCAGGTTCCAAGAAATAAGGAGCCAGGAACTGCCTGACTGCGGTGATCAAGAGAGGGCCTGTGAGACCAGCATGCAGAGTGGGCCTTCCTTGGGCTGTGCTGTGGTCATGGGGTGTACCCCTACCTTGCCCCTTCCATCTGAGTCTAAATAGAATGGGAGTGTTTTGGAGAAAGTGACAAAAGATCCTCTTCTCACTCAACTCTCCCATGTGAGGAGGCCCTGGTGAGAAGAGCCTGACCACAGGGAAACAATAAAGTTTGCTTTGCCAGGACCTTTCCTGCTCTTCTTCCCTGAAGCCATCCTCCTTGTCAGCTGCAAAAGCCCATGTGCAGAGGACAGCTGTGAACCAGCACACCTGGGTCCTGAGATCCCATCTGCCACCCTGCCCCCGTTCTGATCTGAGGTTGCTGTGTCCCAGGCAGACTTCAGCTGGGTTCTGCTCTGCTCTTCTGCCTTCCTACTTTTTGGCACACCAAGCCCCAACTTTGAGGGAAACACCAAATGTCTCAGCTTCTTGCCCAGCCTCAACCTTTGCCCTCTGCTGAGCTGTGTGTCAGGCCTGGCTACAGGGAGGAACCAATGACAACAACAAATGTAGGCAGTTAAGTCACTTTGTCACACAGGAAGCAATAGAGGGTAGCACATTTGGGCCCAGAGGTGAAATAGCATCCTCTTGTGAAGTACTTGCCCTGGGTAAGATCATTAAAATGTCTTCATGCAATACAGTATATGGCTAGTTTTCTATATAATGTGGAGGAATTGCTTCTGCTGGCAAGGGAGATTGAGGAGGATTTTCAGTTCAAAGTTCTCGACTTCATTTGTATCTGTTGAAATGTTCCCATCTTAAATATCAGGGTCATCATTTATTCCTAATCAATATCTTAACTTTAGCATAAGAACCTTAGCAAAGGCAGTGGACACACACACACATACATACATACACACCCATATATGTATATAGTGTGTGTGGAAGAGAGAGAGATTCTGAACAAGAGAGAGAGATTGTGAACATTGATTCATAATAATGCCCAATATGTTACTGTCAACTTAATCTTTTCATAGGGAAAATAGTAGAATGGTGTTTTGATTTACAATAAAAAATAAAACGGGGAGGGAAAAACCTTTTCAAAGAGTGGAAGATGGAGGCAGAAGTGATTTGTGTTATTAGGGAAATGGTCTTGTAAGAAGTGAATGACGAATTGCATATATTATATGCCCCTTTCCTATTTTTTATTCCAGAGAGAGATTTTTGCTGGTTATGAACATGAATTTGTATTTCATATCTATGTCACAAACAAGTCTCCACATCTGTCATATGTCAAACTCTTATGGTAATTTCTACAATTCATATGATATGTGTGAAGTCAATTCTGTCACCACTTTACTTTTTTACTTTGGGATTCTGCATCTTAAAATACTTTGCTATCACCAAGTTACATGTATTTTATCCCCTAAAATACTTTAATACTACCATATATTCACACAGCGTTACTTTTATTTGTACCTTCTCTTTACTCTATATCCATCTACCTATCTGTCATCAGTCTACCTCTCTTTTTCAGCCTATGTGTGCAGTAGTCAAACTTCATGTCAACACTATTTAATGACTTCCCTAAATTTTTGATAATAATTTGAAATTTCACTTTTATAATTAATTAAATTTCTATAAACTAGTGGGCCTAATTCTGAACTCAATTATGTTCTATGTATCTGTTTTGTGTTTTTTTCACTAATACTTTTAGTTATATATAGTAACTATATAGCAATTATAGTATATAGCAATTATAGTACATTTTAAATTGTATATAGCAATTATAGTACATTTTAAAGCCTGAAAGGTCAACCCTGTCTCTTATCATTTTATCACGATAAAAGTTTGCTTTTTGACATCTCCAGCATAAAGTATCCCAGGATGTTGTTGATATTTTTTAACATTTTATTGGGACTTTGAATTAAACTGAACATTAAGATTCATTGGGGGGATAATTGACATCCCTAACTGTATCCTAACCCTAACCCTGAATAACAGTAGTGACAATTTGCAACCAGAAATATGGTATGTCTATTTATGCTAATCTCTTTCATCAAAGGGTCCTTGCTTTTATGACAGACCCTTCATATTTATAATTAAGTCATTCCTGAATTGGCCAAAGTTTTAGTTTTACTCCGAATGGCTCACTTTTCCAGTTAAATTTTCCAATTTAGCTGGCATCCAGGAAAGATTTGATTCAGTTATGTTGGCCTTTTTGTTTCCACCTACATCCCTAAATGAGTGTATTTTCTATGTAGAAAATCATATTAATTGAAGTGACATTTTTTCTACTTCTCCAATGTTTAATAGTATTTATTTATCTTGCTATTTTCTATCTACTATACACTTCATTGCAATTTAAAAAGGTAGTTGCAATAGTTTTTGTTATATTTCTCCTCATTTGAATTTGATCAGAATGTATGCACTTTAATCTTTATCTGTATATCTACCTATCGTCATTTCAGCATTAAATTTTTATTTTATTAAATTTCTAGTAGAAAATGTTTTTGATATTAGGAAATATATAAAATTCCCTTTTTTTACCTAGTAAAATAAATTTTGGCTACATATGTCAAATGTTTAATTTCTTTTGGCCTCTGATTGAAATCATTATGTGCTTTAATTTCTCTGAATCTATTAAAGTATTAGAATAGCTTAATATTTGCTGAAATTAAACTACCTTTGCATTCCTAAAATAAATCCTGCTTGATATAGTAATCCTTAAATATACATATAGATTTGTTGATTAGAGGTCTATTTGTATGTTTTATTCTGTTCATGTCTGTATTTGGCTTATACATTTGAGTTTTTGTGTTATCCTTGTAATAATTTGGCATCAGGTTAGGATAGACATATAAAACAAATTGAAAGGGGCTTTCATTATATTTTATGACTTGCAACACTTTATAAAGTAGTGATATTGTATATGTTCAGGCACAGATTTGCAAAACAATATATAGCAAGTGTGTACTCTTTGCCAGGAATCATGTTAGGCTGTGTGATGAACAAATTTAATATCTTAAAGGAAAACACTGATGCTATTATTACATCCAATGTTAGAGATAAGGCAACTAAGGAATACAGAAGATCTGTTATTTGTACAGATCACACATAACAGATTTGTACAGATTAGAAATCAGATACCCAAACTGACATTGCCACCTCAAGCTGTCTTCATTCCCATTTACACCTATCCAAAGAAGTTCTTTTTCAAAAATATAAAATATTCATTTATAATCTATAATGCAAAAGACACAGTGTAAAGAATAATAACTAAATTATTGCTCGTGTATCCATTACTTGTTTAAGAAATGGGATAATAATATTGACTCTGAAAGTCTGTTTGTGTTCCTCTCTTATGTCTTCCCACCTTCTCTCCAGAGATATTTATCTTCCTGAATTTATAGTTAATTAGCCTTATAATTAATCTTATACTTTACAGTTTTATCTGCTATTTATTTTTTCTTAAATATTTATCAACTTGTTTGTCAATTTTGGCTTTTGTCTTAATGGAGTCAAGAAGTAGGTTTCTTGTCCTGCCCCCCCACCCCATCCCACTTTGTTTTCAATACTGCTCAGTAATTGATTGTACTACAATTTATTAATCCATTCTTCTATTGATAACCACTTGGATGTTAACAATTCCTTGCTAAGAAAAACAATACCATTTTGAATATTCTTATACATGTCTCCTGGGGCACATATTCAAACTTTGTCGAGTTTTATTGCTGGGTTATTGGATATGAACATTGCCACATTTGCTAGGTGATGCCAAACAATTTTCCAAAGTAGTTGTACCTGTTGACATTACAGCAGAAAGTAAGGGTTTGGACTGATTCACATTCTTGCTAATGCTTGTATTTTTAAAATTGTAACAATTTAAACTATTTAACCCATAACAATTACTGGATATAAAACTACGTTTTTTCACTTCTCTAATGATATTGAACATTTTTTCCACATATATGTTGTGGAACTCTTTTTCTGACAATTGCCATTCCTTTTTTGACAATTGTCCATTTTTCTCTTCAGATAATTTGTTTTATTTATATGTAGGCATTATTTATATATTCCAAAGGTTAATTCTTTGTGATTTATTTTGTTTGAAATGATTTATCTTGATTTAAGTCATTTTTTATTATTTCTCTATATGTTCTTATTATTATAATTATTATTGGTATTGTTGTTATGTGCCGGATATTGTGTATAAAAGGGCCAGACCTGAGGTCCCTTTTATTTCCCCATAGAGACTACACATCCTTTCTACTATCACTTACACACAATAGAAGCTGATCATCTCAATCCAACAAAAACATTGACCTTTGTTGAGCTGGTGGCAGCTTATTTATTTAACTCACTTTTAGTTACAAATGTTTTGAGGGCAAAATGCCCTCTGTGTTTACTTTAGGCCCTTTTGTCTATCTTGTACGATTCATGAGATTTTAGGAGATTCTCCACCTTCACAGTTAAACACCCCAGCTTCCCTCAAAACCCCAGTATTCATCAAAAATCCCAGGGCAAAAAAAAAAAAAAAAAAAAAAGTAAAGAGATTGCTTGTGATTTGAGAATCTCCTGGGATTTAAATCCATTTCTATTGACATGGCAACGAAAAGCTCTGGCCTGTTTCTGTTTCTCCTGAAAAGTCTTTTTGCCTGTCTGAGCTCCAAGGGTCATGTTTAATGTCCTACTCAACATTTACCCTACTTATATATCCCAGTTTAGGGATTGATGCCTTCACATGGATTAGGAACTCAACACTTCAACGCATGTTTGGTCTAATGAACAAAGGGAATCAAAGGAAGCGATGTTACAGACACAGGGCATTATATTCCTGATTCTAATCTGTAGAGTTGAATCATAAACTCATTCTAATCATGATTCTCTTCATATCTATAGTAAAAAGTCAATTTTTACACTGACAGATATAAAGGTTTCTAGCTTCCAGACGCTGAAGCTTCCTGAGGGTCTTTAAATGCTGCTGACAAAACTGATGTAACTGAGTGAGGAGAGAAAAGGACAAGAAGAAACTAAGTGGTTGGTCTGCCTGTTCTGGGCCAATTCCCATGGCAGGGGTGGTATTTGAGCTTCTCAAAATTCTTCTGCACAAGGACAGCCTCTGTCTTTCCTTCCACTTCTTTTCATTCCACAATAACCTCTTGAACAAAACAAGACTCTACGTGAGCTAATACTGATAGACTCATAGCTCCACACACTTAAAGTCTGTACTTAATAAAACATTTTTATGTGGGGCTCATTGCACTGAGAGCGAGTGTGTGAATGTCCGTGTTTGCCAAAACACAGTAGAAGTTTATAACATTATATGTTTTTTTATTTGGCCAAGTTGTAAAATGCCATTGGTTTATGAAAAGCCTCAGGATTATATGCAATAAAATTGCATTAATTGGAATATGTAAACCATTTGAAACTAATGACAGGTACACAACTACACAGAACCACATGAAAGCAGCCAGAAAAAAATCATATGTGTTTACAGCTATCTGGAGATAGCTGAATTTTAAAATGTTTTATACTCTTTTGGGAAAAAAATGCATGCCCCCCCCCCACCACACATAAAACACTGGTATTCTTTTGAGACTAAGAGAATACAGATACTTATTCAACTCACAAAGCTACAAAGCTAGAATTGTGCTTATAGTACATACAAGAAATCTAAACTGAGGTCCTCAGTAGGATTTCCTGAGGACATTAAAAACATGTTAATTGATTAATTAATTAATTCAGCAGATCTCAGAGTTTTGAAAGTCAGGGCGCAGGTTGGTTATTTGTTATTTATGCTTAAACATATGTACATAAATATAAGGTTTACATATATATGTGTGTGTATGTGTGTGTGTATATATATATATATATATAGCTTGAAATGTCACCACTTATACAAAAGCTATAACTCAAATCCTAATTTGTCTCACGGGACAATGGACTCCCCTAGCGCTGTCATGAGTTTTCTCAGGTTATATGGTAGTGAGAGTCATGTTGACAGTTGCGATATCTGTCATACATCACACTCTTCTGGAAATTTTTACAATTCATATGATACATGTGAAGTCAATTCTGTCACCACTTTACTTTCTTACTTTGGGATTCTGCATCTTGGGGAATGCTAATCTCTTATTTCCTTGAACTAATAGTGTGCTTTCTCATATGCATTTATTATTTTTTCCAGATAATATAATTAAGTATATGTGAGAAATACAATAAAATTTTAAGTGTCTTAAACAGGGGAGGTTTAATATATAGAACTGGCAGCCCAGGTTTGGAGAGCTGAAGGAGTGAAAGGGAGCACTGAAATATCTCAAACTAAACATTGGTTAGAGAACGTGAGGGGCAGAGTTGGGTTATCAAACCTGGGGGTACACAGGAGTGACCCATTGGATTTGGTGCCCACAACTCTCAAGACCTGGCCTCATCTGACACCCCTGATGAGGCAAGGGGCGATCATGAAAGGGCTCCATAGTTTATGTTCAGATCTCTGAGGAGAAAGAATCTTCTTATTGCCATTAAGCACCTCTAGGAGGTTGTGATGAGGCTAGTTTTAAAAGCTCTAAAAGGAAATAACGTTTGGAGCCAACCAGAATACTTCAGTTTCTCTAAACTCCAGCGAGACTGCCTCAAGGAAGTTACTGTACCATTAACCAACCGCTTCTTGACTGTTCGTTAATTGGAATACGGTGCAATAGTACGCAACTTATTATATGCATGCAGGAAAGTATACATTTATGTCTTACTCATTCTGTACCTATGCTGTAGTCCTCCAGTCCACACTAAATACTGTAAATACACAATAAAATTTCACAATCATAATTTTCAACTTATCACAGGCTTTAATGAGTTTATGATTCTTTCATAAATATGTATTTTAAGAAAAATTAAACTTATATTATAAAATAGTATTTCAATATAGTAAAATAATTTTTTAGAAAAGTAGAGATACTTTTAGTCACATGATTGAATAAAAATGCAGCAGCAGCACTTTTATTTTTGCTGGTAGTGTGTTTGTATTTTTACTTTCAAATTCAAAAAACTACTTAGGCCTATTGTATATATTTTATCACAAAATTAGTCATATTTGGTGTATTTTTAATACTTTTATAATATTTTTAGTTATAATTGTAAACATTAACAGTGATTGAAAAATATCAGTCAGGAAGTGATCTCCAGAAATTCCACATTCCTGATACAACTGCCATTAATATTTTTATGCCTATTCTCTCACGTATCTCTTTGGGGAAATAAGCTTATATATATATATATTTATTTATGAATATAGAATCTTTTTAAGTGTACTTTTGTGTGTGTGGAAGTGGCTAACCTTTTCCATTTATCCATGGCGTCCCTTCTCCCTGTAACTAATGGTAACCTGGTGTATATCCATACACAATTTTCCCACAGTTATGTAATAGTATGCTGATTTGTGCAAGGTCTTCCGCATTGTTTAGTTAGGATCATATACTTCTATGTAATACTTCTACAAATCTACAGCTAGTTTAGAACCATAAAACAATTTATTCCACAATTTCCTTAGCAAAAGAAAATTGCATATCTTGTTTTTATCCCTTTCCATATATTAAACATATTTTATATTATTTTGACTCTGTACACTTTGCTTTTGAGGCCTAGATTTCATGGATGAGATTCCTGGATTTTAAAAATAGATACATTCTTAATTTTAATAGATATCACCAGATAGCTTTCTCAAATGTCTGTATCAATTGTTTCTCCTCCAACAGGATATAAGAGAACCCATTTTTCCAATCACTTTCAATAGTAGATGCTAGCACTCTTAACTTTTGTGGATCAGATGGGTTCAACTGCTCTTTCATTATTGTTTTAATTTTCATTTCCTTTTTCACTGGTGGGATTAAACATTTTTGTAAATCTTTACTGACCATTGGATTTTTCTCTTTTTTTTTGGAGTGTATATTCACATCTTCTCTTTTTCATTAAATTTTTATCAATTTAGCACAAATTTGTTAGAATACTTAGTATATTATAGACATTAATTTTATCTTGTTTCAAGTATTTTTACCAACTAAATGTTTGTCTATTGAAATTGTCTATGGTCTTTACTTATCTACCTATCTATCTAGATATCTGTCTTCATGCATATATGACTATATAACTGTAAACACACATATACACATACCTTTTTATTAAAATTGATACTTTATTTTAGAGCAGTTATAAGTTTACAGAAAATGAAGAGTTCCTATATATTCCTTCTCCCACTTTCTTAGTTTCATCTATTATTAATATATTGCATTGATTCGATACATTTGTTGCAGTTGGTGAACTAATATTGACACATTAACTAATGTCTACAGCCTACATTAAGGCTCACTATCATGTTGTATAGTCTATGGGTTTTAACAAATGCATAATGTCATATATCCAGCATTAATTACATCAGAATACAGAATACTCTCGCTCTCCTAAAAATCCCCTATTCTTGACCTACTCATCCCTCTCCTCAGCTTCTGATCCTGACCCCAGCACCCTGCCAATCCCTGACAATCATGGTCTTTTAGTGTCCCATGAGTTTGCCTTTTCTAGATTGTCATGTAGTTGTAATCATATAGTATACAATCTTTTCAAAGCGTTTTTTTTACACTTTGATTCATTCACCTGCTCAAACACATTAACTCATTTATCAATAGGCATTTAAATTTCCCCTGTCTTTTTATGGCTTGATAACTCATTTCTTTTTATTATAAATAACATTACATGAATGTACCACAGTTTGATTATCCATTCACATATTAAATGACATCTTGGATGCCTCTAACTTTTGCCAATTATGAATAAAGCTGCTCTAAATATTAAGGTGTGGATTTTTGAACCAAAGTGTAAATTACCCCTGGTAAAAGAAGTCAGAGAACCACTACACCATATCTGCTTTCTCTGCCTCCACTTTATATTGCCTAAACTGTATATTCTGTTCAGTAGCTGCAACAATTTTTTAAAACTGCAAGTCAGGTTATGTTGTTCCCATGATCAAATATGTTGTTTCCATCATACTTGATGGAATAGTAATATAATACTAAGACATTACTATTACCCTCAAGACTCTACTTGATCTGAGTTTCAAATTTTCCTTATAACTCATCATCTACCACTGAGGGGGAGATGCTATCTAAAGCACATGTTATCAAGTAAAAAGCTCATACTCCAAAATACATAAAGGACTCCTACAATTCAATATAAATAAAAACAATTCAATAAAAAAAATGGTAGGAAATTTTTAACAGGCTCTTCAGAAAAATTATCTTTATCCAAATATTCAATACAAATAGAGAAAAAATATTCTCTATTTTTTTTAATGGAGTCTCACTCTTGTCGTCCAGGCTGGAGTGCAGTGGTGAGATCTTGGCTCACTGCAACCTCTGCCTCCTGGGTTCAAGCAATTCTCCTGCCTCAGCCTCCCAAGCAGCTGGGATTACAGGTGCCCACCACCATGCTCAGCTATTTTTTTTTTTTTGTAATTTTAATAGAGATGAGGTTTCACCATTCTCTATTTTTTAAAAGTAGGAATTTAAATATAAACAAGTAGAACCATGTACCTACTAGAAAGTCTAAAAGAAAAAGATGGACCACACCAAGTTTTCATAAGGAAATGGAACATTAGAACCCTTATACACTGCTGGCAAGAATATAAATTAGCACAACTATCTTGTTAAAATTTTAGGCATTGTTTATTAAGTTTGGACACATCAATGCCCTAAAAGCCAATGTTTGCACATCTATGTATATTTCTAATAAATTCTATATATGTATATATACATATACACATGTGTGTTTATGTACCAAAATATTTGTGAAAGAAAAATTTTATCAGCATACAATGAAT
This sequence comes from Homo sapiens, assembly GCF_000001405.40. NCBI lineage: Eukaryota > Metazoa > Chordata > Mammalia > Primates > Hominidae > Homo > Homo sapiens. The sequence continues at coordinate 35,053,902 of NC_000003.12, forward strand.
AAATACAACAATAAAAATAAACTAAAGCTACATATGACGACATGGATAGATTTTCTCCAATACAATGTCAAGCAAATGAATCCATAAACAGAGGAACTCATATGGCCTATTTTCATTATTGTGAAGTTCAAGAACAAGCAAAGCTTAGGTATGAGATAGTAGTATAAGGTAGATAGGAAAAGGTAGGTAGAAATTAGAGGGGTTACAAGAAGGACTCTGGGATATGGGTAATGTTCTTTCTTGACTTGGGTGATGTTTTAATGGTATATTCATTTTATGATAGTTTATCAAACTTTACAATTATGATTTTGTGCATTTTATGTACATATATGTAATAAAAAGTTAAAAAACAAAATAATAAATTAGGAGAAAATATAAGCACTAAAATCTAACCTATGAACAAATACAATGTCAAAAGTATTCTAAAAAACAGTAATTTTAAATAAATGACCTCTAAATATGTTGCATATATGTATCTTTCCTTTTATTTTTTAATACCTGCTAATTTGTATATAATTGTGTATTATATTTTATATTTTTTGAATAGACTAACCACAGATATGCTTTTTTTATACTATTACTTCTTTTCAATATTAAAAATGGATGTTATTAATGATTACTCACTGTCTAAAGCTTTAGTGAAATTGTTGGAAGGTATTGTTCTAGAATTAAGGTATTTACAGTAATCAGGTATTTGTATTTCTTTTCAAGCATATGGTCTCAATCATATTTTTTTAATCTACGATGTTTCTTGCCTTGATTATTTCTGATTACAATATTTTTTCACCAAATTGTTGAAGGATTAAGAAGCTTTCTAAAGTGCTGGATATATAACATTCAATAGAATGTAAATACCTTTTTATACTTGCCCATCTCATTCTTGACAGGAAAGAGAGTTGCTAGTTATTAAAAACCACATGGTCAAGATATTGGGCTATATTTTAATTTTAATCAAAATTCATTAATCTGTAGCTTGAATTATTTCACACAAGCACATACATCTGCACGAAAGACCTGAGGTCAAAACGGAAAGAGAATGGGCTTGTAGAGCATTTGTTCCTACAAGGAACTCGAAATACAAGTAGGCTGAAAATAGCCATTCTTTGTAATCATCAAAAACCACCACATCAAATCAGTATGCCATTTCAAGCCTCCCTTAAAAGAAAAATTGTTAAATGAAGTTCAGAAGTTCCACATTTATGACAACATTGACAACAGCAATTGGTCACTAAATCTCAAACGGCAAATGATTAGGTAGATGTTGATTTCAAAGAGACCTATTTTGGTCTCCACAATGTATTTAAAGCCACAGGGAAATCTCTCTCATATCAAGTTTGTTTTGCAGAAGGCCTTTATTTCTACCCTTTCTCGGGCTTTGGGGAGCAGGTCTCATTTTAAAATCCAAGTCAGCATCTCAGCAAAAGGCAAGATATCAGCAGATCCTGATACACCTGAAGAAGAGTGAGGCAAGTTGGGGAAACTCTCTCAGGGTTTCATTTTCCAGTTTGCCTTAGATAATTCTTTAAAAGTTTGATGCTTACTTGAGATTTATCTGAGGTACCTCTAGAGACTCCAAGATTTCTCTGGAAACTGTTTTCTGCAGAATGTTTACTATTTTCTTCTTATTCAACACATATAACACCAAAATATTTTTTTTTTCCCTCTCAAGCAAGTTCTGTTGTGCTTTTCTTTACAGGTAGGCTCTGATTGAGTTAGAAAACATTTTAAGAGTGAAACTGGAAACAGTGTGTGAATTTTAAATAATTTAATTAATGTGCTTTGCAAAACAAGCTATGAGTTAGAAAGACAATGTTTCTAATTGCCTTCTGATTATTGCATTCTTATTTATAACTGGAGCATTTTACTGAGATAAAACAATAGCTAGATATGAAAAATGGAACTAAGCAATATTCTGTATAGTATTATGAAAATATTTTATTCTTGGACCTTTTTTTTTTTTTGAGAGGGAGTCTCGGTCTGTTGCCCAGGCTGGACTGCAGTGGGGTGATCTTGGCTCACCACAACCTCTGCCTTAGGGGTTCAAGCAATTCTCCTGCCTCAGCCTCCTGAGTAGCTGGGACTACAGACATGCGCCATCATGCCCAGCTAATTTTTTTTTTTTTTTTTTTTTTTTTTTGAGACGGAGTCTTCCTGTCGCCCAGGTTGGAGTGCAGTGGCGCGATCTCGGCTCACTGCAGGCTCCGCCCCCCGGGGTTCACGCCATGCCCGGCTAATTTTAATATTTTTAGTAGAGATGGGGTTTCACTATGTTCTCCAGGCTAGTCTCGAACTCCTGACCTCAGGTGATCCGCCGGCCTCGGCCTCCCAAAGTGCTGGGATTACAGGCGTGAGCCACCACGCCCAGCCTTATTCTTGGACTTCTTAATATACTCCTGTTACTTGCTTTCAGATATGGGCACATTTTGAGTAGGGTGCTATGACCCAATAAAGAAACAACTGGGCACAAAATATCATTAATTTTTATTCTTAGTTTGTAATTGATATTTTTCCTGAAATAAGAACCCCCAAAATGTTTTGACCTATCTTACCCTCGTCACCTGCACAGGCTAAAATAAACTTGGCCCTAGAAATATAGACGATTTTGACTCTATATCCTATATGATGTAAGAGTAACTATCTTAACATGTAGTCTGCATCTATGTAGCTTTTGTTGAATAATAAAACACCACAAAACTGGTGGCTTAGAACAACTGTATTTTCTTCTTCTCACAAGTCTGTGGGTTGGGTGACTAATTCTCCTGGTCCTGGCCCCTTGGCTGATTTCTACTGATTTGTCTGTGGTCAGCTAGGAGGTGAGCTGATGAATGAATGATGTAAATTGGCCTCACTCATACATCTGGTGTTTGAGAGGCTAATAGCCAGGGAGACTTTGTTCTCCTCCTTGTAGCCTTTTATTTTCTAGTGGGTTAGTGTATACTTCTTTCATGGTATCCTCAGAATACAGAAAAAAAAAAGTGCAAAATGAGCAAGTACTTTTCAAGTATCTGCAAGCCACATGTTCAAGTAGAGGTGTGAATGAATTGGAGGGCATTACTGCAGATATCAACTCGATAATCTCTGCTTCAGTTCATAGATAATAAAGCTAAAATCCAAAATTCCCACACAATTTGGAAGACCCAGTTTCATGATATCTCTCTCTCTTTCCAAATTCCTCCTTTTCTAAGTTAACTAGTCCCTATTCAACTCTACAAAACGTCTCATTTCTTTTGTGACAGTTGTTTACATGTTTGTCTTCCTTATAAGATTCTGAGCTCTTTGAAGAAAAGAGACTCAACTTAGTATATAATACAAGTAAATGAACGAACATGTAAAAGAATGGTAAACAACTTTTTCAAAAGTATTTCTGTATGCTGAAGAGACATACATATGTTATTATTCCATTTGTAGAGCCACTGAGTAGTTCAGAATTAACCTTATGCAAAGAAAGTTCGGTCCCTTGCCTTCGGCTCCTGGGAGGTGATCTCTAGATCCTTGATACATCTTGCCTGGTAAAAGTATCTTTGTTTTCATGGCAGCCTTGAGGCACATTAGATAGTCAATTTATGATGGGATCTGTTGTACCTCTGGGAAGAGTTGTAGACTAAAGTTCAGCCATATGGAAAGCCACTCGTGTGTGTAATCAAGACCCAGTGAAAACTCCAGACACTGTCTTGGGTGAGCTTCACTGCTCAACAATACCCAAGTATACAGGCACACATCATTGCTGGGAGGAGTTATTGTTGTCCATGACTTCATGGGGAAAGAACAACTGGAAGCTCCATGCTTGAAATTTTCCTGGACTCTGATCTAGGCAACTTTTTCTTTGGCTGATTTTAATCTGTATTGTATTAGTGTATCAAATCATACTGAGAGTATAACAGCTTTGAATATCTTCTGTGAGTCTTTTAAGCAAATTATTCAATATGGGGCTGGTCTTGAGGACCCCAGAATTCTGTGGTTGGTGTCAGAAATGAGCATGTTTTCTGGACTGTTCCTTAATTTTGCAGCTATAAATGTTAAGTCAGTACTAGCTTCCCACCAAGTAGAGGTAACAATTCCCAGACTTTTTTTCTAAACTACTATCTTATTATCTGATAATAAATGTTCATTGATAATAAGGGTTTATGTCTAAATTAGGCTTTAAAGATACAGAATGGAAAGACAGATAAAGTCCACGCTCTCACAGGTAGTATATTTTAGTGGGATTGACAAGAATAAAACAATTTCAGAGTTAGAAATGCTATAAATTTAATAAAACAGAGCAATATGATAAAAATCAGTTTCTAGGGCCTCTGGTAGGAGAGCAAATATAGAAAGGGTGGTTAAGAAATATGGGTCTGAAGATGTGATATTTGTCTTGCAATTCAAAGACAGCTTGGAGCTAACCATGTCAATATGTAGGGCAAGAAATTTCAGGAGGAAAAATGTGGTTGGAAGAAGGCCAGCGTGGCTGTATCCTAGTAATAGGGGGCAGCAATCAGGGGACCAGATAAGGAATAGAAGGAGAAACCTAAACTTATAGGATAGTGTTCCTCAAAGTGTGGTTCCTGGGCTACAATCATCAGCATCACTTGGTAGCTTACCATAAATGCAAATTATCAAGCTGTCCTTGACTTACTGAGTCATAAATTTTGGCAATGTTGCCCAGCAATCTGTTTTTACAAGCCCTTCAAATAATTCTGATGCATGGCTCAAATGTGAGGTCCATGGTCATAGATTCTTGAAGACCTGGTGAAAATATCATTTTATCTGAAATATAATAAAAACTGGTTGAACCATTAAATAATTTTTAAGCAAAAAAAAAGGCCTGATTTATGTCTGTAAATGTTGGCTTTGGTGTATATAATTGCAGATATGAATAAAAGTGAAGAGATGAATGCTGGTGCTGCTGTCATCATCCAGGTGAGGGATGATAACTGATAAATATGCTCACAGAGAATAGTGGAGGGAGATGAGATACACTTGTAAGGTTAAAGAAAATTAATTTGTCTTTATAAGAGAAAATTATAAGAGCTCCTGCAATCGTAAAGTGCATTGTGAATCTATTAAAATATATTATAAAAGTGTTCCAATTTTTATTTGATAATGGAATTTTTTTCTTTTATTCCATTACAAAGTTATAAAAAATCTCTCAGTATGTTAGTCTCCATGGAAAAGAAACACAACTTGGAAAATACTGCATTACAGGTAGGAGAGAAAAGATTAAATGCTTTCTAATTAATTAAGTCATAACTATATAATTTACTTTTCAAATGCAGTTTTCTGGAGTATTCAGCAACTAGAACCAAGCTAACCAAGTGGTTTTTTAAAAATAAAAATCCCATTTCACTGAATAGGTAAGGGTAATTTACTTTTCAAAGAACTCATAATTGCAGTTATTCTTTGCCCAAGTGGTCATTTTACAACATGTCAGAGCATTATAATCAGATTATAAAAAATATATTTACTTAGCCATTTTAATAATTTATTGAGCAAGTCCCTCAAAAAAAGTAGAATAAGTATTTGGCCCAGGAACTATCCAAAGTATATATATTTTTTTAGTTTAGCTAAATATGGTTTTGAAATCATTTATTCTGTGAATGTTTAACACTTACTACATTTCTCAGCATGGTGCAGGGTAACTTAATGTTTTACTTTTAGGATAACTGTAACTAATACTCAGAATTTTTCTTTTTATGCTAAAATGTCCAGCAAAATGTATTGAATCTCATCTCTTCATTCTGAACACAAAACATTTATAATTTATGATTTTGCTTATTTTTTATTTAATGCATATTACCTCATCTCCCAAAATGATTCAGAGGAGACCAGTAAAATAAAATGTAGACCAAGGTCCTAGTTTTAACTAAACAGATCATTACCTGTGCTAGGCCTCACAGCCCACATTTACAAGATGGAGTCATGGGTTAAATGCTTTCTTAGGTCTCTTCCAATTCTAATGTGTTCATATTTTAGAAACATGTATATTCCCCCAAAGTCCAGTGATCCTTTGCAAATGGGACCAGGAAAAATTTAACACAGCAAAGAAGCTGCTTTGCAAATACTCCATAGACTATTTTAATCTTCTCTATTTCCATTTACTTGTTCCAAGGTTAGATAATAAAATGTTCTCTTAAAAGTTACATGCGTCTGCACAATCAAAATGCTCTCATATCATCCTGAAACTGCCAGCATGTCCTACTTTGCCAATCTGAGCCTATCTAAGTCCCAGGTTCCCTGTGTCCAATCAACTGACAACAGGTTTATGAGATACCCAAGAAGTCTGCAGAGCACTAGGCATTTTAGAGATTGACATGTTCTTTATCTTCTCCAGAATTGCTGACAATACTTGTGTCTTTTAAAAGGAGCAATATTCACATAATCTCATAGCTCTTGAAAGAAGTTGACCAACTTTCAATAGAGCACCAAATAACTATTTACCTTGGAGGATCTGTTCTTCATTATTTAAGGAGATAATATATTGTAGCTGTCCCAGAATTCAGGAAGACTTTCAGATTTATCTTCTGTGAACCAGGTAAAGTATGCACTTCACCATATTTTTGGAGAAATTAAATTACATAGAATTTGTAAGTGTGGGACACAATGCATAGAATGCTGTGAAGGCTTAGTTATCTAATTTAATGAGTGTATAAATTAATCAATCCATCAACCAATCACCAGGACATAAGTGCTGTATTATTTTAATTTCAATGGGTTGGAATATGACAGAATGTTTGACTTTTAGGTCACTTTATATTAGGAAACAAGCCTTAGAGACTCTGGTCCATAAAGCAGGGATATTTGAGATATTCCTGTGGAGTGTAGAACCAATCCGGTTCTGGCCAACAGTGAGGGACTTAGTTTGTATAAGAAGATTCCTAGGTCATATCTACGCCTGCCTACAATATTTCATATGAACTATGAAATCTTCTCTCTGAGTAAGATTTGACTCCTTATCCTACCTCTCCCCTAGGGGAAAAAATTTGTAGCAAGGCCAGAGCACTCTGCTTGCAAGGTTATCTAAGAATAACAACAAAATTGTGTGAATGGCTATTATAATCATTTTCAGATATTGAAATCATAGCCTGAGATTTTAAGTAATAAGTTCACATACTTAGTGACAAATCTAGAATTTACCCCTTTATATTTATTTTTCCCATTTCCATATCTTTTCCCTATTATATACTACTTTTCTCTTTAAATGTACTGAATTTCAGTTTCTTCATATAAAAAATGGGCTAATAACGCCTGTCGTAGAGTATCATTATTAAGATTAAATTCAATAGCAAACAGGAAATGCGTTGAGAATACTAAAGTGCTATACAAATGTGAATTGTTACTCTCCATGGTTACTGATATATCCTCAAATCATCAGTGTTCATTGTTGTCTAGAATAGAGAAGGCTCATTTTTGAAACTGGTGATTTCTAATATACAACTTATATTTTCTATCATGCCCCAGTATATCTGTTCCGGAGATAGGAAAATAATTTACCAGTCATTTTTCTACTGAAAGTTGCCTTTGGCAATATTTGAGAATGTCATAGTTTTTAGTCTCAAAACTCCATAAGGCACATTTAAGTCAAGGAATCATCATTTCCTGTACCTCAATGTTATCATTCATCATTGTGAATAATTAAATACATACATCCATCACTTAAATGAAAGCTTGGAAACTTTATTAGAAGGGTGTTTGAAAGATTTGGCCTTTATAAATCACAAGGGAAACCTATGTTTTCTGTTTATTTTGTTTCCACGTTGAGATAGGTAGATATAAAAATAGCCTTAAAAAAGTATGCATGGAATATAAGACTTCCTTAATCCAGTTATGTTTCTGGGAATGTTTTTAAGAGGTGAGGATATTCAGGTGCCATTTTGTGACCTGGAAATGTCCTGAAGCTCCACCTGTTGTGTAATAAATACCTACTGATCACCAAAGATGTGATGATGGCTGGCATTTTGAGTTTCTAATCCTGTAGAACTGCCTGAAGTTTCTGGTGAATGCCTTAGCAGAGCAATACTCCATATACCTCAAAATTAGCTGGGATGTATCCCCTTTTAAATGACACTGCATGTAATTTAGAATTGTGAGACTCATAAGGTTCATGCTATCATGAAAGTTCACTATAGATAAAAGATTTGTCCACTCAGGATTCCTTTTCAGAATGCTTGAGGCATCATTATTTTGTATGAAGGCATTTAAAAAAAAGCTGTGCACTGCTTCAATATTGAAGTATTTCCTGATTTTTACGCTTTTATATTGACAACAACTTCATCTTTTCTCCATACAGCAGTATTTTCTTTTTCTTTTTGTGAGTTTTCTTTTGAAAATGCCAAGCTATTATTAAGGTATGGTAAACAGAACTCTCCTGTGAAGAATGCCTGTTTCAAGCAGGTCCATAGGACTTCAGATAGGACAATGGAACAAAATCCGTTAATTATCATTTTCCAGACTGAATAGGATGAACTTTGACAAAGCATACTTGTGGAAAAGCTATCAGCACCAAGCGCTCCTCTTCCTGTTTAGGGTGTTTGACCCTAGGGAACCACATAGAGACTGAAGGTATTTTTTTTCTCCTTTGTTTATATTTAGACAGTAATTTAAAAATAGATTAGAGACATATTTAATACTCCAGAGTGATTTGCTTTCCTAACAGGACTCTTAAAAGCATTCCAGATTGTTAACAAGTATAATTGTACCTCTACTATGGGATACCAGAAATAATAGCACTGTTATTACAATGATATCGTTTTAGTTCAGATTGAAACTTGCACAAAAAGTATAAGGTTAAATTGGAACTTTAAAATGGGTATGTTGATTGTAGTGTTGTTGAAACCAACGTGGAAAATATTGAACATTTGTATAGTAAGAACATATCTTAACAGTGCAGAAAAATTTAATTGGCAAATAGGGCTGAGTACTCATACATACTTGTCTGATGATGCAGTTATAAGTAGAACAAACTACTGTTTTAGGTAAATGTTCAGATAATTCAAACAAAAAGTGCATTTGATTACTTAACTGAGACAAGTGTTTCCATTCATCAACACAAAATTTTTGTGTACTTAGAACTAATGTATTAAAAGAAAATTCATTAATATTTAAGTTTAATTCAAAATCTATTCTTACCTTGGTGTAAAAAGTTTGAGACAAAGAAATGTAATTGGTCTGTTCCTTTGGCCATAATTTAGACTCTAAAAATGATTGTAGTGAGTGTCTGTTTGACCTTTGCCATATTTATACACACTCACACACACATGTTCATTTTGGACTTATTCTTATTTGCACTACTATCATTGTACCTGTCTTGTTCGGAAGTCAGTATGGGACCAAAACAGACCAGAAATATTCTCCGAATTTTTCCACATTTGAACTAGGGCTTAAAATCTTATCATTCTCTGGTGATAAAGCCTTAAGCATGAGCTTCGTAAAACTCTTCTTTATTATTTTTATTTCCATTTAGAAGGAAGAATTCTGAGATATTTAAGTGGGCCCGAAGAGAAAAGCAGAAATGAGAGACAAAAAAATAAGGCATCTCTTAGCACTCAAGCCAGAGGCCCAGCTTGTCACCTGACTGCAGTGGTTATAAAAAATACCACAGTATCTTTCCAATAATTTCCTGTATTGGTTTAACTCAACTTAAATGGGCTTTCTATTGATTACAATTCAAAGAGTTCTGGCTAATCCAGCAAGAAAGGATGCTTATTTCTGATTGGAGGGAACTGTGATTTTGGTTCCTGAAAGATACCAATTTAAATACCAGATTAATAACTTGATTGGCCTGGTAGTCTTGAGTAAATTATTTGATTCCTCTAAATTTCATATTTATTTTTCAAACAAAGAAAAAAATTAGAAATAACAGTGCCCAGTTTACTTTTTTAGAGACTAACATATCAAAATGATTGGAAATTTGAAACATTGGTTTCCTTTCTCATACTTATCTAAATATTTCTAAAAATACCATAACAGAACAGAACAAAACACATTGGTGGTAGAGGAAAAACGGAAGCAATAATTCTGCATCTTTTTATTGATTTTAATGATAGAACATTTTTCTTATAAGTTTACAAGCACTACTAATATGCTCCCAATGACAACAATATTGTTTGCTCAAAATTAAAAGTCATTCGTTGTGAGTTCCAATAAAAGATTGAAAATATCATATTTAGATAAAATTAAATGTCACTGGGTGCAAGTTCCAATAAAAGATTGAAGAGATCATGTTTGGATAAACAGAAGTCTTTAGAATGATTTTCTAAATGAACCACCAATAAGCAATGAAAGAAAATATCTCCCTCTAAAAAAAAAAGGAATATCTGTAATATTTTGGAATCAGAAAATTTCAAAGTTGTAGTGAATGAATGGTCATGAGTCCCAACTTTCAGGCTGGTGAAGTGATCTCTCATATTAGTTTTTTTTTTTTTTTTTTTTTTTTTGCTAATGACTTACAGAGTGACCTGGTATATTTCATTTAATCCCCCCCTTACCTTTCTGCACTTTATCCTCAAAAGAGAAATAAAAAAATGGACCACCACCTGCCACACAGGAGATGGTAAGATTAATGAACTGCTGTGACAATTCTTTGCCAGACAAAGCTGTGTGAAAGATGAGGGAGAAAGCACCAACGAGCACCTGGCTTGGAAACAGGAAAAGGCAAGAGAATTTATTACTGTGGAGTGTTAGAAATGGATAAAAAGCCTTTGAAAAGCCTTTGTTTGATGACAGAAAAAAACTTTTTTTTTTTTTTTTTGAGGTAGCAGGACACTCATTTGTGGGCATCATGGAGAAAAGGCAGGGACCTTAACAGTGGTTACTGTAAACTGTTATATAATGTCAATTACAGGTTACAGGTAATATCAACTTACCTCAGCACTTCACTTTACAGTGTGAAAAATTCTTTCTCATACACGAGCTCAGTTCAGGCTCTAGCAGTCCCAGTAATAAGTAGGTCGGGAATTAAAGCCTCATTATTTTACAGGGCTTATATACTTCGTCCAAAGTCATAGACAGTGAGTACTGGAGCAGATCTCAAAGCCAAGTCTACCAGATCCAGCCCAGTTTTATCACAACCCCACGCTGCCTCCACCTGAGCGTGTGTGGCAACCTCTTTATGAGAGAACCCTTAAGGTGAAGTATGTGTAGCATTCTTTCTTCACCATGCCAGTCTGTTTTTCTCTTAATTTTCTTTCTTTCCTATTTCTGTTTAATTCATATTTCTCCCCATGGTTATTCACACTTTTTACACTTTTCTCTATTTTGAAGGTGTATTTTTATTTTTATGTACTTATTTTATTTATTTTGAGACAGAGTCTTGCTCTGTTTCCCAGGCTGTAGTGCAGTGGTGTGATCTTGGCTCACTGCAACCTTTACCTCCTGGGTCCAAGCAATTCTTGTGCCTCAGCCTCCTCAGTAGCTGGGATTAAAGGTGTAAGTTAAGGATAATTTTTGCATGTTTTTGTAGAGCCGGGTTTTCACCATGTTGGCCAGGCTGGTCTCAAACTCCTGGCCTAAAGTGACCTACCCACTCAGCCTCTCAAAGTGCTGGGATACAGGTGTGAGCCATCATGTCCGGCTTGAAGGTGTATTTTTAACGTATTTTTAAAAACACAGCACCAGTGGTTTTTGCAGCAATCCTGTAATGGAAAAAACACAATCTTCAGCCCCATTTACCTGTGAGAGAGCCAATATGCAGAGGTGTTCCAGGATCATATTAGGGACAACTTGCAGTATTAGGACCAGTTTCCCAGACACATGAGGGCAACCGGAGCCTTAGTGCCTTTCACTGTTTTAGAGCCTTGATTTAAGAAAACTATATTCACAGCCAGGCAGGCTAAGAATCCATTCAAGTTCATCCATCCACCCATTTATCAATCCACATTTCTATCCAACAAAGAGTGTTGTTTTTGACCATGAAATTACAGAGGTAAAAAAGTCCAGCAATCTCTGCTGATAAAGAACCCACATTTTACAAGAGAGATGCTTTGGTGGATACTATGGAATAAATATGAAGAATGAGACCCCTGTTTTTTTAGCATAGAATATCCCTTGTGGGTGAAATGCACAGATGCAAGCATAAACAAGGAGAACAGTCAAGTTGAGAAATCAACAAGGAGAACCGTAAAGTTGAGAAACAGTAAAGTTGAGGCCTTGGTATCAAAGGACTTATGCTCTGGCATTATCTAGCTGTATGACCTTGGGCAAGTTATCCTGCCTGAATTGTTAGGCAAAGAAAACAACATTGGGTGGTGGTGTGGAGCAGGGAGTGGTAGTTTGGGCAATTACCAAATTAAATACTATGAGAGTCTAGTTCTTCTATAGTTTTACCATCTTGCTCATTATTTTTTGGTAATCTGCATTTTCTTATAGCTTCTCCTGAAACTTATGGTTCTGGAAAACTAGTTTCCTACAGTTTTTTAAATGGTAACTTTCTGATGTACATTAAATAGCTAGCTGCACTTTGCTTATTTTCTCTTTTCTTCAAGGTCTCATTGATGATTGTTTTATGAAAGTGAAAGGCAGCTAGATCTTTTGCAGAAGGCCTAAAAGTAACTTCCATTTGCTTTGTTGAAATGATTTGGACGTTTGAATTTAATGCAGTCTTAATTGACATTCCCTAGAAGCAGAGCTGGATAGAGGAATTCAGACTGATATCATTGCTTGAGGGTGTCTTTTACTGGGAAAACCTGTAGGGTAAGAGGAAGTGAAGACCTAATGATAGTAAAGGGGAAGGGGCTGAGTGAGGATGGTGTGTCAGGCAAAGTCTATTCCAGTGGGTCTCCAAGTGTGGTTCCCAGACCAGCATCATTAACATCAACTAGGAACTTGATAAAAAAGCAAATTTTCAGATTGAAGCTGGATCTGATCCAAAGGGGCCTCAAAAGCATAAATTATCCTGAAGGATTGTCCTTTCTTGAAAGAAGAGGTCTGGCCAGATGTCTAACATGTGGAATATTAGACAGTCACTACTTGTAACCAGCTGGTAGTTATTGCTAATGGAGCCAATTCTCCAGAGAAGGGTAGCAGGTGTGAGCTATGAGCAGATAAACTTCTGAGCAATTGGGAGATGGTCCACAGTCTGAGAAAGAGAACCTAGGGACAGGACCAAGGCATGTTAGGTTTGGCACTGCACAGCCTTGACCCCACCCAATTTTTTGTATAGCTGGTTTTAGTTTACAAGTTTTTCCAAGGTTGTTATAAAACAACATTTACTGTAAAACGGCACTTATTCACTAGCCCCTTAGTCATGCTCAATAAATAAATCAAGATGTAATTTAAAAGCCATAAAATTGTCCATTTCGAAATGTGAAGTTTGTCACTTTTAGTACATTCACAGGGTTGTATGACCACTACCTAAATCTAGGACATTTTTATTACTCCCTAAATAAGCCCAATGCACTTTGATAGTCCCTCCACATTTCGCCCTCATGAGTCCTGAGAACTACTACCTCTTTTATGTCTGTATGGATTTCTTTCTTCCAGATTTTTTTTTTGAGACAGAATCTTGCTCTGTTGCCCAGGCTGGAGTGCAGTGGCATGATCTCAGCTCACTGCAAGCTCCGTCTCCTGGATTCATGCCATTCTCCTGCCTCATACTCCTGAGTGAGCTGGGACTACAGGTGCCCATCACCACGCCCGGCCAATCTTTTGTATTTTTAGTAGAGATGGGGTTTCACGCCATACATATATGGCTCTATTTCAGGACTCTATTCTGTTCCATTCTTCTATATGTTCAGTATTCTAACATAATAAATATAATAGAAATAAAAGAATAGGAAGGAAAGGTAAGGAAAAAAGAAAAAATATATAAGTATGCATTATTCCTGGTAAAAATAAACATTATTTCATGAAAGTTCTTGTTCAATTAAAAGAGAGTGTACGTATGTTTATTAGATCATCATTATCAAAACTCAATACTTTTGAGTTTTCCATCACAAATGAGAAATTATTGAATTAGTTTTATCCTTTTGTGATACTCTAAAATCCAACTTACCTAAGTGCTAATAGACCACAAATATATATTTATGTGTGTGTGTATGTATGTGTGTGTGTGTGCGCGTGCGCGCACACGTGCACTTTTTTTCTCTTTCAGTTCTCCTTTTCTACTTTTGTTCTCTGCAATGGTTGATGATGGTGCCAATGTCTGCTGTCTTTCCCACAACATATGTTCTCTGTTTCTTCTACAATAGCTAAATTAATGGCTAGACATATACTCATTCAGAAAAAAAGGTGTATTTTCCTGAAGCCCATGCAGCTATGTGTGTCGATGTGATTATGTTATTACCAATGAGATTTAGACAGAGTATCATATGGGATATTCAGAGAACTTTTAAATTAAATTAATGTTTTTGTTTTTCTCTGAAGGAAGTGCTTGCATGAACTCTATATGTAATTCCTTCTTTCTAATTTTTTCTGGTGATTGGAATAGGCATATAAGCTTACAAGTTTGAAGATGAACAACCCCATTCATCCACTCACTGGTGTTGAAAGGAGCTGACAGAATTTCTTTCTTTTTTTTTTTTTTTGAGACAGAGTCTCTCTCTGTCTCCCAGGCTGGAGTGCAGTGGTGCGATCTTGGCTCACTGAAACCTCTGTCCTACAGGTTCAAGCAATTCTCCTGCCTCAGCCTCCCTAGTAGCTGGGACTACAGGCACGTGCCACCATGCCCGGTTAATTTTTTGTATTTTTAGTAGAGATGGGGTTTCACCGTGTTAGCCAGGATGGTCTCCATCTCCTGACTTCGTGATCTGCCCTCCTCAGCCTCCCAAAGTGCTGGGATTACAGGCGTGAGCCACTGTGCCCAGCCCAGAATTTCATACAGTGAAACTCACATTCCCACTGTAGGCAGCATTTAGGTAAGTAATAACTCAACGTAAATCTTGTTTAATCTTTTGCCAATTAAGTTTTCTCTGTTACTTACAAGGAGATCTCCATCATTTATTTGACAGCATTCCTGATTTCCCTTCACCACTAAACCTGACCTTTGTCTTCACCATCTTTATAAATCACAACACCACATTGCTATTGGTTTAGATCAACACAACTTGGAGTTCTCTTTGACTCTTCTCTTTCTCACTCCTAATCCAATCAATCAGCAAATGGTCTCTTTCCTACCTTTACAGCATTTACAGAAATCACTGTCTCATTATTTGGTCCAAGTCATCATCCACTGTCCCTGTGGATTGCTACAATTGACCCACAACTAATTACCTTTCTTCTACCCCAATCCCCTTCATTGAGTTCTTATCAGAACAACCAGAGGGAGACTATTCGAAATAAGTTGTATCACTTCATCCTCTGTTCAAATCCTGCTGAGGGTTCTTTCTCATTCAGAGTAAAGTCCAAAGTCCTTACTCTGTCTTTGTAGGCCTCACAATTTCTCACCTCCAGGTATCTCTCTCTGTCTTCTCCTCTCTTCTCCCTTATTATCTTATTCCCACCCACCCTGGCCTGCATGCTGTTTTTTTCCCTACCAGATATCCTCTCTTAGACCAGATAACCCTCACAGTTGACTCTCTCCCTGCATTCAGGTCTCTGCTCAAATGTAAACTCATCTGAGAGGAGGTTTTTTTCCCCACTTATATAAAATATTACTCCTCCAATACTTTATGTCTCCCACACTCTGTTTTATATTCTTTATGTCACTTAATCTCACAGACATTATTTTAAAAAAAAATTCAGATATTGCCTCCTTCCCTCACAGAGTCTGGGGCTTTGTTGCTTCGTTTTGTTCACTGATATCTCCATAGTATCTAGAAAGGGCATGGCCTGTAGTGCCCCTCAAGAAATACCTGTTGAATGAATGAATAAATTAATGAGAAAAAGAGGATGGGAAGTGAACCTTCAAATCATGACTATGATACCTGCTACCCATAAGATAATAACTAACTGATCTCTGATCCTCATTTTAATCTTCTCTTGAGTGGGCATAATAATATATAACTGAGGATATTCACGTGAAGATGAAATAAAATTATCCTAATAAACATCCCACACAAGGCCCTACACAAAAAAATGGACTCAATATGAGTTTGATAAATCATCAAATTTTGAAAAAAAAAATGCAACCAAAGTCATCTAGTGATCTTGAGGGAAAGTACCTTGCAAGATTTTTCAGGCTAATGATGTAAATAAATTCACATAATCTCCAAGCATTAAATGGAATTTACAATGCCTTAATTCAATTCTCTAAAGCATTAAATATCCACGATTAAGAAATATCTGTGTTATTTATGCCTTGTAAAAATGGCATTTATTATAAACCTGAAACATTGGGCAGAATGTTTGGGAGCCTTTGCGACTTTTGACTAACCCGCTGAGAACAATCTTGATAGAAAGAGATTGGCACTTCTCATACCTTGTCCCCCAGGGAAGGCTGCTGTCACTCCTAACATGCAGAGAGTGCCCTTCTGTAGCTCAGCTGACATGAAGCATGCCTCCTTTGAGAGTGCAGTCAGCCCAGGCTTGAGTTCCTTTTTCACCAGAATTACCCTGAGAAAAATGCATCTGGAAACCTTCATGCCACCCCTGATGCAACTGCCAGCCTTCCACTCCTAGGGCAGATATTTCTTCCTCACTTTGCTCAAGCTCTTCTTGTCTTCCTGTAGCATCCCTTGCTTCCATTCTTTTCTTCCTTCCCAAGATTTTTCCATTGTGCCTAAAGGAATTCACTTTCCCCTTTCACTTCTTGAAATTTCCCTTCTCCTTCTGGCTTATATATATACATTTATTTATAAATAAATCATAATTTATTTACATATATTCTAAAATTATAATTTTATAATCTGTAAAATCTATAATATAAAAGTATAGATTATAAAATTATATTATATATGTAGAATTATAATAGGTAGGTTGGAATCTCTTATTAATTCTATTTAACAAGACTTTGTGCAATACTGAAAATTTTCTATGTCTGTGCTGCTCAACATGGTCGCTACTAGCTATATGCAACTATTTAGGACAGGGGTTCCCAACCCCTGGGCTGGGGACTGGTACCTGTCTCTGGCCTGTGGCCTGATAGGAACCAGGTAGCACAGCATGAGGTGAGTGGCCAGAGCAAGCATTACCACCTGAACTCTGCCTCCTGTCAGATAACCAGCGACCTTAGATTCTCACGGGAGTGTGAATCCTATTGTGAACTGCTCATGTGAGGGGTCTAGATTGCATGATCCTTATAAGAATCTAATGCCTGATAATCTGAAGTGGAAGTTTCATACCGAAACCATCCCTAACCCTTCTGTGGAAAAAATATCTTCCAGGAAACCAGTTCCTGGTGCAAAAGTTTGGGGACTGCTGATTTGGGACTTTAAATATGTTTAGTGTAACTGAGGAACTGATTGTTTCATTTTTTATTAATTTAAATTAAATAGTGACACATCGCTAGTGGCTACTATATTCAACATCATAGTTCTAGCCCCTTTCTCTTCCACCCTAAAATGAAAGACTACTTATGATTCTGGAGATAATACTCTCGACTCTTTACCTTCTAACTAATTCCATTCATCAATTAAACATATCAATTTAATTTTTTGTCTCCTGGTTTTTCATCTTACATCCCACCTCAAGCCACACCATTACAGTGGGAAACTTCAACTTTTTATACATGTAACCTATCTTCAAACCCTGAAGCTGCAATCTATAATATTCTTATTTTAAATGTATTATACTCTATAGTCTCTCACATATGAAATATTAAATTTGAACCATGTTACCTTTTGACCACCATAGTTGAGAGAAGTGTTAAATAATGTCTTGTGTAGTAATATGCCATCTATTTAAAGTTATCCCCTGGTGCTGCAGTTAGGATTCAGTGCTTTTCTACGCTATGCATCACCAGCCACCCGGTCTGTAATCTTGTAGCACTTAATACACTTCCAATATAATACACTGTAGCACTTGATAGCACTTATTGTAACCATCTCTTGATTTTTCTATATTCCCATTAGAATTTGTAGGGGAAAACTTTCTCATTTACATTCACTAC
Source organism: Homo sapiens (assembly GCF_000001405.40). NCBI lineage: Eukaryota > Metazoa > Chordata > Mammalia > Primates > Hominidae > Homo > Homo sapiens. The sequence continues at coordinate 35,071,864 of NC_000003.12, forward strand.
CCAGCACTTTAGATGGTACCAGACACATAAAAGGCTCTCAATAAAGGAGTAAGTTAATGAATGAACTCATTTTATTGGCTGATGCGATGAGTCACAATATTTTATAAGATCCCTGACAACTGCTCTACACTCACATGAATTGTCAACAGTGATCTGAACAGAGAAATAGGGTTGTGGTGTGTCCCCTGGTAATCATACAGAGCCTAGACAGATCACAAATGCATTAGGATAGTCTCATCCTGATGAGGATTTGCATTTCTAACTAGAATTTAACCCATCTAGCACTTCAATTTTGTAGGTGATAATTAGTAATTTCATCACAAATTTGGAGCTTGGAGCTATGACAGAGTCCTTAACTCAAGTTTCACAGCTTTTATTGGATAGAGATAACACTTTAGGATTTTTTTTTTTTTTGGTTGACTTTTGTTTGAATGATTGCTTGTTTTTTTGTGTTTGTGTTTGTTTTTATTTTTTTGAGATGGAGCCTCACTCTGTCACCCAGGCTGGAGTGCAGTGGCACAATCTCAGCTCACTGCATCCTCCGCCTCCCGGGTTCAAGCGATTCTCCTACCTCAGCCTCCTGAGTAGCTGGCACTGCAGGTGCATGCCACCATGCCCAGCTAATTTTTGTATTTTTAGTAGAGACAGGGTTTCACCATGTTGGCCAGGATGGTGTCAATCTCTTGACCTTATGATCCACCCACCTCAGCCTCCCAAAGTGCTGGGATTACAGGCATGAGCCACCATGCCCAGCCAATTGCTTGAATTAAAAAATATTGCTGTTTCAATAGCTTGTTTTAGCTTAAACACAATGCAGAAATGGCTCATCCTTACCAAGAACTTGATATGTTTTCTGTGAATGAACGCAAAACCCAATTTCAGATGATAGTTACAACATACACCATTCAGTCTCTATTTTTACAATATTAACATGTAGAAATTTTTTTCTGAAAATATATGAACATTAAAAAAAGAAAATATGTATCAACTTAAGTATTGTGTTCTGTGAGACCAAGGTTCTAACCATGTCAGCTCTCCTTGTATTTTATGGACAATGTGTTTTAAAATTCTAAGGCAGAATGCTATGATTGAAAATACTTAACACAGAAATCTTAGTATGTTCTTCAGAAACAGATAGAATCTTTGCAAGCTCTAAGAGATTCTTAAGAAATTTTGAACATTACTTGTCTTCTTTATACTTTATTATTATTATATTTTTAAAGAAAATAAAATTATCTAATTCCAGTCCTACTCCAAGTGTTTTAAATACTATTCCTATTAAATAATAAGAATAACAAATCATAACAGCCTAGCATTTTGATTGCTTCCCTTGGGGAAATCTCTGTTAAATGCTCTGTGTAACTTATCTAATTTAATACTCATATCAACACATAAGTTTAATATTAATGTAATCGTTTTGCAGATGAGGAAGCTGAGGTCCAGGGAGGTTAAATACATTTACCAATAATATAAAAATTATACATTTAATCAATTCTTTTAATTTGGTTCCAATGCCCATGTCATTAACGGCTGAACAACATTGCCCTGCTCTTAAGCTCTGCTATATGTAATTACATGAGCCTCATATCATCTGTTTTTCTCCAGTGCAAATATTACATTGTTCTAATTACCATAGATTTATAGACTATAAAGCCATAGAACATCTGGTAGGGCAAGACTTTGCTCCTAATATCTGGAAAGGTAAATCGTTCCTCATTTTTATTTACTATTTATAATACATTATGTATTCCTCAAGTGAGAAATACATAATGTAAAATTATGTATAATGTATAATACCTCAAGTGAGGAATACATCATGTATAATAGTATTTTATTATGCTAATATATACTGTATAAGTATAGTATATGCTTGATATACAAATATAATATATGCTATAATACATTATACATATATTCATTGTATGAATACATATATAATGCATATATTCATTTAGCTCCATAATATATGCTATAAGAATTTGAATTAGAATTATATTGAATTTATAGATTGTTTTATGTAAAATGCATTTGCATATAATTTTGAAGCTTTATATACAGAAATATGGTATATCTCTTTATTATGAGATCTTATTTGCCTTTTACAAAGTTTTATACTCTTCTTTATTTAGCTCTTAATGTGTCTTGACAGCTGTCTTTCAAAGAATTTAGTAGTGTTTTTATTGTTTTTAATGGTATTTTTCCATTATTAAGAAAATCAATATTTCTTTTCAAATGCATCAATATGGAGACTAAGAAGACTTGATTTTTAAACTTTGAATTTTGAAATAATTTTAAATATAAAAAATTTTGCCAGTATGATGTAGGGATATTTGACCTACCCTTCACCCACCTCTCCCTAATGTCAACACTTCGCACAGCCATGGTATAATGTTCTAAACTACAAAATTAGTATCAGTACAACATTATCAACTAAATTAAAGACTTTATTTAGAATGCATTAGTTTTTAAGGTTCTTTTTCTCTATCAAGATTATACAAAAAATTTTATTTTTTCCTTCAATCTGTGACCATCAATTTTTTATTGTCTCTTACAACTTTGACACTTTCTAAGAGTACTGGAGAGTTATTTTATAGAATGTCCCATAATTAAAGTTTGCCTAATATTTTCTTATGATTAGATGATTATTTTTTAAAAGGATACAGACACATGATGCATTCTTCTCAGTATATCTCATCAGGTTACATGATGCCAACACATCCTTTTATTGGTGATATTACCTCAATCACTTGGTTAAGGTGGAGTTTACTGGGTTTCTCCACGATAAATCTACTATTTTCCCCTTTGCAATGAACAAATATCTTGGGAGATATACTTTGAGACTTTGTAAATAACCTTTTTCTCCTCAAACTCTGAACCCCTAATGTTACTATTCATCATTAAGTCTTGCAGACGGTAATTATTAGTATTGAGTTCTGCTGATAATTTTTTATTCCATAATTCCTTCTACATTTGATGTTCTTTAAACAAGAGATAACTCTGCTCATTTATCCATCTCTCTATCTCCGTACCAGTCTATCTACCTATCTATCACCTACCTGTCTATCTATCTAAATCCGTTTATTTATTTATTTCCATTTGGATCCCTATATGTATTACTTTTATTGGATGTCTTTTAATTCAATAATATTGTTATTTACTTTGTAGCTCAAATTATTCCAGCTTTGTCTCTTGGAAACACTTCCTGGTTGACTCCTGTTCTCTCTTCAATATATCTCCATACCATTTTGAACGCTTTCTTACTTTCTAGTACCAAAAAATGATCCAAGATCTCTGCTCTTTTTTTCATGGAGCTGTAGATCTGATTTTGTGTGTTGGTGTTGAATTTTAGCTTAAAGTGTGAATTTTAGAAAAATTTTGGTAGGTTATTTTTTATTCTGAAATACATTATAAAATGTTTTTAGAAATATTTTTAATCTTAATTGCAGTATATAATTGTATTTGTGTATCTCCATTTTACAGATTATCTAAAAATATTAATGTGGTATTTAAAATGTTCTAGGTCACATATCTATGGAATGGCAAAAATCTAGACTTGATACAACTATTATAATTCCAAAATCCATGATCACTCTTCATACCACTGAGCCTATCATAGGAAGAGATAAATACTATCTGCTTATCATGACATTAAGCATTTAACACACGGTTCTTTGTAAACCATGATGTTTATAGCGTCTGTAGCTCCCTGAAAGATACCTGTATGGGGCCTTGTACAACCTTTACCTCAGCCAAGGTTATACACCAAATATCTGGTAAAAATGAGATTCACACTCAGATTTGCCTTGCTTTAAATGCTACCCCACCTTGCCATCCTTAAAATATAAGCAATCTGCTGAGATGTTAAATTTCAAAGTTGTTTTGGTGAAAGAGGTGGATAAGACATGAGTGTATATGTATGTGTGTGTGTATATATACGAGTGTACATTTTTGTATATACATATATATGAGTGTACATTTATATATATACATATATGAGTGTACATTTATATATATACATATATGAGTGTACATTTATATATATAAACATGCATATAAGATGTGTGTGTGTATGTGTATAGAATGCAAAAACCTCCACCAAAAACTGGTTAGAAATAATAACTGAATTTAGTAAAGCTGCAGGATATAAAATCAACATGTAAAAATCAGTAGTGTTTCCATATGCCAATAATAAGCAATCTCAAAAATAAGTCAATAAAACAATTTCATTTACAATAGCCAAAGAAAAATACCTAGGAATAAATTTGACCAAGAAGGTGAAACATCTCTATAATGAAAATTATAAAACGGGATGAGAAAAACTGAAGAGGACATAATAAATAGAGCAATATCTTGTGTTCATGGATGGAAGAATTAATATTGCTAAAATGGTCCTACTACCCCAAACAATTTATGGACTGAATGCAATCCTGATCAAAATACCAATGATATTCTTCACAGAAACAGAAAATAATCTTAAAATTCATATGGAACCACAAAAGAACCCAAATAGCCAAAGCAATCTTTTGCAAAAAGAACAACGCTGGAGGCATCACACTACCTGAATTTAAAATATACTACAAAGTATAGCAAACAAAACAGAATGGTACTGGAATAAAACAGACACACAGAGCAATGGAACAGAATAGAGAACCCCAAAAACATATCAATGCATTTATAATCAACTGATTTTCAACAAAGTTTTCAAGAACACATATTGGGGAAATAATGGTATCTTCAATAAAAGTGATAGGAAAACCAGGTAGTCACATGCTGAAGACTAAAACTGGATCCCAGATTTTCACCATATATAACAATCAAATCAAAATGGGTTAATGACTTAAATATAAGACCCCAAACTATGAAACTACTGGAAGAAAACAGATGAAATGCTTCATGGAATTTGGCTGGGCAAGCATTTTTATATAAGACCTCAAAAGCACAGGAAAAAAAAAGCAAAAAGTAGACAAATGAAATTATGTCCAACTAAAAAGCTGTTGCACAGCTGGAAATAATAAAGTGAAGAGACAACCAACATAATAGGAGATAGTATTTTCAAACTATGTGCATGATAAATGTCAATATCCAAAATATATAACAACTCAAAGAACTCAATAGAACACACACAAAACATAACACAATTTAAGAATAGGTGAAAGATCTGAATAGAAATTTCCCAAAAGAAGGCATAGAAATGACCAACAGATATATGATTAAATGTTCAACATCAGGAATCATTGGAGATTCAAATCAAACTTACAATAAAATACTACCTCACCCAAGTTAGAATGGCTATTACTAAAAAGACAAAAATAACAAATGCTGGTAAGCATGCAGAGAAAAGGAAACTTTTATACACTGCAGGTAGCAATGCAAATTAGTAAAGCTATTTTGAAAAGCAGTATAGCAGTTCCTCAAAAAAATTAAAAATAGAACTACCATATGATCCAGCAATCCTGTTTTTGAATATATATCCAAATAAATGCAATCAGTACATTGAAGATACATCTGCATTCCCATGTTTGTTGCAGTGATATTCACAATGGCCACGATATAGAATCATTTTAATGCCCATCCACAGATGAATTGATACAGAAAATTTGGTGTGTGTACACACACACACACACACACACACACACACACACACACACGATTCAAAATGGACTATCATTCAGCCTTAAAAACAGAATGAAATCCTGTCATTTATGGCAATATATATGAACCTGGAGGACATTATGTTAAGTAAAATAAGCCAGGCACAGAAAGACACCACATGTTATCATTCACTTGTATAGTCTAAAAAGTTTATTTCATGAAAGTAGACAGTAGAACAGTGATTGTAGAGGCTGGAGAAAGGGGAGGAGATGTGGTATTGGGGGAGATTGGTCAATAGGTACAAAGTTAGAGTTAAACAGTAAGAATAGGTTCTGGTGTTCTATTACACAGTAGGGTGACTATAGCAAATAATAATGTGGTATATATTTCAAGATCACTAGAAAAGAGGATTTTGAATTTTGTCACCACAAAGAAATGATAAATGTTTAAAGTGATAGATATGGTAATTGCCCCTATTTAATCATTATATGATGTTTACATACATCAAAATATCATATTGTACCCCATAAATAAGTACAATTATTATGTGTCAATGAAAAATAAAATGATTAATGGGAAAATAAGCATCTTTATTAAAAAATAAGTTTAAATATATTATGCAGTGACTATCAAAAAAGTTGGAATTTGTATATATACTTTGATCAGTCAAACATCAAGGAAATATAAGTAACACAATCTTAAGTTATCAAATAGGGATGAGTTTATTTTGTCTGTAGCTAATATGATCTTCCTAATTTTAAATAATAATAAAGACAATTCAGTCCTAAAGTTCTATGTGCAAGAAGACATATAGTTGACCCTTGAACATGTGAAGGTTGGGGGTGCCACCTCCTGCACAATTGAATATCCATGTGCAACATTTGACAACCCCAAAACTTAATTACTAATAGTCTACTGTTGACTAAAAAGCCTTACTGATAAAATAAGGCATTGATAACACATAGTTTGCATGTTATATGTATTATATACTCTGTTCTTACACTAAGGTAAGCTAGAGAAAAAAGTTAAGAAAATCATAAGAAAGAAAATGTCTTCACCATTTTTTTAGTGAAAGTGGATCATCATAAAGGCTTTCATTGTTGTCCTCATGTTGAGTAGGCTGAGGAAGAGGAAGAAGAGGACTTGATCTTTCTGTCAGAAGTGGCAGAGGTGGAGGGGTTGGAATAGGAGGCAGGAGAGGCAGGCACATTGGCTTAACAAACAGAAATACATTGTAATTTCTAACTCTTCTGGTTTTCCATTTCTTTGAAAATGTTTCTGTATGGTATCAATCCTTCTTCACCAGTTGCTTTAGTTTCAGTGCCCATATCATAGAAGCGTCCATGTCATAAAAGAAGTCAAAGCAGTCTTGAACAATCAAAACCCTCCTGACAGATTGCCTAATGTCAATTTGTTTTCCAGCACTGCTTCTTCTATGTCTTCTTCCTTATCGTCAAATACTAATTTGGAAGCACTCATTTACATTATGTAATCTGTTAATTCATCTGCTGTGGTGTCTATTAGCTCTTGCATTTCTCCAAGATCTATATCTTAATTCCCTTCAGCTGTCCCCACTCTTTTTTTTTTTTTTGCCATATCCATGATCTCTTTCATGATTTTCCTGACTGGCTCCATTTTAAATCCTGTGAATTTATGCACAACATGTGAGCACAGTTTTCTTCAGCAAAAATTCATTGTTTGGGACTTGATGGTTTTAATAGCTTTTTATATAATAATGATGGCATTTTCGATGGTGTAAATCTTCCAGAGTTTCATGATTTCCCCTCTATCGGAGTCTTCCTTCATAGTGTTGATAATCTTTCCCATAAAGTGTTGTGCGTAATGGACCTTAAAGGTCATTATGACCTCCTGGTCTAGAGGTGTAATTACAGACATATTTAGGGACAAGTAGATCACTTGCTCACTGTTGGTGTTTAACTCATGGGGTTCTGAGTTGTCAGGGGTGTCCTTCAATATCTAAAGAACTTTAAAAGGTAGTCCCTCACTGGTAAGGTACTTCCTGACTACTTCAGGAACAAAATATCAATGGAGCTAGTGTAGAAAAAGGGCAATCGTTGTCCAGGTTTTCTTGTTTTACAATGAAAGTACTGGCAGCTGGTGTTTACCTTTTCCCTTCAAATCTTGGGAGTTAGCAGTTTTACAGATAAAAGCAGCCCTGACCATAAACCTGATGATTGCATTTACATGAAAGAGTAAATGTAGCCTATCCCTTCCTGCCTTAATTCCTGGTGCTTAATCTCTTACTTGCTTATAAATGTTATTTGTGACATTTTTGCCAGAATAAGTCACTTTTATCTGCATTAAAAACTTGTTCAGAAAGATATCCTTTCTCTTCAATTATTTTCTTAATGAATGCCATGTGGGAACTTGTCTTCACCTTCTTGGTCAGAAGCTTCTTCTCCTGTTATCTCAACATTTTGTTTTTTGTTTTTTTTTTCAGTTGGGAGTCTCGCTTTGTTGCCCAGGCTGGAATGCAGTGGCGTGATCTCGGCTCACTGCAACTTCGGCCTCTCGGGTTCAAGTGAGTCTCTTTCCTCAGCCTCCCGAGTAGCTGGGACTACAGGCACGTGCCACCACGCCTGACTAATTTTTTATATTTTTAGTAGAGATGGAGTTTCACCATGTTAGCCAGGATGGTCTCGATCTCTTGACCTTGTGATCGGCCCACTTTGGCCTCCCAAAGTGCTGCAATTACAGGCATGAGCCACCGTGCCAAGCCCTATCTTAACATTTTTTAAAAGTTAAATCTCTTTCTAAAATTGTTAAACCATCCTTTGTTGGCATTAAATTATCCAGCTTTAAAGCCTCATCATCTTTTTTCTTTCAGTTTTTGTATAATGACTTTACTTTTTCTTAAATCTAGAGTCTATAAGTAGGTCTTTCTTATAGCAATCCTGCATCCACATAAAAGTTGCACTTTCAATAGAATGGTATTTTAGGAAAAGTGCAGGTTTTCATTTTTTGCTGGCATAAATGTAGCAATGAGTACACATTTTTTTCTTTTTCTTTTCTTTTCTTTTTTTTTTTTTTTAACAATGGTCCTTATGCTGGATTTATTTAAGTTGAAATGTGGTCAACCACAGCTGCAAATCTCAATCTACCATACATATTAAATAATTCAGCTTTTTTCTTGTCATGTCATGACCTTCCTCTGCTTCTTGAGAGCACTTCCAGCATCACTAGTGGCACTTTATATGGGACTGTGATTTTCAATGCTTATCATATTACATTAAATATGATGAAAAATTATGATATCACATTAAATATTATGAAAAATACACTAGAACGGCGAGAGATCACTTTTAACTGAGATATGCTACTTACTGGAAAGATGAACTTCTCATGTAGAGATCAGAGTCATAGGGCATTTTATGCTGACACTTGCAACATTTGAGCTGTCTGCAGTAGTCACAGAGGGTGGCTATGAAATATTAGAGCAGTAATTTTATGCATTTACAATTTAATACTGCATCTTTCCATTTGTTTACATTTATCTCAACTTTGACACCATTTCTGGTAAGTGTGTGCATAAGTTTTGATAGATATTTACTTTTTATAATAGGTTTGCCTATAGTTTATGGTAGTAAATGATAAAATAGACTAGTGTCTACATATGTTTTGTGTATGCATAACATACCTAATCTTTTCTTCATTTTTTCAGTATTTCTAGGCTACAAGATTCACCTATGAGTTTTTTCAAATTGTTAAAAAACTCTAAAAAATGTTTCAATATATTTACTGAAAAAAATGTACATATAAGTGGGCTCATGCAGTTTAAGCCCAAGTTATTGGGTCAACTGTATATACATGTATATATAATGCATATGTATATGTATATATGTAGGGACAGATCATGCTAATTAAATATATCGCATATATATATCATACTCATTATTTTCCAAATCTCTATAAGAGTTCACATGTCCTGACAATGTGAATTTTTTGCAGGGTCACATTGAATTTGGGACTGTCAAGCTATTGAGGATACAGATCTCTATAGAAATTGCACAAAAGTGGCTACAAATAAAAGATAAATCAATAACTTTCTCAAATCTGAGAGAGAGAAAAAAATTCCAATGTACTTTAACAGTAACACACGCTTTGGAGCATGAAATCTGCCACAGATTTTACAAGTGACTGAATAATTTTGATCTTTGGTTTTCTTGTCATTGAAATCATTTTGGTAACATCTACTCACAAGGGTAATTGTAAAGATTAAGTCAGCTGGTATAGGTAAAGCCATCAGCACACTGCTTAGCATGTATGAACTGCTCTGTTAATGGTAAGTGTAACTGCTGGTCTTATCATTATTATCATGAGCAACACTGTCATTACTAATATTAAGATTAATTATAGCCTTCCATGTATGTTGCTATTCTCTTCTCTGGAATTATATTCCCTCTTAGTAAAACAGGTTTAGCTAATCTAGTACAGCTATACCCAGAGATGCCTGCATGTGCTTTGCTAAGACCTGAAGTTGGTGTCTATGATGCTGGTAATGATTGAAGAAAGAACAAGAACCCACTTCACTCAGCAATACTTTATAACACAGCCTCAGAGAGGACAATTTCCTTCCCCATGACAGTTTTATTATTACAGCTTTCATCTCAACAAGCGGAATAAATACAACCTTCATAAGAAGTGCTCCAGATAGGCCAGCAAGTATTACACTGACTTTTGACACAGGAAACACTGAAATTATGAATGTAATATTGTCATGTTTGTTTTGTGCCTTGGAAAGCCAGCTAGAATATTGAATATAAAGTTGTATTGTAGAAATGTAAATCAGCTGTTAAACTATATTAATAAGAAGCAGTCTCTCCTTTCATTATCTAGCTCCTGTTCTCTTTTTCTTTGTCATGTAAACATTTAGGTTACAGATGAAGTGTTCCTTACATTAATGTACATGTGACTTCTGGATGAGATTAGAAATCATGCTGCTGCTTTAAGATATTCACATGAATACATTTAGGGGAAATGCTTCTATTTTATAATACTAAGGTAAACCTTCCATTAAAGTTTAAAAAAGCAATCAAAATTATTTTTCCTGCGTCCAATTTGCTCACATTATCAATCATCAATCCCATTATTCAGATACACTATTTTTTTTTTTAAATTTTGGAGAGTCTTGCTCTATCCCCCAGGTTGGTGTGCAGTGGCATGATCTCGGCTCACTGCAACCTCCGCCTCCCGGGTTCAAGCAATTCTCATATTTCAGCTTCCTGAGTAGCTGGGATTACAGGCACCTGCTACCATGCCCAGCTAATTTTTGTATTTTTAGTACAGATGGGGTTTCACCATGTTGGCCAGGCTGGCCTCAGACTCCTGACCTCAAGTGATCTGCCTGCCTCAGCCTCCCAAAGTGCTGGGATTGCAGGCATGAGCCACCATGCCCAGCCTCAGATACACTATTAAAAATAAAGTTGACAATTTTATGAATATGCATTGTTGAGGGACCTATATCATATTGATTATATGGTTAATCTTTGAGCTCTTGCTTAAATCTGCCTGGGATCATATTCTGCCTTATGTTAAACACATTACTGAACTTCTCTCTGCTCCACTCATTCAACAGATGTTTAGTGACCCTGAACCATGGGCTGCACACCATTCTAACAAAACATTGAACAAAGGAGAATAATCTGTAAGCAAATAATGCTTACACATTAGTGGGAGATCAATAAATGATTAAAAAATGTGTATCAGGTGATGTGTCATCATCCGGGTTCTCCAGAGAAATAGAACCAATTTATACAATATTGGTTATACAAACCTGCACATATGTGTGCATATATAGACACATGCACAAAGATACAAATATACATACATATATATACATAGAGAGACAGAGAGATTTCAAGGAAATGGCTCACAAGTTTGTGGAGGCTTCAGCAGGGAGTCAGTCCTTTACTGAAGCTCTTCAACTGATTGACTGCGGGACACTTACGGAGAATAATATTTTTACTTAAGAAACAATGATTTGAACATGTATCTCACCTAAAAAAAAATTCTTCACAAAAATATCCAGACATATCTGACCAAATATCTGGGTACTGTGGCCTAGCCATACTTCATCTCTGATTTAAGACATAAGTCAGTTATGTTTCCACTTAACGTGATAAAACTATTTTGCTTGCAACTAAAAATGCATGAAACTTTTCCTAGGAGGGGATTCAAGGTCCTTGCGTAAGGATCATTCTTCTCCTTGATATCCATAGTAACTTAAATACTATTACATAAAATCACTACATGTTATGATACATGATAATGCAATAAGAGAGAGAAGAAAATGAAAAGAGTTGCCACACACACACACACAAATATATATATGTGATGAAATAAGGAAGAAATACTCATAAATACTCCTGACAATTACAGTTCTAATTTCTGTAGCTGATGACATCTTCCTGCATAGCTGTTATTTATAACTAGTTTATTCTACTTCTCATTCTCTATTACCTTTACTATCAGCAAGTAACTCAACTGGTTCTGGCTCTTTACCAGATGGGTTGACCCAACCCTTCATTCTTAATGGGTCTGGGCTTAATAATTTTCCCTGAATTTAGTAGTTGTAGTTTTCCATTGACTAATAACAGGGCACAGTATAACTAAGAGACACCCTAAGAGATCTCCTGTATTTCAGACATATTTATTCAGTTCCATTGTGAGTAGCAGTACAATTTCCCCTTGGTAATTAGGATGAATTACCCCAGCCAACGCTGTAACCTCCTTCTCTGCCTGTTAATTCAGGGAATGAGTAGCACAAAGTAGTCAGATGGCTGTCTTAATGTCCAATTCAATGGAGTCATTGTTTCTTCAAGTAGAAGCATTCTTCCCTTTGGAATTAAAATTTCTAGGTCAACAGAACATAATTTTGCAGTGACAGGATGGAAAATTTTGCTGGTGAATTACCAGGAATATCGTGAGTGGTGCCACTCCCCTTTCTACTCATTGAATATCCCCCTTTCTACTCATTGAATACTGGACCTGTGAATCCTAACTATGAGAGAAATAACACCATGTATTAGGTGCTGATTCAGATTATATACAGCTTCCTGAAGAGCCTTGCCCAAACCCTGCATGGTACTTCCATCTAGCTGGCACTGCAACTGAGTCGTCCAAGGCCATGAAGCCATTCCAGCATTCTTTCAAGTCAAGTGCTTCAGGATGCTGTAGAACATACTAACACACTAGTACATGTCATGATCATGGGCCCATTGCTGCATTTCATTTGCTGTGAAATGAGCGTCTTGATCAGGATAAAGCTGCATGGAATATCATGATGATGGATAATGAATTCTGTAATTCATGGATGATAGCTTTGGCAGAAGCATTGTATGCAGTGAAGGCAAATCTTTATTCAGAGTAAGTGTCTATTCCACTAAGAACAAAACAGTGCCTCTTCCATGATGGAAGTAGACCACGAGGCAACCAGATCTACCACGTAGCTGCCTGACCACCCTTGAGAATGGTGCTATATAGGAGACTCAGTGTGTCTGCTACTGGATGATGGACACTCAGCTGTGGCCATAGATAGGTAAGACTTGTTGAATAGAAGTGCATGTTGCTGAGTCTATGCATAGCCTCTATCCCTTCTGCACATGCTGAATAGGTGAGTTGAATGGGGATGTAATGTGAATGGGAAACCTGCGCATTCTTTAAGTCCTTGATGATGAAACTAAACTCTGCAATCCTTTCAGGATTGTGGCATTGCTCTTCATTTACTATTTCCCTAGTTAGAGGTAATTCTAGTGGCCTCCACTTGGCCTTTTCTACCACAATAGCCTTTATTCTATGTTATAAAGGGTAATCTTCTTTAATCAATGTTTACAGATTCAAATGTTCATTTTATCTTCGAAATACCTTTTATAGAAATATCTAGAATACCATCAGTAAATATCTTGTACCACGGCCTCACCAAGTTGACACATAAAATTATCATTACACAATGATACCAAATGAGGCCACTTCATAATTTTAAGCTACACAAAAACAGGGTCAACATACCACCCATGAAATGCCAAGGATCTTCCTTCTTGGCTAAAACAAGTGACTACTACTTTTTTTTTTTTTTTTTTTTTTTCCTGAGATGGAGTCTTGCTCTGTCGCCCAGGATGGAATGCAGTGGCATGATCTTGGCTCACTGCAACCTCTGCCTCCCAGGTACAAGCAATCTTCCTGCCTCAGCCTTCTGAGGTAGCTGAGATTACAGGTGCCCACCACCACATCTGGCTAATTTTTGTACTTTTAGTAGAGACAGGGTTTCTCCATGTTGGGCAGGCTAGTCCTGAACTCCTGATCTCAAGCGATGCACCCACCTTGGCCTCCCAAAGTGCTGGGATTACAGGTATGAGCCACTGTGCACAGCCGTGACTACTACTTCTTTACAAATTACAACTTTATCTTCATTCTCTGTCTCTATAAATAAGATTAATTGAGATACTCAATCACAAAGTTGTTCCCACTTTCTGAAAGCATCCAGTCTAGAACAAATCCCCATTCCCTTAGACCCACACTCAAGTCACCCAACCAAAGTCCAAATATTACACAATTCCCCATGGTGCATAGTCTCTCTCTCTCTCTGCAGAGAGTGATTAAACTCAATTTATTCAACTGTTGGTATGCTCTTGATGGTCTTTGGTTAGAAGGCATTGACATGAGTAACATGTCAAGTAAATGCACATATCTGATGGCTTGACAATAAAATATATATCAAGTTATAATCTGTGATTTACAAATAGCACACTGTAGTCTGCTTAAGAAAATGTAACAAGAGTGATGAGATAAGGCTAGTGAAAATGATAGGTCTAATATTTCATGCCTAAGCATGTATATTTTATCCAAGGAAAAAGGGAGCAATAAAAAATGTTAAGAAACACAATAGAAGTTTAGAAAGATCACACTGGAAACACTAGGACATATAATGTTAGTTACTTTCCATTTGTATTATGTTGGTCACTTCAGGACTAGTTACCATATATCAAACATGGAGGACATTACTTCAGTTTTTATAGTAAGTAGCTGAGCCCAGACAGAAAACTAGTGCCAAGTTCAGTCCATATGCCTAAAATTGAGACCGAGAGGAAGTAGATAAGGCAATGTAAGTTGATTGTATAGTATCATTTCTTCTTCTAGAGCATGAAAAATGAATCCATTAGAAAACTTTCATACATTCTGTAATGATGGAATATCAAGTTATTGGAAGAAGAAGAAGGATAGATTTTATTTTAAACAAAGAAATTGAAGTTCTAAAAATTAAGAGTGTGAGTTTTCTCAAAACATTTTAAAATCTTTTTTCAAATCCCTGGCCCTACCATTGATCTACTCATTCTTTGCAAATGGCCTTGTTATTTCATCAAATTCCCTTTGTTGCAATTGAGTATGATTATTTCTTCACTACCTCTCTGCTGTTACAGAGATTAAGAACTGTCACTACGTCTTGGACATCATCATTTTGTACCTTCTTTTGTGCCATGACAAATCATTTATTTCTCATCCCTTTTCTCTTGAATTTTTGATATGTTCATATTTGAAATGATAGAACCAAATAAGTCGTCAGGGAAGAGAGTTACTACTACTACTGAGAATTTTTAAGGCCAAGAGAAAGCCCTGAATGGTCAAACACAACCTTAGAAATCAGCATACCAGTAATTTTTATAACATAATTTAGAATTTTTAAATGACAATAAAATATCAGATTTGTTTCAAATGTTTTGCGTTCAGTGTTTTAATAATTATAACTATCAATATATTTTCTGAGATTAAACTTTTATTTTTTATTTTACAGCTAAGGAGCTTAGATTCCTAATATTGAAAAATCAAAGGCAACATAAGGATTGTGTAAACTTTACATGAAATCCCATTTTCAGTTCAATTCTACATTATCAATATTACTAAAACATCAATGAATCAACACTTGCATTTCAAAATACAGTACATAGAATCATTCATTGCAAGCAACTACAGAATTACCTATAAGATGTATAAAAAGGGGATAGGTGAGGGGGGGAGGAGAAACAATAAGAAAATTAGGTATTTTAGGCTAATTAAAGGGTCAGGATAATATATGTTGAAGGACATAGAAGTCAGCCATGTCATTCTGGCTGTCTTATATTTCGGGAAGACCTGGGTTTTGATATAAAAGTTATTCAGTTTCCCGGATTAACTGCTAAAACATGGGAGACTACAGGCAATTCATTTAACATCTCTGGGACTGAGTCTTGTCATCTGGAAAATAGGGTAATCACAGTAACTACTTCAAATAATTGTTGCCACATTTTCAATTAGAAAATGTGTGTGGCAATCATCCTATTACTGGAAAGAACTAACTAAATAATACTGTTTGTTGTAATATTAGTGCAATTAAGTGGATATTGTTAGGAAAATTTATAAAGACATTGAACCTCAGCAGTTGTCAAATACCCACAGTAAACAATGCACTATTTTGGTACAAAAAATTCTCAGTCTCTATTTACACTACTGATGAACCAAGAAGATGTCTTCCTAAAAATATTAAATAAAAAATATTGTCATATGTAAGTATTTTAGGAAATTGTTAAGTGACATAAAGACATATATTTCTGTAGGTATGTGAAAGTATATATGTGTGTGTATATTTATATATACACAATTACATAAGGCAAACTTTTTTAAAGGTCAATGAAAAAATGTGTTTTTTTATATATATATATATATTATATATATATAGTTTTCCTGTGTAATAAACTCCTTTAATTTGAAAATATATCTTTGAAGTGGGAAATATGACATATCTAATTATGTCAGGGAGTATCTTTAAATCACAAAAATGCATAATTCAGCTTTTTCTGAGATCATGGCGGACGGGAGGCAGGACTAGATTGCAGCTTCCATGCGGACAGACAGAGCAGCCTGTGGAGGCTCGCATTGTGAACTTTTGTTCCAGAATGACTGCAGGAATACATTAGGAAAGCCAAGAGAACCTAAAGACCCTCTAAAGGAAGCAGATTGCTCCTGCAGGACCTGGGAGACACCCCAATTACTGTGAGTTCCCAAACTGTGGAAGTGGGAAAGGGAGAATGTCTATCCCCAAACACCCATTCCCCCTGGGGAAACTTAAGTTCTAGATTATGGGAAAATATTCTGATCTCACCTGAAGCAGAGTCAATTTAGATAGCAGAGTGAAATACAGGGGTAGAGGAAGCAGATGAAAAAGTCCTGTGGTCTCACTGGGTCTCCTAGCAAGCCATTTCTCCTTTGCCTCACAGGGGTCCTTCAGGAGGGCTGCCAGAGGAACTAGAAAAATGCTGCAGGGAGAAGGAAACCTCCAGCTGAACTTTGTAACAATTTGAACCCATCCAGAAGTCTCCTGGTCAGAACCTGGGGGAGGGCGAGAATCTGCTATGCAGACTCCACAGGCAGGGAAAGAACAAAGGCCATGCTGGCTTTTGAAGCTGGCAAGCAGGTAGCTGGGGTGGGGTGGGGGGGATGGGGCACAGTGGGAGTGAGACTGGCTCTCTGGGTTGTGTGGGAGCTATGACTGCTTGCTTTCCCTCACTTCCCTGAGAGCCTATGTGACACAGTAGAGGCAGCCATAATCCTCCCAGGAACATAACTCCTTTGACCTGGAAACCACACTCCCATTACACACAGCAGCCCCAGCAAGACCTGCCCAAGGACAGTTGAGCTCAGACATGCCTAGTCCTGCCCCCACCTAATGGTTGTTCCCTACTCATGCTGGTAACTGAAGACAAAGGGCATATACTATTGGGAACCCACTACCTGTTCCTCCTCGTACTACCACAGCTAATGCTCTCTTGAAATCACCACCTCATGGCATGAGGCCAACCAGCACAAAAATAGTGCATTAATCAACCAAAGTTAAGGACCCTCAGAGTTCATTTCACTACCCTGCCACCTGCACTGGAGCAGGTGCTAGTATTCATGGCAATCTCCAGTACCAGCTTGGAGCCTGGTAGACTTCCTGGGTGGCTAGATCCAGAAGAAAGATAATCACTACAGCTCGCCTCTCAGAAAGCCACATCTTTAGGAAAAGGGGGAGAGTACTACATTAAGGAAACACCCAATGAGACAAAAGAATCTTAACAACAGTCTTGAGCCTTAGACCTTCCCTCTGAGAGAGACTACTCAAATGCGAATGAACCAGAAAACCAACTCTGGTAATATGACAAAACAAGGTTCTTTAATGCCCCCTCAAAATCACACTAGCTTACCAGCAATGGATCCAAACCAAGAAGAAATCCCTGATTTACATGAAAAAAAAAATTCAGAAGGTTAATTATTAAGTTAATCAGGAAGGCACCAGAGAAAGGTGAAGATCAATGTAAGGAAATTTAAAAAGAAATGATATAAGAAGTGAAGGGAGAAATATTCAGTGAAATAGAGCGCATACAGAAAAAAAAAAAAACTTCAGAAAACAATGGACGCACTTTTAGAAATGCAAAATACTCCAGCCTCAGCAATAGAATCGAACAAGCAGAATAAAGAACTTCAGACCTCAAAGACAGGGTTTTTAAATTAACCCAATCCAACAAAGACAAAGAAAAAAGAATAAGAAAATATGAACAAAGCCTCCGAGAAGTCTGGGATTATGTTAAATGAGCAGACCTAAGAATGATTGGTATTTCTAAGGAAGAAGAAAAATCTAAAGGTTTGGAAAATATATTTGGGGGAATAATCAAGGAAAACTTCCCCAGTCTTGCTTGAGACCTAGGCATCCAAATGCAAGAAACTCAAAGAACACCTGAGAAATTCATCACAAAAATATTATTGCCTAGGCATATTGTCATCAGGTTATCTAAAGTTAAGATGAAGCAAAGAATCTTAAGAGCTATGAGGCAAAAACACCAGGTAACCTATAAAGGAAAACCTATAAGATTAATAGCATATTTCTCACTGGAAACCCTACAAGCTAGAAGGCACTAGGGCCCTATCTTCAGCCTCCTCAAACAAAACAATTGTCAGCCAAGAATTTTGTATCCAGCAAAACTAAGCTTCATAAATGAAGGAAAGATACTGTCTTTTAGAGACAAACAAATGCAGAGAGAATTCACCACTACCCAAGCCAGCACTATGAGAACTGCTAATAGGAGCTCTAAATCTTGAAACAAATCCTGGAAATGCATCAAAAGAGGACCTCTTTAAAGCATAAAGCTCACAGGAACCTATAAAACAAAAATACAATTAAAAAATAAACAAAAAACAAAGGTATACTGGAAGCAGATAACATGATGAATAGAATGGTACCTCACATCTCAATCCTAATATTAAATGTAAATGTCCTAAATGCTCCACTTAAAAGGTACAGAATTGCAGAATGGATAAGAATTCACCAAACAACTATCTGTTGCCCTCAAGAGACAGACCTAACATATAAGGACTCATATAAACTTAAGGTAAAGGGGTGGAAAAAAACATTCCACGCAAATAGACACCAAAAGTGAGCAGGAGTAGCTATTCTTATGTCAGAAAAGAACAAAATTTAAAGCAACAGCAGTTAAAAAAGACAAAGAGGGACATTATATAATGATAAAAGGTCTTGTCCAACAGGAAAACACAACAATCCTAAATACATATGCACCTAACACTGAAGCTCCCAAATTTATAAAACAATCACTAATAAGCCTAAGAAATGAGATAGACAGCAACACAATAATAGTGGGGAACTTCAATACTCTACTGACAGCACTAGACAGGTCATCAAGGCAGAAAGTCAACAAATAAAAAATGGATTTAAACTATACCCATGAACAAACAGACTTAACAGATATTTACAAAACATTTTACCCAACAAATGCAGAATACACATTCTATTCAACCGTGCATTGAACTTTCTCCAAGATAGGGCACATGACAGGCCATGAAATGAGCATCAATAAATTTAAGAAAATTGAAATTTTATCAAGCACTCTTTCAGACCACAGTGGAATAAAACTGAAAATCAACACCAAAAGGAACATTCAGAACCATGCGAATACATGGAAACTAAATAACCTGCTTCTGAATGATCACGGGGTCAACAATGAAATGAAGATGGAAACTAAAAAATTCTTCAAACTGAATGACAATAGTGACACAACCTATCAAAAAACCTCTGAGATACAGTAAAGGTGTCACTAAGAGGAAAGTTCATAGACCTAAACACCTACATCAAAAAGTCTGAAAGAGCACAAACACACAATCTAAGGTTCCACCTCAGGGAACTAGAGAAATAAGAACAAACCAAACCCAAACACAGCAGAAGAAAGGAAATAACCAATATCAGAGCAGAACTAAATAAAATTGAAGCAAAAATATAAAAAAGAGAAATGAAACAAAAAAATAGATCTTTGAAAAGATAAATAAAATTGATAGATCATTAGCAAGATTAACCAAGAAAAGAAAACAGAAAATCCAAGTATGCTCAATTAGAAATGAAATGGGAGATATTACAATTGACACCACAGAAACACAAAAGATTATTTTGGCTGCTATGAACTTCTTTCTGCACATAAACCAGAAAACCTAGAGATGGATAAATTCCTGAAAAGATACAACCTTCCTAACTTAAATCAAGAAGAATTAGATACCCTAAACAGACCAATAGCAAGCAGCAAGGTTGAAATGGTAATAAAAAAAATACCAACCAAGAAAAGTCCAGAACCAGATGAATTCACAGCAGAATTCTACCAGACATTCAAAGAATTGGTACCAATCTTATTGACACTATTCCACAGACAGAGAAGGAGGGAACCCTCCCTAAATCATTCTATGAAGCCAAGATTACTCTAATACCAAAACCAAGAGAAGACATAACCAAAAAAGAAAACTACAGACCAATATTTCTGATGAACATAGATGCTAAAATCCTTAACAAAATACTAGCTAGCCAAATACAACAACATATCAAAAAGATAATCCACCATGATCAAGTGGGTTTCATGCCAGTGATGCAGGGATGGTTTAACATATGCAAGTCAATAAAATGTGATACACCACATAAACAAAATTGAAAAAAACAGATGATCATATCAATAGATGCAGAAAAAGCATTAGACAAAATCCACCATCACTTTATGCTTAAAACTCTCAGCAAAATTGGCATACAAGGGACATACTTCAATGTAATAAAATCCATCTATGACAAACCCACAGCCAACATAATATGAAATAGGGAAAGTTAAAAGCATTCCCTCTGAAAACTGGAACAAGGCAAGGATGCCCACTCTCACCACTCCTCTTCAACAAAGTACTGGAAGTCCTAGCCAGAACAATCAAATAAGAGAAAGAAATGAAGGGCATCCAAATTTGTAAAGAGGAAGTCAAACTGTGGCTGTTTGCTGATGATATGATTGTTTACCTAGAAAACCCTAAAGACTCCTTCAGAAAGCTCCTAGAACTGGTAAAAGAATTAAGCAAAATTTCTGCATACAAAATTAATGTACACAAATCAGTAGTTCTCTTTTACACCAACAGCGACCAAGCTGAGAATCAAATCAAGAACTCAATCCCTTTTAAAAAAGCTGAAAAAAAAAATCAAATAGTTGGGAGCACAGCTAACCAAAGAGGTAAAAGACCTCTACAAAGAAAACTACAAAACATTGTTGAAAAAAATCATGGATAACACAAACAAATGGAAACAAATCCCATGCTCATGGATGAGTAGAATCCATATTGTGAAAATGACCATACTGCCAAAAGCAATCTACAAATTCAATGCAATTCTCATCAAAATAACACCATCATTCTTCACAAAATTATTTTTAAAAATCCTAAAATTCATATAGAAGCTGAAAAAAAAAAAAGCCCACAAAGTCAAAGCAACTAAGCAAAAAGAACAAATCTCGTGGCATAACATTATCTGATTTCAAACTATACTTTAATGTCTTAGTCGCCAAAACAGCATGGTACTGGTACAAAAATAGGCACATAAATGGAACACAATACAGAACCCAGGAATAGACCAAAATACTTACAACCAACTGATCTTCAACAAAGCAAACAAAAACATAAAGTGGGGAATGGACACCCTATTCAACAAATGGTGTTGGGATAATTGGTAAGCCACATGTAGGAGAATGAAACTGAATCCTCATCTCTCAATACAAAAATCAACTCAAGATGAATCAAGGACTTAAATCTAATACCTGAACCTATAAAAATTCGAGAAGATAACATTGGAAAAACTATTCTAGACATTGGCTTAGGCAAGGATTTCATGACCAAGAACCCAAAAGCAAATGCAATAGGAACAAAGATAAATAGCTGGGACTTGATTAAACTAAAGCACTCTTGCATGGCAAAGGGAACAGTCAGCAGAATAAAGAGACAACCCACAGAGTGGGGGAAAATCTTCACAATCTATACATTTGTCAAAGGACTAATATCCAGAATCTACAATGAACTCAAGCAAATTATCAAGAAATAAACAAACAATCCCACCAAAAAGTGGGCTAAGGACCCAAAGGACAATTCTCAACAGAAGATACACAAATGGCCAACAAACATGAAAAAGTACTCAATCACTAATGATCGGGGAAATTCAAATCACAGTAACAATATGATACAACCTTACTCCTGGCAAGCATGGCCATAATCAAAACATCAAAAAATAATAGATGTTGGTATGGATGTGGTGGAAAGGGAACATTTCTATACTGCTGGTGGAAATGTAAACTGGTCCAACCACTATGGAAAACAGTGTGGAGACTCCTTAAAGCACTAACCATAGAACTACCATTTGATCCAGCAATCCCACTACTGGTATCTACCCAGAGGAAAAGAATTCATTATATGAAAAAGATACTTGCACATGCATGTTTATGGCAGCACAATTTGCAACTGCAAAAATGTGGACCCAATCCAAATCCCCATCAATCAACAAGTAAAGAAACTGTGATATACATACATATTGATAGATGATAGATAGGTAGATAGATAGATAGATAGATAGATAGATAGATACACACACATATACATATAAACTGTGATATATATATGGAATACTACTCAGCCATAAAAAGGAATGAATTAATGGCATTCACAGTGACCTGGATGAGACTGGAGACTATTATTCTAAGTGAAGTAACTCAGGAATGTAAAACCAAACTTTGTATGTTCTCACACGTAAGTGGGAGCTAAGCTATCTTGATGCAAAGGCATAAGAATGACACAATGGAGACTCATCGAGAAATGGTGGGAAGTGGGTGAGGGATAAAAGAGTACAAATTGGGTGCAATGTATACTACTGGGGTGATGAGTACACCAAAATCTCACAAATCACCACTAAAGAATGTATTCATGTAACCAAACACACCCTGTTCCCCAGTAACTTATGGAAATAAAAAACTATTATTATTATTTTTGTTTTTGAGATAGAGTCTCGCTCTGTCATCCAGGCTGGAGTGCAGTGGCACAATCTTGGCTCACTGCAGCCTCCACCTCCTGGGTTCCAGTGATTCTCCTGCCTCAGCCTCCTGGGTAACTGGGATTACAGGCACATGCCACAACACCTGGCTCATTTTTGTATTTTTAATAGAGATAGGGTTTCACCATGTTAGACAGGCTGGTCTTGAACTGCTGACCTCAGGTGATCTGCCCACCTTGGCCTCCCAAAGTGCTGGGATTACAGGTGTGAGTCACCACACCCAGCCAAAAAACAATTTTAAAAAATGCATAATTCGGTGCTATAATTACAGGGCAAGACACCATTACTTTATTCTAGGGTTCTGAGCTTTCTTCCAGAAATTCAAGGATAGAGCAGTATTAGGAAATCTATTAATAAAATCTACCATATAAATGGATTGAAAAACAAAAATTCCATAGAAATCTGTGTATGTCCTAAGAAGAAATTTGAAATGACATCTGCTTTTAATAGAATACCCCAATAAAATTTATAATATAGATATTTCCTTACCATGAGGAACACATGTGGCTATTGGGAAAATATTAATTTCTAATAAAATATGAGAAACAGAAAAATGTTTCAGAGGTCTATTAAAAGAAAAAGACATAAATAAGAGAAAAAATAGCCAGGAGTAGATGGACAAAATATCCAGTATAAGTACTGAGAAAGAGTAGTTAACATTACCACAATTTTCAGATGATTTGAGTGATTTCCAATGGAAGCAAAAAATTTCACAAATGATAGAAAATATAGAAAGATGGCTGGATAAATATAATTACATGTTAATGTGGAATTTTATGTATAATAAATGTATAGCATATTTGTAACAAAATCTCATTATTTTTCACGACTGAATAGTACTCCACTGTACCCTAAGATATTATTATTAGACAGTACTTCATTGTGCATATGTACATTTTCTTTATCCATTCTTTTGTTGGTGGACACTTAGATTGCTTACAAATCTTGGATATTGTGAATCGTGCTGCAATAAACATGGGAGTGTAGATATCTCTTTGATATACTGGTTTCCTTTCCTTTGGGTATATAGCCAGGAGTGGGATTGCTGGATCATATGATAGTTCTGTTTTCAGTTTTCTGAGGAACATTCATATTGTTCTCCATAGTGTTTGTACTAGATTACATTCCCATGAACAGTGTACTAGGGTTTCCTTTTCTCAACAACATTTCCAGCATTTGTTATTGCTTGTCTTTGGTATAAAAGCTTTTTTAACTGAGATGAGATGATATCTTATTATGGTTTTGATGTGCATTTCTCTGATGATAGAGATGTTGAGCACTTTTTCATATCGTATTTGCAATTTATATGTTTCTTTTGAGAAATATCTATTCAGATTTTTCTGAATTTTTAGATCAGATTACTCTGGTTTTCTATTGAGCTTTTTGAGTTCCTTAGTCTTGTTATTAATCCCTTCTCAGATGGATAATCTGCAAATATTATTTCATTCACTGAGAAGTCTTTTTTATTTTATTGATTGTTTTCTTTGCTATTCAATAGCTTTTTATATTGATGTCATCCCATTTTTGCTTTAAGTGCCTGTGCTTGTGGGGTATTACTCAAGAAGTCTCCCCAGAGCAATGTCCTGGAGAGATTCCCCAATGTTTTCTTTTAGTAGTTTCCTAGTTTGAGGTTTTCAATTTTTCTTCAATCTATTTAGATCTCATTTTTTTGTATGTGGTGAGAGATAGGCATCTATTTTCATTCTTTTGCATATGATATCCAGTTTCCCCAGCAATGTTTACTGAAGATACTGTCCATTCCCCAATGTATGCTTTTGGCAGTTTTGAGATAGGCATCTATTTTCATTCTTTTGCATATGATATCCAGTTGCCCCAGCAATGTTTACTGAAGATACTGTCCATTCCCCAATGTATGCTTTTGGCAGTTTTGTCAAAGATGAGATAACTACAGATGTATGAATTTATTTCTGGGTTCACTATTCTGTTCCATTGGTCTTTGTGTCTGTTTTTATGCCAGTACCATGCTATTTTGGTTACTATAGCTTTGTAGTTTAGTCAGATAATGTGCTTCTTCCTGTTCTGTTTGTTTTGTTCAGGATGGCTTTAGCTATTCATGGTCTTTGTGATTCCACTTAAATTTTTATTATTTTTTCTACTTTCTGAAGAATCTTATCAGTATTTTGATAGGAACTGCATTTAATTTGTAGATTGCTTTGGGTAGTATAGACATTTTAACAATATTGATTCTTCCAATCCATGAACATGAAATGACTTTCCATTTTGGTGTCCTCTTCAGTTTCTTGCATCAGTGTTTTAGCATTTTCATAGCAAAGGTCTTCCACTTCTTTGGTTAAGTTTATCCCTCAGTAATTTGTTTTATTTGTAACTCTTGTAAACAAGATTACTTTCTTGATTTCTTTTTCAGATTGTTCATTGTTGGCCTACAGAAATGCTTTATTACAGAAATATCAGTAATATTTGCATGTTAATTTTGTATCCTGCAATTTAACTGATTTCAGAGGAGAAATATTTTTATTATTTAAAGTGTGAATAACCTCCTAAAATAGAATAAAACAAATGTTTAAAAATAATAAACTTTTTTTACATACAACATGTAATATGATACATACAACATATGTAATATGGCGATATGAGGATGTAAAAGATTCTTAAAATAGTTACGGTCTATAAAGAAGAGAAATTACTGGCTAGATGAAATTCTTTTTTAGTACACATGTATGTAACTATTGAAAAAAAAAGTTTTTTAAGAAACAAAAATAACATAACCCGACATTTGTAAGAAAAAGTTTGAATAAACTTTCCAAGTAAAGATGAATTATATATTATACCAAATGTAACAGGAATTGTAAAAAAGGGGAACACCCAGCAATTAAAAAGGACAAGCATAGTCTTCATGTAAATTCAGATAAGAAGACAGAAAGGTATATTAAAGGCCAATCAAACACACAAATAATTCTAGCAGACTAAATCTAGTACTTTGGATTTGTTAAATAATAAAATAATAGCATATTATTTAAAAAAGATCTATCAAAAATACAACTCAACATGTTCATTGATTAAAGGGGAAGTTCACATTATCACATAATCAGATGTAGAACGTGTTTAACAAAATTTAACTCTTGTTTTTGAGCTAATTAAACATTTTAACAGACTAGGGAATGGTAACAGTCATTGATAGTACAATGTTATTCTACTATTTTAAGTATTTATAATGAAAAATAGGAACAATCAATGGTAACTGCTATATTACTGTCTCTTCAACATTGTACTAGAGATACTAGCCAATATAATAGGGCAAGACAAATAAATGAGTTTCAATTAGAATCTCATAAATTGCAAAATATATTGCTATTATTGTATAATGTCTTCAGATAAACTATTCTAATTATAATGAATTTTATTATAGTCATTGGATATAAAATATATGTAATATATAAACACCTATAACATCTAATAGAAAGTGAGAAAGAATTAATATTAACAATGATGTACACATATTTAGAAATATATTATTCATAAGATATTACAGAATCTTATAGAAAAAATAATTAGAATACTTAGAGACAGATAATGGTTCTCAAATAGATTCAGATATGTGTCAGTATAGAAAGACTCAATATCCTAAAGATGATTTAATCGATATTAATCTATGAATGAATAAATGAATTCATAGGTTAATGAATAAATTTGGATTTAATCCAAAATAACCTATGAATAAACTATATTTTAATCACTTTACCATAACAATTGTTTATGGAACGAGGCAAGATAGTCTTTGGAGGTAAATTGCTAAGCAGCAGGTCTGTAATTCAGTCTTTTTTCACTTGAGGATGATGCTGGTAAAGAAAGGAAATGACTACGTCTAATATCCTTATAAATGTTCTAGTGAAAACCTACATACAAATAAGGCAATGGCACTCGCTGGTGAGGAACACTTTATGCAATTATGTTTTCAGGATATACCTGGTTATCTGGGATTTCTTTTGGTGAAAAAACCAAAACCAAAACCAAACAAACAAAAACTATGTTTTAGACCAATAGGGCATGACTCTACGTAAACTGTTTAAGGAACTGAGCATAATATGGAGATATTTCATAGCTTCACATCTTGCTTAGAGATTTATTATGTTTATCTGGGCCCAGAGAGCATTTTGATGCTGACAGAGGGAACCTGGTAGGTTCTCGATTTCTCCCTGCTTGACCTGTGCTTTGAGATTATTTATAGTCTTGAAATTTCTTATAAAATTTGATACTAGGTAAGGTTTCTGATTCATGTGAGTCTGATGTGACAGTGTGATCCTTTGTATTAACTCGAATCCAAAAATTAACATGGAGGAATAAAGAGGAAAAATAGCCCGTTAATTTCTTAAGAAGAACTAGGAATATTGATTAAAGGCATAGCCAGATATCAAAGTTCATTTTAAATCCATTGTATTTAAATCACGTAATATTGTGTGAAACAAACACAATGGAGCTAAAATAGTACTTCAGACTACATGAAAATCAGTAACTCCCATTCATAAAAGATACCACTCACAGAGTAAAAGGTGAGTCTCAGAATGACAGAAAATATTTTCAGGCATATTTTTATTTTATTCATTTGTCTGCTCACTGAGAAACTAAATCACTTTCGAGATTTTTTAACAAGTTCATTCTTAGACAATAGCTTACTCAATACTATACTTCTTTATGGTATATATTTGTAAAATACTCCCCTTTTAAGCCTATTGAAGAGTCTTATTTAATTTATTGAGTATTAGAAAAACACCAAATAAATTGTAAAATAATCAATGATGTTTCATCTAAAATATTTATGAGAATTCATTTCCAACGACAAATCATAGCTGTAAGTTAAAATTTAAAAAAGATTTTCATTTCTCACAAACGTGTGTGCATGTGTGTTCTTTGAGGTATACTTTAATGCTTCCATGATTTGCTACATTCGGATGGTTTCCATGGAGACAATTAATTTCTGTTTAGGCTTAGGTGAGAAGGCAGGTTAATTTTAAATGAGCAGAAGAAGTGAAAATTTCATAGAACAAATAGTAACTATATCTATCTAACTGATCAATTTGAAACCCCCAGGTCAGTAAAATCTTTTTTAACCATGTTTCTTATATTTTCTGTCCTTTTCTATATCTATCTTTTCCTCAACCACTTCTCTTCAATTTTTTCTCTTCTATCTCATCCCATTTTCTTCTCCATTATTCCCTTAGTTTCACACTGCACTTCTCTCAACTTCTTGATGAAAATTAAAAATTTAAGTATAAGTTATAATAAAGAACTGGGAAAAATAATTTTGCCTTTCTAATCTTAATATGTTCTTGTATTGTTTATTTGGTTGTTTGTACCATTTACAATGACAGAAAATACAGAAAATCAGTGGGATTTTTTTTTTTTTTGAATGAAGATTGCTTCTCTTACCTCAGTGTAGAAAAAGAGACTTCAGAGATCTACCTGGAGATCTGGATAGCGTGTGTTGGAGTTTTGAGCCCCAGGAGGTCAGACTCACTTCTAAGCAATAAGAGAAAGAGGCTGGCCACAATTCTGTGCCAGCAAAGGCGAGGTCTGCCAATTGGAAAAGAATTCACTTGAACCTGTGGCAGAAGAAAAAGGCAAGTTTCCAGTGAAGCAAAGATGGAGGAATTAAGATTGTATAAAAGACAGAGAGAGGCCAGATGCAGTGGCTCAGGCCTGTAATCCCAGCACTTTGGGAGGCCAAGGTGGGCAGATCACTTGAGGTCAGGAGTTTGAGGCCAACTTGGCTAACATGGTGAAACCCTGTCTCTACTAAAAATACAAAAATTAGTCAGGCGTGGTGGCACATGCCTGTAATCCCAGTTACTTGGGAGGCTGAGGCAGGAGAATTGCTTGAGCCCAGGAGGCAGAGGTTGCAGTGAACCGAGATCATGCCATTGCACTCCAGGTTGGGCAACAGTGAGATCCATCTCAAAAAAAAAAAAAAAAAAAGGAGAGAGAGAGAGATATAAGACATTGTGAGCAATGGGACCCCAAGGGAGAGATTCTGGTGGAGATAAAACTGTGGAGGATTAAAGAGTGAGACTTGAGTGAGCAACCAAAGAATTTCCACATTAGAGAATCCCCAGAGATAGTGGAGATCTTCAGAGAATTTATACTATTATTCCACATGAAACCGACTCAACTCTAAACACGTGCCTCAAGAAGTTATGACAGACACATTTCAAAGTGGACCAAGTAAAACGGTTTGTGCTCTCTTTTATTCTCCCTTCCCATTTCAACAGTGGAGTAATCAAGAATTGAAGCTTAGTTAGGAAGCTGAAGCAAGCAGAGAAACTAATGAAAAAGCCAAATTTTGTCCCCTATTCTCAGCAGGCTTTCCACCTTCAGTGGGCCTGAGCTGGCTGAAAGAGAAGCTTTAACATTAAATTATTTCTGAAGACTAGATATGTAAAATATCAAATTGAGACTACAGACAAATTTTTTATTATACTTTAAGTTTTAGGGTACATGTGCACAAAGTGCAGGTTTGTTACATATGTATACATGTGCCATGTTGGTGTGCTGCACCCATTAACTTGTAATTTAACATTAGGTATATCTCCTAATGCTATCCCTCCCCCCTCCCCCCACCCCACAACAGGCCCCAGTGTGTGATGTTCCCCACCCTGTGTCCAGGTGTTCTTATTGTTCAATTCCCACCTATGAGTGAGAACATGCGGTGTTTGGTTTTTTGTCTTCATGATAGCTTGCTGAGAATGATGGTTTCCAGCTTCATCCATGTCCCTACAAAGGACATGAACTCATCATTTTTTATGGCTGCATAGTATTCCATGGTATATATGTGCCACATTTTCTTAATCCAGTCTATCATTGTTGGACATTTGGGTTGGTTCCAAGTCTTTGCTATTGCGAATAGTGCTGCAGTAAACATACGTGTGCATGTGTCTTTATAGCAGCATGATTTATAATCCTTTGGGTATATACCCAGTAATGGGATGGCTGGGTCAAATGGTATTTCTAGTTCTAGATCCCTGAGGAATTGCCACACTGACTTCCACAATGGTCGAACTAGTTTACAGTCCCACCAACAGTGTAAAAGTGTTCCTATTTCTCCACATCCTCTCCAGCACCTGTTGTTTCCTGACTTTTTAATGATTGCCATTCTAACTGGTATGAGATGGTATCTCATTGAGGTTTTGATTTGCATTTCTCTGATGGCCAGTGATGATGAGCACTTTTTTCATGTGTCTGTTGGCTGCATAAATGTCTTCTTTTGAGAAGTGTGTGTACATATCCTTCACCCACTTGTTGATGGGGTTGTTTTTCTCTTGTAAATTTGTTTGAGTTCATTGTAGATTCTGGATATTAGCCCTTTGTCAGATGAGTAGATTGCAAAAATTTTCTCCCATTCTGTAAGTTGCCTGTTCACTCTGCTGGTAGTTTCTTTTGCTGTGCAGAAGCTCTTTAGTTTAATTAGATCTCATTTGTCTATTTTGGCTTTTGTTGCCATTGCTTTTGGTGTTTTAGACACGAAGTCCTTGCACATGCCTATGTCCTGAATGGTATTGCCTAGGTTTTCTTCTTGGGTTTGGATCCCTTCCTACACCTTATACAAAAATTAATTCAAGATGAATTAAAGACTTAAAAGCTAGGCATAAAACCAGACAATTCTTATGGATTGAAGGGACCAACAACTTTCTTCCTCACCTTCTTCTTCTTATTATTTGTTGCCTAAAGGTAACTAAGGAGGTGATGTTTCTTGGCTAAGTAGTTACTCAAGCACAAAGAAGGGGCTAATTTTAGAAGGAAGTTTGGAAAGAACCAGGTGATCTGAGAGAGCTGGGAGGCTAGAGTAATTTCATTATAATATCTTACTTATTCCATTCTTTAAATGTAAAGGCTCACTAAAAACACTTCAGTTCAAGCCATAAGCTCTTAGCAATCTCTAGCAAGTGTTTATCTGTTATTTTAGAATCCATTGGTTTATTTATCTAATCCCTAAATTTGGAGTCCCAGTGATGATCTAGCATCTCTTGAAATTTAGTTATGTAGAAGTTGTTTTTACCATGCACACAGTGAAGTTTCAAGTGCTGCTATCAGGATAATTATCCTAATCTACTATTTCCATAAATATGGGCTTCCAGATAATATTTCCTTTAAGTGTTAATTTACTAACATGTAGACATATCATATAATCAATAGTCCAGCATGTTGCTGTTATACTGACAAAATGAAATTCAATATTGAAAAATCCGAAGTACAACCACTTGCATGCATAAGAAAAGGCACATTTCCAAACTAGTACTTCCAAATTCATAACTGCCTTATAAAAGAATCATTGCTCTTTAAAGAAACAGAAAATCATTCAGAGTGTCTAATGAGTGAAGTGTAGAAAGTTTACTACATACAACTTATTATTAAATTAATTATGTTTCTATCAGGAAGAAAGAATTAAGAAATGAATTTCAGAAAAAGTACCATTACAAAAACATCAAATGGCTCAAAGGAATAAATTTAATAAAAGTTGTACAAATCTTCTATCTAACTTTTAGTGTTCTTAAACTAAAATCATTAAGAAAAAGTAAAGAACATCAAAATATCATGTTCATAGATGGCACAACTCAATACTGTTATGGTACAACTCTCCTCAAAACGATCTATAGATTTAACGCATATCAGTCAGCATCCCAGCAGAAAATTATTGAAAATTAACAAATCAATTCCAAAATGCAAAATGGAAAGCAAGAGATCAAAAATTTTCGAGGCAAACTTGAAAAAGTGGAACAAATTTAGAGCACTTACACTACAGCCTACTACAAACTAATTAAAACACAGTTTTTACAGTCTATTTGTCCATCTAATTCTCAGTCAACTTAAAAATCTGACCTAGCCTTTTGTTGGCCCCCAAATAATTTCAAGTACATTAATTCTACATTTTCCATTGTAGAATTGATTATCCTTTGCATATTTTCATTAATTATTTGTAATATTTAAATATATTATAAATTTTTTAAAGTAGAGAAAATATTATATGTACCAGATCTCATTGACTATATTGAACAAATATTGGGAGGAGCCAAGATGGCCGAATAGGAACAGCTCTGGTCTACAGCTCCCAGCGTGAGTGACGCAGAAGACGGGTGATTTCTGCACTTCCATCTGAGGTACCGTGTTCATCTCACTAGGGAGTACCAGACAGTGGGTGCAGGTCAGTGGGTGCGTGTAGCGTGCGTGAGCCGAAGCAGGGCTAGACATTGCCTCACTTGGGAAGCTCAAGGGGTCAGGGAGTTCACTTTCCTAGTCAAAGAAAGTGGTGACAGACAGCACCGGGAAAATCAGGTCCACTCCCACCCGAATACTGCGCTTTTCCCACAGGCTTAAAAAACGGCCCACCAGGAGATTATATCCCGCACATGGCTTGGAGGGCCCTACGCCCACGGAGTCTCACTGATTGCTAGCACAGCAGTCTGAGATCAAACTGCAAGGTGGCAGTGAGGCTGGGGGAGGGGCGCCCGCCATTGCCTAGGCTTGCTTAGGTAAACAAAGCAGCCAGGAATCTCGAACTGGGTGGAGCCCACCACAGCTCAAGGAGGCCTGCCTGCCTCTGTAGGCTCCACCTCTAGGGGCAGGGCAGAGACAAACAAAAAGACAGCAGTAACCTCTGCAGACTTAAATGTCCCTGTGTGACAGCTGTGAAGACAGCAGTGGTTCTCCCAGCACGCAGCTGGAGATCTGAGAATGGGCAGACTGCCTCCTCAAGTGGGTCCCTGATCCCTGACCCCTGAGCAGCCTAACTGGGAGGCACCCCCCATCAGGGGCAGACTGATGCCTTACACGGCTGGGTACTCCAACAGACCTGCATCTGAGGGTCCTGTCTCTTAGAAGGAAAACTAACAAACAGAAAGGACATCCACACCAAAAACACATCTGTACATCACCATCATCAAAGACCAAAAGTAGATAAAACCACAAAGATGGGGAAAAAATAGAGCAGGAAAACTGGAAACTCTAAAAAGCAGAGCGCCTCTCCTCCTCCAAAGGAACAGAGTTCCTCACCAGCAACGGAACAAAGCTGGACGGAGAATGACTTTGACGAGTTGAGAGAAGAAGGCTTCAGACAATCAAATTACTCCGAGCTACAGGAGGAAATTCAAACCAAAGGCAAAGAAGCTGATAACTTTGAAAAAAATTTAGAAGACTGTTTAACTAGAATAACCAATACAGAGAAGTGCTTAACGGAGTTGATGGAGCTGAAAACCAAGGCTCGAGAACTACATGAAGAATGCAGAAGCCTCAGGAGCCGATGTGATCAACTGGAAGAAAGGGTATCAGCGATGGAAGATGAAATGAATGAAATGAAGCGAGAAGGGGAGTTTAGAGAAAAAAGAATAAAAAGAAACGAACAAAGCCTCCAAGAAATATGGGACTATGTGAAAAGACCAAATCTACGTCTCATTGGTGTACCTGAAAGTGGCAAGGAGAATGGAACCAAGTTGGAAAATACTCTGCAGGATATTATCCACGAGAACTTCCCCAATCTAGCAAGGCAGGCCAACATTCAGATTCAGGAAATACAGAGAACGCCACAAAGATACTCCTCGAGAAGAGCAACTCCAAGACACATAATTGTCAGATTCACCGAAGTTGAAATGAAGGAAAAAATGTTAAGGGCAGCCAGAGAGAAAGGTCGGGTTACCCTCAAAGGGAAGCCCATCAGACTAACAGCAGATCTCTCAGCAGAAACTCTACAAGCCAGAAGAGAGTGGGGGTCAATATTCAACATTCTTAAAGAAAAGAATTTTCAACCCAGAATTTCATATCCAGCCAAACTAAGCTTCAGAAGTGGAGGAGAAATAAAATCCTTTACAGACAAGCAAATGCTGAGAGATTTTGTCACCACCAGGCCTGCCCTAAAAGAGCTCCTGAAGGAAGCACTAAACATGGAAAGGAACAACTGGTACCAGCCGCTGCAAAATCATACCAAAATGTAAAGACCATCGAGACTAGGAAGAAACTGAATCAACTAACTAGCAAAATAACCAGCTAACATTATAACGACAGCATCAAATTCACACATAACAATATTAACTTTAAATGTAAATGGACTAAATGCTCCAATTAAAAGACACAGACTGGCAAATTGGATAAAGAGTCAAGACCCATCAGTGTGCTGTATTCAGGAAACCCATCTCATGTGCAGAGACACACATAGGCTCAAAATAAAAGGATGGAGGAAGATCTACCAAGCAAATGGAAAACAAAAAAAGGCAGGGGTTCCAATCCTAGTCTCTGATAAAACAGACTTTAAACCAACAAAGATGAAAAGAGACAAAGAAGGCCATTACCTAATGGTAAAGGGATCAATTCAACAAGAAGAGCTAACTATCCTAAATATATATGCACCCAACACAGGAGCATCAAGATTCATAAAGCAAGTCCTCAGTGACCTACAAAGAGAGTTAGACTCCCACACAATAATAATGGGAGACTTTAACACCCCACTGTCAACATTAGACAGATCAACGAGACAGAAAGTCAACAAGGATACCCAGGAATTGAACTCAGCTCTGCACCAAGCGGACCTAATAGACATCTACAGAACTCTCCACCTCAAATCAACAGAATATACATTTTTTTCAGCACCACACCACACCTATTCCAAAATTGACCACATAGTTGGAAGTAAAGCTCTCCTCAGCAAATGTAAAAGAACAGAAATTATAACAAACTATCTCTCAGACCACAGTGCAATCAAACTAGAACTCAGGATTAAGAATCTCACTCAAAACCTCTCAACTACATGGAAACTGAACAACCTGCTCCTGAATGACTACTGGGTACATAATGAAATGAAGGCAGAAATAAAGATGTTCTTTGAAACCAACGAGAACAAAGACATAACATACCAGAATCTCTGGGACGCATTCAAAGCAGTGTGTAGAGGGAAATTTATAGCACTAAATGCCAAAAAGAGAAAGCAGGAAAAATCCAAAATTGACACCCTAACATCACAATTAAAAGAACTAGAAAAGCAAGAGCAAACACATTCAAAAGCTAGCAGAAGGCAAGAAATAACTAAAATCAGAGCAGAACTGAAGGAAATAGAGACACAAAAAACCCTTCAAAAAATTAACGAATCCAGGAGCTGGTTTTTTGAAAGGATCAACAAAATTGATAAACCACTAGCAAGACTAATAAAGAAAAAAGAGAGAAGAATCAAATAGACGTAATAAAAAATGACAAAGGGGATATCACCACCAATCCTACAGAAATACAAACTACCATCAGAGAATACTACAAACACCTCTACGCAAATAAACTAGCAAATCTAGAAGAAATGGATAAATTCCTCGACACATACACTCTCCCAAGACTAAACCAGGAAGAAGTTGAATCTCTGAACAGACCAATAACAGGAGCTGAAATTGTGGCAATAATCAATAGCTTACCAACCAAAAATAGTCCAGGACCAGATGGATTCACAGCCGAATTCTACCAGAGGTACAAGGAGGAACTGGTACCATTCCTTCTGAAACTATTCCAATCAATAGAAAAAGAGGGAATCCTCCCTAACTCATTTTATGAGGCCAGCATCATCCTGATACCAAAGCCTGGCAGAGACACAACCAAAAAAGATAATTTTAGACCAATATCCTTGATGAACATTGATGCAAAAATCCTCAATAAAATACTGGCAAACCGAATCCAGCAGCACATCAAAAAGCTTATCCACCACGATCAAGTGGGCTTCATCCCTGGGATGCAAGGCTGGTTCAATATACACAAATCAATAAATGTAATCCAGCATATAAACGGAACCAAAGACAAAAACCACATGATTATCTCAAGAGATGAAGAAAAGGCCTTTGACAAAATTCAACAACACTTCACGCTAAAAACTCTCAAAAAATTAGGTATTGATGGGATGTATCTCAAAATAATAAGAGCTATCTATGACAAACCCACAGTCAGTATCATACCGACTGGGCAAAAACTGGAAGCATTCCCTTTGAAAACTGGCACAAGAAAGGGATGCCCTCTCTCACCACTCCTATTCAACATAGTGTTGGAAGTTCTGGCCAGGGCAATTAGGCAGGAGAAGGAAATAAAGGGTATTCAATTAGGAAAAGAGGAAGTCAAATTGTTCCTGTTTGCAGATGACATGATTGTATATCTAGAAAACCCCATCGTCTCAGCCCAAAATCTCCTTAAGCTGATAAGCAACTTCAGCAAAGTCTCAGGATACAAAATCAATGTACAAAAATCACAAGCATTCTTATACACCAACAACAGACAAACAGAGAGCCAAATCATGAGTGAACTCCCATTCACAATTGCTTCAAAGAGAATAAAATACCTAGGAATCCAACTTCCAAGGGATGCCAAGGACCTCTTCAAGGAGAACTACAAACCACTGCTCAATGAAATAAAAGAGGATACAAACAAATGGAAGAACATTCCATGCTCATGGGTAGGAAGAATCAATATCGTGAAAATGGCCATACTGCCCAAGGTAATTTACAGATTCAGCCACCCCCATCAAGCTACCAATGACTTTCTTCACAGAACTGGAAAAAACTACTTTAAAGTTCATATGGAACCAAAAAAGAGCCCGCATCACCAAGTCAATCCTAAGCCAAAAGAACAAAGCCGGAGGCATCACACTACCTGACTTCAAACTATACTACAAGGCTATAGTAACCAAAACAGCATGGTACTGGTACCAAAACAGAGATATATATCAATGGAACAGAACAGAGCTCTCAGAAATAACACCACATATCTACAACTATCTGATCTTTGACAAACCTGAGAAAAACAAGCAATGGGGAAAGGATTCCCTATTTAATAAATGGTGCTGGGAAAACTGGCTAGCCATATGTAGAAAGCTGAAACTGGATCCCTTCCTTACACCTTATACAAAAATCAATTCAAGATGGATTAAAGACTTAAACGTTAGACTTAAAACCATAAAAACCCTAGAAGAAAACCTAGGCATTACCATTCAGGACATAGACATGGGCAAGGACTTCATGTCTAAAACACCAAAAGCAATGGCAACAAAAGCCAAAATTGACAAATGGGATCTAATTAAACTAAAGAGCTTCTGCACAGCAAAAGAAACTACCAGCAGAGTGAACAAGCAACGTACAAAATGGGAGAAAATTTTTGCAACCTACTCATCTGACAAAGGGCTAATATCCAGAATCTACAATGAACTCAAAGAAATTTACAAGAAAAAAACAACCCCATCACAAAGTGGGCAAAGGACATGAACAGACACTTCTCAGAAGAAGACATTTATGCAGCCAAAAAACACATGAAAAAATGCTCACCATCACTGGCCATCAGAGAAATGCAAATCAAAACCACAATGACATACCATTTCACACCAGTTAGAATGGCGATCATTAAAAAGTCAGGAAACAACAGGTGCTGCAGAGGATGTGGAGAAATAGGAACACTTTTACACTGTTGGTGGGAATGTAAACTAGTTCACCCATTGTGGAAGTCAGTGTGGTGATTCCTCAGGGATCTAGAACTCGAAATACCATTTGACCCAGCCATCCCATTACTGGGTATATACCCAAAGGACTATAAATCAGGCTTCTATAAATACACATGCACATGTATGTTTATTGCGGCATTATTCACAATAGCAAAGACTTGGAACCAACCCAAATGTCCAACAATGATAGACTAGATTAAGAAAATGTGGCACATATACACCATGGAATACTATGCAGCCATAAAAAATGATGAGTTCATGTCCTTTGTAGGGACATGGATGAAATTGGAAATCATCATTCTCAGTAAACTATCGCAAGGACAAAAAACCAAACACCGAATGTTCTCACTCATAGGTGGGAATTGAACCATGAGAACACATGGACACAGGAAGGGGAACATCAACTCTGGGGACTGTTGTGGGGAAGAGGAGGGGGGAGGGATAGCATTGGGAGATATACCTAATGGTAGATGACGAGTTAGTGGGTGCAGCACACCAGCATGGCACAAGTATACATATGTAACTAAGCTGCACATTGTGCACATGTACCCTAAAACTTAAAGTATAAAAAGAACACAAATATTAATATGTATTAATATTGATTTTAATATTAACATTATGTTCTAATAAACATCATTTACATGTAATCACTATACCTGTCCGTATCTATCTGCACATATACATGTTTATGTATGTGTCTATATATACTAATGAGAAGAATGTAAGGATGACACTAAATAATAAACAATGCATGATTAACTACCAAAGAATTATCTAACTCAAAATGACCCTGATACACACATCACAGATATATGTATTAATGCACGTGTGTGAATATATATATGTGTGTGTGTGTGTGTGTGTGTAAGTATAAATTCTCCAATCTCATTCCTTCTTCCCTCACCTGCCTGAAATAGCTATGTTCCTGAAGTTAATATGCACATTTATTAGTTTAAAATACTTATCTTCTTTTCTGGATCATGAGTCCCTTGAGGGCTGAGATTGTACCTAGCCAAGTCTTTGGTGTACTCCAGTATTTAACACAATAAATTCCATGCCTAGATACTTCATATATATATATTTTTTGTCTGGTTGATTAAAATTTTTTGAAATATGTAGATATTTTTCAGTATTTCATTTTAATTTATTTACTGGCATTTTTGCTCAATCTCTGTGTTATTTTATTCATGCTCTAAAAAACTGTATTATGCATTGCCTTTCACAATCTACTTAAAGTTAAGATCGTACCGCTTCAAGATGTAGAAGACTTGCAACCTTTGATCATCCCATGGTAATTTATATTTAGTTTTTCAGATAGGTTACATCTACATACATCAACACCTCTATCAACATTTGCTTTAAACTGTCATGCATAAATTAAATAACTTAAGAAATATACTTTATGTTTACACCGATACTTATCCTGTTTCTCTTTCTTCTTGAAGATACAGGTTTCCCTTCAGTGTTATTTCTCTTCAGCCTGAATAACTTTCATTATTTTTTATAGATCATATATCCTGAAAAACAATTCTCCCAGTTTTCCTTCATTTGTGAATCTTTTTATTTCATTTTCACTCACAGGCACTTGCCTTCTTGAATATTTGATTCCTGTTCAATGTAGTGAAACGGAAACCCCTCAGAAGTTTTTTATAACCCATTAATTACTTGCTTAAAGATGTCTATTTCTTCTGGGATGTAAGATCACTGAGAGTAGGGTAGAGTATACTTTACCTCCATATCTCTACTGCTTAGCACAGTGCCTGATAATTATGTGAAACTCAAAAAATAATTTGCTGAACATGGGAATGAATGAGACTTAGAAAAAAACAAACGTCTAACACCAAGGCCTGGCATATTTCTACTAAGCTATTTTATGTTTATTTAGGATTTTGCCACAAAGTTGTGTTATTTGCTAGAATATAAAACACACAAACATACACATGCACAAACACAAAGAGATTTCTTCAAGTGGTTCTTCTATAGTGTTTCTGCCTGGTAAATTTTTCAATTCACCCTTTCTGCCCTCATCTTCACCTGACAACCTTACTATCACCTTTATTGAGTCACAGGAAATTGAGCATGCATTTTCATCTTTTCTTTTCCTTCTCTAACTCCTGCTATTAAATTCTCACTGCCAAAGAATCATCTTTCCATATTTTATCATACTGAATTGTACAAAAATTCTTAAGTAGAAGAGGAGGGCTGGTATTCCTTAGATAGCTATTTGTTGTCAAATGCTTTACTCAGTATTACCTTATTTCTCACAATCCTATAGAACTACCATATTTATATTCACTTTACAGATGGTGAAGTCGAGGCTAAAAGGCTTTAGTATCAGAGGTCTGCTGAGTATCAGTTTTGATTTGAAGCCACACATGCCTGCTTTTTAAGCTTGCTTCAGTGCATCATTCTATGTGGTTGCTGTTAGGAAAAGGAGGTGTGCCTAAGAATATTTACTATAAACTTACTACGAATCTTAAATAAAATTAGACCAATTGAGAAATTGGGGGCTTCAGCTCAAATAAAAGGATTAAAATGTAAGTTGAAGCCCAAGGACCCCTTAGAAGAAAAGAATTATGAGAATTGAGACTGAGACGAAATCTACAGGGGAATCACAGGAAACTGATTTTCTTCTTGTTGGTGCCCTTCTTTCTACACTTTTACATCTGTTTGGAAACTTGTTTCATCTGGTGGTGTTTTTTTCTCTTTCTTCTCTTATTCTGGCTCTTTTCTGTCTTACAATAATGGACTTATATCCCTTTAAGAAAAAACTATCTGGCTAGTGATATATTCTTAGCTGCTGTCTATTATCACATTATTATTTTATTGTCAAACATTTCAGAAGGCTAATTAATTGCATATGTGCCTCAAACATCCAAATTTCAAGTTCAAACTCTTTTCCTTTTTCCAAGACTTCTTTTCCTTTTTCTGAGGTTGTAAGCCTCTTATAAAATTCATCCAGAGCCTGACAATCACAATCACTAAATCAAATTTTCTTTTCCATTCCTTTCAACAATTCAATAAGATATGTTAACACTAATATTTTTATTCAAAAATATTTATTCCCTGGGCTGCTCTGTCATAAACTTTCCTGGATCTTATATCTCTCAGATTTTTACTTTACTAGCTTCTTCTTAGGTACTTCTTTTTCCTCCCACCCTTATAAGTTGGCCATTTTCTACTCCCCTGTGCCAAGTTTTTTTTTCCCCTCTTTTACACAGATCCCTTCTACTCCGATGCTTCCCATTGCTTCTGAACTCTAAATGATCCTGAGATGTATCCATAATTCTGATCAATGAAGCAATACATAATGAACGCTGATTGACTTTCTTTTCACTCCAGAATCCATAACTTTGAACCCGACTCTAAATCTCAATCTCTAGTTTCACATTTGCAACGAACATTGTC
This sequence comes from Homo sapiens, assembly GCF_000001405.40. NCBI lineage: Eukaryota > Metazoa > Chordata > Mammalia > Primates > Hominidae > Homo > Homo sapiens. The sequence continues at coordinate 35,112,762 of NC_000003.12, forward strand.
CTACATGTCTTTTGAAGAGTTCAAATAAAAGATAACTTAAACAAGACTTATCTTCCTTTCCCCTAAACCTTTTTTTAACATATTGATTTTCTTGATGGCAAAATAGTAATTTTATACATCAAGGCTTGAAACCTCTGATTTATCTTTGGTTTATTTCTACCTTCACTTTAGAGACATCCTTAGTTACATTTATTCCTGAGATGTCACATCCCCTACTTCAGATGCAGTGGGGTATAGCTCTTCAGAGGAAGAGTTTGGGGGTTGACTATCTGGTCTCAGGTGCTATTTGCACTACTTTTTAGATGCATAAATCACTTAATATAAACAATTTGAATAATAAAGTTTAATAGGCTAGCTGAAAAATCAAACAAATTAAGTGATATGAAGTACTTGGCAGGACACAAGGAATGTTAGCTTTTATTATTGGTCAGGTAATTTTTATTAGTTTTCACATAGGTTTTCCCAATGTCCTCCTAAATGCCATTCTGGCCTACAGACTTTTATCTATACCAATTTATTCCATATGTTTTTAGAGAGGAATAATTATTTTCCACTCCTGAAATTGTGCTTACAGTCTTCTTTCACTTATCTTACTCTTGCTCAGTGTATGTAGGTGGTATGACATCTCGTTGGTAAATGAGCAGATAGGTCTATTTTGCTGGACTCAGATCAACCTCTCTTTTGGAACAAGTTGACAACTAGCCTACCTAGATTAAGTGTTCTGAAACTGGCTGGGTATATGGTGCTACTTCTGAAGTTCAATTAGCAGGTCCATTAGGTTCTTACACTGAGCTCTAATTTGGAGCTGTCAGTAATAATGATCCTATTCCAATCAGTATCTACCACTCCATTGTTTTGTTTCTCGAAAGTTGAGAAAATCAGTTTCCTCTTCTGAGGAACTCACTTAGAGAAACTCATATATAGGAGTAGCATTTTCACTACCAAATGACAATGAGCATTACCAATGCCCATTCTCATCTTGCCATTCAAAAAAAAAAATAAAGGCTTTGTTTAAGTCATTCACTTAACAAATATGAGCTAAAGAGGAGGATCGAGTGGCTGCTGAGGTGACAGCATCTAAATAATGTTCTGGTGCATGTTGGAAGAGAGATGATGTATAACCACTTGGCTGGCCTAATGTTCATCCTCACAAATCCTTCAACCTAGGGCTGACAATCTTATAGAGTCTGTATAATGCTGAACTTTGTCACATGAGACAAATCACAGAGATGTGGAGCCTTTCTTTTGTACTTCTTGCATTTAGGTTGTAAAACTCCCGTCAAATTTATCACATAGTTCCCTGTATTATAATTGTTAGAGTTTTCAATGTAGCTATACAACAAGAGAGAGGCTTCTTGATAAGCAATACTGTATTTCAAATAGCTATACTAAGAACTATTACACCAAGAGGAATGTCAATAAATATTTGATGAATGAACTAATGTATAGCAGTAGAAACAGCATTATCCTTTTAATCAAACAGACATGAGCTTAATATCAGCTTCATCCCTCACTGAGCAGTTTTCTTTCTTATATATAAAATTGGAGTAATAATACAGAACTGACCTGAGAATTACATAAAATAGTATATATTAACACACAAATCACAGTACCTGGTGGATAACAGATAGTCACTGCATGTTAATATGTTTACATATTGCCTAAATACTGGTTGAATACCTATAATTTGTGAGACTATTCTCTGTCATGCAAAGCACAGGAGTCTGTTGCTTTTCATTACCATTTCTGAATTGCCCAGAGTTAAAACTTGGGGGACCTACTTTGATATTGACATTATATTTTCTCTCTAAAGTCTACTTTGTACCAGTTAATATCACAACAAATTTCACACTTTGAACTATTGGTTTATCAAAGAATTCAGGATGGCTGACAAGTGCCCAAATGACTGTGTAATGAAGACTTCATTAGAAGATATGTCGCTGCGTAGCAATGATGACCTTTAGTGAGGCAGTAGGGGATGCTCAGTGTGTTCTCAAATCTCACTAACAAGATGACATGATTTAGATTTTTACTTCAGTTGCTTAGTTACCAGTCTCTGTAAATCTTTTTCTGTTTCTTCTAAGAGTTTTTTTTTTTTTAAGGAAATAGCAACAGTTTTATATTTTTCTTAAAAATAGCACTCACACATATGGCTTGAAAGAAGAAATCTCTCTCCTTAGGGAAGAAAAGGGGGATTGTAGGTGATTGGAATGGGCAATAATGTCTAGAGAGATTTCTGGGTAAGGAAAAGCTGATAGTGACAGACTGTGTTGGAAGAGAGACAACGCAACCTTGAAATGGGAATTAACCAGCAAGAGAACATGACTGGAAATATCCTAATGTCACTAGAAACAAAGCTAGAGTCATTTTGTAACCAATATAAGATTTAAACTTCTATTTGAGGCACTTTATTTTGACGCTTTGTTTTTTTGATGTTTGTTAAATGTTATTATTTTCCTTATTGACTTGCCTGGTAAGTTGGTAAAGTGATTTCTAGCTTCTAAGAATCCATTTAAGCCATGTTGTGTCCATGGATGTCAGAAATAACTCAATTAAGGCCGGATGCTGTGGCTCACGCCTGTAATCCCAGTACTTTGGGAGGCTGAGGCAACCTGACTTTAGGTCAGGAGTTTGAGACCAGCTTGGCCAACATGGTGAAACCCCGTCTCTAGTAAAAATACAAAAATTATCTGGGCATGGTGGCATGCGCCTGTAGTCCCACCTACTCAGGAGGCTGAGGCAGGAGAATCACCTGAACCCAGGAAGCAGAGGCTGCAGTGAGCCAAGATTGCTCCACTGTACTTCAGCCTCGGTGACAGAGCAAGACTCTGTTTCAAAAAAAAAAAAAAAAGAAAAAAAAGAAAAAAAAAAGAACTCAATACCTTTGACTTTAGTTTTTACTCTGAATCTAAGATTGAAATTAAAAGAAATGATGTATCTTCCTGTTTTTATTATGGTAAACTTTACATACAAATTACCAAGTTAACTATTTTTAAGTGTACAGTTAAATTACACTAAATACATTCATATTCCTATGCAACCATCACCACCATCCATCCCTGAACTCTTTTACGAAAATTTGTACCTCTTAACCAATAAATTCCGATTCCCTTTCCCCCACAGTCCTTGGCAACCGCCATTTTACTTTCTCTTTCTGTAATTTTGACTATTCTAACTACCTCACATAAACAAAATAATACAGTATCTATCAGTTTATGATAGGTTTATTTCACTTATCATGATTTCCTCAAGGTTTCTCTATGTTGGAGCATTTGGCAGAATTTTCTTCCTTTTTAAGGCTGAATAATCCTACATTGTATGTATATATTACATTTTGCTTATCTATCCATTTGTGGATAGAAACATTGGTTGCTTCCACATTTTAGCAATTCTGAATAATGCTGCTCTGAACATGGGTGTACAAATATCTCTTCAGGATCCTTCTTTCAGTTCTTTTGAATATACCCAGATATTGTAATTCTATTTTTATTTTCTTGAGGAATTACCATACTTTCCAGAGTGACTGTACCATTTACATGATTACCAACAGTACATAAGGGTTTCAATTTCTACACATACTTGCTAACACCTGTTGTTTTTAAAAAATATATACAGTAGTTATCCTAATATAGCACTATATTGGTATGTGAGGTAAAATCTCACTTTGGTGTTCGTTTGCATTTCCCTAATGATTAGTGATATTAAGCATCTTTTCATATGATATTATTAGTCATTTGTATATCTTTGTGGAGAAAAGTCTATCTAAGTTCTTGGCCTATGTTTGAATCAGGTTATTTGATTTTTTTTTTGTTTTATTTTGTTGTTGAGTTTTATGAGTTCTCTATATATTGTGGATATTAATCCATTTTCATATACGGTTTGTGAATATTTTCTTCTATTCTGGGGGTCGCTTGTTTACTTTGTTTATAGCGGTTTTGAGTCACAATTTTTAAAAATTAATGAAGTCCTATTTGTCTATTTTTGTTGTTTTTGCTTGTGTCTTTGGTGTCATATCTAAGAAAGCATTGCCAAATCCAGTGTTGTGAAGTTTTTGCCCTAAAAGTTTTCTTCTAAAAGTTGCATATTTTTAGTCTTACACTTAGGTATTTCATCCATGTTAAGTTTGTATATGGTGTTAGGTAAGGGTTTGACTTCATCTATTTGTGTGTGGATATTCAGTTTTCTTGGTACCATTTGTTGAAATAAGATTCCTTTCTGCATTGTATGGTCTCGATGCTCCGATTGAAAATAATTGCCACACATATGAAAGTTTCTAGTATTTCTATTTCCTTTTGTTGGTCTATATATCTGTCTTTATGTCAATATCAAATTGTTTGGATTACTGAAGATTTGTAGTAAACTTTGATATCAGGAATTGTGAGTCTTAAAAGCTTTGTTTTTCTTGTTCAAGATTGTTTTTACTACTTTGGGTCCTTTGAGATTCCATATGAATTTTTGGATGGGTTTTCCTATTTCTGAGAAAAAAGCATCATGGGAGTTTAATAGAGATTGCAGTGAATCTGTAGATTGCTCTGGGTAGTATTGACTTCTTTACATTAAGTCTTCCAATTAGTAAACATGGGATGTTTCTCCATTTATGTCCTTTAAAAATTTCTTTCAGCAGTATTTTGTAGTTTTCATCGTACAAGTCTTTCACTTCCTTAAGTTAATTCCTAAATATTTTATTCTATTTGATGCTATCATAATAGAATTGCTTTTTAAATTTCCTATTCAAATTATTCATTGTTCATGTATAAAGTGTAAATTTTGTGTTGACTTTTTATCCTACTTTTTGAATAAGTATATCGGTTTTAATGTATTTTTTGTAAAATATTTTTCTACATACAATATCACATATGAATAGACATAATTTTACCTTTTTTTCCCTAATTTGCATGTTTTTTATTTCTTTTTGTCTAATTGGTCAGGGTGAAACTTCCAGTACTATGTTGGATGACAGTGGTGAAAGTGGGCATCCTTGCCTTTTTACTGATTTTAGAAGATAAGCTTTAGTCATTTACCATTGAATATATGATGTTCATTGGTATTTTATGTACATGGAGGTTTTCTTATGTTGAGTTAGTTCTTTCTACTCCTAGTTTGATGAGTGCTTTTTATCATAAAAAAGTTTTGAATTTTTTTTTCAACTGTCTTTTTTTCTGCATCTTTTGAGATAATTATGTGTTTTTTCCCCCTTTAACTCTGTTAATCTGGTGTATTACATATATATTTTCTGTGTTGAACAATCCTTGCATTCCAGGAATAAATCTCACTTGCTCTTGCTGAGATTTTAATATGCTGCTGAATTAAGTTTCCTAGTATTTTGATGAGAATTTTTGCATTGACATTCATCAGAGAAATTGGTCTGTAATTTTCTTGTGGTGTTCTGGTCTGGCTTTGGTATTCAGGTAATGCTGGCCTCACTAAATGCATTAGAAAATATTTCTTTTCAACTTTTTGAAAGAGTTTGAGGAAAAAATTGGTTTTAGGCTTTTGTTTTTGTTTGTTTGTTTTTTGTTTTAATATTAAGTAGAATTCACCAGTGTAGCCATCAGGTCTAGGACTTGACTTTACTGGGAGATTTTGATTACAGATGCAACTTCCTTACTAGCTATAGGTCTATTCAGATGATCTCATTTTTGTGATTTAGTCTTGGTAGGTTTTGCATGTCTAGAAATGTGGCCATTTGATCTAGGTTATCAAATTTATTGTCACAAATTCATAGTACTTTTAAAAAACTCATAATATTTGTGGCGCTTTCTATTTTATGATCTTCCCAGTATCCTCTAGAAGTTTTAAGATTTTAAAGTCAAGATTTAAATGGAGAAGAAAGGGACCATCAGGAGAAAAAGAATAGAGCACAAGAAATGAGGTAGAAGGTAAAGATAAAATGTAAAGTAGAGAGGATCTGAGCAGTGATTAAGAGCTTACTCTAGAGAAGGACTTCCTGGGTTTGAACTCTGGCTTTTTAACACTGAACCAGTAAATTTTATCTCTCATTTTCAGTTTATTTTGTGTGTAAAATAAAATAATAATTATGATATTTATCTCACATGATTGTTAAGTGGATTAAATATACTAGTACTTAAAAGTAATTAGAATTATAAGTGGAACATTGCATATCTCAATAAATATTAGCAACTAATAGTTATTCTAGGAGAATCTACATTAAGGAATTTATAATAAAGATTAAGGCATTTACCAGTATAGAACATGTATTAACATTTTAGAAAAGAAGGCTGCACAAAACTCCAGAAGACATCTACAAAAATGCTCTCATAATGTGAGAAATGAATAGAACTACAGCAGCCCTGCTTAAAAGCTGTAGCTGAGAAAGAAACAGGAACAGAGCTTTAACATAAAAGGAAAAGAACCCTAAGAATCAGAAAATCATAGCATTACATCTGACTATACCTTAGAACAGCTTTCTGACCTTGGTCATCATGTCCTTTCACCACTGTGAATATTGCCCTGTTATCTATAAAATTTAGGACATGGGCAATATTATCTCAAAAATTTCATCATCGTTAGTATTCTCTGAGGATCACCTGCCTTTTTTGTGACACATCCTTTTAGGAAAGTGAATTTAAAACTAATTGTTCATTATTTATTGCAGATTAATTGTCCATTTATATTTCTTCCAGACACTGGGTTTGATGTGCTTAGAATCTGTCAGTGAATAAGGCAGACAAAATTTGTGATAATATAGAACTTTCACTCTAGGAGAAGTTTTAATTGTTCTCATCTGTTTCTTAACCCCCTACAATATTTTATGATTTTGGTATGTAACTTATTTAGTGGCTTCTTTTGTTGTATCATGTTTCATTTTAGCCATTGCTTTTAGCTCTCTGAGTGAAAGTAAAAGTTAAACTGAGAATGATGTAGTTTCACACATTTGACCCTCACCATTAATAGTTAAGAGCAAAAGAGAGAAAAGAACTGTATAATCTCTTAGTTGCAGCAGAGAACTCTGTGGTCAATCAATAAACGTTTCTCTTCCATAATAAAGAAAGAACCAAGTTGTAGCTGGGTACATGGCTCCAGGGTTATTGGAAAATGTGTTTCTACATTTCTTGTCATTAGTGTTGCCTTGTGAATAAGTTCTGGACAAAGGGAAAGAAACAAAGCATACGTATCACTTCTCGGTCATGATGTTCAAACAAAGATATATGAACTACCCTTGCTCATTACTTCTTCTTGTTGGTTGGAGATGACATAAGCCAAATCCACATCTTAGATTATAAAGAGAAAAGCCATGTGTTGAAGACAGCATAGCTGCCCTCATATGTTCAATAACTGAATAAATTTATATCCTACTTACATCACTGTATTTTGTGGCCTGTCTGTTATAGCAGCTTTATTTGTACCCTACATAACAGATGACTAAAACATACCATGGCAAAAAAATTAATAATAATAGTGTTGAAAACTTAAGCCACTGAAGTCTTTGTCTCTTAGTCACTCTCTTATCCTGGATCATCTAGAAAATTACACAATGTTCTTTTTTTTTTCTTTCTGCAATTCTAGTTGGGCTTCATGCTGAGATTCTTTGATCAATGTTTATCAAGAGCCTATGTGTCAGACATTGTTTGGAGATTATATGTAAGCAGGTGAGACAATCAGTAGAAAAATAAAGTAAGAAATATAAAATATTAATGGTGATAAATTTGATAATGGAAGAGAAGGTATGTGCAGCCTTATCAAGAAGAAAAAATAAAAATAGTTCGCTGAATATAGGGCATGAGAAGGAAGAGTTAAGGACAGGGCCAAAGTTTTCTGGATGAGCATATAGAAGGATAAAGTTACCATTATCTAAGATAGAGAAGACTATAGGAGGGGCAGAAATGGGATGGAAGAAGAGACTGAACAACCTATCAGATATCCAAGTAGAGAATGTCAAGTAGGCAGTTGAACATACATGTAGTTTCACACATTTGACCCTCACCATTAATAGTTAAGAGCAAAATAAAGAAAAGAACTGTATAATCTCTTAGTTGCAGCAGAGAACTCTGTTGTCAATCAATAAACATTTCTCTTCCATAATAAGGAAAGAACCAAGTTGTAGCTCGGTACATGGCTCCAGGGCTTAAGAGGATAAGTAGCAGGTTACAAAACTGTGCCTGTTGATGGCACACAGATAATTTTAAGCCATATAACTTTATGAAATTAGGAAGGGAATAAATGTAGGTAGAAAAGATAAAATGTTCAAAGACTGAAGTGGAGTATGCCAACATGAAGGAGTCAGAGAGATGTGGAAGAACCAGCAAAGGAGACTGAGAGGGAGCAGAAGAAAAGCAGAGAATGTGGTATCCTGGAAGACAAGCAACAGGAAGGTGGAAAAAAGATGAAATTGCAATTATATTATCAGATGCTGCTTGACAGAGCAACAATAGAACTTAACATTACCGTTGAATCTAGCAATACAGTATTCATTGGAGGCCTTGATAGAAGAAATTTTAACAGAGTTGGGGGAGCAAAGCCTGACTGACATTAAGAGTAAGAGAAAAGCAATGGAAGTTATGACAGATAACTTGTTCAAAAAATTAGCTACAAGGGGAAGGAGAGAAATAATACTGTATTTGGAGATAAAGTCTTTCCAGAGAGGTTTTTGTTTGTACTGTTAACGGCTTGTCCACGTGTTCAAATAAGAAACTGTTTTAACATGGATAGGAGTCATCCAGTAGTGACAAAAACTATATTGTCAAACCTAGAGCACAAACAGAGGAAGTAGCCTTCAATAAAAGCATAGGTAGTCCATCCTGATGTGGAAAAAAGGTGAAGCATGTGAGCTCAGATGTAGGTGGCTGAGTTTATTTAGTAGAAGCTTGTTTATATGTTCCTCTGATAGTTTCTGTCCCTTCAGTGAACTATAAACAGGGGCATCTGTGAAGTGGAGATAGTGATAGATGGAGAGGAAGTAGTGATGTCTTCATTTGTTTGGCATTTTTAATTTGTTTTTTGCTTTTTTGTTTTCATTATAAATATATGGATGCTGGGAAAATATATCATGTATTAATAGAAGTGAGATGTTTACGATGTGACTGATACTGTTCAAGACAACTTCTATACCTTCCTAAAAGTCTTTCAGACTGAGAGGATGAGCTGGTGTCAGATTTGGAAAAGCTGTCTCCTAAGACTACTGAAGGCTAGACATGCTAAGCAGAAAACATGGAAGAATAGTCAAGTGCAGTCATGTATTTACCAACACATAGAAATCTCTTCACCTTTATAGAGACAAGAGAGAAAATAGCCAACCACACAGTATTTAAAATTATTGAAAAAGTATGAGACTTTTCAGAACATACAATTTCCCAACTAATAACAGCTTCATTTGATTTGTCAGGGATGAGCTCTCATCTATCTCAGATGATAAAATATCACAGAAAGATTTCTAGACACAGAAAGGTTTCCATTTAAACAATAAACTCTAGACACTATTTCTAGGTAAATGACCTGAAATCTATTCTGTAATTATGACAAATAGGTGACAGCAGCACCGCACATCGAGCTCATCAGCACCCTGCATCTCCACCGGAGACAAAATTCAAAAGATCATTCATCATTTCAATTGTATTAGCCACCATTTGCCAGCATTATTTTAACATTAACCTTTTTCACCTAATATCTTTCAACTGAGTTTTCTTTAAATAACTCAGAGAGGAGGTGACTAACTTCTTTCAATTTACGTATTTGGTGGGAAGGTAGAGGCACATTTAAAGGAATACAAATTACACAAATTGTTATTCAAGGGGAAAGGTAAATAACGAATTAACACCCAAGAATTACTTGTGACTAGTGGATTTATTTTAGGAGAGGATAGAGATGACAACTATATCATATATTTTATGTGACATTCATATATGTTTGTGAATATATGACATAAAAATTTCAACGTGGCATATAGAGTACTGTATACACATCAACATAAATGTGGATGTAAGGAACAAAACCTAGCTAGTGATCATTCTTTCTCCCAAAGATAAAATTGCTTATTTTACCAAAATAAGAGAATCCTTTAATCCTTTCAATCCTTTTCTTACTTGGTTGGGAAGAGTGTGGCATTTGATTAATGGAAGCATTTCCTGTTCTTTAAGGTATCCTTGGGTAGATAGTGGTTATCATATAGTACAGGTGCTCACTTGACGCCCTACCCTGGAATAGAAATCAGGTGAGAGTAACAGACAATCTAAAAGTGTGCAATCTTTTGGCCCAGCGTATCAATCTTACAGCCCATAGGTCAGCAAACTTTTTCTGTAAAGGGATATATAATAAATATTTTAAGTTAACCTTAGGAGATAAGAAACAAGCAATAAAACAAAGTTCATGTAATTTATTTCATACAAAGTGAGAGTTTGCATGAAAATGTGGGATCTTTATCAGCACTGAATGCAATATGTATCAAGGTGGTGAAGGGTTATTGGAGATTCAAACACTGAGCATAACGGCTATCCATCACTGGATTCATGCTTACCTGAATCTTTGTGATGGGTCTTAGGAGAACATGCACAGGACATCAATTCTCTGTTGCACTCAGAATGCCTTGGGGAAGACAAAATCTGAGGGAGAAGGTACCTGTGATCCTAGGCTTCTGATGTCTTTTGTGTGTCTGTTGTAGGGAAGAGGCTCAAAATACAGATGTTTCTAATATAATGTCACATATGTGTGTGTTCTGGAAAAACATAGCACAGTAAAAATTGCAGGGTTTATTGGAAAAATAGAGTAGAATAAAACCGTTAAAACTTTATGAAACTTTATAACCATAGCACTGGAAAAAACTATTAAAGATGAAAACCAACCTAAACCAAAACCCTAACACAATTAAATCTCTACTGTCATCAACATCATTATGATAAAATCTCAACCAGCTGATCCTTTGCAACTTTAGACTGGGACTTGCGCTTCTTCCTTAAAAATGAGGCCCTTGAGGTCATTTACTTATAAGAAAGAAAGTTTCTTCAAAACTAAATATCTAATCTACAGTGTAGACTTCTTCACATTCAATTAACTTAAATCTGAGGGAAATACCTTTGCAGCTCTTTCATCTGTATTCCCAGGTTTTCATATAATTTAGCGTGATGGAAGGCATGGTAGTTTTTCAAGCCACTAAAACAAATTTGTTAGTTTTCTATTGCTATGTGACAAATTATCATAAACTTTGGTACTTAAAGCAATGCACATTTATTATCTCACCATTTCCGTGGGTTTGAAGTCTGCATGGCTTAGTTGGATCTTTTGTTCCCGGCCTCTCAAAACTGCAATCAAGGTGTCAGCCAGACTATTCTTCTTTCTGGAGCTTAGAGTCCCTTCCAAGCTCACATAGTTATTGGAATTCAGTTCATTGCAATTGCAGGACTGAGACCCCTAAACCCTATTTCTTGCTAGCTGTCAGTGAGGGCTGTCTTAGCTTCCAGAGACTCCGGAGTCCTTTCCCATGTGTCCTTCTCGTAGCCCCTCTCACAACATGGCAGCTTACTTCTCCAAGGCCAGCAGCATAATCTCTTACTCCTTACAGTCTTAAGGAATGTAATCATTGGAACTACTAACCCATCACTTTGCCACATTATATTTGTTTGAAGGAAGTCATAGTTTTTAGTCACATCCAAGAAGCGGGGATTATATAAAGATGCAATTCATTGGGGATCTTGTTATGATGTGTGTGCCACAGCAACTGAAAAAAAATAATTTCCGTAGGACTTCCCTTTTTAAAAATGTGTCTTTATATACTGTTAAAGCTATCTTTTTACATGTGAGGAAACACTCCTAGATGCTGCAAATCATTAATGCATTGGGAAGACCTTCTATGAACTTACATATTTTCATCTTGTAATAACATCACTCCTCTCTTTACCAACTGAATATGTGGAAATCTGGGTTGAAAAAAAAAGGAGTTTCAGCAAAGCAGTCATATTTTTCTTTGTTTTTAAAATGGCCTCCAAATCTTAACAGGGTGGGTGAAAAAATACTGAACAATTAGAAGTCAGTGGGGCACTGCTGATTTGGGTAGCATGGGGTAAAATAAAGCTCAAGCTTCTGTGGTTTGATCATTTGAAACTCCAGTTGTTATAAGGATGGGTAGAGGTATACGGGCTGAAAAGATACACTGAAGGATGCAAACTCATAAAATTAATAAGAATAAGAAAATCTTAAATGTAATGTATCATTTTTCAGGAGAAAATTCTCAGTCATTTCCAAAAGAGAGAAGAGATGTATTGATCCTCCTGTGCTAGTAAGGAGATGTATTTTTTTCTAATTCCTACAGCCCTTTGTAGATTCCTGCTTTGTGCTGGTATCTCAATTCCAATATCACTCCTGAGGTAATCCCCAGGCCTTGTTTCTTGTCTTTCCATTGGCACTGAAACCCAAACCCAAATTTGATAGAGGCAAAGGACCTACTTGTCATTCTTCCCTTCCTCTCCATCCCCATGGAAGAAGAGGGGATGCTTGTAACTATGGTTTTAGTTTCCTCTTCATTTCAGCACTGGCTGATTTATTTTTCATTCTTGAGTGCTCTTTTATGCATTTAAAATATGTTTTGTTATTTTTGCCCTAGCCTTTCTAGATTTTTGTACCAGAAGTATATTCAGATCATCATAGTGGAAACTTTGTTGTTTTTCTCTTTAATACATGCCAGATTAAAATTACATTTTAGATCTGTGATTCACGAGGTGCAGATTTGTTTCATCTACTGATTTTTAATATTAGTGTATTTCTTCAAGTGCTTTGTAAGTTTCTGCAATCTCCCCTTTAGCTGGAATTAATCTTCAGGTTATTGTACTGGGTTATGGAAATGTTCCTGTGAGTTACTTATGAGTTCTCCTCTATGGGAGCCCTATATATTTCACTTGTTCAGGATTAACTTTCAGTTAGTTTCTTGGATTCAGGTATCCACAATTTTAGTAATCGAGATTAGCACTCCATACCAAAACCTAGCTTAGGCTTGATGTTTCCTAGCTGTGGCCTAATGAGAGTGTTCTAGTCATCTTATTATCTAAGGCTTTCCTTGTAGCAGCTACTGCTGCTGTTGTTGTCTTCTCTTTGGCATTTGAGAGGGAAGAAGATTATTACCTACTCTCCACTACATAGGAATTTCTTGTGGATATTTCATCCCAGATTCAAGGTATATATCTCTTTGCAATAATCTACATTTCTTTTGGCTTCATTTCCAATTTATTGCTAAGCCTTAGAAGTCTATCTTCACTACTGGTACATTGGAAATTCATACTTATGTTGGCAATTATCTGAATCTCTTATAAATATTTCTTGTTATATTTAATCTGTCATTTGTATGTATAAAAAACACGAGGGAGGCAGAGGCTTCTTGTTCAGCTCGGTTTGTATACTAACCAGAAATCAAGAGGCCATGAACAAGGCCAAGCAAATATAAGAAACTACAAAGGTGACTCCAAAGCAGACCTGGACTTTGCTTTCAAGTAGATTTTTGTAAGTAGTGGCACTCATCTATCCTACAGCAACATCTAAACAGCCCCCAAAGCCAAAAATGTGGATACACCACATTATCAAAGATATAAGAAAGCTGTAGAAGCAAAGAAAATTGGATAAACTAAAATTCTAGACAAGAAAGAACTTTCCTAGGACAGCTGAAACAACAGATTTGCCAAATCTGGAAACAGGTAGAGAATCTATCTGGTAATAGCGTGGCTCTGCTATGAAAACAAGGAACCAGCTGAGTTTTGACAGCTACATGGGCTAGCATGGCAGATTGGAACCTGGAAGACCGTCGGTTTTCTCCACATAACGGTTTTCAGGGGGAACGGGGCACCATGGGATATTGGAGGCCTAGAATAGGTATGTAAAATGATGTCTTTCTCAATCTCCCAGTATGAACACAAAGTCTCAATAGAGGGAGGGGCTAAACAAACATATCACAGGTATTTCCCTAGACAGAGAAAACAAGAGGTGAAATGAGCCTAGATAATGACTCATCTTAACCTCCATCTGCTTCCATTCTGGAATGAATGGATGTGAGCAGCTACCAATCTTATCTGTCTAGCAGAGAAAAAGGTAAACTCTCTGAGGATAATGAAGGGGGATTGGGATGATAATGAGCATTTTCTCTGAACAGAGTAAAATTAAGCTAGAAATCAATAATTCAAAGTAAGTTTAGAAAGTACTAAATCACCTTTTGATCAAAGAAAAATTATTAAAGAATTAATTTAAATTCTGACAGATAAAATAAAAAATATGTATCAAAACTTAAGAGATACAGCTAAATTTCTAACTATAAATACATACATTAGAAAAAGATGGAAAACTAATGGTCAAAACTCTCGGCAAGTTGAACAAATAAGTAAGAAATGTAAAACCAGAAATAAACAAAATAGAAGGCAGAAAATACAATAACATGTATAGTTTAGTAAAAAAAACTTTAACTGGTTCCTTGAAAATCAATAAAATTTATAAGCTATTTGGAAAACTAATCAAGAGAAAAGAAAGATAATACAAATTTCCAATATTAGAAATGAAAAAGATGATATGTTACAGATCTTTAATACATTAAAATGATGAGATTATAAACAACTTTATACTTATTATTCAACAATTAATGAATGAAAAAGGTCAAAAAAACATTACTTACCATTATAGAAACAAGAATAAATAGAAAATGTAAATATTCTTGTAACTCTTTAAAAAATAATTTAGAAACTTTTCTACACAGTAAACTTTAAGACAGAATAGCTACTCTGGTAAATTTTCCCAACTGTTTAAGAAACAAATGATACCAAATCTTCTTTCAGGAAACAGAAAAACCACACTTCCACACTTATTTTATATAGCCAATGTATTGCAGACACAAGAAGCTGACAAGGAAATTACAGCCATCAAGAAAATTGTAGGCTGATATATCTCAGAAAAATAGACACAAATATGCTAAACAAAATATTATCAAATTATAATAACACACAATATTATAAAAGCTATATATAAAATATATCATAACCCAAGTGACATTTATTCTGGGAATTCAAGATTGATTTAACTTTTGAAAAGCAATCAGTGATTTGCATTTCTCTGATGGCCAGTGACGGTGAGCATTTTTTCATGTGTTTTTGGCTGCATAAATGTCTTCTTTTGAGAAGTGTCTGTTCATGTCCTTCACCCACTTTTTGATGGGGTTGTTTGTTTTTTTCTTGTAAATTTGTTTGAGTTCATTGTAGATTCTGGATATTAGCCCTTTGTCAGATGAGTAGGTTGCTAAAATTTTCTCCCATTTTGTATGTTGCCTGTTCACTCTGCTGGTAGTTTCTTTTGCTGTGCAGAAGCTCTTTAGTGTAATTAGATCCCATTTGTCAATTTTGGCTTTTGTTGCTATTGCTTTTGGATGTGGAGAAATAGGAACACTTTTACACTGTTGGTGGGAATGTAAACTAGTTCAACCATTGTGGAAGTCAGTGTGGCGATTCCTCAGGGATCTAGAACTAGAAACACCATTTGACCCAGCCATCCCATTACTGGGTATATACCCAAAGGACTATAAATCATGCTGCTATAAAGACATGCACACGTATGTTTATTGCAGCACTATTCACAATAGCAAAGACTTGGAACCAACCCAAATGTCCAACAACGATAGACTGGATTAAGAAAATGTGGCACATATACACCATGGAATACTATGCAGCCATAAAAAATGATGAGTTCACGTCCTTTGTAGGGACATGGATGAAATTGGAAATCATCATTCTCAGTAAACTATCGCAAGGACAAAAAACCAAACACGGCATGTTCTCACTCATAGGTGGGAATTGAACAATGAGAACACATGGACACAGGAAGGGGAACATCACACTCTGGGGACTGTTGTGGAGTGGGGGGAGGAGAGAGGGATAGCATAAGGAGATATACCTAATGCTAAATGATGAGTTAATAGGTGCAGCACACCAGCATGGCACATGTATACATATGTAACTAACCTGCACATTGTGCACATGTACCCTAAAACTTATTATAATAATAATAAAAAAAGAAAAGCAATCAGTTGAATTCACCACATTAACAGATTAAAGGAGAAATAAATAGAACCATCTTCATAGATGCAGAAACAGACTGATATTATTCAACACTATTTCATAATAAAACTTCTAGCAAAGCGACAAAATTAAAATTAAAAAATGAAAGCCCTCTTCATGCATCACCTCAGACCCTTGGAAATCCTCTTTATTCCGGTGAACTTAGAAGATAACATGTGGCCCTAGGTGTTTGCATAGCACTTTAGTTGCCCCAAACCTCATTGACCTAAATTATCCTACAGGATCCTCCCAGCAACCATGAAAATTTGTCTAGTTCAGTTTAATAAAATTGTAAAAAATATATAAAATTATACAAAGAAACTTTATGAGAATCCACTTGTCAGTAATGTGCCAGCACTGAACTTCATGAGTTTCTTTTATCAATATAGGGAAAGAGGAAAGTGTAGAGCCAAAGAGATGAATACTTTAACAATAAAAATTAAAAAATTTTCTGATTTAAAATAATTATCAAGAAAAATGAAAGGACAAATAATCCAACTTAAAACTGGATAAAGAATATGAATAAACATTTCTCCAAGTAGATGTATGAATGGTCAATAAGCACAAGAAAAGAACTTCAACATCATTAGTCATCAGGGAAATGAAAATTAAAACCACAATGAGGTAACTTTTCAAACCCATTAGGATGGCTAGGATTAAAAAGTCAGATAATAACAAGTGTTGGCAACAATGTGGAGAAATCAGAACTGCTGGGGGGAATGTAAAATGGTGCATACACTAGAAAATAGTCTGGGAGTTCTTCAAATGACTAAACAAAGTTACCTTATGACCCAACAGTTTAATTCCTAGGTATATACCAAAAAGAAATGAAAACATATGTATACACAAAAACTTGCATATTAATGTTTATAGGAGCATTATTCATAATAACCAAAAGCTAGAAAGAGGCCAGATGCCCATCAACTGATGAATGTGTAAACAAAATGAGGTACATCAGTAAAATGAAGTCGTATTCAGGCATTGAAAGGAATGGAGTACTTACACGTGCTGCAACTTGGATGAACCCTGAAAACATTATGCTAAGTAAAAGAAGCCAGTCAGAAAAGTCCACATATGATATAATCTATTATATAATTTCATTCATATGAATTTCCAGAAGAGGGAAATCTACAAACATAAAAAATTGATTAGTGGTTACTCAGATCTGTGTAGTAGTCCGTTTTCATCCTGCTAATAAAGACATACCGAAGGCTGGGTGATTTATAAAGGAAAGAAGTTTAATTGACTCACAGTTCAGCATGGCTGGGAAGGCCTCAGGAAACACAGCCACGGGAGAAGGGGAAGCAAACACGTCCTTCACAAGGTGGCAGCAAGGAGAAGAATGAGAGTGAAGTGGAGGGAAAGTCCCTATTAAACTATCAGATTTCATGAGAACTCACTCACTATCATGAGAATAGTATGGGGAAACTGGAAACCACCCCCATGATTCAATTATCTCCACCTGGTCCTGCCCTTGACACATGGGAATTATTACAATTCAAGATGAGATTTTGGGTGGCGATACAGCCAAACCATATCAGTCTGGGAGAAGATTGATAACTAAAAGGTGATAGCTAAAAAGTTCTTTTTGACTTGATGAAAATGTTCTTTAAATGACTGTAGTTATTTTTCACATATCTGTATATGTAATAAAAACCTTTAAATGCATACTTTAGAGAATTGTATGTTACATAAATTATATCTCAGTTGAGCTATTTAAAAAGGAATGCCATATATATGAAATCTTAAAAAAAATCAAGAAGGATATTTAATTTGGAGTAAAAAAAGAATGAAGCAACACACTGAATGCTATTTAGTGTAAAGAGAATAGTCTCTGGCGTCTGAAATAAAGAGTAATGTGAACTCTCCTGATCACTAGCTCTATCACTTTAACCACCAGAGGCTATTTTCTCATTTGGATAATAGGAGATATCATCACCTACTTAAAGTTTTGGTATTAATTGAGAAAATGTGTGAATATCATTTGCACAATACCTAGCACACAACAAGCTCTCCAAAGATGTGTTAATATCCAATTCTACCTCCCCATTCTGTTACAGTGGTTATGGTATTATATACACAGGAGCAACAACTTCTGCCAAATAGGGCCTAAAAATGTTTCCAAAGGGAAAACTCTGAGATGGGTTGAAAAATGCCAAGCAGTTTACCAAGACATAATGGCCAGGGTCGAGGGTCAAGCAGATAAAAAGTTGAGCAAAAATAGCTTATTTCTCCTGTGGCACTGGGGTGATAGTGTGTGATAGGTATGCAAAGTTGTACATTTCCATTTTAGAGGCAAGTAAACTGAGATTTAGGATGGTGAAGGATGAGATCAAATTGACACAACTGCTACGAGACAGAGGTGAGGAATGACCACAGATCCACATCTGGAGCATCTGTAAAGTGAAAAATAGAACTTCAGTTTTTCTTCAAAGCTTCTGCAGGTAGAAACAGTTGTCATTCATGACCCAGAGCCCCCGATACCCAATTCAAGAGTTACTCCATTCCAGTTAGGATGAGTGGTCTTCACTCTGCATTCTGTCATAGACATTGCTGCTATTTCCTGGGTGATACAGTGAGGCTCAGAGCAGGAACTGTGTCTAATTCAACATCCAGCAAGACAAAAATATTCATGATCAGAATAAAATTCAAGTAAAATGTATTCAATTGCAGAAGGTATAATAATAAATCTTGAGTGTTTCTGAGCCAAAAGCAGCTCCAAGATGTCTTAAAAAACAAATAATTAAAAAAAAAAAAAAAAAGACTAGCTGAGGCTTCAGAAAATCAGGATTATTTCCAAATATTTTGGACCTAAAAAAGTAGTTTCTGATGCATTTAGAGAGGTAAGGAATGAAAAACAAGTGTTGGTATCAAACATTTATTTGGATATGTAATGCAAAGATTTCTTTTGCTACAGCATAATATTGTAATTCCCCTCCTGTGACTACTCAAAATAGAAAATTCTGCAGCAATTCCAAGAGAATCTCCTGTATAATAAATAGATGATGCCCTGTGTCCTTCTTTTGTAAGAGCACTTAATGATAGTACTTCAGTTTGTCCCTCTCTATTGTCATAAAAACATATTTCAAACCTTTTTGGAGTGAAATGTTCAAAGATACCTAACATCTTGATGCGAACATATTTAAAATTCATTCACTGTAATACCCAATAATTATGACATCCAAGCACAAGGTCACAAAAGTATCTATACAAGCTTTCTGTAAGTTTATTTCACAGTTTCCAAATACATCCACAGATAAACAGTAGCAATAATTGTACTTAATGGAATATTAAAAGAACATTGTCCTTTACATATTCCAGTACTGTCACTTCAAATATGCTATATGCATGCATTTTAAGAAAATTGTGTACATGTGTGCATTTGTGTGTGTATGTGTATGTACACTACATGTTAGGGGATGGAATCTTTAGCTAGTTCACTTTCTCTGACTGGCTCTATGTTATCATTTTTTCTTGCCAATTCTTTATCCCTTTCTTCCACAGTCTGATATGTATAGCCTCCAGTATTTGAAAATAAATTATATTTTAAACATGTATTTGTATCTTATATTCTAATAGTATATTTCAGTGGAATACTATCTTTATTTTATATTTAAATGTTAAATTGGGTTTCATCTGTCACAGATGTATTGGTGCCTTTCCTAGTCCCTTTTCCTGGACCAATGTTCCCAGTGTTCCCATTCCCTGCCTATTGTGTGTGGTGTGTGTGGCTGCTGGTAACTCACAGTCTGCTCCCTTCTCTGAAGAACTGTCCGCAGATAAATGGAGATACCCCAACCTGGTAGTTATAACCTTCATCCACCTGCGAAGCCAATGCCTGACTCATGGGGTATACCAGAGGCTATCTCCCTTGCCGAAAGACCAAAAAACAACAACAACAACAACAACAACAACAACAACAAAAAACTTGTGATACAGATTATACTCCAGAGTCCTTCATGGGTAGAGCCAAGGATAGACTCAATCTGAGACTCTAAGACACCTTTGCTTTTTTCTTTTACTCTTTCTGTCCTCCTTCTTTCCCTCACAGATGTGTTTTTCTAAAAAGCAGCTCCTTCAGTAAATCATTTTGTACCCATGTTCCTGTCTCAGCCTCTGATTCTGGGAAAACTAACCTTAGTCACAATCTCTCTATATGACTATTTCTATCGACATGTATTTTAATCTGCTTATTGAAACTGTATTCTAGGGCCAAGAACTGTATTAAAGAGGTTTCAGTCAGGTTTAATCAACTGAAGAAAAAAAGGCAAAATAATTTTGGAAACAGATCAGAATATGTGAAATATTCAAGAAAAAAGGAGAAACACCTGTTCAAGCAACATGAACTAGAAGAAAAGTGAGGGCCAGGAGTGATGGCTCATGCCTGTAATCGCAGCACTTTGGGAGGCCGAGGCGGGTGGATCACCAGGTCAGGAGATCGAGACCATCCTGGCTAACACAGTGAAACCCGGTCTCTACTAAAAATACAAAAAATCAGCCCAGCGTGGCGGCGGGCACCTGTAGTCCCAGCTACTTGCAAGGCTGAGGCAGGAGAATGGCGTGAACCCAGGAGGCGGAGCTTGCAGTGAGCCAAGATGGCGCCACTGCACTCCAGCCTGGGCAACAGAGCGAGACTCCATCTCAAAAAAAGAAAAAAGAAAAAAAAAAAAAAGTCTGATTTACTTCCATGCCATCTTTTCCTCTCCAAGTGAGTTACTTCGTTTTCAAGGATATTACATATGCTCTCTCTCTCTCTTTCTTGAGAGGAGTGTATGAACTTATTTCTAAGGGTGCCATGTTCTGCTAGAGTGAACAAAGAAAAACAGTTGAGACCCAGAACCAGCAGAATTTCTGCCATATTTTGCTGATCAAATCAAGTCTCAGGACAGCTGAAATTCAAGGGGTGAGGACAAAGACCACCTCTTAATGGGAAAATGATTATGCATATATAGAAGATCTTGCTGACAGTCATCTTTGCAGAATTTACAATATATATTAAAATGTATTTTAAAATTTTTATTTTGGTAGATGGTAAACAAATGAATTAGAGGACCCAGAAAAGATCAGTCTTTAAACACCATAGTAATTCATCCTAGAGATAATGATACCTTTGTTTAGCATGATGGTAGTAGAGATGTGCTGAAGTGAAATGATTGTAAAAATATTTAGCAAGTAGAATCAGCAGTACTTGAGAAAATTTTAAATACATTTGGTAAAAAGATAAAAATTTATTTAAAAGATATATATTATTTAAAACAGGATTATGTAAATGTCAACTTTTTCTCATTGGCTCCGAATAACATTAGTGCATTGTTAACAGATGGGATTACACTGAATCACTCCATTCCCAGAGGAAATTATTAGATTTAGCAAAAGTATAAATTAGTGTTACTTTAAGAAGAAAATTGGTGAGTATCAATAAAAAATGAAAATGCACATACATATTGACCTATTAAGTTTACTTTTAGTCATATGCCCCAGAGAAACACCATCCTTCACTTATACACAGAATAGAATGTATGAATGTGTTCTTGGGATGCTATCTATAAAATAAAACCAATGAAAATCACTTAAATATCCTTCAATAGAATACTGGATAAATAAATTACACTACACTGACATGAAATATTCTTCAATCATCAGAGGAAGTGCATTTATGCAAACTGTTGTGACAAATTTTTGGAACCAATGACATTTTAAGTGAAAAAATAAGTTGCAAAAATCTACATAGTATATATTTGCCTTTATGACAAATATTATTTATACACCCAGTAGATGTTACTAGAAGCTCAGAAATGATATATGCTAAAAGAGTGTGACAAAGTTAAAAGTGGGATTTTATTTTCCACCTTATATATTTTTAAAACTTATGAATAATAGAATTTGTAAACTTGAAAACAATATAAAAGAGGAGAGAATTTCTAAGCATTTTAATTTAAAATAAAATTATTTTTTGAAATTTCTGAAGCATCCTGATGCATGCTTCTTGGATGTATTAACTATCTTTAGTCCAAAATTTATTTTCTCTAGCCTTTTAATAATGTTGTCCACATTTTGCATTAATGATTACAAAATTATTTCCTATATGTACATCATTGGTGATATAGGTGAAAAGTTGAATGATGTATTTTACTTTATGAACAGATTTAGTAAGCTAATATTCAGACTTGGAGTTCCCAAGTTTACTTCTATTTCAAGTTAACGAGATTATGTACCTGATAATTACTTTCATTCAGGGCTTCCTTCACTATTACTGAAAGCTAATTTAAAGGTATGAATTACTCTTCCTCTACTGTGAGGCAGTAAGAAAGGTAGACTCTATTTTTTAAAAAATCACTTGAAGCTTTCTTTTTTAACACTTTCCAATTTATCTAGACATGTGTCAGTGGAAATTTAATTGTGCCCACTTGCTTTGTGAAAGTAGAGAGGCCACCTATTTATTTTATAGAAAATCATTCTTAAATGTTATTATGTGAATAGCCTCACACTAAGCTCTCATTTTAGATAGGAGTGCTGAACTCTATTAGTTAAGTGCATTTCATAAAAGAGTTGCAAATCTTTGGGGGAAAACTAATCCCCAGAAACTGTTACAAAAGATAACACTGGAATTTTGTATTTTGATATATCATCAGTAATTCTTGCCAAAGGAATATACTTACATATGTCACAAAATTTGCTTAGTAATGCTGAGTCTAGGCATCAGGTTCAACATTCTGAAAGTTTAAAAATTCCATATTGTTGATTACATTGTCATTTTATTTTATTTTATTTTTTAAATTTTTTTTTATTATACTTTAAGTTTTAGGGTACATGTGCACAACATGCAGGTTTGTTACATATGTATACATGTGCCATGTTGGTGTGCTGCACCCATTAACTCCCCATTTAACATTAGGTATATCTCCTAATGCTATCCCTCCCCCCTCCCCCCACCTCACTACATTGTCACTTTAATAGATTTTTTTTTTACAAATTCTACTGTAGCTAGACTATTTTGGCTAATAATATTTTTATGATTCAGGAATATACATTATAACAATCCACTCAACAAGTTTATTATTAAGTCATTAATAAGTGATTAGTAAGATTGGTTTATTTTATTTTATGAGACAGAAGAAAAAATATGTCAAGCATAATGACGCTCCTTTAGGACAGGGCAATTAAAAACAATAGAAGTAGGCATTAATCAAATGTTAAACTATGAGATTTTTTTAAATAAAGTCTGTATAAAGCAATTGAAATGAGGTCTTTATAGAAGCATTCCCCAAAGTAAATTTATTAGGTTTTTATGGAAAAATTATATGTGAAAGAGAGCTCCAGAAGTCCAATTTTAGTTACAAGAACTTGGATTAATAAAGTTAAACAGGGTATAAGAGATCCTTTAATGAAAAAGTACACAGTATGTGACTATTCCAAAATACTGGAAATGATTCAAGAAGGGGTCATGCCAAAACTCTATAAATGCAAAAATATTTTCTACAGAGAATTATTTGAAAACAAAAATTGGGAATCATAGGTAGATAAATAGATATATTAAATAAGAGATAAATTGGACTCCTGAATAAGTTTAAATAATATAACCTTAAGAATTGTTTTAAATTAAGGCTTGATATAACAAAGTAGCAAAAGTAAATCAGGAAATAAAGCCACAGAAAACAATATTCTCATTTGAAAACATTTATCATTGCATTAATCAATGGTCACATGCAGTTTTATATTATAAACTTACTTAAAATTTTTGTAGCAAGAATATAGCTAATATGTTGCTTCCTTTCCTCTTTCAAGTAAAAATCAGGCTTCTCTGCTTACACTGATTTCCAGAAAACTTAGAATTAGATTTAATATTCAACTGCGTTTACAAGATTTACTTAGGAAGTGACTGCATTTTACTTGTCTTTCTACAATGTGAATCAGACTTTTACATGTATATGAAAAAGGATATATTAACTATTATTAGTCCAAAAGGTGTATGTGTTGAGGGCATGTACAACACACCTGCTATATACATTTACAGTGTAAATCACTACTCAATTTTTTCTTCTATGATGATTAAAACTATAATTTAATCATTCAAGAACAAGTAATATGAAATACTGCCTACACAATTATAACACAATTATTTTAGTCTTAATGTTATTTGATATTTGCTATGCATTTTGGCAGTGAAAACAGGTTTTTTTCAGAGCAATTATGGGGCAAAATATATTGGGGAATCCCAGCTTTAAGGATATTCAATTCTAGATAGTAGAATGCAACCTCTAAGCAGTTGAAGGAGCAAAACTGAACTATTAAACTATATTATCTTGTAGTCCCTTCCATGTTAAATGAAAACAAATAAAATGAGTAAACTTACTTCATACCCATTTCAAGCATTAAGAAGTAAAACATAAAAGCCATCATAAAAGTCCAATGCTGCAGTAAGATAGCATTGAAAAATAAGTCTTAAATTAAGGAGAAATACTCTGATATGGGATGGTGAAAACCATCACCCTATCCGCTCCTTTGATGCCACCATCCCATTACTCAGCATCAGTGTTTGAGAAAGGCTTAATCTTAGAGTTTTCATATTGAGAGTTGTAGCTCCAGAATAAGGAATTTTATCTTTTTTGGTATTCAGAGAGAAGGAATTAATTAAATATAAAATATTTACTTATTTTAAAGCAAATAAAGGAAATGTTAGAGACTATAGTAAAATTTTAAAATTTCTAATTGGTGATGGGATTCAGAACACACTACCCCTAAATACAGCACCTTGACATACTGAATATTTTAAGCTAAAGAAATCTGAGTCACTAGCCAGCTTCCCCACCCAGCTCAGGTGTTCTCCTTAAGCATCCCCCAGCCTGGCAGACAAGTATAGGCCATCAATTGTCCATGGAGACAGCATTTGGTTTCACTCAGATCCAGAGGCTGAGCTGTGACACAGCAAAGCCTTTTTGTTCTATTTAAGGCTATCCTAGATCTGGAAACAAGCCTAAGTCCATGCATATCTGTGAAGCAGAGGCTCTGGCCTACCAAAAGTGGCTGATCAGCAGCTGCAGAGACCCTGCCTACACAGAGGCAATCACAGACCCAAGCCAGCTGCTACACCTGACCACAGAGTCCTGCCAGTAGTCTCTTCAGACCACAGAGCACAAGAAAATTTATAGCAATGAAGGCATACACACACACACACATATACATACACATATATGTATATATACACATATATATCTCAGTGGAATTACACACACACACACACACACACACCCAGATATATCTCAAATAAGCCAACAAATGTTATACCTCAAAGCTCTAGAAAAATAAACTAAGCCCAAAGTTAGCAGAAGGAAGAAAATAACAAAGATTAGAACAAATATTAAAAAAAAAATACAGAATAGAAAAAAAAGTAAAAATTGGTTTTCTGAAAAAATAAATAAAATCAAGAAACCCTTAGCTAGCCTAACTAGGAAAATAAAGAGAAAATATGCAAATAAATAAAATCAGAAATGAGAGAGGAGACACTACAATTAATCCAACAGAAATACTAAGGATCATAAGAAAGTACTATGAACAATTATTTTAAAAATATGCCAACAAATTTAATAATCTAAAAGAAATTAATATATTCCTAAACATAGACAGCCTACCAAAACTGAGTCATGATGAAATAGAAAATCTGAACAGGCCAATCATGTGTAAGGACATTGAATCAGTTATAGAAAGTCTGCAATCAAAGAAAAACCTAGGGTTGGAAAATTTCACTGCTGAATTGTACCAAACATTAAAAAAAACTAATGATAATTCTTGTCAAATTATTCCAAAAAATAAAATAGGGGGAATATTTTCAAACTCACTTTCTGAGGCCAGCATTAGTCTGATACAAAAGCCAGGGAAGGACAATAGAATTAAAGAAACCCATAGGCCAATATTTCTAATATATATAGGTGCAAAAATTCTAAATAAAATATTAACATACTAAACTAAAAAACACAACAAAAGAATAATTCATAATGTTCAAGTGGGATTTATTTTTGGGATTTATTTTTCGGATTTAAGGATGGTTCAACATACGCAAATTCATTTTCTGAGGTTATATATAAATAAGTAAATGTGATGTACCACATTAACCAAATGAAGGATAAAAACTATGTGATCATCTTAATAAATTTTAAAAAAGCATAACACCCTTTCATGATAAATACTCTCAAAAGATCAAGTATAGAAGGAATGTAACTGAATACAAGATGGCCATATATAACAAGATGATAGTTAAAAACATACTCAATGGTAGAAAGTTGAAAGCTTTTTTGTAATATCAGGAACAAGGCAAAGATGTCCTCTCTCACTACTTTTTAACAATATTGTATTGGAGTCCTAGCCAGAGTAATTAATCAAGAGAAAAAAATAAATGGTATCCTAACAGGAAAGGGAAAAGCACAGTTGTCTCTATTTGCTGACTGTATGATCTTATATATAGAAAACTCTAAAGACTTCACCAAAAGAAAAAAAAAACTGTTGGAAAAAAAAAAAAAACCTGATGAACTCATAAACAAATTCAGTAAAGCTGCAGGATACAGAGTCAACATACAAAAATTAGTAGTGTTTCTATAAGTAACAGCAAGATATCCCAAAAGCAACTTAAGATAACAATCCCATTTACAACAGCAACAATAACAAAAACACACATACATGTAAATGTAACCAAGATGAAAGGACATGTCTACTGAGAGCTATAAAACACTGACAAAAGAAATTGAAAAAGGAAAAATAAATAAAAATATAACATATTCATTGATTGGAAGAATAACTATTGTTAAAATGTTCCTACTGTCTAGTCTACAGATCCAATGCAAGCCCTGTGAAAATTCCAATGACATTTTTCACAGAGATAGAAAAAACAATGTTTAAATTTGTATGAAACTACAAAAGACCCCAAATAGTCAAAACAATCTTGAGCAAAAAGAACAAGCTAGAGGCATCACATTCTTTAATTTCAAAATGTAAAGCAATTGTAATCAAAACAGCATGGTATTGGCCTAAAAACAGAAACACAGGTCAATCGAATGTGATAGAAAGCCCAGAAATAAACCTATACATTTGTAGTCACTTGATTTTTGAGAAAGATGCCCAGAATATGCAAAGGGGTAAGGACAGTCTCTTCAATAAATGGTGTTGGGGAAACTTGATATCCACATACAGAAGAATAAAATTAGATTCTTATCTCACAATATATTAAAAAAAACTCAAAATAGATTAAAGACTTAAATATAAGATGTAAAACTGTAAAACAGCTAGAAGAAAACATAGGAGAAAGCTCCAGCACATTGTTCTGGGTGATTATTTTAAAAATATGATCCTGAAAGCACAGGCAACAAAAACACATACAAACAAATAGGATTGCATCAAACTAAAAAGCTTCTGCACAGCAAAGGAAACAATTAATGTGATGAAGAGACAACCCTCAGAATAAGAGAAAATATTTGCAAACCATATGTATAATGAGTTAATATCCAAAATGTATAAGAAACACAAACACTTCAATGCAAGGAAATAGCCCAACTAAAAAATAGGCAAGAAACTTGAGCAGACATTTTTCAAAAGAAGACATACAAATAGCCAATAGGCACATGAAAATATGCTCAGCATCAGTAGTAATTAGAATAATGCAAATTAAAACCATTTTATTAGAATGGCTTTTATCAAAAAGATGAAAGAGAAGTGTTGGTGAAATGCAGGTAAAAGGGAACTCATACATTCATAGTGGGAATGAAAATTAGTATAACTATTATGGAAAATAGTATGGAGGATCTTCCAAAAACTAAAATTAGAACTACTATATGATCAGCAGTCCCACTACTGGGTACATAGACAAAAAATTTAAAATCAGTATGTCCAAGGGATAGCTACATTCCCAAGTTCATTGCAGCAATATTTACAATAGCTGAGATATGAAATCTACCTAGGTATCTATTAACAGATAAATGAATAAAGAAAATGTGGTATATCTACACAAGGGAATACTATTCAGTCTTAAAAAAGAAGAAAATCTTGTCATTCATGATAACATTAATGAACATAGAGGACAGGTTATTTCATGCTAAATGAAGTAAGCCAGGTCCAGAGAGAACAAATACCACAAGATCACACTTGTATGTGGAACCTAAAACAGTTGAACTCATAGAGTTAAAGAGTAGAATGATGGTCACCAGAGGCTGGTTGAGGGAGGAAGGAAAGGAATGTGGGGTTGTAAATCAATGGGTACACAGTTTTAGAGAGAAGGGAGGAATAACGTTTGAAATATATTGCATGGCAGAGTGACTATAGTTAACAATACTATTTCAAAATAACTAAGTAAATTTCAAATGTCTCACCACAAAAAATATGAGATGATAGATATGGTAACTAGCTTTATTTAATCATTTCCCATATATCAAAACATCACATTGTATCTGACCAATATATATAATTATTTGTTAATTAAAAAGAATATTAATAAAAATAATAAAATAGTAATAAATTTAATAAAGTCACAATCACTTTATTGGTAAATATAAAATAATTCTGAGAATAATTTAATAAGACAAATAAATAGAGAGGTATACCATGTTTATAGATTGAAAAACTATCAAAATTATATATAGGGGAGTTTAGAAAGTATTAACTTACATAATCACAAGGTCCCACAATAGGCTGTCTGCAAGCTGAGGATCAAGGAGAGCTGGTCCAAGTCCCAAAACTAAAGAATTTGGAGTCTGACCTTCGAGGGCAGGAAGAATCCACCATGGGAGAAAAATGTGGGAAGATTTCCCTTCACCACTGTTCTTCAGGAATGTCCTAGAAAGCGATTGTAATGCTGCAGCTGTTCACTTTGGAGTGGTGCCTGCATATCATGCAGAACCGTCTGTGAACCAGGCCCTAGTCTTCCTTTCCTCTGTCAACTGGTCATAGGGAGCAGCTTCCCATGAGGCCATTGGTACAGGCTTGGGGAGAGAAGGCAGGGTGGCAGGAGCGGAGACCATGGGCATTTGAGCCACTTTCTCATGTAACTTACTTGTGCCTTCAGTACCTGCCAGGGTCTGATCACGTATATACCACTTCCATTTGATGATGGAATGCTGCTGTGCATGACCCACTTTCTGGCAGGGTGGGTCAGAAAGCACCCAGTTCATGATAGGTAGTTCAGGTCACATGGTGACTTGATGACCCATAGCCAAATGTTCAGTTTCCACCAAAACCCAGTAACAAGCCAAGGGCTGTCTCAGAAAAGGAGAGTATTTATCTGCAGAAGATGGCAGGCCTTGCTCCAAAATCCTAGAGGCCTCTTCTGTGATTCGCCAATGGGGCCTGCCGAAGGCTCCAAATAACATCCCTATATGCCACTGACACTTCAAGCACCATTGGATCTGCTGGGTCATATGGCCCAATTAGCAGAGCAGCTTGCATAGCAGCCTGGACCTGTTCCAGAGCCTTCTCCTGTTCTGGACCCCACTCCTGGTACCAAAATCTGTATTAGTCAAGGTTCTCTTAGAGGGACAGAATTATATATATATATACACACGCATATATATACACACATATATATATGTATATACACACCCTATATGTGTACACATATATATGCACATATATATGTATATATATATACTTGATCAAAAGATCAAGTATAGAAGGAATGTATGTATATATGTATATACATATATATGTATGTATATATGTATATACATATATATGTATGTATATATGTATATACATATATATGTATGTATATATGTATATACATATATATGTATGTATATATGTATATACATATATATGTATGTATATATGTATATACATATATATGTATGTATATATGTATATACATATATATGTATGTATATATGTATATACATATATATGTATGTATATAAAGGGGAGTTTATTAAGTATTAACTTACACAACCACAAGGTCCCACAATAGGCTGTCTGAAAACTGAGGAGCAAGGAGAGCCAGTCAGTCTCCCCAGACTGAAGAACTTTGAGTCCAATGTTCAATGGCAGGAAGCATCCAGCACGGGAGAAAGATGTAGACTGAAAGGCTAGGCCCATCTCTCCTTTTCACATTTTTCTGCCTGCTTTATATTCACTGGAAACCGATTAGATTGTGCCCACCAGATTAAGGGTGAATCTACCTTCCCCAGCCCACTGACTCAAATGTTAATCTCTTTGGCAACACCCACACAGATACACCCAGGATTAATACTTTGTATCCTTCAATCCAATCAAGTTGATACTCAGTATTAACTATCACAATCCTGGTACCAAAACTTGGCAGAAGTACAACAAAAAAAGAAAACTTTAGGCCAAAATCCTTGATGAACATTGATGTAAAAATCCTCAACCAAATATTGGCAAACTGAATCCAGCAGCACATCAAGAAACTTATCCCCCACGATCAAGTTTCTTCATCCCTGAGATGCAAGGTTGGTTCAACATACGCCAATCAATAAGTGTGATTCATCAGATAAACAGAACTAAGGACAAAGGCACATGATTATCTCAATAGATGCAGAAAAGCTTTTGATAAAATTCAACATCTACATGTTAAAAACTCTCAATAAACTAGGTATTGAAGGAACACACCTCAAAATAATAAGAGACATATATGACAGACCCACAGCCAATATCGTACTGAATGGGGAAAAGCATTCCCCTTGAAAACTGGCACAAGACAAGGATGCTGTCTCTCACCACTCCTGTTCAACATAGTATTGGAGGTCCTGGCTGGCGAAATCAGGTAAGAGAAAGAAATAAAGGACATTCAAATAATAAACGAGGAAGTTAAATTATCCCTGTTTTTAGATGACATGATCCTACATCTAGGAAACCCTATTGTCTCAGCCCAAAAGCTTTTATAAAAAAACCAAACGGCAAACCAATGACCTAAGTATCCAACTAAAGATGATAAAACACATAAAACAAAAAGAAATTTAAAAAACCTAAATGATTGACAAATACGAAGCAAGACTACTTAATCTGAAAACAGTATAAATAATATATAATAATGCAAGCAAAATATAATTTAATTTTAAATGTATAGAACTTTAATTTACTAATACTGTAAATAACATTGCAATATGTTTACAATTTAGATAAATTGGACAATTACTTAGTAATGTATAAATTCATAAATTGGATCTAAGAAAAAAAGTAAAACCTGAAAAGGCTTTTATTTCTAGATACGACTTGGAGAAGACAGTGCTTCTGTTGCAGCAACTAGCAAATGCTCAATATATTACACACACTCACAGGAACATCCATATTTAAATACATCAGAGTGCTTTGGAAGCAGAAAAGTTCCAGACAGGGGAGAAGTTTTTTTTTGTAAGTCAAAGGATGGCCAGCAGATTTCTTCCTGAAGGCATTTGCAGATTCTGGTTTTTGGCTAAGAATCAGTTTTAACTTTGGCAAGTGCCTCTTCTGGAAAAAATATAAATCAGCAAAGCATTTGGTCATTATGCAGGGCTGGAGTGACAATCTGGATACTGGAAGGGCCCAAGAGCATGGCTATTTTTTTCTAGTGAATATGTGTTAAATTATGAGGTATTATGGAGTTCTTGGGAACTTGAGTGAAAGCTTCTAGAAGACACAGTAGAATCTCCCTTAGTCTCAGGGAATTTAGAAGACCAAGGTTTGCCAGGAGTGAGGGCTTGTGTCAAGTACACATCAGGTTTCCCGTTTAAAACTGTATTCAATTAGGTTGATCAGAAGCATAACCAGAGGCAGACGATCTTGTGAAAGTGATTTGTTTGGGGGATAGGTTGCTCTCATGAGATGGGAAATGAGAGAAACACCATGGAAGACAGGGAGAATGTTCCCCTCCACTCCTGCAGGCATAGACAGCAACTGATGAGTAATTGATATGAGAGTGCAAACAGCAGACCCCTCAACTCAAGGTGGTACAGCTCTGTAGTACAACTTATGCACCAGAGCTCCTGTGGGATCAGGCTGAAGCAGATTCCAGTCATGAATATATCTAACCCTGCAGGATTGAGGGGTGCATTCTCCATGTCTTCTATTCCTATGGTAGTTCTCTGGGGATAAAGGAAGCTCTGAGCCTTTAGCAAACTCTCAGCAGCTGGGTGTGGGGGGAGGCACTGGTCTTATAGAGGGGATCTTCAGAGAACATAATACCATCCACTAGAAACAGTTAACAGCTTTTCTATGTGTTCTCTTCTTTAGTGACAATAAGAAGATATTTATACATAAAAGCAATATTTTCTTTTTTCTAAGCTGTGGGTGACCTTGAAAAAGCTCTCATATTTTCTAGGCCCTTTCTAAATCAAAGGCTGTAAGGAGATTCAAATGATGATTATAAAATTAATAGCCCCCAACATAGAGGAAGGGTTGATATTACCGCCTAATTACACGTGAAAGTTCTCTTCCTTTTATATGCTTAGGCAATGTATTAGCTTGATTTCACACTGCTGATAAAGACATACCTGAAACTGGGTAATTTACAAAAGGTTTAATTCAACTCAGTTCCACCTGGGTGGGGAGGCCTCACAATCATGGAAGAAGGCAAAAGGCACATCTTACATTGCAGCAGGCAAGAGAGAGAATGTACCAGAAGGGGAAACGCCAGATGCTTATAAAACCATCAGATCTCATGAGCACTCACTCACTATCAGGAGAATGGTATGAGGGAAACCACCCCCATGATTCAATTATCTCCACCTGGCCCCACCCATGATACGTGGGGATGACTACAATTCAAGGTGAGATTTGGGTAGGGACACAGAGCCAAATCATATCATTCCCCCTGGCCCCTCCCAAATCTCATGTCTTCACAATTCAAAACCATTCATGCCTTCTCAACAGTCTCCCAAAGTCTCAACTCATTCCAGCATTAACCCAAAAGTCCACAGTCCAAAGTCTCATCTGAGATAAGGCAAGTCCCTTCTGCCCATTAGCCTGTAATATCAAAAGCAAGCTAGTTACTTCCTAGATACAATGGGGGTAAACACAGCCATTCCAAATGGGAGAAATTGGCCAAAACAAAGGGCCTACAGGGCCCATGCAAGTCCAAAATTCAGTGGGGCAGTCAAATCTTAAAGCTCCAAAATGATCTCTTTTGACTCTATTTCTCACAACCAGGTCACACTGATGCAAGAGGTGGGTTCCCATGGTCTTGGGCAGCTCTGCCCCCGTGGCAGAGTACAGCCTCCCTCCCCGGGTACAGCCTCCCTCCCAGCTGCTTTCACAGGCTGGCGTGGAGTGTCTGTGGCTTTTCCAGGCACATGGTGCAAGCTGCAGGTGGAACTACCTTTCTGGCGTCTGGAGAACGGTGGCCCTCTTCTCACAGCTCCACTAAGCAATGTCTTAGTGGGGACTCTGTGTGGGAGCCCTGACCCCACATTTTCCTTTTGCACTGCCCTAGCAGAGGTACTCCATAGAACCCTGCCCCAGCAGCAGATTTATGTCTGGGCATCCAGGCATCTCCATACATCTGAAATCTAGGTGGAGGTTCCCAAACCTGAATTCTTGACTTCTCTGCACTGGCAGGCCCAACACCACGTGGAAGCTGCCAAGACTTGGGCCTTTCAGACCTCTGAAGCCACGGCCCGAGCTGCACCTTGGCCTCTTCTAGTCATGGCTGGAGCAGGCGGAACACAGGCCACCAGTTCCGTAGACTGCACACAGCCTGGCCCAGGAAACCATCCTCCAAGGCCTCTGGGCCTGTGATGGGAGGGGCTGCCATTAAGACCTCTGACATGCCCTGGAGACATTTTCCTCAGTGTCTTGGAGATTAACATTTGGCTCCTTGTTACTTATGCAAATTTCTACAGCCAGTTTGAATTTCTCCTGAGAAAGTGGGATTTTCTTTTTTTTAATTGTAAATTTTTTATTATTATACTTTAAGTTCTAGGGTACATGTGCACAATGTGCAGGTTTGTTACATATGTATACATGTGCCATGTTGGTGTGCTGCACCCATTAACTCTTTATTTACATTAGGTATATCTCCTAATGCTATCCCTCCCTCCTCCCCCCACCCCACGACAGGCCCTGGGGATTTTCTTTTCTATCGCATTGTCAGGCTGTAAATTTTCCGAGCTTTTGTACTGTTTCCCTTTTAAAATGGAATGCCTTTAACAGCATACAAGCCACCTCTTGAATGCTTTTCTGCTTAGAAATTTCTTCTGCCAGATACCCTAAATCATCTCTCTCAAGTTCAAAGTTCCACAGATCTCTAGGGCAGGGGCAAAACGCTGCCCGTCTCTTTACTAAAACATAACAAGAATCACGTTTGCTCCAGTTCCCAACAAGTTTCTCATCTCCATCTGACCACCTCAGCCTGGACCTTATTGCTCATATTAATATCAGCATTTTTGTCAAAACCATTCAAGTCTCTAGGAAGTTCCAAAATTTCTGACATTTTTCTATCTTCTTCTGAGCCCTCCAAACTGTTCCAACGTCTTCCTGTTACCCAGTTTCAGAGCTGCTTCCACATTTTTGGGTATCTTTTCAGCAACACCCTACTCTGCTGATACCAATTTACTGTATTAGTTCATTTTCACAAGGTTTATAAAGACATACCCGAGACTGGGTAATTTACAAAAGAAAGAAGTTTAATTCGACTCACAGTTCCATGTGGCTGGGGAGGCCTCACAATCATTGTGGAAGGCAAAAGGCAAGTCCTACATCGCAGCAGACAAGAGAGAGAATGTACCAGCAGAGGAAATGCCAGAAGCTTATAAAACCATCAGAGCTCATGAGAACTCACTAACTATCACGAGAACAGTATGGGGGAAACTGCGCCCATGATTCAATTATCTCCACCTGGCCCTGCCCTTGACACATGGGCATTATTACAATTCAAGGTGAGTTCTGAGTGGGGACACAGAGCCAAACCGTATCAGGCAAAAAAAGTTAAGTTTATACATAAACTATAAATTAATTACAAACACACCATGTCTTCAGCACATCACCTGGTATTAACACTAATAATATGAGAAAGCTGACAAGATGGACATATTTCTGTGAGCAACTGTGAAGAAAATGTTCTTGTTGAGTTGTTTTGCTGCTCTTGGTTTTCAATAATATTGTGTTTGCTGGCAGAAATTGACTGTTGATTTGATTGCGGTAATGTGATTTCATGCACATTTCAAACTGTCTTACCCTCTTTTTTATTCAATAATTTCATTATGAATTACTTATTAAGTTTTTCATATATATGTAGTATTATTCTAAGTATTCACCAACTTCTCCCACTACTAACTTTTCACACCAATATTTTGGTGGCACAGTCTCAGAGAATTGGATTTAAATAATAATTTATGAATTAAAGAGTTGAAAAGCATATCTGAATTTTCACAATGTAGAAATACACAAGTGTTCGTTTTAGCCTAGGAGGATCTGTGGTCTTCAAACTGATCCTGAGGAATAAGAAGCTGAGCAAGTTCAGGTCTTAGAGCAATTACATTTCTTTAGTTTTTCTTTTGTTCTCACAAAAACTGACCTGAAAACAACAGGAGGATTTTATGTGATTTTTGCTTTTACACATCCCATCTTGCTTTAGCTAACTGAAGTTCAATAAAAATAATTTTGCTTGAATTCCAATTATTTATTTAATGTCACGGAGCCTCTCAATTATATTTGTACTTAATAACTGTTTGGCCCAATGTATTTTACATAATGATTCAAAGGATTTATTACTAGAGTTTACCATATATGGAGTTTGGGCTCTTCATTTTGATATTGTTTCATTTAGTATAAAATGAGAAATTTGCATTGGAGACAACAGCTAAATTAATCTTTTGTGAAAAATATTATATTTCAATTTTTATTTATTAAGAACAGATTTAAATTTTCCATTCTCATCAAAATTATCTAGAACTACTACAAGCATGGATCCCTGATTAGGTGTTCTAAGTGATATTTCTCATCTAAAGTTTGCAGTCCCAGCTATGAGACTTTAGGCAAGTCCCTTTAGTGGTCTGACCATCAATATTCTCTATGGAAAGGACTGTTGGATGAGGTAAAAAGCTCTATCTAGTTTTAACACTTATTCTGCAGTGTTCTTCACATAATAGAAATTGGCATATGTTCAGATACACATAACAGCAAATTCAATGAATTTTTCTTAATGAATACATCAATATATAAAACTAGAAGTTTTATATACTATACAACTGGAAGAGTTAGTGCACTTACAGGGTGACTCAGTGTGTCAATCATATCATCAATAATTTGGTTTCTTCTGTGTCTCTTCTCGACCCAAACTTTCTGGCAAACCTCTGCAGAGGTGTCCAAGGGAGAAAATACTAGTCATGGGTTCTTAGTTTCTGTTTCTGGTTGGTCCAGTAAAGCCCCTTCCTCATCCCTCTCTTACCCTCATCACTAGAGACAGAAACTAAAAATTGTGGCTTCAGGCTGTTAAAAGCCTAAAGCAAAACAGAACAACAACAACAACAAAATAAGGCGGGTTAGACAAGCTTGGAAGTATTTCTAATTGAAGTGTAGGAAGAGGTAGCTTGACCTCTGCTAATTCTTTTAGGATAGCAAAAGTCTGTCTTTCCAAATCCACTATAATTTTTGCTATAGTTATTATTGGCCTAAACTGGATATATATTCATAACTGCATGAAAAAAAAACACAAAACTTGTTGTCTTCAGAAGCAAGGGACCTACCAAGGACTACGAAGACTATATTTTAAAAAAAAACAAAACACAAGAACGGATTAGAATATTTCTCACTAATTTAAGATCAGATAATTTAAACATAAAAGAGAATACTGAGGCTATCTATTCTGGAAAAATACAGCATCATTTTTCCCTGCTTGTCTCTTCTAAATACAACTAAATATTCTAGAAATAATTCAACTTTCAATGAAAAAAAGATTTTGAAAGCTGGAAAGAAGAAGGTGGACTGACTCAAACTCTACCTCAGGACTTGAGAACACCACCATGATCAATTTCCTGGGTTTCCTTTTTATTTCCCATTTTATTTCCCATATGAGGCTCTAGAACTGCCAGAAGACATAGACAGAGAAAGAAAATAAGGTTTACTATCTCTGGGGTGGGGAAAAAAAGGACCAGAGAAAAGCCCAACTAAGACCTAGTGGAAAGTCCAACCTTAGCACCACAACCACGGTCAACACCTGATTTGACTATCTACCTGCAGAAACAGCTTCAAAGTCTCAATGGGGAGTTCAGATCTCCTGTCTTAACCCCCACTCCACAACTCGGGCAATGGCAGGTGGGCTGATCCACCCACAGTACAGTCATTAGCAATGGAACCCAGCTTTTCCCTGCTGTCTACTCAGTGGCATGAGACTCAGGCTTAGCAGCTCCTAAACCCCCACCACCATCCCCACATCACAGCGTGGCCCAGAGACAGCAGACAACAGACATACCAAGAATGGAGGAGGTGAAACCTCATATTATGATGATAAAATTGCTTTTTGCTTCATGTATATTGAGGCTTTGTTTTTATTCACTTATATTGTTATGACTTTCTGATAAAAATCTCTTATCATTTTGAAATGTCCCTCTTTATTTTTGATAATATTCTCAGTCTAGAAGTATACTTCATCTGATGCTAATAGAGCCAATTTTGTCTTATTTTTTTTTAAATCATTTTCTTTTACCTAATATGTATCTTTATATTTAAAATGCATCTTTTCTAGACAACACATTACTGGATATTGTCTTCTTTTGCTTTTTTCCCCCAACTTTATTAAGAGATAGTGAATGATATGGTTTGGCTCTGTGTCCCCACCCAATTCTCATGTCAAAATGTAATCCTCAAAATTGGGGGTAGGGCCTGGTGGGAGGTAATTGGATCATGAGAGGTCCTTCATGAATGGTGTAGTACCATCTCCTGGTGTTGTTTTCATGATAGTGAGAGAGTTCTCATGAGATCTGGTTGTTTAAAAGTATTTAGCATCTCTCCCTTCTCCTCTTGCTCCTGTTCTGGCAATGTAAGATGACTGTAATTCCTCTTTGACTTCCGCCATGATTGGAAGCTTCCTGAGACCTCCCCAGAAGCAGAAACCGCTATACTTCCTATACAGCCTGCAGAACCATGAGGCAATTCAACTTCTTCCTGATGAATTATCCAGTCTCAGGTATTTCTATATAGCAGTATGAGAACAAACTAATACTGTGGATAAACAAAAATTGTATATATTTATGGTGCACAACATGACATTTTAATATATGTATATAGAAGTTTTGAAATGATTAAAATAAGCTAATAAACGTATCCATCACCTTACATAGTTATCTTTTTTTGTGGTGAGAGTATTTAAGATCTACCCTCTTAGCAATTTACATGTATGCAACATATTATTGTTAACTATATTCTGGATCTTGTCTTCTTATACACTCTGAAAATCTCTGCCTTTAATTAAAATGTTTAGACCATTAATACACAATGTAATCATTTGTTTGGTGGGAATTGGGTCTATTTTCTTAGATTTCTCTATTTGTTCCCTTCCATTTTTGTCCCTCTGCTCCTCTTTTCTTAACTTCTTTTTGGGTATTTGAAATATTTTTATTACTTTATTTTAACCCATCTCTTGCCTTTTGGCTATAAGTCTTTATATTATTTCTTTATTGTTTTTCCCCAGGAACTAAAATACATATTCCCAAACTTTCAAATTCCACAATCAGGTAATATTGTATCACTTTATAAATATATATATATATATATACTATAAAGGTCATTCTAGTTACCTGCTGCAATGTTTCATATTATATTGTCATATATCTTACATTCACATACATTAAACTTCAAAAAGACAATTTTATAATTTTTGCTTTAAATAACCATATATATTTTAAAGAACTTGAAAAGAAAAAAAAGTATTTTATAATTACTCAGATATTTACCATATCTGATGTTCTTCTTTTTTTCTATAGAGAATTTTTTTTTTTTTAGGGCAAAAGAAATGGAAAATAAAAGATTATTTGGCATGTTTAGCAACATGGAAAAATTAAACAGAGAGATAGTTTACAGGGCTGATGGACAGATGAAGACAGCCTAAGCCAGATATTTAAACTAAAACTGAATGACAGGTTAGTGATCATTAAAGCCAGAACAAATAAAATTGTACAATAAGGTGATTTAGCACCAAACAATATTTACATCATTTTATTTGTCCTCTATGGCCACGGTAACAAATTCCCACAAATTTGATGGCTCAAATTAACACACATCTTATTCTCTAACTTCTCTGGAAGTCAGAAGTCCAAATCAGTCTCTTTTTCTTTTTTTCCTCTTTTTTAACTTTTATTGTAAGTATAGGGACACATGTGCAGATTTGTTATATAGGTAAACTCATGTCATAGGGGTTTGTACAGATTATTTTGTCACACAAGCACTGTGATAAGTCTAATATCCAATAGTTATTTTTTCTGATCCTCTCTCTCCTTGCACCCTCTACCCTTTTAAGTAGGCTCTGGTGTCTATTGTTCCCTTCTTTGTGTCCATGACTTTTTCCCATTTAGCTTCTACTTATGAGAACATCTGGTATTTGGCTTTCTGTTCCTGCGTTAGTGTGCTAAGGATAACAACCTCCAGTTCCATCCATGTTCCTGCAAAAGACATGATCTCATTCTTTTTCATGACAGCATCATATTCCATGATGTGTATGTACCACATTTTCTTTATTCAATCTGTCATTGAGGGGCATTTAGGTTGATTCCATGTCTTCCTCTTGTTAATAATGCTGCAGTGAACATTGATGTGCATGTGTCTTTATGGTAGAACAATTTATATTCCTTTGGGTATATACCCAGGAATGGGATTGCTGGGTCAAACAATAGCTCTGCTTTTAGCTCTTTAAGGAGTCACCACACTCTACAATGGTTGAACTAATGTACATTCTCTCCAGCAGTGTATAAGCATTTTCTTTGCTCTGCAACCCTGACTCATCTGTTACTTTTTGACTTTTTGATAGATATTCTGACAGGTGTGAGATGGTATCCCATTGTGATTTTAATTTGCATTTCTCTAATAATCAGTGAAATTGAGCTTTTTTAATATACTTGTTGGCCACATGTATATCTTCTTTTGAGAAGTGTCTGTTATGTCCTTTGTTCACTTTTTAATGGAGTTGTTGCTTTTTCTTGAAATTTTAAGTTCCTAATAGATGCTGGTTATTAGACTTTTGTCAGATGTGTAGTTTGCAAATATTTTCTCCTATTCTGTAGGTTGTCTGTTTACTTTGTTGATAGTTTATTTTGCTGTGCAGAAGCTCTTCAGTTTAATTATATTCTATTTGGCAATTTTTGCTTTTTTTTGTGATTGCTCTCAGCATCTTCATCATGATATCTTTGCCCGTGCCTATGTTCAGAATGATATTGCCTAGGTTGTCTTCCAGGGTTTTTATAATTTTGTCTTTTACATTTAAGTCTTTAGTCCAACTTGAGTTTATTTTTGTATATGGTGTAATGAAGGGGTCCAGTTTCAATCTTCTACGTATGACTAGCCAGTTATCCCAGCACCATTTATTGAATAGGGAATCATCTCCCCATTGCTTGTTTTTGTCAGTTTTGTCAAAGATCAGATGGCTTCAGGTATGTGGCCTTATTTCTGGGTGCTCTATTCTGTTTTATTGTCTATATGTCTGTTTTTGTACCAGTACCATGCTGTTTTGGTTATTGTGGACTTACAGTATAGTTTGAAGTCAGGTAATTGGAAGACTCTGGGTTTGTTCTTTTTCTTTAGGATTGTGTTGGCTATTTGAGCTCTTTTTCCCTTCCACATGAGTTTTTAAATAGTTTTCTCATTCTGTGAAGAATGTAACTGGTAGTTTGATAGGAACAGCATTGAATCTGTAAACTGCTTTGGATAATATGGCCATTCTTTCTTTCTATGAGCATGAAATGTTTTTCCATTTTTTTGTGTTATCTCTAATTTATTGAGAAATGTTTTGTAATTCTTACTGTAGAGATCTTTCACTTCTCTGATTCCTAGCTGTATTCCTAGATATTTTATTATTTTTGTGGCTATTGTGAATGGTGTTGTGTTTCTGATTTGGTTCTCGGCTTGGCTGTTATTGTTGTATAGGAATGTCAGTGATTTTTTTACATTGACTTTGTATCCTGAAACTTTGCTGAAGTTATCAGCTGAAGGAGTTTTTGGGCCAAGACTATGGGGTTTTCTAGATAAAGAATCATGTAGGACCATGTAGGACACGCTCATGCGTGTAATCCCATCACTTTGGGAGGCTAAGGCAGGCAGATCACTTGAGCTCAGGAGTTCGAGACCAGCCTGGCCAACATGGTGAAACCCTGTCTGTACTAAAAATACAAAGATTACCCAGTTGTGGTCGTGTACACCTGTAATCCCAGCTACTTTGGAGGTTGAGGCAGAAGAATCATTTGAACCCAGGAGGCGGATGTTGCAATGAGCTGAGATTGTGCCACTGCACTTCAGCCTGGGTGATACAGCAAGCCTCTGCTGCAAAAAAAAAAAAAAAAGTAAAAGATGAATCATGTCATCTGCAAACAAGGATAGTGTGACTTCTTCTCTTCCTATTTGGATGTCTTTTATATCTTTGTCTTACCTGATTGCTCTGGTCAGGACTTCCAATACTATGTGGAATAGGAATGGTGAGAGATGTCATCCTTGTCTTGTGCCAGTTTACAAGGGGAATGCTTCCAGCTTTTGCTCATTTAGCACAATGTTGGCTGTATATTTGTCACAGATGACTCTGATTATTTTGAGGTATATTTCTTCAATGCCTTGTTTATTGAGATTTTTTAGCATGAAAGGATATTGAATTTTATTGAAAGGCTTTTCTGCATCTATTGAGATAATCATGTGGTTTTTATCTTTAGTTGTTTATGTGATGAATTACATTTATTGATTTGCATATGTTAAACCAACCTTGCATCCTGAAACACCCGACTTCACATTTCTTGGAGATGGAACCCCAGCCCCAAGGGGCAAATGATAGTCGCCCTACCACAGCCTCTATAGGAATCTACCCCTGCTACCTTCAGACTAACAATGGAGCAAAGACCCTAAGTGTCTTATCCATACCTCCAACAAGCTGCAGCTGACTCAAGAAGAGGACGCCAGTCCATTTCCTATGGGTCTCACTCACTCCCTCTGCTCATCACCAGGCAGGGAAACCCCTGGATTATGCCCACAGTACAGACCACCCACCTTGGGCTGATCGCACTGAACAATTGCTGACCTTCATCTCTTTGGAGTGGAGCCCCCAGGAGACAGGCAGAAGACCCTTAGCCATAACCACTACCAAAGTCCCTTCCTCTGCTGCCTCCAGGTTGGGGAGGAAATGTAAACCCTGAGATCACCCCAGAGCCATGATGGGCCTCCTAGGAGTACTAAGCCATGATCTACAGCCAGAACTCAGCGGGGAGAGGGGCCCATACTTCCAGAGCAATGAGAGCTGAAACTGTGAGGAAATATAGGGGAGCCACGCAACTGAGCAAGAGGCCACCTACTGACCACTATGGCTAAGCAGCGCTTCCTGGATAGATAATACTCCAAAGTTTCAACATCAAAAATACCTCACTAACATACATCCCTGTGAAACCAAAGACAAGAAACAAGCTACAAATAAAGACCCTGCACATAGCCTCAGCTCTGTGAAAACATCCAAAAGAGAAGTCTACTGACTATTCAGTCTATACTGCAGTTAAAGGAACACTTACACACAGAGATGAGAAAGAACGAACACAAGAACTCCAGATACTCAAATGGCCAGAGAGTCTTATGTTCTCCAAACAAATGAACTAGTTATCGAACAAAAGTTCTTAACCAGGCTGAGTTGACTGAAATTGCAGAAAAAGGATTCAGAATATGGATAGGAA
The DNA here is from genome assembly GCF_000001405.40 of Homo sapiens. Lineage (NCBI taxonomy): Eukaryota > Metazoa > Chordata > Mammalia > Primates > Hominidae > Homo > Homo sapiens. Next base: position 35,155,606 of record NC_000003.12, read on the forward strand.
TGAAGATCTTTGAGACTAAGGAGAATGGCAAAACCCAATCTAAGGAAACTAAGAATCACAGTAAAACAATACAAGAGCTGAAGGATGAAATAGCTAGTGTAAAAAAGAGGATAATGAATGTGACAGAGCTGAAAAACACATTAAAAAATTTCACAATGAAATCACAAGTATTAACAGTGGAATAGGCCAAGCTGAGAAAAGAATCTCAGAACTTGAAAACTGGTTCTCTGAAATAAGACATCCAGACAAAAATAAAGAAAAAGAATAAAAAGGAATGAATAAAACCTTTGACAAATATGGGGTTATATAAAGAGGTGAAATCTATGAATCATTGGCATCCCTATAGGAGACAAAGACAAAGCAAACAACTTTGAAAACATGTTTTAGGATATCATCCATGAAAATTTCCTCAACCTTGCTAGAGAGGCCAACAGTCAAATTCAGAAAATACAGAGAATCCCTAAAAGATTCTACACAAGAAGTTCATCCTCAAGACACACAATCGTCAGATTTTCCAAGGTCAAAATAAGGAATGTTAATAGTAGCTAGAGAAGAAGGACAGGTTACACACAAAAAGAATCCCATGAGGCTAACACTGGGTATCTCAGCAGAAACTCCGCAAGCTAGAAGACACTGGGGACCTACATTCAACATTTATAAAGAAAAAAATTTTCAATCAAGAATTTCATATCGAGCCAAACTAAGCTTTCTAAGTAAAGGAAAAATAAGATCCTTTTCAGATAAGCAAATGCTGAGGGAGTTTGTTACCACGAGACCTACCTTAAAAGAAATCTTGAAAGAAGCACTAAATATAGAAAGGAAAACCGTTACCAGCAAATTCAAAAACATACTTGAGTACACAAATCAGTGCTATAAAGCAACCACACACAAAAAAAGCCAGCATAATAACCAGCTAACAACACAATGACAGGATCAAATCCACACATATCAATACTACTCTTGAATGTAACTGGGCTAAATGCCCCAATTTAAAAGGCAAAGAGTGGCAAGATCTAATGGTATGCTATCTTCAAAACACCCATCTCACATACAATGACACACGTAGGTTCTGATGTTCTTAATTTGTCATCATTTTTTCCTAAAAATCCGTATTTCTGTTTGGTACAATTTCTCTTCTGCCCAAAGAATTACTTTTAGCATTTATTTCTTCTCAAGATATAAATCCTCTGGCTAAAATTTTTAAATTTATTTTTATCTGAAAAGGTCTTTAACTGGCCTTTTTTTCTGAAATATATTTTTACTGGACATAAATTTCTGACTTACCAGTTTTTTCTTTTTTCTTTCAACACTTTAAAGTTTGTGTTCCACTGTCTTCTTGCCACCATAATTTGCCATGAGACATAGGGGGTCATTAGAAATGGTGCTTTCTTGTATATAATATGTAATTTTTTTCTACCTGCATATAAGAATTTTTTTATTTCTTGGTTTTTAAAAGTTTACCATAAACGTAGGCTTTTAAAAGCTATATTTATTTATTCTCTTTGGATTTTACTGAAATTCATGAGTTTGAAAATTAATGTCTCAAAAAAATTGGAGAGTTTTTGACCAATATTTCTTCAAATATGTTTGTTCTGCTCTCTTTCTCTTTTCTGTTTCTGGTACAAAAATTACACCTACATTAAACCATTAATGTTGCCTTCAGTAGTCAGCAGCTCCATTTATTCATTTTCAATAATTTCTACTTTATCTTTTTTGCAGATTGGGTAATTTTCATGGATTATCTTTTCTTGTCTACGTTCTACTGTTAAGCCCAGTGGAGATTTTATTAAATATATTTTATTTTTTCATTTTAAAACTTACATTTCACACATTTTCATGTTTTATGTTTCTTTGCTGAGATTTCTTATGTTTTTATTCATTTTGAGTGCATTTATCTTTACTTCACTGAGCACTGCTTTTGATTCATTGACTAACAATTCCAGCATTTAGATTATTTTGTGGTTGCACTCCTCTGTCTTTTCTATTGAGAATGGGTCACATACATTTCCCTTATTCTTTGTATGTTGAGTAATTTTTTGTGTTTTTCTAGGATATTATGAATGTTCTGCTGTGGAGAATCCAAATTCTGTTATACTCTATTAAACAATGTTGATTTATTTTAGATTGTTGTTTTTGTGGGTAATTGATTTGTTTTCATTCCAGCTTCAAGTTTTGTCTCCTGAGTCACAATTAAATTCTCAGTTCTGATCATTTAGTCTTTAAAGGATGCTTTGAGCCTGCCTTGCACATGCATCATTCAGTCGACATTCAGGTATTTGGACATATTTTATGCACATAATTTACGGATCCCCTTCTTCGGTTCTTCCCCCTGAAATAACATATCGTTTTCCAATATTTGTGATTGCTTTTTGATATTTCTTCTTGTTTTTCAGGTGAGAGAGACAGCATGATGCTCATTAATGCCCCAGCAAGTTTTTGCACTACTAAGTGCCTCCTATTCTTCAAGTAAAACCTATAGAAACTGGAAAATCACTTTGTGCCACTCCCTTTATTCAAGTGTCACCTTTCTACAATATTTACTTTCTTTTTACACTTTCCAGAACTTTCTAGTAGTTTTAAGAATATTTTTATAGACTTTGAACGTCTGGTTTATTTTGAACATGTAAAGAGCTTGAAAGTTATTTTTCAAACCTGTCAATAAGAAAAAGCTGGAAAAACTAAAAATCAACACATTTTCCTGGACCCAGCAGAGAAGTAAAGATGCAGTAAGTATCCTAAATCTGGAGACATGGGCATATGTAAAGAGAAACAGGAAGCAAATTTACTTACGAAGAGGAGAAGCTGCTAGAGCCATGAACTGGTGGGGATACTTAAATTATAATTTTGATGAATATTTGTTGGCTGACGGTAGACTAGCAGGGGAGTGAAGAACTCTTGGGAGCTGCATTCTTGTGGGATTATCTTTATACTATCTTAGGCTTTCCATCCAGAACCCCACTATGGTCTCATAGTGAAAATTTGAGAAAGATCCCCTTAGGAAATAATCTTCTAAAATGCCTCCATCTGTCCAATCCCTTCTATCCTTTGTTCCCACCCAAGGAAAAATTATATCAACAGGAGATGGGACTTCAAGGAAATAGATTGGGAAGGTATTGGCCAGGTAGAGAAGTGGAAGGAAAGGGAAAAATAAGCTATACCACGTGAGGATAAACAAAAATATTTGTGAAGGCCACAGCCATGGAACACAACAGAAGACAAAAAAGCTGAGATTAATCAGAAAATTATAGAACAATCCCCCTTAGCCACATCCTACTACCAAATCCCCACAGGTTGCTACTATAATGAGGGTGGATTGCAGCTGAAAGATCTTCCAGTCAGACTCCCTCCAAGGGGCAGTAACTTGAGAATTTCACCAAGCCAAGAGAAGATGTAAAAATAAGAATACTAGATGAATTTTAAACCCCTAATAACTATAGCTACATGGAACATTAAACATAGCCCAACTCCTGGCATGATTAAAATAAATCATCACAGTAAAGTCTTATTTACTTTAGTTCACATTAGTCAATACAGAATGTCTGATTGTCTGCCAAAAATGACAATATGTACAAAAAGGTAAGGAAAAATATTATCTAAAAAGACAGAAAATACCAGAACCAGACTTAGATACAATACATATGTAAAAATCTTCAGACAGAGAATTTAAAATGGCTATGATTATGCTAAGGAATCTAATAGAAAAACTGGAAAACATGCAAGAACAAAGAAATAAAGCAATCGGAGAGACATACACTCTAAGAAAGAATCAAAAAGAAATGCTAGGAAAAAAGTCCCGACAGTAACAGAAATAAAGAATGCCTTTGATGTGCTCATCAGAAGACTCAAAAAAGAATTAGCAAACTTGAAGATAGGTCAATAGAAACTTCTCACACTAACATGCAAAAAGAAAAAAAAGCATTAGAGAAGAAACAGTACAGATCATGCAATAACAGGGAGACAGTTTCAAAATGTATAAAATACATATAATTTGAATACCAAAGAAGAAGAAAGAGAAAATGGAACAGAAGAAATATCTAAAGAATTTGTGTCTAAGAACTTTCCAAAATAGACTATAAAAAGCAAACTACATATCTAGGAACACAGAGAACACCAAACTGAAATAAATCAAAACAAACAAACACAAAACCCCAGCACCACCACCAACTGAAAACCTACCTAGGTATATCATATTCAAACTGTGGAAAACTGAAGAGAATAAATGAAGAAAGCTATAAAAAAAAAATTTCTTACCTTAAGAGTAACAAGTATGCAAATTGCAGTGGGCTTCTTATCAGAAATCATGCAAGGAAATAGAAAGTGATGGACAACCTTTAATGTTTTGAAAGTAAAATCCCACCAAACCCAGAATCCTATATCCAGTGAAATTATCCTTCAAAATTGAAGAGAAAAAGGCTGCCTCAAAAACCCAAAATGAGAAATTTATTGTCAGTAGCCCTGTCCTAAAATAAATGTCAAAATAAATTCTTCAGGCAAATATAAAATAATATAGATCAGAAACTGAGATCTTAATTTAAAAAGGCAAAGTGCTGACAAATAAATAAATAAAAATATAATGTATGGTTTCTATTTTAATTTATATTAAAATAATGGTATATTTAAAGCAATAATAACAATGTATTGAGTAATTATGGGATAAGGATTAGTGAAATGAAGACCGTAATGTCACAAGTGATAGGAGAAATGGATTGGAAATATTGACTTTGTCATAAAGTACCTGCACTACAGGTGGAGTAGTATAGCGATATCTTAATAGAATTTAGACCATTTTTAAAGATGTATTTTGTAAACTCTAGGGCAACCACTAAATATTTTTTAAAAGAAATATGATGAATGGGGCAATTATCTAAGAAGACATAAAAATCCTTAACAAAACATGAAAATGCACGAGGCAAAAATTGGTAGGATCAAAAGAAGGAATTAAAACATTAGCTATAATAGTAGGAGACTTCAACACCCCTCTTTCAATAATTGATAGATCAAGTAAGCAAAACATCTGTATTAGGTTGGTGAAAAAGTAATTGCAGGTTTTGCAATAAAAAATAACTGCAAATTGATTAATTTGAGGACCTGAGTATCACTATCAATCACCTTGACCTAACTGACATTTATAGGATCCTCCATCTCAAAACAGCAAAACGCACATTCTTCTCAAGCTCACATGGAACCTTCATCATGATGGAGTACATTCTGTGACATAAAACACACCTTAACAAAATTAAAATAATCGAATTCATTCAAAGTGTATTCTCACACCACAATTGAATTAAATTAGAAAAAATACCAAAAATAGACATCCTCCAAATATTTGAAAATTAAACGACAGATTTGTGAATAAACTATGGACAAAAGAAGAATTCTGAAAAGAAATTTAATACTATATTGAACTAAATAAAACTGAAAATACAATTTTTATATCTTTGTTGTCTGTCAGAGGGCCATTCTAGTAAGAGTTCACTTATCAAATTTTATAACTGCTTCTTAGAATTATTATGTAACTTGATGGGTGGGTTTTAATACAAATAGTTATTTCATGACATTTATCAGGTTAAGTTTACTTTCTTTTTCTCTATTATTTTTATTTTTTTTATTTTTCTCAGAGACAAGGTCTTCCTTTGTTGCCCAGGTGGGAGTGCAGTGGTACTGTTACAGCTCACTGCTGCCTTGAACTCCTGGCCTCAAGTGATCCTCCTGCCTCTGCCTTCCAAAGCATCGGGATTGTGGGCATGAACTACCATGCCTGGCCTTCTAAATTTTCAATTGATCACTTTGTTTTTCCGCTTCTTTTATTTTCCATTTATAGCTTTCCTGAATTCACCTAATTTTCATTATTTCTTCCCATTTTCTATTTTTAGTGGTGCTTCCAATAGTTAGTATAATTATTTGTATGTATTTATCATATTGAACGTAATTCTAAAAATAAAAATTAATATTACAGGTCCATAACTGCTTATGTAGATCCCTTGGTGCCAGATGTCTTTCCAATTCAGCATTTTTTCATATTTTAAAAAGATAATGCAGGTTGGGCACAGTGGCATGCACCTCCCAGCTACTCAGAAGGCTGAGGCAAGAGGATTGCTGGAGCCTAGAAGTTTGAGACCAGCCTGGGCAACATAGCAAGACCCATCTCATTTAAGAAAAAGGTAAATCCGCAAAAGCACGTATTATATAACAAAACCCCAGAAGCAGAATCTGGAACACATTAATATGCCTATTCTGAATCATGTGGTTAATGATACTAAGTAGGAGAAATAAGGACTTTGCATATCCACATATATTTGTTCAGATCACATTTTGCTGCCAAATTAATTTTACTTTAATGTGAGGGAAAATATTTTGAAAAATCACTTTTGTAGGTTTTTTTTTCATACTTCAGAATATCAAATTAAAGGTTGTAGACCTGAATCTTTAATTTGATCTATGCATAGCTGTAAAATTAAAGATTAAGGTCTATATATATATATTTGATTTGGGTTTCCCACATCCAAATTCTATGCCACCCTTTGCTAATATTTTGCCTCAGTTTTGAATTTAAATTCCCCAAAGTAGTAACCATTAATTTACAATAACAATTTGTTTGGATTCTGCAATATGGTGCCTATATTTTTGTCCATCATTATTATTTACATCCTACTCTCTTCTTGGGCAATCTTATTTTGTGCTGAGGACAACATTTTAATGTTTTTTAAGTTAGTCTATGATTGGTAAGCACTTTCAGTTTTTGTAAATTTGAACTTTTTTTTTAATTTCACCATCATGCTTAAATGACAGTTTAGTCGTGTGTTGAATTCTAGGTTTACACTTACTTTCTCTAAATGCTTTAAAAAAATATTTGTTAGATTTTTATTATTGCTAAATACATGTATTGATTCATGATCTTTCTTTGATAGAAAAGTTTGGGTTTGTTTACCTCTGATAATTCTTAATATCTTCTCCCATCTTTTGAGCTCATTTGTCTGTGTTTTTAAGTTGAAAGACTATACTTTTTATCTCTAAAGGGTTTTTTTTTTTTTTTAGTGCTGCTTAGGATATGCTTATGCCCTCCTATTATTGCTTTCGATTACCTTTCTTTATCTACAGATTATCTGAAAGTGTCTTTCAGATTGCGTTTATAATTCAAGTGCTATGAATACTAATTCTTGTGTTTAAAGGGTTTATCATCTTTCTTGATTATCTCTGCGTATTGTTTGGGAGCCACGTAAGTTATCGCATGTGGTGCATTGGTTTGACCTGTGCTTCCCTACTTTTGTCCCTGTGCTGACTCTCCTATGCTGAGCCAGAGTTTTCCAGTATTGTCTCCATGATCAATGACATCCAGCATCAGCACCTTCTGCCATGACCACTACCATCACCGCAGATGCAGAGGCTCCGACAACTCCGTTTAATAATGCCAAACCTCAAATCAGTTATACGCTATCCTCTTTGGCAATAAATATTTTTTTTCAAATTTACATTATCATGGATGCTGTAACTAAGTGGATATAAAAACACTTTCTCCTTCCCGATACGTTGCCTATTATATGAAAATCATAATGTGGTGTTCGGGGCCTCATGATGTTTTAACATTTAATAAGTTATATTTTCAATTTCACAAAGAGACTTTTTTTGTGTGTCCAGGAAACACACAGGTAACTTATTGAAAATCTCTAGGCCATGAAGCTTTCACATAACATCTATTATGCACGGTCCAGGACTTTCCTTTGAAATTTCAACTCTGCTGAATTTGGTTCTTCGTACCTCATTTTCAGGGCCTGTGGAAAACTCATTGTGATTGGACATTTGTGCTCTTCTTCCCCCAACTCCACACACACAGAAAATCCCAGGTCAATAGATATGCTTGTTTGTTTCAGAACAACTCTTTACATGATTCAAATGTTTATGTCAGAAAGCCAGAAAGCGCTACTAACTTCACATATGTATTGGAATACAAATAAGTGTTTCTATAGGTCAGAACTATTCTAATATAACTTTGATATCCTCCTTCACAAAGCAAAAGACATTTTCTCCTAGAATTGTTCAATATTTACTAGTGGAGGTAGATGGAGGAATAGATCACTGTAAAACTACTTGTTAAGTGCTGTCTTGGAGATAGATCCAGTCAGATGTGCTCAGAATACAAAGAACTTACTCCTTTGTAGGATATGTCAATGGGGTTTAATGTTATATTTGCATTTGGTTTCTTTTGATTGACTTATTAAGCATATTATTTGATAAAAACTCAAATTAACTTATTTGTGAAAATGTTTTACTTCTACTGTTCTATGTACCCATAGTGATTTCCAGGGGAAAGAAATGTAAAATAGAAAGTGATAACTGAAATTTCTGACAAGATTTCTGCTATGCCAGTTCAACTTTTAATTTAGTTTCATATGCATTTTTTTTCCTTTTGCTAGGGATAGTAATGAAATTTATAAAGCAAATGAATAATATAACTTTCTAATAATAGACAGAGCTACATAACACATTGTAGTTTAATACAAACAGTTATCATTACCAAAAGCAAAAATTAACATGTCTAATTTTTTTTCTATGGGATGAAAATGTCCTGTGAATAACAGGGGTGTGAAAAAGGCCATGTAGTGAGTCTGGATATTCAAAGTAAAATATTGAGACAAGAGAAAATCTGATAGCAAACATTTATTATTTTATTTAGTTATTCCAGAAACATTAAGTATCTATTATTGGCTATCTCCTGTTCTAGATGCTGGTGAAGCAGCAGAGAGTAAACTAGGTAAGAGTCTATGTTTTTCTAGCACTAATATTCTAGTGTGGAGAAAAAGTAAAGAATCAAAGTTAACTAGTAAAATATGCGTATTATCCTAAGTGATCACTATTATGGAGAAAGATTAAGTAAGGAAACAGGACAGAGCAGGGGGTCATAGATGGCTGTGATTTTACATTAGTTGGTCAGGATAATTCATCACTGAACAGCTTAAGTAAAGACCCAATGGAGGTGAGGGGAGAAAGCCACAGGCCTATCAGGAGGGTGGATATTTTAAGCAGAAGGAATGGTAAGTACAACGACAGTATTCTTTCTTTGATTTAAACAGCTTTCCTGAAATATAATTGACATATAAATAATTGTACATATTAAAGAATTGCAAATATTTAACATATACAGTTGGATGATTTGGGGCCTATAGGAACCCCTGTTTATCCATGATACCATAACCAGAATCAAGGTAATCGATACAGCCAATACTTTCCAGTTTCCTGGGTCTCTTCGTCATTATTTTTGTTTATTTTGTGGTAAGAACACTTAACATGAGATGTACACTCCTAACAAATTTTGAAGAGCACAATACTGTCTTATTGACTATAGGCCCTATGTTGTACAGCAGATCTCTAGAATTTATTCACCTAGCATAACAGAAACTTTATGCCCACTGAACAACTTCCCAGTTCCCTTACCTCAGACCCTGGTAATAGCTATTGCATTATCTGCTTCTATGAGTTTGACTATTTAAGATACCTCATGTAAACAGAATCATGCAGTGATTGTCCTCAAACTGGCTTACTTTACTTGGCCTAGTGTCCTCCAGCTTGGTGCATGTTGTTGTATATGGCAGTTTTTCCTTCATTTAAATGCCTGAATAATATTCTCTCTCTCTCTCTCTCTCTCTCTCTCTCTCTGTGTGTGTGTGTGTGTGTGTGTGTGTGTATCATGTTTTCTTTATCCAGTCATTTATTGATGGACACCTGGACTGTTTTTATATCTTGGCTATTGTGAATAATGTTGCAATAAGCATGAGAGTGCAGATATCTCTTTAAAATAAAAGGCATGAACTTGTGTGTAGAGTTTTCTGAATAACAGGGAGAATACTGTGGCTATGGAGAGTGAGTGAAGGGGAAGATAATACAATTCAATAAGTGTAAAATCAGAGAAGATATTTTTAGTGTCATGGAGTCCTTACTAATATGCATATATTACCTCAGTATAAATGCTTTTGATTAAAAGGATAAAAATGCAGGTTCCATCTCACTTTGGAAGCTAGCTCCATCTTAATAAAGAAGTCTAATTTCTTCTTGCTTCCCTCAAGCACTCTATGCTCTAATATTATTCAATTATTCAATTATTACTATTCTTCATATTGTGCATGTTCTTACTACACTAATAATTTTCACAAAGAAATTCCATTGCTTATAAGCTTTTTCTGATCTTTCTCACTTTAATCCATATACTATTCTTCTTTAAGAGCTTAAATATACACATAGTCTCCTCTAGATTTTCCTTTGTCCCTAGAATTGATTAGGCACATCTCAGTATGCTACCATAATGCACTGTACCTAACCCTTTTATCACTTTAGTCATGCTGTATATTAAATGCTGGTTTACTTACCTATCTATTAGGTTATTGAGTGTAAGGGCTTTGTCTTATTTATGGTGATTTCCCTGTATCCAGTGCAAGCCTTTGCACAAGTATTTGTGAATAAACAAAAATTCATTTGGCCTTAAAATGATAATTGCTATGATGATTTTAACAACAAAAATCACAATAAACTTGCTTTATAATGAAGTTTTCTACTCCAAAAGTGGGAACAGTGTCATGAAAATAATTACTTTGCATTTACTTCCCTATAATTAGAAAAAGAAAATACGCACAAAGGAGAACTCTAACATCTTCAGACATACAAGGAAAGCAAATTGTTCTTAGTATGAATAATTTCACTCTTCAATACATTTATCTCAAAGTAAAAAATTCCACTTGAAAAATAATAGGCAGTTGATTAGCTACTAATATGATAGCAACATTTCTTATGTGTTCAAAATCTGTCTTGTGTTTTACTGAATACTTACACCTTCTACTTGCCAACACCATTTTTTATTTGGAGTACTTGGGCTTTTAATTTGCTAAGATAAGATCCTCAAAAAATGGTGTAAAGAGAAAAATAAAGTAGCTCTGTTACTCTAATATTTTGTTAATAAATTAACATGGTTCATGTAAAACTTTCTTATGATGGATATTAATTTTTCTTATTTTAGCACTTTCAGGTATAGTTATAAGTCTTGTTGGCTATTACTGAGAAATGGTTTTCTAACAATTACAGCAAGAAAGGTTTCCATTAGTTAAATATATTTTATGCCTTCACTTTTTTCCATTACTTAGTATCTTTGGCAAAGGTGAAATTAAATGCAAAATGTAGCCTTAGAATTAATCATGTCCAGATATAAACATGTATGTCCAGATATAGTTTATGCCAGGACATGATGATTGCTCATAGAAGTATTACCTACTTTTAACAGAAAAATACATTGTCTGGGCAAAAAAACACCTTTGATGTAAATAACCAGCTCAATGCAATGTACAAATAAAAATATATGTGAATATATTTATATATATATGTAAACATATATACTGTGTATATATATTTTTTGATGGTGATAAAATATTAATTTATTAACTCGATTCCTGCTGTGTGTGTGTGTGTGTATATATATATAATGTAAATTTATATAAGAAATACATATGTATTTTTTTTCTTTCTTTCTTACTGTCTGTCAGGGTGCTGTAAGGAAACACCCTTAAGATTTTTTTTTTTAATTTTTATTTTACTTTAAGTTCCAGGATATATGTGCAGAAGGTGCAGGTTTACTATATGGAAATACGTGTGCCATGGTGGTTTCCTACACTATCAACCCATCATCTAGGTTTTGAGCCCCGCATGCATTAGGTATTCGGCCTAATGCTCTCCCTCCACTTGCTCCTCACCCCAGAACAGGCCCCAGTGTGTGTTGTTCCCCTTCCCGTATCCATGTGTTCTCATTGTTCAACTCCCATTTATGAGTAGGAACGTTCAGTGTTTGGTTTTCTGTTCCTGTGTTACTTTGCTGAGGATAATGGCTTCCAGCTTCATCCATGTCCCTACAAAGGATATGATCTCATTCTTTTTTATGGCAGCATAGTATTCCATGGTGTATGTGTACCACATTTTCTTTGTCCAGTCTATCATTGATGGACGTTTGGGTTGATTCCATGTCTTTGCTATTGTAAACAGTGAGGCAATAAACATATGTGTGCATGTGTCTTTATAGGAAAATTGATTTATATTCTTTTCGGTATATACTCAGTAATGGAATTGCTGGGTCAAATGATATTTCTGGTTCTAGATCCTTGAGGAATCACCACACTGTCTTCCACAATAGTTGAACTAATGTACACTCCCATCAACAGTGTAAAAGCTTTCCTATTTCTCCATAGCCTCCTTAGCTGTGTTTGTAAATTTGTTTAAGTTCCTTGTAGATTCTGGATATTAGAACTTTCTCAGAAAGGTAGATTGCAAAAATTTTCGCCCATTCCATAGAATGTCGGTTCACTGTGTTGATAGTTTCTTTTGCTGTGCAGAAGCTCTTTACTTTAATTAGATCCCATTTGTCAATTTTGGCTTTTGTTGCAATTGCTTTTGGTGTTTTTGTCATGAAGTTTTTGCCCATATCTATGTCCTGAATGGTATTGCCTAGGTTTTCTTCTAGAGTTTTTTATGGTTTTAGGCTTTACATTTAAGTCTTTAATCAATCTGCAGTTAATTTTTGTATAAAGTGTGAGGAAGGGGTCCAGTTTCTGTTTTCTGCATATGGCTAGCCAGTTTTTCCAGCGTCATTTAATAAATAGGAAACCCTTTCCCCATTGCTTGTTTTTGTCAGGTTTGTTGAAGATCAGATGGCTGTAGATGTGTGGTGTTATTTCTGAGGTATCTGTTCTGTTCCTTTGATCTATATGTCTGTTTTGGTACCAGTACCATGCTGTTTTGGTTACTGTAGCCTTGCAGCATAATTTGAAGTCAGGTAGTGTGCTGTCTCCAGCTTTGTTCTTTTTGCTTAGGATTGTATTGGCTATACAGGCTCTTTTTTGCTTCCATATGAATTTAAAGTATTTTTTTCTAATTCTCTGAAGAATGTCAATTGTAGTTTAATGAGAATAGCATTGAATCTATAAATTACTTTGGGCAGGATAGCCATTTTCATGATATTGATTCTTCTTATCCATGAGCATGGAATGTTTTTCCATTTGTTTGTGTTCTCTCTTACTTCCTTGAGCAGTGGTTTGTAGTTCTCCTTGAAGAGGTCCTTCACATCCCTTGTAAGCTGTATTCCTAGGTATTACAGTCTCTTTGTAGCAATTGTGAATGGGAGTTCATTCATGATTTGGCTCTCTGCTTATCTATTGTTGGTGTATAGGAATGCTTGTGATTTTTGCACATTGATTTCGTAGCCTGAGACTTTGCTGAAGTTGCTTATCAGCTTAAGGAGACTTGCAGCTGAGACGATGGGGTTTTCTAAATATACAATCATGTCATCTGCAAACAGAGACGATTATACTTCCTCTCCTCCTATTTGAATACCCTTTATTTGTTTCTCTTGCCTGATTGCCCTGGCCAGAACTTCCAATACCATGTTGAATAGGAGTGGTCAGAGAGGGCATCCTTGATTTTTGCCAGTTTTCAAAGGGAAGGTTTCCAGCTTTTGCCCATCCAGTATATTGCCTATGGGTTTGTCATAAATAGCTCTTATTATTTTGAGATATAGTCCATCAATATCTTTTTTAACATGAAAGGATGTTGAATTTTATTGGAGGCCTTTTCTGTATCTACTGAGATAATCATATGTTTTTTGTCATTGTTTCTGTTTATGTGATGGATTACGTTTATTGATTTGTGTATGTTGAATCAGCCTTGCATCCCAGGGATGAAGCCCACTTGATTGTGGTGGATAAGCTTTTTGATGTGCTACTGGATTTGGCTTGCCAGTATTTTATTGAGGATTTTCCCATCAATGTTCATCAGGAATATTGGCCTGATGCTTTCTTTTTTTGTTGTGTCTCTGCCAGGTGTTGGATGATGCTGGCCTCATAAAATGAGTTAGGGAGGAGTCCCTCCTTATCAATTGTTTGGAATAGTTTCAGAAGGAATGATACCAGCTCCTCTTTTTACCTCTGGTAGAATTCAGCTGTGAATCCATCTGGTCTGGGTGTTTTTTTTTTTTTTTGGTTGGTTGGCTATTAATTACTGCCTCAATCACAGAACTTTCTATTGATCTATTCAGGAATTTGAATTCTTCCTGGTTTAGCCTTGGGAGAGTGGAAGTTTCCAGGAATTTATCCATTTCTTCTAAATTTTCTAGTTTATTTACACAGGTGTTTATAGTATTCTCTGATGGTACTTTGTATTTCTGTGGGGTCAGTGGTGACATTCCCTTTATCATTTTTATTGTGTCTATTTGATCTTCTTTCTTTTCTTCATCATTAATTTAGCTAGTGGTCTATCTATATTGTTAATTTTTCAAAAAAACCATTTCCAGAATTCATTGATTTTTCTGAAGAGTTTTCATGTCTCCTTCAGTTCTGCTCTGATAGTTATTTCTTGTCTTCTGCTAGCTTTTGAATTTGTTTGCTCTTGCTTCTCTAGTTCTTTTAACTGTGATGTTAGGATGTTGATTTGACATATTTCCAGCTTTGTGATGTGGGCATTTAGTGTTATAAATTTCCCTCTTAACACTGCTTTAGCTGTGTTCCAGAGATTCTGGTACATTGTGTCTTTGTTCTCATTGGTTTCAAAGAACTTCTTTATTTCTGCCTTAATTTTGTTATTTACCCAGAAGTCATTAAGGAGCAGGTTGTTCAATTTCCATGTAGTTTTGTGGTTTTGAGTGAGCTTCTTAATCTGATTTCTAATTTGATTGCACTGTGGTCTGAGAGACTGTATGTTATGATTTCAGTTCTTTTTCATTTGCTGAGGAGTGTTTTACTTCCAATTGTGTAGTTGATTTTAGAATAAGGGCTATGTGGCACTGAGAAGAATGTATATTCTGTTGATTTGGGGTGGAGAGTTCTGTAGATACCTATTACATCCAATGGATACTTGATCCAGAGCTGAGTTCAAGTCCTGAATATCCTTGTTAATTTTCTGTCTTGTTGATCTGTCTAATATTGACAGTTGGGTGTTAATGTCTCCCACTATTATTTTGTGGGAGTCTAAGTCTCTTTGTAGGTCTCCAAGAACTGGTTTTATGAATCTAGGTGATCCTGTATTGGGTGCATATATATTTAGGACAGTTACCTGTTCTTGTTGCATTGATCCCTTTAGCATTATGTAATGCCTTTCTTTGTCTTTTTTATCTTTTTTGGTTTAAAGTCTGTTTTATCAGAGACTAGGATTGCAACCCCTGCTTTTTCTTGCTTTCCATTTGCTTGGTAAATATCCCTCCATCCCTTTATTTTGAGCCTGTTTTTGTCTTTGCATGTGACATGGGTCTCCTGAATACAGCACACTGATGGGTCTTGTCTCTTAATTCTGTTTGCCAGTCTGCATTTTTTACTTGGGGCATTTAGCCCATTTACATTTAAAGTTAATATTGTTATATGTGAATTTGATCCTATCATCATAATGCTAGCTGGTTATTTTGCAGATTAGTTGATGCGGTCTCTTCACAGTGTCAATGTTCTTTATATTTCGGTGTGCTTTTCCAGTGGCTGGTACTGGTTTTTCCTTTCCATATTTAGTACTTCCTTCAGGAGCTCTTGCAAGGCAGTCCTGATGGTGACAAAATCCGTTAGCATTTGCTTGTCTGGAAAGGATTTTGTTTCTCCTTTGCTTACGAAGCTCAGTTAGGCTGGATATAAAATTCTGACTTGAAAATTCTTTAAGAATGTTGAATATTGGCCCCCACTCTTTCATGGCTTGTAGTGTTTACGCTTAGAGATCCACTGTTAGTCTGATGGGCTTCCCTTTGTAGGCAACCTCTCCTTTCTCTATGGCTGTCCTTAACATTTTTTGCTTCATTTTGACATTAGAGAATCTGATGATTATGTGTCTTGGGGTTGATCTTCTCATGGAGTATATTAGTGGTGTTCTCTGCATTTCCTGAATTTGAATGTTGGTTTGTCTTGCTAGGTTGGGGAAGTTTTCCTGGATGATATCCTGAAGTGTGTTTTCAAACTTGGTTCCATTCTCCCCATTTCTTTCAGGTACTCCAATCAATTATAGGTTTGGTCTTTTCAGACCGTCCCATATTTCTTAGAGGGTTCATTCATTCCTTTTCATTCATTTTTCTCTAATCTTGTCTGCATGCCTTATTTCAGTAAGGTGGTCTTCAAACTCTGATATCCTTTCTTCTGCTTGATTGATCCATACTTATGTATGCTTCACAAAGTTCTCGTGCTGTGTTTTTCAGCTCCATCAGGTCATTCATGTTCCTCTCTAAACTGGCTATTCTTGTTTAGCAGTTCCTGTAACCTTTTATCAAGGTTCTTATCTTCTTTGCAATGAGTTAGAATATGCTCCTTTAGCTCAGAAGAGTTTGTTATTACCCACCTTCTGAAGCCTACTTCTGTCCATTCATCAATCTCATTCTCTGTTCAGTTTTCTGCCCATGCTGGAGAGGTGTTGTGATCATTTGGAGGAGAAGAGGCATTCTGGCTTTTTGCATTTTTGCACTGGTGTTTCTTCATCTTTGTGGTTTTATCTACCTTTGATCTTTGAGGCTGATGACCTTTGGCTGGGGTTTTTGTGGGGAGTCTTTTTTGTTGATGTTATTATTGTTGCTTTCTGTTTGTTAGTTTTTCTTCTACCAATCAGGCCTGTCTTCTGTAGGTCTGCTGCAGTTTGCTGGAGGTTCACTGCAGACACTGTTCACCTGGGTATCACCAGTGGAGGCTGCAGAACAGCAAATATTCTTGCCTGCTCTTTCCCCTGGAAGCTTCATCCCAAAGGGGTGCTCACCTGATGCCAGCTGGATTTCTCCTGTATGGGGTGTCTGTCGACCCCTGTTGGGAGGTCTCTCCCTGTCAGGAGGCATGGGGGTCAGGGACCCACTTGAGGAGGCAGTCTGTCCCTTAGCAGAGCTGGTGTGCTGTGCTGGGAGAATTCCCCCTTGTCAAGATCAGCCTCTCTCTTCAGAGCAGGCAGGCAGGAAAGATTAAGACTACTGAAGCTGCAACTGCAGCCACCCCTCCCACAGGATGCTCTATCCAGGTAAATGAGAGTTTTGTCTGTAAGCACCTGAATGGAGCTGATGGATTTCCTGCAGAGATGCTCTTCCCAGTAAGGAAGAATCTAGAGAAACAGTCTGGCCACAGCTGCTTTGCTGCATTGCAAAGTCCAAACCTCCTAGTCTTCTTAGCACTGTCAGGGGAAAACTGCCTACTAAAGCCTCAGTAATTGTGGTTGCCCCTCCCCCCACCAAAATCCATCCTCCCAGGTTGACTCCAGACTGTTGTGCTGACAGCAATAATTTCAAGCCAGTATTTCTTAGCTTGCTGGGCTCCATGGGAGTGGGACCCACTGAGCGAGACCACTTGGCTCCCTGGCTTCAGCCCCCTTTCCAGAGGAGTGAATGGTTCTACTGTCTCACTGGAGTTCAAGGTGCTGCTGGAGTATGAAAAAGCTTTTGCAGCTCAGTGGCTGCCCAAACAGTCACCCAGTTTTGTACTTGAAACCCAGGACCTTGGTGGTGTAGGCTCATGTAGGGAGACCCCCTGAAACTATTGCTATGGAATAAAAGATGAAATGCTCCTGATTATTGTAAATGCAAAATTGCATGCAGGATTGTGTAAAGACAACGCCAGGTTGGATTGCCAGAATGAGCCAACAGCGTGTGATGTCCTTCCCCCTGCAGAGAGCCTATGAATGGATGTGCAGTCAGGGAGGTTTCACATCACCAAGATTCCTATCCCAGAAAAGGAGATGTTCATAGCTCTGGGAATAGTTCAAGCGA
Source organism: Homo sapiens (assembly GCF_000001405.40). Classification (NCBI taxonomy): domain Eukaryota; kingdom Metazoa; phylum Chordata; class Mammalia; order Primates; family Hominidae; genus Homo; species Homo sapiens. The sequence continues at coordinate 35,173,334 of NC_000003.12, forward strand.
CCCTGGTGGAGAGCCTATAAATGGACGCATGAGGGGTGTCTGTTCATACGGATAAGATAGGGCTATAAATGCCCTCATCTTGCCACAGCTCTTCTAGGCCTCTATAGGGTTAAGGCATACTCCCTTCTGAGAATTTCTGGTCTAACTGGTTGTCTAGCTTCACGTCCTATTTCTATTGATTGTTTGTAACCAGCTTTTGCTGCAACTGTTACTGCTGATTAATATCTTGCTAATCATAGGTTATGGAAAGACTGTTTCTGTTTTAAGCCTGTTAGAAATTACTGATGCACACACTATATTGTAAATTCTTATCTCTGTATACTGGACTTCTGCATACAGATATTATGTTAAAGAATTACTTCATCCCCATGTGACCATCTCACCTCATAATCAAACGACCCTAAATCCCTCACTAACCTACCCCCGCCCTCACTAAACTTAATAACAAATGCTAATATATCCAGTGCATTGATGGCATTGCAGGACCAGAAGGCGGTGACCCCCCTGGACCCAGCTTTCACTATCTTGTGAGTGTCTATTATTTCTCGACCTGCTGATCCATCAGGGAACAAAGAAGGAGCCCCATTGCATTGCAGGCTGCTGGCCAGATCCCGCAATAGGCTCACAAATTAATATTCTGATCCATGGATTGCAAAAATCTCTGGGAAAAGCATAGTACCCAGGGTGGGTAGCACAGTCCCTCATGGCTTCCCTTGTCTGGGGGAAGGAGGTCCCCGGCTCTGTGCACTTCCTGGGGGAAGTGACGCCCCACCCTGCTTCTGCTCACTCTTTGTGTGTTGCATGCACTGCCTAACCAGTCCCAGTGAAATGAACTGGGTACCTCAATTGGCAATGCAGAAATCACCTGCCTTCTGTGTTGGTTTTGCTGGGAACTACAGACTGGAGCTGTTTCTATTTGGCCACCTTGGCCTCTCAAGATTCTTTTTGATTGTCTATTTTTTTTATTTTTATTTTTTGTTATCTGTGCTTTTGAAACTTTAGCCATAAGTTCCTTCTCTGGATCAATGTCCTAAAGCATTTCCCCTATGTTTATTTTTGATTTTCTTATTGTTGTGGGTGTTATGCTTAAGTCTTTAATCCAGTTTTAGTTTACCTTTATATATGGTGAGAGATAGAGTGTCTAGTTTCATTCTTTTACATATAGATACCTGGTTTACACATCACTTATTGAAAAGGGTATTCTTTCCCCACCGTATGTTTTTGTCAAGATCAGTTCACTGAAAATCTGTGGCTTTATTTCTGGGTTCCCATTTCTGTTCCACTAATTTATGTATCTGTTGTTACACCAATACCATCTTTTTTGGTTACTATAGCTTTGCAGCATATTTTGAAGTTAGGTAGTGTGATGCCTCTAACTTTGTTCTCTTTGCTTAGGATGGTTTTGCCTATTTGGGGTCTTTTGTGGTTGAAAACAAATTTTATGATATTTTCCCCTATATTTGTGAAGAAGGTCATTGGTATATTGACCAGGATTGCACTAAATGTTTAGATTGAGTAGTATGGTCATTTTAACAATATTAATTATTTGATCCATGAGCATAAGATGTTATATGTTTTTTCCGTTTTTTTGTATGTTCTCTTAAACTTGTTTCATCAGTGTTTTGTGATTTTCATTGTACAATTTTTCACATTTTTGGTTAGATTTATTTTTGCATTTTTTGGAGTTATGGCAAATGGGATTGCTTTCTTGATTTATTTTTCAGCTAGTTCATTATTCATTTACAAAAATACTACTTATTTTTAATGTTAATTTTGTATTCTGTAGCTTTATTAAGTTCATTTATTCATTGTAAGAGATTTGTGGCGGTGTTTATAGGTTTTTCTGTATAAAAGATCCTGTTGTCTGCAAAGAGGGACCATTTGACACCTTTTGTTATATGGATGCCTTTTATTTCATTCTCTTGCCTGATTTTCATGACTAAGACTTTCAGTACCATAAGAATGATGAAAGTGGGCATCATGGTCTTGTTCCAATTTTTAGAGGAAAGGCTTTCAACTTTTCTCCATTTAGTATGATGTTAGTTGTGGGTTTGTCATATATGGTCTGTACTATTTTGAGGTATGTTACCTCTATGTTGAGTTTGTTGAGAGTTTTTATCACAATGTTTTATCAGATGTTTTCTCTGTGCCTATTGAAATAATTATATGGTTTTTGTCATTCATTCTGTTGATGTGCTGTATCAGATTTATTGGTTTGTTTAAGTTGAACCATTCTTTCATCCCTGGGTAAATCCTAATTTATCATAGTGGGATTACACTTTTTTAGGTGTTATTGAATATGGTTTGCTAGTAGTTTGCTGAGAATTTTTGCATTTATATTTACCAGGGATATTGGCCTATAGTTTTCTTTTTTACTTTTATGTCCTTTGCTGATTTTGATATCAGGTCAATGTTGACCTCATAGAATGAGTTAGAAAGAATTCCATCATCTTCAGTTTTTTGGAATAGTCTGAGAAAAAAATTGCTCTCAGTTCTTCTTCCTTTTATGTTTGGTATAATTCAACAGTGAAGCGTCTGTTCCTGGGCTTTTCTTTGTTGGGAAACTTGACTACTGACTCAATCTCGTTATCCATTACTGGTTGGTCCAGATTTTCTATTTCGTCTTGATTCAACCTTGTGGTTGGAGTACTCGGAATTGTATCCATTTCTCCTTGGTTTTCCAAATAGTTATAGTTCATAATAGTATCTCTAATGACTCTTGTATTAATTATAATGTCTGCCTTTTATTTATGATTTTATTTATTTGGGTTTTCTCTCTTTTTTTCATGGTTAGTATAGCTACTGGTGTATTGAGTTTGTTTATCTTCTCAAAAAATCAACTTTTTATTTTGTTCATGCTTTGTTCAGACATTTGTAATTGTTTTTTAAGTCTCTATTACATTTATTTTTGGTTTGATCTTTATTATTTCTTTTCTTTTACTAATTTGGGGTTTGGTTTGTTCTTGCTTTTCTAATTTTTTGAGTTGCATCATTAAGTTATTAATATTTTTCTTCTTTTTGAGGTAGATGGTTATTGCTATAAACTTTTCTCTTAGCACTGCTTTTAATATATGTATAACATGTTATATTTTGATGTTACATTTCCATTTTCATCTTTCACAGAATTTTTTATTTTATTTTCTTAATTTCTTCACTGACCAACTAATCATTCAGGAGTATGTTGTTTAATTTTCATATATTTTTATAGTTTCCAGAGTCCCCCGTTTTAGTGATTGCTAGTTTTACTCCATGTGATATGAGACAATAATTAATGTGATTTCAGTTTTTAAAACTTTTTGAGACTTGTGTTGTGACCTAACATATGTTCTATGCTGGGTAATTTTCCATATGCTAAAGATAAGGGTATATAATCTGTAGCCATTCAATAAAATGTTCTGTCAATATCTATAAGATCCATTTAATCTATAATGCATATTAAGTCCAATGTTTCTTTGTTGATTTTTTTTGTTTATATCATCTGTCCATTGCTGAAAGTGGGACGTTGAAGTTTCCAATTATTATTGTATTGAGGGGTCTGTCTCTCTGTTTTTAGCTCTAGTAATATTTGCTTTAAATATTCGGGTGTTCAGGTGTTAAAGGCATATATATTTACAATACTTATATTGTCTTGCATAATTGATCTCTTTATCATTATATAATAATCTTTGTCTCTTTTTATATAAAGTCTATTTCATCTCATATATATATGTATATATAGCTACTCATGCATGCTTTTTGTTTCCATTTGTGTGGAATATTTTTTAATCTTTTAACTTCAGTCTATCTGTGCCTTGACAAGTGAGGTGAGTTTCTTTTAGGCAGCTTATAGTTGGGTTATTTAAAAAAAAGTTTTTCAGCCAGTCTTTATCTTTTAATTAGAGAATTTAAACCACCTACTTTAAAGTTGTTAATGATAAGTGAAGACTTACACTTGTCATTTGTTAATTGTTTTCTGATTGTATTGCATATCCTTTGTTCATTTCTTCCACTTTTATTATTTCCCTTTATTATATGGTAATTTTCTTTTCATAGTGCTAACATTTGACTCCTTTCTCTTTCTCATTTGTGTATCTGCACTGTCAGTGGATTTCATGTTTCTTGATAATAGATATCGTCCTTTTACTTCCATGTTTATGGCTTCTTAAGCATTTCTTGTAAGTCTGATCCAGTAGCGATGAATTCCCTCAGTTTTGCTTTTATGGAAAACACTGTATTTCTTTTTCATTTTAAAAGATAGATTTTCTGAGTATGGTATTATTGAATGATAGTTTTTTTCTCTTTCAGCACTTTGAATGTATTATCACATTGTCTCCTGGTACCTAAGGTTTCTGCTGAATAATCTGCTTTAAGTTTGATGGAGATTCCTTTATATGTGAGCTGATATTTTCCTGTTGCTGTTGTTAGAATTCTCTCTTTGTCTATGATTTTTGACAGTTTGACTATAATATGTCTTGGAGAAGACCCTTTTGGGTGGAATCTATTTGGGAATCTTTGGGGTTCCTGTACCTAGATGTCTATATTTTTTCAACCTTTCAGAAGTTTTAAGCTATTATTTCATTATGTAGATTTTCTCTGCCTTTGCCCAATCATATCTTTTCCTTCTGGTACTTTCAAAATTTGAATATTAGCTTGCCTAATGATGTCCCATATGTTACATATGTCTTCTTCATTTAAAAAAAGTGTATATTTATTCATTTTTTTGGTCTGTCTTGGTTATTTCAAAAGACCTGTATTGATGTTCAAAAATTATTTATTCTGCTTGATCTACTCTATTGTTTAAGCTCTCAATTTTATTTTCTATTTCATTTGCTACATTGTTTAATTTCAGGATTTCTGGCTTTAAAATAAAATCTATCTCTTTGTTTAATTTCTCATCAGGATCATGAATTCTCTTCTTAATATTTGTGTTGTTTTTCTGTGTTCTTTTCCATCTGAATGAGTTTCTTTAATATCATTACTTTGTTAATAACAAGTTAAGTTCTTGTTAAGGTTTTTCATAGATTTCCTTTCTTTGTTACTTATTATCGAAGAATTATTGTGGGGTTTTTTTGAGGTGTTGTGTTCGCTTGCATTTTCATGTTTTTATGTCACATTGATATGTGCACATTTGGTGTTAATAGTAACTTCTTCCAATTTTATGGATTGGCTTTTGTAGGAAACAACTTTTCAGTAGATGTATCTATTATGCTGTTTGAGTTAGATACTTTGACTCTGATTCTGGGTGGATGTAGTAGTGTAATCTCTATGTAACTTCCTCAGCTGTAATCAGTGTCAGTGATGTCCATGAGTGCTTCAGTAGCTTAGGCTGTGATAGTGGAGGTTGGGATAAGGCTTTGCTCGTCTAACTGTCCCTTGCGCATGAGTGGTGGCTATGACAGGCTAGGCATGTCAGTTGTTTGGAACCTGAGTGATGTATGCAGGCATTGGTAGTGGCAGGTCCTGGCAGGCCAGTCATTAATCCTCTAGGAAGCATGCTCAGGTACCTACAGTGACAGAAGCAGGCAGGTCCTTGGGCCTCTGAGCAGGACTCATGACATTGTCAGTGGCAGTAGTAGTAGCAGATCAACCCTTGTTGGTACTTCCAGATATCAGCAGTCAAGGCAGCTAGCTGAGCTGTCTAGTCCCTGGTTTCCTTGAGATGTGCACAGGTAAACATTGGCATTGGCAACAGCATGTGAGGTAGGCCAGTCCCTAAGCATCTGTGAGGCATGTGTAGGCCCTGGCAGCTGGGGTTTGGTCCCATCATTAGGCCTTTAGATGGTGGGCATGTGCACTAGTGGTAGTAGGCAGTGTGGACCAATCCTCGGCTCCCAGATAATGCACATGGGTGCTAGCAGCAGTGGCAGCAGTGGGCTGGGTGGGCCTCTCTTTTTTGCTTGCTTTCTTGGTTTGTGTTCTTTCTCTGTAAATGCACTGGGTTAACAAACTTCACTTTTGGACTTGCAAAAATTTCTTTCTACTTTGTTTTGAAATGTAATGTGCTTCTGTAAGATTTGCAATAACACATATAAAGTGCTATTAAGTTTTTCAGTTTATTTGTAGATGGAGTCTTCAGGGCAGTGAATAGTTTTCTAATGCCAGGTCTGAAAACAGCAGGGTATAATTAGAATATTATGTGGATAAATATTCCTAAAGTTATTTCTAGATGATAAATCTCTAAAAGCCCTACATGGATCTTGTAACTGTCATCCAAAGTGTTGCCTAATATCTCTTGGAATGTTTAAATGATCTATTTTCAAAAGAGCACTAAGTAGATAGAAATGTTCATTATATACTATTAGCTCACCTAAGGCAAAAGAATATCAAAGGAATCCAACAGGGCAGCTTTGAGTGTCTTTGTGCACGCACCCAAAATTGAATATTAAATACTGATGATGATTAAAAGAACCATCCTAAGAATTATTCATGATCAACTCAGCCCACTCCATACAACAGACGTACAAGCTAGGTGGTAACAGAGGTACTCAGAAGTCTATTATGTGTGCTATATTTAATTACCAATTCCAGGGATTCATCAGATACAACACTGAATCTCACATTTGGACTTCAAGAGATATCTACCCTAAAGTTATAAAAAAGGCTATAATTAAAATGACTAAAAATACTACATTTGGTGAATATGTAAATTAGAGAATGTTTATATATTGCTAGTGGGAGCATAAATATGTAAAAATATTCTGAAAAAAATGTTTGGCCATTTCTACTGAAGCTAAATATATAAGAATTATTTGACCCAAGAATTCTACTCTTGGGCATGCAACCAAGAGAAATTGAAAGCTACATACGACAAAAAAGTACAAGAATATTAGTAGATATAATAGATGCTTCAATCATAGTAAGTAAAGGCAGGAAAATACTCTAATTCCCATCAGCAGTAGAATGTGTAAATAAATAGTAACATACTGATATAATAGAATACTACAGAGCAATGAGAAAGAATGAACCCTCTTACACTCTGTAGCTTGAATTACTTTCACAGACACCACATTAAGTGAAATAACTCAACATATAATAGTGTATTTTATGTGATTCTATTTATATCAAGTTCAACAATAGGCAAAAATAATCTCCAGTAATAAAATTCAGAATCACAATTATTATCCTTATAGTAAGGAGATGCAATGAAGCATTTGTGGATACTGGAAATTATATACATGTTGAGTTGGATGGTGTATTAGTCCATTCTCACACTCTTATAAAGAAATACTTGAGACTGGGTAATTTATAAAGGAAAGAGGTTTAATTGACTCCCAATTTCACATGGCTGGGAGGTATCAGGGAACTTACAATCAGGGCAGAAGGCACCTCTTCACAGGGTGGCAGGAGAGAAAATGAGAGCTGAGCAAAGGGTGAAAGTCCCTTATAAAACCATCAGATCTCGTAGGAACTCACTCTCATGAGAACAGGATGGGTGTAACTGCCCCCATGATTCAATTACCTCCTACCGGGTCCCTCCCATGATAAGTAGGATAATGGGAACTACAAATCAAGATGAGATTTGGATGGTGACACAGCCAAACCATATTATTCCCCTGGCCCCTCCCAAATCTCATGTCCTCACATTTCAAAACACAATCGTGCCTTTCCAACAGTCCCCCCAAGTCTTAGCTCATTACAGCATTAACCCAAAACTCTAAGTCCAAAGTCTCATTTGAGATGAGGTGAGTTCTGTCCTCCTATGAGCCTGTAAAATTGAAAGCAAGTTAGTTACTTCATAGATACAATAGGGGTACAGGTATTGGGTAAATACACCCATTCTGAATGGTAGAAATTGGCCAAGCAAAGGGCTACAGGTGCCACAAAAGTCTGAAATCCAATTGGAGCAGTCATTAAACCTTAAAATTCCAAAATGATCTCCTTTGACTCCATGTCTCACATCCAGGTCACACTGAGGCAAGAAGTGGGCTTCCACAGCCTTGGGCAGCTCCACCCCTGTGGCTTTGCAGGGTACAGCACCCCCCCACCCCTATCCTGACTGCTTTCATAGGCTAGCATTGAGTGCTTGTGGATTTTCCAGGTGCATGATGCAAGCTGTCAGTGGATCTAACATTCTGGGGTCTGGAAGACAGTGGCCCTCTTCTCACAGCTCCACTAGGCAGTGCCCCAGTGGGAACTCTGTGTGGGAGCTCCAACCTCACATTTCCCTTCTGTACTGCCCTATCAGAGGTTCTCCATGAGGGCTCCGCCCCTGCAGCAAACTTCTTACTGGATATCCAGGCATTTCCATACATCCTCTGAAATCTAGGCGGAGGTTCCCAAACCTCATTTCTTGACTTCAAGAACTGAGAACCCAAAGGCTCAACACCACATGGAAACTTCCAAGGCTTGAGGCTTCTGCCCTTTGAAGCAATGGCCTAAGCTGTACCTTTTAGCTCCTTCAAGCATGGCTGGAGCTGAAGCAGCTGGGACTCAGGGCACCATGTCCTGAGGCTACATAGAGCAGGGTGTTCTGGGCCCGCCCCATGAAACCATTTTTTTTCCTCCTAGGCCTCCAGGTCTGTGATGGGAGGGGCTGCTATGAAGGTCTCTGACATGCCCTGGAGACATTTTTCTGATTTTCTTGGTGATTAACATCTGTCTTCTTACTATGCAAATTTCTGCAGCAGGCTTGAATTTCTCCCCAGAAAATACATTTTTTGTTGTTGTTGTTGTTGTTTTGTTTTTTGTTTTTTTTCTGTCACAGTCAGGCTGCAAATTTTCCAAACTTTTATGCTTTGCTTCCTCTTGTATGCTTTTTCCACTTAGAAATTTCTTCCACCAGATACCCTAAATCATCTCTCTCAAGGTCAAAGTTCCACAGATCTCTAGGGCAGAGGCAAAATGTTGCCAGTCTGTTTGCTAAAGCATAGCAGTAGTGACCATTACTCCAGTTCCTGACAAGTTCCTCATCTCCATTTGAGACCAGCTCAGCCTAGTCTTCATTGTCCATATCACTAACAGCATTTTGTTCAAAGTCATTTAACAAGTCTCTAGGAAGTTCCAAATTTTCCCACATCTTCCTGTTTTCTGAGCCCTCCAAGTCTCTAGGAAGTTCCTAACTTTCCCACCTTTTCCTGTCTTCTTCTCAGCCCTCTAAACTGTTCCAGCCACTGCCTGTTACTCATTTCCAAAGTCATTTCCACATTTTTGGGTATCCTTATAGCAGCACCCCACTCCTAGTACCAATTTACTGTATTTGTCCATTCTCATGCTGCTATGAAGAAATACCTAAGATTGAGTAATTTATAAAGGAAAGAGGTTTAATTGACTCACAGTTCTGCACAGATAGGGAGGCCTCAGGAAACTTCTAATCATGGCAGAAGTCACCTCTTCACAGTGCGACAGGAGAAAGAATGAGTGCCAGCAGGGGAAATGCCAGACACATGAAACTATCAGATCTAGTGAGAACTTACTCAATGTTATGAAAACGGCATGGGGGTAACAGCCCCCATGATTAAATTACCTCCCACTTGGTACCTCCCATGACATGTGGGGATTATGGGAACTACAATTCAAAATAAGTTTTGTGTGGGGACACAGCCAAACCATATCAGATGGCATTCATATAAATGGCATTCTATGAAAAAGACAATCTATACAGACTTAATATTGTGTATTTTGCTATGTGTAAACTTTATCTCACCAAATTATTTAAAACAATAATGTATCCCTACACTTTATCCCTACTCCATGAAGGCAGGAAGGAGCTCTGTGGTCCAAAACAGGTTGATGTGGTTGTAGACTTGGAATGGTCAGTCTGTGACCTAGGAATATGGAATCTAATGGAACCAAGTAAAGGTGAATTAGGAGGAGCCAGAAAGTAAGAAACAGAGTAGAGATAAAATACAAATGGGACATGGGACAACAGGAACCAGGTTCCAAGCTAAGAGCAGGCAATAAAGAGGAAACAGAAGGAAGAAGTTTCCAGAGGTTTATCCTGGACATGGGAAGAGGGGAGTGCTTATAGAGCATATGAGGACAGGAAAGGATGTACCAATAACTCTGAGTCAAGATAAACACAGATCTCCTTCTCATCCCCTCTCTCGGTTAGAGAGGAGTTCTGATTTTCTTTACTTCTATTCTGTAGGGTTTCTGAAATTTAGAGTAAGAAGTATTTCCCACATACTTTCTCAGGGAATACCACTAGATAAATATGTGTTGAGTGTCTATAATTTGCAAGGTTAAGTATTCATCACAGCATCATTAAGAATTCAGCATCTCCCTCAAAGCATTCTCACATTCTGTATCTTAAATGACCCTCATCTGTCACCAAGGATAAAGGGTAGTGTGTAGGTTTGTAAGTTGGCATGCACACAGGTTCCTGACCTTTTACTGGAACTATAACTGTGAATCTTAACAGGTCTTGTCTTAACATCAGATTTACATGGATTTGAAGTTCAAATATTAAGCCTCATACAATGTCTTTCCCATCCCTTATCTCTGGGGTGACCATATATGTGAGGTAGCATGATAGAGCCCAGGATTTAAATTGTTATCCAGGTAAATTATTAATGACATCTGTTTTGTTCTCAAATGTGTTCTGATTTTGGATGATAAAATGTACAGTGACCCTACTTATCCCACAGCTCACCCTGCATCTGCTCCTTACATATAGACATATATGATTTTACTGATTCTCATGTAATATTGAAGTGTATTCCTTTTTTGTCTACCCTTATCCACGACAATTTCATCTTGGTACTTGTCATGTGTTCAATGAGTATTTACTGCATGAATACATGAATCACCAATAAGGAAGCTATTATTTTGATGGTTTGGTTAAGTGGAAAGTGACTATGGATGACTAATATGGGAGAAAATTGCCTTGACATATTATAACCTCTCTGGGAAGCTGGCTGGAGAGAATAGTAGCTCAAAGGAAGAGAAAAACTAGTGACTGCCATGGGCATCCAGGAGAAGCATTCATTAGCTAAATTGATCTTACTGCAGGAAATAAAACATCTCTAGGATATTTCAAGTTTGTACTAGGTAAAATTAATGATCAACCCATCATCATTCATCTATCTCTTTTCAAAAATAGGTAATTACACCATCAAGTTTAGGTTAAGAAGCTTGTTAAGTAGAGATTATTGGGATGATGGTGTGGAAAAAAGGCAAAACCATCCATCACTTAAAGCTATATTAAGAAAGTTAAGCCCTCACCACAAGTATGTGCTTCATCAGCATGACTGCATACTTTTCTTAACATTTTTAGCTTCAAAGATTCTTCTTTTAATTGAAACCCAATATGTGTTTATTGCTGATACGTGTTAAAATCTTGCTTATACAGTACATAGATCTCTTTCCAAAGCCAATAGTCCTACATTGTTTGTTTCCTAATTAGCACAGACACTACATGAAAAATGCAAGAGACATCTGCTAGGTGGAGATGCCTATCAGTTTTAATTGATATTTTTTTGTTGTTCTGGATAGTCCGGAGGCACTGTTGGTTTGGCTTGTCTTGAAGCTTTTTAAATAAGCACTTTTGTTTTTTGCAGGTGCATTTAACATAATACTACTAATTTGGAGATATTTTTAATAAATTCTAGATCCACTTGACATAGTGCTTGGTAACTGAGTTGACCAGCAGTGACCATACATTCTTTTTGCCTGGAATGATAGGGTTTGAAATAAAGCCAAGCAGTGTCATAAGTTTCCTGACGTCAGAATTCAACATTGCGTAAGCTGCACAGTATAAAGAACTGATTGCAAAATGTGCTACTGAGTATGAAGCCTTTTAAAAAATTAAATAATATGTAGCAGAAATTGAGGAATAGACTTCAAATAAGCTAGAGAATAATTTTTAAAAATTATGATTCAGTTTTCCTATGTTCTAGCCACAACCAGACAGTCAACTGTAGCCTGTGTACTGTATTTGTGGTTCCATGTAATATTCTTGCTTTCTCTTCTCCCCCACAGAATGTATATACATCTACTCTACATGCATAATAAACTTTGTACCCCTATGATAGCACTGCACACTATCAGTTTATTTTCTGTTTAATCCACTAACAGGCCTACCGTCTAAACCCACAGCCATTTCTGCATCCACCTCTGTATTCGTAATGCCTAGCATAATACCTGGCCAATAAAAAGGGGCTCAGTGCTGGGTGCAGTGGCTCACGCCTGTAATCTCAGCACTTTGGGAGGCCAAGGTGGGCAGATCATGAGGTCAGGAGATCGAGACCATCCTGGCTAACACGGTGAAGCCCTGTCTCTACTAAAAATCCAAAAAAAAAAAAAAGTTAGCCAGGCATGCTGGCAGGTGCCTGTAATCCCAGCTACTCGGGAGGCTGAGACAGGAGAATCACTTGAATCAGGGAGGTGGAGGCTGCAGTGAGCCAAGATCGCACCACTGCACTCCAGCCTGGGTGGCAACAGAGCGAGACTCTGTCTCAAAAAAAAAAAAAGTGGGGGGAGGTGGGCGTTCAGTAAATAATTGGTGAATCAATAAAGTCTTGGGCAAAGCTATGATAAAAATGTTTTCTCATCTATAGAATGGAAATAATAATAGTACCTTACCCATATTTATTTTGTTAAACAAATACCTCACACACAATATTTAGCTGTATATCTAAAATATATTCAGTGTATTAGATAATTAACAGTTATGTTTTTGAAATAAAATAGTATGCCTTTCCTTTTGGCACTTTCTTGTATCTAGTCTCCCTGAATTTAGCCAGAATTATCCATGGCCTCAGAAAGGATTAGGATTATTATAACAGGAATGGAAAAACTAAAGACAGTTGATTATTTAATTCAAAGAAATTTTTATTGCAGGGTGGTAAAAGTTTAGTTGCATACAGATCAAGATTAAATATCTAAATCAATTCTCTATATGTGACCAATGGCAATTAGAGGGGGAAACTGATATATATTGAAAGTCACCCTATTCTAGTCACAACACTATTTTATTTACAAATATCCTTCTAATTAATCATCACAACAGATTGTAAGTTGGGAATTATTATCTACATTTAATAAATGAGCACACTAGGTGAGAGATTAAGTCAAGTTTAGATAAGGGATTGATATTTGAAACCTAATTCTCTCAGAATCTTGTTCCTTAGGGATTCAGTAGACTGAGATAGAAGGAACTAAAGTGTTTGGGGCAGGCAAAAGAACTGACAGAGTTCACAATGAATAGCACAATATATCTATGGACTGACTCTTCTAGTTTGTGTTCTCTACAATCTTTAAATCAAACTAAAGTAAATTAGACAGGACTTTATTAAATTTGGCATAACCACTTTACGTCATTCATGTCAATAATCAGTCATTCAGTGGAAATTGTTTTGTGTCCTTTCTTCAAACTTCTCCCTTTTCTCATCAAGAAAATTCTCCTGTTTCTCACTCCATTAGTCCAATCATAGCAATCACATTATAGCTACCATTTGCTTAGTGCCTTTACTGAGCAGCACCCATTTTTTTAAATGCCAAGCTTGTAGGATAATTATTATCTTCATTTTATAAATGAGTAAACTGAAACTTAGAGACATTAAGTGGTTTATCCAAGGTCAAAATTTAACAGGGAGAAGCTTCTTTCTGACTTTAAAATCTCTTTTTATTATAACCTGCTCCAATTCAACCTCTAAGTCTTAGCTCAAATTCTTCCTCCTCTTTGATATCTTCCTTAACTATCCCATGAGAATTTAAGGATTTCTCTTCAGTACTCAAATAGCATATCCTATGGGCTTTTATTCCAAGTATAATTCCAAGTATATTATCATCCCCATCTTGGATTCAGAGTTACTTGAGAATCGTGATGGTTAATTTTATGTGTCAACTTGGCTAGGTCATGGTATTCAGATATTTGGTCAAAAATTATTCCAGGATGGGCCTCATACAATCGCGCGCACACACACACACACACACACACACACACACACACACACACACATATCTTGTTGGTTCTGTTTCTCTGGAAAATTCTGACATACACAAGAACAAAACCCTATATAATCATCTTTGTATTCCTAGATACTAGTTCATAGAGGCTGGTGCATAGCATGCTCTCAGTACATGATCAAAAAATGAGGTGTCATAAGAAAGAAGAAAAGGTGATGGGTACTAGGTAGTGAGAAAAAATTAGATATATTAAGTATAATAAGTGCAAATGTTTGGGTTTGTTTAGTTTACATGGGAGTAGTTTTAATATTAACACTTAAAATTATGTTCTAGTTTGTTGCCATATACGATCTGCTTATACTTTTTACAGTATTTTCTTTTCATATATAACAAAGATAGTCTCTAAATGACTACTCAAAGTACTTTGTAAAATAAGAATGAAGAGTCACAGAAATCTCTAGGAGCTCAAAACTATGGAGCAGGTAAATGGTGTCTCATATGGAAAGTCAGTTTGCCATAGGCCGTTTGGAATCTTGGTCTAAGTAAAAACCTGGGAAAGATTGTGTAGTTATCCAGTGATCCTTCCTGCATACATTGTGCTATATTTGCATAGAGTATAAAAAGCATGATTCCTGAGTACATTTGAGACATAAGAGCAAAACATCTTTCTTTTTCCTTATTGAATTTATGCATATAAAAATATTTTTAAATTATACGAAAAATATAAAATATTCATGCCAAATCACCCTTATTATAAAGAACCAAATTACACAAAGTTGATACACTATGAGAGAACTGGGGACCTGCAGTCATATTAGCTTAGAGCCTACTAACACTCTTATAGGATGAATGCACCTTAAAGGGAAATAAGTTCAAAACTCCTCTAGGACAATCATTCTCAAATGGAGTGTGGTTTTGCTCTTCCTGGGCAGTATTTCGCAATGTCTGGAAATATATTTCATTGTCAACTTGGGAGGTAGTATGCTATTAGCATCTGGTGAATAGAGACCAGGGATGCTGCTAGATACTCTGCAATAAACAGGAAAGCCCCTCACCAAAAAATACTTATTCAGTCCAAAATGTCATTATTCCTAAGTTGAGAGATAAACTCTACCCTAGAAATTTTGATGATATTAAATATTCAGATTCCTCTAGACCACCTCAGTGGTCTAGGCGGTCTAGAGAAATCTGAATAATTAATATCATCATTCCCAATGTCTTTATAGAAGCAGTCTTAAAGATTACCTATCTTTTGAAGATGGATTTCTTGATTTCCTTTTCTCACTTGTGGAAACAAATTAAAACCACTCAAATGAAATAAAGCAAAGGCTATGTATTCAGAGCAAGCGAGTCAGTCCCCAACACTTACTTATGTCCAAGAATCAAAGGCAAGACAGAAGAGCGGAAAAGCTTCATAGCAGAAAAAAAAGAGGCTTCAGGTATGCCCTTGCATAGGGAGCTGAAGGCAGGATCCCCCTGCCCTGATTAGCCCTCTGCCCCTCTGCCCTGCGTTCTTAATCCCTGATTGGTTAAGGATGTATACTGGTTTTCTGCAGTTTGCTCTAGGATGGAAGCAAGGAGAAAAATTGGAGGGGCTGCTATTATTAATCAATTTCTGACCATTTGGAGCTGTTTACTACATGAGTTATTTTTTTCTGTTTTTTGTTTTGTTTTGTTTTGTTTTGTTTTTAGTTTTCGGACTGATTGATGCAGATAGTAGTTTGACTTCTAAGATTGATTACCACAGACAATACGTTGGCTTCCTGGGATTGCTGCAGATTGTGGGGAAGAATTCTAGTTTTATGTGTCGTCTGTTCATTATCAGTTTACGAGTTCAATCTCTCATACGCTTCACTCATAGACATATCAACTGCGTGGAATTCCATGTTTACTTGAATTCAAAACTAAGAAAGTTTAGCAATAGATATCTGCAGCCAAACCCAGAAAGTAAAAGTTGAGAAAAAGATTATACAAATGAATTCCCAAGAAGAAGATGGGAAAGACAATTTGTAAAGCAAAGAGTCATACTATTTACATAATTCTGTGTTGATTTATTTCTTTATTACTTTCTATACCCTGCTTTTTTTGCTGGGAAAATAAGTTCTTAAGCTATATTTTCCTGATTGCCTTGCCTGCTGACTTAATATAAGCTCCTTCCAATAGGAGAGTTTCATTAGCAATTAAAACACAGGAAGTAAAATTAAGAACAAGAAAACAATAACTTTCTGCTTCTGGTATCAATAGGAAAGCAGCAATTGCCAGCAACTCTAGGGACAACATGAAGAAGGAGTGATTCTGGAATCTAGTAGCCCAATAAGAGGCAGAACTTTTCTGATGGAACTTAAAAAAAATTAATTGGATGGCAACAAGTTCAGAATTTTCAATCCTAACCCAGAGGCATCAGTGCTTCTGATCTTCAGAAATGATCGTTTTTTCTCTTTTTTCTTCAGTCCCCATAATCACTTTTGTGCTCCATACCTTCCAGCACCAAGTTCTCATATTAAATTCCTTCAGTTTGATTTATAGGGAGGATTTATATATTCTACATTCATGATTCTAACTGGTATAGGTAAATGTTGAAATTTTAAAAAATAAGACTTTTACTTATTATAATCTATTTAAGTCTGATATCTATAATGACTTATGATTAAACTAAGCCCTGTCAACAGTGTATTGCCCAACTCAAGTTAAATGAAAACTCTTAGCTCTTTAATTCTACCTGTTTGTCTGTTTCAGGTTTTTCAAACATCTTCTAGGCAAATTACTTCCATTGATTTCTAAAGTATTGTTGGTGCACAAGAAACCATGCTTGCTCAGCAAAACAATTCATAATACTCACTTGGATACTCTGGAAAACAAAAGATTGTCTTTTTGGTTTTTTGATCATGTTCCTGGTTAATGAACCAAAAGCACTTGTAGGCGATAAGGAATTGTGTTATAATATCAGCATCTTTTTAAAGCTGTATCTATGAAGAGCTAGATACATATCCCTAGAATGCATGTGCTTTGTAAAGAGATTTAGATTTCCTAGTTGCCTTTCCTTTAAATGTTATATTTTATGCTTTGAAAGCAAGCAACAAATTTTCCATTTTTATGTCTCTGTCTCTCTATCTATCATTCTCTCTGCCTGTGTCTCTGTCTCTCTCTCTCTCTCACACACACCCCTTTACCTCATTTCACAAGTCTTTCTTTTGTTTAAGTTTTCCTGGTAATATTTAAATCAGAATACACATTCAGAATTTAATTCCAGTAAGACTGAAACAAGGTATGAGTAACACCTAGGGTGGGAAATTTTTGCAGTAATCTTTTCATTAAAAGAATCCGTAAAGCTGGTGTGACAGCAAAAAGAAAAACAACTTATTTCTTTTCAGCCTAATCAACTTAGGGAAAGCAATAATCCTTTGCTAATTTCTTCCATCAGAACAAGCATATGTTGTAAGGAATCACATTTAGAACAAAAAGTAAGCTAAATTAAGTGCCAAGAAATCATGCAAAGAATGGTTTGCTTTCTGAGTATGCCACATTCTCAAGGTTCAACGAAAGGGCCTTTGTTTATGGGATATGTGAAATCTTCCTAAACAAAGACCAGAAATTCTTGAGGAATCCCAATCTTGCTGTTTCAGATTGTTTCAGTGTGATACTGGCTTCTTGCATTGTGAACTGTGTAGTTTGAAAGTTGCAATAAAAGTCAAGGCAATTGGGGTTGCAAAAAGAGGGTTTTCAGAAAAAGGTCTATTTGTTTAAACTGATAGAAATATCTCCTCTCATATCAGCTGGCTTCTACTGCAGAGCAAACCTCCCCAAAACTTAGTGTCAAAAAAATAAACATTTTTATAGACCAGGAGTCAGCCAGTTATGGCCCGTGGGCCAAATCTGGCCTATAGCTAGTTTCGGTACAGCCATAGACATAGGGTTTTGTTTTTCACATTTTTTAAGGGTTATAAAGCCTACATTATTTATTTTCTGGTCCTTTACAAAAAAAAAAAAAAAATGCCTAACTTGGATTTAGACAAGGCTTTTATCGGTCAAAAATTTGCCCTGGGCTCTGCAGGGTGTTTTTTATTAGTTCAGCTGGTTTCAGCTTTTCATTTTATTTCAACTTATATTTTAGATTCGGGGGGTATGCGTGCATGTTTGTTACATGTGTATATTGTGTGATGCTGAGGTTTGGGATTCAAATGATTCTGCAACCCACATAGTGGCATGGTACCCAGCAGTTAGAGTTTCAACCTTTGGCTTTTTCCCTCCCTTCTCTCTCTACTAGTCCTCAGTGTCTAATATTGCCATCTGTATGTCCATGACTAGCCACTGTTTAGCTTCCACTTATAAGTGAGAATATGTAGTATTTGGTTTTCTGATTCTGCATTAATTTGCTTAGGATAATGACTTCTAGCTGCATCCATGTTGCTACAACAAACATGATCTTATTCTATTTTATGGCTGTGTAGTATTTCATGGTGAATATGTACCATGTTTCTTTATCCAGTCCATCATTGATGAGCACCTAAGTTAATTCCATGTCTTTGCTATTGTTAATAGTGCTGCTATAAACACACAAGTGCATGTGTCTTTTTGGTAGAACAGTTTATTTTCTTTTGGATATATACCCATTAATTGGATTGTTGGGTCAAATTGTAGTTCTGTTTTAAATTGTTTGAGAAATCTTGAAACTGCTTGATGATTAGTGTTGTTGAGCATTTTTTTTTCAGAATGGTTTGTTGGCCACTTGTATGTCTTCTTTTGAGATATTTCTGTTCATGTCTTTTGTCCACTTCTGTTTCTTTTTTGTTTTGGATAGGCTCCATCACACATCTGTGGTCAGCTGCCTGTTTGTTAACTCGCTCAGTTTCTGGGGTTTAGTGGCTGTTGGCTGGGGTGAAGGGAACAACTTAGCTACATGTCTCTGATCATCCAATATGTAACCCAGACTTGTTTGCGTGGTGGCTGACAGAGTTCTAAGCGGAAGTATAGAAGTACACAAGGCCTCTTGAAGACTGGACTTCAAGCTGTCACAATGTCCTCCCCATGCTATTGGCCAAAGTAAGTCAAGGAACAGAAAGGGAGGAATGTGTCACTGTTCTTGCAAAGGAACACACACAGAAACTAAGGGCTTTAAGAGTCGTGGCACCTTATTTGGAGTTTCAATGAGGAAGAGGAGAGCTGCCTTCACCCTTAGATTCCCTTGTTTTCAGATTCACTTTTTTGCTTTCTCTATCTCTGCCCAATTTAGTCCTTAATCTTGTGTGGTCTCAATGCCTGTTTTACTCCTATCCTTCTGTGGTCAGGCTTTCTCTGCCTCTCTTTGTGTAGATGCCAACTATATCTATTCCATACTGAGGCATATGAACTCATATAGTGCCTCTAGGGGAATTAGGAAAAGGTAGTCTTTTCTCTGGCAAATGGCTTGGCAAGTAAAGCACAGGATGAGGATTGTAGGCTAGACATCCTTACACAGGATAAAACCTGCAAACTCATTTTTGAGGAACTCTGGCTCTAACCATGCTCTCTGTGTATCTGCAGACTTCATGCTCTCTGTGTATCTGCAGACTTCAAATGTCAACTGAGACTGACTCCAGAGAGAGAATCTGATTGTGTCTTCTTTCAGGTATCTATTCCTAGTTCAGTTAACTGGAACTCACAGGGTAGCAAGTGGCATCCTGTGTGCCACCATATACCTTGAAAGAGGACACGAGCAAAATCTCTGAGAAATAGGACTGGTCAGACTTTTTAAAGGGAATGTGAAGAGGAAATGATTAGGGAAGAATGGTGTGGGCTCATGAGTATATTTTGTGCTGGATATTTGAAGAAGGCTAAGCTTTATTTTGTATTTACTCGAAGATTGTAGTAAATATCAAGAGAGTAGATTCCTACCTCTGTTATATTTTACATGTTAATATATGAAGACTACATACCCCATACCTACTGTGTAAAAAGCCCAAGTTTTAAAAAAGATTTTGCTCCTATGCCTTTTTCTCAGTGAGCACCTAAATATTAATATATATTTTAAATAGAGTGCTCTCAATCTATATTTCATTACATCGATGCCTGAAAGGATATAACACCTAGGGAGTTTAATAAAATAATACAAAGATAAGCTAATATTACTAACATCACTCACAACAAAAATTATACAAAACTTACTAGACAGATTACTTAAGCATAATTGCATATAATTAAAACATACATTAAGTTCTGTTATGAATTTCCAACTACTGAAAACAATTTTCAAGTATTTACTCAGTTTTATTCAACTGTGTCAAAAACAAGAATCTATGATACGGTTTGGCTCTGTGTCCCCACCCAAATCTCACCTTGAATTGTAATCCCCATGATCCTCATGTATCAAGGGCAGGACCAGGTGGAGGTAATTGAATCACAAGGGTGGCAAACACCATGCTGTTCTCATGATAGTGAGTGAGTTCTCACTAGGTCTCATGATTTTACTAGGGGCTTTTACCCCTTTGCTTGGTACTTGTGTTTCCTGCAGCCCTGTGAAGAGGTGTCTTCTGCCATGATTGTAAGTTTCCTGTGCCTCCCCAGCCATGTGGAACTGTGAGTCAGTTAAATCTCTTTTCTTTATAAATTACCCAGTCTTGAGTATTCCCTTACAGTAATGTGAGAATGGGCTAATACATGTATAACCAGTATAGATTTTATTTGCTTGTCTAAATTCCACTGGTATGCTGCTAAGTGATCCATGTCCTATTTATCCCATGCCTACTGTATGAAATTAGCATCTACTCTTAGGCACTGCTCTTCCTGTGGCTGTGTATTACTACCCTCATTTTCTAAATGTATTATTAAGTCACATCACATTATATAACATTAAACCACCAGTATTTATTTGGGGAATCTTCTTTCTACAGGAAACCAAAAATAGCTTCCCATTCTATTCTCTCAGTACTGTCTAATATGCTGGCCAAGGAAAAAGGAGGGAGACTGTGTTTAATAACTTTTTCTCAAAAAAAAATCAGTTGGTTTTTCATACCTATTTCTACAGTTTTGTCTCTCTGTATCTTTGGTAGCAAAAACAAGAATCTTAAACATGTTCTCACTGGGTGGGGCCCATTTTATTTCTTGCATCTTTTATAATCTTCTTAAATCACTTTAGGAGTATACCAAAAGGCAGATTTTTGAGCTAACAGACCTGGCTTTGAATCTATAACTTATAGCTGGGTAAATTTAAGACATTTATGTGCCCTAATGCTCCACTACCATGTATGCAAAATGGAAGTAAAAACTATGTGTCTTTATTACTGTTGGGAAGATTAGAAAAGAAATTTATATTAATTACCCTGTGCATTATGCAATTTAAAATTACTACAAAGCATCCCATTTTGTATTTTTAAGTCTATTTGAAGTGAAATCTTCCTGTTAGCCCTGTCCTTTACACAGAGTTTAACCATACTCAGCTTCTGTTAATATCCCACTAATAGAGACTTAATATTTGAGCATCTTAATACTATATGAAGGATTAACCTTTTCTTGTATGTGGAACTTTAGATTTCAGCCATATGTAAAAGAAACCCAAAACATGTGACTCAGTCATGTACAGCCTTGATTTATTTTATCCGAACTTCCAAGGAATCTGAAGGTAGAAGGTCCAGGATTTGTGCAGTGGCTCTAACAATATTTGTTTTTTCTTTCTGCTATGCCATCCTTAGCTTTTAGTCACACAACAGCTGTGGAACCTCCAGGCAAGTGTTTGCATAATAAGCTGGAAGAAGGGATGATGGGGGAAGCAAAGGCATGCCAACTGAACCTGCCATATTAATCATCAGAGCAATAGCCTTCTTGCATGCCCTGGTCAATCAGCTCCTGCTCATGTCACATAGCAATGCCTATACTTTATTTGTTGGCTAAATTTTGTTTTTAAGATGAGCATTTTGCACTACTAAATAACACTGGAGTTATGTTAGCAAAAAGGAAAATGGAAAATAGTTTTTAGTAGACAGGTAGGAGTTTTTGGCACAGATGTCTACAGCAACTTCAAAGTCATCTTCTCTAAAAAACATTTAGCTCTCTCATCTTCCTATGAAACTGCAATGCTGATATATTCTGAGTAGAACAATTAAGACTTTGGAAAAATATAAATGGTAGGTAAGACTCTGACTATACGTTGAGTTGTGAGAGAAAGGTAAGGATCACTCTAGGTAAGGGAGATTGTTCCCCTAAAGAACAGTGTGACTATTCCCAAAATGCAGGTGTAAACTAGGAATTTTGGCAGGGTATCAAGACTAAGAACTGAAACATATCTGCAAGGGCATTCATTTAAGATGGACTTAGTTTTGGAGCAATTTTTTCCTCTTGAATCATGAGGAGTGTCAGAATAAGTTTACTATTTAAATTTTTATCCATTTAGTTATTTTCTTTACTGATATGCCATCTATTATTACATGAGTATGTGTATTCAATACTTCTAGAGCCTAATATGATGATGTGGAGAATAAAGTGATGAAGCAAAAAACAAACAAAAAAAAACACACAAAAACTCTGGTCCATTACAAGTCTTCTCCTCTCCTGCTGACACTGGGATGAATTAACTGCTGTCAACAGAACTGTGGACAGTAACTCCAAGAATGCCTCATGGTGAAGGATGAGGTGGCTCACAGGAAGAAATTATTACAGGGAGCTTGCAAAGGGTAGACAGCCACTAGGTAGGCAGTTCAAGAATTGAGACAAGTTCCATCATTCCCAAGATATGGTAGAGGGAGGTGGCTCTTGAAAAACAGAAGCTGGTTTAGTGTTATAAGAGTAGGAGGAGCAGGATTTTAGAAAGGACTAAGAACTGGGTATGAGACCCTGCACTGCCAAAAACAGGAATATGACTTCATTTCTCTTGGCCACAATTTTTACTTCTGCTAAATAAAGGCAGCTCCAAGTTCCTTACCTGGAAACATTTTTTTTTCTAGGATTCTGAATTTAAATGTAAATATTATGTGCTTGGAGAGAGTCTGAAATCCTTTGCAATAATGAAGGAATGGAATGAGCTGCAGATTATCTGATATAGCTTGTTATCCAGCATTGTTTTGAATTGATTCATCTGGAAGCATGAAAGAACACTGCATCTCTGTGATGTGTACCATAAGTAACATTACTAAAAATGTCATATCAGGTATTAGCCACCCCTCACCATGTTTCCCAATTCAGACACCATTTTGTTTGTTCTACAACTCTTTGTAACAAGATATTCTAGGTGAAATTATATATTCACAGATTGCCAGAGAAAGTTGACTGAGAATCATTAACTATAATATGAATTATAGAACAATTGCTATTAAGTGGTATTAAAGCAGAGATGGAAGAAAATTGTATTTACTTTGGGAACTTAAAACTTTGTTAGGAAGGTGGCCTAAGAGTTGAGCTTCCAACTATGTACAGAGGTACAAAAGTTTTCATAGGTACTGAGGTTGAAAGAAACCTGTAAGATGACAAAAGAATGATAGAGAAGACATGTAGTTGTAAATCAAAAAATGTAAACAGAAAAAGTTACATGCCAGATCATAGTGTTAATTGGAAAAAGAGTTGGAGCTGTTTTTTCCCATCTCCCTCCTTTCCTCTGTTTCTTCTTTTGTTCTTTCCTTTGGATTACTTCTTAACATACGAGTAAGCTGATTGTGGAAGGAAAAATGATTTGTCTAAGAACACATTGCTTATTACTAGCCACTAGGAATTGTTCTGACTATTCTGACTCCCAGGCTAGAGTTGCTGCTAAAAACTATGATGGAGTTTGATCATAAAGCACCTTGAGTTATACATTAAATAGTCATTACTGTTGGTAGTCACAAGCCAAAGGAGTGGCGTGATCTCGCTGAGGATTTAGAAAGATAATTCCATAAATAGTGGGAAAAATATGATGAGAGTGAGAATATCAGTAAGAAAGTGGTGGTAATTTTCTAGGCAAGGTCTGAGAAATATCACTGGAAAAGAATGAAAGAAGTTGGATACTCACATAATGAAGAAAATTTCCGAATTGCTAACATGTCCTATGTATGGGACCTGGAAAACTTTACTGCAATAATCTATCCCCCACAGGTCTAGTTTTCTATGCAACTCTATAGTGGTATAGCGGTGATGTGAATGTGTTTCCTCTTCAATTCCCATTTGTGGGAGGGAAATTTGGGATACAAAGATGGTGGTTCAATACCATAATGAACATTGTGAATCTCTTCTTATTCTACTGGCAGACTGCTGGCTGGGTGATAAGGACCTATAGCTATTATTTCTACTGCAACATTTATTATTAAATATCCATTCTTGACATCTGTGCTAGATTAACTATTCTGTAACCTTCTTTTTTGCTGTCAAACATACCAACCTTCTCAACCCTAATATCATCACTATCAACCCAGGCTTTTAAAAGTTTCTACAGAGCTTCATAACATAAAACAAACACATGTATTAACAAAAAAGAGAAGCAGCTGAATCATATGTCTGATAAAGAGTACTGGTGACTGTGCTAATTGCTCAGCTGAGTCCGGCATCATTTTATAGCCTGTCTAGCGTGTTACCCAGAAGTAATTTCCCCAAACATGTTTTCTGTCCTTCAACAGCTAGTACCATGCTTCTAAGCTTCTGTTTTCTAATTTGGATGAATGAGTGAACTTGGCTGAGGGGATGCATTGTCAAAGCTGATTTATGTTGTTGTCAATCCAAACTGCTTAGCTCTGCAGCTGAAATTATCCTTACATGCCCATTGTTCAGAGTTCAGAAAA
The DNA here is from genome assembly GCF_000001405.40 of Homo sapiens. NCBI lineage: Eukaryota > Metazoa > Chordata > Mammalia > Primates > Hominidae > Homo > Homo sapiens. The sequence continues at coordinate 35,197,876 of NC_000003.12, forward strand.
ACACCTTCTGTTCTATTGTTCAGCCATAGTCAGAATACAGATTTTTCTGTGCTGTTGTTGTTCTTTTCCCTATGTATCAAGCTTTTTTACAATAATGGATGACTCTACTGCGGAGTTGTTTTTTTAATCTCACAGGAAAGGACAGAGCACAGTTACAAATTGACACAGTGGGCTGGAGGTGATATTAAAAAAAATCTCTAAGAGCGTAAATAACTACCAACCATTTTTTTATTTTCATAGAACCCATTTCTAGCACTAATGGGAGAATATATGTGTGTGTGTGTGTGTGTGTCTCCACACATATATAGTGTAGTCAATGATTGTCATCTGTGAAGTCCTGAGTAATTTATCCAAAAGTGAAGAACAGGCTTTTCTATATATACCTTTCCCTGTTTCATTCAGGCTTTAAATAGAAAACCAAAGGTGTTCTCAAATTAGAATAATTTTATAAAAGTTTACTTATTGGTGGATTGTAAAAGCAAAAAGAGTGTAGTGATCTTAAGAAAATTTGCCACTCTTAACCCTCCAAGTCCACTCGAAGGCCTAAGTGAATGGATTAAGTTATTGGAATCCAGAATTGGAGAGCTATGCAGAGGAGTCCACCTGGAGAGAAAGTGACTTTTGCTCATGGGACACAACTAGCCCAAAGTAATGTCTCAAGGGCGGGAGGTAGAGAAATATATAACTACCTACTCTCATCCTCCTTCCATGCCCTACTGAGACCCTCTATTGGCCTAACACAACAAGGAACCACAGAATGAAATATCCTAGAGCTGCTGCTGTAATGGGTACAAGGTAACCTCTATGACAAGAAGCTGGGTGGGATGTGAAGGGGGTCAGTCTACAGAAGCAAACAAAAGATATGTGATGCATTATTTGTCAATGTTGCCATTACATAGTTCTTGAACTAATCTCTTAAGGTTAACATCTTCACCTATAAATTGATCACTTTATTTAGTTCAAGGTCAAAAACCTAGTTATCCTAGTTATGCTCTGTATTTGGTGTTTTAAACTAATATTTAGAAAAAAGCTCACGGCTTGGCCTATGGCAGGGGTGGAGCCAAGGACTTTGACCAGAAAAGCAGAAAGGACTCTCTTCAATCCCATTCCCTCTTAGCATGGTTTATCCAGACACAGTTCCTTTTCAAGCATATGCTTACACCTCCCCCAGGTTTCTGTGTTTCACACCGGTGCCTCTCGTCCTGGATGTTGTAGGCAATCAGGCCTCTGAGACCAGATACATCCTTCCAGACTTTGGAACACAGACTTGTTTATAATGGCACCTTCCTACATTGATCCCACTGCTGTTGCTTTAGGACTTGAGAATATTACCAAAAACAATACTCTGCCTAGTTTCTTTTTAGGAGACTGTATGCTGTAGGAGCTCAGAGAGGCTTCATTACCAGGAGAGAAGCATCAATGCTACACAATCAGGTCTTTAACCCCAAGCAGCCCAAAATAAACACAGAAAAAATTCTGCCATTTTCAGAAAGTTTTTTGTACTTCCATGGGAGTGTGTGTGTGTGGAAGTTGGTATGCCCACATATTCCTGAAGTGGGGTATTTTTACTGGAGAAAGACATAGAAGACTCCTGGTCTGGTTTGAGTTCTTTACCCTTTACCATTTCAGCCTTGCTTTTTATCATCTACATCCCTAAATCTTAAGTTTCATGTTTTTCGACGATGCAAGTGATAGATACTAAGACTACTTTGTAAATTTACCCAGTGAAATGTTTTATACCTTAATCACCAGGTAGATTTTCCTTGTCTAGTTATATTATTTTTTAGCCTATGTAAGATCTTTTTTAGAATCATCTTAGTATTTGTTTATGCAGACGTAAGCTGTAAGCCTTCCCAAAATAGTTTGACTTTGGACCGTGGAGGTATTTTTTTTTAGTTTCTTTCACTGGGAACAAACTTTAATCAAAATAGACACATCACAATAAACAATATTTTTATTGAACTTCCTAAGTTATAGATCACTTTTTAATTCTTTACCTAATTTAATTCTCTCAGCAAGACCATGGGATAAACAGTTTCATCCCCACATCCAGGATGAAAAGGATCGGGCTAAGAAACTTGATTTTTCTCAGAAAATGTGGTCTTTTGTGTTTGTCCACCCCAGGTTCCACATTCTTGGTCTCTGTGCAATATATGGGCCTAGGGAAGCTGTTAACACAATGTAGTCTCCAATGTATGCCACTATTTAGAACACTTAATAACTTCTTTTTAAAATTTCACATTAACCTCTTTTTTAAATTTCACATATCTTGCTTAGATATGCCAAAGTTTCCCCTTGATGCCTGCTCAAATCTTGAAAATTGAGTCATTTATAACAAACAGCATGAGTCAGAACAGTGGCATCTAGGTTGCTCAGAGTTACAATACCAGATGCTGAACTGTAATAACTTATCTTTAGCCTCAGCATTACTGAGAGACCTCATATTACAATGGAGCCAAACTCTCCTCTAAATGGTCTTGGATGAATCTAGCAAGAGCTTTTCAACTCATATCTTCAGACACAAAGACAGCCTTAGGAGCTGTTTTACTCATGCCCAAATAGAGGAAGGAAGAGAAAGAAAGAGGAAGACAAAGGAAGGTGGGAGGGGGGAAGATGTGGCTTTTAAAATATGAAATATGCATATATTTCCTATGTATATATGGGCTTCTTGTTTAATAAGTCAAATTAGACTCTGCTAAACTAATTCGACTTTTTCTGAGATCATCATTTTTATTATGGTACTAGTAAGAATCTTAAAATCTCATCTCTTTCTACAATTGATTACAAACACAGTGTACAGAACTTGTCAAGCCTTTTGGAGATCTGCTCTTGATTAATGACCTGATAGAATCTCTGGATGTAAAGATGAGGGTGTTATATTTTCATTCAATTTAGTCACAGCTTAAATAATTTTTGTTGTTAGCAATGCTTATGTTTCTAAAGCAAGATCTTGTGCCTCTCTTATTGTGTGTGGAAAGATTAGACTCAAATTCAGAGGACATTTTGTTGGCCTTAATATAAGGAATTGGGAAACATCAGATATGAATATTCACCTGGAGACACAGAATATTCTGTAAGCATGGTCTTTTTCTTTCCATTTTATAATAAAAATCAAACTGAAGAAATTCCTGGGCTTTTCCCTTTGACAGTCAACTTTCAAAGGTCTCTTAGTAAAATGTATTTCAGAAACAAATTCAGTGAAGTCAATTTTTGAACTTTCTTCCCACATTTGTGCTAACGAACAAGAAACAATCACAGCAATGAATTAATTACTCTAATAACATCTCTCATAATCACATTCTTTCAAGAACAAGGGTCTTTTTCCTTCTGGTATTGAAGAACAGCCAATCAAAATCCAGATATAATTATTCTAAAAACTCCTTGCTCTCCCTTTTAATATAATCATTTTAAATATCTAGGGAGAAAAACTAAGGAGACACAATCAGAGGAGGAATTAATTACTTGATTAACTTTGCTTTTACTTGGTTTCATTTATTCACAGTTCTGGAAGGGGCCCTCCAGAGGTCATTTTTCCATGTATCTGCCACCTGTCAGGGATGCTTCAAAACCATGCAGACAGATGGATAGCTTCCTAATGTTTTTGCTCCCTCATTTAGGGTTTAGTTTTTTTCTTTTCTTTTTTTTTTCCTTTCTTTCTTTCATTATTCCTTTTCCCGTGCCTTCTGGTCTGTAATTGCCTAGAAGAATTACACACACAAACACGCACACACACATTCAGGATTTCTCCAATTCCTTAAAGATAATACACTTTGTCTAAAACATACTTCATTAAATCTAGAACTTGTTTTTGGAAAAGTTATATATCTTCAAATATCCATTTACATTTTGAAGAGGTGAGCTTAAGTACTACAAGATGGATAATGATAGGATTCTGGAAACACTCCAGAGAGTAGAAAAAGGGGGAAAAAAGACATGTTGAGAATGATGCCTCATTTCTACTACTGGCCGTAAATTACATTTTGAACAACGACACTTATTATTATGTTTTTCTTTTTAGTTCGCTACATGTTTATAACATTTTAAACATTCCCTTTAAACATTTTAAAGAAATAAAAGTAAATTGTTGTTCAAAATAAAGGTAGTCATTTTTGTTTGTTTTGTTTTGTTATCTAGTGCAGTAAGTAACATTCTTTTGAAGAAAATTGCAGGATCAGTGAAAGAGGTTCTGTTTTTAGAAATATTTTGGGGAAAACTTCTCTTAACCTTGTCCCATAAAATGAATGACCATTGCAAACTAGCTCTATATCCATTTTCTTATATTTTCTAGGAGTCCATATTTTTATGAGTTAAAAACTGAGCAGATGTAAGTGGCAACCATTGGGTCAACATGTAGGGCCATGATTCTGATTTTGCAGTGTTTTGAGGCAGAGAACACGTAATAATTACCTGTCCAGTAATGCTATGTGGTCAGGAGCTTCTGTGGAACTAAATTCAAAGGATTATATATTATAGATGTCAATCTGGATACATGTTCAAATATGTGTAGTGGGCCGGGCATGGTGGCTCATGCCTGTAATCCCAACACTTTGGGCGGCCAACACTTTGGGAGCAGGCGGATCACCTGAGGTCAGGAGTTCAAGACCAGCATGACCAACATGGTGAAACCTTGTCTCTACTAAAAAATACAAAAATTAGCCAGGTGTGGTGATGGGCGCCTGTAATTCCAGCTACTCGGGAGCCTGAGGCAGGGAGAATTGCTTGAACCCAGGAGGTGGAAATTGCAGTGAGCTGAGATCAAACCACTGTATTCCAGCCTGGGCAACAGAGCAAGACTCCATCAAAAAAAAAAAAAAGGGAAGAAAAAAATGTGTAATGATCTCAGACATTGCCTTTATGTATCTTTTGCTCTTGTGTGTAGTTATCCTGGTGGATTAGTTATCAATACTAAAGTATCTTCGGAACTGCTTTTATTATGTTTGTTTCTCCATCTGACCTCTTCAAGAAGGATGTTCACATATTTGTACAGGTAACAAAACTAAAGTTGTATTCTGTCTTATTGTTTAAGGGGATTTGAAATCAGACCTGCCCCTAGGATACTGAAAACAGATATGTCAGCTTTTGCTATGAGGAGACAAAACACCACATAGTGGCTTAAAACAACCACCATTTTCTTTAGCTCAGCTTTGAGGGTTGGCTGAGTTACCCTTCTCATATATTTGTGGTCATTTGGTAGGTTGGCTTGTGGCTGGATGTTCTATCTAGAACAGCCTTATTTGCAAGTCTAATAGTTAGAATTCTGGTTTATTTATGTGGGCCTTAGCATGGATTGCTTCTCTCTCTTCCACAAGGTCTCCAATCTTCAAGCAGCCTAGCTCAAGCTTTTCTACTTCATATATATTGGGTTGAATAATATCCCCCACCCAAATTCTTGTCCACCCAGAAACTCAGTACATTGCAAATGCAATTAGTTAAAATAAGGTCATACTGCATTAGGACAGGCCATAACATCAATGACCAACATCCTTAAAAGAAAAGGAGAGGACAGACAGAGACAAATGGAAAGAAGAAGAGAATGAGAAGGTGGAGGTGGAGATTGGAGTGATGCAGCTACAGGGCAAAGAAAACCAAGAACTGCTGGGAGCCACCAGAAGCTAGGACAAAGCACAAAACAGATTTCCCTTCATAACACCTCAGAAGGAACTAACTTTGCTGATACTGTGATTTCAGATGTCCAGCCCCCAGAAGTGTGAAAGGATAAAAAAGTGTGGGTTGTTTTCATCAACTCAGTTCACGGCACTGAGTTATAGCAGCCCCAGGAAGCTAATACGTGGTGTTTTCAAGGTTTCAAAGAAAAAAAAATGAGAACAAGCCCAAGGTAAAAGAACTCATCAAGTTTTTGTTTGAGGCATGTTTCCTGATATTCCATAGCCCAAAGAAAGTCTCATGGTCAACCAAGTCAAAGAATGAACAATACAGTCTTCACCCCTTAATAGGAAGAGCTGTAAGCCATATTGAAAAGGGGCGTGGACACATAGGAGGAGAACATGTGACTCTTTTTGTTGCCGTCCACCTCTGCACCTTTAACATGTAGTCCCTATCCTATGATCCATGGGTAGCATATCCTAATATAAGGTTTAGGTATGTTTCTCTGGTGTATGTTCTTTCAAAAATGTCATAAAATACATTATTAGATCAACTGATGAAAAAAAAATCTGGTTGAATTGACTTTTGAGGCTCTTGAATTCACAGACCAGAAATACAGCTTGGTGCCAGGTAAAGAACTGAAATTTAGATTCCAGTTGGACTCTTTGTTGTGTGAATGATTACACCCAGAAATTTTCATAATTACTCTTTTAATGTAGAGACCTCTTAGAAGGTAGATTAGACCAAGAAAAGTTTCCTAAAGTCATATTTTTCTGGTATTTTGTTCTGGTATTTTATTTCTTCCTAAATAACTACTAGTTTCATGAAAAGGCATACGTAGTAAATGACAGGGCATCTTTGTTACTGCCAACTTCTTTTGGTGCACTGGTTCATTAAGAAAAAGTTAATTCTGTAGAATTTCTTATATACGCTTGTTCTAATGGTCTACTCCTCACTGAAGCTTAAACATCAAAGGATTTTGTTCTTCGGAAAACCCTATAAAAGACATGAATAGACAAACTACAAAATGAGAATGTAAATCATTATTAGACAAACATACTGTATCAATGTAAATTTATGAATGTGTCAATTGTACTGATGGTATGTAAGAAAACATTCCTATTCTTAGGAAATACTCATTGAAATATTAGGGGTAAAGAGTCATTATATATACAATGTATATTTTGTTCAACTATTTCAAATGTTTCAGAAAAATAATGAAGTAAACACATATACAGGATATGGGGTAAAATATTAACAATAGGTAAATATGAGCAAAAGGAAGGCAGGTGTTCTTTATACTATTTTTATTTTTGCAGAATGTATAACTAAGATTATTTCAAAATGTAAAAATTATCATTAAATATGTTTTCCTTTTTTAACAAAATCAAATGACAACCAAGTTATATCCATTTTAATTTCTTCATTTTTCCTCTCTGACATTACACAGTTGCTGTTTTGTTCCTGGGAAGGAGATGACGTTGCCTTCTGTGGAAAGGTTTTTATCAGGTCAGCTCCACTTTGGAAAGGTCAAGTTCTTATGCGTATTTTACTTGTGCGGAGGGTCTAAGTAGGCAGACAATCTGTCTGTTAGGCTACAGCAGATGTCCTAGCTATTAAGATTATCTACTACACAGTGCCCACACTCTCTCAAAGGCAGGCTAATGGGTGAGGAAAGCAGGTAAGTGAAATGTCAAGGAAAATGGCAGTCAAGGCTGCGAATCATATTCTAGTCTGCTTTGTAAACAGGGAGATGGATAGAAAGTAGAAGCATTATGTTCAGTGGCTCTCACTTAAACATGAAAAATAACTTCTGCTTTATTAATAAATGACATTAGATATATTCATACATCCCTTTTATCACAGCCAGCACAGTAATGCAGCCACAAGCTCAATGATGAATAAGAAAAACTGTCGATGTCTTAAGTACCTTTTATTCAGTTTGTCAAGGAGGCTCAACATGGTGGGGTTTAAAAATGAAATGGCTTTTTTTTTCGATCACTGCTTTGTAGAATATATGTTGCTGTCCATTAATAAATCATGTGATTTCCACAGCTTTCCATTTACTCACAGTTATTACAATTTGGACCATGTTAAAGCTTAAAAATCTAAATTGCTCACTAGTAATTATTAAAATTTGGTAAACTCGAAAGCTTCAAATCAAACTCAATTCAAAACTCATTTCCTCAGCATACTCTACATTGCTTCCCCATCCCCCATGCCCACTTCCACCGACACTGCCACCAATGCAAACCTGAGATGACAGGCTTACTGTGGAGTGACAGAGGCTTGGAAACCCATCCACCTTTTGCAATCCAGCTCTTCTGGAGAGCTGCACCTGGGTAGAGGGGAGGTATAAGTGAAATTTCTCCTTACTTTACTAGGTAAGGTTTTAATGTTTTTGTAGGCCATCTCTGTTGCTTTTGCAACACTGACTGACCTTTGTTGTCCTCCAAATGGCAGACCTGTAAGGCCTGCTTCTCTCATGGGATGTGTGCTTAAGTTACTACATTGTGTGGTTCCCCCACTCCATCTTTCCCTGATCCTATGTTTGGAGACCTAAATGGGGCCAGGTGCCTCAAGCTTCACCACCATTTGACCCATGGCAGACTCTCATATACTTCCCAAACTGCCCACTGCTTGTGTCAGTTTACTCTAATTCTCTTCTTATCCCCTCTGATAGACCCAGCAGTAGATTTATGTGTCTCTTGCCCAAGCAAGTGTCCAACTAAGCAGTGGAAAGCTAACCCTCTCCCCATCTTGAAACAACCTCTAGCTACTTTGAGTCTCCTTTCATTTTGTTTCAGAAGGGAGGAAAGCCTACTCTTTCCATCAACAAACCTTGAAAGATTTAAAATCCAAATCAAATATAACATGGTCATTTTCATTGGATTTCAGATACAACATAATTTTATTCTTCTGTACTCAGTCCAAAAGGGTCCTGAAAATTCCTCATGGGGATCCTAGAATTCTGCATTATCAGGCTATATAAAAAGGCACCTCACCACCCACTCCCATTCCTACCAGGGCGATGTCAAAGTAGGGATGAGTAGGGAGCTAAAACGTTCATTCTTGGTGAGCAATAGTAAATATGCCCCTGACTCTCCCACCCTCTTCATTTTTCCTCCCACAGCACTGCCATGTCAGAGGAGATGTCTGTCTCCACTGGGTGGTGACAAGTATTGAATTCTCCATTCCTTTCACCAATGGGTTAATGCCAAAGGAGTCCTAGTGGAGAGTTAGGACTTTCTCAGCCATTATGTGGTAACTGGGATATCCACCCCATAGTGTCACCTCCTGCTCTCATGTGGGGACCCAGACCTTCCAACCCTAATAGGTAGATGAGAGTGGATATCTGCTTGTTCTTAATCCAGGAGGAAAGAATCAAATCTTCCACTATTTAGTATGATAACAGCTATAATTTTTTTGTAGATATTCTTTACCAAGTTGTGGGAGTTTTTCCATATTCCTACACTACTGAGAGTTTTTATCCTGGTATTGGATTTTGTGAAATGCTTTTTCAAAATCATATAATTTTTATTCTTCAGCCTGTTAATGGTGGATTACATTGATTTTTAAATGTTGAACTAGACTAGCATACCTAGACTAAATCTACCGGGCATAATGTATAATTCTTTTTAACACACTGTTGGATTTTAATTACTCATGTTTTGGTGAGGAATTTTGCATTTATGTTCATGAAAGATACTGGTCTATAGTTTCCTTTCTTTCTTTTTTTTTTCTTTTTTAGGTGGAGTCTCTCTCTGTCACCCAGGCTGGAGTGCAGTGGCATGATCTCAGCTCACTGCAAGCTCCGCCTCCTGGGTTCACGCCATTGTCCTGCCTCAGCCTCCTGAGTAGCTGGGACTACAGGCACCCGCCACCACGCCTGGCTAATTTTTTGTATTTTTAGTAGAGATGGGGTTTCACTGTGTTAGCCAGGATGGTCTCTATCTCCTGACCTTGTGATCCACCTGCCTCGGCCTCCCAAAATGCTGGGATTACAGGCGTGAGCCACCACGCCAGGTCCTAGTTTCCTTCCTTGTAATGTCTCAGTATAGTTTTGGTACAAGGATGGTGCTGGCTTCAAAGAGTGAATTAGGATGTGTTCTCTCTTCCAATTACATTAAATGATCTAATATACTAATCAGAAGGAGATTGGAAGAATGTATTTAAAAATCATGATAAACATGATCTAACAAAATGACTACAAGAAACTCACTTAAAATAAAACAATATAGGTAAGTTTAAAGTAAAATAATGTACAAAGGTGCACCATTCAAACATTAAGCCAGAGAAAGCAACAGTGACCATCATATTATCAGATAAAGTAAAATCAACACACACAATATTAATAAAGGCAGAGCGAGTATTACATAAGAAACATCAATCCCCAAATATTTCACAGAAATCCTAAAAGAATATATACCAAAAAAGGGCCACAATTATTTGCATAAAAATGATAGAATTAAGAAAACAAAAAGGCAAATAAACAATCATAGGAGACTTCAACATCCATGTCTCAACAATTAATAGAAAAACTAGACTTGAGTTTAGCAAGAATGTAGAAGAACTCAACAACATCATTAATCAATAAGATCTGATTGACATATATAGAACATTTCATTTCAAATCAGCATAGTACACTTTTCATTAGTGCATACAGTGTACATGTAGCATGACACACCATATGCTGGGCTGTAAAAAATAAACCCTCAACATATTTAAAAGAATTAAAACATCTGAGAACAATGGAATCTGGAACTCAGTAACAGAAGTATATGAGGGAAATCTCCAAATGCTTGGAAACCAAATGACACACTTAATAATAAACAACATAATTAAGTAATCCATGAATCAAAGAGAAAGTTTCAGGGAAGAATCACATAGTACATTGAAGTGAATAAAACTACAAACTTATTAAAATATGTGGACCACAGCTCAGAAGGAAATTTATAGCACTAAATTCTCACATTAGAAGAGAATCAATATCTCAAATCAATAATTTAAGCTCCCACCTCAGTAAACTAAAAGAGGAGCAAAATAAAACCAAAGAATGCTTAAATAAGTAAATTAAAAATGTAAGATCAGAAATCAATGAGACAAACAACTGGTTCTATTAAAAAGACCAAAAAAAATTGAAACTGACCAAAAGAAAAGAGAGAAAGATAAGAGACACAAATTACTAATATCAGGAATGATCTGGAAGATACCATTACAGACACTGCAGTCATGATAAGGGTTATAAGGCACTATTACAACTAATTCTATACACACAAGTTTGACAACTTAGATAAATTGGACCTAATCTTCAAAAGCACATACTACCACCACTTATTTAAAATAGGTAAGTTGAATAGCCCTAAAATATTAAGAAAATTGAATTTGCAATGTAAACTCTCATAAAAAAGAAATCTCTAAGTCTGGATTGTTTCATTGGAGACTTCATCAAGTATTTAAAAAGTTAATGTCAGCACTACACAATCTCTTCTGGGAAACAGAAGAGAAGGAAAGACTTCCCAAATCATTTTATGATTTATCATTAATTTATTGTACTGACACCAAAACCAGACAGAGAAAATACAAACAAAACAAAACAACAAAATACAGTCTTTCTCATAAATACAAAAATTCTTAAGAAAATGTTAAGAAATATGTTTTAGCAATATATATGAAAGAATTATACACCATGACCAAGTGAGACTTAATAAATGTCTCCGAATAGTAGGAACAGACAGGAGCTTTCTCAACTCAATAAAGAACATGTACTGATGAACTATAGCTAATATTCTAAGGGTAAAAGACTGAATATTTCCCTCCAAAGATTACGAACAAAGAAAGAATGTCCACTTTCATCACTGCTGTTCGACATCATACTGGACGTCCTAGATGGAGCAATAAAACAAGAAAAGGAAAAAAGGAATATAGACCAGAAAGGAAAAAAAAGTTATATTTGCAGATGATATGAAAGTCTTCATAGAAAATCTCAAATAATCTCAAACAACCCTTCTAAAACTAATAATTGAACTCAGCAAGTTTGCACTACATAAGAACAATGTTCAAAATCAGTGGTATTTCTATATGCTTGCAATGAATGCATGGAAACTGAAATAACCATTTACAATAGCTCAAATAATGAAATATTTAGGTGTAAATCTACAAAAATATATAAAGGACTTGGATTTTGAAAATTAGCACTATATTATTAGACATAAATTGTATTTAGTTGTCCACATGTCTGTCCTTCACCGATTACCGTTCCTTAGCAGAAGCCATTTAAACATCTTTGTGTGGCAGTACTCATCATTCTTATTGTTGAAATGTTACAAATGTTTTGCAAAGAGACAAAGAAGTTGAAATAAATAGTGACAGGCATGTATTTAGAAGTTTGGAATGTAGAATTTAGTTTGGTAGTTAAACACCTTCTAATCACGAAGGAAACCGATTTTGACAGTAGATGCTAACACTGTCGTCCAACTCCTGTGTCATTGTGAAGGCTGGAATTCATCGTGATTGGAATCTCCAAATTGCCTTATAGCTTTCTCTATGACACTTCTACATTCTCTGCTAAACAGTCTTGAACTTTAGCTCTGCAAAAAGGAGTGGTATTGGGGGACTAATGTAAGAAGGTAAGAAAAAAAAAGTTTGGATATGTAGGAAGCTTGTGGGAGGGAAGGTAGTTGTTCAGATACAGAGCTGTGTCTCCTGACTCACTATTTGCCTTTTTACGAAAGGAGCTACCTCCTCATCCTAAGAACAAAGAGCAGTTGGCTAATTAGTGTCCTTAAATTCCCTCAAGGAAAGTTATTTCGATAGCTGTGACCTTTGTTTCAGTTGAAATTTTTGATCTCTTTCTCCTGTGACTTCAATTTTTGCTTTCAGTTATGATAACTTATATAATTTCACATTTTTAATTATACAGTTCTTAAAGGCAGAAGTGTGGCATTATACACCTCTATAGCCTTCACAGCACCACACAGCCACAGGCTTTCCTCATAGTAGGGGTCCAAAAATATTGGAGAAAAGAAATAATAAGTGTTTATTTATATTATTGCCTAGCAAAGCACTGTGTTACATTCTGGGATCACACCAGTGAATAAAGCAGGCATTTAAGTGTCAGAAGGCACACATCAAAACAATAATCACATATGCTAATGTAAACTCATAAAATGTTATAAATGGCATTAAGGGAGATAAATGATAAGTATAATATGGCTAGAGTTGGAGTGAGGATTATGGCCAGATTTAGAATAGGCATCTATGAAATGATATTTAAAATAGAATCTGGTCTGAGAACTTAGCCAGGTATAAGCCAAAGAAAAGAGCATTCTAGCAAGAAGGAACAACTTTAGTGAAAAGTAGACAGGAGCTTGAGGAACTGAAATAAACTAACAGAACTAAATTGGGAGTTTAATTTCTCTCTCTCACCTTAATCCTCCATTATTCCTCTATATAAGAAATGAGAAGGTGCTCATCCCCCAAGGAAATTAAGTAGTTCATCAGGAAGCAGCACCAGTGCAAAATATTAACATGTATCCCCTTGATTATCTAAAGAAATATTTCTCTCTGTTAAAAAAGAAGTCTTATTATTCCACAAAATTGGGGGAACTTAAATAAATATTGAGGTGACTTTGATGTAAAAATGGTTGAAATGTCTTTCTTATTCTAATTGTATTGTTGTCTTCAGAAGATAATCACTGACCATTACTGCCCTTAGCTGCAGCCTACACATTCTTTCATATGTTGTGAGGTTCATTTTTCTCATTTGGCAATTTTAAATCAAATGAATTCGAACACTTTTTAGTTTTCTGAGGTAGAAATATAGTTAACAAACTGCTCATATCAAATTTGTAGAAGACTAAAATATATATGTAAAGAGATTTGTTGTGACTGAATTGTATATGATTTAAAATTAGTTATGAATGGATTTAAAATAAATTGATTTTTTCACATCCTTGATATTGTCAAAATCTATTCTTTTTTTAAGCGACATTTTAAAAGGCTTTATCATTAAGAGAAATAACTAGTGAGACCCTAATCAACCTTAACACATACATAATAGCCATCCCTGCTATTATTATCAGCCATCAATGTTCCAAATAATTTGAAAACATAGAGAAGACACAGTTTTCTCACAGTGGGAGTCAAGCCAAGTAGAATAAATACCAGGTGAAAATTCTAGAGAATTTTAGGAGAGGTAATTTGTACATTCTTTCATTTCTTTTTGGTTTCTTTTTCAACTTGGGAAATTATCTAGACTAGCCTTTTGTATCTGCTTTTATAATAATTCTCAAATAAGGCCCATAGCTTAGTATCCTCATAGAAACAGCAGCTTCTATTAACCATCTGTTGTTCCTTTAATTATGGTTTCTGTGATAATTGTGAAAGAATAGAGATGAAAATTTGATAAATTGGGGAGCATTAGACCAGAAGCATTCATGTTTATTAGTCTGAAAAAAGCACTTCTATTAGACAACTTTCTATTCCACATTCAAAAATTCATCAGAAATTATATAAAAGAAAAATTGACCTGCCTTTGACACTGGGTCTTAATGTATGATTGTGATCAATATTTCTTAGATTTGGACTATGTTGAAGGAACCTCACACAAGCAGAATATGGTAAGTAGATGAGAGTTTTCTAAATAATAATTATAACTATTTGGGCCTCATAGTTAATTTCTACCATGCTCCGTGAAAAAGATATGCCGATGAATTTTCCCTCCTTGCTACAGTCAGAAGAAATTGAATTAGAGATAAGCCAGATAAATGTTTTTTTTTTCCAGAAAATCCCTGATGCCACCATAAACTTTCCATGTTTTCCTGGAAGTTTTAGAAAAGTACAACTGAACCCACACTTTAAAGATACCCCATTTCACTTGGCAAAAATAGAAAAAATTACTACCATTGTAATCAGGCCTCCTCAACACTCTCAGGCTGTGAATAAATCAGTCATGGATTTTGAGTTTCATTTCACATTTTCTTCTTCAAAAACAACTGTTTAGGCAATATATTATGGTGAAAAGATAATTGGATAAAAATATGTAATTCTGTATCCTGCTTGAAAAATTTAATGACTGTGAGATGCTGGGAAAGTTATTCTTGCTCTTTTAGTCTAGGTTTTCTCAACAATTAAAAACTATCAGTCAAGGCTTCAAAATAATCTGTGATTTTTCTTTTTACTTCTTTCAAAATTTTATTTTTGTCTTTGGTAGCTGAAGTTTCATTATGATGCGTCTTTTTGTGGTTTTCTTGCTGTTGGATTTTATTTTGAATTGAATGGCTTTATAAAATCTTGCCTTCATTGTTTTCATATGTTTTAAAAAATTCTTTGCCATTGCTTTTAAAATATCCCTTTGATCACATTTATTTCTTTTTTTCTGCTAGAAATCCATTTGGAGGTACCATTGGTTATGTCTCTGTCATCACTGTTTTTTATTCATATTTTTTGTTCCCCTGTATGTCATTATATGTACTATTTTTTTCTTTCAATATATAATAGCTTTATTGAAACATAATTTATATATCATATTACTTATCAATTTAAGGTATATAAATCGGTGGTTTTTAGTATATTCACAAAGTTTTTCAACCACAATTTTTGAATATTTTCATTGCCCCAAAAAGAAACCTCATAATCATTAGTAGTCACACCTCATTTCCTATAAATTGACCCCCAGCCATAGATTATTACTAACCTACTATCTGTCTCTATAGATTTTCATATTTTGACATGTAATAAAAATGGAATCATATAATACAAGACCCTTTGTGATTACTGTTTTCAGTTAGCGTGTTTTCAAGGTCTATTCATATTGTATCATGTCAGTACTTCATTACTTTTTATTGCCAAATAATATTTATTATATGGGTAGAACACATTTATTTATCCATTCATCAGCTGACGGGGCTTTGGATTGTTTCCACGTTTTTGACTATCATAAATAATGCCACTATGAATATTTGTTATGGACTGTCCCTCCAATGTTATTTGTGTTGGACACTATGAATATTTGTTATGGACTGTCCCACAATGTTATTTGTGTCCCTCCAATGCTCATATGTTGAAGCCCTAACTCATGTTCCTTAGAATGTTTTTCTGTTTGTAGATACGACCATTAAAGAGACAAGTTAAAATGGAGTGCTCAGGGTGGGTCCTAATCAAATATGGCTGGCATCCTTATAAGAGGATGTTAGGACACAGATCACATAGAAAGATTAATAATACCATGTGAAGACACCAGAAAAAGAACACTATCTACAAGCCAAGGAGAGAGACTTCAGAACAAACAACCTGTCTGACACCTTGATTTCTGGCTCCCAGCTTCCTGAAATGTGAGAAAATAAATTTCTATTGTTTAGGCTACTTTGTGGTATTTGTTACGGCAGCTCTAGACAAATACATTATTCACAAACAAGTTTTTGTGTGGAGGTATGTTTCATTTCCCTTAAGTATATACATAGGAGTGAAATTCTTGGTCATATGCTAACAGTATGCTTAAGCTTTTGAGCAATGGTCAGACTATTTTCTAACATGCCTGCACAGTTTAAATTGCCATCAGTAGAATAAGAGGATTCCAAGTTCTCCACATCCTTTTTTTTTTCCCCCTCTCTCTCTCTCGCTTTTTTTTTTTTGGTATAAATGTCTTAGCAAATATGAAGTGTCATATTGAAGAAGACCACATAACTCAAGATTATGAAGACTTACTTCTATGTTTTCTTCTACAATTTTTATGTTTTTAGCACTTACTTTTAAGTCTATGATTCATTGGGGGTTATTTTTTGTGTATAATGTGAGGAAAGAGTATATATTCCTGGTTTTGCACATGGATATCTAGTTCTCTCATCACAGTTTGTTGGAAAGACTATTCTTTCCCTCACTGAACTGTCTCCGGCTTTTTGAAAATTAATAGTTATATGAAAATTTATTTCTGGACTCTATTCCATTACTCTTTATGTCTATCCTTCTGCTAGTATCGAACAGTCTATACTACTGTAGCTTTGTAGTAATTCTGAAATACGGAGTGTGATCCAAATGTTGTCTTTTTTTTTTTTTTTTTTTTTTTGAGTATACTTTAGTGATTCTAGGTCCCTTGCAGTTCCATATTGTATTAGTTCATTTTCACACTGCTATGAGGAATACCTGAGACTGGGTAATTTGTAAAGGGAAGAGTTTTAATTAACTCACTGTTCTGCATGGCTAGGGAAGCCTCAGGAAACTTACAATCATGGTGGAAGATGAAGGGGAAGCAAGGCACATCTTACATGGTGGCAGGAGAAAGAGAGAGATGGGGAAGTGCCAGACACTTATCAAACAATCAGATCTCATGAGAACTCACTCACTATCACAAGAACAGCATGGGGGAAACTGCCCCATCATCAAATCACCTCCCACCAGCTCCCTCCCTCAAGGCCTAGAGATTACAATTCCAGATGAGATTTGAGTGGGGAGAGACAAACAATATCAACATGAATTTTAGGATCAATTTGCAATGTGCACCAAAAAAAAAATAGCTTAGATTTTGATAGGAATTTTGTTGAATCTATAGATAAACTTGGGAAGTATCACCATCCTGACAATATTAAATCTTCTGATCTATAAAAATGGAATGACTTTTCACTTATTTAGGTCTTCTTTAATTTCCTTAACAATGCTTTATAGTTTTCAGAATAATTTTTGCATATCTTTTATTAAATTAATTCCTAAGTGTGTTGACCATGTAGATTTTTCACAGATGCTTGCCCTTCAAGCATTTTATAAATGAGGGTTGAATTTTATAAAATTCATTTCCTGAACATATTGGGAAGTTTTTGTATTTTATTCTGCTGAAATAGTGTACCAGTTGATACAAATTAATTGATTAATACATTAATTGATTTTAGGGTATTCAAAAATTGCATATCTGGGATAAATCCCAGTTGGTCATGTATAATCCTTTTATGTTGCTGGATTTGGTTTTCTTTTTTTTCCTTTTTTTTTTTGCAGAGCCAGCTGAGGTTTTATTTTGCACCAAAAACAAACAAACAAACAAAAAAACAAAAAAACAAATTGAATTGTTTTGTAGTTGGAGGCATGGGCAAAGGGGTCCCCAGGGAGTAAACTACCCCCGAGGGTGGGCTGAGAGCTAGGGCTGAGCCTTAAGTGGGTCTCCTGTTCCCTGTGCTCCCCTGCACTCTGGGGCAGCTGCAGGAAGGGCAGGCTGGGAGGGACTGCTGCAGCTGTTCACTTGGGCAAAACGTCGGGGGACTCGGACACCAGCTTCCCATCGCAGGTCTCGACCTTCTTCACAAGCACGGCCCTGGTGGAGCTGGTGCGGCTGAAGGAGCTGGAGCCCGCACCAGAGCCAAAGCTGGAGCCTGGCCCATAGCCGAGGCTGGGGCTTGTGAAGCCCCCATAGGACGAGCTCAGGCCACCTACATAGCAGCTGGTGGTCTTAGTATGGATACTCATGTTCTGCATCCCAGACTCCAGCCGGCTCTCCTCACCCTCCAGCAGCTTCTTGCAGGTGGTGATCTTGATGCCCAGGGCCAGCTTGACGTTCATCATCTCCTGGTACTCATGCAGCTGCTGCCCCATGTCCTGCTTGGCCCGCTGCAGGGCGGCTTCCAGCTCGGACAGCTTGGCGTTGGCATACTTAACTGCCAGCTCCCCAGGCTGCTCGGCATCTGTGATGGAGGCCTCCAGGGAAGCCCTCTGGCCTTTGAGGCCCTCAATCTCAGCCTGGAGCTGGCTGATGTTCTGGTTCATCTTGAAGATCTCAGTCTTTGTATGCTGCAGATCATCCTGGTGCTTCCCAGCCAGCGTCTGCAGCTCCTCATACCTGATCCGGTGCATGCTCTAAGCCTCGGCCCGGATGCGGTTGGCGATCTCCTCCTACTGCGCCTTGATCTCAGCGATGACACTGTCCGTGTCTAGGGAGCGACAATTGTCCATGGACAGCACCACAGACGTGTCCGAGATCTGGGACTGCAACTGCGAGATCTCCTCTTCACACAGCTGCCTGAGGAAGTTGATCTCCTCAGTCAGCCCTTCCAGGTGAGACTCCAGCTCTACCTTGTTCATGTAAGTTTCATCCACTTCCTTCTTGTTGAGGAAAAATTCATTCTCCATCCTGTACGCTTATTGATCTCATCCTCATACTTGTTCTTGAAGTCCTCCACCGGCCCCTGCATGTTGCCAAGCTCCGCCTCCAGCTTCAGCTTCTCCTAGACCAGAGTCTCCAGCTGCCGCCTAAGGTTGTTGATGTAGCTCTCAAACATGTTGTCCATGTTGCTCCGAGCCGTCTTCAGCTGCCGCAGGAGGCTCCACTTGGTCTCCAGCATCTTGTTCTTCTGCTCCAGGAATCGTACCTTGTCGATGAAGGAGGCAAACTTGTTGAGGGTCTTGATCTGCTCCTTCTCCTGGGTGTGCACAACATGGATGTTGGGGTCCATCTCCAGGCTAAGGGGGCTTAGCAGGCTCTGGCTGACCGTGACGGTGGTGATGCCTCCCATGCTGCTGGCCCCAGCATAGCTTCTGCCCAGGCCACCCTGGGAGCTTCTGCTGCCCACTGGGGAGAAGCTCCAGGAGCTGATGTGGGCACCGGGCCCTCTCGTGTAGGAGTGGCTGCTGAAGGCTCGGGGGCCAGAGGTGGATACCTTGCAGGACTTCTGGGTCACCGCGTTGGACATGGTGGAGGCAGGAGTGGAGGCAGGCGGGCTGAACCAGGCAGAAACTCCAGAAGGAGCAGAGAACCTGCTTCTTGGTCTGGGTTTGGTTTTCTAGTAATTTGTTGCGGACTTTTTTCTCTTTATTTATTAAAATTTTGTTCTCCAGTTTTCTTATAATTTGTCTTGTTTGATATTAAGATAATAATTTTCTCATCCAACGAGTTGGATGAGAAAATTTTGTTTCTCATCTGAGTGTTTTGTTTTTTGCAAGAATAGGTGAAATATTGTTATTAACTCTTCTTGAAATGTTTGGAAGAATTCACCAGTAAAACTATCTTGGCTTGGAAACTTTGTGAAAAGTTTTTAAAACTATTATTCATCTCTTTCCTTGTATAGGTCTGTTAATATTTTTATTACATCTTGAATCAGTTTTGATCATTAGTATCTTTCTAAAACTTTGTTATTTTTAAGCTGATTTTTCTAACTTTATGGCATATTTTTTTCATGGTATTTTCTTATAATTATTTTTATTTCTATAAGCTCTGTATTAATGTTCCTTCTTTTTCAGATTTTTGTAATTTGAGTTATTCTTTTTCTTGGACAGTCTAGCTAAATAGCTAAAAGTTGGTCCATTTTCATTTCTATTTTCAAAGAATCAACTTTCAATTTTGATGATTTATTTACTCTTTATAAAAGTTAAACAAATAAAAAAACAAAAAGAATTCTCTATTTCATTAATTTTTACTGAGATCTTTATTATTTGCTTTTTCTGCTTGCTTTAGGTTTGGTTTGCTCTTTTTTCCCCAATAGCTTATGGTGGAAAGTTAGATTATTGATTGAAGTTTTGTCTTCTTTTTTAACATAGGCATTTAGAGCTTTTCTTTTCCCTCTAAGCACTGCTTTAGCTGCATCTCCTTTGTGTATGCATATACATGTGTTTCAATGTAGAATTGAATTACTTTCTAAGATTACTTGATATCATCCAGAAGTACTTCCTTTAACATTTTTTAAAAGATGAGTCAGTTAGCAATGAATTCTATCAGTTCTGTTTACCTGGGAATAGCTTCATTTTACCTTTATATTTTTCAACTTTTTAATATCTTATATTAGTATGGTATGTTTGTCACAATTAAGTAATCAGTAATAATATAGTCTTATTAACTAAAGTCCATAGTTTATTCAGATTTCCTTTGTTTTTACCTAACATTCTTTTTGTTTCCCAGGGTTCCACCTAAGCTATCATATTACATAATTTTTATGTTTCCTTACGTTTTCCCCTAACAGTGACAGTGTCTTAGAACTTCCTTGTTTTTAATGACCTTGACAGTTTTCAGGTATACTGATTAGGTTTGCCACAGCATGCCACTATTGGAGTTTTTCTGATGCTTTACTTATGAGTAGACTGGAATAATGCATGTTTTTCTTCATTTTTGAAAGGTAGTTTTATTGGATATAAGATTTTTGATTGACAGTTGCTTTTCTTTTCTTTTAGTAGTTTGAATATTGTTTCTTATGAGAAGTCAGCTGTTATTCTCATTGGGATTCCTTTTATGAGTAGTCATTTGCTCTTACTGCTTTCAAGATTTTCTCTTTGTCTGTGTCATTGATGCCATGATGGCTCTGATACAGATCACTTTGTTGCTAATCTACCTGGCATTTCTCTCAGTTCTTTTATTGGTTGGTTGTTTTCTTCATCTAGTTTGGGAAGCTCTCAGCCTTTATTTCTCGAATATTTTTTCTGCTTTTTTGTCTCTCTCCTTTCCTGCTACTCTTATTCTTGGTAAACTACATGGAATCCTGAATTTCTCTGAGCTCCGTTAATTTATTTTTAGTTTTATTTTAGTTATGTATTTCTAACAGTATAATGCCTAATGATCTCTCTTTAAATCCACTGATTCCTTTTTTGCCATTTCAAATCTACTTTAGCTCCTCTAGCAAATTTTTGAATTTTACTTGTATTACTTTTTAACTCTAAACTTTATATATTTTTAAACAATTTCAGTTACTTCACTAATGTTTCCTATTCAATGAAACACTGTAATCATGGCTTTTCTTAATTCTTAAACATAGTTTTCTTTAGTTCTTTGAATATATTTATGATAGATAGCTGCTTTGAAGTTTCTTCTGTTGAATTGCACACCTGGGCCTCTTCACAGTCAGTTTGTGTTTTCTACTTTTTTTTTTTTTTCATGCATGGGTCATATATCCCTGTTTCTTTGTATGCCTTATTTTGTTGTTGTTAAAAATTGGGGGATTTTAGGTAATATATTATGGCAACTCTAGAGAGCGACCGCACTCCTCTAGAGCTTGATGTTATTATTGTTTGCTTGTTTATTTGTTTAGTGACCTGGCTGGACTATTTTAGTGAAGGCTAAATCCCTGCAGTGTGAAGCTTCTAATATCACTCAAGCTTTGGGCTTGTACAAGGTTACCCTGGGATGACTGTTGTTTTAACAGAACTGTCTTTAGCTATCTCTTTTCTTGATATCTCTATTTAGCTGTCTGCCTCTGTTGGTATCACACACAGCTGTTAGACTCCAGAAAGAGCCAGTAAATTGCTGTATTTTTTTCAACGATGCTCTGGAACATAAATTGCTCCACGATTATAGCCAATTAAATTCAGGTCCCCCTGTAGGGGTAGTTTTTGGGGCCAGTCTTTGGTGTTTCTTCTAACACCCAGAGAGCTCATCTAAGCTGCCTTTCCCCCTGATTCTCTCTGGTAAAATAACTGAGCTATAGTTTAGCTTGGTGCTTTTGTGGAGTTACAAGCCTCCACTTAATTAACACCAAAAATCACTGTTTTCAAGAGTACCCTTAGTCTTGAATTCTTCCATAGTGTGTTCTAAATAATGTCAGTTAGTTCTTTTAGGGAGAACTTCAGAGATGTCTGTTCTTATGACCTGCCTCGTCCTGAAGAAAATCTCCATCCCATTACTCCTGACCTGCGAGTATGACTTTACTTAGCTTGTCCCTTTGGGCATGGAATCTCCCCCTCAAGTGGGCTAAGGAGAAGGTGACTGAGGACTTAATAATCTGGCCTGCCACTTCTGAAATAGAGATGGAACCTTGTAAGCGGGGAGTAAATATAGGAAGAGAGCCCCTACTCTAAACTGCCTCATCTGAAATTTAATCTCTGCATTACAGAGATAGGTGATTAGAGTGAGAATGATCTTCTTGGCCATGCCCATTTGGAGCAAAGTTTCTGTCACACTGAGCTAGGGTTGGAGAGAGCAGCAGTTTTGCTCTTCTTACTTTTGCTCTTCAAACAGTTTTGCTCTTCAAACTTTTGCTCTTCTTACTAAGATGTACTAGATTTTCTTGAATAAATATTCTTCACATGCTGTATGCCATTATGACAATTTCTGGGGACTTTAAATAGTTGCTTTAGAAATTATTTTCATCACTTATGATTGTTTCACTGAGTAATAGGTCTACAGAGCTCTTCACACTGATATGCCATAAGTAGATTCTCTTTTTTCCCTATATGTCTTTCATTTATATAATCCAAGCTTTAAATATCCACAATACTCTAAATGTGTAAATATCAATTGCTGTGTGGTTTATTTCTAGAATATCTCTAGCTCATTTTCAGATGTTTAGGTAATTTTTTATAGTCCCTAATCCCTACACTTATTTTCGAGTTTGCTTCTAGTTTATTTAAACTTGGTCATTATAGACTGTTTTATAATCTCTCTCATATTTTTGTGGTAAAATATATATACCATAACATTTACCATTTTAACAATTTTAAGTATACATTCAGTAGTAGTAAACACACGTACTTTGTTGTGCTCTCATAATTTTAGTATATGATTCTTTCTATGTTATTTCTGGTTTTGTTCATGATACCTACTTTCGTGTGTTTGGTGAGTTTTTAAGGTGAATTCCTGATTTTCCTGCAAACATATTTTTAGGGAAACCCACATTAGAAATCCTGTAAATGACCTCTGTGTCCCTGCCTTCTACTCCATGAACCTACATCCTTAAGAAGAAAACAAACTTGTGTATGCACTGGTCAATATAATCCTATCTTCTCTTCCTCCTTTAGGAATTGTGCACAATTTCGGAAGCACAAAGAAGTCTATATTTTGTATTCCAGCAAATAGTAATAAACTTATTTATTTTAATAGCTTTTGGAAAATAATAGTAAAATTTAACATGTGTTTGGGCAAATAATTTGAAATCAATATATGACGTATTGATAATATATGTATGACTTCGAAAATCAGAAAGTTAAGAGTGAATTATTCAATAAATTGTGTTAAGGCAATCATGTAACAGTTTGAACAACTGGGAACAATTTTTAGATCAAGTTTAAGAGGCAGGCTTCTTTAATCATAAAACAAACAGGAAAAAAATGATATATTTGACAATGTAAAATTGAATATTTCAACATCAAAAATGTCATAAATAACTGCAAAACACATAGAATTGGGAAAATAAGTTTAGAATATTTGTTTTCATATTGGAAAATCTTAATAATACAAATGATACAATGCAAGCTGTAAATATCATCACATTTGAGAATAATTATTATTTGCAGAAAACATAATTGAATACAATGATACTGTATATAGATATCAACTGAAAAATTACTTGAAATAATAATGCTAATGTAGCAAAGTTTAATCATATTAATGTTTAAAACATAAACTTTCCTGTATATGGCTTAGTTTAGACATATGATCAGATAAAGTTCATTTGACCTAATATCGAAAATATAAATTATCCAGAAAAAAATATTAAAAAGAAATATATAGGACACATACTAAAAGAAGCTTTAATTTACTTCCTAAAAGAGAAAAATGGGTAAGTTAAAACATAGTTTTGGACAAAAATATTTTAAACATGCCAGTTCTTCCTAAAATAAAATCACTTACAAACACGTATATATAATTAGGACACCCACAGGAGAAGAAGGAATATTGAGGGAGGAAATTGAAAAATACTACTAAAGATTACCCAAAAGAATATAAAGCCCTATAAAATATGAGTAATGGGAGAAGTCTAGTTTTAGTAAATATCAAAAAGTTAACAGTATTACACACAACCAAAGTAGATGAATGAACTGGACTAGAGAGTCTAATAATAGATCCTAATCTATGTGGAACATAGAATATGAGCTTTAAAGCACTGTGGGAAAAAATGTATCAAATTAATAATAAAAGAACAGGGGACTAACTAGCTCTTTGAGGGAAGATTGTACAGCTGGATATTTTTACCAAAATCATATGGATGATTCCAATTTTAAAATAAAGAAATGTAGAATAAGCAGAAATTATTGAATAATTAATTAACCTTCAATATCTCACAATCCTTATACCTTTGAGCATGTTGTGAAACTAGAACATATTCTAGTTTCTATGTTCTAGAAGAATATATAGATACATTGAATATATAGATACATTGAGAAGAATATATAGATACATTGAGATTCACATGATAAAATGATCTTTCTGGCAAAAACAATACCACAAACAAAGTCAGATACAAAAATACAAATTGGAAAAAATGAAAAACAGATAGTAGACAATGGGTAATATCTTCACATGCAATAATCCTTTTAAATCTTAAATCATAAAATAAACCTGCATTTACCAATATCAAATTGAAGAAATTTTATGTTAGACATTCCACTGGGCAAATATCAATAGAATTTAAACATGAGAAAAAATAGTCAACTTTATTAGAACTTCAAAAGTGGTCAAAGTAATACCAGTTTAAAATATGCCATTTTTCAATGACAAATATTTAAAATTATAATACACAGTAGGGCAAAACTTTGGGGGAAAAAACACATTCATTTATACATGGTAATACATGACAGGGATGTAAATTGGAACAATCTCTGTAAATGGCAATTTTTCATTGCATATTAACAGAATTAAAAAGTGCACTCAATTTGACCTAACAGTTTCACTTTAATTCTTGCAAACGTAATAGGCATCATAGTTCTTCACTGACAAACATTTATTGAGTATGTTCTATATGCTAGTCACAGTGATGAGCATATTACAAACATCATCTTATCTAACACCTGAGAAACTACTATGAAATAGGAAACTCATGCTATCTTGAGTTTCACCTGAGAACACTGAGTGAAACAAATATATTTCTCAAATATAGTAAAGCTACTTAGATCCAGAGCAAGATAAACCCAGAACCTCTTAACTTCAGAATGCATAATTTAAACATTATTCTATACTACTGGCACATAGCATGCACTAGAAAGTAGTAACAGTTATTGTATTGGAAATTCTTGGAACTCTATAGATAATACGTGTGTATGTATATATATATGCATATATATGTTTGTGTACATATAGCTATATACATATGTGTATATATGTGTAAAGATCTATATGTGTTTATGTATATGTGTTTATCTATCTATCTAATATGATATTCTGTAGTCATATACATAGTGGAAGCTGGATGATGACTTTAAACAATGGAGATAATTTTTGAGTAGGTAAGTGACAGGGTTAAGCAGTGTGTGTGTGTGTGTGTGTGTGTGTGTGTGTGTCCATGCATGTGTGCGTGTGTGATGGTTAGTATGGTGAGACTACATAAGAAGGATCTGATATACTAAAAATTGAATGTGAGAAGAAAGACTAGCAGCTGCACATATAACCTGAAGTACCATAATAAAATTTGGGATAAGGAAGCAAGGCCAACTCTGAGAGGGATTTCACAATATGAGAGCTGATGTGGTAATTTATTGACTCTCACATCAGAGGGACAAGAAGAGTGAGAGAGGAATTAACATTGTTTGTACCTGCAGATAAGTTTTCTTAGAAGTTTTTCAGAATACTTCTGAACAACCTCTTTGATAAATGATGATAAGAGTAAAGCCAGAGTACTGCTTTTTTTCTCAAGACATATATTCTGCCAAGAGTAGGAAACAGGTAGAAACTATTTCCATGTTTTATTTTTATTTTTAAAAGGTTCTAGTGTTCCAATGCAAAAATCACAATGATTTGAGCAATGTACAGTGAAAGGAAGGCTTCATTGAATTAGCAATTTAAACTTGTGTTATGTTAGCATCCTGTTGAATTATTACTCATCCTTGCTAATATAGCATTTAACAAGGAATTACACTGTCATGCCAGACTAGTGTAAAAAGAAACTTTAATGGGGCATGATGTGAAAGCTATTATGACAGATACTATTATAAGTATATGCAATCTTTCCAACAATACTATTTTGGATTTTCCTATAGGTATTGTGATCAAATTGGGGCTGGGGGGCACTGAGACAATTGAGAATGAAGAGAATTTGTGTAGCTGAGTAGCCTGAGTGCCCTTGAATACGATATTTTTGAGAGAACTAAATTATTTTTGTCAGCCCTCCTTGGAAAATTTCCAGATGTATTGAAATAATAAAATTTTGGGCTTCTATTAACCTGTTTATTATTTTATTTTCTTATTTGAAAATCAATGCAATAACTTGTAGTCTAGTGGCAGGATGGCTAATGGATTATTCTTAAACACTTTGGATGACCCGAAATGTGTAGGATATTTTTATTCTAAATAAAGAATTTACAGTGGGCCAAGTGACTCAATAAGCTAGTGATGTGGAACTTAATTTGGTTAAGTAGCAAACAGCCCTTGTGTTGTTTTCATATGTGTACAGTGGGGAATAATTAAGGTGACGTCACTGGAAATCTGCTGACCTTCAGGAAAAATGCTGCAGTTTCTTTCCAAGTGTCTAAAAGTGAAGATAGGCAATGTTTGGTTTCTCTCATGATCACTCAGTTTTGTGATCTATATGAATGATAAAATTTGAAGAAATATTGGAAAAACATTAAAAATTTCTTAATGTTTAAGAACTCAACTTTGTCATTCTATCATTAATATTATCTCCTTTCCTCTCCTCCACATAATACCAAAGCATGCAATTCCAACTCGTCTGAATTCCTTTCTCATGCTCCTCATCTGAGACTGCATTCTTACAGTATTTACCTTCAGAGGTTGGTACACATGCCATTCACTTTAGGAAACATTATCCACCTCTTCCTTTCATTTACCTCTTCCAAGGCCTGATTTAAAATCATCCTTCTTCAGAGATATTTTTCCAATATTTGTTTATTTTCTTACTCTGCACCCATGGCCTGCCTCATCTTTCATTTGATATATGACCTTTCATTTTTTATAGAATTGTGATTGCCCTAAAGCTTAGTCTCCAGATTTGTTCCAATCCATTTGTTCTCATTGTGACTGATACCAGCCTCTCTCTGAGGTACATTCAGCTTTGATGGTGCTAGTTGGTCCCATTTCAGGGATGCTTCCTTAGAAAATAGAACACAAAATTATGAATAAAATATTGGTATAAATTAGCCTTTACTTAGAATGAGAAAAAAAATCATGCCAAATATATGTTTTAAAAGTTGGGCCGGGTGCGGTGGCTCATGCCTATAATCCCAGCACTTTTGGAGGCTGAGGTGGGTGAATCACCAGAAGTCAGGAGTTCCAGGTCAGCCTGGCCAACATGGTGAAACCCTGTCTCTACTAAAAATACAAAAAATTAGCCAGGCATTGTGGCAGGCGCCTGTAATCCCTGCTACTTGGGAGGCTGAGGCAGGAGAATTGCTTGAACCTGGGAGGTGGTGGTGCAGTGATCTGAGATTGTGCCATTGCACTCCAGCCTGGGCGACAGAGCGAGACTCCATCTCAAAAAAAAAAAAAAAGGTGGAGCCAAGATGGCCGAATCGGAACAGCTCCAGTCTACAGCTCCCAGCATGAGCGACGCAGAAGATGGGTGATTTCTGCATTTCCAACTGAGGTACTGGGTGCATCTCACTGGGGAGTGCCGGACAGTGGGTGCAGGACAGTGGGTGCAGCGCACCATGCGTGAGTCAAAGCAGGGCAAGGCATTGCCTCACCTGGGAAGTGCAAGGGGTCAGGGAATTCCCTTTCCTAGACAAAGAAAGGGGTGACAGACGGCACCTGGAAAATCGGGTCACTCCCACCCTAATACTGTGCTTTTCCGATGGGCTTAAAAAACGACACACCAGGAAATTATATCCCGCACCTGGCTTGGAGGGTCCTACACCCACGGAGCCTCACTTGTTGCTAGCACAGCAGTCTGAGATCAAACTGCAAGGTGGCAGCCAGGCTGGGGGAGGGGCACCTGCCATTGCCCAGGCTTGATTATGTAAACAAAGCAGCCTGGAAGCTCGAACTGGGTGGAGGCCACCACGGCTCAAGGAGTCCTGCCTGCCTCTGTAGGCTCCACCTCTGGGGGCAGGGCACAGACAAACAAAAGGCAGCAGTAACCTCTGCAGACTTAAATGTCCCTGTTGGACAGCTTTGAAGAGAGGAGTGGTTCTCCTAGCACCCAGCTGGATATCTGAGAACAGGCAGACTGCCTCCTCAAGTGGGTCCCTGACCCCCGAGTAGCCTAACTGGGAGGCACCCCCCAGTTGGGGCAGACTGACACCTCACACAGCCGGGTACTCCTCTGAGACAAAACTTCCAGAGGAACGATCAGGCGGCAGGATTTGCGGTTCACCAAAATCCACTGTTCTGCAGCTACCACTGCTGATACCCAGGCAAACAGCATCTGGAGCAGACCTCCAGCAAACTCAAACAGATCTGCATCTGAGGGTCCTGACTGTTAGAAGGAAAACTAACAAACGAAAGGACATCCACACCAAAAACCCATCTGTACGTCAGCATCATCAAAGACCAAAAGTAGATAAAACCACAAAGATGGGGAAAAAACAGAGCAGAAAAACCAGAAACTCTAAAAATCAGAGCACCTCTCCTCCTCTAAAGGAACGCCACTCCTCACCAGCAATGGAACAAAGCTGGACAGAGAATGACTTTGACAAGTTGAGAGAAGAAGCCTTCAGAAGATCGAACTACTCTGAGCTAAAGGAGGAAGTTCAAACCAACGGCAAAGAAGTTAAAAACCTTGAAAAAAAATTAGACGAATGGCTACCTAGAATAACCAATGCAGAAAAGTCCTTAAAGGATCTGATGGAGCTGAAAACCATAGCATGAGAACTACGTGATGAATGCACAAGCCTCAGTAGCCGATGCAATCAACGGGAAGAAAGGGTATCAGTGATGGAAGACGAAATGAATGAAATGAAGCGAGAAGAGAAGTTTAGAGAAAAAAGAACAAAAAGAAATGAAAAAGCCTCCAAGAAATATGGGACTATGTGAAAAGACCAAATTTACATCTGACTGGTGCACCTGAAAGTGATGGGAAGAATGGAACCAAGTTGGAAAACACTCTGCAGGATATTATGCAGGAGAATTCCCCAGTCTAGCAAGGCAGGCCAACATTCAAATTCAGGAAATACAGAGAACATCACAAAGATACTCCTCGAGAAGAGCAACTCCAAGACACATAATTGTCAGATTCACCAAAGTTGAAATGAAGGAAAAAATGTTAAGGGCATCCAGAGAGAAAGGTCAGGTTACCCACAAAGGGAAGCCCATCAGACTAACAGCAGACCTCTCGGCAGAAACTCTACAAGCCAGAAGAAAGTGGGGGCCAATATTCAACATTCTTAAAGAAAAGAATTTTCAACCCAGAATTTCATATCCAGCCAAACTAAGCTTCATATGTGAAGGAGAAATAAAATACTGTACAGACAAGCAAATGCTGAGAGATTCTGTCACCACCAGGCCTGCCCTAAAAGAGCTGCTGAAGGAAGCACTAAACATGGAAAGGAACAAACTGTACCAGCCACTGCAAAAACATGCCAAATTGTAAAGACCACCAAGGCTAGGAAGAAACTGCATCAACTAATGAGCAAAATAACCAGCTAACATCATAATGACAGGGTCAAATTCACACATAACAATATTAACCTTAAATGTAAATGGGCTAAATGCTCCAATTAAAAGACACAAACTGGCAAATTGGATAAAGAGTCAAGACCCATCAGTGTGCTGTATTCAGGAGACCCATCTCACATGCAGAGACACACATAGGCTCAAAATAAAAGGATGGAAGAAGATCTACCAAGCAAATGGAAAACAAAAAAAAGCAGGGGTTGCAATCCTAGTCTCTGATAAAACAGACTTTAAACCAACAAAGATCAAAAGAGACAAAGAAGGCCATTACATAATAGTAAAGGGATCAATTCAACAAGAAGAGCTAACTATCCTAAATATATATGCACCCAATACAGGAGCACCCAGATTCATAAAGCTAGTCCTGAGTGACCTACAAAGAGACTTAGACTCCCACACAATAATAATGGGAGACTTTAATACCCCACTGTCAACATTAGACAGATCAACGAGACAGAAAGTTAACAAGGATATCCAGGAATTGAACTCAGCTCTGCACCAAGCATACCGAATAGACATCTACAGAACTCTCCACCTCAAATCAACAGAATATACATTCTTTTTAGTACCACACCACACCTATTCCAAAATTGACCACATAGTTGGAAGTAAAGCACTCCTCAGCAAATGTGAAAGAACAGAAATTATAACAAACTGTCTCTCAGACCACAGTGCAATCAAACTAGAACTCAGGATTAAGAAACTCACTCAAAACTGCTCAACTACATGGAAACTGAACAACCTGCTCCTGAATGACTACTGGGTACATAAAGAAATGAAGGCAGAAATAAAGATGTTCTTTGAAACCAATGAGAATAAAGACACAACATACCAGAATCTCTGGGACACATTCAAAGCAGTGTGTAGAGGGAAATTTATAGCACTAAATGCCCACAAGAGAAAGCAGGAAAGATCTAAAACTGACACCCTAACATCACAATTAAAAGAACTAGAGAAGCAAGAGCAAACACATTCAAAAGCTAGCAGAAGGCAAGAAATAACTAAGATCAGAGCAGAACTGAAGGAAATAGAGACACAAAAAACCCTTCAAAAAATCAATGAATCCAGGAGCTGTTTTTTTTAAAAGATCAACAAAACTGATAGACCGCTAGCCAGACTAATAAAGAAGAAAAGAGAGAAGAATCAAATAGACACAATAAAAAATGACAAAGGGGATATCACCACCGATCCCACAGAAATACAAACTACCATCAGAGAATACTACAAACACCTCTATGCAAATAAACAGAAAATCTAGAAGAAATGGATAAATTCCTCGACACATACACTCTCCCAAGACTAAACCAGGAAGAAGTTGAATCTCTGAATAGACCAATAACAGGAGCTGAAATTGAGGCAATAATGAATAGCTTACCAACCAAAAAAAGTCCAGGACCAGATGGATTCACAGCTGAATTCTACCAGAGGTACAAGGAGTAGCTGGTACCATTCCTTCTGAAACTACTCCAATCAATAGAAAAAGAGGGAATCCTCCCCAACTCATTTTATGAGGCCAGCATCATCCTGATACCAAAGCATGGCAGAGACACAACCAAAAAAGAGAATTTTAGACCAATATCCTTGATGAACACTGATGCAAAAATCCTCAATAAAATACTGGCAAACCAAACCCAGCAGCACATCAAAAAGCTTATCCACCATGATCAAGTGGGCTTCATCCCTGGGATGTAAGGCTGGTTCAATATACGCACATCAATAAATGTAATCCAGCATATAAGCAGAACCAAAGACAAAAACCACATGATTATCTCAATAGATGCAGAAAAGGCCTTTGACAAAATTCAACAACCCTTCATGCTAAAAACTCCCAATAAATTAGGTATTGATGGGACGTACCTCAAAATATTAAGAGCTATCTATGACAAACCCACAGCCAATAACATACTGAATGGACAAAAACTGGAAGCATTCCCTTTGAAAACTGGCACAAGACAGGGATGCCCTCTCTCACCACTCCTATTCAACATAGTGTTGGAAGTTCTAGCCAGGGAAATCAGGCAGGAGAAGGAAATAAAGCGCATTCAATTAGGAAAAGAGGAAGTCAAATTATCCCTGTTTGCAGATGACATGATTGTATATCTAGAAAACCCCATTGTCTCAGCCCAAAATCTCCTTAAGCTGATAAGCAACTTCAGCAAAGTCTCAGGATAAAAAATCAATGTGCAAAAATCACCAGCATTCTTACACACCAATAACAGACAAACAGCCAAATCATGAGTGAACTCCCATTCACAATTGCTTCAAAAAGAATAAAATACCTAGGAATCCAACTTACAAGGGATGTGAAGGACCTCTTCAAGGAGAACTACAAACCACTGCTCAATGAAATAAAAGAGGATACAAACAAATGGAAGAACATTCCATGCTCACGGGTAGGAAGAATCAATATCATGAAAATGGCCATACTGACCAAGGTAATTTATAGATTCAATGCCATCCCCATCAAGCTACCAATGACTTTCTTCACAGAACTGGAAAAAACTACTTTCAAGTTCATACGGAACCAAAAAAGAGCCCACATTGCCAAGTCAATCCTAAGCCAAAAGAACAAAGCCGGAGGCATCACGCTACCTGACTTCAAACTATACTACAAGGCTACAGTAACCAAAACAGCATGGTACTGGTACCAAAACACAGATATAGATCAATGGAACAGAACAGAGCTCTCAGAAATAATGCCGCATATCTACAACCATCTGATATTTGACAAACCTGACAGAAACAAGCCATGGGGAAAGGATTCCCTATTTAATAAACGGTGGTGGGAAAACTGGCTAGACATATGTGGAAAGCTGAAACTGGATCCCTTCCTTACACCTTATACAAAAATTAATTCAAGATGGAGTAAAGACTTAAATGTTAGACCTAAAACCATAAAAACCCTAGAAGAAAACCTAGGCAATACCATTCAGGACATAGGCACAGGCAAGGACTTCATGTCTAAAACACCAAAAGCAATGGCAACAGAAGCCAAAATTGACAAATGGGATCTAATTAAACTAAAGAGCTTCTGCACAGCAAAAGAAACTACCATCAGAGTGAACAGGCAACCTACAGAATGGGAGAAAAATTTTGCAACGTACTCATCTGACAAAGGGCTAATATGCAGAATCTACAATGAACTCAAACAAATTTACAAGAAAAAAACAAAC
Source organism: Homo sapiens (assembly GCF_000001405.40). Lineage (NCBI taxonomy): Eukaryota > Metazoa > Chordata > Mammalia > Primates > Hominidae > Homo > Homo sapiens. Next base: position 35,231,113 of record NC_000003.12, read on the forward strand.
AACCCCATCAAAAAGTGGGCAAAGGATATGAACAGACACTTCTCAAAAGAAGACATTTACGCAGTCAAAAAAACACATGAAAAAATGCTCATCATCACTGGCCATCAGAGAAATGCAAATCAAAACCACAATGAGATACCATCTCACACCACTTAGAATGGTAATCATTAAAAAGTCAGGAAACAACAGGTGCTGGAGAGAATGTGGAGAAACAGCAACACTTTTACACTGTTGGTGGGACTGTAAACTAGTTCAACCATTGTGGAAGTCAGTGTGGCGATTCCTCAGGGATCTACAACAAGAAATACCATTTGACCCAGCCATCCCATTACTGGGTATATACCCAAAGGATTATAAATCATGCTGCTATAAAGACACATGCACATGTATGTTTATTGCGGCACTATTCACAATAGCAAAGACTTCGAACCAAGCCAAATGTCCAACAATGATAGGCTGGATTAAGAAAATGTGGCACATATACACCATGGAATACTATGCAGCCATCAAAAAGGATGAGTTCATGTCCTTTGTAGGGACATGGATGAAGCTGGAAACCATCATTCTCAGCAAACTATCACAAAGACAAAAAACCAAACACCGCATGTTCTCACTCATAGGTGGGAATTGAACAATGAGAACATATGGACACAGGAAGGGGAACATCACATACCGGGGACTGTTGTGGGGTGGGGAGAGGTGGGAAGGATAGCATTAGGAGATATACCTAATGCTAAATGACGAGTTAATGGGTGCAGCACACCAACATGTGTAACAAACCTCCACGTTGTGCACATGTACCCTAAAACTTAAAGTATAATAATAATACAATTTTTTAAAAAGTTATGAATACCATAAACTTTGTGAGCACAAAATACTGTCATTACTGAGTAACTGCCTGTTATATCTCTATGATGCTTTTCCATATATTTTGGCTCTATATTCTTTGATTATTTGTTAGTCTTTTCATATAGAAATTGTTTTGTGCTTTGTTCTATAGAAAGAATGGGAAAGTAATTCAGTACTTTCTCTCTACCACAGTTCCTTAAAAATCTGTTGTTATTATTTGTTGTGGAAGTAACAGTGGTAGTAGACATAAAAATTTAGAAAATTTTTCTTCCACTTTAGGACCCATTTTGGATAATGTCATGTTTTTAGAAATATAGTCAAAAAGACTTTATCAAATCTATTTAATACATAAATTGTAACATTGCAAGTCATTTCAAGTTTTCTCATGCAGTGTAATAAATATGCTTAGAAATGACCACACTCATAACCAATGTGTTTTCAATGTCCTTATTTAGTGGCATATACTTTTTGATGTTATCTGCACTCATGTTAGTATTTGTATCAAATCAGCAAGAAACTATTATTTTTTCAGTATGTTCCCATGTTTCAAATCTTTTCATCAAAGGGGATCATTAAGCAATTCAAAGATCTCCACATAACTTCTATTTGAGAGGGATCTCTTTTTCTTAATGAACTACTACTTTTATGTGATGTAACCATTGTAGGTTCACATTTGCTTCTCTAAGTAAAAATATTTATAGTTTTATTATTTTGGATTCTTAAACGAGATTCATGCAGGCCAGGGTCTTGAAGCATAAGTTCCTTTTTTTTTTTTTTTTTTTTTTTCAAATGAAATTTCGCTCTTGTCGCGCAGGCTGGAGTGCAATGGCACGATCTCAGCTCACTGCAACCTCCGTCTCCTAGGTTCAAGTGATTCTCCTGCCTCAGCCTCCTGAGTAGCTGGGATTACAAGGACGTACCACCAGTCCTGGCTAATTTTTATATTTTTAGTAGAGATGGGATTTCACCACGTTGGCCAGGCTGGTCTCAAACTCCTGACCACAGGTGACCCACCTGCCTCGGTCTCCCAAAGTGCTGAGATTACAGGTGTGAGACACCATGCCCGGCCGAAGCATAAGTTCTTTACTGTCATCAGAGATCATTTACCTCTGATTCTTCCCTTCTCATGTGACATGACATTTTAATCTGGTGTAGAGAGGACAGAGATTGATTGGGCATAGAGAAACTTAAGTAAACTTACTCAACTTGTCAAAAAGTGTGTCTGCAACAGATGAGAATATAAATGAAGGTATCATTAGGCAAGAGTATGATTTTATCAGCCAAGTTTGAAAAGGACTGAATAAACACAAGAAATCAGAGATATGATATTATGTAAGAGAATGAGAGTTCATGTGCATGCATTCAAAATATTTTATAATAGTCTGAAGATGTGATTGGGAGAATTTCATAACATGTCTTGATGTGCATGAGAGTGGGGATATATAAGAATATGAATTAGTAAGGGTATGAATGTATGTAGAAAAGACACTGAATGTGACAGAATGTTACTTTGAAATGCATTGTGATCAAGTACAGCAGTGATAAATAAAACAAAGCAAAAAAAAAATGAGTGAAACCTTCCTACTGGTGCATTGATTTCAGCTTCTCTGCCCATCATCATGAGAACTTAAAATATATAACAAACAGCCATGACATTATAAGGAAATATAGGAAGTACCAGTTGCCAATGCAAACACTTCTACAATTTGAATATATATATTTTAGAATTTCCACTTTCTTTTCTTCTTTCAAGATCTTTGCTTTTCCTTTCATTTATTTTGTTATCCATGAAAACTTGTTTTTAGAATAATATGAAAAGTCTTGATGCCTTCTCACTAAGGGTATCTAACATGAATAGAGCATATAAATTCCAAAATTAAATAAATCTTCATGTCCACCAGAAGGAAGTTGCAGGGGAACGATTCCAAGATAAAATAGAGTATTTGTTTTCTCTAGATATGTTATGAGAGAAGGCTGTGGGAAGCCCTGATATACAAAGTTTGCATATACTAAGTAAATTACCATGATTCAGGTCTCTCCATCCTTATAAAATTCTAACTGAAGTTCTCAGAAGTAGCTTCTGCTCCATATACCATAATTCCAACTATATATTCTTAAAGCAGGCAGACATTTGAAGATTTATTTTTCTGTAACAAAATACATTTGGATGTAAGAAACTTAGGGCTGTTTTGCAAGCTGTGTGTCATCAGGTACCCAGGCTCCTTCCAGTTCTTTTCTTTGCCATCTTCAGGTCACCTATCGAATATTAAAGATGGTACAAATTCATTGCATTTCTCTCTTTAAGAGATGAGGTCTGGCTGGGTGCAGTGGCTCACGCCTATAATTCTAGCACTTTGGGAGGCCGAGGTGGGCGGATCTCCTGAGGTCATGAGTCCGAGACCAGACTGGCCAACATGGCCAAACCCTGTCTCTACAAAAAATACAAAATTTAGCCGGGTGTGGTGGCATGCACCTGTAATCACAGCTACTTGGGAGGCTGAGGCAGGAGAATCACTTGAACCTCAGAGGTGGAGGTTGCAGTGAGCCAAGATCATGCCACTCTACTCCAGCCTGGGCAACAGAGGGAGACTCTGTCTCAAAAAAAAAAAAAAAAAAATCAAGGGATGAGGTCTCTGTACTCTTCTCTAAAATACGGTAGAAACGACAGTGTGCCAATTTCTAGGCACATGTCTCAAGGTACTGTCAAATTCTTCTTTCTCCTTCTTGAAACAGTTTCTTTCAGAGCTCTCAGCTGTCATGTAAGAAATCCAATGAGCCTGTTGAAGAGAGAAGCTGGACAGGCTCTGAGGCTACATAGAGAAAGAGAAAGGCTCTGCTGGGCTCAGGCTTTTAGCCACTCCCAACTAAGTGCCAGACAGGAAAATAAGCTGTCACAGTTCTTGAAGATCAGCCTTATTGTCCACTAAATTTTAATGAGTCACTTCAAATGATGTTCTATGGAACAGAAGAATCATCTAATCCACATAATTAGGAGGTGTAATTAAATTTTTGTTTTTTAAACTACTAAATTTGGGGGTGTTTTATAATGTATCAATAGATAACAATATTGCTTTACAGTTCAGAATGGCTCCCAGAGCTTTAGCCATCATATCACATTACAGAAAGCTATGCAGTCATGCAGCAGGAAGGAGAAAAGGACAAAAAAAGTGCATCTCTTTCACTTTTAGGAAGACTCTCAGAATTCACATAACACTTTGTTTCAATATAATTGGCGAAAACTTGGTCACATTGTCATTCAGCTGTAAGAGGGACAGGGTAAAGTCTTTTGGATGGCTACACTGCCAAGCTAAACAAATGCACAATTATTTTTCTAAGAAAGAAGAATTGGATGTTGGATTGGCAACTAGTAGTATCTACATTCCTTCAACTCTCTCATTAATATCAACAACATTTTTGAACACTTAGTATGTTCTCAAATTCTCATTAGAAAAAAATTAAGATAGCCAGAAATAGTATTAGTTTTCTGTTACCAAACACTTAGTGGATTAAAAACAATATCCATTTAGTAGCCAACAATTCTGAGGGTCAGAATCCAGGCAGAGTGGGCTGGGCTTTCTGCATAGGGTTTCACAGGGCCGATATCAAGATTTCAACTAGTCTGGGCTTTTATATGAATGCTCTAGTAAAGACTTTACTTCCATAAACATCCAGATTCTTGGCTGAATTCAATTTATTGTGGTTGTAGGACTGATGTCCTTGTTTTCTTGCTAGCTAACAGCTGGAGGAGTCACTCCACTCCTTAGGCAAGCCATATTCTTTCTCACATGACCCCTCTATCTTCAGACCAGCAACAAAGTGTAAAGTCCTTCTCACATGTTAAATCTCTGTGACATTTTCTACCTTCAGCCAGATAAAGCTCTGCACTTTAATGATTGATATAATTAAATCAATCCTACTCAGATAATCTTATCTGAAGTTTAACTTTGCTATAGAGTATCATATAATTACAATATACTCACAGGAATGATATTGTATCATATCTATAGTTTTTGTGGATTAGTTAGAAACACTTTGGGGGGAGCTACTTAAAAAATTCTACCCACCACACAATTCAGTTATGTCCATATTTAGATAAACATTGGCACTAAGTTCTTCACCACAATGTAAGATGAAAGAGAGAATGGGGAAGAACCTCACTGTCAATTCTGTGCTCATCTGGTCTTTTGGGAGGACAGAATTGTTTTAGACTTTCTGTTTCAAATTTCTGTATACAACAAAGTGGTTTTAAATATGCTCACACCTCTGCCACATTCTTAAGAATTTGTTTTCTATATTTCTGTTACTGACCCTGTTTCAGAATTCAACTCAACTATTTTTCCCTCTATGAGTAACTTCTTAATTTCCCTCTTTGGCCTTATTGAAATTGAGTCTTTCTTTATACCTTTACTGCATGTTCTACAAACTTTTGTCCTGAATTATCACTAAAATTGTTTGTACCACATTCTACCTCTCCCATGAAACTGAAAACTCTAGGGATGCACTGGTGTATGACTATAGCATTAAGCACAGTTCCTAATACTTGTGCATTTGATATGTATTTGTTGCTCAAAGGAAAGGCTGGAAGACATCGCAGCTAGTTCAGGTGGCCTTTAGGAGGCTTCCACTCACCTGCAAACATGGATAGAGGAATTCAAGGAGGGAGAAGCTTGCCTTATCCAACTGTAATTTAGATATCCCTCTATGGCATCCTTCCAGTGCTTGAGCTTAAGAATAACAGTGACAGTACTTTTTATTTAATTTTTGAATCTAGACATGTATTTCTTCAAAGTGGCTCCTGCATACTATCCTTTATTATTATTATTCTTTTTAATTTTTACAATTGCATTGGAATAGATGTACAACAAACCGTTCCCAGTGTCATATTTTTCAGTGTATGATTTGGGGACATAACCTTCTCTCAAAAATTAGGCATTTGGTTTCTACTATGTGCAAGACTGGAGTTAAGGGGATGGGACCAGAGATGTGGTATATGTACTTGAGAGTCACAGAGTACTGTGGGGAAACAGACAAGGAAAGAATTGAAGCTAATGTTATTTGGCTTGTTTTGGTAATGGGACTATGTTGGACACAGAAGCAGTGCCTCTGACCTTAGCAAAAGGCAAGGGAGAGGTTTCTATGAGAAGTGATAGCAGAATTAGCATTGTAGGACTGGTATGAGTCTTCAGGTGAAGGAGTGAGAGAGAGTTTCATACAGAAAGTTTATTTTCTCTGTAATAAAAGTACAAAAGTTTGTTGTTTGGAGTTCAAAAGGATATCAAGCTATACATAAGGAAGCAAACACAGAATACTGTTACCTGCCCTGCTGTTATTATTGAATCTGTACTCCAAAGGCAAGATTATCACAGGAATTACATTAAAAATTCTTGTGAATAACAATAAAGGCACTTTGTTTCCTTTTTGATGCTAAATACCTTTTTTTTTAAATTTCCCCCAACATTGTCCCATATTACTTTTTAAATTTTTTCACTATTAAATGTTTGATCTATACTTGAATTGCAAAAATAAACCAAAGGAGATGGTTATTGAATAGAAGTGGCACATTAGTTACTTGTAATAAAAAACTCAGCAGACCAAATAATAGGACTTCAATGGGCTTAGAAAACAAGAGGTAGATGAGGCTAGAGTTTGAATTGCAGCTCATGGTAAACTTTTCTTTGGGTCTGCTTAGAAAATATTTTTTTTCCTGACTACCTGAAGAGTTTTAAATTTGTCCTCCCTTTGACTTTGAATCTCTGTGTGTGGTGGTTTTCAGAAATTAGCTTTTATGTGATCAAACCGCTCCTTTTTGATTCTTGATTCAAAGCTTTTGTAATTATGTTCAGAGCACTGTAAAAAAAGTATAAATGCATCTCTAATGTATGGAGATTGGGAGACCAGCAGCCAAGTGAAACTCTGCAGCACAGGGAGAGAGTGTACAGAGGTCAGCGGAGCTGTTGAAAAGAATAGAAATTAGATCCTGTCAGAAAGAGGTGAAGGAATTAGACTCATCCTAAGAAAAGAGCTGGCGAAGAGGAATTTAATAATGTATCTCCTTATTTGTAGAGGCAGAATATTAGACACTTATAAGAATGTAGACAATTTGAAACCTAGCAATACCTACTACCTACTTTCCCACCTACCAACTCATGAGAAATCCAATTATTGGATATTTACTAAGTTCCTATTGCATACATAGCATTTGCTGGATATTAGCAGAAATTAATAGCAGCTCATATTACATTAATGAATATTCATGACTGAAAAGAAATAGGCACATACAAGGCAATATAGGTTGAGAGATTTTTAGACCTCAAAAATTAGAAAAGCTGTAGAATTAAGGACTCTTCTAATTATGCTCTGTGGTGTGAAAATCAATGTGTTGCCTAGAGAAGAAATTTTGAAACAACTGTATCTTGCATTTGATGTATTATTATTATTATTATTATTATTTGGTTTCTAAAATATCTACCTTTTTGCAATAAGCTCCTTGGCATATGCTCATTACTGAGGAAAATAAAACAGGTATATGACTAATTAGACTTCACCTTATCAGTTCAGGAAAAGCCTGACTACCCATTCCTTGTTATAATAAACTAATGATGCCTCCCTGCATTATATGATACGGTCAGGGTGGTTCATTACAACTTTGTTGTCTTATTCCATAAATGTCAAGCAATTAAAGGTGAAAGCTTTACCTTCACATTTGTTTTGGAGATGGGTTTTAAATAGTTCAATGTGGTCACATTATTGTAAGATAGCAGCAACAGTTTCTTCATGATACCAAATGTCTAGTAGAAAAGTCTAAAAACCTATTTTAGAACATCTATTTATTTTTGTTTATAAAATAAGAAGTAAGAAATTAAAATATGCCCTTATATTCTGATTGTTTGTATATGTCAGGTGTTCAGCTCAATATTTCTACTGGTAATTTTGAGTTTCTGCTAATATATCCTAAATTAAAGGTTTTTAATATTCCACATCGTCTAACTTGAGGGGTCACTAGTGGATGCCTACATGTGGATTATCTTTAGTATGTTTTATTTTTAAAAAATCATTTTCCTTTCATTTTCTTCCCTTCATGTTGAAATTAGTTGTTTCTATGCTAATACGAGAATAATAAAATGAAAAAGAAAGGGAACTGAAATTAGCCAGACCTGGGTTTGTGTCCAATTGCCCCATTTCTGTGTGTAAGATATTGAACAGTTTACATAGGCTTTTTGTGATTGAGGTTAACCTGTAATATGGGAATTATTAGCATCCAGCCAAAATGAAGGATGTGTGGTAAAGCTTAACTGATATAATAATGTGTTGTATTTAGAAGAATGTGTTGTACCTAGCAGGTATTCAATAAATATTACTGTTTCTTCTCTTGTTATGGTTGCTATTTCATTTTGCTTGGCCTGTCTCCTTTAACTTACAGTGTTTTTTTAGGTAGTTGAACACTGAAATAATAATTAAAAGACAAAGTATATAGAAAATGTGGTTTTCCTTTCTCATTAATCTGTCAGTCACAGAGTTAGGTCACTGAAACATCAAATTTAAAGCTCCAAAAGATCTCACAAATAATTTTGTACACGTTCCCCATTTTTTAGATGAGGAAAAATTTCTCAAACCTCCAAACTCACCCAGCCTGTCATCTCTAACTTCCTATTCAATTCCAGAAGGAACAGTTGGGGAGCTGAAATAGGAGAGGGATTTCTATGTCAGCTTTGCATTTTTCAACTCATTATTATAGAAATCTATTTCAGTGAGACTTTAATAATTTTATGGATAATCGTATGAGCCAGTCACACATATTCTATAACCATAATCTAAAACATCTTTTCCAATAGTTTGTTTTAGGAAACAATATTTCTACAAGAAGTTACACATAGAGAGATCGCCATAACTAAAAAACTTTGAAAATATTAAACTGAACTAAGTTGAACAAGTTTGTCCATAGATGACATATGGAAAGTCATGAACATCTTCAAAGAACTGTGCCTGCCGGTGGGTGTACAAGTGTGTGTGCTGGAGGTATTATACTATTGTGTAGTTCACAAAGCTAACCATAAAGTGGGGTAAAACAAAAATTGTCTTTTTGTCTGCTTAACTCTAAACAGTTAGCTTATCCTGTCAGTGGATTATTTTAATTTTTAAAAAAGAAAGTCAGTGAAACAGTATTCAACATATATTATAAAAACTATTTAATTATATTTATAAAAACTATTCATTGATTATAGAAACTATTGTTTAGGAAACAACACATATAACAGAGGAGTAAGAAATGGTGTTATGGCATTTATTGAATTCTGAAGAAACATGTACTGATAATATGAGGCTACGTCTGAACTGGGGCAGCAGCAGGGGCAGTGGGCTTAGTTGCAGAAATTTAATGTTTGGTGAAGTAAAACAACTACCCAAATAGTAGTTGTTTTTAAGCATCTGGGCAGTCCTTTTAAAATTTAAGTTTAAAGATATTAAAGTCACTATTCACAATAGCAAAGACTTGGAACCAACCCAAATGTCCAACAATGATAGACTGGATTAAGAAAATGTGGCACATATACACCATGGAATACTATGTAGCCATAAAAAATGATGAGTTCATGTCCTTTGTAGGGACATGGTTGAAGCTGGAAACCATCATTCTCAGCAAACTATCGCAAGGACAAAAAACCAAACACTGCATGTTCTCACACATAGGTGGAAACTGAACAATGAGAACACATGGACACAGGAAGGGGAACATCACACACCAGGGACTGTTGTGGGGTGGGGGAAGGAGGGAGGGATAGCATTAGGAGATATACCTAATGCTAAATGACGAGTTAGTGGGTGCAGCACACCAACATGGCACATGTATACATATGTAACAAACCTGCACGTTGTGCACATGTACCCTAAAACTTAAAGTATAATAATAATAAAATAAAAAAAGATATTAATGCTGCTTTCCCATAGAAGACATTTAGAGCATTTTTACAATTCTTTTAAAAAGTTAGCTATACATTTCCCGTGAATAAGAAAACTTAAAATTCAGCTTGTAATAATGCAGACTGTTCTGAAATAATTTTTTAGAAGAAAAATGTAAGAACATTTATTCTAAGAATAATGAGAAAACAAATACAGTATCAGTTGAGATTTTATTCTTGTTACCATGGGAGACATGACAACGGTCCTGCTAGAGCATGATTAAAGGGTTAAAGTGAATGAGAAGATTAAAGAAAAAAAACCAGACAGACCCAGAGGGAAAAGAAAGCCACAAGAAAATAGGTCCACTAATGAATGAGGAAGGGCATGAAATTAATGATGACTCTAAAACGTTTGAGTTATTGAACTCATTTTTAAAATCTGCCTTTAACAATAGAAATGAAGCAAAGAAATATAGACAATTAGGGAGTAATGAAGATGTTGAAAATATTGCTCTAGCCAATGTGAAGATAAGGGAATTCCTTACTTGGTAGTCATTACAAGACTCACATCACCCTGAGTTATTTAGGGGATTAGGCAGCATGTTTACTGATCCACGAATATTTATTCTTAGAAAATGAAAGAATGTTAGCATATTGAGAAATATGGAAATAACAGGCTCTTGAAAAGTATTGGAAACTTCTGCTCAAGAAGGTGAGCATCAGCAAAGTGTAGCATTTGATACTCCTGGAAAATATTAAGCATGAGAAATAGGCAGAGTGCTTTCAACGAGAATAAAACAGGCTCAATGAATGTACAGTTTTTTTCATCACAAATCCACGAAAGATATTGAAAAGAAAATATGTAAGTCAAACACTTGGACATCAGGATAATTTCTGATTTGGTGAGTCACCCAATTGTGCATACAAAATTAATCAGAGTGAATTAAAAAAGTGGGGTTTAATCATGGTCTTGGAATCAGGTTAAAGATCATCATGAGTGATAAAAATAAAGCAAATTATATAAATGATTAATGGGCTCAGTATGGGCCAGTACTAATTCTGTTTTGTGTAAAGGCTTTATTGTTTGTGACTAGTAAAACATTTAATGAATTGTTTGAAATATTTTTAAGTGGTTATTATTCACTTAAAGCCAGGAAAACTTACAAAAGCAACAAAGAGACAAAAATAATAAAAGCAAAACTATAAGTATCTAAGTAAAGAATTATATTTATAAAAAGAAGGAGAATAAGAGTTCTCAAGAATTCAAGAGTCATTCTTACAGGTGGAGAACTTATGCGGCATCTTGCAGTTTAAATGAGATAGAAGTTCAACAATGTCAAACAACCTCTTCCCTAATAATATGATTCTATACCTAGAAAACCCTAAAGGTGCTGCCAAAAAGTTCCTAGAACTGATAAACAACTTCACCAAATTTCAGAATACTAAATCGATGTAAAAGATCAGTAGCATTTATATACACCAATAGCATTCAAGCTGAGAGCCAAATAATGAAAGCAATCTCATTTACAATAGGGACACACACACAAAATGCCTAGGAATACATCTAACCAATGAGTTGAAAGGTCTCTACAGGGAGAACTACAAAACACTGCTGAAAAAAATATTAAATGGCACAAACAAGTGGAAAAACATTCCACACTTATGGATTATAAGAATCAATATCGTTTAAATAGCCATACTGCCCAAAGCCATCTATAAATTTAATGGTATTCCTGTCAAATTACCAATGTCATATTTCACAGAATTAGAAGAAATTATTCTAAACTCATACGGAACAAAAAAGAGTCCAAATAGCCAAGGAAATTCTAAGCGAAAAGAACAAAGCTGGAGGCATCACACTGCCAGTTTTCAAACTATACTATAAGTCTGCAGTAACCAAAACAGCATAGTTCTGGTATAAAAACAGGCCAGCCAGGTGCAGTGGCTCATGACTGTAATCCCAGCACTTTGGGAGGCTGAGGCGGGTGGATCACTTGAGGTCAGAGCTCAAGACCAGCTGGGCATGGTGGCCCACACCTGTAGTCCCAGCTACTCGGGAGGCTGAAGCAGGACAATCACTTGAACCCAGGAGGAAGAGACTGCAGTGAGCCAATATCACATCACTGCACTCCAACCTGGGTGACACAGCAAGATTCCATTTCAAAAAAAAGCCAATGAAACAGAATAGAGAACCCAGAAATAAGTCTGCTATTTGATCTTTGACAAAATCAACAAAAATAAGCAATAGGGAAAGGACTCCCTACTCAAAAGCTGGCTAGACATATGCAGAAGAATGAAACTAGAACCTTACATTTCACCATATACAAAAATTAACTCAAGATGAATTAAAAATTTAAATGTAAGATCTCAAACTATAAAAATCCTAGAAGAAAATCTAGGAAACACTATTCTGGACACTGTCTTTGGGAAAAAAATGTATGACTAAGTCCTCAAAAGCAATTGCAAGGAAATGAACACTTGACAAGTAGGATGTAATTAAACTAAGGAGCTTTGGTACAGCAAAATAAACTAACAAGAGAGTAAACAGGCAATCTACAGAATGGGAGAAAATATTCACAAACTATGCATTCAAAAAAAGTCTAATACCCAGAATCTGTGAGGAACTTAAGCGATTCAACAAGTGAAAGCCAAATAACCCCATTAAGAAGTGGGAAAACAATATAAACAAACACTTTCAAAAGAAGACAGACAAATGGACAACAAACCTATGAAAAAATGCTCAAGATTACTAAGTATTAGAGAAATGCAAATCAAAACCACAATGAAATACTATCTCACACCAGTCAGAATGGCTACTACTAAAAAAGTAAAACAAACAAACAAACAATAACAACAACAAAATTGTCAGCGAGGCTGCAGCAAAACGGGAATGCTTGTATGCTATTGGTGGAAATGTAAATTAATTCAGCCACCGTGGAAAGCAGTTTGGAGATTTCTCAAAGAACTTAAAACAGAACTACCATTTGACCCATCGATCTCGTTACTGGGTATACATCCAAGAGAAAATAAATTGTTCTACCAAAAGACACATGCACTCATATGTTCATCACAGCACTATTAACAATAGCAAAGACATGGAATTAACCTAGCTGTCCATCCTTGGTGGGCTGTATAAAGAAAATGTGATACATATACACCATGGAATACTACAAAACCATAAAAAAGAAAGAAATTATGTCTTTTGCAGCAACATAGATGCAGCTGGAAGCCATTATTACAAGTGAATTAATGCAGAAACAGAAAACCAAATACATGTTCTCACTTATAAGTGGGAGATGAACACTAGCTACTCATTTATATAAAGATGGCAATATTAGACACTGGGGACTGCAAGAGGGGAGAGGGAGGGATGGGGACAAGGACTGATAAATTAGCTATTGACAAGTTTGCTCACTACCCGGGTGATGGGATCAATCATACCCCAAACTTCGCATCACACAATATACCCATGTAGCAAACCTGCACATGTAACCCGGAATCTAAAATAAAAGCTGAAATTCTATAAAACAACAACAGTGTGACAGCAGCAATAATGAAAGGATATACTATTTTTTTCCTTGCTCTTATATTAAATTCTCTCAATGCTAGAAAGACTAGTTGATGTTTTTCTCCATCTAATCAATAAGCAGCATGAGAAACATTGTATCCTAAGAACTACAGAGTCATAGCTACGCTGTGAGAAAGAAAAAGCAGAATTATACATAAGAAATTCTAAAAATGAGTAAGAAAGTGGCATTCACAAGTTAGACAATCATGAGCATTTTAGTTTACCTCTGGGCTCTAAGCTTTTTCAAGGAAATTTAGAGGAAATACCCAAATTATAAAGTAGCAAGACTAGGAAAAGGAACAACAGATGAAAACTTTTGGTTGGATCGCTGCAAATAAATGCTGATTAACATAAAAATGAGAATCATAACATTTGAAATGGAGCAAAAGATTAGAACAAGCAGTAATGATTTAATATTTCAAAGGAATAACTCGTGTATACGATGAAACTTGCTGTTATATGGGAAAGCTAAGATGTGACTGCACTAACCCTGAGAGAGTGACATGGTGAGCCTTTTGAAACCTCTTCTATTTCACTTGTGAGATGGGTGCATATGCTACCATTAGTTACTCTCCAGTTCAAGTGTTTTAAGCCTCTGTTGTTGAGGAAAAGTCACAACTTTTTAAAGGGGATGTATTATATATTTTTTCTATTATATTTAACCAAAACACTTCCTCTGTGCTAATGAGAGCTCTATTGCATCAAACACTTGCCATGGCAGATACACCACGCCCATTATCACAGCCGTTCACATCACCCCTCCAGGGCAGGAATTGTTATCTAGGCATCACAAATAAGAAGAATGACATAAACTCTAAGTAGCATTTCCAGTGTCACCCAGCATGGAGGTGGTGAGGCTGAACAACAAACTCAGGTAATAGGCTCCCAAACCCTTGTTCTTGCCCCACCCACTGCCTAATACCAAGACCAACTTAAAGATCACAATAAAGACTTAAGGAGCTCCTTTCACTCTCTGACAATGTCCTCACTTAAAAGGAAGTGAAATGGGTTTTTGTCAGAGTCTGTGATCTAATTGGAACAGCCCAAAGGGATTGCTATTAATGAAGACATATTCTTCTCTTGAAATACCTTTGTCGTAGTGGTCTAGTAGTCACAGTTCTCAGGATGGCCTTTGACCATACCATTGCAGCATTTCCATACAAACATATTTGTAGCAGTTCCATACAAACAGATGCTGCCTGGAACTCCCAGGGCAGGACAGTTGCAGTTGTGTGCTAAACAACTATGGTTTTCTGAATGAAATGTAGCAAAAGAAATAGAGGAGCTTCTGCTTTGTATACCTGCATGGCAGATTTATATACACATTATATTACACATGCATGTCATCTCAGCAACCTGTGATTTCAGATTTATGTATGTATGTATGTTTGAGATGGATGAGTCTCACTCTGTTGCCCAGGCTGGAGTGCAGTGGTGCAATCATGGTTCATGGTAGCATCAAACTCTTGGGCTCAAGTGATCCTCCTGCTTCATCCTGCCAAGTAACAGAGACTGCAGGCAGGGACCACCATGCCTGGTTAATTTTGAAAAAAATTTTTAGAGATGGGGTCTCACTGTTACCCAGGCTCGTCTCGAACTGCTGGCATCAAGCAACCTTCCTGCCTCAGCCTCCTGAGGTATTTTAGATTCCTAATTCAAGTTTTTGGGGATTTAGACCACATGTCTTATTATTCAGAACATTTGTTGATGGAGACTTAGATGTCACTAGGTTCCCTAGAAGTTCAATGCTTTGCTGAGCATACTGCTAAATACAAATATTAAGTTAATTAACCAAGTAGTCAATTCATGCATTATTCAGAGAATCACTCTGCAAGCATGTCCTAAGCTCCTACAATGTGTCAGGCACTGCTTCCAGCCATGCAAACACGAAGCAAAAAGGCACTGACTCTGGGAATCCTTAGCCTCTAACCAGTGAACCTACTACATTATGAGACAGATCACAAGACTTTCTTGATATTTGTCAAAACACCAAAGCTTACTAATAATTTTCCTATTATATAAAGTGAAGTAAATTCAAGGTTTTTCTTTCAATAATGTAAGTTTTACTACCATGGTTTCTAATATAGTTTCCTGCATGTGGAAACAATTGAGTTATTGAGATAGGGTAAGAAATAGCTTATAACATTGAATATTACTGGGACTGTGTTGGGACTATGTTGTATAAGTGGACTTTGTGGATAAAACAGGAAAACTAAAACTAAAATTGAAACCACTGGTTGTTGGAAAGAAACAGGTATATGGATGACAAGGCAACCATAAGCAATATGTCACACAAAAGTTCTGTGGAAGCACAGAGTAGACTGGGAAAGTTTCCTACAGAAGGTAGAGTTTAAAGTAGTCTACAAAAAACAAATCAGAATCATGAGCCCACCAGTGCAATAGTCTAGGGCAGGGAAATTGATCGCTACTGTGAATATATGCAATGGTTTTGTCTTAATGGACCATAGTTTGTAGATAAAAACTGAAATGAGCTAAGTTGGGAAGGGTTTCTGAAGACATTTTAAAACCATGCTAAGGAAATTTTGGACTACACAGTGTAGTCATTGGCAAGCCCACATATCACCGTAAAAAAGGAGAAGACATCACCTTTTTCATATGGCTTCTTTTCAAGATGCAATTATAAACTAGTTCTTCTGGGTGAAGAAGCTTTTGGGTTTTTCCAGTCAGCTCTTACAGTATGAGTGAGTGGAGTCTCAGACTGTGAATTGCCCTCCTTCAAGAGATATTTGAGTCTCATCGACCACAAAATGTCTATCCCTCTGTCCATCATTCACTGCCCAAGGTATAAACTCCCAAGCATTTCACCCCCACTGCACAATCAACTCAAACCACTCTAAATGTCCTGCCCCACCCAAAGCCATTAATGCTACCTCCAATTCTCAGATACTTTTCTATGCCCTTGAAGATTCTACCTTTTAACTAGAAAATTCTCATAGATACTTAACCCCTTCCCTTGAGAGTATATTGACTAAAACATGACTCTTACCTCGTACACTTTCTTTTGAAACCTCTGCAAGCTGCACACCTCACTCATCTCAGAGAAGCCTGAATATTTTGTAATGAATTAGGTTTCCAGATAGATACGGGAGGATTATGGATTTTCAGGCAGGTTACATTTAGCCCACATAGAAGATCAGGGAAACTAATGGGGACCAACCTGTTTAGGAAGTCTTATGCAGGCAGAGAGGGCCTAGCACTTAAGAAATCAGATATTCCATAAAAGCAATAATAACAAACAGACTTAAATCCTAACTGCGAGTCATTGATGCTCTTCTTTCCAGAATGCCAACACTTCTGTATAAAGACCAGATTTAATAAGGTTTGTAAAGCCCCTGGTTTGCTCCCAAACAGGTCCAGTTTAAACATTGAGCCTTCATGGAGTTGTGTGCTATATCCATAGTGAATTCCTTTTAATAACCCAATGTGACAAAATATGTGATATTCTTCCTGTTCTTCTGTCTGAAACATCCTTTCCCATCCAACACTTTTTTTACTCACCTGTCTAACTCCTACTCACTTTGCAAATGGAAGTTAAAAATGTTACTTGATGCTGACAGGCTGACCTGATTCCCCAGGTGAGGATTAGATGTCCCTGCTGTGAGATTTCATACAGTTTATACTTTCCCTCATTTAATTAGCTGACATGCTGCACCACCATTGTTAGTTTCATGCTCCTTGATTCCCAGCATTCAAAATAGTGTTTGGGACCATCAGTGCTCAGTACATCATTTTTCAACAATTAAATTAGTTGAACAAATATATAATTGAATAAATGAATGGCTAAATTAGTGAATTGATGGATATGAAGATACTTGCTACTGGCTTCTGAGTGTAAGTTTTGCCACAGAGATAGTTATTATGTATGAAAATAAGGAAGTCAGCAGAACGATCTCAGATCAAAAGAAATATACTAACTTTATACTCCATTAATTCTTGCATTTATTCATTCATCCAATGTTTTTTGAATGCCTAGTTGTTATGGCAAAAGTCAGCTTTACATTTTTTATTTATTTAAATATTTATTGGATGCTTATTGTTATGTGACAAAGTATCTTTGCTCCTTTGTTCCAACAATTTATTTGTTGTTTTTTGTATATTCTAGGAGCCAATAATTAGCTAAATCCATAAAAAATCTGCCTGTTGTACATACAGCTCAGATGCTTAAGAGCTTGTTAAAGATTTCTTTTCTCTTTCTTTTGAAGTAATTTAAAAGCAAGAGAAAAACTGTCAAATTAAGGCAGTGTGTACTTTTCAATGAAGAATTGACCTGCACATGCATATATAAAATAAGTGGTTGCAAATCAATAGGTACATTAGCTGCTCTTTTTTCTGTATGAAATGCTCATAGGTGGTGTGTTGATCAGCATTCAGATCAGCTTCAGGCCTGGGACTGAAGCAAAGCTCTGTTGATATATAGAATGTTATATAAGCTCCACCATACACAAGAGCTACTTCAAGAGTTGAAACATTTTGTTTAATATAGAGATTTTAAAAATTCAAGGAGAAGCTGGGCACGTGTAAATGACACTAGTTATTTTAAATTAGAGCTTCAAATTCCAGATATTTAGTCAAACAAATTAAATTGTCTTAAAGGTAGAGGGAAGTTTCTAGATAGAAGGAGGATTCCTGAAAATACTAGAGTCCATTTCTAATAAATCCCATGCCTTGTCGGTACCTGCAGCATCATTCTCCCTGAGCTTGGAGCTAGGTGATTACCTGTCTACGAATGACTTACTGACTTACCTTTGACATACATACCAAAGCATGGAAGAAGCAGATTTTGTCCAAAGAAACATATAAATATCTTGGCGAATTTATATAGTGTCTTTATCAGCATAGCAGGCAAAAGATAGAGGAAGAAAAACATAGAAGAAGGTTGCATGTGAAATGATTAATACAAGTCTACAACCTGAGGTGGGTTTGGATTATAACTGCTTATACATTAGATGGGATTCTTCATTCCAACCAGAAGCAATTTTCAGCATTTTTCCAGGTATATACCTAAGTAAGAGCCCTCCTTCTCTTGCTTAGACTGCAGATATTATACCTTTTCTTGTTTTTGACTTATGTCTTGAGAAATAATTATGGCGAATATTTCTACCATGAACATTCATCCATAGTTTTTGTTGGAACAACTATTTTCAATTACTTTGGATATATATGTAGAAGTGAAGTTGCTGGGTCATAAAGTAATTGTATGTTTAACTTTAAGAGGAACCACAAAACTGTTTCACTGAATGATTTTTTATCAGAGAAATAACATGGCATAATTTATTATTTAAAAGGTCATTATTATTGCTATGAGGAAAATAGACTGCAAAGGATCAAGGCAGAAGCAGGAAAACAACATGGGATTTAATTGCAATAATCCAAGTGAAAGATGATAATGCCTCAAACCAGGATATAAGCAATGGAGAAGAGTGAGAAGTGGTTCAGCTTTTTACATTAAAAAAAGAGTTGGGCAGGGCACAATGGCTCATACCTGTAATCCTAGCACTTTGGGAGGCCAAGGCAGGCAGATCAGGAGGTCAGGAGATCAAGACCATCCTGGCTAACATGGTGAAATCCCGTCTCTACTAAAAATACAAAAAAATTAGCTGAGTGTGGTGGCATGCACCTGTAATCCCAGCTACTCAGGAGGCTGAGGCAGGAGAATTGCTTCAACCTGGGAGGCAGAGGTTGCAGTGAGCCAAGATCAAGCCACTGCACTCCAGGCTGGGTGACACAGCAAGACTCTGTCTCAAAAAAAAAAAAAAAATAGTTGGCAGGATTTATTGATGGTTTGGTCATGAGAGAAAAAAAGAAAGTTTGAAAAGATGACTGAAAGGTTACTGGCTTGAGAAATTAAATGATTCAAATATCCAATTACTGATAAAGGGGAAACTGTGAAGCACTACATTCAGGGGGTTAAACAAGGGTTCCTTGTTGTATTTGCTAAATTAGTGATGTTTATTCAACATTGGTATCAAACATCTATTACTATGTAACAAACCACAATACCACTTAATGGCTTATTTGATCATGAATCTCTGTATCAGCAATTTGAGCTGAACTCAGCTAAGTAGCTCACCTGGCCTCACCTAGGGTCACTCACATGGGTGGAATAGACTGATGGATTAATTGGGGACTGGTTGACCTAGGAGACCCCTTATGGATTGACCACATCTCGTCTTCATGATTTTGCCCACTTACAAGATAGCCCAGGCTTTTTTCACATGGAAGTCTCAGAGCAGCAAGAGAGATAAAGAGTAGAAACTGCAAGGTCTTTTGAGCCTTTGGCTTACAACTCCCATAATGTCCCTTCCACTGCAAGCAACTGGTAAAATCAAGTCACAAAGAAGATTAATTCTCTTGGTGGGATCATCAAATAAATGCTGCATAGCAAAGGGGGATGCAAAAGCAGAAGGATTTAGTACCTTTTTTAACTTTTTTTTTTTTTTTTTTACAATCTACTACACCATCAAAGTGGAGATATTAGGAACATATTTAGTTACATACACCTGAAGTCGAGGAGAGAAGGCTGAGTCTTGATGTCCAAAATTTAAAAACCAATGGGATAACGAGGACATAAAAAAGTGCATTCGATAGATTATCAGTAAGGTAGGAGGAAACCGAGACAAGTATGTCCAAAAGTTAAATTTCATGTTGCAAATTGCACCAGAAATGACTGTGCATTTGTTGTTTATATAGTCTTTAATGGCTTTTCTGGCAGTTAAGTCTCTTTGAAGTTATCTGACCAGTTTATAATGGTAACTGTTTTCTCTTTGGCCTTAGGCTAAGAGAGGGGAAGTAGTTTATTTGAATACCAAAATTCTTCCCTATTAAGCTCATTAAAAGAGATCTGAACTTCCATTAATATCCAGGGAAACTAGGCCAGAAATTCTCTGCAATGCTAATGGGAGCTGTGAATTTGAATTTTCATTGAAGTAATAAGGCCATGTGTTTTAAATACTGGTAAAACTTTGTGGTGAGGGCAACTGAAAGACATTCACTTTAAAAATATGTTAAAATGTGTAATATTTATGAAGCATCTTTCTATACATAAGATCATTTTAGGTCTATACAATTATGCAAAATTGAATGAAGCATTTAATCTGTTTCAAACAAGTTGCCATTTAAATAAGACAACATAGGTAATAAAATATGCTAATGGAAGAGTGATCATGCTCACACACAGGCATATATATGCAAAGCATAGAAAGATATACTCAGCAATAGAATACAGAAAAGAAGTCATAGAAAATAAAAGAGTATCAGGTAGTCAGAGCAAAGTTCCTAAAAGCTAGTAATGCCCATCAACAAAGGTCTTAGTCTAATAAAAGCCCAAGTTGTTATGGCTTTTATGTAATGAGCCAAGCACCATCATTCTAAATACATCCATATATTAATTTACTTAATCTTCATGGCAACCAACATTTTTTGTGCCTGCACCACATTGAATAGGTACATCTGTTTTCAGTGCATGTCACCAGCCCCTCCTGAGACAAACATGCTGTGGTATCTCTCTGTTTTCCTGCCTTTCAGACTGTCTCCGAAGCCTTGGAAAGTCACTCAGCCTGCGTACAGATGCAGATTGGGAGCAATTCTCAACCAATGGGAGACAGGAATCCGTAGATAGATACTTCAGCTTTCCTTTCCTTAGAAGGATCATTTTAAGATGCATTCTATGTGGGTTCTTGGACAATCCTCAGAGGGATTAAGCTTCAGATGTCTACCACAGAAACTAGCTCAGGGATGCATCTTCTATTGCCTTTTCTCCCTGCACTGTTTCATTATATTCTTCTCTTTACTTGCTGTGATTATCTCTTTCTTAAACTAACTGCATCCAAATTCATGTCCATTGCATCCACTGTTTTTGAAGAATTCAAACTGAAACATGAACAAATCTTCCATACTTCAACAGATTAAAAAAATGAAGTTTAAACATTTAAGAGCTTGATCAAAATCACCTACAGAAATAATTGGAATCCAAATTGGCCTCTGATCTTCTAGCATTAAGTAATACCAAATCTCTCAACCTCAGGATTTTTATTATTTAATTGTTATAGGCAATTAAATATGTATAGACTCAACCGTGAAATTCTATAGCTTATAATTTCTTGTGATTAAAAAAGGAGAAAAACATTTCTCTATAAGAATTTAACATCTAGATTGAAGGAACACATCTCAAAATAATAAGAGCCATAAATGACAAACCCACAGTCAGAATCATACCCAGTGGGCAAAAGCTGGAAAGCATTCCCCTTGAAAACAAGCACAAGACAAGGATGGCCATTCTCACCACTCCTATTCAACAAAGTATTGGAAGTTCTGGCCAGGGCAATCCGGCAAAAGAAATAAAGGGTAATCAAATAGGAAGAGAGGAAGTTAAATTACGTTTGTTTGCAGATGACATGATCCTGTTTCTAGAAAACCCCATCATCTCAAACTAAAAGCTTCTTAAGCTGATGAGCAACTCTAGCAAAGTCTCAGGATAAAGAATCAATGTGCAAAAATTGCTAGCATTCTTATACACCAACAACAGGCATGCAGAGAGCCAAATCATGAATGAACTCCCGTTCACAATTTCTACAAAGAAAATCAAATACCTAGGAATACAGCTAACAAGGGAAGCGAAGGATCCTTTAAATGAGAACTACAAATCACTGCTCAAGAAAATCGGAGAGGACACAGACAAATGGAAAAACATTCCATTCTCATGGATAGGAAGAATGAATATCGTGAAAATGGCCATCCTGTCCAAGGTAATTTATAGATTCAATGCTATTCCCATTAAACTCTCATTGACATTCTTCACAGAATTAGAAAAAAACTATTTTAAAATTCATTTGGAACCAAAAAAAGAGCCTGTATAGCCAAGACAATCCTAAGCAAAAAGAACAAAGCTGGAGGCATCATGTTCTCCAACTTCAAACTATACTACAGGGGTACAGTAACAAAAACAGCATGCTACTGGTACAAAAACAGAAACATGGACAAATGGAACAGAATAAAGAGCTCAGAAATAAGACCACACACTCAGAACCATCTGATCTTTGAAAAACGTGACTAAAACAAGCAATGAGGAAAAGATTCTATTTAATAAATGGTGCTTGGGGGAACTGGCTAGCCCTAGGCAGAAAATTGAAACTGGACCACTTCCTTACACCTTACACAAAAATTAACTCAAGACGAATTAGAGACTTAAATGTAAAACCCCAGCTATAAAAACCCTAGAAGAAAATTTAAGCAATACCATTCAAGACATAGGCAGGGGAAAGATTTCACGATGAAAACACCAAGAGCAATTGCAACAAAAGCCAAAATTGACAAATGGGATCTAATTAAACTAAAAAGCTTCTGCACAGGAAAAGAAACTGCCATCAGAGTGAACGGACAACCTACAGAATGGGAGAAGATTTTTGCAATCTATCCATCTGACAAAGATCTAATACCCAGAGTCTATAAGGAACTTAACTAATGTACAAGAATTAAAAAGCAGGCAGAGGACATGAACTGGCACTTCTCAAAAGAAGACATACATGCAACCAACAAGCATATGGAAAAAAGCTCAGCACCACTGATCATTAGAGAAATGAAAATCAAAACTACAATGAGATACCATCTCACACCAGTCAGAATGGTTATTATTAAAAAGTCAAGAAACAAGAGGTACTGGTGAGGCTGCAGAAAAATAGAAACATTTTTACACTGTTGGTGGGAATGTAAGTTAGTTCAACCACTGTGGTAGACAGTGTGGTGATTTCTCAAAAGTTTAGAAGTAGAAATACCATTTGACCTGGTAATTCCTTTACTATCTACCCAGAGGAATATAAACCATGCTATTATAAAGATACATGAATGCATATGTTCATTGCAGCACAATTCACAATAGCAAAGACATGGTATCAAC
This sequence comes from Homo sapiens, assembly GCF_000001405.40. Taxonomy (NCBI): domain Eukaryota; kingdom Metazoa; phylum Chordata; class Mammalia; order Primates; family Hominidae; genus Homo; species Homo sapiens. Next base: position 35,254,337 of record NC_000003.12, read on the forward strand.
CCAAATGTCCATCAGTGATAGACTGGATAAAGAAAATGTGGTACATATTCACTATGGAATACTATGCAGCCATAAAAAGGAACAAGATCATGTCCTTTGCAGAGACATGGATGGAGCTGAAAGCTGTTATCCTCAGCAAACTAACACAGGAACAGAAAACCAAACACCGCATGTTCTCACTTGTAAGTGGAAGCTGAACAATGAGAACACATGGACACATGTGGGGAGCAACACACACTGGGGCCTGTTGGAGGCGTAGTGAGAGGAAGAACATCAGGAAGAACAGCTAATGGACACTAGGCTTAACACCTAGGTAATGGGTTGAACTGTGCAGCAAACACTCAGGTACACGTTTACCTATTTAACAAACCTGCACATCCTGCACATGTACCCCAGAACTTAAAATAAAAGTTGATGAACAAAAAAAAAGAATTTAACACCCAGGACACTGAATATTCTGGAGCAGAAGAGCTGTCACATTTCCTACTATTTGCTAAAGGAATATCTTCATATTTTAATATTGGAATGTTTTATTTCAAGAAATGCTGCATTGAAAAACTCTATTTTTAGGACTTTTAAACACAGTGTACTTTGAAATCCCTGACTCTTAGTTAAGATGCTTCCTCTCAGATTTACAGGAACCTAGTACAACAATTATAACCTACATTAGTCTAGTGTTTTACTGCTTGAGTGCAAGCACATATGTTACTTCATTTAAGTGTTGCAACAAGCTGAGAGGGTACATGGAGTCGTTTTACAGATGAGGAATCTCAATTGCAGTGACTGTGTCTTGTCCACGCTAATGTTCTTGGCAAGTGCCTAGCCAGGTAATGAATCTAGGTCTTCTCGTAAATCCAGGGCAGCCCTCTGTCTGCTGCAGCACAGCCATTTATGAAGTCTTTGATGATAGCAATGCCGAGGAAAGCAGTAAAGAATGAACTCTAAGTGGGCAGTTTAGAAAGGAGATGGTTTAACTGAGTTTATAGATAGCTGCTTCTCATGAATTGGCATCTTTTATTCTCTGCATTTCCAGAGAATAAGTAGATGCATAGAGAAGATTGGTTCTAATGAAAGTTATAGAAAAAAATATGGTGCTGTCATATCAAGTACTCAAATTTTAGACCCTGACAGGAATAGAAAATTACTTAATTCCTCCACTATTAATTCCTACCACTTATCTTTCTTCAATCTCTGGACCCTCAAGGCTTATCTTTCAAGTGGGACTGATAACACTGTATCAAACAACGTAAGTGAACTTGCTCATCTACCATAAAGCAGAGTCAAATCGTAAGTTGCTGTATTGTTACCTTTTGCTAATTTCAAGTTGCTATCTCTCAATAAAATTGAAAGGGGAAGAAAAGAATCTGTGTAAGAGTATTTAGCATTTGTCCTTTCTTAAAAGTCAGAGAAAACATTTTTAAATTAGTCTTTCAATCCAACTAGTTGCAGAGGGCAAGATTTTCTATGTTCTTCATCTTTTCACCTCACCTGAGGAGCAAGAAATCCTTTAAATCTGCACGACATTTTTATGAGGTCTTAACAAGTCAAAAATCCCTAGCTTTTCAATCTGATCTTCCATGTCATAGCCTCTGCTCTGTTCTGTTGACACTGTCTCCTTCCTCTCTACAAGTGCTTTATTTTTGATTGTGGAAAAATACATAACATAAAATTTACCATCTTAACCATTTATAAGTGTACAGTGTTCAGCAGTGTTGTTAAAAATATTCGCATTTATTGCAAAATGTTCCAATTTTTTCATGTTACAAAACTTAAGTTTTATACTCATTTAACAACAACTCGCCATTTTCCCCTCCTTCCAGCCCCTGGCAACCATCATTTCACTTTCTGTATCTATGAATTTGACTATTCCAGATACCTCATATAACTGGAATCCTACAGCATTTGCCTTTTTATGACTGGGCCATTTCACTTAGCATAATGTCCTCAAGGTTCATCCATATTGTAGCATGTGTCAAAATTTATTTCTTTTTTCCTTTTCCTGAATGATATTCCATTGCGCACATATGCCACATTTTATTTATTTATTTATCCATAACAAATGCTTGGTTTGCTTTCACTCCTTGGCTATTTTAGTGCTGCTATGAACATGGTATTCAGATACCTCTTTAAAATCCTGCTTTCAATGCTTTTGCCTATCCATCCAAAAGTAGAATTGCTGGATCTTATAATACCTATCATTAATTTTTGGAGTAACCTCCATACTGTTTTCCAGAATGGGTGCACCATTTTTTATTTCCACCAAAAGGGTATAAGTGTTACAATTTCTCCACAAGCTCACCAACAACTGTTATTTTCTGTGTATTCTTTTTGTTTATGTTTTGTTTTTCTTGTAGCTATTCTAATGGGTGAGATGTTAGCCTCATTGTGGCTTTGATTTGCATTTTCATAATGATTAGTAATGTTGAACATCTCTTCATATGCCTGTAGGCCATTTGTATTTCCTCTTTGGAGAAATGGCTATTCAACGTTTTTTTCTCATTTAAAAAATATAGAATGCTTCATGAATTTGTGTGGCACCTTTGCACATGAACTGTGCTAATCTTCTCTCTGTGTATCCAATTTTAGTACATGTGCTATCAAAGTAAGCCCCCAAGTTGTTGATTCTTAATGAGACTTTTCAGTGCTGAATCTTTCTCTTCTTAAGAACCCCCCACTATCCACCTACACTCAATAATTTTCCTTACTAAAAATATAGAAGGAAATGTGTTTATATCATAAAATTTATTTTTGCCCATGTTCAATTTATCAGCCCTGTTCATTGCTTGATCATTTAGTCTTTGAGTTTTTGGTTTTGTTTTGCCTTATGCTTGTTCGTGTCACTAGGTTTAGGGGATTTTAAGATCTGGCTTAATTCTGCCACCTTAAATGGCTTGATACAGGTGAATATGAGTTAGAAGCAATATTTCAACCTGGTATTTAAATGATTCTTTTTTTTTTCATTTTAATCATAAGTTCTTAATTTTCTCAGCATTGATGTAAAAATCATTCATGCTTGCACTGCAACCAACATAAATCATTAACACTCCAAAAAAATAGTAAGCAACATTGAATCATTATCATTTTCTTCTATGAGACACTGTGGAAATGAAAGAATACAGTTTATCATTGATCAGAAGTCTCACAAACATTTAGCCTGGGCCTCATCTCTTTACAGTACTTACTTTGCTCCAACCACACAAGTCTTCTTTATGGTTTTAGGACAAGTCAAGGTCCTTTCTTCCTCCAAGAACTTCACACATCTTGTTCTTTTTCATCACTCAGGTCTCAGCTCAGTGCCATCACCTCAGAAAGGCTTTTCCTACACCTAACCCAAGGGTGTTGCTCCTCATGGTCACTTTGTATCACTTTATCTGCTCAGTATGAATCACTTTTTGAAATGATCTCATTATTTACTTGTATGCTTGTTTATTGTCAGCCACCCCCTGCCCTCATTCAAATGTATTCCCCATGACTGAAGAGGTTTGTTTCATTTGTTGACCTCTATATTCTCAGTGCATGAAACAGTGCCCTGGGCCATAGTTTTTACTGACTGCTAGTGTAGGTCATGTGTTCTCAACTTTGGTATCAAAGCACTCTTGGATGTTGATTCAGCTGCAAGTGTTTACCAAAATGCCTGCTAAAAATAATAAAGAACCAAAGATAAAGTTTAATTTACTTCTAAGATATAGAAACAAGATAAAAATTCAGAGCAAATGCCAGATTTTCTTTATAGTATTATGACTCTTATTCACTTTGAAGCTTCACTGAGGAGAGGAATATTAGCCTTAATGATAATGTGTATTGGAGGAAGGCCATGTTTGATATAATCTTTAATGTAGAGCAGTAGTTCCCACACTGTGCATCAGAATCACCAATGATTACTTGATTACACCCACAGAATACCGATCCAGTAAGTTTGTGATACACCTGAGGATCCAGTTCCAGATGATTCTAATTCTGGTGGGTAGAAGTTAAAAAGTAAAGAGGAGACTCTACCAGCTGAGATGCATATTAAGATGTAATTGAGGTGACATAGGTAAGAAATAAAGGCCTGCCTGTGGCATGGTTTGTGGAAATGGTAAGCAGTACATGAAGGAGAGGGAACTATCCAGAATTGTAGCATAAATAGTAATTAAATATCAATGGGGTATACAGATAAGGAAAAGTAGGAACCATATGATGTTATCTGATGAAACTAGGTGAATAATAAATTCATTAATTGAAATAAGGTATTTGAGCAGCAGGTTCAAAGGAAAGATCATAAGATTTTATTTTAATATGCTGTGTTTGTGGTGCCTGTATCTATCCAGTGGGATTATCTAGAGGGCCTTTGAAAATGTGAATGAAGCTCAGGAGCAAAATTTGGGACCAAGATATATACGTTCAATAGCAATCAGCATATATGTGGTCACTGAAATAATGAAAAAAAGATAATCCTTGGGGAATGTATAAAACAAAAGGAGAATAAATTCTCAGGAATTCTAAACTATGACAGCCTAAAAATTGAACTCTTAGAAAACTGAATTTTCTTAACTGAGGTACTAGACTGGACGATCAAGAAAATTTAGTAGTTTATATAACAGCACTTGATTAGGTGTGGAGTTTAACACTGTAGTTCCTGGTAGTATAGTGGATAAAATGAGCCACTCACTTTGACAGTGCACAGGGTTAATACAGGGTTTTGTGAATGTACAGGAGGATGCCTAATAGTGTACCTGTGGTCTCTTCCTTCAGATGCATCCCATCAACAAATATGCAGGATAAGTACATTAATGCTTTTCAGATAAAGCTGGATGAAATATGTTGGATGAGAAAATATCCTTAACAAAATTAAGTGTAAGGTTAAATCTTAAACCTTACCAGAATAATTTTTGAAAAACAGTTAAGTCGAGCACTTCCTTTGGAAAAGAAAAAAGAAAAAATAGGAAAGGAAAAAGAAACAAACAAATGAATGCATGGAGCTAACAGATATCAAACATCAAGATGGAAGACATAAAGTTAAAAGTTTCAGTAATTTAATCAAGTATAAATGGTCCAATCCTTACAACTGAAAGAGAGAGCTTCATAGTACATTAGAAAATAGAAATTGAGACTAAATTCTATACTGTCTATATATAAGACGTAAAAAGGGATAGAAAAAGATATGACATGCACACTATAATACAAAAATGTTTTAGAAAAAGTAGAGTTTAGCACAAAAATTATCAAAAATTAAGTGGGAATTATATAGTAATAAATATGGCAGTTTACTGGAAAAATGTAATAATCTTAAATGATTACATTATCTAAGAGAGCCTTAATAAAACTAAAACTATCAGAATCAAAGGGAGAAATACAAAAATCCACAACTAAACTTATTAATTATTTTTGTTCAGTAATTAGTAGAATAGTTGGGCAAACAATTCAGCAAGTAGATAATGTACCTGAACAATACAGTTAACTTGAACTAATTGACATTGACATAAGTTCTTCCTTAAAAGCAAAAGCTGCATGCTTTCACATGAAAAGCAGCAAAGCTTCAAGAGGTTCTTCCACGTTTACTATTTTCCCAGATATATGAGAATTTGGCATTGGGGTGTGTGTCCTCTTTGGATCTATGTGCTTTTTGTAGCTCACTTCCTACTGAGGTCTATTTTAAGGCTTTCCAAAAAGGTCAGGCAAGGTGGCTCACACCTGAATTCAGGTGTGATTCAGTATTTTGGGAGGCTGAGGTTAGCGGATTGCCTGAGCTCAAGAGTTCGAGACCAGCCTGGGCAACACAGTGAAACCCAGTCTCTACTAAAAATTGCAAAATATTAGCTGGGCGTGGCACCGCATGCCTGTAGTCCCAGCTACTAGGGAGGCTAAGGCAGGAGAATCGCTTGAACCCGGGAGGTGGAAGTTGCAGTGAGCTGAGATCATGCCATAGCACTCTGGCCTGGGCAACAGAGTAAGACTCCATCTCCAAAAAAAAAAAAACTTATCAAAAAATGATAGAATTCCGTGGTGTATCTGCGCTACATTTTCTTAATCCAGTCTATCATTATTGGACATTTGGATTGGTTCCAAGTCTTTGTTATTGTGAATAGTGCCACAATAAACATGTGTGTGCATGTGTCTTTATAGCAGCATGATTTATAATCCTTTGGGTATATACCCAGTAATGGGATGGCTGGGTCAATGGAATACTATGTAGCCATAAAAAATGATGAGTTCATGTCCTTTGTAGGGACATGGATGAAGCTGGAAACCATCATTCTCAGCAAACTATCACAAGGACAAAAAACCAAACACCACATGTTCTCACTTATAGGTGGGAATTGAACAATGAGAACACATGGACACAGGAAGGGGAACATCACACCCCGGGGACTGTTGTGGGGTTGGGGGAGGTGAGAGGGATAGCATTAGGAGATATACCTAATGCTAAATGATGAGTTAATGGGTGCAGCACACCAACATGGCACATGTATACATATGTAACAAACCTGCACATTGTGCACACGTACCCCAAAACTTAAAGTATAATAATAATAAAATTTAAAAAAAAAATGACAGAATTTTCAGATGAGGTTAGAGTTCTTTGGTGACTTATTCTCAAAACCTCATTAGGCTTCTCATTTATTTACTTCTAGTCAGTTTCATGTATGAGTAACAACACTAAAAGTTATTTTTGAAATAATTCTTAGTCTTTATTTCCTCTCTTCCTGGCTCCCTTAAGCTACCTTGAGGAGATGAGGCCTGAATAGGGTATGTTTCAAATCTAATCACTTTATTGAAATAAGTGATGGAAAAAAGTACAAACTACATTACATCTTGTCTTTGCCAATAAAACAATATTTAAAATGCTGTCTTCTGTTATTTAGGGTCTAGAAGCTGTCATTGTTTTTAAAATCCTGTAAGTCCCAAATATATGCTTTCCCTTTATCCTTGCATTTCTGCTTCTAAGCATTCTTGTTTCCTTCTCCTATATTGCCAAACAGATCCAGTGGCAACGAAGACATATGAAAGTGAACTTTTTCAACTTCCTTTCCCCGGCTCAGTAACCATTTGATTTGTCTTCCAAGTTATTGCAAGCAAAAGATGTATTATTATTTTGCATGCAAATGACAAAGATCAAGAGCTAGCTATCACTTTATATGTGTTGCCTTCCTCCATTCAACCACTGGGCCAATGTTTCATATTTTTAAAAATGCTAGTGATGGCTCTCCAATTTTAGTATCAATTTATGTATTAACACTAATTAATTAATATTTTCATAATTGATTGTAATATAGTTATAAAGAACATATAGTTAGAATCAATAAACATTAATTAATATATTAACATTATTTATTAATTTAAGTATTAATAAGAATGAGCCATACTAGCTGCTAAAACAAACAATACAGAAGCTCAGTAGCTATAAACAATTAAGATTAGGGCGTGTGTGTGTGTGTTTTCACATACCAAGATTCAACATTGGGCAACAGAGGAAGGTGAGGAACTCTGCTCTACAGAGAAATTTTGGGAGCAGCCTCTTTTTCATGGTGTGGTTTTATTACATTCAAAATGTGACTTCAATAACTAATTTATCAGATAGGAGAAAAATAGGAAGAAGGTAAAGAAAATCTTAACTACACATTTCTGCTGTTATATTGGTAGGAACTAGTGCTATGGTTTGGCTTTGTGTCCTCACCCAAATCTCATGTCAAACTGTAATACTCACCGGTCTGGAGAAGGATCTGTTGGGAGGTGACTGCTTCATGGGGGAAGTTCCCCAATGTGGTTCTCCTGATCATGAGTGAGTTCTCATGAGATCTGATGGTTTAAAAGTTTGTGGCAGTTCCCCCTCACTCACTCTTCTCTCCTGACACCCTATAAGATGCGCCTTGCTTCCCTTCACCTTCTGCCATGATTGTAAGTTTCCTGAGACCATCCAGTCATGCTTCCTGTCAAGCCCGCAGAACTGTGAGCCAATTAAACCTCTTTTCTTCATAAATTACCCAGTCTCAGGGAGTTCTCTATAGTAGTGTGAAAATGAACGAATACAACTAGCTACAGAGATATTTCATGCAACAGAACAGTCTGGGAAACAGAAAGTTAAATATGTACAAAGGACTCACAGGAAATGAAGAATACACTGTGATAGGAGAGAAAGAAAGATAGCAGATAGCTCTGACTTGTACTGGTATTTGTGACAAGACAAATTTTGGAGGGCTGAAAGAAGCTGAAACTGCATCCAACTGCTATTTGAACCAATTACTGTTGCCAGGTTGAATAACCATTTGCTCATTTGTTGCTTACAGGAGCCATAAGCCAACAAAGAAGAAGCTAATCATTTTTTCCATTACCTAGTGTCCCTAAGGGCACAAATAGCAGCAAGTCAGTTTAAAAGGACAAATGTCTGTAGATTCCCAGTTCCAGCATCACAGAGATAACTATAGAAAATGGGTGGATTTTGAGTTGAGTGAGTGAAAATAGCTTAATAAGTGGTACAGTTTTTCTGACCTATCATTTGAAAAGGTGTCCCCACATCTTGCCCCAGTTCTGGTAACTAAGAACTAATGATACCCACTAACATTATTACACAGTGCATTGCAATTTACAAATTAATGGTTTCTCAAATGATGCTCCTTGACTGCAAATCTGTACTTGGTAACATTATTAGAACCATAGTTACATTAAAAGGAAGCCCTTGCGTTATTAATTTTGCCAGCATATATTTTACCCGCCACTATCTGCAACCACCAGAAATAGGTTGCATTTTAGGGGCACCGATTTTGCTGGTTGATTTCCCCAGTGATGATTATTGGCTTGAAAACCACATACCTGTGACTAATCATCATCATTTCATTCAAGGGAGCATCTTCTGCTGTTTGTCTTCAATTCTGCTCATCTCAAGAGCTGATTTTGTCCAAATGTAATCATCTAGCTCCAATTCCTAGTTCATTTCTGAAAACAAGTTGCCGAAGAAGTTCCATATCCAAGATAATTATATTTTTAAACCATTGGCAAAGGAAATAAGTTCAGCTTAACAGATGTTTCATCTATTTATTGCTATTAAACAAACATTCCACCTAACAACAACTTTATTAGGTCACATGGTTTTATGGGTCAGGACTTTGGGCAGGGCTTCTGTGAGCAATTCTTCTGCTCCATGCAAACCCCACTGGGGTCACACAGTACTCTTTAGCCATTGGGGTTGCCTGGAGGGTACACGATGGCTACAACCATAAGGCTGTCATCTCCAAGGCTCACTTCAGGTGGTTTCCTCCCTTTCAATGGAATTTTAGGGATTTTCCATGGTATCTCTGCAGCAGGGTAATGGGACATTTTTCATGTTGACTCAGGTGAGTCAGATCTCCAAGACCTGACTCAGGTAACTCAAGTCTCCAAGAAACAGAAACCAAGACAAAAGCTGTCAGTCCTCTTAAAAGCTAGATCCAGAGTTGGCACAGAGTCACTTTGCAGTAATCAGTGGAAAGGAGATATTCTTCATGTTGCCTATGCCTTACATAAGAGAGAATTTTGTAGAAGAGGCATCTTGCTTCACACCTAAGCATTTAGGCAGAATTAATAAGATTCACACATGCTGATGAAAGGACTAATGAGGTTTTCTTGAACATGTCAGCCTTCTCAGAAACAAACAAACAAAAAAAATTAAAAACAGTCTATGAGTATGAAGTTTTGCTTTTCCGATAATTTCAAACCATAGGAAAAATAAGAAACATTGCCCATGTGCTAGACAATTTCTCAAATAGCAGTCTAAAATTGTATCTTAATTTCAAGATTGAGAAGTTGATCATAGCCATACATGAAGCTCCACATGAGTACAATCCAGGGAAAAGACTGTTCAATTCAGCCATATGGTGAGATTTAGTGCCTCCCTCAACAATGCAGAGAATATGGGACTTTCAAACAATATACTCAGGATTTAATTTGGGCTGCAAAATTTTAAGTCTTTTAACTTGTATCAGAAGTGTAGTCATCCCCATCTTTTAGCTTGCAACATCCTTAACTTGCTATTTGTCTCAATTCACCAAACCTTCCTGATATATCCCCATCCTTCTTTTAAGAAGCTTATTATTATCATTATTATTATTGTGCTTCAGTAAGAGGTGGGAAAGAAGTCTTCATTATGTAAAATGTGATATATAAATCTAAGTGGAGTGCTTCTAAAAGTAGAATGTCTGCCAAGTTCTCTAGCAGCTTCACCAGTGTATAATTAAGTACTCATTTAAAGTATATGTTTGTGTGAAGGGAGAGTGTGGAACTCAAAAATAGAATTTGTTGTGTTTTTCTTCTGTATTTTTAAATTATATGTTAGATTCTAGTTATGACAGCTATGGCTTTTAAAGTAACAAAACTGGATTTTCAATTCTAGTAATATGGTGGATAAAGGACCAGAGAAATCCTCTTGATACAGGATACATAAAAAGTCCTGCATAAAATGTAGGTCTAGTATGAAATAAGATAATCTTTAGAGGATAAAGATGGAAAGAAAAAGCAAATTTACAACAGTACTGAGGACTGATTATGTTATATTTCCTGGAGCATCTGATTTTCTCTGATGCTCTAAAGCTGATTTTTGAAATAGTTGTTTTTGTGGTAAACGGGACATGAAGCCTGAGATCCATGCAATGCAAGTGGGTTTAATATAAGACCCTAATATTAGGTCTGCATTTACGAAAGCCAACACCATAACTAAATTGAAGGATAAATAACACAGAGGGAGATGGACAAGACAGCTGAGTATCTCATCTTTAGCTTTGAGTGGAGGGTAAGGTAAGATAAAAATGTTTATATAGAACTGTGTGTATATGTGTGTGTATACATGTATACATGCATGCACACATGCACACAAACATGTACACAAGTACTTTGTGAATTTCTAAACAAAATCATGATTTTATATAAGTTAGGGACATGTTTAAATATCTCTGTGTTAAAACCTTCTCAAAGCTGATAATTTAGTGTAAGGGCAGAAGGAAAACATAATTTAACACCAGGATTGAAAGATCTTTCACAGATGAGGTTTAAGTAAAGGTAATTTCACAATAGTAGCAATGACAAAAGAATAAATAAAAAATATCCAATATACAAGAAAAAAATTACTGTGACGAAAGCTAATGAAGAAAAAACCATGAAATTAAATACATAAAGGCGGTGTATTCTGAATTCATCAGAGAGAAACTAAGTGTATTACCCATATTTAAAGATTATGTAATATTTAAATAAAGAAGGAATAAGTAACCATCAAATTAACAGATATATTTGTAAAAGAGTTGAATAGATCTTGTAAAAATTATGTGTATATATGTAATTTTAATTTTATATACATAATATACATATATGAACAATATATATGTAATTGAACAATCAATGAACCATTTCAGTATGGTGTTAGACACAGCAAAAAAGAGAAATAACAAGTGATATATTTTATAACGCAGAAAAACTGCAGATATAAACAGATGAAAAAATATATAAAACATATTAAGTGACACTTATGGGTGAGAGGGTCAAAAATAGAGACACATGAAGTTCTGAGGAGAAATCCTCAAATAGGAAGAGTTAATATTTAGAAAAATGATTACTGAGAATTTTCCAAAATTTATAAAACAAATAAATCATCGGATTCACAATGACTGAAGAACCTTATAAATCCAAAAGTTGAAAAGAAAATCAACTAAAATAAGACAACAAAATAAATCTACAGCAATATTTCATAATTTAAGTATAAAACCCCAAAGTAACAGAAAATATCTTACAAGTAGCCAGAAAGAAAAATACATTATAAGAAAATAAACAACATATAAACAGAGCTGACTTCTCAAAAGTATAAAAAGACAGAAATCGGGCCGGGCGTAGTGGCTCATGCCTGTAATCCCAGCACCTTGGGAGGCTGAGACGGGTGGACCATCTGAGATAGGGAGTTCCAGACCAGCCTGACAAACATGGAGAAACCCTATCTCTACTAAAAATACAAAATTAGCCGGGCGCGGTGGTGCACGCCTGTAGTCCCAGCTTCTGGAGAGACTGAGAATCGCTTGAACTCAGGAGGTGGAGGTTGCAGTGAGCCGACATCGCACCACTGAACTCCAGCCTGGCAACAGAGCGAGATTCCATCTCAAAAAAAAAACAAAAGCAAAGACAAAAACAAAACAAAACAAAACACAAATAGGTTTAACAATATTGTCAAAATACTGAAAGAAAATAATTGAAATACTGGAAATATATTTAACTTTACATTGGCGGTATAATGATAACATTTTTAAAAACTGAACATTGCTCTTTAAAGACTCATTGATAGAGCATCTAAAAATGTACATTTGAGATTAAAGAAGCACTGTAAAGCAAGAGAAATAGTAAATATGTGGATAAAATATAAGAAAATGTTTATAGTGTCTTTTGGTGTTAAAATTTATAAGATACATTTTAAATGTGCACAATCTAAAACGTGTAAATAAGGAAGGTGTTCAATTGTGAATTAACATATTCTAAGCTCTTCATTGGAACTTTAGAATTGCTCATGTGTCTCTTAAATTTTCATCAGCATTATTATCTTTTTCCTGCCTGAATTTGCACATTTTCTTATTGAACTAGTCCGTCCCATTTTCCTAATCATGCCTTCTGCTGTGACTAATATTTTTTAAATACATTTCTTAATTTGGATATTGTATTTTTCATTTTTGGAATACCAGTTTGATTCTTTAATACAGCTCCAATTCTTTGTTTAAATTCATCCATGTTATCTACCTTTTCCTCTATTTCCTTAAACATAATAATCATGTATTTTTAAAATTCATTATCCGCTACTTCCAATATCTGGATTATCTCTGGCCTGTGTATACTGTCAGCCCTTTCTTTCAAACATCAGTTATGTTCAATTTTCTCTTTGCCCAATTTTCAGATTAGCCCACCTGGGATTTTGATACAGAGTCTTGTGGATCCTCAGCCTTGTGGGGAATTCAAAATTCAAACAGCAGGAGACAATGTTCTGCCATTCAGAGTTTCCAGTGCAGTTGCTTGTCTCCTAATCCACGTAGTTTAAGATATAGGAATGTCTTGGGTTAAAACAAGAATTGTGTTTGATGACTTCTGCCTTGTAAGACTCACAGGTCTTTGCTTCCCAAACCTCACAGACCAGACGAGATTATTCTGACTTTTAGAAACTTTCACCTTAAATCCCTAGCTTCACAAGCAGCAGCAAACCCCAGCCAATATGCCATGGGAAAAACTGACCATGATTTCTGTTGCCTCAAATTTCTAATTCGTCATGCTAACACTAATAACTGTTCAATCATTTGCTTGTTTCTTTTACCCCTAGCAGAGGTTTTCTGCCTGAATAAGGAGGATCCATAATTCGAATCTAAAAACAGGAGATTACCCCAGGACATTTTTAAGTTGGAGATGTTCATTTTGCCTCAGAAAAATTCTCTCTTTTCTGAAATTTTAATTTCTAATTCTGATTGCTTACATAGTTCTATGATGCCTTTAAATAATTAAATTTATAATTCAACTTCCTAGTTGTAAACGTGTTGTTCTGCCATGAGCTTCTGAATCCAACCCAGAATTCTTGTGAGCCTCTTAAGACTAAGAATATTGAAGCACATTTTCATATATTTACTGACCGTTTGGATATCTTATTTGTATTGCTGAGCTTTTCATATATATATATATATATGTATGTATGTATATATATATATATTTTCTTATTGATTTACAAGCTTTTAAAAGTATACTAAATATGATTCAGTTGATGTTTATATATCTTGCAAATATCTTCTCCTGACCTAAAGCTTGACTTTTTACTTCCTTAATTGGTAAACAGAAAATTATAATTTAGTTCAACTTGCAAACAGTTTTCTTCATAGTGATATGTGAGTCTAGTTTAATATAACTTTTCCTATCTCATGATCATGAATATATTCTTCATTGCTGCCTCTTTGAAGGTTTATTGATCTATTATCCTCATTTAGATAAAAAACTCACCAGAAATGATTTCATATGGTATAATGACCAAGGTATGCTACATTATTATTCTATGTACATATCCAAAGGATCCAATGCAATTTGGTGAAAAGGCTGCCTTTTCCTACTCTTCTACTTGCCAACTGTATAATAAATCAAATGTTCATATTCATGTGTGAGTCTATTACCAAACTCTATTGTGTCTCATTTGGCAGTTTGTCTATTCTTCGGCAAACATTATGCTGTCTTAATTAACTTTAAATTTATTATGTATTCATATAAAGTATAATAAGTCTTCCAACTTAATTCATCAAGATAGCCTCTTTAGATGCTTCAATAGCTTTCTTAGTCCAGCCTATTTTTGTTTCTGTATGTATTAAGGTAATATTTATTCAGTAAAATGCACACGACGGTAAGCACAGAGCTCTATTAATATTTACCTACATATACAACGATATAACTACTACAATAAGCTTGTCAGCTTACACACACACACACACACATACACACACACACACAATACCTGTGGAGATTTTGTATGTGTTTCGTGATAGATTGACCATTTTGGTCCTATTTGGTCATATCTCTAAATCCATGCAATGTTACTCTGCAGTTCATCTCTCCAAAAAAAAATATAGTTTGTTTCCATTCCTCTAAAATCTGAGTTGTCTTCATTACTTACATGGCCCAAGATGTAGTGAGTTAACACTGTGTCAGTCACCCAAGTGATGCTGTGCCAGTCCAAGCCTAGGCCTCAAGAGATACTGTGTGGTTCCACACTGCCTCATGAACAATTTATTATCATAAAAGCACTTCCAGGCTAGTCTATATTAGGGATATAAGAGCAGAGCCACATTGCTCTAGCCAGCAGTCAGTCAACCTCCAGAAGCAGAGCTGCCTAACTGTAGAAGCATGATGAAGCCTAGCTGAGATAAACAGCATCCAGCTAGACCCACAGGCCAATCCATAGTAAAATGAGCTTCACAGGTGATTGTTACTTTATATCACCATATTTTGGAAGCACTTCTTTTCAGGGCATTATTTTGGCAATATGTGACCAATATAATAACTGGCATCTTCATAATATTGAATCCTCTATATCATAAACATAATTACTCTTAGTGTACTATTAATTCAAATCTTTAACTTCTCTTAATAAAATGATTGTGTACCTATGTATGTGTGTGTATATGTGTAGGGATCTTACATATATCCTTTTAGATTTACTTCTTTATATTTAATAATTTTTATGCTATGTCAAATTATGTCTTTTACATTCCATTATCATTTCAGTATATTTTTGTATTATACCCATATAATATACATAGTAATTGTGTATTGACATTGCACTCCATAAAATTGTTAAATTCAGTTATTCAGTATACTGGGTATATACCAAAAGGAATATAAATCATGCTGGTATAAAGACACATGCACACATATGTTTATTGCGGCACTATTCACAACAGCAAAGACTTGGAACCAACCCAAATGTCCAACAATGATAGACTGGATTAAGAAAATGTGGCACATATACACCATGGAATACTATGCAGCCATAAAAAATGAGGAGTTCATGTCCTTTGTAGGGACATGGATGAAGCTGGAAACCATCATTCTCAGCAAACTATCGCAAGGACAAAAAACCAAACACCACATGTTCTCACTCATAGGTGGGAATTGAACAATGAGAACACTTGGACACAGGAAGGGGAACATCACACAATGGGGCCTGTTGTGGGGTGGGGGGAGGTGAGAGGGATAGCATTAGGAGATATACCTAATGTAAATGACGAGTTAATGGGTGCAGCACACCAACATGGCACATGTATACATATGTAACAAACCTGCACGTTGTGCACATGTACCCTAGAACTTAAAGTATAATAAATATATATATAAAAGCAATATATTTAAGAATTTTTTACTGTCTATGTAAAAATAATCTTTGCAGTTAATGACAATCTTCTTTATTTGTTTTCAATCCATTTATCTTTTAAATATTCTTTTTGCTTTATGGTCCTGGCATAGATTTCTAGTCCAATGAAGAACCAACCATTGAAATGATGTTTTTGTCAATTGTTCATAGACACTCCATATCAGATTAAGGAAGTACTCTCTTTTATTTCTGGGTTTCTAAAATTTAATTTGTAAGCTAAATTGCTGATAAATTATATCAAATCCTCATTTTGTACATACAAAATAATTATATTATTTTGCATCCATGTCCATGTCTATATGTCTCCTCTTTTCTGTATTATTTTCGGGTGTTGAGTGTCAGAGTTCTGCTGTCCTCATAGAATCAGCCGAGAAGACTTTATGTATCTGGAAGAATTTACCATTAAAGACATTTAAGCACAGAATTGTCTGTGTTAAAATGACTTAATTGTAGAATCAAGTAACTACAGAATAAGTTGATATTTTGTTTCTTCTTGTATCTGTTTTTAAAATTTACTTTTTGTAAATTTTCAGTTGTGTTTGTTTCATAATATGTCTTTTTAATGTCAAAATAATCCATAATTTTGCCTCAATTTTTCTTCCTGATATCTGTCACTTTTTAAAAAAATATGTCTTGGAAAATGTTTATGACTTAGTAATCTTTTAAAGCATATCCATTTGATTTTAGTGGTCTTTTCTAGTATTGTTCTATATTATATTAATGAATACTTATATATTATTTTCTTCCCTCCATTTAAGTTTAATTTCCTATGCTAATTCTAACTTTTGTAGATGATTAATTTTTAACCTTTCTCTTCTTATAATATATACATTTAAGGCTCTATATGCCTTTCTAACCACATCTTTATTTTCCAGCTTTTCTCATATACAGTATTTTTCTGTCACTGAATTTAATGTTTAGAATATTGTTTAATAGCAATTGTTAATCTTTTATCCATTCATTATTTACAACCAGTATTGCTAAATTTCTTATTATTTTTTAGTGTTTATGTTTCCCTAATGGTTATCAATCTCTGTTTAATTCGATTTCATGAGAGAACATTTTAGTATAATTTCAATCAAGTGAAGTTTATTGAAATTTGCTTTATGGTCCAGTATATTGTTAATTTTTGTAAATATCTTATGTGCACTTACAAAATATGTATTCTTCAGTTTTAAGGAGTGGTCATTTATATTTCAATTACATTTAATTGTGTTGCACATATCTAGTATACGACTCTTTTTTTTTTTTTTGCATTTATTTGATGAGTTACTAAGAGATGTGTGTCGAAATCATCCACTATGTTTTCAATTGCTATGGTGGGAAGAAGGAATGTCCAAGAGCTGCAATATAACTTTTGGTGGTGATAGACATGTTCATCATTTTGATCGTAATTGTCATATGGTGTATACATATATTAAATATTATCATACAATATACTTTAAATATGCTAAATGTGTTGTATATAAACTACATCTCCATAAAGGTGTTAAAATGAGCCACTATATTTTACCACCTAATAAAGGAGAAAATCCAGATGATCATCTTAATAGATACAAAAAAATTTTGATTAATTTTAACATTAATTTGTAAAATAATGTTATTAGATAATAATGTATATTAGAACTTTACATAAAATTTCTTAATCTATTTTAGAAAATAGGATGTACACACAGACACACACACACACACACACATACCACTATTTAGTGGCAAAATATTCAAAACCATTCCCAATGGAATGAGTTAAGTTCACTTGATATTGCTACATATATCAAACACAGTATTATTAAACCTAGATACAGTTAGCTATATAAAAAGTAGTAACTTAATAAATATTGATGGATAAGTAAATAAATTCATAGGTAGAGGGTAAGACAAATGTGTTTAGAAGAATACTTCCAATCTTTAGCAGACTTTCTCAACTGCAGTTCTTGAGAAAAGTGTGCCTGAATACCCTAAGTCATCAACTATGTGTAAAGAATAAACTTATCTCCCATGCATGTTGACTGGCACGGATTCTGTACCATCCTTGGAAGAACCTAATTGTTCTGCCATCATTTTCTGTGTACCAAGGCTTAGATTAAGAATTCTGGGTGAGTAAGGCTAATAGAAGCAAGGACTCAAGATTCTAATGAACATTTGTGCAGATTTCTAAGTACTGTATGTCTACGAGTAATTCGTATGTTTTGTGAATTTTCTTGAAAAGTTGACTTTTTTTGAAGAATTTTCTTGTTGACAAGACAGAACACCATGTGCTGGCACCTAAAAGGTAATAAAAGAGCCATCGACCACTTTACTAAAAGATCCTCAAGGGTATTTATAAATGTTTCCTTTAAGGAGTGACTATGTCTTGTTCTGAATTTCCTCCACCTGCTCAAAAAGTCTTGGAAATAGTTCACTGCCCTCAGTAAGTTTTGTCAGCAAGAGAGAAAGTTTGTAAGTTAATGCTCAAATGCAGCAATCATTACTTGTTATTTTTAATTTAATTTTAGTATAAATTAACTTATCTCTGTGCAACTATCATTAAAGCTAATAACCCTAAAAAGGATTAAGATTAGAAAGTAATGCTGTCAGTGACAAAGCTCATTAACAGCCTACAAGCTGATGAACTACATCTAGGATAATTGGCCTAATTATAATACATTTGTTTCTTTAGCCAGGTATTCCTTGCTTCACTCTCTACTGATTACTTATGGGTCTCAGTTTGGCCAATTAACTTTCTCTTCCCACTCTATCCATTTCTAAAATTGATAGTGTATAGCTTAGGTGTGACTTGCTGTCAGTGTGCCTGTGCTCTGGATAGTTAAGGGCTGAATTAAGAAGACAAGAAGTAGAGAGACAGAGGTAGCTTTATCCTAGAATGCAGGACATAAAGTAGATATAGAAAGAATCATAATTATTTTGGGGTTTCTACCTATTTAAGTGAGGTTGTTAACATCGGGTTTTTTTTTTTTGTTTTTTTTGGTTTTTTTTTTTTTTTTTTTGAGACGGAGTCTCGCTCTGTCACCCAGGCTGGAGTGCAGTGGCGTGATCTCGGCTCACTGCAAGCTCCGCCTCTCAGGTTCACGCAATTCTCCTGCCTCAGCCTCCTGAGTAGCTGGGACTCCAGGCGCCTGCCACCACACCCAGCTGATTTTTTGTATTTTTAGTAGAGACGGGGTTTCACCGTGTTAGCCAGAATGGTCTCAATCTCCTGACCTCGTGATCTACCTGCCTCGGCCTCCTAAAGTGCTGGGATTACAGGCGTGAGCCACCACGCCCGGCCTGTTAACATGCATTTAAACCTTAACAGTACCGTAGACTTCTGATATATTCTAGCCTATTCATTCTCACAAAGCATTTTAAATTATTTTATTTTTATGATAAGTAACAGGCCACCCAACTACAACTGGCTTAACAAAAAAAATAGTTTACATTTTATGTAAAATGTAGTCTGGAATTACAGAATTACACATTTGGAAAAGTAGCTAACGAATAACTCTAAGGAACACTTTGCTTAAGTTCTCTACCATCCTCAGGATATCAGTTTTTATTTCCTTTGTCTATAGTCCTTTATAGTTTTAGGATGGCTTCCATAGGCTAGAAACAGGACAGAAACCAGGACAATGAAAGCAAATCATCACATGATTTCCCCTTCTATTACCAGAAAAAAATCCCAGAAGAACTTATCTTACATCTCATTGGCCAAAAAATGATGATCCATTCATGCACAGATGAGCGGGAGATTGGTATAACACCTGAATTTTTCATTATTTGTCAAAAGAAAGGCTTAGAATAAAAGGTGCTCAGTAATGACTTCTGACTATCCAACTGCTTACCTTTGAATATATGTATACCTCCAAAATTCATGTGCTGGAACTTAAACCCCAATGTGATAGCATTAAAAGATAGGACCTTTAGGAGATAATTGAGTCATGAGGTCAGAGCACTCATGAATGGAATTAGCCACCTTATGAAAGGGCTGAAAGGAACTATCTAGGCCCTTTATACCCTTTCATTCCTTTTTTCTCTTCCATTCCTTCACCCCATAAAGACATAGTGTTCATATCCTCCCCTCGATGAGGCAACAAGGTACCATCTTGGAAGCAGAGACTAGGTCCTCACCAGACACTGAACCTACTGGCTCCTTGATCATGGAAGTTCCAGCCTTCAGAACTGTGAGAAAACAAAATTCTATTATTTATAAATTACCTAGTCTGGGACATTTTGTTATAGCAGCAACGATGGACTAAGACACCAACTGAAAGTGTAAGCAGGAATACAGTCCCTTTTCTAGTAAGTGGAAATCTCTATGGAACTTTGTTTCTCTCTGCTTATCTTGATTATATGGTGTAAATTTCACAGAGGGACAAATTTGAATTAAAGTACTTGGAGGTGTGTCAGTGTTTTCAGCTGAGTTCTTATTGAATATTAAGGTCCACTATAATGAGAATGATCAAGTAATCCATTGTCCATAATACACGTTTGAGAGTGAAAAGGGGACTAGTAATAATTATGCTTGGACAAGTGAGAGCTCAGCAAACCAAGCAAACTGGTACATAAGGTCACCTTATTTTTAATAACCATATTTACATTTCAAAGCCACAGTATCAGTGACTCCTGACTGTTGATTTTATCACCGATACAGGAAAAAGTGACATAATTAAAAACAGAAAAAAATAGGCCTATGTGCAATTTTGAGAAAAATGTAAAATTCCTAATTCAATAATTGATAGAACCAATAAAATGCTGCACCGGTTTTTCCTGTCTGAAGCTCATTTCTCATATTTTGCATGGCTGACTAAAGCACTCTAATCAATTATGTTTTCTTAGCATATTGTCTCATCCTAAACAAACTTCCTTAAGAAATCATTTATAGGAGCCAAAATTGACTAATATTTTCCCATGTTTACATTCTGCATAGAATGCATTAGAGTTAGATATTTTTGTTATTTATTTAATCACTGCTAGTCACTCCCCTGCTCAAATGTAAGCCCCTGAGAGCAGTATTTTCTGCCTTCCTAACTGTTGTTCCCCAATTTTTTGACCAGTGTTTCAAAAAGAGGATGTACACAATAAATATGTCTTGAATGAATAGATGCCTGAATCAACAGTGATAAGCTCATTAAAAAATAGAATAAAATTGGTCAGACTCTAATGAAGAGACACAATATAACATAAATATTTAAAGAAAAGCTGCATAATGAAAAAAATTTTTAATGTGTGTGTAAGAGAATACGGACTACAACCACATGAACAGAAAAAAATTAAGAATTTAAAGAAATATAAATGTGCTAACTCCTTCACCTTCCATAGCAGGAGATTAAAAGTTGACAATCTACAAAATATAAATTTCAGCCTATTATTACAAAATAGAAAGGCAACCATTCATAAACTAAAATTCAGACTCTACACATTTAAAATAACTCGAAGAGGGATAAAAGAAAGCAAGCATAAATAATATAGAAATATAACAAATATGGCAAATATTGATACAAAGAAATTAAACAAATTAATCTAAAAACAGAGGGGCTGCAAGACGGCTAACTAGGTACATCTGGAACCTGCCACTTTCACAAAAAGGAATCAAAATAGCAAGTAGATAAACACACTTCAAAGAGATCTTTTAAGAGAGAATAGTGGAACTCAGCAGAGAAGTGACAGAAAACACGTAAAGTAAGGAACGAGAGACAAGCAAGGCAGCCTGCTTGGCTAGGATAGACTGGAAACCTGGAATAGCTCCCCAATCTGGGGAAAGGGTAAGTGAATGACCACCAGGGGTTCACATTCTCACTGAAAACTCCTACAGTCCTAGTCATGGGACAGCCCTGAGACTAACATAAGAAGCCCCTGGGAGATCATGGAATGGCATTGCTCCAGAGAAGCAGCTTCCATTGAATCCCACAGACTGCCAAGTTTCAAGCAGCTATGGCATTGCACCATTCTGAGCATCCAGCCCCTACCAGACTGCATCCTGGTCTGGGGTAAAACAGCCCCTGCATCTCCACAGCTCCAGATCCCCATAGACATTCCTTGCCCACACCCACCTTTGCTGCCAGCAGCTGCCACCAGGGCCAAAGTGGGAGCCACCGGCAGCAATGAAACCCCCACAACAGAGGGGCAGCATTAATGAGAGTCTACCCTATCCACAGCCACTGCTGCTGCTGACTGCTGCTGCCACCAGGCCAAAGCACAAACCACCCCATCCCTCCAGCAGGACAATCATATGTTTGTAAATGCTCTGAGGACAAATGCAACTGCTACTCTGGGCTGCCACTATCAGGCACAAAGTGTAAAAGAAGCATATACCTCCAGCTGCCTGTCTATGGCTATTTCCACAGAAATAAATCCTGTACAATGCAGTAGCAGGGAAACAGCACAGCTGCTGCTGTCCCCACCTGAACCTTCTGCTGGTAGCCTGGAGATCATCCCACCTCTGTCTACCACAGCTAACACCTGCACACACTTCCAAGGGGCCTGGCAACAGGTCTTCCAAGCCGAGTCTGCCTCCTAGTACACAAACATGCTATCTTGGGCCTGGGGATCACCCAGTCAAATCCATAACCACTAGCACCTAAACACTCCTCCCAGAATACTGAGAATAGGCTACAACCTCAATCTGCTGCAACCACCACAGCTGACACCTGCTACATGTGCCATCTATGGGCCTGGGAACTGGGTCACTTAGCCCATCACAACCACTGCCAACACCAATACACACTGCTTGGGACACAGAGGTTGTCCTACCACTGCTACTGCCACCACCAAGACAATACCTACTGCCTAAGGACTTGAGAATCCACCCATCTGCCCAGTCCACTGCTGTCATTCTTGGCACCTGAGCAAGGTATCCAGAGGCCCAAAATCGGCCTACCTGGGCCTACTAATATTGGTGTCAGCACATGCCATCCTGGGAAATAGCAACAGGGATGCTTGGTGCAGTGTTGCATCACTGAGGCCAAATGGCCCACCAACCTGGTATCCTAGTCTCCAGTAAAACATCATCACAGCCACTAACAGTAAATATGCACTCTAAGCCACTAAGAAAGTCAGAGACACCACTGACTCTGTTTATAGCCAAAGAAATCATATTGAGACTACACTACAGCAAACCCAGAATCAAAGCTAAAGTGCAGTGCTCTATTCAACCAATACCATAAATATATCTTCAGGAGAATTCATCCCCTATAAAAGCAAATTCAAAAAATTGGAAGAAACAGCTGTTACACTCGGTGTGCAGATATCAAAGTAAGGACACAAGAAACATGAAAAAGTAAGGAAATATGACACGTCCAAAAAAACAAAATAATTATCCAGCGACTGATTTCAATCAAAAAGACATTTACAAAATCCCAGAGAAAAATTCAAAATATTTTCATAAAAGAAGCCCAATGACACATGAGAGAATATTGAAAACAGTACAAATAACTCAGGAAAACAATTCAGGATACAAATGAGAAATTTGTCAAAGAGATAGAAATCATAAAAACGAACAAAATAGAAGCCCTGGAACTGAAGAATTCATTTAATGTAGTAGAAAATATACTCAAAAGTGTCAGTAATAGACTAGATCAAAGAAGAAGAGAAGAATCTCAGAATGTGAAGACAGATCTTTTTAAATTATCCATTCATATAAAAATAAAGAAAAAAGAGGAGAGGGGCCAAGATAGATGATTGGAAGCAGCTGCAGTCTGCAGTGTTCATGGAGCGGAATGAAAGGAGGGAGTGAATTCGGCACTTTCAACTGCCATATCCAGGTTCTTGCATTGGGACTGACTAGGAAAACAGCTCAACCCAGGGAAAGCAAAGAGAAGCAGACTTGGGTGATTGCCCACCCAGAAGCAACATGGAGCCATGAGAATCCTACCCTGAGCCAAGGGAAGCAGTGAGTGATTTTGCAACCCACTCTTGGAAACCATGCTTCTCTCACAGATCTTTGCAACCTGCATATCAGCAGATCCACTTGTGAGCCAACACCACCAGGGCCTGGGGTCCAATACATGGAGCTGTGTGGAGTCTTGGCAGAGGGAACAGTTAGGCACACACAAAAACCCAGGAGTTTTGCATACTCTGGTCCCAGACTCCACTACAACATGAGAGATTCATCTGTGCATGACCCTAGGAAGGAGGCTGAGTCCAGGGAGCCAAGCGGCATTGTTCTGCAGGCCCCACTTCCAGAGCACCTCATGGGTTGAGACTCACTGGCTTGGATTTCCAGCCAGCCAGTAGCAGCAGATGGAGTTGGCCTGAGTCAGGACCAAGTTCCCAGGGGGAGGGGTGGCCACCATCTGTGTGGTTTGGTAGACTCACTCATTTCAGCCTGTGGGCTTTGGAGAATACAAATGGTACAGACGATTAAGAGTTTCACCTCAGTGGAGTGCACCTGCTCTACCAAAGGGAAGCCAGACTGCTTCTTTGGGCGGGTCCCTGATCCCATTTCTCCTAAGTTAGACCTCCCAGCAGGGGTCTCCAGCCACATCCTATAAATGCATTTAGACCAGCAACAGGTCAGTGCCCGCCCTGGAACAGAGCTTCCAGAGGAAAGAGCAGGCTGCCATCTTTGCTGTTTCACAGGCTTCACTAGTGATACCTCCAGGTATGGAAAAAAACCGGGGCAACTAGGGTCTGGAGGGGGCTCTAGGCAAACTGCAGCAGCCCTATGTAAGAGTGGCCTGACTGTTAAAAGAAAAACAAACAAACAGAAAACAACAACAACAAAACAACCCCACAAAATCCCATTCAAAAGTCAGCAACCTCAAAGATTGAAGATAGATAGGCCCATAAAGATGGGAAATAATCAATACAAAAATGCTGAAAACTCAGAAAGCCAGAGTGGCTCTTCTTCTTGAAATGACCACGAAACCTCTCTGGCAAGGGCACAAAACTGAGCTGAAAGTGAGAAAGTTGAATTGACAGAGTACGCTTCAGAAGGTGGGTAATAGCGAATTTTGCTGAGCTAAAGGACCATGTTGTAACCCAATGCAAACAAGCTAAGAATTATGATAAAACAATATAGGAGCTAATGGCCAGAATAGCCAGTTTGGAGAGGAACATAACCAGCCTGATGGGGCTGAACAAGAAAACACAAGATCTTCACAATGAAATCTCAAGTATCAATAGCAGAATAGACCAAGTGGAGGGAAGAATCTCAGAACTTGAAGATAATTTTTCTGAAATAAGATAAGCAGATAATAATGGAGAAAAAAGAATGAAAGGAATGAACAAAATCTCAGAAAAATATGGCATTATGTAAAGACACCAAACCTATGACTGATTGGGGTACCTGAAAGAGACAGGGATAAGAGAACGAAGTTGGAAAACATACTTCAGGATATTATCAGGAGGACTTCCCCAATATAGCAAGACAGGGCAACATACAAATTCAGGAAATGCAGAGAACTCCAGTAAGATACACCACGAAAAGATCAACCCCAAGACACATAATTATAAGATTCTCCAAGGTCAAAATGAAAGAAAAAAATGTTAACGGCAGCCGCAGAGAAAGGCCAGGCCAACTACAAAAAGAAGCCCAACAGACTAATAGTGGATCTTTCAGTGGAAGCCCTAAAAGCCAGAAGAGATTTGGGGCCAATTTTCAACATTCTTAAAGAAAGGAATATCCAACCCAGAATTTCATA
Source organism: Homo sapiens (assembly GCF_000001405.40). Classification (NCBI taxonomy): domain Eukaryota; kingdom Metazoa; phylum Chordata; class Mammalia; order Primates; family Hominidae; genus Homo; species Homo sapiens. The sequence goes on from NC_000003.12 coordinate 35,279,831, forward strand.
TCTGGCCAAATTAAGCTTTATAAACAAAGGAGAAATGAAATCCTTTACAGACAAGCAGATGCTGAGGGAATTCATCACTACCAGGCCTGCTTGCAAGAGTTCCTGAAGAAAGCACTAAATATGAAAAAGAAAAAACTGTTACCAGCCACTATAGAAACACACTAAACTACACATAGTAGTGACACTATGAAGCAACCACATAAACAACTCTGCAAAATAACCAGCTACCATCATAATAACAGGATCAAATTCACACATATCAATAATAACATTACATGTAAATGGGCTAAATGCCCCAAGTAAAAGACACAGTCAAGCTGAATAAAGAGCCTAGCCCCATGCATATGCTGTATTCAAGAGACGTGTGTAAAGATGCACATAGACTCAAAATAAAGGGATAGAGGAAAATTTACCAAGCAAATGGAAAACAGAAAAAAGCAGGCATTGCAATCCTACTTTCTGTCAAACAGATTTCAAACCAACAAAGATCAAAAAAGACAAAGAAGGACATTACATAATGGGAAAGGGTTCAATTCAACAAAAAGAGCTAACTATTCTAAATATATATGCATCCAATACAGCAGCACTCAGATTTATAAAGCAAGTTCTTAAAGACATACAAAGAGATGTAGACTACCACATGATAAGAGTGGAAGATTTCAAAACCCCACTATGAATATTAGACAGATAATCAAGACAGAAAATTAACAAAGACACTCAGGACATGAACTCAGCTCTGGATCAAGTGGACCTGATAGATATCTACAGAACTTTTCACCAAAGAACAATAGAATATACGTTCTTCTCATCACCATATGACACTTACTCTAAAATTGATCACATAATCAGAAGTAAAATATTCCTCAGCAAATGCAAAAGAAGTGAAATCACAACAAACAGTCTCTCAGACCACAGTGCAGTCAAATTAGAACTCAAGATAAAGAAATTCACTCAAAATCACAACTACATGGAAATTAAACAACCTGCTCCTGAATGACTCTTGGGTAAATCATGAAGTTAAGGCAGAAATCAAGAAGTTATTTAAAACTAATGAGAACAGAGAGACAACGTACCAGAATCTCTGGGATGCAGCTAAAGCAGTGTTAAGCGGGAAATTTAGAGCATTAAATGCCCACATGAACAAACTAGAAAAATCTCAAGTTAGCAACCTAGCATCTCAACTAAAATAACTAGAGAACAAAGAGCAAAAAAACCTAAAGCTCCAGAAGACAAGAAATAACCAAAATCAGAGCTGATATGAAGAAGATAGAGACACAATAACCCTTCAAAAGATCAAGTCCAGGAGCTAGTTTTTCTGAAAAAAAATTAATAAAATAAATTGAACATTAGCTACCCTAATAAAACAAAGTAACAATCTAAATAACAAAATCAGAAACGACAAGGAGGATATCACCATTGACCCCACAGAAACACAAGCAACCACTGCAAAATACTATAAACACCTTTCTGCACATAAATGAGAAAATCTAGAAGAAACCAATAAATTCCTGGATATATATACCCTCACAAGACTGAAACAGGAAGGACTTGAGTTCCTGAATAGACAAATAATGAGTTCTGAAATTGAGGCAGTAATAAATAGCCTACCAAACAACAACAACAACAACAAAGCCTGGACCAGACAGATTCACAGATGAATTTTACTAGAGCTACAAAGAAGAGCTGGTGCCATTTCTACTGAAACTATTCCAAAAAATTGAAAGAAGGGACTCTTCCCTAACTCATTCTATGAGGCCAGCATCACCTTGATAACAAAACCTGGCAGAGATACAACAAAAAAAGAAAACTTCAGGCCAATATCCTTGAAGAATATCGAAGCAAAAATCCTCAACAAAATACACGCAAACTGAATCCTGCAGCACATCAAAAAGTGTATCCACCTCAGTCAAGTTGGCTTTATCCTTGGGATGTAAGGTTGGTTCAACAAACACAAATCAGTAAATGTGATTCGCTACATAAACAGAGCTAAAGACAAAAACCACATGATTTTCTCAATAGATGCAGAAAATGCCTTTGATGAAATTCAACATCGCTCCATTTTAAAACTTCTCAATAAGTAGCTATTGAAGGAACATACCTAAAAATAATAAGAGCCATTGGCCAGGTACAGCAGCTCATGCCTGTAATCCCAGCACTTTGGGAGGCCAAGGAGGGTGGATCACCTGAGGTCAGGAGTTTGAGACCAGTCTGGCCAGCATGGTAAAACCCCATCTCTACTAAAAATACAAAAATTAGTCAGGCATGGTGGAGCATGCCTATGATCCCAATTACTCAGGAGGCTGAGGCAGGAGAATCACTTGAACCTGGGAGGCAGAGGTTGCAGTGATCTGAGATCACACCACCGCCCTCCAGTTTGGGCAACAGAGTGAGATTCCATCTCAAAAAAATAATAATAAAATAATAATTATAAGAGCCATATATGGCAAACACACAGCCAATATCATACTGAACAGGTAAAAGCTGGAAGCATTCCCCTTGGAAACTGGCACAAGACAAGGATGTCCTCTCTCACCATTCCTATTCAACATAGCATTGGAAGTTTTGGCCAGGGCAATCAGGCAAGAGAAATAAATAAAGTGAATTCAAATAGGAAGAGAAGAAGTCAAATTATCTTGTTTGCAGATGGCATGATCCTATATCTGAAAAACCTCATCGTCTCAGCCCGAAGGCTTCTTAAGCTAATAAGCAACTTCAGGAAAATCAGGTTAAAAAGTCAATGTGCAAAAATTGCTAGCATTTCTATTCACCAAAACAGACAAGCAGAAAGCCAAATCATGATAGAATTCTCATTCACAATTGCTACAAAAAGAATAAAATATGTAGAAATACAGCTAACAAGGGAAGTGAATAACCTCCTCAAAAAGGACTGTGAGCCACTGCTCAAAGAAGTCAGATAGGACACAAACAAATGGAAAAACATTCCATGCTCATGTATAGGAAGAATCAATATGGTGAAAATGGCCATACTGCCTAAAGTTAAGTATAGATTTAATGCCATTCCCGTTAAACGACCATTTACATTCTTCACAGAATTAGAAAACAACTATTTTAAAATTAATACGAAAACATAAAAGAGCCCAAATAGCCAAGACAATCCTAAACAAAAAGAACAAAGCTGGAAGCATCATGCTACCCGACTTCAAACTATAATACAATGCTAAAGTAACCAAAACAGCATGGTACTGGTACAAGAAGAGACACAGAGACCGATGGAACCAAATAGAGAACTCAGAAATAAGACCACCCACCTAAAACTATCTTATCTTCGACAAACTTGACAAAAACAAGCAATGGGGAAAAGATTCTATTTAATAAATGGTGCTGGGAGAACTGGCTAGCCATATGCAGAAAATTGAAACTGGACCCCTTCCTTACACCTTATACAAAAGTTAACTCAAGATGAATTAGAGACTTAAATGTAAAACCCAAAATAATAAAAACCCTAGAAAAAAAAATCTAGGCAATACCATTCCGGACATAGGCACAGGCAAAGATTTTATGATGAAAATGCCAAAAGTAATTGCAACAAAAGCAAAAATTGACAAATACGATCTAATTAAACTAAAGAGCTTCTGCACAGCAAAGGAAACTATCATCAAAGTGAACAGACAGCCTACAGAATGGAAGAAAATTTTTGCAATCTATCCATCTGACAAAGGTCTAATATCCAGAGACTACAAGGAACTTAAACAAATTTACAAAAAAAAATACAAACAACCCCACTAAAAATTGGGCAAAGGACATGAATAAACAATTCTCAAAAGAAGACATACATGCAGCCAACAAACATGAAAAAAGCTCAACATCACTAATCATTAGAGAAATGCAAATCAAAACCACAATGGTATACCATCTCACACCAGTCAGAATGGCTATTAGTAAAAAGTCAAAAAACAACAGGTGCTGGTGAGGTTGTGGAGAAAAATGACCACTTTTACACTGCTGGTGGGAGTGTAAATTAGTTCAGCCATTGTGAGATAGTGTGGTGATTCCTCAAAGACCTATAGGCTACAATACCATTTGACCCGGCAATCCCATTAATGGGTTTATACCCAAAGGAATATAAATTACTCCATTATAAAGTTACATGCACACATATGTTCATTGCAGCATTATTCACAATGGCAAACACATGGAAACCACCTAAATGCCTATCAATGATAGATTGGATAAAGAAAATGTGGTACATATATACCATGGAATACTATGCAGACACAAAAAGAAATGAGATTATGTTATTTTCAGGGACATGGATGGAGTTGGAAGTCATTATCTTCAGCAAACTAATTCAGGAACAGAAAATCAAACACCACATGTTCTCACTTAAAAGTGGGGGCTGATTGATGAAAACACATAGACACATGGCAGGGAACAACACACAGTGAGGCCTATCGGGGGGTGTGAGGGGAGAGAGAGCATCAGGAAGAATAGCTAATGGAAGCTGGGCTTAAAACCTAGGTGATGGAATGATATTTGCAGCAAACCACTATGGCACATGTTTACATATGTAACAAACCTTGATATCTGGCATATGTACCGCTGAACTTAAAATAAGAATTGAAGAAATAAGAAAGCATGAGCAAAGCTTATGTGATATATAGGACATCATAAAGCAATCAAATATTTGAGTTTCAGTGCTCCAGAGGACAAGGAGAAAACGAAAGTCTAAGCAAACCTATTTAATTAAATAATAAATGAAAACTTCCCAAGTGTAGCAAGAGATTTGACTACCAAGATTGAGGAAGCTCAGAGATCCCAAAATAGACACAGTTCAAAAAGGTCATCTTTAATGCATATTACATTCAAACTGCCAGAAAACAAAGAGATAATTCTAAAAACAACAGGATAAAAAAGTCTAGTCCCTTATAAAGGAACCACCATCAGAATAACAGTAGATTTCTCAGCAGCAACCTTACAGGCCAAGGGAGAATATGATGATATATTCAAAGTGCTGAAAGCAAAAACCTGGTAGCACAAGATACTATACCCAACAAAGTCAATCTTCATAAATGAAAGGAAAATAAAGTCTTCCTGAAACAAGCAAAAGCTGATGGAAGTCATCAGCACTAAGTAGAATGGTCCTACAAGAAGTGCTTAAGGGAGTCCTATACCCAGAAGCAAAAGAATGATATCTACCGTCATGAAAACACATGAAAATATAAAACCTACTTGTAGAACAAACATACAAACAGAAAAGACTTAAATACTACCACTGCAGAAAACCACCAAATCACAATGATAAACAATATTAAACAAAGGAAAGAACAAAGAATATACAAAACAACAAGAAATCAATTAATAAAACAACATAAATAAGCCCTCACTTATTAATAATGAACTTAAATGTAAGTGGATTAAACTTTCCACTTGATATAGAATGGCCAAATGTATTTAAAAAATGAGCCAACTATATGCTGCCCACAAGAAATTTATCCTGCCTATAAATACATATAAAGTGAAATATAGAAAAACATACTCATGCAAATGGAAACCAAAAGAGAACAGAAGTAGCTATAGTTATATCAGATAATACAGGCTTTAAGACATAACAGTAAAAAGAGACAAAGTTCATTATATAATGATAAAAGAAATTAATTCAGCAAGAAGATATAACAATTATAAACATATATGCACCCAATACCAGAGGACCTAGACATATAATACAAACATTATTAGAGATAGACCCCAACACAATAATAGTGGAGGACTTCAGCATCCAGTGCTTAGCATTAAACAGATAATTTAGACAGAAAATTAACAAAGAAATGTTGAGTTTAAATTGCACATTAGGGACAGGCGCAGTGGTTCCCATCTGTAAACCCAGCACTTTGGGAAACCAAGGCAGGTGGATCACTTGAGCCCAGGAGTTCACGACCATGCTGGGCAAGATGGCAAAAACCCTTCTCTACCAAAAAAAAAAAAAAAGCAAAAATTGGCCACGTCTGGTGGCATGTGCCTGTAGTTCCAGCTACTTGAGAGGCTGAGAAGGGAGCATCACTTGGGCCTAGGAGGTGGAGGTTGCAATGAACTGAGATTGTGCCACTGCACTCCAGACTGGGTCACAGAGTAAGACTCTGCCTCAAAAAAAAGAAAAACAGAAATTCAAATAAATTGCACATTAGACCACATGAACCTAATGGATATTTACAGAACATTTTATTCAACAGATACACAATACACATTCTTCTTGTATATTCAGTGCAGGGAACATTCTCTAAAGAGACCATATGTTAGGAGACAAAAAAATCTCAACAGCTTTTTTTTTTTTTTTTTTTGAGACAGAGTCTCACTCTATCACCCAGGCTAAAGTGCAGTGGTGTGATCTCAGCTCACTGCAGCCTCCATCTCCCAGGTTCAAGTGATTTTTATGCTTCAGTCTCCTGAGTAACTGAGACTACTGGCATGCACCACCGTGCCTGGCTAAGTTTTGTATTTTTAGTAGAGTCGGGATTTCACCATGTTGGCCAAGCTGGTCTCAATCTCCTGGCCTCAAGCGATCCACCTACCACAGCCTCCCAAAGTTCTGGGATTACAGGCATGAGCCACCATGTCAAGCCAAATCTCAACAAATTTTTAAAATTTAAAATAGTGTCAGGTACATTTTTAGACTCCAATGGATAAAATATAAAATCAATAATAAGAAAAACTTTAGAAACTGTACAAATACACTGATATTAAACAACATGCTCCTGAATGGCCAGTGGGTCAAGAAAGAAATTAAGAAAGAAATTTTTTAAATTTCTTGAAACAAAAGCCTAAACATACCCAAACCTATGGGATACAGATAAATCAGTACTATGAGTAAATTTTAATAATAAATGCCTACATCAAAAAAAAGAGAAAGATTTCAAATAAAATTCTAGGATGCACCTCAGGAACTGGGAAAGCAATATACATTTTCTATATACTCAATATAATTTTTCTATAAAAATAAAAAACAGAAATATGTAAGAGAGAGAGATCCAAAACTGAATGAAATTAAAGGAGAACTAAAAGTGCAATAATTCCTTCAACGAATGCTTTTTGAGAAAAATATTGAAATAGGCAAGACAACAGAGGCTTTGATTAATAAGTCTATGGATAAACATACAGTCTTTTAAAGCATACCTAAAATGATTCAAAAATATCTAGTAAGCCACAAAAATACAATATATTCCAAAATTTTTGCATGATATAATCTTTTTGAAAATTAATAGTAAAAGGTAGTAACAAATTAACTAAACCAATATTACATAATTTAAAAAACTATTTTGAAAAACTTCAGTGAAAGAAAAGTTGAAATTTTACAATTTACCTTTTAAAACATATGATATATATCCAAACTCACGGAGTATATCTAAAGTCAATCTAAAAGGACAATTATTTATCTCAAACATTTATGTTACTGAAAAAGATATAAAGTTTCTAAAATGGTAAAATTAATCTGTTTAAAATGCAAAATAAATTTTAAAAAATCAAGAGGAAGAAATTCATAAATGTAAAAACAAAAGATTTCTTTGTAAAGATAATTACAGGAAAAATATTTTAAAACACAATTGATTCTTAAAACAAAGCAATAAAATAGGTCTCTAGATAAAGTAACAATGAAACACAGTTGATAAAATAATTGAGAATGCAGCAATTATCACAAACACAATAATATAGAAGTATCAGGAAGTACTCTTCAAAGTTATACAGATAAATTTAAGAATCTATGTAAAATAGATGATTTCTCAGGAAATATCAATGACAAAATATTTACTCAGAAATAATAAAGGATTTGAAGTGAAAATAAAATATTAATATTTTTATCAATGATTACACAATGTATCAAGAAGGTTAAAAAATAGTACCAAAGATGTTTTCACAGTTCAATTCTTTAAAATCCTCAAATAACAGTATTTTAAGTGCTATCCAAACAAGAGATAGAGAAAGCAAGCTTTAAAAAATATTTCTAGGAATCCAACAAAGAACAAGTAACAAAGTATGCAAAATAGTTCATGGAAAATTTAGACTTGCATTGTCTAATACGGTACTTGCTAGTACAAAGTGGCTATTTAAATTTAAATTTAAGATTCAATTTCACAGTTGCACTGGTCACTTTTTTTTCCCTTTTTTTTTTTTTTTTTTATCTCGCTCTGTCACTGAGGCTGGAGTTCAGTGGCATGATCTTGGCTCACTGCAACCTCCAGCTCCCAGGTTCAAGCGATTCTCCTGCCTCAGCCTCCCGAGTAGCTGGGAAGCTGGGATTACAGGCGCCTGCCACCACCCCCAGCTAATTTTTGTATTTTTAGTAGAGACAGGGTTTCACCATGTTGGCCAGGCTGGTCTCGAACTCCTGACCTCAGGTGATCCTCCCGCCTTGGCCTCCCAAAGTGCTGGGATTACAGATGAGTGACCACATCTGGTTGCACTGGTCACATAATTGCCTAATGGACACATGTGGCTAGTAGCTGCTATATTAGACAGTGCAGAAATAGAACATTTTGACAGGTAGTTCTAGAATAAATGCCCCAGTGAGTTTCTCTCCCTGGACACATCACTGAGGGTGGAAAAAATGGGGACAGCTTAATTGAATAAACCTGCTCCATTTACCTACTTCTGGGGATAAGGGACAGAGACACAGGGAGACATGGATTTATGGTCCCTGTAGAAACTCAAGAAGAGATAAGCAATCCATGTCACCACATACTTTCGAATACATTATATTTCCTTGGCACAATACTGCACCCATCTTAAAGAGTGGAAACTGAGACTCATTAAGATTAAGAACTTGTTTGAGTTCACTGTTCTGATAAACATTAATGCTGAATCTTAAATCCGTACCTTCCAAATACAAGCCTACCATACTCTTGACAATGTATCACCCAGTTCTTGCCCAAAACAGGTGCTTTGATCTGTTGCTATAGTGCTGTGCCCACGTACCTGAAAGCCAATTTGTAATCCTCAAGGGCCTGCAAGCTCTAAGTGTTCTTAAGCATTCAGCTTGCAGATTTTCAGTAATTATTAGCTCTGGCTTATTTGCCAGACTTAATAAACATTACAACATTTAATATACACTATACAAACAGAAAGAGACAGAGGAGACAAAGAAATGCTTTGTTTAAAAAAATATAAAGTAGATTAGAGAACATAATTTTGATCCAGTTTTATACGGAAACGAATATATGGTTTGGAATAATAAAATACTGCGTGTTAAAGTATCTAACCCTGTCACTTACACATAGTAGGTACTCAATAAATGTTTGTGGTTGTGCACTGCTGGTAAACTGTAGAGAGCTGAAATGGCATTCCCCACATTCTACAAATAAGCAATGGTCTGTTTTTCTTGGAAACTGTATATCTAAAGGTAGACCCTAAGAAGAAATCATGGAGTAAATATAAAGTAAATCTCGTATTTATAACTCCAGTGAACTAATGTTTGTCGCATTAGGCAGGAATTAATGTTGGTGGAGCATTTGTGCTGATCCCCAAATGACCACAAACTGAACTGTAAAAACAAAAACAAAAACAAACAAACAAACAAACAAACAAAATATATATATATATATTCTCATCACATTTTGCTGCTGTTTATCTCAATGAGCAGCATCCACTCCTAAAACCACATAAATGGCAGCTCTGATGTTAGGGAGTAGAGATGACCTACAGAGTATCAAGCTCATTTAATAAATGTAATCCTATTCTCAGTGATGGTATTGATAGAGCTGCAGTATGTACTACCTGGAAGCCTATTTCTATAGAAGGACCTAGGAGAGTTTTTTTGCTTAGGTATCTGTGGCAGGCTCAGGAGTATAGTTAACTCTTTTTTAATGAAACTAACTGAATTATTGGAGTGAGGAAAGGGAAGGAGTTACATTAAAGTATTATTCTCCAAGAGTGATGAAGTCTATCATTCTGAGAAATTTGAAATTGCTCCTCCAAGGTCTTAGGCATGGCTCAGAAAATGTTAAACTGACAGTCACTTGCCAACAAGGTTGAAGAAGAGAGTATCCTAGATAAAGAGACCACTGAGAAGACTGACAGTTGCAAAACGAATGCCAAAATGAGAGCAAGACGGAAGAAAAAATGACCTGTTTAAGAGACATTAGCAGTTTGATGAATCAAATATCTCCTATTGCAAAACTGTTCTCAGGAAGATGGTATGACAAAGAGAGGAAAATGAAATATAAACAAAAACAAAACAAAATGGTACCTACGTTTCAAGAAATCACAGATTGGAGTAAAGATATCAGCAAATAGTAAAACTATACTAACAACTTTCTTTCTTTCTTTCTTTCTTTTTTTTTTTTTTTTTTTTTTTTTTTTTATGAGATGGAGTTTCACTCATCGCCCAGGCTGGAGTGCAATATCACGGTCTCAGCTCACTGCAACCTCCACCTCCCAGTTTCAATTGCAGCCTCCCGAGTAGCTAGGATTACAGGTGCCCACCACCTGCTCAGCTAATTTTTTGTATTTTTAGTAGAGATGGGGTTTCATCATGTTGGCCAGACTAGTGTCGAACTCCTCAGGTGATCTACCCACCTTGGCCTCCCAAAGTGCTGGCATTACAGGCATGAGTGGCCACATTTGGCCTACTAACAACATTCATTTGGTAAAATTGGTGATGATTAAAAAGAAACAAAATACAATAGTGAGGTTTCTAGGCCACATGATGAGAACTGACCAGGCAAAGGAGCAGGCTCCCTGTAGCAGTAGAAAAGAGATTTGCTTTTGTGGGCAAGCTTAAGGTACCAGAACAGTCATGGCTGCCAAGTGTATGATAAAAGGAAGAGACATAAACAGGTTGGATCTAAGAGACAAAATCAGCACAAAAAAGCCAAAATTTATTTTTAGTTTAATTTTAACACAGCATATTGCATTTGAAGTACCGGGAAAAAGCACATATTCCTATCGGTGTCTAGGGGTGAGGAGGAAATATTTAGGGCATAATAAAAATATGCAGTTCTGATGGTATGTATTGTGATCTGAGAGAAATTCTTAATTAACATCAAAAATTCTTTCAAAAAGTATGCAATAAAGATATCCAACTATGCCATTTTTGTGAATAAGAAAAGTTAAATGTTACGCATAAAAAGTAGGCACAGGTGGAGAATCCAGGCTGCAGTAGTTGCTGTACCACTTTCAATTATGATCATAGATGATGCATTTATCCTTAATGGGCTCTTTTTTCCATGGGTGTGAAAGAAGTACAACTCAGGGCACTTGCCATGCTCCTGTGGGTCATTGAAAACTTAAAATGTATATAAAATTAAGAAAGCAAACTCATTCACTTAGAAGCATGTTTTTAATTGAAAATAAGTATATTCTATGTGACAACCATTATACTTAGGCAACTGGATTTCAAAGATAAATAGGACACCATCCAAATCCTCAAAAGTCCAATAAAGAATAAAGACAAAACAATTATGTACGAGAAAACAAAATGACTTGTTAAAGAAATTTGCCTGTTTACACAATACTTTTTATTACTTTACTCCACTTGATCCTTACACCAATGCTAGGAGCTAGCAATGTAGTAAAAAAATGTATTATTCCTATCTTGTTAAAACAAACGAGAAAACTGAGTCTTAGAGAGTTGTAGTGATTGGACTGTGGTTAGAATTTTGTAGGTGAAGACTCCAGGTTTTCTGACTGTGAATGATTGATTTTTTTTCCACTGAAGTAATAACAGTCTTCCAAAAAAGAAATGGATTTCTCCTCTGTTATTGCAACAGTGAAGATACAAAACAAGACTCCGTGTCTATAGAAAACCAAAACGTCAATCATGTCACTCAGTGATTCAGTAGATTATCTGGAAATGTTGTCCCCATGATGTCATTTATCTACATTGTTCACCTAGTTTACTGTTTTGGCCAGATATTTTAGCATGGCCTCAACACAGACTTAGAGCCTAGCACAGCACACTGGTAAAATATTTTACCCAATGACTCAAAATGTCAATTACACGGTTGGTCCAGATTGCCTTGCTACCACCAACATATTTTTTAAATGAAAACGATCAGAAAAGGCAGAAATAACAGCATATTAATGAAGATCATTAGTAAATGATAAAGATTAGGCTTTGGCCCAATCATATTTTCATCTTAATGATGGCAGAGAAGAGATAAGGTAGTAAGAGGGTGGTAGAGACAACTATGGAATCTACACATCCCCTTCAGTTCCACAACTCACTGCTTACCTTGGAGGAAACCCAGATCTATGACATGCCAGTGACTCCTAGTGATAACATTTTTGTGTTGCAGGAATGCTGCCAAATCTTGTCCTTGGAATTGACAACCTCAGGTAAAGAGATAATAAAACTGCTATTTAGAGTGTCTACTGCATGTTAGGCTGTTTTAACCATTTAAAACATTGCAATATAAGTGTGCATTTTCATATATGGAACCCAGGGCTCAGGGAGGTTACATATTTTATTCATGGTCAAATTTCAATTAACAGTAAAAAACTGTCTTAGATCTGGGCACCTTCTATAATGCTGATCTGCAAAATGCTTCTAAAGGGCTTAATTGAGAATGCTTGTCATGGAAAAGTCACAGGATGAAAGCAGACACTGAAGAGGCAGGAGCTATCTGTAACAGTGAAAAAGAAACAACCTGGCATTATGAAACAGTATGAGTTTGGAATTTAGGATTAGATAGTGATATGTATTGGTATTTATAAACTCAAGTGTTTAAGGGATCATGTAAGCCATATAGTTCAACTGCCCATTTAATACTTGAGTTTCCTCCATAAGGTCCCCACTAAGCTGATCCAGCTAAGTTTCTCTACTTTGAGCTTCCCTATTATTTGACACAATATCCTTTACCTCCTGTGTTACGCCTCACATTCTCTCAATCCTCCTGTACCCTATTCATTGCCCAGCAGGCAGCTGGGTTCAGGAGTAACCTAACCACATTGCTCAGCTGTTCAGTGTATACATTTCTTCTATAGGAGTTCTTGAAGACCACAACCAGAGATCTGAAAGAACACCCTGGCAATCACTCATACACAAATATGGGAGGATGAGGGATTTAATACTTCATGTGGCAACTCTGATCATCGTGGCGTGGGACCTAGAACCATTCCTTGAGCAGAAAATTCTGAATTAAGTTAGACTTGACTGCATCAAAGAATCAAGTAGAATTTTGCCCCTGTTGCCAGAGCAGTGGCAAGCTTGACAATGTACCCTTGTATTTGTTTTCTTTTTTCATTTTCCATTGTTGTCCTTTTTCCACTCCTGTTCCCCTGAGTTTCTTCCTAAAGCGAACTACCTAGACACACCTTCTTTGGCTCTACTTTCTGAGGATTGGTCACTTCGGGCTGCTATAAAGAGAGATCCTTTCCAATCCTGACCTAATATTCAATGTGGCCTCAAGGTTTTTTTTGTCCTCATCTTCTTGTGTTTTATTAATTTCCATACACCTAGCACCTAACACAGACTTCAATCCCATAAAAAGGAATCACAATATCTAATCAATGGGTATATAGATGAATAAACAGTTGAAATAAGTGTGGTCAAGGTAAATGTATTTAGGATTAAAGTGCTCTCTAAGGTTGAAGGAAAGTTTTGCCCGACTAGTTAAAGGTAAAACTAGTTACAGACAAAGTAGGAAACATCAAGAGGCTTAGGATTTATCCATTTCTTATCATGATAGTTTAGGACTCCAGTAACCTAATCCTAGCATAAAGTCATTGAATCTATATTGTTGATCATAAGAATACTAATTTTTAACTATCCTATGTTTACATTTCAGAGCCATATTTTAAAAATATAGACTCAAAGCCAGGCATGGTGGCTCACGCCTGTAATCCCAGCACTTTGGGAGGCTGAGGCAGGCAGATCACTAGGTCAAGAGTTCAAGACCTTCCTAGACAACATGATGAAACCCCGTCTCTACTAAAAATACAAAAATTAGCCGGGCATGGTGTCAGGAGCCTGTAGTCCCAGCTACTTGGGAGGCTGAGGCAGGAGAATCACTTGAACCCGGGAGGCAGAGGTTGCAGTGAGCCAAGATCGTGCCACTGCACTCCAGCCTGGGCGACAGAGCAAGTCTCCATCTCAAAAAAAAAAAAAAAAATATATATATATATATATATATGTGTGTGTGTGTGTGTGTGTGTGTGTGTGTGTGTGTGTAGTAAGAGAGAGAAAAAAAAGAGAGACAGAAAGAGACTCAAAGACTGTCATAATAAAATCCTTAGAGGAGTTGTCTCAGGTTACACAAGCTGATATAAGAAACAGAAAAGTGAAAATAGAAATATTAGAAGACTATGAGGTAAGGTAGAATTCATATATTAACATATATGGCAATTTGTTTCTACCTGAGGAAGACAATTTCTAGTCTTGGATGCACATATGTTCATGGATGTGCTAACCCTATTGAGACATGGAGCAGTATTATGAAAAAATATCTAAGCCTTGCACTTGGAAATGTGCCAAAAAGGAAATATTCCTTTACTACTATGTTGAACGCATCTACCAACTGGAAGGCAATTACAAAAAAAAAAAAAGTGTGTATGGGGAGGAGATAGATTTAAAGATCCTATACTTAAGAAGAAAGGATTGGCTAAACTTTGAGTCAAAATACATGGTTTTAGTAGCTTAGTAGCTGTGTGCTTTGGTATTGATAAAATTCTCGGTCTACTTGTCTTACTGGGTTGATGATAGTATCAGATAAGTAAATAAGGAAATCTTAATTGTATGGTATCATATATATTTAAAGTATTATGGATAATGTAAGTCCCTCTAGATTAGGCACTATGCCTGATGTTTGTATTTTCCAAAGCACCTGGGGTGAACTACTACAGAAATGAAGCTTTTTCAACTGAGTGCTCAGAAGATTAAGAAAATAATTCAAAGCCTGAAGGGCCTGATCTACAGGGCAAGATTAAATGAGAACATGTACTTCATCATTCTGTTAGGCAATGCCTAATGGAGGGTCAGGACTGTAAACATATATTTCAAAGAGGTAAACGCAAAGATGGAGAATAATTTCAGTTGATACAAAAATAAATAAGTGAGAACATTGAGAATGAAATTAAAAAAGATCTGGGCACCAAAAATGATCAAAATTATCTTATTTGGAATGTTTCAAGTGACGATAAAACAACCTAGATTTTTTATCTTTATTTTATCATTGAGGTGGTCTCCAAAGACAAACATATACTTTTTGATGACATACTTTTCCTCCCACATTAGATAGAAACTCATCCTGAATTATTATCTTTTTAATTCAAACTATCATGGGAGAAAAATAATCACAAAATATATTGTTTTTTCCAAAATGCCAATTTTTTTACCACTTGATTTTTTTTCTTCTTACCCACCATAAACTTCCTATTTCACAGTTTCCTTGAGGAATGCTTCTGTGAGTGTACAAGTGGAACTAATTGAAAAAGATCAGATTTAATAGAATTTAAACTAACTGAAGGGAGAGATAACTTCAGTCACAGTAGTATCAGGGGAAATGAGACAAGACCAAGGGAGATTCTGAAAACTAAACTACTACAAATGCACTGTAAATTCTGCAAAGGCAGGTGTCTGTTCATATTTAACTTGAAAGAAGATAGAAGTGAGTCAACATAATATGATAATTTTTTTAATCCAGAGAAGCAGTTAGTAATTTTTCTGGCAAAGATATTTGATTCAAAGGAGGAAGAAAAGAGTATATTATTTCCTTTCTGAAAACAGCAAGATTCTGTTTACTTCAGACTCAATAAGAAATTGGCATTTTACTAAAATGAGACTATAGCTTAATTGTTCTTTTTCAAAGAATAACCCATAAGCAAGAATGTGGTATTTGAGGAAATTTGTCTTTAGAATGGCTTTGAACATACATTAGTTGGTCTTGAGCCCTATACTTCTTTTCTCACATTTCTGGGAGTCGCTTACTGGCATTCCCCTGAGGCCTGATCTCACTGGGCAGGTATTGCTGATAATAATAAATGATGACAGGGCCATGCTTTGCAGCTTGGAGTAGTCCCGTTTGTATTCGATTTCTGCACTATCCTAGGAATTTAGATAACTAAGGCAGAGTTCCCTTTTTTTCCCACTTTCCCCATTACCAAAAAGTTCTTATGCTCAGGTTCTTTTGATCCTGGCATCTTCATTGCCATCAAAATTAGTTATTCTGTGACTCTTGTCATCTTGGAACTGTCTAGGAATATCATATTTAATTACCACTTTGCCAAGCTGTGAGTCCTTGCATCAGTCACCCACCCTCTTTGATTCTATTTCCTCATCTGTTTAATCAGACAAGATGATCTCGAACCTTTGATCACGTGACCCTAAATCAGTCTTTCTCAACCCCAGCACTACTGACATTTTGAGCAAAATAACTCATTGTTGTGAGGAGCTGTCCTGTGTGTAATAGAATATTTAGCAGCACCTCTGACCTCTATACAAGATACCAGTAGTAAATAAGACCCCTTCCTAGTTATGACCATCAAAGATATCTCTAGACATTGCTGAATATTCCCTGGGTAGGGGCAAAATCACCCACAGTGGTGAACCATCATTCTAGACCCATATCAAGAAAATTGTTTATTTTTACAAAATACTAAGATAGGTGCCATGCAGTTGTCTAAAAAAAATTTTTAAGCATAGACTATCCTAAAATATAAATCTCATATTCAGTAGAATTCCACTGTCTCCCTTACCATTCCCACAAAATTACATGTTCTTTTTCTTCTCTTTCTGCCCTGTTTAAATGCTGGTTCTGCACCACCAGATGTGGTCTGATCAAGGCTCTCCTGACAGTGTGCCTCTGACCCATGCAATCTACCACAGCTGGTGCTGCTACGTTCAGTTACATCACTTTTTCTGTTATTGCAAGTGGGCCTGTTTCAGTCTCAGTCTTTGTGACATCTGGTTGTTCTCTCCTTTCTAAAATCCTGTTTGCACAGCCACTTTCATCCCACTCTGTTCCCACAAGAGAAAGAGGTTCACACTTTCTTTTTTGTGGTTGACCCTATTGTGAGAACTGGTGACTGTTGCGGTGAGCCATATCAACGAAGAACTGTTTCTTCATGTGGGCTTGTCTGAAAGCAACTACAGTGTTGTCTTCTCTCAATGTGCACGTCTCTGCACTGGGCTAGTTAAAGAAGTTGTAGAAATAATAATCAATTTATATGCATTCTGATGCAATGAAATTAGTATTTGAAAATTTATGTTTTGTATTTATACAATTTTTGATAGTATAATTCAAGGCAAGTTATTTGATGTCAAAATTGTAAAAAAATAATAATAATTATTTTTTGAGTTGGAGTCTCACTCACTCTGTTGCCAAGGCTAGAGTGCAGTGGCACAGTCTCAGCTCACTGCAACCTCCACTTCCTGGGTTTGAGCGATTCTCCTGCCTCAGCCTGCTGACTAGCTGGGATTACAGACATGTGCCACCACACCCAGCTAATTTTTGTATTTTCAGTAGAGATGGGTTTCACCATGTTGGCCAGGCTGGTCTTGAACTCCTGACCTCAAGTGATCTGCCTGCCTCAGCCTCCAAAATTGCTTGGATTATAGGCGTGAGCCACCATGCCCAGCCAAAAAGTATTTACAACCATTTATTTTATATTTTTAAGTAATAACCACATATTGATTAGAAGGGTGTTGATGCACGTTAAAAATACAACAGAAGTTTTTGGTTCTATTTTGTCAATAATGCTAACCTTTTGGACTTTAAAAATAATTTCCTTTGTAGGACATTGTTAGAGGGACTGTTTAATTTGTATTGCTGGGGGGGGATACAAATTTATAATTTGTGTTATAAAAATAGTCTCTGGAAACTTGATCTGCGTATATTTATTCAAAATGACAATCAGGCCATGAGGTATTACAGGCAAAAGAGATTTCTGCCACTTAGAAATTTGGTAATTTGTGCAATCTCTGACGTGAAATAATACTTTCACTCCTAATGCCTTCATTCCTCTAACACTTCTGCTTCCAGTGGTAAATATTAATGAGAAAAAGTGTCATGACCAGTAAGCACACTTGTGCCTCTTAGCACAATTACTGGTTTTAATAACTTCAGAATTGATTAATAGCCTGTTTGTTTTATAGAACCTGCTCAAAACAAGACTAACTGGGACTAGACTTTTACATCATTTTCACTGGGACACAGCCCAGTCCAAGGAGGACATCTTGTCATTACTGAGCACAAGACAGGATTCTCAGTCTGAACTATATGAAGCAGAAGTCTGAATCTGGCCATTTATGTCTTTTCTCAATTCCTCAATCCTGTGTGCAAAGAACTACCAAGTAATGCATAATCCAAGGACAAAAAGGGAAAAAACACAGGAGGAAATATAGTGAAAAATTGAGCAATGTATGTCTGCAACCAGGCCACATTCATCTAAATTAAATGATCCCGGTAACTAGAAATGGTTATCATGAAGAAGACAGCCTTAAATAGGATTCATTTTTTTCAAAGATCATAGAATGACTCTATTCTTAAAATCCCATGAACTAATGTTTTTTCATCCTTGTGAAAGGGCTTTCACAATGATAAATTCTTTGTGTATTGTCCCATGGCTGCTTTTAAATCACTTTTTGAAAAAAAAATTATTGAAATGTAATACACCTATCATATAATTCATACATTTACAGTGTAGAATGAAATGCTTTTTGGCATATTACATCACTATAATTTTACATGGTGCTAAAATATATGTAACAAAACTTGCAATTCTAACCATTTTTAAGTGTGCAATTCAAAGGTATTAATTATATTCACAATGTTGTGCAATCATCACTTCTAACTTTTTTTTTTTTTTTTTTTTTTTTTTTGAGACAGAGGCTCACCCTGTGCTCAGTCTGGAGTACAGTGGCACAATCTCGGCTCACTGCAACCTCTGCCTCCCAGGTTCAAGCGATTCTCATGCCTCAACCTCCCAGTAGTTGAGACTACAGGCACGCACCACTGCAGTTGGCTAATTTTTGTATTTTTAGTAGAGATGGGGTTTCGCCATGTTGGTCAGGCTGATCTTGAACTCCTGATCTCAAGTGATCTGCCCACCTTGGCCTGTCAAAGTGCTGGGATTACAGGTGTGAACCAGCACTCCTGGCCATTTCTATTTCTAAAACTTTTCATCACATCATGTAGAAACTCTGTAACCATTATGAAAAAATTCTGCATTCTCTCTCCCCTCAGGTTACCCTGGTAGCCTCTAATCTACTTTCTGTCTGTATCAATTTACCTATTAACTATTTCATATAAGTGGAATCATATAATGTTTTTCTTTTGTGTCTGGCTTATTTTTTGTAGCAGAATGTTTTCAAGGTCCTTCCATGTTGCAGCATATATCAGAGTTTCTTATCTTTTTAAGGCAGAGTCATATTCCGTTATATTCATATTGTACATTTTGTTTATCCATTCATCTGCTAATGGTCATTTGAGTTGTTTCCACCTTTAGCTACTGTAATAATGCTGCAATGAATATTGATGTCTAAATATCTGTTGAAATCCCTGCTTTCTATGTCTTTGGTTATATACCCAGGAATGGAATTGCTGGTTCATATGGCAATTGCATGTTTAGTTTTTTGAGGAAGTGCCACACTAACTTCCATGGTGGTTGCATCGTTTGACTTTTCCACCAGCAATTTGTGAAGGTTCCAATTTCTCCATATCCTTGCCAACATTTCTTGCTATTATTATTTTTTTAGATTATCCTTATAGATTTGAAAAAGTATATCGTGGTTTTGATTTGCATTTCTCTGACAATTGGTAATGCTAAGTATTTTCTTCTGTGCTTATTGTTCATTTGCATATACTCTGGAAAAATGTCTATTTAAGTTATTTCACCATTTTAAAATCAGGCTGTAGATTTGTTGTTGACTTGCAGGAGTTCCTTCTGTGTTTTTGATACTAACCCCTTGTCACATATACGATTTTCAAATATTTTCTCCCCTTCTGTAGGTAGTCTTTTCACATATTCTTTTTTTAAAAAATTATTTCAACAGCTTTTGGGATACAAATTGTTTTTTCTTACATGGATGAATTATACAGTGATGCATTCTGAGGCTTTAGTGTACCGAGTAGTGTACATTGTACGTAATGTGTAGTTTTTTATCCCTAGCCCCCCACCACCCTCCCGTTTCTGAGTTTCTAAAGTCCATTATATCACTCTGTATGCCTTTGCTTACTCATAGCTTAGCTCTGACTTGTAAGTGAGGACATACAGTTTTTGGTTTTCCATTCCTGTGTTACTTTGCCTAGAATAATGGCCTCCAGCTCCATCCAAGTTGATGAAAAATACATTATTTTGTTCATTTTAATGGCTGAGTAGTATTCCGTGGTGTATATATATCACATTTTCTTCATCCACTCATTAGTCAATGGGCACTTAGGTTGGTTCCACATCTTTGCAATTGTCAATTGTGTGCTATAAACTTATGTGACTTCATACTTTCTTAATAGTGTACTTTGATACACAAAAGTTTTCAATATCTGTGAAGCCCAATTTACATATTTTTCTATTAAATAACTGTCAGTGAAGCAGAAGTTAAGTAAAAAATGGCATTGGGAATTCTATTTTCTTCACTTTTGAGCAATATTATTTGAGGTTACTGTTCCATGTGCTTATCAAAAAACTTAAGGCCTGTGTTAAAGTAACCCATGGAAATGTCAGGCGGCTTCCCAACCAAGTAGTCATTCTTATACTTATTTTTTGTTCAACAAATTTAGTTATGTATAACAAGGGCTTAACACTGCATTAGGCATTGAAGGAAAACAAGAAATGGAGAGAGAAAAAATATGTAAGGTTTCAATGTACTTTGAGGGAGCCCACAGAAGAGCAGGAGAAAGATGGGAGTCAGGGGAATGGAGTGTGTTGTGGCCCAAATACTACAGATTTCTAGAGTTCTTACTGACATTTAGTCAATTTTCTTGGGTAATTGTTTCTCTGTTTACTGTGTACTTCTAGGACAATGTTCAGAAATTTTAAATGATTTTTTTTTATGATTTCCACCAATTAAATCACTGTTATACTAGGGCAAGGGCCTGCCGAGTTCCTCATGCCTCCATTCTAGGAGCCCCACCCCACTGTTGGTTGTTTCTAATATGTAGCCAAGTAAAATTGTCCTGCTTGTCATCATCTCTTAATTTCACACTCCTGATTTATTTCACCTCTCCTTCCCTTATTGAGGCTCTACATAGCATAGTCTTGAATTCAGTAGACTCTCATTCCTAGAGGCTTCCTATCTTGGCCATATTGCTCCCAACTTCTCCACTTCTACTTTGCTTACTATTTGGATTTTGTTTTTCCCAGTTCCTCCACATCCTTCTTAAACTTATTTTTGACTCCCTAATTTACCCATAAGGGTAATGTAATGATATCTGCTTTCATTATTCACAACTTAAATATATCATCATGTACCCTGTCAAAGAAGTCCCAAATCAGTTTTGTAAGATGAGCATCTTTCTGTTATCCGGAAGGGTTATAATTAAGGGTTTTAAATCCTTGAGTGAAGAAGAATATCACCCTAACTGCATAACAGTTAACTTGGCCTTCTAGTTGGTAATAATTTATCACCAAGCTAAAGGTGTTAATTTTTTTTGAAAATAGACACTTTTGCAGTAATTTTCCTTGTCTAACATTTTATGTCCAGTATCTTTAGAAAATATTTGCCAGTTATGCTATGGTTTAATATTTTCTATCAAGTAGAAACATTCTTATGATTTGAATAAACCTAATAACAATGTTCACATAATAATTAACCTTCACAACAGCTCTATAAATCATATATTGTGCATCTTTTCTGATTAGGAAATTTAACTCTAGATCACTACCAAATTCTGCATATTGGTGGCAGAAATCTGTCTGAAGTCTCTCTGTATTCAAAGCCTGTACTCTTAACCACGGTATTCTAAAGTGGTTGTTATGAAAACGCACTTGCCTTCAATATTATCGTACATTTACAAAATAGAGAATAAAGCCCATGTGCAAAGGCTCAGAGGGATAGGAAACAATCTGCATTATAGCAAATTGCTGATAAACCAAAACCAAGCAGTTTATAAGGTTGCTTCACATCAGACTCCTTCCTCAGAGACCCTAGATATTACCGCCAGTCTATGGAAACAAATTATTTTGGAAAATGTGATCATAGGACCACAATCAAGCAATGAATTAATTAAACAATGTGTACCACAAGACACTATCTCTACTCTTGCTATTATCCTTGGCCCCTGCCCTCTTCATCTGGTAAGATATACTCTCTTCACATCTCACTTAAGACTCTCTCTCCAACAAGTCAGCTGTTCTGCTCCGGGTTTACTTCACTGTATCCACCTTTATGGTACTTGTCACATGACACTAGACTAGCTGTTTATTATTTTCATGCCTTGACCTGACTGTGAGCTCTGCAAGGAAAATCCCTGAAAATTAGCATGTCACATTATAGGCATTCAACACAGAAAACTTCTTCAATAAACACATGAATAAAAATATCTCCTCATGTTATTAACTGCTGAAGACAACTGCTATCTCTCCTTTCATGAGGTATAGAAACACTTGCAACTTATTCTCCTTTAGCCTGATTTTTCTTGTAAGTTTTCTTCTTCCCTTCCCATGCTTCTATATCTGAGTAGTGAAGTTATTTGGCTTTATTTTGTCAAGTATCCCTTTCTACTTAAATATAATGAAGAATGGAAATATTACAGACTTCGATTAGACTGTCTAGCTCAGCAGACTTTATCACCCAAAATATAAACTTAAATTTTTAATGATAAATGTGGACTCTTTCCTCTCCTATACTTATTGTATATCCATTTGATTTGTTAAATAATTAGATTCTTAAAACCTTTCTTTTCTTCTTTTATCTTATTAGTTAGTAAGTACTCATCATTTTTTTAGTCCAATAAACATTTATAAATGGCCATCATATGAAAAGTACTTTGGTTGGTGATGCTGGTGATAAAAAAGATAAATAGTATATACATTTGTTCTCCTGGGTCTTATTATCACAGGGGAACCAGAGAAGCATAAATCACACACACACACACACACACACACACACACACACACACACACAGAGCAAGCTGATACAAACTTTCTGAAAGACGGTCTTCCATAAAAGGAGAGGTACTCTAACATCAATCATGCAATCTCTGACTCCTGATTCCATGCACAATCATGTTAGGAGAAATATATGATTCTTAGCTCCAGGGGGATGTGTCCTGAAAATATCATGACTCCAATGAAGGGAAGTGAAAGTCATTAGGCATGAAATGTTTACAAAAAAGAAGAGTGACGGACTAGATACTATGCTTTGGAGAGTGGAGAAGGGAAGGCACTCTCCTGTTTTGACATAAAATTTCATATACCTTCCTTTGTATAGGTAACTGCATTTCCTCGACCAGGTATTATGAGAGCATTTAAAAAAGAATAACAATATCTGTATGCTTCTGACAAAATATACATAAATCTATACTTTACATCCTGCTTTAGATTAATTTAGTTCATGTTAAATTTCTCTGTTGCTTCAATTAACCCATGCTTTCATTTGGCTTTCAACCTAAATATTACTTGGACTTGGGTGAATTTAGCAATGATGCCAAGCTTTAATTTAGCTCATTTCCCTAATAATCCACTCCTCCATCTCTTCTGGGATCATACAGCAGAGCACCTGTAAAGACAGGTTTCCCAGCTTTACTTGCAGGATTCAGAGTAAGTCTTCTGCTTCAAGCTTTGGAAATATTAAAACCAGCCTGAGTCATTTCTTTAATATATACAGAATATTCAAAAACAGTTCTCAATTGAAATTTCTATTCAACGTAAATTGAGTCTTTCAACACTAAAACAAAACAGAACTAACTTTGAATGTTAAAGGCAGAAACCATCTTTCTACTGCTCTTGGTTTTCTTGGTTATCAGTTTAGTATTTTGAAGTTATACACAGCTTGTTACTCAGAATCAGAGCCTTATTATTTTTTGTTATTTTTTCCTTTCTAAAGCAGATCTCAAGCTTCATTTTCTTCTTTCGACATTTAAAGTCATAGTCCTTTCATTCAGCTTAATTGTCCTGATAAATCCTAAAAGTATTAGGAGAGTTTATTTTCCATGACATGGGAATTCTTAATGGATCTGACTTTCTTAAGAATTATTACATCACCATCTCACACCAGTTAGAATGGCAATCATTAAAAAGTCAGGAAACAACAGGTGCTGGAGAGGATGTGGAGAGATAGGAACACTTTTACACTGTTGGTGGGTCTGTAAACTAGTTCAACCATTGTGGAAGTCAGTGTGGCGATTCCTCAGGGATCTACAACTAGAAATACCATTTGACCCAGCCATCCCATTACTGGGTATATACCCAAAGGACTATAAATCATGCTGCTATAAAGACACATGCACACATATGTTTATTGTGGCACTATTCACAATAGCAAAGACTTGGAACCAACCCAAATGTCCAACAATGATAGACTGGATTAAGAAAATGTGGCACATATACACCATGGAATACTATGCAGCCATAAAAAATGATGAGTTCATGTCCTCTGTATGGACATGGATGAAAGTGGAAATCATCATTCTCAGTAAACTATCGCAAGGACAAAAAACAAAACAGTGCATGTTCTCACTCATAGGTGGGAATTGAACAATGAGAACACATGGACACAGGAAGGGGAACATCACACTCTGGGGACTGTTGTGGGGTGGGGAGAGAGGGGAGGGATAGCATTAGGAGATATACCTAATGCTAAATGATGAGTTAATGGGTGCAGCACACCAGCATGGCACATGTATACATATGTAACTAACCTGCACATTGTGCACATGTACCCTAAAACTTAAAGTGTAATAATAATAAAATAAAATGAAATAAAATAAAATAAAAACCTAAAAAAAAAAGAATTATTACATCTTCGGCTTTGAGCTTCTTACTTTTCATTTCAGATTCACTCCCATTAGACTAATAAATAGTTTGTTTTTTGCCATTGTTAAAAATCCAGAATTGGGCTTCTATGGAAAATCTCAGAGTTGAATATTGTTATCAGCAAATATTTAGCTGTATCTTGTTCCTTCTTGGCTTAGAAAGTCCTAAGGTGGTATTTCACTCTAAAAAAATACTCTTTAATTCATATGTTGCATTCCCATTTTTTATTTAATTGGGAATAAGTAGAATCCATCATCCAATGTTTTTATGACTTCTATTATAAGTTTTTGTTTCAGACATATTTTGATCTATAATGTAAATAGAAGAATAATTTCACAGAAGATTGTAGCTTCCATTGGGTTAAGGAGAATCTAGATCCATCAAAGGCATACATAATTAATGGAAAAGAAATCTTCCCATGTATATTTCAAGAAAACTATTAGAAAAGTAAAATAGATGCTTAAAATTGATCATTATTTCATTTCTTCCCCACTCTGCCTCAAGTACAGGTTTCATTGTGTTGCTCATGCTTTAACCCAGAAATAGTAAACTTACCAATTTATGTGCATTTCCCAAATCTGTGGATTTTGCTAGACTGTCATATTATCACTATAATTAACCTCAGCCCCAGGTGACAAAGAGTTAGTAGAGATAAAGAAAATTCACCCTCACACCCAATGGGTTATCCCTCATCCTTGAATCTTTGGTATTATCTATAGGGAATGCAATTTTTAATGTGAATCCCAGTTCTTCTCTTAAAGAAAGCATAATAACAAATAGCTATTTTAAAAAATATATTGCAGACTGGTTATCAACCTTTTAAAGGAATCCTTTGAGAATTTGAGAATGCTGAGTGATTCCCTTTCTTGCTTTGTGAAGCATGCATAATATACAGAATGCTGACGAGAAACTCTGCCAATCTGGCACCTCCAGATGGTTGGAAGATGGGAATTTATAAATTGGATTGCTACCTTCTCCAAATATATCATACATTTCCTGGTCATTTTTTTCCCTATAATATGCCTCATTAAGTGAAAAGTTTTAAAGACAGTTGGATAAATTGTGCATAAACTCGTATCCAGGTGCCCTGAATAACTTGTCTCCGCTTCTACATAATTCTAACTTAAACTTGAGGATTTTCTGAGGCCCTTGGACATTCTAGTTCTCTGAATCTTTGAGGCACTAATTAAACATGTGTGTGCTCTTAATAAACATTGAGGAATATTAGATCGACTTGAGAATATTAAGCTTATCTTCACATGCAATGTCATTGAGTTTAAACCCTTTAATATTTTAATCTATCTTTCACATTGTAGCTATAATAGTAAATTCTGACCAACTTGCTTATTCTTACTTATGGGAATTTTATTTGCAGAAATGCAAAGGTAATCTCTGTTCTCTAGGCCACACATTCTGGTAGCAAATATAGGGTTTTTGTTAACAATTGCAAAACAGAATCTCTACAATCTACCTCCCACTCACTGAAATATACATTCTGCTGTCTTTTGTTTTTTATTGAATATTCTCTTACTGTATGATTCATGATAGCACATCAGGACCAGAACCAGGCTCAAGCAAATGAGATATGTATATCATGCATAGAATTTAAGAAAGTAGTAAAATCTTATTAATCAAGCTGATTAATATCTTAATACAATTCCTTATTGCAATATTTTAAATTATCAAAAATAATGCAAAATTCATATTGTACAAAATATCATATTTTAAAATAAATATAGGGTCCAACTCTAATCATGCAAAATGCTGCCTCACATTTCTTACCTTAATTCTGGCTCAATGGCAAAACATCTGCCTTCTTGTTTTCCTCAAATTGCACTGTAATGGCAAAAAGTTATTTTAAGTATGAAACAAAAACAATTATAAACAGAAAGGAGTGCAATTCAAGTTTTCAAATAGTTAAAAGGTAAATAGTCGACAAGATTAACTTTAAAGGAAAATCACATTGAATTTCAGCCCAGACATAATATTTACGAGCTGAGTCCACAAATGTTCAGAGCTGAATCAACAAATACAAAGACAAAAATATTCAACAAATATCGAATGATCAAATGTAAAAAAAAAGAAAAAAGTTGATGTTAACAAATGTAAAGAGTAAGGGAAATCTGACAGAGAAGAGTTCATGCCAAACAATTGGGTATTTTTCCTCAATCATTTTAATCTAATCTAAGTTAATCTGTATTTCAATATGTCTCAGGAATGGGGTATTTTTATACTTAAAAATTGAAATCATAGAGAAGAACATAAATAAGAGAGAGGGACCAGGATGAATAAACAGAATCATAAATGCTAAATAAAACAATAAAATAATTCAAGGAACAAAATCTTAACTTGATAGATGCTAGGAGATATTGCAGACATAAAAAGTAGGAATAGTGAAATGAAAAATAGCAAATAGAAAATAAGGAAAACATTTTTAAAACTAGTATTATAGTTGCCAAAATCATTTAAGATAATTAACACATGGGTTGCATAAATACATTTTTAGAGTGGACATCTGAATTATTTATCTGGAATATAAATTCAGTCATATTCCCAGAATCCAGATTACTGAGGCAAGAAGTACTTGCTAAGGTAATTTAAACTAGCTGCTATATAAAACCACTTTGCCTAAAATTCATCCCTTGCTAAAAGTCAGTGAGCACTTCTGGAAAGCTCTTCTTTAAGCACTGAATCAGAAATCAAATCGTTTTTCATCTTTCATTCAACATCTTTTGGCTTCCAAGGTGCACTGGCATCTGTCAGCCTTCAAATATGAAAGGAAAAGACAAATGAGATAGACCACTACCTACTTACACCAACTTGTACTGAAAGGGACACACATGCCCCAGTTAGCTTACTTTTGGCCAGAACTGGCCATATGGATCTTAACTACATGAAACGGGTGCTGGGAAATTATGCTTTACTGTATTCCAATGGAAAATAAAATGGTTTTGTAACTATATGGGTTTTATCTGACATTTTCTAACTAGATCACTTGCAACAGAAATTTAGAGGTACGAAGGGAAATATCTAAGTAATCCATCATCCATCTAATGGAAATTCTAAATGGAGAGGAGCAAAAATAAATGAGGAGAAGAAATAATAAAAAAATAGAAAATAAGTGTTTGGAAATGAAGAAACAGTTATTTAATTGAGGTGGCATGTTGAATGGAAAGCAGGACTAATGAAGTATTATCCATATGTACACATATTGAATTTCCATTTCCTCAAAGATAAAAAGAAAATTCTAAAAGCTTTTAAATAAGAACAGAAAGTTATTTACACAGAAAACGTTATAGAAACAGCCATACACTGTCTTAACAACATTGAATACAGAAAATAATTTTAAAAGTCCTCAATTCTGAGGGGGAAAAAAAATCACCTTTAAACCTAGAGTTTCATCCCCAATCCAATATGAGGGCAAAATAAAGATGTTTTATTTATGAAAAAGGTTACAACATTCATTATTCTCTAAGTACATTTTTTTGTTTTGGTTTGTTTTGAGCAGGAGTCTCGCTCTGTTGCCCAGGCTGGAGTGCAGTGGTGTGATCTTGGCTCACTGCAACCTCCACTTCCCAGGTTCAAGCAATTCTCCTGCCTCAGCCTCTCAAGTAGCTGGAATTACAGGCCCATGCCACCACGCCTGGCTAATTTCTGTATTTTTAGTAGAGATGGGTTTTACCGTGTTAGCCAGGATGGTCTCGATCTCCTGACCTCATGATCTGCCCACATGGGCCTCCCAAAGTGTTAGGATTATAAGCTTGAGCCACCATGCCTGGCCAAGTACATTTTAAAAACATATTCATCAGGATGTAATTTCAATGAAATTAAAAGTAATTTAACTCAGGGGTAACATGAGCTAAAATAAACAATGACAATTGAGCATAATGCAGAATGGGAATGCTAGCAAAAAATAAAGTGTAATCTAACACACTGAAATACATATACAGTTCATACACTCTAACACACTGAAATACATATACAATTCATACACTCTAACACACTGAAATACATATACAATTCATACACTCTAACACGCTGAAATACATATACAATTCATACACTCTAACACGCTGAAATACATATACAATTCATACACTCTAACACGCTGAAATACATATACAATTCATACACTCTAACACGCTGAAATACATATACAATTCATACACTCTAACACACTGAAATACATATACAATTCGAAATTTTGTAAGATGTGAGGCTGCATTTTCTTTTACATGGTTTCAACTACACAATTTCATTATTGTATGAATGTGATGTACATGTACATAATCATAATATTATGAATACTATTATTGCTTTCTTTTTTGAAAATCAAAGTACCGACAAACCACAAATAATTCAATGCTATTTAATGAAATAGAATGTATATTCTATAAACCTTGTAAATGTAAAATACAATATTTATAGTAATAGGAAGGGGGAAGAGAGATGAAAGAAATAAAGTCCTTATTCCATTCTCTTTTATAGCACAAAATTAGTAGGTATTTTCAAAGCTTGATAAATCAAGAAATAAATATTAAATTTAGAATTTAATGCTAGAAGTGTCAATCTCTGAAAATAATAGTAATATATCCAACAATATTGGGATTAGAAGTTAGAAGGGAGAAAATGGGAAGGTGGGTAGTAACATATGAATGTTTTCTAAAGCAGGGAGATTGTAAAGCTTGTCTAGAAAACAATAATCAGGAATGAAGATATATATATACATCTTATATATATATATAATATAATCTTAAAATGTTAAACATTTCTTAATCTTAAATGTTAAACATAATCTTAAAATGTTAAACAAAGAAAAACTAAATACAGACATATTTTCGGTATTTTGTTATCTAATGAATGGGGTTAAAGGAAAGACTTTAGTAAAATTTTATTTCCCTTTCAATGGTTAGTATTTTTAATATGTGAAAACATTAATTGTATACCTGTTAAATAAAAATAAAATACCACATATATTATCCCAACATAAAGTAGTCCTCGGGAATTATATGCAATTTGCAGATTCTGTCAGGTTTCTCAGGAAGACGTGCTCAATTTGTAAATTTATGTGACCAGGGAATATTTATTAATAATGCCTATTTTTAACCATAAGACACTGTGTAACTATAAGTGCTATATGGTTAAATGGTACTTATGGAAATTGTCTATTATTCTAAACTATCCATTTTTTAAGTATGCAGTGAAGAGAAACTCTTAGCTTGGTGCTTTAAAAGGTGAAACAGAACTTGAAAAAAAGTGAGGCAAACCACTGTGACATTAAAGCAGAGTGTGAAAAACAGCAGAAAACTAGTGTCCAAAGGGGAGGAATTTGAAAATCAGTGAAACTTGGAGTTTTGAGAAGTGCGGAAAAGACTTAGTGAAGCCCTGGAAGGGATACTGGAAGTGCTTTGCCTAAATATCACTGGTTGCTATAAATCTCAGTCTCAGGAACCAAGATCAGCTTTCTTTTCTAGGCTAATATTAAAAACTTGTTTATAAAAAATACATACATACATATATGTCAAAAGATTGTAATATTCACATTTCTGACAATATACACAGCAAACATGTTATGATTATATCTTTCTGTGGTTTCTGTTTTTATCTTTGGCAAAAGATATACACTTCTGAAATTAAATATTTCAGATGTAAAGCTGTTGAAACTTTAAATTATTCGAAGCCTTGTGAGAAATGTGGCTATGTGGCCTGAGTCAGGTGGCATGCAGCTGCAACTTCTGCCTTTTGTTGCTGCAAATAATTAGGAAGACCAAATGGTACCAGAGATGATACCCCTTCTGATCACTACTGTCCTCACAGAGTAATACAGTTATCTTTCTTGGAATGTAGCAACGTGTAACCAATAGAATTCCTGTAACATGCACTGGTCTTGTGTGGGAAATGTTGTAATCCTGCTAAAATTTATCTGTCTCTGCCTATATAAGTGAAACCTTAACTTCTTTATTTTGGAACACTGACCCAATTTGAGGTTGGTGCTTCACAGGTGATCACCCTCAAGCTTTGCCCTTCAATAAACTCTAAACTTAATCATATTTTCTGAATCTTATTATTTAAGGTTAACATACTTATTTTTTGTTTTCATTTTTACCTTCACAGATATTTATGGTTTTATAGCTGGTCCTTTTTGGGTTGCCAATTTATTTTCTTACTGCATTTCATTAGGCTGGATTACTAAGGTTTGTTTTAAGGCTTTCTATAGGAATAAGTTTTTAAATTCCTTGTGAGTAGCTAAAAAGAAAGCTTTTATTAAAGTGTAACATTTTCAAATATATCCACGAATCAACCTTATTAGTCATTGTATTCAGACAATCTACTTCTTATTTTCATGATACATATAATATGCTATGAGTGGATGCTTCCATTGTATTTCCGTCAATTTATCCTTGCAATATCTGAGATATCTGAGTTATTTATTTAAATCAATACATACTGTGATGATGATAGATGGGTCCAAGTTGTATATATTACCTTTATCCTTTATCATTTTACATTATCTATTTTTATTTTGTTTCTTCTTTGGTGTGTTTGGTTTTTTTGTTTGTTTGTTTGTTTTTGAGACAGAGTTTCACTCTTGTTGCTCAGGCTGGAGTGCTGTGGTATAATCTCAGCTCACTGCAACCTCCAGCTCCCAGGTTCAAGTAATTCTCCTGTCTCCGCCTCCTGAGCAGCTGGGATTACAGGTGCAGGCCACCATGCCCAGCAAATTTTTGTATTTTTAGTAGAGAAGGGGGTTTCACCATGTTGACCAGGCTGGTCTCCAACTTCTGACCTCAGGTGATCCACCTGCCTTGGCCTCCCAAAGTGCTCGGAATTATAGGTATTAGCCACTGCACCTGGCCTCGATTTTTATTTTATTTGATATTTTATGCCCCAAACAAACTTAATTGACTGTTTATCATATACCAACTATCTTGTTTAATATGTCAAGCATTTTTTAAAATTAATTTTTAAAAATTAAAATTATTCTTTTAATCTTGAAATTTCTAAGATATATTTATTCAATATATGGGGTTAGTTTAAAATTTTCATCTATTAGAATTTTGTTATTTTAATGAGTACAAATTTTCCATTTATATTAATATAATATTTATATTTTGAATTAATTCTGCCTTTATTTCTTCTTTTAAAAACACTTTTATGTTTACATTGCTCTCTGCCATTTTACTATATAATTTTTTCTCCAGTTGTTTTGTGGTATGCTTTTGTTTGAATAAACATTTTTATTCCTGCTAATTTGTAACATAAGATTCCTTTTAGAACTTGTAATGGTTGCTGTTTTAATGGGAATGTTTTTAACCATCTAGTCTCTGATTTAGTAGACAGGATACATAGTCTTCATTAGGAGAGCTGAGAAAACTAGCACAGCCACATCAATCTCTCTTTTCCCTTTTTTAATTTATTGGTCTTATGTGGTTATTGTCTTACTTTCAGTTTTTTGTTATTGTTATTACTGTTTTCTGTAGGTTCCTCTTATTAGTTTATATAATATACCTAAACCTCTGTTTCTTTCTTTTATTCAGTGTAAATATTATCTATTAACTTTTGGGTAAGGAAGATATGAAAACCAGCTCAATTACCTTTTTTTTCCTTTCTCCTGTCCACTTTGAGAATTTTTGTTGTTGTTTTTATATTATTGTTCAAATTTATATTGTAAAGATAATAATTTGTGATATATTAAACAACATATTGCAGAATTGATTTCTTACTTGTTATACATTGTATTGCAGTGATTCTCAGCCATGTCTACCAAGTGTTTTTCTCTCAACACTTGATGAGTGGACATCCACTCTAATTTGTGCATGTGTATGTGTGCATGTGTGTGGGTGTGTGTGTATCATAATTTACCTTGTTGCTGTGGTTTTGAGCTGTTTCGATTTGAAGAAAATTACCTGACAATTTTATATGTGAATTACAACTTAACTATCTATAATATGCTTTTCACATGGTTCGCCTTGAAACTGTTTCTCAAACTGAGCTACATGTTAGAATCAACAAGGGAGCTTTTAAAAGCCCAGGTTATACCCCAGAACAATTAAATCAGAATCTGTGGAACTGAGGAACACACACTAATTGATTTTTGTTTGTGTTTGTTTTCTCAATAACTCCTCAGGTGGTTCAGTGTTCAACTAGTTATCAAACCAGTGTCTTAGGATATGGTGAGCCTCACTCAGCTACACCTAACATTGGATTTGAGGCCGGCCCAAATTTGCACAGGCTGCTCCCCCAGTCGCAATCCCACTACAAATTGCATTTGACTTCCTTTTTCCTAAATAACTTTTTCATTGTTTTAAAAATTCAATTGTTAAACATTTGTTTATGTATTGATTGTGCACAAATGTTGCTAGAATGTGATATGCCTTTTAGATCTTAAAATTTTATTCTTTCTTCAATTCAGAAACATTTTTATTACTTACCTATACTCTTTTTAAATTTAATTTTGTCCTGATCCGAATTTATACTTGTTAAATGGTTCAATATTATTTTAAATATGGTCAATCTAAGAATTAAACTGTCTTTTAAAAATTCATTAGAGTATATCTTTTTATTCTATGCTCTGATTCTTCCACTTTTTCTTTTCTTTAGAGCTATTTTCCTATATCTGGCCATGTATTTTCATTTTTGTTCGCAACTTATAGGAAGTATTATTTGGCTGTACAGTATTGGAAATTGCAGTTCTGTTTTGTCCATGTTAGACATTTTCTCACGTGTTTTTTTCTTCATAGCTATATTTTGCATATTAAGAAATTTAGTGGCTTGTGAGAGGCAGGAAGCCATTGCCAAAATAATTTCTTAGGAAACAACTTCATTCCTTGTTCTCACCAAACACCAAGTGAACAGCCATGTCTTTCCCCCAACTGGTCAGCCTTTCCTCTCTCTGTAATAGCTATGTGAATATTTTTGCTTTATCTAGCAGGCTCCCATGTTAGTGAAGCTGGATGTGTTTACTAAAGCTAACAGCTCCTCAGCTATTGCTAGTACAAGTTGGGTTAAAATCTACCCACATCAAGTGGATCTGAACCTGCCCCCTTCTCTGTCCTAACTGTAAGCCACACATTGGCTGTAACTTTCTTGCTCTCTGTACCTCTTTCACTTGTATTCAGTTTTTCTGGCATCAAAGAGTTAGTGATGCACCCATGACATCATTAGAAGTTATTTTTGCCAGGCAGGCATGGTGGTTCATGTCTGTAATCCCAGCACATTGGGATGCCAAGGCAGGTGGATCACGAGGTCAGGAGGTCAAGACTAGCCTGGCCAACATGGTGAAACCCTGTCTCTACTAAAAATACAAAAATTAGCCGGGTGTGGTGGCATGCGCCTGCAGTCCCAGCTACTCAGGGGCTGAGGCAGGAGAATTGCTTGAACCTGAGAGGCAGAGGTTGCAATGAGCCAAGGCCAAGCCATTGCACTCCAGCCTTGGCAACAGAGCGAGACTCTATCTCAAGAGAAAAAAACAACAAAAAAAAGAAGTTACTTTTTCCTTGGCCATCATTAAGTCAAGAAAGGATTGGTGAATAGCATAGGAAAATATGATGATATCTTTTGACAGCCCAGATTTGTTCTCTTTCTCTCTTGACTTGAGTTTGCCCAGGTCTGTAGCTCTGCTTATCATCTTATCACTGCTTCCCAGATGGGCTTTACTTCTGCAGGTGTGAAATTGCTGCTGCTCCAAACTCTGTCCATCCTATCACAACTGCACAATACCTCCCAGAAATACCAAAAAGCTTCTTGCTTATTTGTTGTGCTCTATTTGTTGGGTCATTTCAGATAGCATTGGAAGACAAGGAAGGTAAATGTGGGACCAAGTCTCCATTTTGCTATGAAGTGATCCCCTTCCATTATTATAAAATGCTCATAAACTTACACACAGAAGTAGCTATTTCTTCAAAATCCACTTTTGTGTCATTAATCATCTCAGCCCAGCAAAAAAAGAGTTTTAAAGTTATATGAAAATAAAAGTTGATCACAGAGTTAGTGACCTCTATTTCAGAGCTGAGGAAATCCTGTGAAATCAAACTTCATATGCTATGACAGAAGTATGGGATTTTAGTCATGCCCTCACTCCACCCACTCACGACTGGTAGCAATTGTTTAGAGTCATTTGTTACTGACTAGTGGCCTGACCCATTATCTTCACATTCCTGGAATTTGTGAAACAAACAATGTATAACCAATCAACAGTTTATGTCATTTTAATGGAAATTTTTAGTAAATAACTTAGGGAATTGCCTCTTCTTTCTCTTTAAAAATTCATTTACAATTGCTGCTAATGAGACTATATATTCAGAGCAACTTGAATGTATGCTCCCAGATTGCACCCCTCATGCTTGGCCCACATGAACTCTCATATATTTTGTTTTAATTTTGGCTCAGCTTCTTCCTTTTAGGTTGACAAAGACAAGTTGAACATGATGTATTTGATGAATGATAACCTTCTTTGGCATTGCAGAAATTGCCACACACACAGGCATACACACACACGTTTTGTAAATGATTACAAAATGCCATTCTTCAAAAGCTGTCATTCTGAAAAGCAGGTCTTTTCAAATGCTTGACATTTTAAAAAGTACAAATTGAATGATGAAACTGTTTTTAACCTTATATCAATATAGGCATTTGTTGAAAAGCAAATTGAGTGGTATGCTTGGTAAAAAGTGAAGATTATTAAAATGTTGAAGACTTTTAGGAATCCTCTAGCAGCCCTGGAGCCTATAGGAGGTCTAGCATGGACCATAACTGCGTGAACAGTGAGTGTTATTCAAATCTGGACCAACCAATTCCAAGCAGTCTAAGGCTCCAATCTGTGGTCATGGCCCCCAGAGGAAAAAAAAATTATCATTCAACTGCCTTGTTATACAAATAACAAAACCGAGGTCAAGAGATGGTAGATTACAACGCAATTGCTAGTTACATTGTTATCCTAGATAAGAGTAACTCCTGTCTTATTTCCTGATTCTTCCCCCAAGATACTTAGTGAGAGAATAGAGGACCTATGTAGACATCTTCCAGACAATCCAATCAAAGTTTTACTATCAAAACATTACAAATCCCATACCCAAAACAGAAGAATTCAAATGATCTCTAAAGTCCCTCACAGTGTGCAGTTCAGAGAATGAGAAACATTACTATGCTAAGGCTTAACACATTGAAAAGGAGATTCTGAGAAGAATGAATTTGTTTTATCCTCATAATAAAGATACAGGAAATTAATTTGTTTTAGAAAGAAATGCTGATAGACCTGAAGTAAACACTGTTATGGAACTGTGTAAAGCCCTGAAATTGATTCTTTGTGCCGAGTTGTGTTAAGAATATAGATTGCACTACCTAATTCATTAGACAATTAATACAAAGATAAGGTTATATTATTTTGGACACTATTTGCAGAACTGACATTTACAAACTTCTGATAGCTAAATAAATTTGAGTTAAAAACAAAAGAAATATGATAAAATACATCTGAGTTAAAAACAAAATAAATATAATACTATACAGTGAAATATGCTTATATAAATACACACTTGAGACAGATGATATCATACATAGACTTAAATATATTTCAGAATCATCGTTGGGGTTTTGTTTTGTTTTAGTTCAGTTTTTGGTGGGGTAGTGAGATAAAGCCCCAGGAAAAAGAAAAATGTTAAGGAAATCACAAAGGAAATCCAAAATTAGGTTGCTAAGAAACCAACCCATTAGAGGAACAGGAAGTAATCCAATAGTGCAAACCTTACATCTTTCAATCAAAAGTTTCTGTATTATTCTTAGCCTGAATATCCCAATTAGCTATGCAGTGAAAAATAAACACATGACATTTAACAAACCAGGTCACGAGTGAGTGGTAGACTGAGAATCCCAATTTTTAACAACAACAACAAACCAACTTTGCTTTAAAAAAAGAAAACTTGAAAATAGATATACATAAAAATGTGAGGAGAAGTCATATTTACATTGCTATTGGGGGTAGGAATGAATTAGGTGCCAGATAACATTGTATTTCAAGATAAGGACCAGGCCAGGTGTGGTGGCTCACGCCTGTAATCCCAGCACTTTGAGATGCCAAGGCGGGCAGATCATGAGGTCAGGAGTTTGAGACCAGCCTGACCAACATGGTGAAACCCCATCTCTACTAAAAAAAAAAAAAATACAAAAGGTAGCTGGGTGTGGTGGCACACACCTGTAATCCCAGCTACTTGAGAGGCTGAGCCAGGAGAATCACTTGAATGCGGGAGGTGGAGGTTGCAGTAAGCCGACATTGCACCACTGCACTCCAGCCTGGGCAACAGAGCAAGACTCCATCTCAAAAATAAATAAATAAATAAATAAATAAATAAATAAATAAATAAATAAATAATAAGGACCTAGAATATGCAGAGCTTTGTACTGTGGATTATTTGAGTTTCTTCTACAAATTGCTAGCAAGATTAACCAAACTCAGCTAATTCAGTCAATTTAAGACACAAAGGATTTAAACAACAGATGGCTGGTTAAACTATATATATGTATAATATCTGTAAGCACAGATTGTACTTTCTTTTCAAGAGACTACCAACTATTCAATTTTAAGATGTCTATTAAGCTATGACACCAATTAAAAGTGTTTTAAAGAGGAAAAAAGCAATTATCTCCATAGATGTAGAAAGTTATTTTATTAAATTTGATATCAGTTCTTGATGAAAACTCTTTTTTAAAAAAGTAACAGTTGCTATTTTAACATGGTAAGTATATATGTCAAACCAAGATATATATATTCTAAAATAAAAGTTGGCAACATGCTTGTCATTATGTAATGGGAGCATTCCTGTTAAATACGGAACATGACAAGTAAACATTTTATCACCATTAACAGTGAAGAGCTTTGAAGAGCTTCCAGGAGTGTGCTCCAATGCAATTACACAAGAAAAAAAAAAAAAAGCAAGCTCTGCTAGAATTTAAGTTCCATTAGGGTCATGATTTGTCTCTAATTCAATACATATTTACTGACTTAATTTTCAAAGTAATAAATGAAGACAAAAAAGGCAAAATCATCTATATTTGAAAATTACTATGATCATTTATTTAAATACTCTAGAAATGCAACTAATAAGCAATTAGATCTAAGAGGGGAATTCAATATGTTGGCTGGTTACAAAGACATAAATAATTCACAAAAAACTTCTAGAATTTATATGAAGATGATTTTAAGACTCTTAAGGCAAATGAAGAATATTTGAATAGATGGCATAACATACTTAATTTGAAGCTAGATGGAATTCATATTTTTAAAGTAGCAATTAAAACTAAGTTAATCAATAAATTTGATCTTTAACTATTAAAACTGAATGTATATTAAATATAAAAACTGGAATAAGTAAGAATAACCAGGAGCAAGGATACATCCTGTCAAGTATAAAATATTTCAGTTAAAAGAGTTTGTTAATATTTCCGGAATACATTCAGTAAAACAGAAAGTACAGAAATAGATTCAAAGAAAGATATAGCATAAAATGAAATTTGTACCTTAAATCAATGAAAGAAAATGGACGAATTAACAAACTGAGGAATAAAAATGGAGAATAATTAAAGTCAATTTACCATACTTCCAAAATAAAATGTTATAAACGATGATATATGAAAGGCTGAAAACAGAAGAAAATGTGTGAGAACTCAGAGCCATAACAAAATGAGAAAGTGAAGATGACTACATTCGTTTTAAAAGGTAACAAACATAATGTCAAAAGACCAATGATAAACAGGGAAAATTGCAGTTTTTAGCACACATACCTTACACAGGATTAATTCCAGTTATATGTATAATCAAACATACTCCTTGACATTATAAGAAAAGAAACAAATCCCATTTAGGAAAAAAAGGGGGGAAAGAATTTCAGAAGAAATTGTATAGAAAATAAGAAAAATAAAAGATATCTTTATAACATATAATAAATATTTAAACATTTTAATGCATTCACAACTTTAAAATATGTATTAAATAACAATGAGACAGCACTTTTAACGAAACAGACTGACAAAATGTTGGTTATACAAGTGCTGGTAGACATGTGGAAAAACTCAGCCATCCAATATGGTAAGGGTATAAATTTTGCTTGGAAATTTGGCATTGTCTATTGCAATTTAAACTACACATTCTCTTTGACTTATATTTGGCTTATAGGAATCTTCCTTAGATCACATGTCCTGTGTCAAAGGCTGAATGTCATTTAAGAGAAAGAACTCTCTCAATTTAAGCTACTCTAATGTAATTCTATATTTTAGTACAATAATATTGAAACACTAGGTCTTGTTCCTTAACCAAACCAAGGCTCCTATACAAAGGACATATTCCTAGGAGAGTGCTGAGCTTAGTCGGGTAGAGGAGTGAAGTTAATTTGGCATTTTCTCACCTCCAAAGACTTTAGCAAACTCACTTATAGTGGTAAAAGCCATTCTCTACTAAATAGCTAGAAGGCAGAAATTGTCCTAGACATTACATACACATCCCTTCTAATCTTTCCATCACTCATCAGGGTAAATAATCTTATCTGCATATTTAAAACAAGGGAATTATCTTTTCATGAGTGGAAGATAAATTTTAGACCCCACAGGAGAAGAGAGATGATAACATAGTAACCCATTTTGTGTATGAAGGGAGTGAAGGGTATTAGCATTCCAGCAATAGCTGATCTCTCCTTCTGAGCCTGGAGACAACTCAGTATCACCTTATGTTAATCTCTAGGTCAATGCAATTAGTTTCACCCTGAGAAAAACTGCTTTCTTTAAATTTATATAACTTAACACCACAAGCTAGAAGTCAGCAGAAGTTAAATTTCGATTTATAAAAGTATACTTTTAATCATCTTGCAGTATAAAGAAAGAAGCTTAGAGGTTCTTTATACCAAAGCTAGGCAGAAGAAAATCTTCCTGAGTACAAGATTTGCTCAATGCAGTAGACTATTTCTGTGAAGAAGATCGGATAATTCTTATTTATGAAAGTCTGGGTACCATTTAGGATATGTACAGCTACAGAATCTTTAAATCCTTCAGACACTGGCTTCAGAAACAGGAACTTACAGACTTATGTAAGAAGAAACAGAGGTGGAGAGTAGGTTCAGGACAACTTAACAGATTGGTTTGATGATATTAGAGCTTCCAGTCAGCTTCTCTGTGAACTTCCCTCAAGGTTTTAAAATGACTGCTAGCTAATAAGCATCATATGCTAAAAAAATAGAGTGGGTGGGGGGGATTTTAGATATGTATTTTTTCTTAAGAATAAAGACAATTTCCCAGACGTCCTCACAACACTTCCATTTATATCCCATTGACCAGGGTGGTGTTTCATGCCCCTATCAAAATAATCTCTGGAATAGCAAAATAATCTCTGGTCAAGATTCTGGAATTCCCACAGGTAGTTCACTTTAATCAATATAATGTATGGGATTGAAGAGAAGCCCACAAAACACATATGGCCAAGCCTGAGCAACTAGTATCCGAAAATCTCTCATTGCATCACATTGTTTTTTCAATGCAGAAGAGCAAATAATGACTCCTCAAGACATTTTTTTAATGTTTTATTTTTTCTATTTATTTCTCATATAATTCCTTGTGTAAAATTACTAAAATTGATGCATTTTCTTTTTTATTTTGGCACATTAAGTCTTATAAATATATCTTATAAAATTTCATAACTATTAAATTATTTCTCCTTCTTAATTTTTTGCCAGTAGGACCAAGATTGCTAGCATAATCCCCAAAGTAACTCTAATAGTTGAAATGATAGTACATCCTGGTTGGTAAATCTCTTATATAAGTAAATAATAAAATATTACTAATTAGCTTTTTTATTCACTCTTTTGCAAATGAAGCTTTCAATTCAGGTGATTCCACAATCTCAGTTAATTTCAAAACCACAGAACTGAAGAAGCCAACTAATTTGGAAAAAAAATCTGTGGATTTATTTTATTTCTACTGATTGAAATATATTGGGTTTTAGAGGAAATGTCTTTTAGTTCCAAATTATGTATATTGTGCAGCCTCTGTATGTATTTTCTGAGTGATTTAAATGAATTTGAATCAGCTCATTAGGTTCCAGACTGGTGCTGAACATAATGACTCATTCCTAAATTAATATTGTCTGCCCTGAACTACTCCTGTCTAAATCACTTTAATCACTGAAAAGATTCATACTTTTCAAAAGGATGGCCACATTCAAATGAATTCTGCAACAGTTCATTAGGTAATGATGTCATTTTTGTTCCCTGGGTCAGCAAATGTGTTCCTGCTTAGCTGTAAAAATGGACTGACTGTGAGCAGATAAACAGGTACTTTGTATGCATTTGACATTCATACATGCACAGAAGGGAGGCATTATGTTGGCATGGAATGTTTCAATTTGGGGCATTGCTATGTTTCAGATTCAGCTTCCCCCAACCCCGCTTTTTCTTTCCTTTCTTAGCTTAGCAGCTGTATAGGACACATGTTCCTGTCTTTCAGAAGCAGTTAGGTGTCAAATCCTTTGTCACATCTCACTGACATTAGGCCATTGAAAAGGAGTTTCTTACAGCATTCTAGCTGAGGCATAATATAAAGCAAACTCTTAGGAAGAGCACCATGTTTGACACTAAAATTCAATGGCACTCAAATGAAGGCTACTTCAGGAAGACCCTAGAAGCAACAGACATGATCACAGCCTTATGGAATAGTAGGTTAGCAGGTAAATAATCTCAAACTTTCTCCTGTGCCCCTTGAAGTTGTCAGCAATGACAAGAACAAAATGACAAACTGAATGTGCTTAGCAACTTAGCATATTGATGAGTTACCTTTGAAATCAACTCATCCAATGGTTCTGGAATGTGTATCAAAGAATAAATACGAGGCCAGTTCTATATGCATCACCAGGGGAAGAGTATTCCGCCTTATCCTAGGAGGTTCTCCTTCAAGTGAGAACCAAAAGAACTAGCAACTTAGCTCACAGTTCCAGAAGTAAGATAAGAACTTTAACTGTAGCCTCAATAGTGAATTCACTGATTGACTAATCTATTAATTCATTCAAAACATTTAGTATGTAAAACATCCATGTGTTATTGAGTGCTTACCATGAGCTAAATATAAAACAAGTATTTTTTAAATATTCTGTCTCACTTTCTCTTTATAATAATTCTATGAAGCAAGTATTAAGAGTCACTATTTTAAAGATAAAGGTATTTAGAGATGTCATATTGTAATTGCCAAATGGGTTCTTCCTGCTTGCTGCACAAACAAAACCAATTCACTGAGACCATGGTATTGCAATAAACAAAGAGTTTAATTAACACAAGCCCAGCCATGCAAGAGAAGGAGTTATCACTGAACTCAATCTCCCCAAAGGCTCAGAGGTCAGGGCTTTTAAAGGATAGTTTGGGGAGCAAACTAGGAAATGGAGGCTGCTGATTGGTTGAGGATGCAATCATAGAGATGTGGAAAACAGTCCTTGTGCACTAAGTCTCCCTATGGATGGGGGCCACAGGACTGGTTGGGTCACGAGTCATAAGTCTGGCTGTGGTCAGTCTGGAAAACATTAAAACACTAATTTCCGGTTCTTAGTAGTGATGATATCTACAGGAACAATTGGAGAAGTCACAAATCTTGTGACCTCTGGTCACGTGACTCCTGAGTAGTAAGGAATTATAAACACTATGCCTACATCTTGGCAGAATTCAGGCCCCTCCCATAATTATAATCTTGTGGTATTTTATTATCGTACAAAGGCAATTTTAGGACAAGGAGAGAATCAGTTTTAGGGAAGCACTATTATCATCCTTGCTTAAAAGTTAAACTGTAAACTAAATTGCTCCCATGGTTATCTTGGCCTATACCCAGGAATGAGCAAAGACAACCAGCCTGTGAGGATAGAAGTAAGATAGAGTCAGCCATGCTAGATTTCTCTCACCATCATAATCTTTGCAAAGGCATTTTCAATTCCCTTCTTGGGTTTCAGCACACCTCAATCCTGAGGTGGGAGCTACAGAGATGGGAAAAGGCTGATGATGCTCTAACTTCTTTCTGCTGACAGAGAGTATAGCTGTGGTTGAGACTGGCCCTGGGGTGAGAAAAATGAAATCACTTTGCAGTTGTCTGCATGTATTCAGGGTGCCTGGTTGGGGTCCTAAGGTTTGTATGATAAATATTAATATTGTTACGCACAGCTTTGGTACAGCACTTAAGTGAACAGTGGACCGTAAGACAAATAATGAGCCCTCAAATAAGGAGTGAGATTCTTAGCTTCGGGAGTCCATGTAGAACTTACCTGAAGTCTTGAGGCATCCAGGTGAGTATCCTCAAGAACTAATCAGATATGCAGTCATAAGCAGAGAGTCAAAGACAATGGACAAGGCTGGAATCTAATAATAGGTATAGTTTTAATTTGCATTTCTCTAATGATCAGTGATATTCAGCTTTTTTTCATATGCTTGTTGGCCACATATATGTCTTCTTTTCAGAACTGTTTGTTCATGTCCTTTGCCCACTTTTTAATGGGGTTGTTTGTTTTTCTCTTGTAAATTCATTTAAGTTTCTTATAGATGCTGGATAATAAGCTTTTGTTGGATGCACAGTTTGCAAAACTTTTCCCCCATTCTGTAGGTTTTCTGTTTACTCTGTTGACAGTTTTTTTTTTCTGTGCAGAAGCTCTTAAGTTTAATTAGGTCCCATTTGTCAATTTTTGATTTTGTTGTGATTGCTTTTGTTGTCTGTCATGAAAGCTTTGCCCATTCTTATGTCCAAGATGGTATTGGCTATGTTGTCTTCCAGAGTCATTATAGTGTTGGGTTTTACATTTAAGTCTTTAATTCATCTTGAGTTGATTTTTGTATATGGTGTGAGAAAAAGGACCAACTTCAATCTTCTGCATATGGCTATCCAGTTATCCCAGCACCATTTATTGAATAGGGAGTCTTTTCCCCATTGCTTGTTTTTGTCATCTTTGTCAAAGATCAGATGGCTGTAGGTGAGATACCATCTCACACCAGTCAGAATGTCTATTATTAAAAAGTCAAAAAATAACAGATGCTGGTGAGGTTGCAGATAAAAAGGAATCCTGATACATTGTTGGTGGGGGTGTAAATTAGTTCAACCATTGTGGAAAGCATTATGGCAATTCCTCAAAGAGTTAAAAGCAGAGCTACCATTCTCCCCAGCAATCCTATTACTGGGTATATACCCATGTGAATATAAACCATTCTACCATAAAAACACATGCCCATGAATGTTCACTGCAACACTATTCACAATAGCAAATACATGGATTCAACCTAAATGCCCATCAATGACAGATTGAATAAAGAAAATGTGGTGCATAGACACCGTGGAATACTATGCAGCCATAAAAATGAACAGATCATGTCTTTTGTGGGAACATGGATAGAGCTGGATGCTATTATCCTTAGCAAATTAACACAGAAACAGAAAATCAAATATTGCACATTCTCCCTTATAAATGGAGCTAAATGATAGGAACTTATGAACACAAAGAAGGAAACAACAGACACTGGGGTTTACTTGAGTGGGGAGGGTGGGAGGAGGGAGAGGAGCAGAAAAGATAACTATTGGGTACTGGGCTTAATATCTGGGTGATAAAATAATATGTACAACAAACCCCTGGGACATGTGTTTACATAAGTAACACACCTTCACATGTACCCTTAAATCTAAAATAAGAATTTTAAAAAGTCTTTATGAAAAATAAATAATAAAATCACTTATGAAAAGTTAAAATAAAATTAATATGTGTATTACAGTATTTTTCTGAAACATAATTTTTCTCTCTTCAGTTTTCCATTTTTACCAAAGACAAATCATAGTAGGACAAGTTTCTTTGCAAAATCAGTTTTAGTCTTATTTTTCTTGGTCTAATTATTCACAGACAATGCAACCAGAATAATCATTTGCCATATAGGCTTGTTTAAATAGGCTTTGCTGGAACTTTTTCATAAGGAATCTCAGATTAAACCTTTTAAAAGCCTCCCAAGCCTAGCCAAGGATTTATCTGTGCCTGCAGAT
The DNA here is from genome assembly GCF_000001405.40 of Homo sapiens. Taxonomy (NCBI): domain Eukaryota; kingdom Metazoa; phylum Chordata; class Mammalia; order Primates; family Hominidae; genus Homo; species Homo sapiens. The sequence goes on from NC_000003.12 coordinate 35,324,714, forward strand.
ACCTGTATGAATTGGATGAATTCCTCTCTTCTTAAGGTCCCAACATAACTTAAGGTTCCTGGGTCTGTCAGAAAATGACATTTTCTAATCACCACAGGTCAAAACCCTGTACAGGACAAAGTATTAGGCCAGTCTCCCCAAGGGAATGTTATTGGCTTTATAAGTCCACCTCAATTCCTCAAAGTAGTCTGAATACATATCATTCTAGTCAAAGCCTTGGTAAATAAAAAACAAACAACAACAACAACAAAAATCTAATTATATACTGTTACAAAGGAAACTAGATGCTTATTGAGCTTATACAAATAACTGTATTGCCATAAATAAAGAATACTTACAAATAGTTTCCAAGTTCTGGAGAAATTAAGTAGACAGAAAGAAATATATTTTACATTTTGCCCACAAGAGTAAAATTTACTCAATAGCTTAAAAGCTGTAAATATCTCAAAAGTAAAGAAGATTTTTGAGTCTAAAAACAAAACAAAAACTATCAGTAATGTTTCAAGCAAAAAGTCATAAAATGATTATTTCAGTTTTCTATTAGTTCAGTCTGTGCAACTAACTCCTGTTCTGTGTTCTTGATATTTATGAATGCATCAGCCCTCCACGAGAGTCCGGGAAGTTTGTTTTCACTATTCCACTGGCACAGTTACTGAAGTTATCAGAAACCTGTATTCAAAAGTACCTGTTAAAGTCCTACAGCTGATTATAAAACCACCCTTTGAAGAGGATCAAAGTAAAACAATTGTGGATGATGAAAGTCTCAGAATAGCCATTATTAATGATGCAATTGACATGGAAATTTTGATATTTTTATGGTGTATAATAATTTAACATAACAATCATAATTATTACTGATAACATACGCTAAGTCACATCAGAATTATGGGAGCCAGAGCCAGGTGTGGTGGCACACCTCTGTAGTCCCAACTACTCAGGTGGCTGAGGCAGGAAGATTACTTGGGGCTAGGAGTTTGAGGCTGCACTGAGCCATAATCATGCCACTGTACTCATCTGGTGACAGCAAGACACTGTCTCTAAAAAGAAAAAGAAAACACAAACAAACAAACAAAAAACCAAAAACAGAATTATAGGAGTCTCACACAATTCTGGAATGCACACTAATAACATATTTATACAAATACAGCCCAAAAAAAACAAACACCATTTCATAGTTGACAATGCTTCCTCCATGATTTTCACATACCAGATAAGCCAAATATCTCTTCTGGACTTCAGGGAAGCTAGTATCTAAATGTTAATGATGTCAACAAGGGCTGCATTTATAACTTTAAATTTTGATTTGGGAAGGTTTATCAAATATTATAAGTTTAAAACACTTGATATCACAAAGTAATATCACAGATCATTCATCTATTTGAAGTGATAACTCAAAAATTTCAAAAGGCAAGAAGCTTTTGTCTTCAATAGAGGAGGCTCAGCTTTCCAAACAAGACCAAATAAGACAACATGTGGCCAAGTAAACCTGTCTATTCGCTCTTTTCTTGTTTTTTCCTTGTTTTCCTACAATTTACTAGAAAGGCAAACAAAAATATTTCTTTATCTCTCAATATTACACAACAATCTTGTTCAAAAGAGAAATGCAAATTCCACCTTTGCATTAGTGTACTATTAATGTTAAACACAATTTCTAATGAAACCTTATAAACAAATCTATCCATTCTTAATCATTTTGACCATAAGGTAAGATTTTTATAAAACTTTTGTAACTTTTTACAATTTTCTATTAAAGAGCAGATCAATGCTCCAAGGAAACCATGTTATTCTGACATATGGGCCCAGATTCTGGTCCTGTATCAGTGTGCTTTCTATCTTAATGTATAATTTATAGAAAAACTAACTAACTCCCTTTAGGTTTTGGCCAACTTGCTCATGCCGACAAAACTTCCTTTAAAATACCAGTTTTTCACAAATCTACTTTTTCTTTGGTTTTATTCTACCATTCTTTTAACTTAGGACAATCCTTAAAATCTCTAAATGAGACTGAATTACTTTCCCTTTAACAAAAACTATATCCCCATGCCTTCTTATAATCTTTTACCAAAACACATTCCATTTTCCTTATACTCCTCACATGTAAAACTATGTCCCTACCAGTCTCAATTACATATGTTACAATGTTAACTCTTAGCAACTTTTATTTTTTGTGATGAACCTAGTAAATAAGCAATTTTAACCATATATCAGATTGCAGATCCCAAGACAAGGACAGAACTGTAGACAATGTCTGACTTTTCCCAGCATAGTAAGGTGCTTGGCTGACACCATATGTCCACGGGTCTTACCTAGAATCTAATGGCTATAAAACAGGCAAGTCAAACCATTATCAAAAAGGTCACAGAAGAATTTTTTGTCCTTAAATCGTCTAGCAAAGACAATATACAACATGCCCAATTCAAATGAAATGCCTAAATTTTGAGGACATAGATTTCTCTCACTATCACAATCTTCGCAAAGGTGGTTTCAAAGTAACCTGCCTAACACCTTAGAATGCATAAGGGGCAGAAATAAGATTTCACCTTAGGTCTGTCTAACATTAAAGCATTCTCATTTCTCTATTTTCCACTATCCTTTTATGTCAAGACTGGAGTTGGTGGAGTGGAAAATACAAGAGGTATGAAAACTATTACTTGTATTCAAGGGGACCACTCAATACTCAATTGATTATATTTATAAAACAAATTACTCCAAAACATAGTGGCATAAAGCATCTATATTGCTATGATAGCAGACTCTTTGTGACAAAAATTTGGACAAGACACAGTGGGGACGGGTATTATCTGCTTCATAATATCTGGGATCTCAGGGGTGGGAAGACTCAAAGGCTGGGGTATGACTTAATGGCTAGGGGCTAAAACCCTTTGTTAGGCCATTCTTGTGTCACTATAAAGAAATACTGGAGACCAGGTAATTTATAAAGAAAAGAGGTTTAATTAGCTCATGGTTTTGCAGGCTTTACAGGAAGTATGGTGCTGGCATCTGCTTGGATTCTGGCGAAGCCTCTGGGAGCTTTTAGTCATGGCGGAAGGTAAAGGAGGAACATTCATGTCACATGGTGAAAACAGGAGCAAGTGAGAGTCAGAGGGGAAGTGCACACTTCTAAATGGCCAGATATTTTGTGAACTTAGAGTGAGAGCTCACTTATTACCAAGTTGATGGCCCAAGACATTCATGAGGGATTATCCAAATACCTCTCACCAGGACCCACCTCCAACATCGGGGATTGCATTTTAACCTGAGATCTGGATGGAGAAAAATATCTAAACTATATCAAACCCTTTTGGAATTGTCTGCATTACAAGTTTGATGAATGATGCTGGAAATCTGATAGGAGTACAGCTAGAGATATCAGCTATGACATCCACCCATTGCCTTCCTATGTAGCCTGAGGTGCCTCCTAGTATGATGGCTGTGTTCCTCAAGCGAACACTCCAAAGAAAGTAGGAAGAGGATGAATTACCTTTCTGTGACCTACTCTTAAAAGTCAAAGTTTTATGTCTGCTCTGATCACAAGCCTGCCTAGATTCCAGATGAGAGAACACAGACATACTTCTCAATAAGAGGAGGGTCAAAACTGCACTGAAGAGCATAAGGAATGGAAGACAGTATTAAGGCCATATTCAGTAAATGAAATCTGCCACATTCTTCACTTGACTAAAATCCTATAAAGAAGCCACTAGATTGGAGAGCATAAGCTAAGCAAGTAACCAAGGGCTACGAGGTATCTCCGTAGACTTAAAGAAGTAAAACCCCAAGTAACCTCTAGAATGGAATTCTAAGCCGCATGTTTAAACTGCTACTGATTTGAGCTAGTGGCTGGTGGTTGTTTTTCATGCAATCCTTTCTTTTATTCAGGAACTTAATTTTATTCTGTGTACCCTTGTGCATAGTGCAAAAGATCTCAAGTGATCCTAGGGCTCTTTAAGCAGAAAAGCTGTCAGTTTTTCTTTGTATTAAGTAGAAAAATGGTTTGAGGAAAGACACATAAGATAAAGCTGCAAGGCAAAAGCCCATGTGTATTAGTCTGTTCACACACTGCTAATAAAGACAAACCCAAGACAGGGTAATTTATAAAGGGAAGAGGTTTAATTGACTCACAGTTCCACATGGCTGGGGAGACCTCACAATCATGATGGAAGGTGAATAAAGAGCAAAGTCACGTCTTACATGGTGGCAGGCAAGGCAGCATGTGCAGGGGAACTCCCCTTTATAAAACCATAAGATCTTGTGAGGCTTACTCACTATCATGAGAACAGCTTGGGAAAGACCCATCCCCATGATTCAATTACCTCCCACTGGGTCCCTCCCATGCCACGTGGGAATTATGGGACCTACAATTCAAGATGAGATTTGGGTGGGGACACAGTCAAGCCACATCACCATGTGAACATCTGAAATGCAAGTGCCATTGTAGAAAACATACAGCATTGAAGAAATGAATTCTGCTATGAATTTATTTCATAATAACTTTTATGATTTTTTTTTACAAAGGTTACAATTAATATGTGAAACATGGGGATATTTCTGCAATGTGATTCTAACTGCAGCTAATGCATGTTTTTTTTTTTTTTCCTTTTTTAGGAGTGATTAAAATGGAGAAATCTCTTTTTAACCTGCCACCACACCAAAACTTTGTAGGCCATTTTTTTCCGCTCTGCCATCTGGAATAAGTGGCAACATACAAAACATCTGTAGGAGTCAATAAGGTCATGTTAGTAAGGAAAGTGGCTGTTGGAGAGGCAAGAGCTTTCTTTATATGAGAAGTGTGCTAAGGAGGGATAAATGCTAACATGGTGTGTGTGTATGTGTAAGAGATAGAGAGGGAAATTACCTAGAAGTGGAAACTATTCGGCTAAAAGAATGCATTAATCATTGAACTTCAGATATTTTCTGCCTTGTGGGAAAATGATGTTTCCTGATCTATTGAAAGTTTTAAAGAAGCTAGAAATATAGATTTTAACTTAAAACTCATATTAATTTTTGAATATTTATAACAAATTCACTTTCTCTAAAATACTCTGGCAGAGAATGGGGTTCCTTCATATTCTGTTGTTCCATAGTATAATACTTTGGACAAAGCTCTATTTCCCCTACTTTATCCTTTTTTAGGAGTGATTACCACATTGCATTGAAAGCTTTTATGTATGAATCAATATCTTGATTATAAAACAGCTTAAGGATGGCACTGTACATTATTTAATCCTGCATCATTGAAAACCAGCATAAAGTACAGCATAAAATGTTTCTAATGAAAGCATTAAAAATGATACTTGAAGATTGTTTCAAAGTTAAATGACTTGTACAGCTTAATTTAATCCCCAAAGACCAAGAAATGGCCTTCAATCGAAAGTGTCCAGGGTTAGCAAATCATATGAGGTAAACCTTGATTTCTTCACAGCCCTTGTTGGCAACATAACATTTATTGGTCAACTGGTCCAATAAATTATTCTGGAAAAAATTGTATAAACACATTCTCATTTCAAACAGATTCAAACAAAAAGATTTACACACGCTGATACATCAAAGCCTCTCTTTTGCTTCCTTACTCCCAACCCCTCTTTCAAGGACAATCATGATTCATATTTAGACATGTACATCTCAGCTTCTTTTTCTACACATTCATGTGCATGTATGTATGTATCACATTTATACAATACTCAAATGAATCCTTTTACGTATTGTTCTGAAATTGGCTTTTTAATGCCACTTAAAGTGTTGGATTGCTTTCTTTTCCAGTATGTACCTTCTTTTTTGAGATTGCATAGTATCTAATACGTCAATATATTTAGAAAATAATTGAATAGTGATAGATATTTAAGATGTCCTGAGTATTCCTCTTACAAATAAACTTGCAATAACAAACATTACACATGCCCTTTATGCACATATGAACTTGTGTATGTGATACATTTCTAGACACATGTTTTTGGCTAAAAGAAGTAAATTCTTAAAAATATTAATTCATTAAATATTAAATTTATTTTACTAGTACCAATTAGTATCCCTTTTAAATATTTTAAAAGTTAATATGTATTGTAAGTAAATTAGAATATCAGTTTTCTTGCATTCTTATCAACACAGAGATTTTCAGTGCTTACAATTTTTTCCAGCTTAATGAATGAGAACTGATAATTCATTATTGATTTATGTTTCTCTAGATGTTAGTGATTTTAGGTACTATTTTATATTTTTATTTGAAATATCTATTTTCCTTTTTATTAATTACCTGTTGATATTTGTCTAATTATCTGTGGGCTGTCTTATTTTTATTAGCTTTTAATAAATTGAACATATTAATCCATAATTTCATTTTTATTGGCATTTTCAAGCTTTATTTAAGTACAATTGACAAATAAAAATTTTATATATTAGAGTGTACAATATGATGTTTTAATATACATATACATTGTGAGATGATTGTAACAATAAAGCAAATTAACATTTCCCTTCACCACACATAATTACCTTTTATGTGTGTGTGATGAGAATACTTAATATCTTACCTTAAGTGATACTTAAGATCTCTCTCAACAGATTTCAAATATCCAATAAATTATTAACTGTAGTCACTACGCTGTACATTATTAGGTTTCCAGAACTTATTCAACTTATAACCAAAAGTTTGTAGGCTTTGACCATCTCTTCTTTGCCCCAGTCTTCGACACCTAGTAACTACCATTCTATTTCTATAAAGTCCATGTTTTTAGTTTCTATATATAAGTGAGATAATGTGATATAAGTCTCTCTGTGTCTGGTTTACTTCAGTTAGAATAATGTCCTCCAGGTTTATTCATGTTGTCATAAATGACAGGATTTCCTACTTTTAAAGGCTGTGTAATATTCCACTGTGTATATATACAACCTTTCTTTAGCCATTTGTCTATCTGCAGATACTTAGGTTATTTCCATACGTTAGCTATTGTGAATAATGCTGTAATGAACACAAGAGTGGTATGAGCCACTGTGCCTGGTCAATAGTTCTTTTTAATTTTTAGAGGAACCTCCATAACATTTTCCACAATGACTGTACAAATTTACATTCCCACCACAAGTATTTAAGGGTTACCTTTTCTCCTGCTCAAAACTTGTCATCTTTGAACTTTCTGATAAAAGCCATTCTAACGGGTGTGAGGAGATAATCTAATTGTGGTTATAATTTGCATTTTCCTGATAATTAGTGGTGTTAAGCACCTTCATGTATTCCAGTGGGCTTTCTACATGTCTTTTATGGAAAAATGTCTATTCAGGTCTTTGATCATATTTTAATGATTACTTGTTTTTTATGCTATTGAATTACGTGAATTCCTAACATATCTTAGATTGAAACCTTCTATCAGACATATAGTTTTTAAATATTTTATTTCATTCTGTAGGTTTCCTTTTACTTCATTTATTGTTTACTCTGATATGCAGGAACATTTTTGCTTAATGTAGTGTCCCACTTGTTTACTTTTGCTTTTGCTGTCTGTGCTTTCTGTGTCATATCAAAAAAAAAAAAAAATTCATTGCCAAGACTAATGTCAAGGAGATTTTCCCCTACACTTTCTTTTAGGAGTTTTATGGTTTCAGGTTCTCTTTGAAGAGTTTCACCTCTTTAACCCCCTTGGTTATATTTATGCTAACTATTTTACCTTTTTGATCCCATTGTAATTGTTTTTCTAATTATTTTTCAGATCATTTGTTATTAATGTAAAGAAACACTGCTATTTTTTGCACGTTAATATTGTGTCCTGCAACTTTAGTGAATCTGTTTATTGATTGTAACAATTTTTGGGGGAAGTCTTTTAGGTTCTATACATATAAAATCATGTTATCTGCAAATAGAGATAATTGTACTTCTTCCTTTCCAATTTGGATGTGTTTGTTTATGTTTCTTGCTTCACAGGTCTGTCTAGAACTTCCAGTGATGTGTTAAATAGAAATAGTGAGAGTGGACATCCTTGCCTTGCTCTTCATCTTAGAGAAAAAGCTTTCAGATTTCAGATTTTTACCATTGAATATGACATTTCCTGTGAGGTTGTCATATATTACCTGCATTGTGTTGAAGTTCATTTTTTCTATTCCTAATTTGTTGAGATATTTTATTATGAAAGATGTCGAATTTTGTCAAATGCTTTTTCTGCATCTATTGAGATGATCATATGATTTTCATACTTCATTCTACTAATGTAATATGCCATATTTATTAATTTGCATATTTTGAACCATATTATCCCAGGAACAAATGCCACTTGCTCATGGTGAGTGATTCTTTTAATGTGCTGTTGAATTTCATTTGCTTGTCCAGTTAAACATCAAACAACACGAGTTTGAACTGTGTGGATCTACTTATACATAGATTTTCTTCTCCCTCTGTCCTCACTGAGACAGAAAGACTCCTATTTTTAAAGGCTGTATAATATTCCGTTGTGTGTGTGTGTGTGTGTGTGTATATATATATATACATATATATGTATATATATATATACATATATATGTATATATATACCACATTCCATTGTGTATATATATACCACCAATCCTACCTCTTTCTCTTCCTCTTTTGTCTAATCAATGTTAAGACAATGAAGATGAATATTTTTGTGATGATTTCCTTTCACTTAATAGTAAATATGTTTTCCCTTTCTTATGGTTTTCTTAATGCTTTTCTCTAGCTTACTTTATTATAAGAATACAGTATTTAATATAAATATAATATACAAAATATGTGTTAATTGACCTGTTATTGGTAAGACTTCTGATCAAGAGTTGGCTATTAATAGCTAACTTTTAGGGGAGTCAAAAGATATACATAAATTTTCTACTGTGAAGGATATCAGCACTCCTAACTCTTTCATTGCTTAAGGGTCGGCTGTATTTTGTTGAAAGTTTTGCATACATTTTCATATAGGGTCCTTGTATGACTTTGGTATTAAGATAATGCTGGCCTTATAAAATAATTTTGAAAGCGTTCTTTCCTCTTCCGTGTTTTGGAAACATTTGAGAAAGATTTGTATTAATTTTTCTTTAATGTTCAATTGTATTCACCAGTGAAGCCATCAGATACTAAGATTTTCTATGTTGGGAGGTTTTTATATTATTATTACTGAAATAATTTTTTACTATCCATCAATTAAGAATTGATATTTCTTCACAATTTAGTCTTGGTAGGTTGTATATATCCAGGAATTTATCCATTTATTCTAGGTTATCCCATTTGTTGCTGCATTATTCTTCATAGTGGTCTCTTATGATCCTTTGTATTCCTGTAGAATCAGTTGTAATGTCTCCTCCATTTCTGATTTTGTCTATTCAGGCTTCTCTCATTTTTTCTTTGTCATTCTAATTAAAGGTTTGTCAACTTTATCATTTTTAAAAAACAGTTCTTTTGTTGATCTTTTCAATTGATTTTCTACTTTTTATTTCTTTATTTCTGCTCTGATCTTTTCATTTACTTTCTTGTACTTTGTGTTTTGTTTGTTCTTTTTCAAGTTGCTTGTAGTATAAAGTTAGGTTGTATATTTTAGATGTTTTTTTCCTTTTTGTAGGCATTTATCACTTTACACTTTCCTTTTAGAACTTCTTTTCTAGCCTCCCGTAAGTTTCAGTATGTTGTTTTTCCATTTTCATTTGTCTGAAGATTTTTTAAAGTCCCATTTGATTTTATTTTGATCCATTGTTTGTTTAGGAGCATGTTATTTAGTTTCTGTTCATATGTGAATTTTCTAGTATTTATTTATTTTTCAGTAATAGATTTCTGGAGTCATACAATTGTGTGGTTGGAAATGATGCTGGAAATAATTTCGATCTTCCTAAATTTGTTAAGGATTGTTTTGTGTCCTAACCTATGATCTCTCCTGGATAATGTTTCATGTGTGCTAGAGGAGAATGTATATTCTGCTACTATTGGATGAAATGTTATAGACATGTCTTTTAGATCCATTTGGTCTAACATGTAGTTCAATTCCAATGTTGTCTGATTGATTTATGTCCGATCTATCAATTGTTGAAAGCAGGGTATTGAAGTTTCCTACCAATATTATATTGTTGTCTATTTCTCCCATAGATTAGATAATATCTGGTCTACATATATAGGTACTCTGATGTTGGATGCATATATACATTTAAATTTTTCTATCATCTTGATGAATTGACTCTTTTATCATTATGTAATGACCTTATTCTTTGTCCCTTGTCACAGTTTTTGATTTAAAGTGTATTTTCTCTGATATAACTATAGGTACCCCTGCTCTCCTTTGGTTTTCATTTGCATGGATTATCTGTTTATATCACTTCACTTTCAGTCTATATATGTTTTTAAAGCTGAAATTTGTGAGGTTATTAATTGGTCTAATTTCAATATTGTTTTATCTCAAGGAATAGGCATCCCTGAAAAGAGGAAGAGACATGAGGATTGGCCATTTGGTGGACCAGTCAGAATACAAACAACATTTATCAATTCAGTTTGTCATTTTATATTGGTTCATGGGGCCCCGAAACAATTACAATAATAATGTCAAAGATCACTGATCACAGAGCACCATAAAAGATATAATAATGAAGAAGGGTTTGAAATATTGTGAGAATTGTCATCATGCGACACAGAGACAAGAAGTGAGCACATGCTTTTGGAAAAATGGTACTGATAGACTTGCTCAATGCAGGATTGCCACAAACCTTCAATTTGTAATTGTAAAATGCAATAAGATGAGATATGCCTATAATTATTGAGAAATAATTATGAAGAGATGATCTCCTAATGAATTGGTAAATTTTAATTATCAATTTCAATATAGTTTAATTAATTTTTATTTTAAATTTCTTTCATAAATTTATTGAGAGAAAATAGAAATATATTCTGTATTAAACTTTTAAGTGTTCAAATCATGTTGTTAGGGTAAAAAAGTAAATTCAGTTCTGGAGCACTTCACTTTCACGTAAGTTATGTAGATTGTTGAATGTTCATTCAGCTACTAAAAGAAACTACAATATATGAATTCATTACAATACTCACATACTAAAATCATAAGAAAGCTGTAAAAATCATGACTAATGGAATAAAATTCCAGAGAGGAGAGAATCATTCAGGGGTGAATTGAGGATCCCAGCAGTTTTTATTCTGGTAGTACGTACTAATTTTTAGTGCAGGTTAGAGCCTGAGAACTGTGACTCATTCTAGGAAGAGGAATCTTCCTAGAGAAAGAGTAACCAGCAGATCTTTCGCAAGTTATGCAAAGCTAGAATGCGAAAGAGCAAGAGTGGGGAGAGCCCCTATATTGCTCTGCACCCACTTAAAAATTACTTTGTTGTAGGGCTGCAAACTTTGAATGTCAGGGTAAATTTTGTAGGAGTGTACTGGTGGTTATTTAAAAAAAAAGTTTTTTCATGGGGAATAGGCCAGCTAGTGGGTGAAACTCAGGTTTGGCTCTGGTAGAAAGCTTCATGATCTAGAAAGCAGAGCAAACCAGAGGTAAGATGACTTTACTGAAATCATAATCTAATTTGGATTGAGGTCAACAGCCCTCACATTCTCTGCCTAACAGAGATAAGAATTAACCCTGTCTGGTTGAGGTTTACACAATCTGGAGTATCTATGGTTACTTTTACACAATCCAAACACAAAACTTGCAAAATATCAAGACTATATGACCAATAATAATTTTTAAGGAATTGATATTAGAACAAGAACATGGATGTCCGCATGAACAGAACTGGACTTTAAGATGATTATGATAACTATATTAATGAAATAGATTAAAAATGGGATAAAGACATAAAATAATGAAAAAATTTTCAATTAAAAACTGGGACATATAAAAACAAATTAAGTGGACATTTTAAACTAAATAAAATATCTGAAATTAAGAACTTCAGTGGTTGAATTCAATAGCATGTTAGCCAGAGAAGATTTAGTGAATTAAAAAACAGATAAATTAAAAAATGCAAAACTGATGTTCAGAGAGAAAAATTCAGAGAAAATTGGTGAAAGACACATGGAACAAACTCAATAAGTCTGGTAGTTGCATAAATCTATTCTCACAGGGAGAAAAGAGAGCAAATTTGGCAACAGAAATAGTGAAGATGTAATGACTGAAAGTTTTCCAAAATTGATGGATGACATTAATCCAGACTCAAGAAGTTCAACAAACTCCAAGCAATATATATCCAAGTTACAGTGTAGGAATCCAAAGAGAAAATCTTAATACCAGCCAAGCAAAAAAGACAAATTACATTCAAAGAAGCAGGGATACTGAAACTAAACATAAAAATAATAAAAGCTAGAAAATGAGGACATGGCCTTTTGAAAAGTGCTAAAACAATATAACTTAGAATTCTATATCCAGTGGAAAAATATTTTATGTATAAAAAGCCAAAAGAAAAATGTTTTTAGAGAAAAGATCAATTAAATATGGTTTTTAAAAAATCTGTTAGAAAGGAGGCTGAAAATCAATATTTACACATCCATCTCAAGAAATTAGAGAAAAACTAATTCAAATCTCAAACATATACAATCTATAAAAATATTAATTTAATTCATAAGTACCTACAAACTGATCAATAAAAAAGAAAGAAAAAACAGTTGTCAGTATTAGGAATACAAAATAAATCATCACTAGTATCATTCAAGCATCAAAGAAATTAATATTATTTACAACCTAATGCCAATTACTTTAGAAAATTGTATGAAAAGGATATGTTTGAGGAAAAATCTATAGCCTAAATTGATAGAAAAAATTGAAAATCTTAATAATCTCATATCTATGAAAGAACTTAATCTATCATTAGAAACATTCCCAGAAAGAAAACTCCAGATCCATATAACCTTATCAGTGAGCTCTTCCAAATATTTAAGGGAATAACACCACTATTAAACAAACTAATTCAGAGTAGGAAAAAAAAGAGATAACACTTTCCAACCCATATTTTATAAGACTCAGGAAAACCCAATAAGAAAACTTCACAAAACATTAAAGGAAAGGAAAATTACAGACTAATTTCTTTTAGTCACATAAATGCAACAATCCTAAATCCAATCCTAGAAAATCAAATCCAGCAACACATAAATAGGATAATATATCACGAAAAGTGTGGTTTATTCTAGGAATATAAGATGGGTTTAACATTTGGAAAAATGCATACATATGTTATCCAAAAGATGTGCACATGAATATTCATAGCAACAGTATTCATAAAGCCAACCTCAAAACTACTCAAAGGCCTATTAACAGTTGAATGGATAAATAAATTTTGGTGTAGTCATACAATGCAATACTATACAGCAATGAGAATGAACAAAATGTAGCTACTCACAAACATAGTATTGAGGGAAACAAGCCAGAATGAAAAAAATAACTATTTAATATGCAATTTGCATAGAGTACAAAAATTAGCATCCATGATGTTAAAAGTTTGGCTAATGGCTTCCCTGGGGTGGAAGTAAGATCATGATTAGAAGGGAGTATGAAGGGCTTCTATATGTTGGTGTATGGGTGAGTTCCATTTGTAAAATGAATCAAACTGTACACTGAGGCTATATGCACTTATCTGTATGTGCATTCACATCAAACTAAATTAAGGAATGAGTGTGTTCTAAATTGAAAGACTGGCTCATGTGATAATGCCTCATTTCAGCAGTGTATGGCTAAAAAAATATTTAGTTTCCTCCACTGCCCCTGACACCCATCGTGTTTGTTATTTTAGTGACAATGCTCAACAGAACAGGGGGTGTGGGATGAGAGTGTAGTATTTGAAGTAAAGGACATTATGTTCACGATTCATTTATCTTATCTAAATAGATAAAGTACTGCCTTTATTTTTCACAAATGATTATAGGTTTACATTTTATGCAGGTAGAATTATTTGCTATAGGATGAAACAGAAGTTATCCATTGATCAAAAGTAAGAAAATAAAAAAATATGGCTGGGGAAAAAATCCTCTCTAACAAATCCATCAGAGAAGTAGTTTAACTCTGAACACCATCATTTACAGAATCAATCTTATAATTTTCTCTTTTGGCAGATTTTCAAAGTTTTCAAAATATAGCTGATTCTATAAATTAAGTCCCACAGCTGTGGTGCTGAGTGAATTTTCTAATTTCCTAGTAGGAGAATCAATCTGCATAATTACTTTCTGAAACAATGGTGTGTATTTCCCCTGTTAATATCTGCTTAAAAGGGAATATTCTTTGATCTGTGACTTATGAGGGAAAAAGATAATGAAGTTAAATATGGTCAATTCAAATGGACACATATTTAAAAGCATCTAAAGTATGCTGAGTCCAAGCATTAGAGATGCGGTAATGTTAATAGTGGCTACCAATTTCTAAATAAATTCATTAAAGCAAAGAATAATAATTGAAATAATAATTTAAATTGAAACAATAATTTAAGTACAGAATGTGCAGGTAGAGAAGAAGCAAGGATTTATGCTCATAGTGTAAAGTGGGAAACATGAGACCAACCAGGAAATGCATTAACATACATTTCTCTGCCAGAAAAACTAAGAGTGGCCCTTCTAAAACAAATGGCATTTTGAAAAGTAGTATGATTTTATGGAAATATAAAAATGATAGTATTGACCAATGAAATTGGTAGTTGGGAATAGTTTGTGAGAAAAATTTGGCTTTTAAGTGTCATCTTTAGGCAACAGGTACCTAAGCAAGAGTTTCAAGGGCAGAGCAATAATTAGATTTGTCTTTTAGTAAGATAAGTATGGCAATAAATTCAAAAAACAGGTTTTAGATGGTGAGGAGCTGATCAAGAAGAATGGAAGTGGATTTATAGAGAGAACTCAAAATGCACACTAACGTTAAACATCAAGTGAAATTTGGATGTCACGTTCTCCACTGTATTCTTATGTTTGTGTGTTTGTTGTTTTAACTTGCTTTAATGGCCTATAAGTTATGGAATCCTAATTTTAGATCTGTGAGTAAAACTATCTGGAAATCATTTCAGTATAGCTGTGATATTCTCTATAAATGAAACATTTCAATCACTGGTGTATTTGATGTGTTTTGTAACCATCCACATGAGAACTCTGTCCACATCTGCAGATCATTATGGGTGTACATTCCTAAGCTTCCCAAAGTATTGATCCCTCACTTTGCATCTCACAATAATGGAAGACATGCATACGCCTTGAAAAGCACTCACCATTACTCTCTTGGCTCATTACTCTTATCCACTGGACAGTAAAAGTAATCTATTAAAATCATATGTAAAACCACTGCTTCCCTCTTACACTAGACATTTTAATGCAGTGATATAACATCATTTAACTGGAAATAATAGAACTCACTGCATTCTAAGATAGAACAGCTGAAACAAATATAACTTAAAATAAGAGTGTATTAGCTGTGCTTCTGTCTTAGACTATGTGGTCAGTATCCAAGAAACTAGCACAAAAAATGGTGACATGTTTGAGAGTCAGTACACAACCTGAAGGACTGAACCAACTGGCAGGACCTATATCCTTTAACATATCAGAAGACTTTTTGTCTTACTAATTAGAAGTAGCTTTGAGTTCTTCCACAAATTGGCCAAGCTAAACCTACTCCAATGTTTATATTATTATTTTCTCCCTGAGCTTAAGTTAGTAAGGTCTGGTAGTTGATTTACTAAACTTCATGGGAGCAATTTTGTCACAGTGAAGTAGAATATCATGCTGGGGTATGAAAATCAGAATTTCATAACCGTCTATCCAGGACTGTGGTTAAGTCACTGGCTTTTCTGATCCTGAGGCTTGCCATTTACATATGTCTTTCCCATTTCTGAACCATTTTTAGCCAGGAATTTCTGCAAGGGGTAATGTGGTTATTAGTAGGATTTTTGAGATTTTTTAAAATAAAAGCTTTAGTATGTGAAACGCTATTGTTTACTTAAATCAGAGAGACAAGGGAAAGGTTCTAATTTAAGAAATTACCAGCAAATAATACCAAGAAAGCTTCAAAGAGCAAACATCTAGAAAACAATATTAGTGCAGCATATTTTTATTTCCATTTTTATTCTTGCTTTTGTATAGGCGCAGTAAAAACTAGCTCTAGCAAGAGTAACCTCCCTTAGAAATTATCACTTTTGCAAAACAAGAAAGTTTCATCTAGATAATTAAAAAAGTCATCAGAGAGTTGGGTTTTGGTAATGATAAACATTAAATATTGAAGACTAATTTCTTTGGTCCATTTTGTACCTTTTTTCACAGAATTACAGCAAAAAAATGCTTTATTTTTCTAATTCTCATTGAAATCTTTCCTACAAAGATAACCTCCTTTCAAGTCACTCTTGAGATATTAGTTTAATTGCCTCAAATAATTGAGCTGTTTTGCATATACAGATAGCATATTATTATTTGGCTATGATGTAGCTTCCATCCTTTGTAGAAAAAAATTATTATAATCTAACTGTAAAAGATTAGATAAATTAGTGCTAGATCCAAATGTTAAAATCAAGGCCCTATTAATACTTTCTAGATCAAATATTAGCCTGCTAGATATTAATTACTTTTCCGATGCTTAATATATCTAGAAATTCATGACACTGTTTGCTTTTCCTCTCTGCTCTGCCACTTTATCCACTGTTGTATTTACTATCACTGACAATGGAGTTTGGTAAGCTGTGCATTCCTTATGCCACTCTGCTGGATTGGCTGTTTAGTTTCTTTTTTAAAATGCAAGAAAACTGAAAGCACAGAAAAAGATAACATAAAATTGACCTCAGCCTAGTAACATGCTATGCAGTTGAGTTATATTCTAGAATTGCTGCCTGTACTCAAATTCTTTTGACCTACAAATTGTCAAAGAAGAGATAACACACTGCCTACACTATTGATTTTATTCATCATAATTTTTGCTTTAACATCCCAAATGCCCAACACATTATAAATCATTTATTGTGCCTGATACTAATCAATATGCCATGGACAAAAGTTAAAAAATAGTATCATTGGTGACACAGTGATGATGGTGATGATGATGATGATGATGATGATGATGATGATGATGATAATGATGACTATGAAGATCAGCTTATGTTATGAAAAGGGCTTTCTGCAAGGGATCAGTCTAGTTACCAAGTGTTTCTAGAAATTGAGCATGCACCAAAGAATTTAGCAAGTTACCAAAGAAAAAAATCTGGTGTAGAAATGGTATAAGTTGCAGTACAATTTATGTAATGAATTATAACTTAAATATTAATTTTATGGTACATAATTTAACTCTTTGCAGCTGTTCCTAAATTTTTAAGTGTCCTTCAGGTGCCTGCAAGTAGCACTACTTCAGAAATGGAATGAGGTAGGGTTCTTTTGTTTTGGTATCCTGTCACAATAGCTTTCACCTGCCATCAACAACATGGGCCTACAAATAAAAAGATGGCAGTACCTGGAAGCCAGTTGATGATGTGTTTTTGAACCTTGAATAAGCTGCTTATTTTGAAGAGCTGCTGCCAATATCTCTTCCCACCACCAAGCTGTCAGGAGCATTCTGTAGCTGTGCTTAGGATAGTACAGTTGTGGACATGTCTGCCTGGGTGTTTGGATGATGAGATCACAGGCCTCTGTGCAACTTCAGTAGGAGATCTAGAAGACAGTCCTGCCTTGGTCAGTGTTAAATACACATTAATGGTTAGGTTTGTTTTTTAAGGAGAAAGAAGCAAACGAAAAAGGAAGAATGGAAAAAAGGAAGAAGTGGGGGAGGGGGGAAGAAGGAAAGATGGAGGAAAGGAAGGATGGAAAGAAGGAAAGATGGAGGAAAGGAAGGATGGAAAGAAGGAAGGAAGGGAGTGAGGGAGGGAGGGAGGGAGAGAGGGACATTACATGACTGTATTATTTTCCTGATTAAAGTAAATTCAGACGATCATTCCAAAGCAGTGTAGCTCAGTAGAAATACAATGCAAACCACATATGTAATTGAAATTTTTCTAGTAGTCACATTTAAAAAGTAAAAAAAAAGTGGGTGGGTGAAATATTTTAATAATATATTTTAGTGAACCCAATATATTACTTCAATATGTAATCAGTAAAAAAACACTATTCATGAGATATTTTACATTTCTGTGCTGCATCTTTGATCTGATATGTATTTTACACTTGGGGCACATTTCAATTCAGGCTAATCATGTTTCAAGTGCTTAATTGCCACCTGCGGCCAATGACGACTTAATATATTGGACAGTGCAGCTCTAGAACGTCTTACAAGATCAGGCTGAAGCTGATTTCCAGCTGAGACCACATCATTGTTTGGCTCCTATCCCTGTCTTATCCTTCTTTTCTCACCCATTTCTCCCCAAATACATCACTTGTACAGGAATCCTTATCTCAGACTTTGCTTCTGAGGAAATTGACCTAAGCAAATGCTTAATAAAATGTAGCATTTCTCATTTAATAATGAATCAGACAGGTTTCTTCTTGATATTACCTCCTCCTTACCATGCCTCCTGTCTCTTTTACCCTCAAAGTCTACCTATCTCTCCATATCCCAACTGATTTGAAAAATGAATATTCTGTAGAAACTTGTGGAGCCAGCAGCGGTAACTTCTTAGTATCTACTGACATTTTAACCACTTGGTGTGGTAACAGACTACAAAAACTCCTGATCTGGAGTTTGTTTTTTAATCTGGGGACTAATACATGTGCAAAGTGTTTGCAGCACTTCTGTCTATGGAGTGGGCTTTCCATGTTCTTAGTTTCCCAAAATGGGACCCCAGCATTAGGGATAAGCGCATTCAGGTAAAATGTCAAAACAAAAGCCATTTTCAAAAGACGTGTCCAAAAAAGAGAGAGAGAGTTTGACAATTGCCGGTAAGATGTATTGAATATATATTTTAGTTTGTTTCTTTTTAATATCTCTCATTCAAATTCTATTAAAAAACAACAAGCATTTGGTCTCTCTTATCTTTTGGGAGTAATTTTTTTAAAGACCTTTACAAGGTGCTGTTCTTTTTATGTACCCCAAGCATAGTGATGGATGGATTGCTAGCTGTTCTCAAGATGGCAGAAAATTGACTATCAAGGACAAATGGTATGCATCCCCAGGCAGCACTGACTCTGGAAAAACATTGAAGTTGTCTCTGTGTGAAGTAGCTATGCATTTTTGCTTTATTGTATGTTTTTGCTTGCTTTTTGTCTGTTTCTTTTTTTTCAGTTTGAGCAGAAGCACGGAACTCTGCGGACTGGCAAGTTGGTAAGGATATTAATTGCATTTTAACATCAGTTCAGTTCAAAAAAGATTGAAAGTAGAGAGAAAAGAAAATCTTTCAACAATCAGTGAATTAAACTCCAAATAGTTTTGCAGTTTGTTCCAATCCATTCTCATTCATGGTGGATCTCAAGTGACCTTTTCCTAGGAAATTCTTTAAACTTGTTCACAACGAGAGAGAAGAAAGTTGGTGAATGCAAATTCTTCTGTTTCATCAGTTAGGACAATCAATCAATAGAGGATAAAGATGAAAATATAAAAAAGAAAAAAGAAGCTGTATTAAAGCAAGCCAAATTGTTAAGTGAGAGGTAGACTATTGTTATGAATGAGTATTGGAATTAGAAGAGTTGGGTTATAGTTATAATATGTGACCTTGAGGAAAACACTGCACCTCTTAAAGCCACAGCTTTTATCTTTAAGTGGGGTGATTGGATTAAATGGTTGTTAAGCTTCCCATCAGTACTGTACTATGGTTCTATGGTTCCAAGCAGCTTATATAAAGATACTTTAAATTGTGCTGCTTGCTTTATGCTGATTGCAAGCATATTTCTGGGTCAATGGGTATGGTGGAAAGAGTTTTGGGAGCAGATAAATTTAAGTTTAAATTCTACACCTACCACTTAACTACTACTAGCTCATCTGAGAGACAGAGATAATAATACCTACTTCTCAGAGTTTTGTGGATGTCCTTGAACAATGTCTGGAACAAAATAGCTTTGACAAAAAAAAAACTTTCCTTTCTTTTCAGCTATTGGGAGGATATCTTTCTGACACATCTTCCCTGTATTCTAGAAAAATAGCCCTTAACTGGAAACTGACTTTTCCCTAAGCATATGCAATGCATCTGGGTAGAAGAAGGGAGACTGGGAATTGTTATACTCCCGGGAAACAACTTCTGGTGCTCCAGGGGAAACCCACACCTTATTAAAGGTCATCCTACAAGACCAAACGAACGCAAGGGGACCATATTGCTGTTCAAATAAATAGCAGAGAAATACAAGTAAATGTTTCCTGAGAATCAACATATAACAAAAAAGACCCAGAGAAATAATGCAGAGCATTGCATGGGAGGGGCAAGAGAGAGAAGGGGAAACTGACTTGTGGATCTGTCTGACTCTACTGCAGGAATCTTAGCAGTTTTTCATGTGGGATCAGGGCACAAGTGACTTTCATCAAGGTTGAAACTGGCAGAAGAAAAAGCTTGGGACTTATCCATATTGAAATTGCAAAAAGAATACTCCTTTACATTTCTCGTAATTTAAAATAAAGTCGCTGCCACTGTGGTCCATCTCCCCTTGCAATTTTCTAGTAGATTAAAAAGCACATCAGGTTGTGATGGTTAAGCTATTTGCATAAATTTTCCATATAGTTGAAGGTATTTCATATGTCAAATTATCATTCTATCTAATATTTTCTGTTTAATGTTTTCATTAACATGATTTTTGATTTCAGCAATTTGCATATGCATATTGTCTCATTATCTTAATATAATACTATTTGGAAAGACTGATTCCTAAATAGATGGTGTGAATACAATTACCCTGATGAGGTCTTGCTTAAATTATCAGAAAACTTTCAAAACGTGTTTATATTCTGGCTTATATAAATTAATCATTAAAACAAGAATTAAGGATTTATCATTATATTCTGATTTGTATTAATTAATCATTAAAACAAGAATTAAGGATTTATCAGAGAGGTTGTATGGGTTCTTAAATTGGTTTTCTTTTATTCCTTTTACACATGTATCCCCGATCTTGCTCTGTTAACCGTGTGTTATGTCTAGACTCCTAATGCACTGTCAGAGAAGAGAGTATAGCAAAAGAAGCCTGGTATTCAGAAGAATTACTTTAAGGTAGAAAAAGGTAGAGTACGTTATTTGTTTTTAAGAAAAGTATGTTTTTACAAAACATATAAATATTAAACATAATTTCATTATTTTTAGTGAAAGTTAGTGATAAGCACTTCACTTTACATGTGAGTCTTAGCTCAGATACCTTATATATGTTTTCAACTGCTTGAGTAACAACCATCAATGATGACCAAAGAAACATAGGGTAGCTATCATCTCATATAATAAGTCATTCATGTATCCACTCATTCAGGAAGACATTTACTGATCACAAGCTTTATGCCAGGCATAGAGCCAGAAGGCAGGTGTGTAATGATAGTGATGACACAGCCCATCCCTTCAGATACCTTCCCCTAGCTTAGCAAGACAGACAAAAAATGAGCAATTATCATTGACTTTGCATGGCCCAGAGTTGATGAGCAAGTTTCCTGCTAAGTAACCGTGCTCTCCTAGTCATAATTAATATGCCTTTTTCCCCTACCAAATACATACAGATACTTAGGCCTTAAAATGCATTATGTTCAGAAAGATATGAATATGTTGCATTCTCATTGAGATTTGTGTCTTATATAAGTTGTATCCCACCGAGTGCTGTTTCTATTCTATAAAAATACTACATAAATTTAAAGAAAGAAATGGATAAAGAGAGAGTGCAAGGGAAGAGGGAGAATTATTCTACCATTATATACAGTTTGAGTATATAGAGCTTGGAGTCAGAAACATTGTTTATTGAATTCCCTGTCATCAATTTCTAATCGTGTGACCTTGAACAAAAGCATTTAACCTTTCAGAAAGTCATTTTCTTATTCATACTATGAGGATGAGCATACCTATACTGCAGGGTGTCTGTAAGGTTTGGAGATGTGTCATATGCATGAATTCTGGCAGAGTATATACCACTGAGATACAATAGATGCAGGAATCTTACATAGAAAATGTACAATTCAGCATGTGTATCAGCATTTGACTGCTTAAACCATAAAACTGAGTTAGGATCCCAGTCTCTCTCCCCTTGAAAAGCATGCTTAGACCTCTATGTCTATGCAAATCCTATTGAAATTTCAAAAGCCAGCTTCAGCTCCATTCCCTCATGGAAGATATCCTTTCATGCCCCAGTACTCCTTGAGCTCCTCTTTTCTGAACATCCCAAAATCAGCAGCACATCGTTGTAAGAGGAATAAATCCATGCCCAGGGAGTTCAGGGTGATGAACTTAACAGAAGAAACAGGAACTCGACCCCTGATGATTATTTGCTAAGAGATTGAAGTTATTAACCACCTTGAGCTTTAGTTAGTTTCCTTGTTTTTTATCTCTGAATTTCTGGGTTTCTCTGTGACAGGGATAGAATCCCTATAAGGATTCAATGAACAATTCAAAGTCTAGCACAGAATCGGCCCCATAGCATGGATTCCACAAATCCTTGTTTCTTTTGTGTATTCCTTCCATAGAGATCCTGTGACAAATTACCATAAACTGGGTGGCTTAAAACCACAGAAGTCTTATTCTGATACAGTTTGGGTGGCTGGAAGTCTGAAATCAAGGTGTCAGCAGGTTTGGTTCCTTCAGGAAGTTCTGAGGGGGAATTTTTTCCATGCCTCTCTCCTAGCTTCTAGTTGCCAGCAAACCTTGGCATTTTTTGGATTGTAGCTGACTCACTCCGATCTCTGACTCTGTGTCACATGACATTCTCCCTTGGGTACCTGTGTGTACCCTTTGTGTCTAAGCTTTCTCCCAATTCTCTTATAAATATACCCATCATTGATTTCAGGGCCTACCTTAACCAAGTATGACCTCATTTTAATTTAACTAATTATATCTGCAAAGATTTTATTTCCAAATAAGGGTGCATTGGGATTCCTGATGGACATGACTTTGATGTGAAGGGGGCACTATCCAACCCACTTTCTTTCTACTTTTGTATTCCCTCATAGCATCTGACATGATGTTGAACATGTCACAAGTGTAAACAGGTAGAACTTAAGTTAATAAGCCAGAGCCTTCCTAAGAAATCCTTGACTTCATAGCCAAGGACTACATTTATTAAGCCTTAAATATACTCTCTGAAAAATTCAACCCTATTGTTCACAAACAAGAATGAACTATTAGCACAGCAAGGCTAAAAGCATATTTCAAGATACATACCCTAGTTACTATTAGTAACAACTAAGTAACAGCATGAATGCAAGAGCCAGGAACATTTTCTGTTTAAAGTGCGTATGAACACCAGAGTTTTTCTTATGCTGGGAAAATGTGTTTAAAATTTAGAACTGTATCCACATGCGTGCAGTAATGATTTTTAAAAATTAATTAGATTTATTTATACTCATGTCTCGATACCTACACTTTAGTGATATGTTTGCCCATGATTTTGGTGGTGTCCTTTCAAAAGATGAAAGGTGTGAATTAGAGGACTGAGTTAATTAAGTTAATCATATGTTCTCTATCAAAAATAATGGGTCCGTCTAGACATTTATTTTACCATTATCTGTGAAGGTGTAGGAGTGTTTGAATATCTAACCTTCTTTTGAGAATTGCATAGACACACTTTTGGCAAAATGGTCTTTGCACAAGCTGCTTGAGGTTTAACTGTCCCTCTCACATTTATCTTCCAAACCACCACCACTATTCCTTAACATTGTAGTAGAAAATCCTAATATCAATGTTTAAAATAATATGCACAGATAATAAACAACATATTGTGACTGAAAGTTTATTATTAAATAAGGGAATTAACCTTTAAACTTACTCTAGCAAAAAAAAAAAAGCCATGAGTGTTTTTCAAATAGGATTAATAGAATCATCTTTGGGGACTCCTCATAGAGTTCAAGGTTTTACTTCTGGGATAAAATTTATATAATTTTGGTATGCCAAGCAAAATATTTCATAATATGTTTCTAATTTGACATTTGCCTGCCTATTGCCACCTACTAAAGCTTTCATAATTATTCCTTCCTGAAAACTAATAGACCTTGACTGTTCTTTAAAAATATCAGGCTCTCTGACTTTATACTTTTGCACGTACTGATTTTTCAAACTAGAATGTTTTCTCTTCCTTTGGGTTATCTGTTATGTGCACTAAAAATGTATATAAAATGTATGTCACTCCAGGAAAAAAATATATAAATAAAAATTACTGTATTTCATCTTACCTTCTTTATGTAAAAATTAATTATAATTCTTGTTTATAAACCACAAAAATGATCTTTATTATATAACTAAATAAGAAATGACTAGGAAGGTGGCTGCAGATATGGAAGGAAGGGCTCTAGGTCGGCTATTCTGCCATGCTATTGCATTGGCTGCATTCTCAGGGTATACGACTCCCAGGTCCATCCGGGCATATCTAGTAGAAGAAAATACGTCATGTTTCTCTTGTGCCTCTTTTATAGGAGAGAAAATAAAACTTTCCCAGAGCTCACAGCAAAGGCCCCATAATATGCCTGTAAATAAAATTCTGTCTTATGATCCCCATTGCGGAACCAAACACCAGAATTGTCAGGATTCACACAGTCTAATTATTTGAGGTGAATAGCTGTTGAGGTTCTACTATATTACCACTTTTAGAGCCCACAATATCCTGAAAATAAGGACAGAATAAATCCCAGTACATTTACTATAATCTTTAAATTTCAAAATCCAGATCCAGGGATATTTTATGGTCTTTTGGGACAAGTTCCTAATTGTGAGAAACAAGGCAAGGGCTTAATTTGAATATCTTATTAATTGTGTAATATTAAGCAACTAATTTTGCACCACTAGAAACTTGTGCCTTTGTGTTTATAATAAAGGGTTCTGGCAAAAAGCTATGTTCTCTATGGGTTGTCTGTGTGTGTGTGTGGCTGTGTGTGTGTTTTCTATGATTCTATTAGGTTGGCACAAAAGTAATTGCAGCTTTTGCAAAAAAATAATTTTGCACCAACCCAATACATCTATATCTATGTTAAAATTGAAAACTCTAGTGCATTTATGCTGCTATAGAAATATGCTTAGCAGCTTTAAATAAATCAGGATAAATATGAAAAAGATTAATATGCTGAAGACAGGACTGATAATATGGTTCACATTTCTCATTTTACTTTTCATTTAGTTGCTCTTCATTTTGCTATATATGAGCCTATACAATTATCACTTGGCCCTTGTCTGTCTGTGGTGATCTTTTAAAGAAGCTCCTGAAATGAAAGAATTACTTCATTTCTGTGGTATCCATTATAGTGGCCACTAGCCAAACATAAATACTGAGCACTGGAAATCAGGCTAGTGTCAACGTGAAACTGAATTTTTAATTTTATTTTGTTTAAACAATGACATAGTGCCAGTGTCTACCATATTGGACAGAGGGATCTCAACTTCCATTTTTGTCTCAATTTTTACTATCTACTTCAGCTATAATTAGCTATAATCAGTTCCCACAATTTCCAAACAATGTCATGTTTAATGTGCCTTTTCACAATCACCTGGTTTGCTTCAATGAAAGCCCTTACCTTTTAAACCACTTGAAAAACTTAGTTCTTTTATAAAATCTAATTTCACCTTCCAATTAACCTATTAATTCTTAATCTCTTCCTCTTTGAAGTTTCATGGTAGTGTTCATTAGTAGTTTACTGCTTATAATTATTTTAGGTGAAAATATTATCACTGACCATTGTTACTCATCTCAACGTTCTTGCAAATAAATGCAGCTTTTGTTAGTGTTGTTTTTAACAATAGCATCATTTTTACAGTATTCATTGATATTATAATTTCTAATAAGGAAATGTCAGTATTTGTTTGTAGGTTTAGGACCATATTATCTGGGAATCCACAGGGACAGTGGAAATAGCTTTGCAAAATTCACTAATAATAAATAAGTTCACCTAAGTTAGATTAATGAAAAAGAAAAAAAGGAAAATTGACGGTTGCTGTTATAACTACAAAAGGACAGAAAAGAGGTTTTGTGGAGAAGAAGCATAAAACACGGGCCATTAACAAGAAATGTTGTGTAAAGATATTAAATGACAATTACCCTAAATAGTGCTACACTGTCTCTGTCCATCTGATGCTGGAATATTCTGGAAAGATCACTGAAGCCCCAGCATCAGCTCAACATTTGTTTTTGAGATAATTGGTATATTGAAAAGCAGAAAAATGTTTAGACTCTGTGATCTTGGGAAAGTTCTTTAACTATTTTGAAGTTTTCTTAATTATAAAGTTATCTAGATCACAGAGAATCACAGGAGATAATACATGTAAATTTTGTTTTGAATAATAAAAATACTGCCTTTATAAGTATTACCATGATTATTGTTATTATTATGATCTTCTGGTCAATTTGTTCAATTACAATTTCTGAAAACCTATCCTTTATCTTACATGTGTTGGGTACAAAGAATGTCATCTTTTCCAAAAAGTCTAGTTTAGTAGACATATAAAGATTTAAATTCATGAAACATATCTAACAAGTTTCCAGATAACCATAGTAAAAAATAAAGTGTTTAGTTTCTAACAACTTGAAGAATGAATCAATTTTATGTAAAAGTTAAGTACAATATTCTAGAGTATTTTTAATACTTCTCAAAAAATATGATAATTATGCTTCAATTTCTCTTTCTATGCAAATATAATCTTCAAATAATTGTTGTTCATAGCATATTCCTCATTTCCAAAGTACATAAACTTTGTTCATTCCTCTCAGATGCCACTCTAACTTCTCCATTATCTCTCCTCCAGATTACAGATTTTTGAAGGATTTCTCGTTCTCCCAGGATTTCTTTTTGGATCTATTTTCCCTGATGTTTACTGGGTGGAATTTACTTTCCAAAATTCATATATGTCACTATTTTCCTCTATAAACACTTTTATCACTTCTTAAAGGACTACTAATGTTTCCTTTAGTAGTTTCTTAACTGCTTGTATGTTTCTTAACTGGCTTTATGTTTCTTCACCTCACTTCCAAATTCATGCCTACAACTCTCCAACTAACCAGTTCAACTTATCCAAATATTGCCCTTTTCCCATGAATAGAGTTCTTGAGAGTCATTTGGGTAACTACTCCCTCTTCAAGAGCATTCTTTACTACCCTTTTTGACTGATGATCTTTTATCATCAAGATGTAAATGAATATAACCTCAGTTATGTTACTCCATTTTAAAAAAGGACTAACTTATCAGTCTTGCAAGATTCTTCTTAATGTGCTGTTAGTTCTTAATATTGAATACTTTCCAGTGGCCTTTCCATTTACAAATCATTGCAAAACTCCCTGTCAGGTCCTCAAGGACTTAAGCTATAATAACACAAAATAGTACACTTGGTATTTGGAAGCAGAAGTTTGTAATGGGGATACCCTCAAACTTTCCCTTTATACTTGTTCTGGCTAATCATAATTTAAGCCATTATTAGGCCTCTATAAGATGCCAAAAGATTTCTCTACAAATGTTTCCCAGAGGAAAACTAAAAAGTTGATCCAAGATAACAATTCTATTTTTATTCCTACGAAGTATAGGATAAAGCAGCGAATAGCATCATCCCATAGTTTTAGTGTTCAGTAATTTGAATTTTAAAAAGTAATATGTTAAATTTCAGCTAAAGTTTGACCCACTACTTCTCAAATAGGATCAATAAAATAAAGGCAGATTTAGAGTTTTATATCAAACCCTATTTGAGTACGACTGTGAAATAAAAGATAGAATTGAATATTTTTTTACAGAGTTAGAAAACCTGTACTTCTCTTCAAAGGCTTATAACTTAAAAATGGTGTCTATGTTTCAGTCAAAGTTTCTTAAAGGAAATTTTCTTCTAGCCAGAGATTTTACAAGAAAATGTTCAAATGGGTAAAAAATAAAGTAGAAAAAGCTTTTAACAGAAAGTTAATAGGGTGGCCTAAATGGAACCTAAAATGGAAGCATTCACCCCCTTAATGTGACTCTTCATGGAACTTCAAAAGAAAAGACAGCATGACAAGCCTTCACTGAATTCCAGGATGAGGGTGGGCTGCAGTTGTCATTGGCTGAGATGGTTACTTCATTTCTGAATATATTTTATCCACAACTAAAATAGTGGCCCATGGTACTTGGACTTTTTAAGCACAAAAATGATCACTGGCTTAAAAATCAATATGCCTTGCTATGGACATTGTTCTCAGCTTAGGTGAGAAAACAATCACATTGAGTTGTCATTTTTCATCTTAAAGAATACATGCTAATACTGACACAAGATATTAGAGACACCTTCTTGTACTCACAAAAAGGAACCAGTAGTGTGACATTTTCCATTCTTTTTCTAAGGTTTTTCATGAAAATGAGAGCTCCAAATGTGAATATTGATTATCTAAATGCCAATAATGGCATTTTACATTTATAAATATGGATATTGATAGAGGATCCACTTATGTGAACCAGGTAGCTCTTTGTTTGGTATGAGGTGTCACTTTGAATTATTTCAACCTCAACTAGAATTTGACTTGAGTCTTACTCAAAGCCTATGACATAAAATACTATTGAGAATCAACATTGTTTAATTTACTTGTTCTGTGTTTTTTAACCTGACCTCAGCTTCATTTATAGCTGAATAGTTTGTATAGGAACATGAAATATTATATTGTATTTATTATATTTAATAACATAATATAGTCTTCACTCAATATTTATCCTCATTTGATTGGCATCCAAATGCCTAATAAATAATATGTCTAAGCTATTATTGCTATATCCCTGTTGTCATCCACAGTCCTTATCAACAAAAAAGCCTGGAAAAGACAAAAGATCCCATGGCCAGGAAAAGGGCATTCCATTAACCAGGAGAAGCACGAGATAAAGCTTAGTGAGATAGGTATGGGATAAAGGAAAGCCAAATCTTTCTTTTTGTCCAAGCACAGGGCTAAGACAGGAGGGTTCTAAATCAGCTGAAGCTAGGAAATCAGACAGATATCAAAGGGAGAGGATGATCAGTGGAGAGAGTGTAAGACCATCAATTTTATTGATGCCAAGGAATGGTGGTATGATACATGGTACTATCTGAAAAGGCACAGGATGGGGCGGACATAGACTCTGTTATTCAAAAATTGTTTGGAAAAGAAACAGCCATACATAGGTTCTGAAAGAGCAAAGAGATGTTAAGATCTTTTCTAGATATCATTTATGAATAATTCCAGTCCCCAAGGCAGATGAAATAACTTTCCTGGGGTAGTCCTTCTGAAAGTCAACTTGACACACTGAATACAGAGCATTAATTTCATGTGAGCAACTTACTAGCTGTGTGCCTCTGGGCAATTTTTCTTTAAACACTTTTTTGTTTCAGTTTTCCCATTTCCAAATGGAAATTGTAATAGTACATTACCCACAGTGTTGGAAATAATAAATAAGTTAATATATGTAAGTACTTAAAACACTGTCATTATGGATTATATTTCCCAGGGCTTGGCTAAGGTAATGAGAAAGTGTTAAGAGTTGTAATGGTTTTTTTTTTTAGATGACAAGAGAGATTGAAATCTAGAAGTTCCACAAATATACATTTAATTCTCAAAACATGCCTATTCTGTTCTACTGTATACCATTGCAGGAAAGGTGGTAGGTGGAGGTGGCAAGAGGTGCTAAAAGCAGAATGGCATCTCTCCTAGTCCTGTGGTATTTGTATCCCCAAAGCCTGAAAGACGAAGAGGCCTAAATGAAAATAAGGCAGATCTCAAAATGAAGATTTTAAAAACTGAATGTGAATTGAAACTAACTCAAGTTACACACAGCTCAAACTCAGCTCTATATCTAAAGGAATAAAAGGAACCAACCTCTCTCCTGGTTTCCTGACAGTGGAATGGGAATGCCCCATTTGGGGAAAAATAATATTAACTTTAGTCTCTATTATGATTTCTATTTAAATCTAATTCTCAGAATACAACAAAAAGTCTGAAAATATGACACATAGGTAGGCAAAGGAAAAAAAATATGTAATATAAGCAGAGCCAGAGATTCTGATATTAAAATGAAAAAACAATGTATTAAAAATAAGTATTTAAATGTGGTCAAAATTATAGAAAAATGGACAAAAATGAATAAAATGATGAAGAAATTTAGCAGAGAAGATATAAAATCCATATATAAAAATTTATGTTGGTGCAAAAATAATTGTGGTTTTTACCATTACTTTTAATGGCAAGAACCACAATTACTTTTGCACCAATCTAATATATATATATATATAACATATATGAGACAGTATATGTATAATATACATCATATATAAACATATAAGGGAAACTACACAATTCTGATGAACTAAATCAAAGAAGGTCTAAATTAATAGAGAGATAGTTCATGAACCTGAATAGGAAGTCTTGATATTGTTAAGATGCTGCCTACTACCAAACTGATCTATAGATTCAATGCAATTCCAATCAAAATTTCAGCAAGTTCCCCTGTGGATATGGACAACCTGGTTTTAATGCTTACATGGAATGGTAAAAGACCCAGAATAGCCAACACAACTGTAAAGGAGATAAACAAAGTCAGATGACTGACACTATCCAACTTCAAGACAGACAATAAAATTACAAAGGGAGTGAGGTATTGATGAATAAATAGAGAAATAAATCAAAATAGCCTATAAGTTCACTCACATAAAGGTGGTCAACTGACCTTTGAAGAAAGAGCACAGGAAACTCAATGAAGAACAGATAATATTTTCAACAAATGATGCTGGAAGAACTGGGTAGGAACATGGAAAAAAAAGAATCTAGACACAGACTTTATACTTTTCACAAAAATTAATTAAAAATGGATCATAGACCTAAATATAAAATACAAAATCATAAAACTTCTAAAAGGTAACATAGAAGAAAATCTATATAAACTTAGGTTTAGTGATGACATCTTAGGTACAACACTAAAAGCACAATTTATGAAAAAAGAAATTGGTAAGTTGTAGTTCATTAAAAGTAAAAACTTCTGCTCTGCAAAAAACACTACTAAGAAAATGAAAAGACAAACCACACACTGCAAGAAAATATTTCCATTATATATATGATAAAGGATTGATATTCAACATATAGAAACTCTTAAAACTCAACAATAAGAAAGCAAACAACCTAACTGAAAAATGGGCAAAAAACCTGAGCAGACATGTCACCACAGAAAGCCACCACTTCTTACCTATTACTATGGCCAAAATCCAAAACATTGACAACATCGAATACTGGTGAGCATGTAGAATAACAGCAATGCTCAATCATTGTTGGTTGGAATGCAAAATGGTATAGCTACTTTGGAAGGCCATTTGACATAACAAAAACTAGATATTCTCTTACCATAGGATCCAGCCATCATGCTCCCTGCTATTTACCCAAATGAGTTAAAAACCCTACAGCCATATAAAACTTGTACATGGATGTTTATAGCAACTTTATTCCATAATTGCTGAATCTTGGAAGCAATTATGATGGTCTTCAATGTAATAGGTAAATAGATAAATAAACCATGGTACATCTAGACAATGGAATTTTTTTCAGCAATAAATGAAATGAGCTATCAATTCACAAAAAGACATGGAGAAATCTTAAATGCATATGGCTAAGTGAAGAAAGCTGTATTAGTCCATTTTCATACTGCTAAAAAGAACTGCCCGAGACTGGGTAATGTACAAAGGAAAGAGTTTTAATTGACTCACAGTTCGGCATGGCTAGGGAGGCCTCAGGAAACTTTCAATAATGGCAGAAGGCAAAGGGAAAGCAAGGTACCTTCTTCACAAGGTGACAGGAAAGATGCTGAGCAAAGGGGGAAGAGCCCTTTATAAAACCTTTAGATTTGTGAGATCTCACTATCACAAGAAAAGCATTGAAGGAACCACCCCCATGATTCAACTACCTCCACCTGGTCTCTCCCTTGACACATGAGGATTATGGGGATTACAATTCAATATGAGATTTCGGTGGGGACACAAAGTCAAACCATATCAGAAGCCAATTTGAAATGCTACATAGTACATAATTCCAGCTATACAAAATTTTGGAAAAGGCAAAACTAGAGAGATAATAAAAAAAATTTGTGGTTACCAGGGTTTCTGGGGAAGGAAGAAAGGAAGGAATGAACAGGTAAAACACAGAGGATTTTAGGTCAGTGACAATATTGTTAATGTTACTGTAATTGTGGATATATGTCACTTTACATTTGTCAAACCCATAGATTGTATAATACCAAGAGTGAACCCTAATGTAAACTACCGGACTCATGTTAGTAATGTGTTAATATTGGATCATTAATTGTTAACAGATTACCACAACAATGCAAAATATTATTAATAGGAAAACTGAGAAGGGAATTAATAAATTATATAAAAACTCAACTTGCTTTGCTTAATTTTTCTGTAAATCTAAAACTTATATCTAAAGTAAAGTCTATTAATTAAAAAAGTAATCAGTGCATAGAAATTCTACAGCAGAAAAATGCAACATCTGACGGTAAGGATTTGTTCAAAGTGTAGAATAGACAGAAGCAAAAAATAAAAAATAATTGATGAGCTCAAAAAAGTTTATTATTAACTATTTAAACTAAAGACTGATAGAAAAATTAGTGAAGAAGAAAATAGTATAACAGAATTGCTTCAAGTACTCTAGTACATTATTTACTGATGGGGAAGTTAATGAAATAAAAAGAAAATAATAGAGATTTATTTCAAATGGCCAAATACATGATTAACTGAATTGTGAGAAGATTAGAGAGAATGAAACAGAAGAAATATTTAAGGAAGTAATGACTGAGATTTTCCAAAATTGGTGAAGAACATTGATCAACATATAAAAGAAGCTTAACAGATCCCAGCGAAAATAAATTAGTAGACAGTCCAACCTAGAACATAATAATCAAGCTACCAAAAGCCAAAAATAAAATAAAATTCTGAAAAATAACCAGATTTAAAAATAAACAGCATAAATACAGTGGTATAATAACAACAACTGACTTCTCATCAGAAACCATGAAAACCAACCAATAAATTCACATTTTTTAAATGTTGAAAGAGTCCATGTAATTTTCCATAGATTTAGTTTACTTTCTTTAACTGCTTTTAACTTTCTCAATAGGAAACATTGGAACATTTTTAATTTGTTTATCATTCCCCTATTGATGAATATTTGGTGTTCCTACACTTTTGCTAAAAATAGATAATATTTCTACAAAGTTTACTTTGTACCAGGCATTGGTCTAACTATTTTACATGTGTTACTATTTTATTCTCTCAACAAAAATTGGCCACGTGGGAGTTTCTACAGCATGGAAATCAGCAAATGTAACAGATAATTTTTTTTTGTTGTTTTTTCTGCCCATGGAGAGCTAGTTGTTAAATACCAACTAGCACATCACTGATTATACAGTATTGTTGCAGAAGAAAATTCCAAACTGAAAACTCAATGGAGAAAACAACACTCACAATTTTCTATAATTAAAAATTCAAAGAAAATTTTACTTAGGCCAGTGATATAACTCCAAATTTGTATTAAATAGAATAACCAGGTATTTACTTTAATCCTAGGTACTTATATTTTAAATCTTGCTATTTATTATAACTGCTAATGTCTAACAAGTTTTGTGAGACATATTTATATAAGGAATAAGAATAGACAGGCTGAACAACTCTTACTGATGTTAATCTACTAAGCAGCAATAAATGTAAACTCCAAGAATTTGACCCATTTCATTTGTGTTGAATTTCCATATTTCTGTCTCCCCTCTTGGCACACAATGAAGAATAGAAATGAAAACTAAAATGAAAAGACGACTAATCTGTTAACAGTCTCTTTTTTCTTTGTTTTCCACATATATGAAAAGGAAAGATTAAAAATTAGCTCATTCACTATGCTGTATTTCTCATTCAGTAAAAGATAAATTGGTGCAATACAAAACAAACAAACAAATAAACAAAAAACCTCATTTGATGTCTTACTTCTTAGCTGCCTCCTGTAGCTTTACAGCTCATACCTCCATTCAAAATTATTTCATGCATCTCTTGGTTTGTCCCTTGCATTTGCATTTAGCCAGACATATTGGTGACAACAACAAAAAAGGCAGTAACAAATTGCTCACTAGTGAGGCTGGGTTTAGAGAGGCAGGGCTTAGTTAGCTTCAGACATAAGAAAACATTGCAACTCAATATATCTATTCCCGGAGTACGTTCCACTAAGCAAGGGATCCTCTCCATTACTTGGGTCCTTGAGAGGATTTTTGCTCCAAACACCAAGTTTAGTGCTAAGAAGGCCAATACATCCGGATTCTGAAAAAAAGCAAGTAAATTTATAGGGACAATTTACCCACATTCTTC
The DNA here is from genome assembly GCF_000001405.40 of Homo sapiens. Lineage (NCBI taxonomy): Eukaryota > Metazoa > Chordata > Mammalia > Primates > Hominidae > Homo > Homo sapiens. Next base: position 35,359,028 of record NC_000003.12, read on the forward strand.
ATTTACTTTCCCACTCAGAAAGATAATACCATGTACTGGACCACCATGGACTTTTGGCCCACAGAAGGCCAGACATCTAACACAAAGCTGCCACTTGCTATCTGCAAATCCTTTATCATCTCTGAGTATCGGTCATTTCTCTTATAAAATGGGACCACAAGTCCTACTTCACAAGTTATTTGGGGATTAAATATAATGCATATTAAGCACTTGGCATATAAAACATGCTTAATGAACCACAGCTGTGTTGTTATATTTGCTGTTGCCGTAAGTTATTGTAACAGAAAGAAAAAAAAAGAATTTTGTCATTGTTAAAATTTACACATTTTTGGTGATGGCCAGGCTTTAGTCCAGTACAAATTACATATCAAGATTATCTTTGGAACTGGGAGGGGCCTGATGGATAACTTGTTTTTACTATAGTTATTTTAAAGTTTTGGTGGCATAAGAACCTCTTGATATATTTGGTAAAAATTCAAGTTCCCATGTTCCAGTCACAGAACTTTTGATTCATTAGGTCTGAGATGGGAACTGAGAGTCTGCTTTGTAATCAATAATCATGTGATTCTCATGTAGGGAATTTCAGAAATATATCTGGGGAAAATATTAATTTGCCTTTACAATGGGCCATGTATTCTACATCTGTGATCTCATTTAATTTTTACAATAAACTTGTAAAAATTGAAAAGAATGAAACTGAAAGTTTTTAGATTCATTTAAATACATCCAAATAGAGTGTGTGTTTCAAATAATTGCTTAACCTGTTCATAGCAAGTCTGAAAAAAGCAGTATGAAGTTCACCAGACCAGTGGCACAAAATCACGTATCAACTTGTGTTTGCTCTAATCTGGGTCTTCTTGGACCGTATTATCCCCTAGGTTCTCAGAGATGAATCATCTTGCAGACAATGAAGCACAGGACTGACTTCATGGACATATGACTTGCGCAGCCCTACAGGACTCTGCACGAAGAAGGGACCTGTCTAATGCTCTTCTTTTGCCATCCTGAAATTCTCAATAATGTTTGAACAAGGGGTCCTAGAGTTTTATTTAGCTCAGGGATCCACGAATTATGTCACTAAATTTGTTGAGGTAACTTGGTTATATCGAGAAATTAAGTCACTAATATTGCAAATAAAACAACAGAGTCTCAGATATAGGCTTATTTGCTTAAAATTGGTATGTCCAAGATTTAAATAGAGGTTGATGATTCACAACTCCATGAGGCTTTTACTCTGCAAGAAATTACAAGAGTCATCTGGAAAAGGTCTGCATCCAGGAGAGGTCTTCAGGCAGTTTAAGAATTAAAGATCCTCAACTAAGTAAGCAGGAAAGATCATTCTTTAAGTCACAGCAACTTAACCAGGAGAAACATAACTAGCAAACCAGGCCCTCCTTCCTAACTTTATCGTACTCAAATCCTTCCTGTGGCAACTTTATGACCATTTCCCAAGGGTGCTGTCTCCGGAGAAATAGATATCAGACCATATTCTTTCCTTTGCAATCTATTCTAAAGTTAAAAAGATTAATTATTTTTGTTCTCTGCATATTTTGATTAAAGCATAAAAATGTACTATTCCTTTTTATATGCTCCATTTTCCTCCTTTGTTTTACATTTGAACTTCAAAGCATATGCCAGCATAAACCCCATCTTTCTCTCCTTCCTTGTCATGAATGGCATTTCCCAAGGATGTTTTTAAAATACAGATAAGAAAGTGAAACAAGAGGAGTATGAAAAAAGGGGAAAGAAATGCTAAGTGAATAAAAACTGTTTTACCTTTTTTCCCCATTAGCTACATCTGAAAAAATAGTAGTTGGCCTTGTTTTATTTAAAAATATGACTAAGCAAACTCAGAGACACCTATAATGTTCAAGCCCTGAATATCTGTCACTACAAACCAGAAATATAGTACAGACAAAACAAGAGGCTAACACATATAGGACAGTGTGGCGAGGAATGAATAACCATACATTTTCAGGCAGGCAAAAATGGATTTGGTTCCTACATCAAGCATTTGAGAATTGTGCCACTTTGGGAAAGTTTTTATCTTCTCTCAGCCTCAATCTCTACATTTTTGAAACGGTAGTTTCATTAGGTACATCAAAGGGTGGATTCTAATTATAAATAAAAATGGATTGCAAGCAGACAGTGCAGTGTTAATTCTCCTTCCTGTGAAGTGCTCTCTTGGACATTTGCCATCACTCCATCTCTCACAACAGAAGCAACCAATGAAAGCTTCTGTTGTGAGAGCTGAAGTGATGGCAAAATGAAGGAGGCAAGCAGAATTGAGAACAAGAGACCAATGTAGATGGGAAAACCATGAAAGATGGGAATTTAGGCTGGTCGCTAAATGAGAATGAGGCCAGAAGCAGGTAGGAAAATCAGTAGGAACAACGCCAGTAGGAACAAATCAGTAGGAACAAAGCCAATAGGAACAAAGTCCCTATCTCTCACCTGTAAGGAGATCAAAGGCCTACGATGGGACAGTTAGAAAAGCAAGCGTTGCTTTCACTCCCATTCTTGGTAGTTTAGAGATTTCTGGCCGGGCACGGTGGCTCACGCCTGTAATCCCAGCACTTTGGGAGGCCGAGGCGGGCAGATCACGAGATCAGGAGATCGAGACCATCCTGGCTAACATGGTGAAACCCCGTCTTTACTAAAAATACAAAAAATTAGCCGGGCGTGGTGGCCGGCACCTGTAGTCCCAGCTACTGTAGTCCCTGAGGCAGGAGAATGGCATGAACCCGGGAGGTGGAGCTGGCAGTGATCTGAGATCGCGCCACTGCAGTCTAGCCTGGGCAACAGAGAGAGACTCTGCCTGAAAAAAAAAAAAAAAGATTTCTGCCAGCTCTTTAGAGCTCTATGTGCGCATTGTTTAATCACCAAGAGAAATATACATAGGAGAAATGGAGACAATCTAAAAGGAGAGTAGGGGTGGCTATGAAATTTAATGCCATTCTTTCTAGAGACATTCTCCAAGATAATGGTTCTTAACCTGTAGTATGCATCAGAATCCTGGGGGTGGGGGGTGCTCATTAAAACTGATGGAGGGGACCCACCCCCAGAGTTTCTTATTCAGTAGATAGATATAAAGTACAGCCTGAGAATGAACATTTCAAATAAGTTCCCAGGTAATGCTGATGCTGCTAGTCCAGGGATCACACTTTGAGAACCACTGCTTAAAGAGATTAGTGAAACTGCAATCAGAAGCAACCATAGAGATCCAAGATTAGCATATTGATACTATCTCATCTGCAAGTTTCCTGTCTTCAGTGTCCAGCTCCAGGTGCCATCAAATTGCCTTCAGAATTTACTGCTGGTCCCTAAAAATGCAGTCCTAAAGTTGGTATTAATTTTCCAAGTTTGAAATCTTTCTTTTTATGTCTTAGATGTTTGATTTTTTCCCACTTCAAAGTCCTATTTTGTTTTGCTTTCAGCAATCTTTGCTTAAAGAGAAAGGGGTAAAATCTTTACATGGGAATATAACCTTTTAAAAACCATTACAGAACACAGCTGAGCCTCTGAAAGGTGCATTAGGAGGACAGCTGTGGAGGAGGCATTTTGAGGAAATCTCTAAGCCTGCAATTTGAAGGCCCTTTTAACCACCTGCTGTGTCCCAAAGACTTCAGGCTTTCATCCTTACAGACAAAATGATGTTTCAGCCTTTTCCTTTGGTTGCCTAGAACTTCAATACACCAACACATGAAACTCATTGTGTGTGTGTGCATGTGTGTGTGTGTGTTTGTGTGTATGTATCTAACTCCATTAAAGCTTTACTCAGTGCTAGCTCCACGTGGTCTGCTACTGATCGACATGAGGATGGTCAGTAAACCCTGACCATCTTCCAAAGAAATAGCAATCATGTGACATCAAGGATAAAGTAAAAGGGTGAAACCTGAAACAAGAAAGTGATATCCTGGATAAGACTTGGAATCCTGGCTGATATTTGCATCTCAACCCAGTGGGTAAATATGGCAGGTTTATGTAAGCATTGTTTGCTTTGAGTTTGAGGCTATGTAGACATTCGGCTACATCAATATATGTTTCTAGGAGGAAAAAAATCATGAGTCAACTTTTGTGATTCCACCAGATAGAAATTAAAGTTCTGCAACAGGTCAGAAAAAGACATATTTTGGTCTTGCATGCCTGTCCTACATCTTGCTTCCTATCAAATGGACAGAGGCATCCTCCTCTGATTCCTCAAAAGATTCTTCCTATAGCAAACAGGCAGATAAAAAGAGATACCAGCAACTCTCAACCAATATAAAAATAGCAAGGGCTTCCAAACTATTATTTCCTAGCCAGCTTTTCAAGACTATCAGAATGCTCTGTCCATACTCTGCAATTATTACAGGTAAATATGACATTTATATTATTTAGCAGCAAACATGACAGGGACACAAACCAATCAAAATAGATACTGATCATACACAGATAATGTGGGTGTCCTGGTGTATATCGGCTGAATATCCACTGTGATTAAAAGGCATTCTCTTCATCATTATCTATCACTAATCTATCCTATGCTCATACATTTTGCAATATAGGTTCTAGGATCAAGTTGTAGAGCTTAACACATATCCTTCTGCCTCCTCACCCTCTATCATTTAAAGCATGCCAAATTTGAAGTATAAATGCTTAAGACTCTCTAAGAGGTGGAATTGATGAGACACAGTTGATTGAGAAAATGGCCTGTAACAAACAGAACAGGACTGCTATGAAAAATGGAGTGAGAGGAAGGAGTAGCTCCATTGGTACTTCAAGTCTTGAGATGACAGAGACCAGGAATAGGATATGAATAACTTGTAAGTAGTTCAGCAGATAGCCCACAGCTCCATGCTCCATGCTGGTTTCAATCAACCAGGGCAGTGAGTTGGAGCGCTAAGGCCAGTGGAAGGACAGTGCCCTGTATAGATAATAAAGAAGGAAAAAACAACACTCAGGCCTAGAAGTAAGCTACATGTAGGTACCCATAAGAAGCATATCCTATCCCTCTTGCAAAATTTCTTAAGATAGGCCAAACCGCATACACAGGTAGGCAAAAGAATCTCAGAGACAAACATGAGCACATAACTAACACAACAAAAAAAGAAACAAACTCAACATGCTAGAATATATGGCAGAAAAAAACAAAGGTAAGAAGGAAATAAAAGGTGAGATTCATAAACTTAAAGGCATAAAAAATGGAAATGGCTCTTTAAACAATAAGCTGCTGTAAAACAGAAAAACACATACAACTTGAGAATAATAAAATTGAATCATCAAAAGAAAACTGGAAAGACAAATTTGAGCATAATCCCAGAATGCTTTTCAAAATAATGAGAAATTAGAAAAGAAAATAATTTAATATACAGAGAACAGATCCTGAAGTATACATATTTATTTAATAGTTAAATAAGAGTGCAAAGAAATAAAAGCAATAAGGGGATTAGAAGGGAAAGGATTCCCAAAGACATGACAGAAATTTTTTCAGCATTGAAGAAAAACAAGTATTAATAATAAAAGGTCCTACAGAATGTAACAAGCAGTACAGTACAGTGACCCTTGAAAAAATTAAATACATGAGAATATATCCGTAATTACCCGCCTCTTTCTGCCTAAGGGTATACACCTGCTGTTGTGGAGAAGTGGAGCTCAAATAGGGCATGCTAGTCTTGTTGAGGTGAGGAGACAAGGATAGGAGTTCTGCATTGCTGAACCAGCTTGAGTTTGCAGAGCAGAATACTAGGTGAGAGGGAGCTATGCCTTAGAAGAGAGGAAATGCCACAGAAGTCTGAGAATTCATACGGGCTTTTGGTCAAGGGGTTCTCTGTAATGCTTAGCAGATATAACTTGCTGCGAGGGTAAAAATGGGACATTGACTGTAGAGGAGTCAAGAAATACTGGGAGATATTAATGTTATAGACCCGCCGGAATGGACAGACCTTTCTGAGAAATGCAGACATTCACTTGAGATTCTGGAAAGGCCACATGTTTCAAGTAAGTAATATGCCATAGAGTAAGCAAAGGGCACTAACCTAGAACTAAATTGAATACTAAAATAGATCCTCCTTAATAAAGAACAAAACCAAGTCTGACAGGGGTAACAACAAATAGCACAAGTAATCTAATTACCTATAAAAATAAAATCCAGCACTATTTAAAGGAAGGAAACATATTCCAAACTCCTAACAGTGTGTCATAAATAATTCCCAGCATTGAATAAAAAATTACTAAACATGAGAGAAAGCAGGAAAATATGACCTGTAATTATTAGAGGGAGAGGATATAAATCATAAAGTAGTACAGCACTAAGAAGATTGTGATGATTTAAGAATGTATGCTGTAATTGCTACAGAAAAACTAAAATAAATAATGAATGAATTAATATTTAGAATAGATTAAAAGCCAATAGAGGAATTAAAATGGAAGATATTTTTAAACTTGAATAACCAAATATAAGGCAGAAATAGAGAAAGAAAAGATCCAAAACAGAAAGATGTCTAAAAAAAAGCAAGATAATAGAAATAACCCAAACATACCAATAAATCTTATATCCATTAAATGTAAATTGACAAACCACTAAAATTAAAAAAAAAAAGATTAGTGGAGACATTAGGAAAGGAAGACTTAATTATACACTATCTACAAAAGACATTTTACATATAAATTATCAGAGAGGTTGGATGTAAAATCATACTAAAAGATATACTATGCAAATAGTAAATATATAAAGGGCATGGCTATATTAATAGTGAAGTAGACTTAAAGGTAAGAGTATTACAAGCAATAAGAAGGGTAATATATAATGATAAAGGCTCATCAGGAAAACATAGGAATTCTAAATGCATATGCACTGAATATACCATATAAGAAATAGAAGAAGAAATTAACCTGCAGAACTAAATGAAAGATACAAATTCCCTATCAAAATAGAAAATTTTAACACTCTCATCTTAAAAATTAGTAAAACAGACGAAAACTCTGTAAGAATATAAATTATTGTAATGACAATATGAATCAAGTTTACTAATGTGTATTTTACAAATACTACACTCAACATAACAGAATACACATTTTTTTTGAAGTCCACATAGAATATTCATTAAAATTAATTGTTTGAGTCTATTTTCTGTTTCTGTAACTGAATACCTGAGACTTGGAAATTTATAAAGAAAATAAATTTACTTCCTACTGTTCTGGAGGCTGGGAAGTCTGAGGTCAAGGGGCCACATCTGATGGGGGCATGCTTACAACATCATAACACGGCAGATTTCATCACATGGCAAGAGGGCCAAGAGCATGCCAAACTGGCTTTTAAAATAGACCTACTCTCCTGATAACTAACCAGCTTCCATGATAACCCATTAATGTATTAATCCATGAATGAATTAACCCATTCGTGAGGGCAGAGCCATTATGACCCAAACACCTCTGAAAGCCCTCAGCTTTCAATACTGTGACATTTGGGATTTTCAATATAAGTTTCAGAAGGGACAAACATTCAAACCATAGCATAGATCATGTGTTGGCTATAAAATATGTATCAATGAATATCAAAAGATATAAATTTTACAGAGTATATTTTCTAATGATAAGAAAATTACATAAAAGTCAGTCACAATAAGAAACAATAAAAGCCCCACATATTTGGAAATTAAAAACAACACATAAATAATCCATAGATAAAAGTAATTACAAGTGAAGTAGAAAGCATTTCAAACTGAGTTATAATCAAGATACAACATATCAAAACATATTGGGTACAATTAGATAGTGAATTAAACACTTTTTTGCATTACAAGAGCATGTTAATAAAGATGGGAAGTTTAAAACCAAAGATCTAAGTTTTCACCTTAAGAAGCTAGAAAAATAAAAACAAATTAATCCCAAAATACAGAGAAGAAAAACCAATAAAGAGCAGAAATTAATGAAACAGAACACAGACTGACAATGGAATAAATTAATAAAGCCAACACTGACTCTTATAATAGATTCAGAAAAAAAAGATATTCTCCCAACCAACTTTATTTTCATAAGGTTTTATTATTTTTATAATAGAGAAAATATCAATTACCTATATCAGAACTGAAAGGGTGAATCCTATAAATCCTATAGAAAATAAAATTATAACAATGTACTATCATGAAAAATTATGTGCCTATTTATCTAACAACACAGCCCAAATGATCAAATTTCTATAAAAACAATTCTTATGGAAATGAACACAAATAAGAAAAAATTATCATATCCCATATCTGTTAAAGAAATTGTCAAGCAGGCATGAAGAACTTCTCCCACCAAGAGAGACCAGAATATTGAGTAGACTGGCATACTCTGGATAGATCTTCAGAGAGAATTTACTGAGCAGATAGACAGACAACACGGGCATTGAGGCCGAAGGGGAAGGAAGCCGGAAACCCCACATGGGTTTGCTGAGTACCAGGACTTGTTCCCGTTCCTGAATGACTCCTAAGGAAGGGGTGTGTGAAATAAATGCACAGCAGCCCACTCTCAACATGGGTCACCAGGGTTCTAACTGCAGGAATGCACACAACCCCCATTGAGATTTGAGTTCACAGGGGGAACTGCCCAAGAAGTAGGCAGTGGCAGAGCTTGAATCTGTGGAGCCCAAGCAGTTTAGCATGGAAACAGCTGCAGTGGAACACAGCCATAGATGCCCATTCCTAAATGTTCTCCATACTTTTGTAGGTAGCTTTAATCATCTTTATCTGACAGAACTGGAGAGAGTAGTGCAGGAAGAGGGCTTCCTGTCTGCGGACCCCTCCCAGAGCTCCTGCCTGGGTACAATGGCTTGCAGTGCAGCCTCAGTGGCCCTGCCAGAGCACTTTTATTGATGGCCCCCTGCCATAGCACATTCACCTGTGACATACCTGCTGCCCCACCAGAACATGTTCACTCACAACACTACTACCGCCCTTCAAACTGCTTTCACCTGCAGGCTCCTGGCTGCCTCACCAGAGCACTTTCACCCATGACCCTGAGATTGCCCCTCTGGACTGCTTTCACCCACAGCCGCCTGCCACCTGCAAGGATGCTTTTGTCCATGTCCCCAAACAAACCCACCAGAGTGGTTTTACCCTTGGCCTTCTCACCAAAGTGCTCTCACTTGCAGCTCCCAGTGGAATATTGTTGCCAGTGGTCTGGGAGCACCTCAGCTCCCCAAGAACAGTCTGTGCTTGACCTCAAGGGGCCAGAGGACAAAGCCATGGGCCTGATCATAGACCCCCAATGTTAGAGCATGCAGTCTAGGAGTGCTGAGTGAGCCTTGGCCCTTTGAAACCATCCAGAAATAAAGCCATTTGACTATACCCAGCTTGCACCATAGTCGAACTCTCAAGGGCAATAAAGAACATAAAAATCAAGTCTCCTACAAGGGAAAGCAACTTCAAAGGAAAATGGAACATCAGCCCCCACAGATGAGAAAAAACCAGTGCAAGAAATCTGGCAACTCTAAAATCCAGAATGTCTTCTTATGTCCAAATAATCACACTAGCTCACCAGCAATGGTTCTTAATCAGATATAAATGGCTGAAATGTCAGAAATAGAATTCAGAATCTGGAGGTAAGGAATCTCACAGAGATATAAGAGAATGCTGAGCCCAATTCAAGGAAGACAGTAAAATGATCCAAGAGTTCAAAGACGACATAGCCATTTTAAGAAAGAGCCAAAATGAAATTCTGGAAATAAAAAAACTCGCTACAGGAGTTTCATAATACAATCTGAAGCATTAACAAGAGAATAGACCAAGTTAGGAAAAGAATATCAGAGTTTGAAGACTGCTCCTTTGAAGCAACTTAGGTAGAAAAACATAAAAAAAAGAATAAAACCTCTGAGAAACCTCTGTAAAGAGATATAACCTATGACTCTGCATTCCTGAAAGAGAAGGAGAGAGAGCAAGCAACTTGGAAAATGTATTTGAGCATATAGTCCATGAATATTTTCTCCAACTAGCTAATGAGTTTGTCACGCAAATTCAAGAAATTCAGAGAATTCCTGTGAGATACTATACAAGACAGCCATCTCCAAGACACATAGTTAACAAATTCCTCAAAATAAAAAATCTTAAAGGCAGCTAGGAAGAAAGAACAGGACTTTCTGTACAAAGAAAACTATATCAGGTTAACAGAGGAACTTTCATTAGAAGCCAGAAAAGATTGGAGGCATATTTTCAACATCCTTAAAGAAAAGAAATTTTAACCAAGAATTTCATATCCCACCAAATTAAACCCCATAAGCAAAAGAGAAATAACGTTCTTCTTTTTTTTTTTTTTTAAACAAGAGTTTTGTTTGTTCTTGTTGCCCAGGCTGGAGTGCAGTGGCGTGGTCTTGGCTCACTGCAACCTCCGCCTCCCAGGTTCAAGTGATTCTCCTACCTCAGCCTTCCAAGTAGCTGGGATCAGGCAACTGCCACCATGCCTGGCTAATTTTTGAATTTTTTTTTCTTTTTTAGTAGGGATGGGGTTTCACCATGCTGGCCAGGCTGGCCTTGAACTCCTGACCTCAGGTGATCCGCTCTCCTCGACCTCCCGAAGTGTTGGGATTACAAGTGTGAGCCATCATGCCTGGCCCAATAAAATTCTTTTTAGACAAGCAAATACTAAGGGAATTCATTACAACTAGACTTGCTTTAGGAGAGGTCTTAAAGGGAGTAATAAACATGGAAACAAAGGAACAATAACCACCACCACAAAACACCCTTAAATACTTAGCCAATGACAATATAAAGCAACTGTACAATGAAATCTACATAGCAATCAGCTAATAATATGATCACAGGATTAAATACTCACATATCAATAATCACCTTGAATGTAAATGGGCTAAATGATCCACTTAATAGGCATAGAGTGGCAAGTTGGATAAAGAAGCAAGATCCAACTGCTATCTTCAGGCGATCCATATCACATGTAATGACAACCATAGGCTCAAAACAAAGGGATGAAGAAAGATCTATCAGGCAAATGAAATATAAAAAGGAGAAGGGGTTGCTATTCTTTTACAAGATAAAACAGACTTTAACCAACAATGATAAAAAAGGAAGACATTACTTAATGAGGAAGGGGTCAATTCAACAAGAAGACTTAACTATTTTAAATATATATGCATCCAATGTTGGAGCACCCAGATTCATAACAAAAACTATTAGAGATATATGAAGATATTTAGATAACCACACAATAACAGTGGGAGACTTCAACAACCAACTGACAATGTTAGACAGATCATTGAGGCAGAAAGCTAACAAAGATATTCTGCACTTAAATGCAACACTTGACCAATTGGACCTAACAGACATTTAGGAGAACACTCCAACCAATAAAAACAGAACATACATTATTCTCATCTGCAAATGGCAAATACTCTAAAATTGGCTATATGCTCAGCTATAAATCAAGTCTCAACAAATTCAAAAAAATCCAAATCATACCAACCACGCTCTTGGGCATTAGCATAATAAAAATAGAAATCAATACCAAGAAGATCTCTCAAAACCATACAATTATATGCAAGTTAAACAACCTGCTTCTGAATGACTTCGGGATAAGAATGAAATAAAGGTAGGAATCAAAAAATTATTTGAAACTAAGAAAAACAGACACAATATACCAGAATATTTGGAACAGAGCTAAAGCAGTGTTAAGAGGAAAGTTTAAAGCAATAAGTGACTGTATCAAAAAGTTGGAAAGATCTCAAATTAATAATCTAATGTCACACCTAGAAGAACTAACAAAATAAGAGCCAACTAAACCCAAAGCTAACAGGAGAAAAATAATAACCAAAATCGGAGCTGAACTGAATGAAATTGAGACATGAAAATCTATTAAAAAATCAATAAATCCAAAATTGGTTAATTGAAAGAATGAACAAGATTGGTAGACTGCTAGCTAGATTAATAAAGAAAAAAGAAAATCCAAATAAACACAATCAGAAATGACTAAGGCAAAATTACAATGGACCACATAAAAATACAAAAAATCCTCAGAGATTACTGTGCACACATCTATGTATACAAAGTAGAAAACCTAGAAAAAATGGACAAATTTCTGGGAACAGACAGCTCCCAAAATTGAACAAGGAAGAAATTGAAATACTGAATGGATCAATAACAATTCCAAAATTGAATCAGTAGTAAAAAGCCTACCAACCAAAAAGAGCCCAGAACCAGATGAATGCACAGCCAAATTTCATCAAATGTACAAAGAGCTAGTACCAATCTTACTGAAATTATTCCAAAGAATTGAGGAGTAGGCACTCCTCCCTAATTTGTTATACAAATCAGCATCATTCTGACAATAAAGTGTAGCAGAGACACCACAAAAAAAGAAAACATCAAGCCAATATCCCTGATGAATATAGACACAAAATTTCTCAACAAAATGCTAGCAAATCAAATTTAGCAGTGCATCAAAAACTTAATTTGTCATTATCAAATAGGCTTTATTCCTGGGATGCAAGGTTGTTTCAATATATGCAAATCAATAAATGTAATTCACCACATAAACAGAATTAAAAACAAAAACCATATGATTATCTCAACAGATGCATAAAAGGCTTTCAATAAAATTCAACATCTCTCTATGTTAAAAACTCTAAACAAATTAGTCATCAAAGGAACATACTTCAAAATAATAACAGCCATCTAAGACAAACCTATAGCCAACATGAACACATTGAATGGGCCAAAGCTGGAGCATTCCATTTGAGAACTAGAACAAGACAAAGATGCACACTCTTACCAATCTTATTCAAGATAGTACTAAAAGTCCTAGCCAGAGCATCAGCAAGAGAAAGAAATAAGGGCATCCAAATAAGAAAAGAGGAAGTTAAACTATCTCTCTTTGCAGATGACATGGTTCTACATGTAGATTTTCCCATAGGCTCCACCAAAAGGATCCTAGAACTGATAAACTACTTCAGTAAGGTTTCAGGATACAAAATCAATGTACAAAAATCAGTAGCATTTCTATACACCGATGGCATGCAAACTGAGAGCCAAATGAAGAATGCAATCCCATTCAAAACAGCCACAAAATGAATAAAATACCTAGGATTACAGCTAACCAAGGAGGGGAAAAATCTCTACAATGAGAATTACACAACACTGCTGAAAGAAGTAAGAGAAATCATGAACAAATAAAAATATTTTTTGAAATGCAATATAGGTAACAAAAATACTGAAGACCTTTACAACAAAAACTATGGAACATCACAGCAAAAAATGAAAGCCTGAATTACTGTTCATCTTCATGAAGACTCAATATCATTAAGCTGCCAAACTGATTTATAGATTCACAGCAACCCCAAATCTAATTTCAATATGATTTTTGATAGATATCAATCAACATTTCAATATTTACAATAAAACTACAGTATTTCAATATTTATACTACTGTAAATATTATAAAATCAATATTCACCAGATTTTTTTTTACATAGGCACCAAGGAAATTTAATGGATTCAACGGTCTTTTAACAAATGGTTCTAGAACAACTGTGTATTGGATAACCATGTAGTTAAAATGAACTTCAACCTTCACATAATGTACAACACTGAATTTCAGACAGATCATGACTCCCTTGGCCCTGAGGGATAGGCAAAATTTATAGGAGAAGATAAACAAAGTACTTACAAAAAATATATATGCTTCTTAGGCTTTATTAATTTTTAAAAATTAGTTTATTAACAGCTTTTGGGAAATGAAAACACGTATCATAAACTGGAAGAAAATATTCACAATAAATATATAAAATAAGGGAAACTTTACCAAAACAAAGGTTTTCACGTTTTTGTTCTCAGAATCCTTTTATACTTTTAAAAATTACTGAGAACCCCAAAGGTCTTTTGCTCATATGGGTTATATCTATTAATATTTCATGAATTCAAAATTAAAACTGAACAATTTTGAAAGTATTTATTTAACAATTAAGTTAAAATAGCTTTAACAAATCCATTACATTTTAACAGAAATTACACATTAAAAACTATAAAAACTGTATTTCTCCAAACTGAAATGAATTTAGTGAGAAGAGAGTTTAGTTTTGCCTTTGGTAAATTCCCTAATTTCTGGTTTAATAAAAGATAACTGGTTTTTCATTATCTGCTTTTGCATTCAATCTGTTATGACACAATTTTGGTTGAAGTAAGCTGAAAAAAATTAGCCTCACACATTGTCTTAGTTTGTTCGGACTGCTATGATGAAATTCTGTACACTGAGTGGCTTGTAAATAATAGAAATTTATTTTTCATTATACTGGAAACTGGAAAATCCAAGATCAAGGCATCAGCTAGCTAGTTGTCTGGTAAGTTTCTACTTCCTCATATAGGTAGCCATCTTCTCACAATTAACTCACATGGTGGCAGGGGCGAGGGAGCTCTCTGGGGTCTCTTTTATTTACCTATTTATTTATTTTATTATTATTATTTTTTTGAGACAGAGTCTCGCTCTGTCACCCAGGCTGGAGTGCAGTGGCGAGATCTTGGCTCATCGCAACCGCCACCTCCTGGGTTCAAGCGATTCTCCTGCCTCAGCCTCCCGAGTAGCTGGGACTACAGGCGCGCACCACTACACCTGGCTAATTTTCCTATTTTTAGTAGAGACGAGATTTCACCATATTGGGCAAGCTGATCTCGAACTCCTGACCTTGTGATCCGCCCGCCTCAGCCTTCCAAAGTGCTGGGATTACACACGTAAGCCACCGCGCCTAGCTGGGGTCTCTTTTATACGGCACTAATACCATTTGTTATGGCTTCATTCTCATGATCTAATCACCTCCCCAATGCCCTCAATTCCTGATACCATCACATTGGGCGTTAAGATTTAAATGTATAAGTTTGGGGGCACATACCATTTAGCTCACTGCACACATATATGTGGTTGGAAAAAGGTGGAGGATTTTCAGCCTTCTTAGGTAAATATGAGTATTCTTTTTTGATACTCTAACACATTTTCAAAAGTGGTTATTTTGTAGCTAGGTGTGATGATGTACAACTGTAGTCACAGCTATTCAGGAGGCTGAGGCAGGAGGGTTGCTTCACCCAGGAGTTTGAGTTTGCAGTGACTTATGATTAGGCTACTACCCTCTATCCTACACAACAAAGCGAGATCCTTTAAAAAACAAAAAGAAGAAAAAAAAAAAAGAAAAAGTGGTCATTTCTTAAATGTTAGCTGTAATAAAGAATGTGAAATTATATTAGTGAACTTTTCATACTGTTTCATTAAAACTAATTTGTCTCTTTGGCATTTTAAAGGATTTTGTACTCAGGCATGATTTTATAACACAGCGCGCGCACACACACACGCACACACTGTACCAAGGAAATGATAAACAGAAAAGACTGAGGCAATGTTAACATTAGAAAAAATTGATTTGAGGTAAGTAGGATAAAGGATACAATGAGAAATATTTCATCTTAATATTCAAGTTCCTAGCAACATATGTTTTATATTGAAAAAGCAAAAACTGTAATAATAATAATAATAGAGACATTTCACATTCTTCTCTCAGAAGTTGGTAGGTAAGAAAAGAAAATATCAAGCAAAGGTGGAGAAAATTTGAACTTTTTGAAGTCTTATTTTATACTAAGAGTGGAAGGAACAAAGAAGGGATGAAGAAAGGAAAGAATTTGTGAATCCAATAAATATGGCCTGTTAATTGTTACCAATGTGCTTAAGAAATTAAAGGCATGTGATACGATATCATGTAAAGATGCAGAATAAAAGTTCACAAACAAAGAGCAGTAATCATAGTGGTCATGCCACTGACCATGATGCAAAAAAATAATAAACAGACATGAAAAGTAGAATTCTCAAGTACCCATTTATTGAAAGTTTAAAAGACCATCACCAGTGACATAAAATGTAGCAGAAGTAACCAGAAAGAAAATACTAGGCAAACTGCAAGAGTTTTAATGTAAATCATCCCTATGAGTTTTGTGTCTATGCTCTTGCAAAATGGAAAGTATCTGCTCCTGTTTTATCTTTACAATGATTATTTTTAAATATCTAAAAATTGAACACAAAACACTATATGCATGTCTCTTTCAGTGGCACCTGGCAATCACTTAAAAAAATAAAAGATTTTTGATTCATCATATTGAGAATTCCACTAGGTAGATTAAGTTTAGGCATGAATTAGTTCAAGTTCTACAAATTATGTCCTCAATCTTTGTCTCTTCAGCTTTAAATTATCGTTTATATTGTGTGGTCTTTTCCCTCAAATATTGTCTTGGATATGTTGGCAAATGGTAGCTAACATTTCTAGATCACTATCCTATTAGTTTAGCAACTCTAGCAGAATGACAATTTCTCTTTTCTAACAGCTCTAGCAGAAATTCCGAGTAAGAATCACAGCCCTAATATAATTTCCTACAATAACAAAATAAAGTGTTTTTAGAAAAAGTGGCGATATGATCATCTGAGATCTGATGAGAATATAATTGGTGGTTTTTAAAAATCATCATTTGGAAAGTTAGTTTTTACTGTGAGAATAGGAAATTCCATATTTTAATGAAAGCCACAAGAGAAAACAACTGTGAAACTTTACTGAAGAGGCATAAAATAAGATTGAAATGAAATTTTACATATACATTATGAGCTGGTAAAATGCAAAATTATAAACATATCAATTCTGCCAAATTAATTATGTTTTAAATCTTAAAATAATGTTTAAAGATTTTTGGTATGGATATAACATTTATCTGCCAAAAAAGTAAAGGAAAAACTCAAGAAAATGTTCAGAATATTATAAGGATGGAATATTTGTACCTGCAAGGAAAAAAAGAATTATACTAAAGCTATAATAATTAGTCCTATGTAATATTGGCATGAGAAAAAATGAGTAAATGTTAGAAGCCCAATAGAGAAAAACTCGTAAATAACTGGAAATGGTCTATGTGCTAAATTTCACACTTTAAATTATTGAAATCAGAACAGATTCAAATACATTTGTCTATTAATACAATTGGCTAGTCTCTTGGGGGGAAATGTTAGATTTCTTTTTCTCACCATGTACACTGGACTTCTCATAGCAGCTATATCCTTGTAATTTCTTATATCTTCCTGTATATATATTCATATTTATAAAACCACACATTACTTTATCTTCATAAAAATGATTAAGAGCCAAACCGAAGGAAAGGAGGAAGGAAAAAATAAGAAGAAGCAGGGAATGAGGAAGGAAGGGAGGGAGGGAGGGAGGAAGGAAGGAAGGAAGGAAGGAAGGGAGGGAGGGAGGGAGGGAGGGAGGGAGGGAGGGAAAGAAGGAGGGCCGGAGGGAGGGAGGGAAAAGAACGGTAAGAAGGAAGAAAGGACAGTTCTGGACCAGAATGGAAGTTTGATTGGATGGTAAGGTTATAAGCTAATAGAATAGATAAAGTATAATTTTCATTCTCCTGCTACAAGCTTTGAAAATTGGAGAAAAGAGAAAAAAGGTGATTTAGAATTTTATTATATTTAGAGAGGGAGAAGTTGATAATTAATTTGAGGTACCTCAATTTCTTTTTCCTTTTTTTCCCTGATTTTAAGAGAGGAGTCCAGGTTTTACAATTTAACATCCAAAATAAAATTTTATACTCAAGAATTCTAGAAATTTTATATCCAAAATAATCCAATTTTTATAGTGCTTTAAATTTATAAGATTATAGAAGATAATCCTTTCTGGAGAAGATGGGTTTTTGAGTGAGAGTGAAAAAACATATGATACACACACACACACACGCCCACACAAATACACAAATAATTGCTGTTTGCCAGTTTATCAACAATTAGAAAAGCAGAATTAACTTTAACTAGAAATACATCTGTTTTCCAGAAGGAAGCACCCACAAATCCTTACTACCCACGTCCTTATTCTCCTTCTTATGTTGGTTTTCTGACTCTCATTGGCTTTCATAGTTGTCTCGACTTTTTAAATGTCCTGTTCTCATAAATATTATTTGCCCAGATCAGATGCCTGGAATTAGAGTCATTGGTAACCACGAGGATGAGTTTCCTGGGACCAACCTCCAATTTGGTAGAATTCTATTGAAATGCCAATCAAAGTTCCAGGCAGCAGGGGAAGAAGGCCTCCGTGGGGCATTTATATTCTGAAATTTAAATTATGGTTTTCCTTGACTTCCACTGCAATCGTTAAGGTGTCCTCCTCCTCCCTTTGTTCAGAAAACATTTTCAATGCAGCTGGGAGTGAACAGACAAATCTGCACACAAGGAAAGTAAGACTATTAACCAACATTCTTAATGTTAAATTTTAATGTTCTCTCATATAGCCCATGTCAGCTTTTTAGTACTTTGAAAAAATCATGGATTGGGGATAATATGATACATTCAAAATGGAATAATTTTTTACTATGAATTGTGCTTGTTAGAACTTAGGAATTATGACCAAGAAACTCATTCTAGCCTGTTTGAATTGTCTATCATCATAATTAATGAACACTTTATAAATACAAACAGATAATCTATTTTGTAATTCAAATCGTCACTTTAAATTATTTGTTTTCCTTTGAGAAATGTTTGAAATAATGAAGAAAAAAATGTTGCTTTTGAGAAAAATCAAAGTAATATATACTAATTCATTCACATACATAAAACACTGATTTCCCTATTTATATATGCCTTTTGTATCTTTTCCCAACTATGGTAGATTGAATTATTAGCCTCAATTCTTCAGCCCTCCCTGTAGATTCACCTTGTCTTGTAATATTGCAGTGTCTTTCACTAAAGGTAGAGTGTATTTCACCATTGTTTGATTTTGATCGATAGGATATTTGGAGAACTGATGTGAGCAAAGGCTCAAAATGAATGGTGTGCTTAAAAATGTGTAACAACTGGCTCTCCAGTTACTAAAGAGCTTGGTTTGAGAATCAGTTAAACAAGATGAGGAAGTTCCTGATTTCTCACATTTGATGATATTCATGGTATAAATACTTTCACCACGGCCAACTTCATGTTAACAATGAGACATTAGTAAATGTGGAGATGGAAAGAGATGCACAGTAACATATCATGTTATAATATCTCTACTGTATAGACATACTAGATGTAAATGACCTCAAGATCCCAGATTAAAATAATGTAGAAAATAATTAGGAAGTGGTGAGTTTTTAATGTTTATTATTTTCTTTTTTAATATAATGTGTTTATCTATACCTTTATGTAATTTAAATTTTAATAATGGCTGTGTTTAATAACCACCTCAGAAAATGCTGAACATTTAACAATCAGGTCTTACGAGTAAATAAAGCCAGCTGTGGCACATGCCTGCTGGAAATATACTTTTGAGGTTGTCCAGGCTCTTCTGCACCTCTGCCATTGCTCTGAGAAGAAGGTGCCCTGGCTATCCCACTGGTTCAAGGAAGATAAAGACACATGGAACAGTGTCTTTATCCCCCAGCTAACTCAAAGGCCTCCAATTCAAAGAAGAGACAAGGTTGCTAAGTCTTGTCTTCATCAGTAGACTCACAGCTGCAACAGCTCCAGGAATGAAGAGGGGCTATGTCTTTTCCTTCTTTTTTTTTTTTATTATACTTTAAGTTCTTGAGTTGGAAGGTAGTTCGTTACATAGCATCACTGTAGTAATAGATGACTAATATATCAACCTCTTCTTGAGAGGTAAAAAGCAATGACCATTTTTTTATTATTAAAAGGACCACTGAGATATTTATTATATTATTAACTGAGATTATTATTTAATTTTGTATTATAGATGGAATTTAATTTACAAAGATATAAAGGCATATACTGGATCATCTGTTTGATCAACCAATTAGCAGAGATTATCTCATAACTTCAATGACTGTGTTTGATTGGCATTTGTGATTATTTTGATGCCAAGTGAATATTCACAGTAATAATATTTAACTATTAATGTATCAGTAAGCAAATATGACTGACATTAGTAGGGCATATTTTAATGTCAACTTGACCAAAGTCGCCTCAGGCTTATGACTATATTACATTACCAGTAATAATGATGTACTTTCTTTGCAGTAATAAATAGCAATTGAAGATCTGTCCACAGAATGAAACTTTGTATTTTAAGTTCTTTAATAATGTAAGACATTGGTTTGACATCATAAAAAAAAGTAACAGAGGCAATAGAAGTAATTTTATTGCAGTTGTCTAATGAAAAAGGAATAAAAGAGAATTTAGTGTGTGATGGTCTATTTGCAACAAGTGGAGTCCATTGTAATCAGTGGTGCCGGGGCGTAGGATATTGCGAGCATACTGGCCTCAAAATTACATATCCATTAGCAGGAAGTTCATAGTCACATCACAACTGACACATTTTGTTCCAGAAAAAATATCACTTCTTCAAACTCCTGCCTGCTTCTTCCCTGGGTACCACTTGTTTCCTGTGCTGATCCTGCTATAATGTCACTCAAATCTGGTCATATCTCTGCTCAGAACCTGTCAAAGCCTTCCTGTCTCACTCAGGGAAAAGGAACAATTTCTTCTAAGGCCCTCTAAGTCTCCCCACGATCCTTCTCACCTCCCTGGCTCACCTTCTCTCCCTTTTTTGTCTCCAACTTTATTTCTTCATACTCTCCACCCTCTAGAGAGTATAGATCACACTGCAGACACATTGGCTTCCATACTGCTTTTCAAAGCCTAAATTAGAAGAGCTTTTGTTCTTGCTGTTCCATCTGCTGTGAATTTTCTTCCCACATACATCCTCACTATCAAAGCCTCTAATAAAGTCATCTTGTCAACAAGGCCTTCTCTGATCATTCTACTTGAAATGAAACATTGCCCCAAGAAATTTCAATCCCACTTCCCCTCATTATTTTTGCCAATATTCTAATATACTATATGTTATATTATACTAATTTATTTTGTTCATGGTCTATTTTCCCCCATGAGAATATAAGCTTCATGTGGTCAAAAATTGGAATCTATTTTTCTTATTGTGTATTCTCAGCAGCTAGAGAGTGTCTGCACATAATAGGTGCTCAATACATAGTTTGCTGATTAAATAAGTCCTCACTGATAAAGTTGGGGGACTAGATAAGGTCATCTATATAAAATGTCCAGCATTACTTCTTGTCATATAGAAATCTCTTAACTACTGTAAGTATCAGTCATAATTTTCTTTTTCTATTTGAAGGTCAAATGTAGCTGGTAATGTGTAGAAAACAGAAGGGGGACTTTAAATGTAAGAAACAGGCACATTTTAAAATGTGCTAAATAAATCTCTAACAGACCTTATGATTTCTCAAAACTATTTAGAAGCTTTGGACTTAACATTACAAAATAACAAATTTCAAATTCGCTCAGATCTCTCTCCATTTAAATTCTCAAGAGAAAGTAAATAAAGTGACAGATGAAACAAATGTGATGAAAGCCTTACATTCTTGGGTACTTCTCCTTATGTTCAAACTCAATAAAGAGCTGACTTGTCCCTGGAGCTTTTGCCAACAAATAAACACTTTTCCTTTGCTGATCCCCTTTCTAGCAGGCTCACTAACCAGGTATTATTTAGGGCTCTTTAGTTTCTTTCTTAAAATTCTGTCCCTCAATTATCTCACTGCTCATGTTTTCAGCTATCACCTGTGCTCAGATTATATCTAATTTTCTCTGATTTTTTTCCTGGTTTCTTATTCTTTCTTCCCTTGTTGTTTCCACAGTATATCTATATCTAACATCATAACTTTATTAGAAATATGAAACTGCGAGAGTAAAGCCCATTTTATAATCCCTAATGGTCACTCATAAACTAAAGGTTGGTCATAAAAGAATATATAAATATTATTTTACATGAATATACAGGGAAGTACTTATTCTATTCAATAGGTACTTATTGAACATCCACTGGAAGTAAGAAGGATTCAAAGATCGGTACAGAATCAAACATAGCCTCTGTCCTTGGGGACTTAGATCAATTATATGTCCATAAAAAGACAAGAGGATTTCATCATGACAGACATCATGTTCAGATTTTATATAAAGTTTTATGGAAACATAGAACATGGGCTCCTTGCCTGGCTACATGGATGAGGTTAAAACAGGCTTTTTTTGGAGACTGTAATTTTTGATATGCCTGTAACTAGTTTTAAAGGATGAACAACCAGTTAAGACAATGAGATGGGAAGGAAATAGAAGTCATATCAAGCAGAGAAAATAACATGCACAAAATCTCTTGAAGTATAAGGTACCTCACATATGTACAACATGTAGTGAGAATACAAAGTTTTTGAAGTTGAAAGTAAGGCAGTGATAAAATAGCACTTCCCTCTTAGGAGTGTCTCCTGGGGAGACATGGAGACCCTTAGAAGCCAACAAGAGAACTAAAGCACTTAGAACAGTGCCTGCCACCCAGTAAATTTAACTGTTAGCCAAATAATATGAGATTTTATATTCTAGGCTGCAGAACTTGGATTATGAAGAGTGTCCAGAGTTTTAAATAAGGAAATGACATGATAAGTTTTGCTTTCTTGATAAAATACTATTAAGGCATTTTGAAGAAGTAAGACAGGAGACAGGGAAACTAATGAGGAAGATACTCCAGTTTCCACTAGGAGATGACAAAGCCTAGGGCAGAAGTAGTAGCAGTGGAGATGAGGGGATGGATTCAACAGCTATTTAAGCTATTGAATGTGGAAGCTGAGGGAGAGGAAGACAGACCCAAGGTTGATAGATTACATGGCTAGATGAAAGAAAGTACCATCAACTGAACTGAGGAAATTCTCCTCAGGACACTGGGGCATTTCCTGTGCATTCTGCACTAAACTTTCTAATACATTGTTCTCAACACTGTGTATGATCGACAAATATGGCTGATTATGACTGAGACTATAAAACAATATTCCCTAACAAGGTGTATTATGACACATGACATTAATGGATCATGTGCATTAAAAGCGATGAGACCAATGCTCACCCAGTAGAATTAGCATGGCTTTGGGTACTTAAAGAAAAGGCAGATATTAATTTTCAAAAACAAAAACATACTTCTGACGATGATTTCTGGATTGAGACTGAAAGCAATTTGTTTTGTGATTCAGAAAATTTTATCTCCAGAGTACTATATACTAACTGTGTCTGTCAGATTCATATTCTTTAATTTTTCTGTGAGATGAATACATGCTTTATAATGGTAATTTCACATATAGGGGAAGCTACAACAGCAGTATATCATGGCAGCTTCTTAATATGGAGACCAAGGCCTAACTATTCATCTTAGTTCAATAACTATTAACTCAACTTTCTTTGCCTTATTTCACATTTACCAGATGCAAAAAGGTGTTTTAGGGAGTGGAGAAAATGATAAAATCATAAGCTCTGTCTTGGATTAGGGCACAATTAAGCTAGACCAAATAGACAATTACAATAGAGAAAAACCTAACTGTGGCAGCAGTGTGCTTAAGACACAGGGATAGCTTGCTAAATATTTGAGAACCAACAGGAAGACAAAACAAATCATTGCAAGATTTTAAAATAAGAGTGAAAAAGGGCCGGGCGCGGTGGCTCAAGCCTATAATCCCACCACTTTGGGAGGCTGAGGCGGGCCGATCACAAGGTCAGGAGATCGAGACCATCCTGGCCAACATGGTGAAACCCCGTCTCTACTAAAAATACAAAAAAATTAGCCGGGCATGGTGGCAGGCGCCTGTAGTCCCAGCTACTCGGGAGGCTGAGGCAGGAGAATGGCGTGAACCCGGGAGGCGGAGCTTGCAGTGAGCCGAGATTGCGCCACTGCACTCCAGCCTGGGCGACAGAGCAAGACTCCGTCTCAAAAAAAAAAAAAAAAAAAAAAAAAAAAAAAAAGAGTTAAAAAAGATCTTAGATACATTTTAGAAGAATCACTTGGTTGCAATGTGGAGAATGGATTGAACAAAACCAACATGGGAAGCAAGGAGATACAATATGTGGATGCTGAATTTCCCAGTCAAGAAAGAATTAGGGCCAGGTGCAGTAGCTCACACCTGTAATCCCACCATTTTGGGAGGCCAGTGAGTGAGGATCACTTGAGGTCAGGAGTTCAACACCAGCCTTGCCAGCATGGTGAAATCCTGTCTCTACTAAAAATACAAAAATTAGCCAGGCCTGGTGGCATGCCCCTGTAATCCTAGCTACTTGGTAGGCTGAGGCAGGAGAATCACTTGAACCGGGAGGCAGGGGCTGCAATGAGCTGAGATTGTGCCACTGCACTCTAGCCTGGGTGACAAAGCAAGACTCTGTCTCAAGAAAAATAAATAAATTAATTAATTAATAAGTTAAATAAATAAGAATTAGTATCTTAACTAAGGCAGCAGTGTAGAATATGAAAAGAAGGAGATAATGGCCAAATGCATTTTGGATAGAGCAGAAGAATGTGAAAGTAGTGGCCTATTCAACGAGTCATGATGAAGGCATATGATGCCATCTAGCATCAGCCAGCCAGACAGTCATACATCAGTAGAAGTGGGTTGGCATGATGGGTCAGAGTGTAGGCTTCCTGAATTCACGTGCTGGCACTGCCACTGATTTAGCTGGGTGTCCATGAGAAGGACACTTTACTTCTCTAGTACCAACTTTATTAAATTATTGTGATGATTTAGTGAGTTAGAATATAAAAATGCTTAGAATAATGTCTGACATATAGGAAGCAAGTGAGAGTTAGTAATCATTATCTTGTTCCAACATTCAGGTACACAGGTTCTGCAGGCATCATGATGCAGTTCTGAGAATTTACAGATCCTATGCATTTTACGTATCCTAAATTTGGATGATTTCATGCCAGAAGGCGAGTGGTTACCTAGGGAGAGGCTGGCACTTTGCATGGCTCTGAACAACACAACCTTGCTCCCACTCACCAGAATTTCTTCCTTCCTTTTAATTAAGGCCTTGCTCAGCATCATTCAGAAAAGTCCCTCCTGTTTAATCTGTGACTCATAGTCCAACCATTTGAACGGTACAAACATTTCCTCTGCAGGAAGGAGCAGATGCATTGGTGAAAAACAAGTAGGGGAAAATAAAGCAAGGAGCCTCACAAATGCGGAGGTAGTTGGGACTAAAGAAATCACATGTTTTCATAGACATGTTAGCTTGTACAAGTCCCTTATTTTTCATGGCACAATAATCATCGGAGACCTTTGTCTCTAAAAGAAACGAAACCAACCACAGTTGCATCAGTTACCATCCCTGGAGTGTTGATCTGCCATTGGAAGAGACACAGGGCAGGAAAGGCTTCTCTCCAGGTAGCAATAAAAGAGTTATCAACTCACTCTGGTACTCCTCTGGGACCCAGAAAAAAAAAATCTAAGTCTGGCACCTAGGCTCTTTCCTGAGTGGGTTGTCATGGCAACAGGATATTAGCAACTGTTTTCAGGATTCTAGGGCCTTGGCAATTCTCATGAGTTTCTCTGCCTCAGCTTCTATGTATGCACGGACATATGGATACTAGAACTGATGCCAGAATTGAGGAGAGGATTTAAAATTCATGCCAGGATCCCTCTGGGTTACAGAGGACCTCAGCCGACCTCACAGAGTTTAGCTTGCTCTGCACCACTGCTGATACCATGACCCATCTGGTTCACTGCCTGCTGGAGCTCAGTTGCTCCAGCTGTAAAATAAGGGGGTTGGAGTCAGCAAGCTCAAAGGTTAATGTCAGCTCCAGAATGCTTTGAATCTCAGTAGTTTTACAGAATTTTCTTCCAGAGTTCATGGCTGATCTTGATCATGCTGTTTGAGAAACAAAAATCATCTTCATTAGTACTATTCTAGATAGAATCATTTGCTCTTGATCAAAGGCTTTGTCATAATTCAAATAAAATATTTAACTCATTGTATATGATATACATATTAAAGAAGGCTATATATTTGTGTGTGTATATATTCACAGAAGCTTTAGTATACAGGCACTTCAATATTCATATATTTTATTCCTTCATTCATGATTTAATTTACTTGATCTATGACTATATGGCATGAAATGTTGTATTAACTATAAATACTTGTTTCTTTGTGCCTGGATGTATGGCTTTAACTTGAGTACAAGTTCTGTTCCTCCAAGAATTCAGAAGAAAGCTGTAATTTTCATGAGTTCAGCTATTGTGTCTGTCTTACACGCTATTGTATCCTCATTACTTTGAATAGCACTTGATAAATGATGGATGATTAACAAATATTTGAAGAACGAGTGAATGAATGAATATATGAAAGACATAAATTGGGCCTACTTGAGTTTCTTTATATTATAGCAAAAAGTACCTCTTGATAAAGAACACATTAAATGTTCCAGTTACCTATAGCATAATAAATAGTCTTAAAACATAGTGGCAAAAACAAAGACAACCAATTCAAAATTTTATGCTCATAGATTCTACATATTAGAAATTCAAGAGGGGTACAATGAAGATGGTTCTTCTCCACTTCATAATGTCTGGAGACTTAACTGGGTTGATGAGATCAGCTGACAGTGACCAACAGCTGGAGGCTGACAGATTTGTGGCTGAGAGATCTGCTACCACAAGAAGATTGCTGAAAGGTTGAGATCAACTGGAACAATTGACCAGAGCTCTTAAATGAGGTTTGAATATCTCTCTCAGATGGTGACTGGTTTTTGAGAGGGAACATCTAGAGCACAGGCATTCAAAGAGATCAAGATAGAACCTGCAAGACTTCTGTTGACTTAGCATCAGAAGATACAAGAAGTGCTACTTCTGCCATGTTTTACTGGTTGTAACAAATCACTGACACCAATCCTCCATTTTTGACTTCTCTGGAACTTAGTCATCAGTTGTTGCCACTTCTACTGCAACAATTCCTACCTTTTATGTTTGATTTTTATCATGTTCTGCTATCTTCTAAAATAATTCTTTCATCACATCTTTCACCTTACCAATCCATGTTTCAGTGGTGTTCTTTCTGGTAATTATATCATCTATTGAACATTTTATTTTATATACTAAGTATTTGATACCAAAATACTTCTAGTTGTATTAATTTAAAACTTCCTAACTTCATATTGCCAATATCTCCCCTTTTAAAATTATATTTGTTGTATTTATTTTAAATAGCCATATATTTAAAGTTTTCTTTTTTTGTAAAGTATTTATAAGCTTCAAGTGTCTAGTCATATTGGTCTGGGGTGCCAGTTCTATGATAATGTACAATGTAATAGGTCAAAGATCTGGCCTTGGTCCGCATCCTAACTGAGGGCAAGAAATAGGTCCAAGACTCCACAGAATGACTTTGTATGTTCCTCTCTCTGCCACTCTCAAAGGCAACTCTGTCAGTCAGGAGATCACCTTTAAACTTTTAGAGAAAAATAAAGAATATCATAAAGAGGTATGTTTCATAGTTCTAATCCACCACCCATGAGATTTGGAGGAAAGGGACTCAAGTAGTAAATACTAAAGAATTGTTTTCATCAACCCTCATCCTAGCAGTTATTTTGTGCTGCTTTCATATTGACCACTCAATACCAACAGCATGGCCCTTGCAATTTCTGTGAGAAGTGGTCAAGAAATAGACTCTTAAATGTCTAGCTCCTCAATTGCCTTAAGTCCGCAGACCATTCCATCACACCACACACGCACACACACACACACACACACGCATACATACACTCACACACGTCTACACACACACACATAAACCAAGGCATGATAATTGCCTCACATTTCCCAAAACGTCTCTCATTCCTTTATTTTTCTAATTTCTCCAGGGTTCATTTTGAGGGAGAGGCCAGTAGCTCATGTTAATTTTTTATCTCATTAGGAATGGAAAGCTCCTCCAATATTTTTTCTAATGAAATATATTTTCTGAGGTGATCCACATACGGAAGGGATGACAAAATATCCATTTTTTTCTAAGTGCTCCAATTATACAAGTCTCTCTAATGATATGTTCATAAGACATGCCTATTCAATGAAGCTTTTGCTGGAATTTTACTCCAGATACAACCATCATCATTATATTATTATTATTATAAAAGTTATTGTTTATTTGGGATTTTCTATGAGCCATGTTCAATAATAATTACTTTACATGTCTAATCATATGTAATTTAGGGCATCTAAATAGGTTCCTTAGTAAGGTCATATGCAAAGTTTCAAAGT
The DNA here is from genome assembly GCF_000001405.40 of Homo sapiens. NCBI lineage: Eukaryota > Metazoa > Chordata > Mammalia > Primates > Hominidae > Homo > Homo sapiens. Next base: position 35,387,074 of record NC_000003.12, read on the forward strand.
AGAACAGTCCAAAATGAAATAAAATAAAATAAGAAGCCCAATTCTTTTTTCCAATCCCTCAAAGAAAACAAATACAAGCTTCTGGTAGCTACTTTTATTACTTTCTTAGCTCTTGGCATCCCTACATTCTGCAGACTCTCATTCTACACTCTCCTTCCTTGCCTACTTCTTTTTTCTTTTGTATCTGTTGACTTCATTTCTTTGCTAAGTCCTCCCCATGTTCCTCCTGAGTCTTAGGCTCAATCTCTTTTGGATTATACTGCATCACAAAAGGTTTCTCTGGCAGAGACAGATTATACAGAAGGAATCTAAGACTTGAAAGCTGGGTTAGCAATGAAAGCATTCTCTCTGGTAGACTGGGGTGGGGAGACAACATCTCTGAGCATTTCTTTATTAATATTTTTTCCATCACATATATATGATCTCATTTGTTCTCTCAACAACACTATTAATTACATATCATAACTGTATTTTTTTCTGTTTTCTTTTTTCTTTTTTTTTGTTTTTGAGATCGAGTCTCACTCTGTCACCCAGGCTGGAGCGCAGTGGTGCAATCTTGGCTCACTGAAAACCCCGCCTCCCAGGTTCACGCCATTCTCCTGCCTCAGCCTCCCAAGTAGCTGGGACTACAGGCACCCGCCACCACGGCTGGCTAATTTTTTGTATTTTTAGTAGAGACGGGGTTTCACCGTGTTAGCCAGGATGGTCTCGATCTCCTGACCTCGTGATCAGCCTGCCTTGGCTCCCAAAGTGCTGGGATTACAGGCGTGAGCCACCACACTCAGCCAACTGTATTTTTTATGTGAGGTCAGCAAGTATCACCGAGGTAAAATTGCTTGTCCAAAGTTACAGTAGATGTTCTTGAAAGTAAAGAAGTGAAAATGTACAGCCAGGGTATCTGATGTTGATGCCCACACTTTTAACTATTTACTAAGTTTGCTATACTTCTTCCTATTAAGATATATTTCCAAAACAACATCAAAAGTTAGACCTTCATAGGAACTCTCCTCTTCAACTGAAAGAGTTTGGGTCAAGGGAGATAACATATTTAAAAGAACCTGTCTGAGCATTCTGAGTTTGTTTCTGCTTGCTCAAGTATATCTCCATTCCCAAAGAGTGGCTCACCTGAGGCCATCAGTATAATTTTACATAATTATACACATAACCGGTGTAACAGCTATTAGCAACCAATTAGTAATAATTTGGGCAATGCTAGACATTCTCTTGCACTAAATCTTTTATCATGAAATTTTAAGTGATTAGATTCATAAATAATAAACTACCTACCAGAGATATTCATTATAAAAGACTGTACTTCAAATATGCTGTCACAAGTTCTTTAAATATAAGCAAATTATCCAACTGAAGCACCATTCCTCAGAATCCTGTTATGTATATGAACTTATCACCAACTCAGAAAAGCCAGTGATCATCATCTGAAACACAGAACCCATTTCCAGCTGTCATGAAGTCTAAAGCAAGGTCTGTCTACTCACTCAAGAGACACTCCAGGGAATATTGACAGTCACCCTACTGCAGAAATTCTGTTGTATTGGTAAAGTGAAGAATAAAAAGGAAAAATGGTGGGGGAAACTTTTAAGATATGATGATTTATCTTTATCTGTGGACCAAATCTCTTAACAGCAAAGAAGGAGCAAAAATTTGGAAAATTGCCTAGATGATGTCTTACCTGCCTCCGTAATCAATTCAAGGCAGTGTATCCTAGAAATAAAGCAGCTGCATTTTTGTTTCCAACATGAAATAGAAGGAAAATTGAGGCTACTCAATTCAAATGTTTAAGACCTGCAAATCTGTGAAACTTAAAATCAAAATGGCCAGTTCCTTATTCCCCAACCCCACAATATTTCAGATAAAAAATAGTTGACTTCCTGATGCTCAAAAAGTAGTTAATGAATTAAAAAATAAACAAACTTTATATTTCTGTTGTGTATTTGTAGCTTAAAGTGCATTTACTACCATTATGCACTAAAGACGAATGGTAAGAATTAGTGCCATTACTACTTTACAAATAAAAAAGCCAAGGCACACACAAAATAGAGTGGAGGAAAAAAAACAAAGATTTTAGAGCAAATTCTAGAGCTAAATTCTAGCTCTATTGCCATATAAGTTTTTAATTTGAGCATTACTCTCCAAATTCCATTTGCTTAGCAATCAAATGATAATAAAAATAGTTCTAGACATCTTGAAGTTTAAAGGATCATATGAAAAGTAACAACAGGTATCTAATAAATCTTCCTTTCCACTACCCCACTGTCTCCTTTTGCTTTGCAAAAAGTATGTATGTTGATCTTGCTTGCTAAGACAATTAGGAAGATGTTTCTTTATACATTTTTCTCAGTAACTATGTTTGCTGTCAGATATAGCTTCTTAGAATTTTCTCAGCTTGAAAAACATTAGTCTAATGGAAATTGTCAATTAATTTTTACTGTTGACCTAATTTTTTCCTATCACTCCTACATTGGAATTCCATCCCACAGTGCTTTGCCTAACTGTCTTAGAGTCTAAGGTAAAAGAAATATTCAGTAATGCTGATCTTGCCTTTATTTAAAATTTTGATATTTTGTTCATCATCAATTTTTTGCATTCATTTTTTAAAAATACTGCTTTAAAATATTGTTTATCTCAATTCCTAAGTTTTTTGGCACCCTTTAAAATTTTTCAGACAATGCAAATGCCCCACTTGCTTCATCTCAGTCCAGGCCTTGCCATTCTGCTTCTATTTTCATATGTTTAGAACACTTTTTTTTTTTTTTTTTTTTACCTAGTATGAGGTGAGTCTAAATCTGGCTTAAGCCAATGGAGGATACCAGAATTATCCAAAGAATAGATAAGGCCCCTACCATCTGGCTTTATAAGGCCCTGGAAATAAAATATCCTGTTTACTTTTTTATGACACCAAAAATATCAAAACACAACAGGAGGCATGTTAAGCCCAGAGTTTACACTGGGAAGATTTGATTTAGTTTCATTGTTCGCAGATTTTTGTTTGCTTTATTGTCTACTTTCAGTTTTGTTTCTATTTATGTCTTTCTTTTGGCAGCAAGCAATGGATAATCTCAATTAGTGGTTCAGGAGAGATGAAGATATTCCCTTCCTTTAAAATCTGACATCCGATATTGTTGTACCCTTCACTTCCCCAGAGGAAGGACTTACAAGAGCAACAGACCCAGCAGCAGCAGCTCCATTAAATATCTATCCTTACACTTTCTTCAGGGCAGCAAAAATTGAGCTTCTCAAGGTTGTCCAGAGCTTTAGATATCCCCTCCTTTATTTTCCCAAAAGCATGCAAGTTTAGTAAAGAGGAACTTAGGTGCCACTGCAGGAGCTGGGTCCTACTGCTCTAGGCCCAGCTTAGCTCAGCTGGAGTCAGAGCAAGATGTATCTATGGCTGGTTTGCAGAAGGTCACTGCATTGGTTACCTTGCTGACAAAAAATAAATCCTAGACTTAACACTGATAAGAAACATCATTTTGGCAGAAGCTTTAAAAAGAGAAATATTTAAAATTGACTATGTAGGAAAAAAATAAACAATGTGACTAACAAGAATAATTTAGGACTTCCAAAAATATAGTCTACATACGAATTAACAATAATTAATTTTCATTACCTGCTTACAAGGAAACTGATGTTGTTTCTAGCTCTTTTGTTATATTGAACTTTTGCAACAACTTTTTAAGATAGTCACTATTTTAAAACTTGCTGAAGGTCACTCTGCTAGGCCATGAGCTCTAGCTACTATAATATATGCTTCTCAAGTAATCAAGAAAAACCAGCTTTAGGAAAATGCAAGTGAGAATTATTTGCCCAGAATTCTGGTTAATGGGTGCTACATGTATGTGTGTTTATGTATGTACATATACTTAGGGAGCTATCTGTGGAAGGTAAGGAGTTCCAAGGTCAAGATGTTTGGAGGACACATGTCAAAAAAAGTTAAACAGATTTTTATTGCAAACATTATCAGTGTCATGAATAGGCTGAGGTGAACAGTGACTCTCCAAGGGAAGAGTTTTAATGGTAGGGTTTATATAGTAGTCCATTTTCACGTTGCTATAAAGAAGTGCCTGATCCTGGGTAATTTATAAAAGAAAGAAGTTTAATTGACTCACAGTTCTGCATGGCTTGGGAGGCCTCAGGAAATTTACAATCATGGTGGAAAAGGAAGTAAACACATCCTTCTTCACACGGCAGCAAAGAGGGGAAAAGTCCCTTATAAAACCACCAGATCTTGTGAGGACTCACTCATTATCATGAGAACAGCAGCATGGGGGTAACTGCACCCATGATTTAATTACCTCCCACTAGGTCCCTCCCATGACAGGTGCGGATTATGGGAACTAAAATTCCAGATGAGATTTGGGTGGTAACACAGTCAAACCATATCGTTCTGTCCCTGACCCCTCCCATATCTCATGTACTCACTTTTTAAAACACAATCATGCCTTTCCAACGGTCCCCCAAATTCTTAACTCATTCCAACACTAACTCAAAACTCCAAGTTCCAAGCCTCATCTGAGACAGGGCAAGTCCCTTCTGCCTATGAGCCTGTAAAATCAAAACCAAGTTAATTACTGCCTAGATACAACGGGGGTAGAGGAATTGGGTAAATAAACCCATCACAAATGGGAGAAATTGTCCAAAAATGGGGCTACAGGCCCCATGCAAGTTTGAAATCCAATAGGGCAATTATTAAACCTTAAAGTTCCAAAATGATCTCCTTCGACTCCATATCTCACATCCTAGTACACTGATGCAAGAGTGGGCTCCCAAGGCCTGGGGCAGCTCCAGTCCTGTTGTTTTGCAGGGTACAGCCCTCTTCCTGGCTGCTTTCACAGGCTGGCATTGAGTGTTAGCAGCTTTTCCAGGCATGTGGTGCAAGCTGTCAATGGACCTACCAGTCTGGGATCTGAAAGATGGCAACCCTTTTTTCACAACTCCACTAGGCCATGCCCCAGTGCAGACTCTGTGTAAGGGCTCCAACCTCAGATTTCCCTTCTCCACTCCCCCATCAGAGGTTCTCCATGAGGGCTGTGCATCTGCAGCACACCTCTGCCTGGACATCCAGGAGTTTCCATACATCCTCTGAAATCTAGGCAGAGGCTCCCAAACCTCAATTCTTGACTTTTGTGCACCTGCAGGCTCAACACCACGTGGAAGTTGCCAAGGCTTGATGCTTACACCTTTTGAAGCCACGGCCTGAGCTGTACTTAGGCCCCTTTTAGCCATGGCTGGAGTTGCTAAGCACAAAGCACTAAGTCCCTAGGCTGCACACAGCAGGGAGCCCCTGGACCTGGTCCTGGAAACCATTTTTCCCTCCTAGGCCTCCGGGCCTGTGATGGGAGGGGCTGCCATGAAGGTCTCTGAGATGTCCTGGAGATATTTTCCCCATTGTCTTGTCGATTAGCATTTGGCTCCTTGTTCCTTATGCAAATTTCTGCAGCATGTTTGAATTCCTCTCCAGAAAATGGGATTTTATTTTCTACTGCATTGTCAGGCTGCAAATTTTCAAAACTTTTATGCTGTGTCACTTCTTAAATGCTTTGCTTCTTAGAAATTTCTTTTGCCAGATACTAAATCATCTCTCAAGTTCAAAGTTTCACAGATCTCTAGGGCAGGGGCAAAAAGCTGCCAGTCTTTTTGCTAAAGCATAGCAAGAGTGACCTTTACATTAGTTCCCAATGAGTTCCTCATCTCCATCTGAGCCCATCTCAGCCTGGACTTCATTGTCCATAACACTATCAGCATTTTGGTCAAAGCCATACAACAAGTCTCTGGGAAGTTCTGGTAGAGGCAGGGGGCAGACAAGGAAGGGTCCCCAGAGAATCTCTGACCTGCCCCACAAGTGTTTATACCAGATGATTTTGTGCAGCTAAAGGAACCTGCACAGGGGGCTTGCCTGGGCATCCCCACAATTAACTGGAGGCCCACATGCACTGTGGGAATGGGGTGGGGCCACCAGGAATCCATGTCTTATGCAGGAGAAGAGCTTGGCCTCCTCAGCTCCTCAGCTTGGCCTCCTGAGCTCAGCTCAGCTCAGTGTGGTAGCCTGGTATTCAATCTGTGAGGTGGGAGTTGGCTGGCAGGAACCCTCTCTTTGCTAAGAGCTCCCCTTTCACTTAATGAATTTCACCCTTCTCACCCTGCAACGTGTTCTCATGCCTAATTTTTCCTGGTTGTGAGACAAGAACCCAGATTTAGTTGAACTAAGAAGCAAAAAATCCTGCATCAGTTCCAAACTTTCCCACATTTTCCTGCCTTTTTCTGAGCCCTCCAAACCGTTCCAACCTCTGCCTGTGACCCAGTTACAAAGTTGCTTCCACATTTTCAGGTATCCTTGTAGCAGCACTCCACTTTCTGTGGTGCCAATTTACTGTATTAGCCCATTTTCATGCTGGAATAAAGAACTGCCTAAGAGTGGGCAATTTATAAAGGAAATAGATTTAATTAACTCATAGTTCTCCATGGCTGGGGAGGCCTCAGAAAACTTGCAATCATGGAAGAAGGGGAAGCAAACATGTCCTTCTTCACATGGCAGCAGGAGAGAGAAGTACCAATCAAAGAGGGAAAAGCCCCTTATAAAATCATTAGATCTCATGAGAACTCACTCACTATCATGAGAAGAGCAGCATGGGGGTAACTGCCCCCATGATTTAATTACCTCCCACTGGGTCAATCCCATAACACATGGGGATTATGGGAACTACGATTCAAGATGAGATTTGGGTGGGGACACACCAAATCATATCAGTTTAAGTATAAGGTATTTGACTAGGACCATACCTTTGTGATGGGGCATGACTTCTTGGTTGCATTTCATTTTGTCCTGGCACCTTAGTAGTTAACAGCTGCTGACTGAATGGCAGCCAGAAGTTCACTACCAACAACAGGTGCATGAGTGCCACCACAGTACGGATCTCCGCCTGGTCCCCAGCTGTCACACCAACCTCATTGTGAGTGTGGAATGTTTAACAATGCGTGGCCATGCATACCAGTCCTGAGGGAGAGAGAGAGACCAAGCATGAGGGAGTACTGGTGAGGCAGCCAGCTGAAAGAGCAAGTGATGACTCAGAAAAGCATACAGAGCCGTTGGGGTTTCTTAACAGGCACTCACTGCACCTAGGAAAGGATAAGGAGAAATTTAATGGACCCTGCTGGGTCTGTTGCTATGTAAATCTCATCTCTGGGGAAGTGACTGGCACAAGAATATCAGATGTCACTGGTGCAGACATTTGGCAGATGTGCCTTGTATTTACCAGCGTGCAACCTGTGAGCAAATTCCAAATGTGTGAGCTTGGGAGTGTGGGCAGATGGGTATGGATATGTGCATATGCCACTTCTTACATCCACTGCCCACAAAGCAGGAGCAAGGTTTAAGAGGTGAAATTTGACATGACATTTGGTGTGCACTGATAGAGACAGTTTAATTTTTGCAAATACTCATTGTCAGCTGCATTTTAGAGGCAAACACCCCATCCATACACACTCTCTCACAAATATGTGAAATGAATCAAATTGCCCATGGCTCCCATGGGAAAAACGTGCTATTACTCTGTTTCCAAAGCAGTTGTCAGATCTCTGGTGATACCTCAAACCAGATACTTGCATTTATGTGACAAGGACTCTTAAAAAGCCTGATAGCTTGTTCCAGGGGAAGGGAAATAAAATAGATAAGTGGAGTTTATTTAAAGTTGAGAGGAACAGAAAGACAGAATATTTATATTGATATGTGATATTTTATCCTTATTATGCATTTTTATCCTGTTTGGTCAATGGACAAATAGTGCTGAATGTAGGACTAATCTTAAAGAAAATGCCCAGAGTACTTGAATTGTATTGAATTAAATTGAATTGGATCAAATTGAATCAAATAGATTTTGTGAGTGCTCACCTATGTCCAAGAATAGGTTATTTAAGACTGATCTTGGATATAGAAGAGACAGCCTTAGCTTGCAGTGTGGCACATAAAGCAAGGAGGAAATGAGATTTATGTCTGTCCTGGGTAAGAGCTGGTAGAAAGCAAGGGGAAGTCTCAGTCTTCAAGGCAAGATCAGAACCAAAGTTAAGTTAAGATCAGAAGCACAGTTTCAGACAGGAAATATATCTGGCTGAGAAAGTAATTTGGAACTTAGAGGCTGGGGAAAATCCCAGAAGCCCGGTACCCAGGGATAATGTTGCTGGGGGTAGGTGTGGATATTAGGGTAGAACAACTGTGATATCTAGACACTTTGGTCAGGAATTGATAACAAGGAAACCCTAAGATACAGACTATGCAACACCAGTTGTAGACCATCATGGTGACCAATATTTCCTGAACTACAGGAGCAGTGGCCAAGGGAACTATTAGGGAAGATGAAATAAAAGCAAGACATGGTTTTGTGCCCTGATCGTGAAAATCCCTGACTCTTTCAATGTACATAGCAAAAACATTGTAAAATGTTTAGATTTCTTTTGTATGCAGTCATAAAACTGAAGCAGAGAAGCCAAGAAAAACACTATTAATATTAAATAAGATGATTTTCACATAAATAATTGCCACATTATTTTTTGCTGTTTATTTTCATATTCACAAGAAGGAATGCATTTGAAAATGAAGGTGGAGTTCTGCTCTCTTTTGCTAAGTAAATGACAGAATCAGATGTCTCTCATGCTCTTGAAAAGATAGTGAATCCATCCTGCCACCTCAAAGTTAAATTGTATAAGCCCCAGCATAAAAGTGTGCTAGACTCATTTTAAAATCTCCATCACTGCATGACCTTGAGCTAACTGTCACTTCATCTTCTAAACCTTCCATTTTCTTTCTTATAAAATTTCCTAAGAGTGATTGCCAGCACTTGCTCAGTGGTCACTGTGTGCCAAATACTGTTCCACATATTTTATCTAAATTCTTCCATTTTAATCCCCATCATTACCCAAAAAACTCAGATGAAAACTATCTCAATTTTAAAGAGGAGGAGTTGAAGTATGTAAAGGATAAAGAACCCATCCAAGTCACATAGTTTCTAAGGGAGAGCACCAGAACATAAACCTAGGCCACTGGGTTTCTAAGTCTGTCTATTTGACCAGCAAGCTATGCTTTCTCCCAGGGAAAATATTTCTTATGCAATATGAATATGATAAAGGTGAAATACATAACAGGTATACAATAAAACCTAGTAAATGTTGTTTTTCTCCTTAGTTTGTCCAGCACTTACCTCCCAACCTCACCCCAGGTTATGGAAAGGGAAGAGGGAAACTGCAGGTATACATGGGTCCTAACTCCTCGGGTGATTCTAACAGACTTCACGAATGAGAACCTTTCCTTCTATGAACCCATTCCCTGGTTTTGTAGCATTCAGCCTCAAGAGATTCCTTCCTGACTTCTGACTTAATTCAAACAGGGGAGACTATAAGGTATTTTCCCCTTGTTTTATTAAAAATTCTGTGTTACAACACTCCTAGGAGTTTATGACTAAGTCCAACATGTCAAAATTGTTTGGTCTAAAATTATTTGGCTTTCTGAAGTCTCTATTTTCTTTCAACTTTGACTTGTGCAATCATTATATAGTTATATCAATGAATATCTCCTGAGTGTAAGTACATTCTGCTTCTTGAATTGCCAGGTACTGTTTCCAAAAATTGGATCCCAATGTGATGTGCTGCTGCATTCAGATCCATTACCTGTTGCTGAGCTGGGCTTATGTGGTCCATCGCTGTATTTGCCTCCTTCCCACCAGAGGCTTTTTTACAGAGAGCTTCAGCATTAGCTGCAATCCTAGTAGACATCTTAAGAGTATGAAAATTGTTACACCAATCTAGAACCATTCAATGTAGCCACAAATTATTGTGGGTTTGGGTGACTAGGTGGCTTTCCGATACATACTTAGAAATGTCAATGTTTTATCATAGCTACATGGATCTAACTTCTGTGCATGCTTATGAGCCATTTTTTATTTTTATTTATTTATTTTTTTATATGGACTCTTGCTCTGTCGCCCAGGCTGGAGTGCAGTGGCGCGATCTCGGCTCACTTCAAGCTCCGCCTCCCAGGTTCACGCCATTCTCCTGCCTCAGTCTCATGAGTAGCTGGGGCTACAGGCACCCGCCACTACGCCCTGCTAATTTTTTGTATTTTTAGTAGAGACGGGGTTTTATGAGCCATTTTAAAGCAATTTGGTACAGTGGAACATGAGAAAAATGAGGAAGAATGACAATTTCTATGAGGAACTTAAAGACTGATATTTTATTTGAATAAAATTGTATAGTGGAAAGTCTCTAGCATCTTAAACGTATGAAGAGATTACTGTTCTCCCAATCCCTCCCCACAGTGGATTATCAATTTTTTGGATGAGCTTTGGAGGATTCATGAGCCCAAAAATGAGGGTAAAATTTTGTAGCTGCGTTTTGGGGGAAGAATTTTATACCTTTTTTTCCCCCAGATTCTCCAAATGACCTGTTCCATGATAAATTAAGGATACAGAGGTAGAAAAAAAAATGGATGTGAGCTCAGTGTCCATGTCTGTACTGAACGGAAATGTAGTCTACATCTATTTTGTTATTTTTACCTAAATAGTTAATTCAAAGTTATTTGCTGAGTGTCTAAGATGCATCATGCATAGTACCAGACACTAAGAATGTGACCAAACATCAGATCCCTTTCTTTGAAAGCAGAAACTTTTTAAAGAGGGAACTCTTTGCTAGGTCTACATTGACTCTTTCTTTTCTTGACTCTCAAGTGTACCTTCTACTCCAGCCTCCCAATACTTTCTTTTCACTTGCAGTGTATTCTCCAACTCCCATCTACCTCTCTGTTTTCCTGGGACTCACTGAGGCTAAGAAAATAATGGGATGGATTTTTGACATGTTTCAATTCTGGGAAGAATCTACACTCTTTCTGGCGTGGTAAGATACAGAAGTTATAGCAGAAAAAGTTTATCTTCATGATGCAAAATCTTTTGTTATATTTTGCTACTCCTATATGATTTCAGACCTCTCTGAAGGCTTCTGTTCTTGTATTCCTCCACTGTCAGATCTCAAAACTCCCATCTCCAACTTAATTAAACTAAAGAGCCTCTGCACAGCATAATAAATATAAACACAGTAAACAGGTAACATAAAGAATGGGAGAAAGCATTCATAAACTATGCATCTGACAAAGATCTAATGTCCAGAATTAATAAGCAATGTAAAGAATTCTACAATCAAGAAACAACCCATTGAAAAGTGAGCAAAAGACATGAACAGACAGTTCTCAAAAGAAGACATATAAGCAGCCAATAAACATATTTTAAAAAAATCCTCAGTATTGCTATGCATTAGAGAAATACAAATCAAAAATCACAACGAGATACAATCTCACACAACTGAGAATGTCTATTATTAAGCCTGGGCAACATGGCAAAACCCCATCTCTACTAAAAATACACACACACACAAAAAAATACCTGGGTGTGGTGGTGCATGCTTGTAGTCCCCACTACTTGGAGGGCTGAGGTGGAGGATCACTTGAGCCCAGGAATTTGAGGCTGCAGTGAACCGAGATCGTGCGACTGCACTCCAACTTGGGCAATAAGAGTGAGACACTGTCAAAAAAAAAAAAGAAAAAAAAGGCTGGGCATGGTGGCTCACACCTGTAATTCCAGCACTTGGGAGGCCAAGGTGGGTGAATCACTTGAGGTCCAGAGTTTGAGACCAGCCTAACCAACATGGAGGAAACCTGTTTCTACTAAAAATACAAAATTAGCCGAGCATGGTGGCACATGCCTGTAATCCCAGCTACTAGGGAGGCTAAGGCAGGAGAATCACCTGAACCCAGGAGGCAGAGGTTGTGGTGAGCAGAGATCACACCATTGCGCTCCGGCCTGGGCAATAAGAGTGAAACTCCATCTCAAAAAAAATAAAAAAAAGAAGAACGTCTATAATGAAAAATAAAACAACAACAGTTACTGGCAAGGCTACGGAGAAAAAGAAATACTTACACACTGTTGCTGGGAATGTAAATTAGTTCAGCCATTGTGGAAAACAGTTTGAAGATGTCTCAAAGAACTTAGAACTACCATTCAACCCAACAATCCTATGACTAGGTACATATTCAAAAGAAAATAAAACATTCTACCGAAAAGACACATGCACACATATGTTCATCACTGTGCTATTCACAATAGTAAAAACATAAAATCAACTTAGGTGCCCATCTATGGTGGGCTAGATAAAGAAAATGTGGTACATGTACACCATGGAATACTATGCAGCCACAAAAAAACTAAATCATGTTCTTTGCAGCAACATGGATGCAGTTGGAGGTCATTATCCTAAGTCAATTAATGAAGAAACAGAAAACCAAATACTACATGTTCTCACTTATAAGTGGGGGCTAAACACTGTACTCACAAACATAAAGATGGAAACAATAGACACTGGGAACTACTCGCAGGGAGACAGGGGACAAAGTTTGAAAAAGTAAGTATTGGATCCTATGCTCACTATCTGAGTGACAGGATCATTTGTATCCCAAACCTCAGCATCACACAATATACTCACATAACAAATCTGCACATATATCCCCTGAATCTAAAATAAAAGTTGAAATTATTTATAAAAGCCACCTCAATTGGATGAGAACTGGACATGATGGCATAATATTTTCCGTATCTCAAAGAACTTATACCAAAATAGTTGGGCTTTAAAGTTTTAGGGAAGAAGATAGGGCAATGGAGTGAATCATTGGAGGAAGTGTGGAATCTCTGCTGACAGAAGCAGTTGGCCATAGGATGCACTTTCATAAGCTAGAATGAAGGTTCTTTTCTCATGGAGTGAGCAAAACCAGATTTATGTGTTAAGTAGTAAGGAGCTATTTTAAAATCTCCACTATCCAAATGACCATGTGTAGCTTGTAACACTTGAACCTGAGATAAAAAGCAGACTAAACATTCTCTAAGGATATGTATATGCCCAACCACTTTTTACTTTTTTGATACAAAAATTCAATAACCAACTCTTAAAGTTAAAATGTGGGATTCAGTCAACATAATAATTTGTGAACAGTTGATTGAATTGTGCATTTTCCAAAGTTAAAGAAGTAGGTGATCTATAAAGGGAGGGAATGAGCATAATGGTACAAGAAAAACCTGAGCTAAAGATAATTACAGCAACTATCAGTTTAGCTCTGAGCTTTGTGGGAGGAAGGATGAGGAAAATGAAGCATACAGATATTTAACATGTTACTGAGCCTGATTTGCAGCATATGGAAGGAGAGAACTTACAGGATAAAATTCTTCTTCATCAATTTACTCTGAGGAAACTGCTAAGCTAGCTCTGAGAGTGCAGTTAATTGCAATGAAAATTTCACATTATAAAATCAATTTTTCTCTAATTTTTATCCATGTAATTGACTCAGAAATATTTAAATATGGTGCTCATTTTTGCTTAAGACTTCACCGCTCATGGACGATATGGTGGCTGCTGCTCTCAGGTCTGATATTGCCCCAAATTTTCCATTTTTTTACTCTACACAAATCCTCAGTTTGGATATTTGTAGGGGTAGAATTTGTCTTAGTATGCCAATATTTGCCTCTAAAGTGGGAGTTCATGTTTTTCAGTCAAAGTACTACTTTGTACACTTATGATTTTATAAGATGAATTAAGGAAAGTTTCCTCTACTCAAAGATGGAATTTGAGATTACAGTTAAAAATTGATCTATATTGATTCTGTAATAATTAGCTTTGTCCAAGAATATAATTGTAAATATTTATGTGAACTATATAATAGTCTGTTTTGGAGACAGGGATACTTTCTGAAGAAAATCTTGATTCATATCTATAGAATCTCTAGGATGCTTACTATTATATAGGACACCATGAGGGAAAACAAAATGGAGCAGCTATTTTTTAATCTTTAAAGCATGAAAATATCATACAATCTTCCCAGTTAGTTTATATCATAATAGATTTGGAGTGATTTTCATTCTTCAAATCTGCTAGTTATGGAAGATGCATGATTCTGAGGAATGGATTCTGAGTTCTTTGAACTCATCTAAGAACACATTGCTAGGACTAAGACAATTTTAAGTTATTTACACAGGTCATTTTGTTACCCCACTGTCTTGGAGGAGACCTTCTGTTCTTGATTCTCTAGGCCAAGATAAAATTTCCAAGGCCTCAGGATCTACCTAAAACCAATTGAACATTCTAGGCTCACTCAGGCTGAAAACCATCCTAAAACTGGATCATAAACCACTAAATAAGAATATGTTTGTCCAAAGCTCACCTTTCATCTAGGCTGGCCTCCAGTATGGTATATATAGTAAGAGATAGCTTATATTTTAATTTTAAAGATTTAATTTGATAAGATCTTAGGATGATTTTTTAGACAGAAATGCTAAAGAAAGACAAGATAGTCACCTTTCTTAAAGAGGGCATATTCTGCCAAACTCTCAAGTATGAAACTTAAAAGAGAGAAAGAACATGGTCTCCTGCATTTAAAGCACAGCAACTCCATCCAACAAGAGCTAATCTCTAACCAAGGCTTTGATTATAAAATTGGCAACTCTGTTTTAGTAAAAGAGCAATAGCACGTTCAATATTATATAAGAGAAAGCGAATTAGCCTCTGAAAATCCTTCCCATTTTCTTCTTTTAATTCATTTAGCTTAACATTTGAGCCTGTACTGAACTGCTGAGGGAGAAGTCAGAGGATTTTCAAAGGACCATGCTCTATCATCATGAGATGTTTCCCCAATTTATAACACTGCACTTCTGTATACTCATTTTTGTCATTCATACTTTACTACAGCACAACTGTAACTACAGAGCCCACATGAAAGGCAGAACATAAGAAGAACATAAAATTCCTGTCTCACATGCATATTTAAGGCAAACATAAACCCCTGAGTGTTTTAGTTGGACTAAAAAAGGCAACAAAGAGTGGAAAATAAGCAAGTTGGTGTTCTATTTGTCATAAGTGACTATGAATTCTAGATTGAGGGTTACTGACTAGGTAAGATTGGAGGCCCCTCTAGGATTATTTGTCCCCAGCTAAAAGAGAGTCTGCTCTGCGTATACCAGCATTTTTCTTTATATTCCAAGATGCCATTTCCACAAGTACCGTCATCCCCAAGTAAAATTCCACTCTGGGGATTTATATATAGGACATAAAGCTGCAGTTAGCCTTTGCCATATTTTCAAATCTGGCTCTTGCTCTTTCATAACCAAGCACACCTAATATCAGCATATTTTTCTCTAAATTTTTCTTTTCTATTTTTCTTCCCAAGGCAGAAACTTTTTTTTTCCTCCTGCTAACCTGAAAGAGCTGGAGATGCTGAAAATACCATAGAGAAGTTGATATTTGCTTCCTTTCACATTTAAATCTTTTTTACTTCTCCTCCTATTTTTCTACCTTTACTCCTCCTTCCATCCTTCAATTCTTTCTTTTCCCAAATTTAAAATATCTTGACTTCTTTGAATTATGCTTCTTTCAGGTCCTTCAAATATTAAACTATATCAAAGAATGAGTAAGGGCAGGTAGCTCACATGAAAATACAAAGGAAGCCCTGTAGCTTTTTGCTACATTTCTTATCCTACAGTGTCATTTTTCTTTTTTCCTACTGTTCAAGGATATGGGTATTCTTCTTTTAAATTTTTATCAGATAATATAGCATCTATTTTTTATTTCTTCTTGAGACATTTATCAGTCAGGCTGCATAACAGGTCATGCTAAAACTGAATGACTTACATGTATTAATCTAACAGTTCTATCATTGCCAATTTGCACTGGGCTCATTTGGACAGTTCTGATGATCTGTGCCAGGGTTGGTTCGTCTCAACTGGGTGCATTCATTTGTCAGGAGTCAGCTTCCAGACTGGTTGAGGGCATGCTGTTCAAAGATGGCCTAGATGGAATGGTCTGTTTTATGTACTCTCTCATTCTTCAATAGGTTAACCCCAGTGGCCAGGGCAAGATATTCAAAGGGTGACAGGAAAGGTTCAGCCTCAAAATTCACAAAAATGGCATTTGGCTGCATTTTATTGAATCATTCAAGTCAAAGATTAGAAGGAGAAGGAATACATAGGCCCTACCTCTTGATGTCAGGTGAAAAGTTTGCAACCATTTTCATAATGTACTACAGAAAATGGAGGTAGTGTAATGTGGCTCTGATGTTTGAGTTTGGAGTCAGAATATCAGGGTCAAATCACATCTCCAAACTTATTACTTTTGTATCAGTTCCTTGTTTTCTATGGCTTCATCCCACATGTAAGTGCTTGGTGCCTAGTAAGAAAATATATTTTAGCTATTGCCATACTATTGTCATTATTTTTATTATTACAGTTTTTAGGCCTGACTCTTAATTTACATATACAATGATTAATCCATAAATTTTTAGATAGCTTTTACATTAAGGCCTTGTGAATTCCATTGAGACCCACAGCATCTTTGTCTTGAAGAAATACTATTGTTATATCTATGAATCACATGTTTACATGATCCACAGAGGGCAAAGGTGACTCTACTCTCCTGACTGTATGATGAACACAATTAATTGATTTTAGCATTTTTTTCCAGATTGTTTTGAACAGACCTGCAGAAAGCCACTACAAGTTGACCAAAGGTGGTATATATTTACCTCCCCAGCAATAATTTCAAAAACCTGGGTAATGTTTCCTTCTATATTTATTTAAAAGTCCATTAATTCTATTGACTTCTAAGTAAGTAAAGGTAATCTAAACTAGTGGTTCTCAAACATTTTGGTTTCAGTATTTATTTTCAGTTTTACAAATCATAGAGGATGCCAAAGACCTTCTGTTTATGTGCATCATATCAACATTTATCATATCAGAAATTAAAACCCCAAAGTTATAAGTAAATTTTAAAATATCTATAATATACTAATTATATGTTGATTCATATTTTATGTTAAATATCATGTTTAACATAAAATAGTACCATATTTTTATGTTAAAAAAACTTCTATTTTCTCAAAAAAAAAAAAAGGTATTGAGAAGAGTGGCATTGCTTTATACTTTCCGCAAATATATTTGAAGTCTGACCACAGACAACAACTAGATTATCATGTCTATTTCTGTAGTCAATTTCTCGTGATATTTTGTTTTGGTTTAAGTACATGAAGAAACACCAGACTTACAGAGTTATATTATCGGAAAAGCAAGGACCTCATGACAGGGCCTCAGGAATCCTCACTGGTGCTCAGACCACATGTTGAGAGTAATTTATTTAAACAGTCTATTCTCCAAGTAATTGGAGGGAGCCCTAATGGTAACATAGAGGAAAGGGTAGAATAGAGAATATTTTCAGGTGGGAGCATGGCCTGTCCTCAAGGAGCAGGAGCTATCATGGACATTGACACAATTGTCTTCCATACTGCCTCCACCTCCTGAAAACTACTTTCCCACCAGCCACCTGAGCTCTGTGAGGCCCCCCCAACACCAGCTATGGTTGCTAGGGCCATAGGTAGATATCCACACCTGACTGTGCCAACCAAAGTCCTCTCAGAGACTTGGAATTGATGGAGTCCACTTCTCCAATGGCACAAATTATATGCTGCTGAAATTGCTAGCAGTTGTTTCCCACTAGAGGGAAAATGCCAGTGTGTGTTTGTAAAAATGAAGCAGCACGTAGGGGTGAAGGAAGCTGGATTAACAGTTTCACAGAGGGTTCTTGTATCACTCGATTCCCTAGATCTAGAAATGAGATTTAAACAAATGTTCTTATTGTCCTGGAAAGGGTGCCTGAAGGCAATCGACAGCTGGCATGGGGAGAATGAGACAGTTGATTTAAAGAGGAAATTTAAGTTGCAAAGGCAAAAGTTCTTGTGAAGGATAAGGACTCATCATCAAAAATCAGGGTGATTATGAGGGAGCAGCTTGGCTTATAGGTAAGAGAATATGCAGGGCACACATTCTGAAAGTTAGAACTCTTGCTTCTTTCATACCACTGACACTTTCACTAAGTCAAAGAACAGCAAATAAACAAATGTTAATATAATTTTGTGAAGATTCAGCGATGCATTTATAGAGGAATGACGTTTGTAAGCCACTTAAACTCCCTGAATCTGATTACTGATCTGTTAAATGAGAGTCATAAAATAGAACTAATAAATTAAGGCCTACAGAGGAAATGTAAATAAACTGATTATGACACTTGCAGGAAATAAGGGACTAGGGATTTGATTCAGCTGTGTGTCTAAAATATAACACATTTAGATTTAAAATTTCACCAAATACCTTAGTGCCATGCATTTCATAGACAAAACAGGTAGCAGACGTTTAGCTTTTCACTGTTTAGGTGAACATTTTTGATAGCTTATGTAACCAGGGTTCTAAAGAACTCTTGGGTGGTCCTGAGTTTTCTACCTGAGATGAAAAGGAAAATAACCTCTACATTTCTCCTTGCTCTCTCTTGCTCTCAGTGAACTTGATGGGCTTGACTGTAGTTGAGGAGATCCCTTTCAATAAAGCCACATATATATCACATCATTACAACAATCTATGGATAGAGAGTGCTATCAGATATGCTGGTTTTTATTCTTCACAGAAAACTCAAGCAATCAGTTCGTTGTTGTCCCCATTTATAAATAAATCTCAGAAAGTAAAATGCCTTTCCAAAGGTCATGCATCAAGTCCCTGACAGAGCCAGACCTCAACGGCAGCTTTTCTCTCACGTTCTTGCCTGCAGCTACAGTCCTAAATGGGACAACATGACCACTTGGTAGGCTTATAAGTGTTGTTTGATTATCAGAGTGTCAGACGGCTGCTTAGAAAAATATTTTCAACACAAAATTCCTATGGTAAAATTTGCTTAACATTTTCTTTAGAAAAAATTAATTTGAGTCTTTTGTTAATTTCATATTTTATTTAGCACTTATTACATATATGCACCAAGTTTAGTGAACAAAGTCATTACCAAATTAACAGTAAACAGAATTTAAAATGTTCTTTTTCATTTCTATGATGGAATTATTGGCTTTTATTCCTAAGGGTTCCAAAGCACTAAGATAATTATATAGTATAAGATGATGATGATGATAATGATGATTATTATTATCTTAAATACATGAATAAATCTTCTTTTTGGACTTGATTCCAAGCCTCTCCAGGCTCTTTTATGCTCATATCTAAATAAAGTAATTAAAATTGAGGTAAATTAGTTTGTTGTTGTATCTTAATATTTATGTGTCTTGAAGTATATTTAGAAAGGTGGCATTAATACCTTATTACTGGGCTTTTGGACATTTGTCACATCCCAATCTCTCCATCTATAAAGTGCAAATCACACTGACTTAACTCACAGAATTGCTTTGTAACACAATGTATGACATCAAGGCATTTTGCAATTACAAAGTGCCACATATTGACATATTGAATTTGAGGGTCTCTAATGCATTTAAAGAGCCCAATTTGGAGGTAGCTTCTAAGAATACAAAACATGAAGAAGAACAGATGCATTGAGGCCCTGATACAGCACATGGTCTACTGGGTGACACAAAGATGGATCAAACATTAAACAAATAAATAAATGTAAAATTGAAACTAGGATGTTGTGGGAATCTGACTTAATGAAGGAAGGTTTTCTAAGAATATAATGGTCAAAGTGAGTTATAAAGTTCTGTTAGAAGTGAAGTTATCAGATAGAGAGACAGAGAGGGAGGACCTGCAAATAAAAAGCACAACATATATTGAGTTCTGCGGATAGGAAAAAGCACTGCATGAACAGCAGAGTCGGAAGACAAAATAAGTGGAGGATGTCCTGTGAGATGACACTCACAAAAAGGCACACATGGACTTCGATGTCTGTAAATGATTTTAACTTTATCTTAAAAGAAAATGCAATTATTTTAATTGATGGTAGATGCAGACAGTTAATCATATAACATTTTGAAAATATCTCTCTACTTTTAGTGTGGCAAAGAACTTAGAATGGGAAGAGGATATGAGGAAGAATATGAAAGTATTGTGGTGCTCTGATGCTGGTAGATATGTCAAAGAGTACCTGGGTGGAAAAGGGGAAAAGCAGGGTGATTAGAGAGATAATTAGGAGTAAAAATTGAAAGAACATGGGACTGCATCGAATGGCAATGGTTACTGAGAGGGAAGCATCAATATGTTTCTGGCTTATCAAAGTACATGGATGGTGATAATATTCATTGCAATAGAGAGAATTAGAAGAGGCTCTGGCATATCCTCTGAGGGGGGAGCTGGGAGAGGATATGGGCATATTGAATTTGAGGGTCTCTAAAACGCCCCAGAGAATATGTGAGATGCTCATTTGACTATTTGAGGCTGTAATTTGAAGGAGATATCTAGAAGGAGGTATAAAAAATGGAGTTACCTATATACGGAGGAAGTCAGATTAAACATTTTACTGACCATGGGTTTCAATGTTTAGAAATTCCAACATTTAACCATGAAAAAAATAATGTAAATAAGGTAGACAAGGAATGTTCAAGAGGAAAAAGGAAAAATAAGAGAATATTATGCCACAGAAGGCCAGACAAGAGTCTGTTTCAAGAAAAGGAAAGGATCCATAATTCTGTCCAGTAGATTTTGCTTTTGCCTTAAAGATGGTTAAAATTATAATGTTTATGATGATTATAATCATAATTTGCATTCTAATAAGTCCTAAGGAACAACCCTATCACTTTGAAAATATTGCATTTTATATTATACATAATAAGGATACACTGAAGTGTTTTATTCAGAGGGTTGTAATAAAAAGTTTGTATTAAAGAACCATTATTCTTGTGCCTGTGTGAAGGATAGATTTCAGAAGAACAAGACTGGAACAGAGAACTTTTATAAGATTATTGTAATACTGTAGGTAATAGTTTATGAGGGATTGGAGAGTATTAAATGTTGACATAAAAAAGAATAAACTCTAAATACAATTAGATAGTAAAGTTATCAGAATTTTATAGTAATTTATCTGTTTTGTGTCAAGAAGAACATTGAGACAGAGATGAGGCCAAATTTCTAAGATAGGGTTAAGTAAAAATGCCAATTGACGTGGAATACTCAAGAAATACAGGATTAAAATGATAGTATTGAATTGGGTTTGGAGCATATTAAGCTTGAGATATTAGCATCTCTGCAATTATTTCTAGTGAATAACTCAAAATGACTCTGAATATGGAATGAGGGAAGAACTGTACTGGAGTTGGGAATTATCAGCATATTTGTTACAAATAAATTTATGAAAGTTGTGAAAATTCCCACAAAAATTGCAAAATGAAGAGAGCTATATGACAGTCCACTAGAAAGCTGCAAAATTTAAGGACCAGATATCAGAAGAGGATGCCACCAAGAGTCAAAGGAGGAATATCAAAGAGGTAGGGAGATAATCTGTAGAGGATGCTTTCAGAACAGAAAAAAAAATTATTAAATTATTAAAGAAGTACTCCTACCAGCCGGGCATGGTTGATCACGCCTGTAATTCCAGCAATTTGGGAGGCCGAGGCGGGCAGATCACAAGGGCAGCAGATCAAGACCATCCTGGCCAACATGGTGAAACCCCGTCTCTACTAAAAATACAAGAATTAGCTGGGCGTGGTGGTGCATGCCTGTAATCCCATCCACTCGGGAGGCTGAGGCAGGAGAATCGCTTGAACCAGGGAGTCAGAGGTTGCAGTGAGCCAAGATTGTGCCACTGCACTCCAGCCTAGTGACAGAACAAGACTTCATCTCAAAACAAAAACAAAAACAAAAACAAAAACAAAAACGAAGTAGTCCTTTAAAAATCAGCTTTAAAATTTAGAGAGCAAAAACAATATTTGGGGCATTATAGTTTGAAAATTGTCAGATATCTGGAATTATATTAGTAGACATATTCTTAATTGAATGAAAGACTAACACAAACTTGCAGATTTAAACATTTAGAGAAAAGTTCCCCTAAAATGTCATTTCTCTCCACAGATCATTATTAGAAGCTTCCAGGGTCATAGAAATGCTTATAAGAAGTGAGACACAAAGTCTCAAAGAAAAGTACTTGTGGTTAGAAGTCTTTCCTTTCTTGTCCTCATGGTTAGGCTTTAGTGTTGTGTTTAAAAGAGAAAGAGAGTGTGAAGGAGATGTTGTCCAGAGATATATTTTAAATGTGAAGACAATTTCAAAGGCAATTCCTCATTTGGTCACCGCAGTCATTGAGTCTGGAACTCAGCTTTGCTAGTTAGGAAATATGATGTCTTCAAGGTACTAAAAACTAACTCAGAAGAGGTGACTTTATTAACCAAACTCTCAAATGAATTATTAACAATCAGGAAACTAATTTAATTACTTTGACTTTGAATTTACGAATTTCTTTTATGTCCACCAATGTAGGCACTTTTCTAGGGTAATCAGAAGTCATATTAAACTAGAAGGGATCTGGTAAGGCTTCAGGGAGCAGAGAGTAGAAAGGTTTTAGGCATAAGTCGGACAATCCCTGGAAACACCAGTTAAAATATTCTTGCCCCACATTACAGTTTATTTCCAAGATCCGTAATTTTCATTGCTTTGTTCAGTGGTTCTTCCTTAGATAGTCTTCCAAGGACACTGAGTACTTCTTTTGTTTGTTTGTTTGTTTTTGTTCATCTTTCTCTGAACACCATTCAAACTACTTTCTTTTATAAGCACATCAACTTATAAAATAAAATGCATTGTTAGAAAGTTTGGGACTCAGGCCAGCATCTATTTATGGGTTGAGTGACCTTGAACAAGTTAAATTACTTGAATTTTTTTTTTTTTTTGGTCTTCAGTGCTATAGGTGAAAAACAATACCTAGCTTTCAGGTATATTGTGAGATTAAAGGAGATAATGCATCTAGTCCTATACTTCACACATAGGAGACATTCAATAAAATATAGACGTTGTTTCTTCATAGATCTTATTCATTCTCTTTCTGACTCCTTTCTCTTGCTAGTATTTTGTCCCTAGTTTCAGCTGGGCATTGTTTCCATATAGCCATTCACCTCAATAAACATGCAAGCTTCCAGTGATCATGTGCTGATACTAACAGGTGAAAGGTAGGAAGTGACTATAAGAATTGTATGCATTTAAGTGTTATTTCTTTAATTTTTAAAACATGTCAACTATTTTGAAATTAATAGAAATCAAAATGTGTAATAGCATCATATGAAATGCTGACTGAGCATGTTTTTATTTCATGAAGTACTTCTAAATTTTAGGAGTTATAAAAATGTGTAAAAAATATAAGAAACTCTAGAATAATTTTAGTTCTTAGTAAAATTAGGAGAACTAAAATAGACCGTAACTCTCAAAAACAAAACAAAAAAAACCTCTATAATCATAATAAGGATAAGACAATTCTAAAAAAAGAAAGAATAATTGCAAACAAAAGTAATAAGAAAACAATGTGGTACTAATCAAAGAGGAATGCCAGATGTGAATAGTCAATAAATTATAATCAACATGGAAAAACAAAACAAGAGAAAAGTATATTACAACTGTGATGTAATGCTAGCTTCTAAAGACACAGCTAATAACAGCAAATAATCGTTAAATGTTCCTATGATGGCAGATTTTTACTCAAATAACTCTGTCTGATATTTTGTCTATTCTGAGACAAAGTGTTCACATGTGAAACATCATCTATAGTGATGCAATTTAGTAAAAGTCACTGAGATTAATTTATCTCCGGTATCTAGTCACAGATAACTATAGTGTTACTCTCATAAGAATTTAATCATGTACTCAGTGTATTCGAATTTGAGAACAGAACTGTTGTCTTTACAATTTAAATATAGACATAAATTAAAGGTATTAATATGTAATGTTGTGTATGAGATGATGGTAGACCTGTGCATTTTAACATAAATAAAACCAGTTGTTCCTGTTGTTAATGGCTCTTGGTATTGTTAAAATTATCATTGATAAAGGATAACTCAGGAAAATGATTAGAATTGATTATGACTATGTCAATTTTATCCATGTATTATAATTGTTTAAATTATAGCTTTTTTTAGTTACAACTTCAAATATATTGATAAATTTTACCTTCCAGAGATTTGCCCTGGGCATTTTAACTGATCCCGGCTCTGTTATATATTCTCAGTCATAAATTTCAGGACTCTTCCTGAGGGTAGGTCATTTTAATTCTGATTTTACGTGAGTTTGACTTGCTTAACATTCTGTGGTTGAAATTATTTTTATATGTACTTAAAATACTCCATATTCCATGAATCATTTCAAAGATGGTCACAATGGAATAAAATTGAAACTAAAATTATATATTTTAAAATATAATGTAATATATGCTGACAAATATAAATAACCTAAATAACCTAAAAATATAAGACATTTTTAGGTAGATGAGTAGGGTGAGGCTTTTTCTGCAAATTCCTAAAACTGGGATGCTCATTTTGCTTTGAGCAAAAAGAAAAAAAATGTGGTTAATTTTAGTTACATTGGCCTTGATAGGGGAAAAATATATATGTATATATAGAAATGTATATATATAAAGAAATATATATAGAAACATATATATATATATACACACATATATATAGTTTTGTGTGTTTGTGTGCATATACATATATATACCTGAGAAGCAGATCTTTTTTGGGGAAGACTATTTAAAGCTATCCTAATTTCAATCTTTTGTGATATGGGGATGGGGCTAGCTTCATCTCAGGAAGTCAATTTAGAGGATATAATATCACCCATTACATTTCAAAGCACTACAGGGTGATTCCACTAGGTTTTTCAAGTTTTACTCGTGATACTGCTGCTTGTAGAGGTTTTGACTTTGAAAGTTCAGGCATTTTTTTTTAACTTTTATCCATGTGCAAAGCACATCTTGAGTTTCTTTAATGTAGCTTGCAAGCTTGTTCTGTATTTATTTCACCCCTGCATAGCTCAAAAGTAGCGGAACAGATTGTGCTCAGATTGGGCAAAAGCAATTACCAAATTCTTAGACTAGGACTAGTCATGGTCCCAGACGATAAGTTTGGGGAAAGCCAGGATAGCACGTAAATACAGGGTTATTAAAGGTTTTCATTGACAACTTAGCAGCACAGTGCTTCCTAGCACAGATTTTCTCATAAGGGTCTGCAATGTCACTTCAGAAGCTGGGCAGCACATTTTACACTCTGCACTAACTTTGGTTTTAACATATGCTCCTGGTCTTATGCTCATTACAAATTATAACAGCATGACAATAGTCAATAATAAATATTAGCTTAGCACTTGAACATTGGCAAAGTGCTTTCATTATTATGTTCTCCAAGAGATCCTCATAACCCATTGTGTCATAAATTATTTTTTGCTCCTTTTACAGGTAAGAAAACTGAGACTCATAAGATTAATAAAATATTCCACAGCCCCTTCAGCTCATAAGAGATAAAGTCAGGACTCTAATCTAATTCTTTATTCATTCCAATAATTCTATCATGAAAGTTTACTTTGTGTTAGGCACTGTACCTGCAAGGAAGATGCAGCAATAAATGAGACAAGCAGAGCTTCTTTCTTCATGAAACGTACAAAGCTGTGAAAGAGATGCACAAAAAAAAATCATGAACTATTATACTCTTATTCATCATAATAAATGTTCTAAAGAAGGAGCTCAAGACACTCTGAGAAGAGAAAACATGGAAACTATTGAGATTGAGTGAACTCTATGAAGAAGATGCAATTAAGTTGAGACAAGAAGGAGTGGACAGGTTTCTAATTCCACAGCTCACGTTTTAACATTACCCTCAGACTAACTTGGAACAATATTCTGACAATGACACAAAGAAACTTCACATGAGAAAATAAAGCCCTCAACTTTGTCCTTATTGAAAAATAAAAAGGACCTTGCTGGTGTCTACAAAATCCTTCAAAATGAATCCTTCAAACTGAAAATACATGTTTTTATCCCTCAGTCTACATATATAGAATCTATAGATCCAGTTATGTAGTCAAAACTTACTTCGTTTTTAACAATATCCAGATTAATAGGAAAGAATATAATTGCATTTCCTTCTCTTGAAAGAACTTCTGGATTCTAAAACCAGATGTGAGAGATTTCCTTTAGAAGTCCATGTAACATTTTGTCTAGTGTCCCCTCAAGACACTTTTATCTGCCTTTGGTACACTTATTTCTGCCAAGTTATACTGTCCATAGAAGCAGAGACCATGATGTTTTCACATTTGCATTCTGAAAGATGAGCTGTGTCAACATTTAGTGTGTAATTGAATTGATGGATGGAGATATATAACATGTATATGGGAAAAATACATGCATATTAGGAACATGGTTTGGCATATAAAGCAGGGGCTGCAGCATCTGATTGATCTAGATTCAAGTCCTCATTCCACCTTGTCTTACCTTGTTTACTTAAACGTGTCTCAGCCTTGAATTCTCTGTCTGTAAAATGGATACTAGCATCTTCCTTATAAGGCTCTTAGTTTGTTGTAGAGAGAAAACACAATTTACATGAAAGGGAGATTCAACCTCCCACAAATTGGTAGCAACTATTGATTTCCTATAATCATCTTTCAATATGGTTGTTCATCACTTATAGCTATTTGGAAGCTGGTCAAGGAAAATA
Organism: Homo sapiens; assembly: GCF_000001405.40. NCBI lineage: Eukaryota > Metazoa > Chordata > Mammalia > Primates > Hominidae > Homo > Homo sapiens. The sequence goes on from NC_000003.12 coordinate 35,413,604, forward strand.
GGGGGGATGTCCTGAGTGTTAGGATATTTAACATATTTGAAGATGTTTGTGCTATAACAACATGTAATAATGAAAAAGGTGCTGAGTCATTAATAAGCAAATTACTAGATAAGGATTATATTTCACTCTGAACAACAATTAGCCGGTCTAGCATTGTTAACTTATCAAAATGCATTATGATATTGTGTTAGCCCATTCTCACATTGCTATAAAGAAATATCTGAGAATGGGTAATTTGAAAAGAAAAAAAGTTTAATTGGCTCTTGGTTCTGCAGGCTGTACATGGAGCATGGTGCTGGCATCTGCTCAACTTCTAGGGAGGTCTCAGGAAACTTACAGTCATGGTGGAAGGTGAAAGGGGAGGCTCATCACTTGGCCAGGTCAGGAAAAAGAGAGAGAGGGAAGGTGCTACACACTTTTAAACTACCAGGACTCATTAGAACACACAAACTATCACAAGGACAGCATCAAGGGGATGGCGCTAAACCATTCATGTGAAATCTGCCCCCATGATCCAATCATCTCCCACCAAGTCATACTTCCAACATGGGGGATTACAATCTGACATGAGATTTGGTGGGGACACAGATCCAAACCATATCAGATATGAATGATACTATTTTCTAGGTTTGTAAGATTATTGTTGGATATGTCTAAAAATAATTACAATGCCATTGGATACAGACTGAAATCATTTAAAAATCTCTCTACTTATATAAAATCACCTCTCCTCAGTTTTTATGGATATCTTTAACACCTTTTATCCCTAATGAATCTTTCTGCTGGCTTTGCAATTGATTAAAGTAAACAAATATTCCATGCCAGTCTCTGAGCCCTGCCCTGACTCACAGAGAGAGAAAGGGAGTGGGAGGCAGTCAACAACATGAATTGAGGGAGAAATGTGAGTTCATGCTGTTAAGCTGAAGCAGGGATGCTAATCCTCAAACTGCATGGGGAGAAATCAATAAATCCAAACCAATAATAATAATAATAATAATATATCTTTGGTGTTTCACACTGGCAAAAGGTAACATGAGCAAGAGAAATTATAAAGAGACAACATCTTTTCTGTAGCATATCATCATCACCAATACTAGCTGCATTTGTCCTTATAAAGAAAAACAATACAATAGACTTATTTAGATTATCACAAACTTCTAGCTGTTGTTTACGCCACTTAAATGTTGCCTGTCTGGAATGTGGTAGACAATGGCCTGATGATTATCATCATTATTACTATTTTCAGTCTTTCCACTTTCCTCTTGAGATAACTGCTGTCTAAGATCATATTCAAGTAAATGGGACCTAAGTTGGTTCCAGCCATGCCTGGGCATTTCTTTGTAGTCTTAACTGTCACACACTGATGGACCACACCACAGAGCTCTCTTAGTAGAATACTTTGGCTCATGCATTTAATACACTTGGGTGTTCCCACCAGCTTTTGCTAGTAGATCCCACTTGGTGCTTAGCTGATAATTGCAGGGAAAACATGGATCATTCTCATGTTCAGCTGTATCAGTCATGGCTTTCATCCATCTGGCTGACACAACATCTGTTCAGGAATCTTTTGAAAGACAATATTTTCCTTGGTTTGTCATCACCAGCAATCAAAAAGGATGGCAAAGTCCTAAATACTGGTTGCCCATAAGTAACAGATTATAGGAAAAGGGCTTCAATATTGGGGACAGTATGCTTCAAGTGTTTTGGTACCAGTTGAGCAAAAATATTTGAATTGAGTGTACCTGACTCATGCTTTCCTTCTCAGTGACTATGGAAACCTCAGCCCGGTCCACGCTGTGCACATGCAGTAGGGTAAATATCTGTTAGAAATGTCTAGGGAAAGAGAATCTTCTAAAATTTGTAATCCAAAGTTTTGATGAAGGGCTGAATCAGGGTTTAATGAGGCTAGAAACATGCCACTAAAATAGCCTGGAATTTTTCTCTGACATTGCAGCCAAAGTAGTTGAGGCTGTGAGTACTCTGAATCACAACAGGCACCTACTGTACCTCTTCAAGTAGATAGGCCAAAGATCACTTCATGGATGCTCAAAGATTCATGGATGCACACACATGTGAACACTCATGACCTTGGCCCTGTTGCATGCATTACCTTCCTCCCTAAATTCCCTTCTCTCCACTCTGCTCTCACTACAAACTCTGCATGCCTAGAGGCTACTTATTTTTAAAGCTCAACTAAAACCTCACTTACTGTACGTAGTTAACCTGGTTATCTTCTGACAGATGCAGTTCTTTCTTCCTCTGAATCCACAGAGCATTGTTTCTGATCTGATTTTCTCTAAGGGCCTTTTTTTGCCTGTGTTAAAGTTAAAAGTGAACATAGTTCACTCATTTCCCAGTAGAATAAGACTATCATAACTCCTGTATTTGCCATATTGTTGGCCCTCAGAAAATGAATGTTAAAGGAATGTAAATCACTAATGAACACAATATGCAAATTCAAGCCCTAATATGTGCAGTAGAGATAACAAAGATCAATATGCCAGTGCCAGATTAAATCCTCAAGATTCCTAAAAAATCTGAGTGGGTTCTTCAAGCATTGTTAGTGCTTCAGTGGAGGAATATGTGTTTGTCACATCAAATCCTGGCTGATTAATTAGCACAGCTGGCTGTTTTGGATTTCCAATAATGAGTCAGCACTACCCCTATCAGACAGTGTAGCAAGACCCAGGAAAGCAGAGTCTTCACTGGAGTGGGACTCCAGGAACAGATAAACAGATGATCAAGTACAAAGGCTAAGTGAGAAAAAGACTTCTTAATTCTTTGCAAACTGGTTGTGGCTTACTTAATGTTGAGTTTAGCTATATTGGCAAAGTGTGTACCGATTTGTTCAGCAAGCCCTTATTTTTTATTTTTTTTTTATTTTTTATTTTTTTTTTTTTGAGACGGAGTCTCGCTCTGTCGCCCAGGCTGGACTGCGGACTGCAGTGGCGCAATCTCAGCTCACTGCAAGCTCCGCTTCCCGGGTTCACGCCATTCTCCTGCCTCAGCCTCCCGAGTAGCTGGGACTACAGGCGCCCGCCACCGCGCCCGGCTAATTTTTTGTATTTTTAGTAGAGACGGGGTTTCACCTTGTTAGCCAGGATGGTCTCGATCTCCTGACCTCATGATCCACCCGCCTCGGCCTCCCAAAGTGCTGGGATTACAGGCGTGAGCCACCGCGCCCGGCCTCAGCAAGCCCTTATTGATAACATTGCTGGGTTCTGTGGGAGGGTATCAAACAAACAACAAAAAAGATCCATCATTGCCAGCAGGATTAAATGCTGTGAAACAACTGGACTCATACATACACATCATTTAATTCTTTATTATTTTTAAGACACCATTTTCTTTCAAAGCACTCAAGTTCTAACCTAATAGTCAATGCTATTTGTACCTTACTTCTAGCATTTATTTTGTTGCCATATCCAGTTTCATAGTTTGCTTACCTATTTGCTGGTTTATTTATTACTTCTGTATTCGTTTAATATGTTAGCTGTGGATTGTGGGGGTTATGCAGTGCAGGTGGTCAGACTTTGACCATGTTTTGTTGTCCCTTCTCTGCTATGATAATACTCCTGTAACATTTGTCTACAGAGTGGACGTTTTTTTTGGCTCCTGGAATCTCAGAGTTGTAACCTGTTTTAATGTCAGTTAGTTCAGGCATCTCTCTAATGGATAAGTGCCCTTCCAGGAAGCAGACACACACACTCTGATTGGCATGTGCAATGTGGCAGCTTCCAATGTCAGGAGCTTACTAAATCCCTGTGTAAAAATGGCAAAGTCCTCTTACAGATTATTTTCATTTTAGAGACTATTTTGCTTATGTGGTTGGTTGTGTTTTGTTTACTTTCTTCATTTATTTGCCATCTTTTTTTTATATTGGGCTCCAATCGACCTGATTTCAGGATTAGACTTTACCTTATCTGTCTACAGTTCATCTCTAGTCAGAATTCCCAAACTAAATAAGTCAGAAATTCAGTAAGTAGTCTTGAAAAGGAAAAGTACCCGTTTTTCCACGAGAATGGAACCCATGGCTTTAATCATATTATTACCATGTACATTTTGACTCTGAGTTTAAACTGCAGCTTCTCATTTAAAATGTGGGTCCTTGGATAATATTCTTAAATTCTCTAAGCCTCAGCTTCTGAGAATTTATCTTCAAAATTTGGTTAGTGATATCACCATTGTCTTCCTCGCATGATTATTGTGTTGGCCAAATAAATTAATGCTTATAGAAGTGCTTTATAAGCTGCCTGTATACCTGTGAAATACATGCTAATTTTCATGCAGATTATTACCCTGAAACAGAGTTCCTAAGTGTCTATGTGACTGTGGAAGAGAAGAATAATTCCAGACCTGCAATCCACCAGAATACACTTTCATTAGGAATATTTGGATGACAAATGTCACTATTAGTCTCAATGTAACCCCTTTAAATGCCTCAGGAACATTTGGGTATGGAAGGTTCAAGAAAGGCTGCCTCAGGTGTCTTCTCATAGGCTGAGTTTTATCCTGGCTATCTTGATACTCCAGCTCTGTTTCTTTTGGCCCTGTATCTTGTCCTCTATTTCCATAGATTCTAGAATCATGTCCAGGCTGTAGCCGGAAAAAAAAAAAAATCTTTTTTTTTGGCTTATTGATCTATTCATAAAAATTGCATTGCACTTAAAAGGTACCTTTAGCATGTGCCTAAACACTCACACTTTGACACGTTCCCAGATTTGTCATTGATGTGTGGATAATTACTTACAACTAGAAACCACTTAACAGATACCTGAGGTGCCTCTCCTTTTGCTCAATTGGCTGCTGCATGGATGGTCCATGTTTTTTGCTAGGAAACACCCTTTCCTCCACTTGAGTCTACTCCCCTCCATTTGCAGACCTTGCCCCTGATATGACATCCATGGGAACATATCTGTCATGTAATTGAGGAGGTCGCGGCCTTGGGAAATGCAAGTGTTTGGCCTATACCCTTGCGTTGCCTGTGCAGTGAACACTGAAGAAATCACATTATTCATTGTCGTGGTTAAATGAGGAGCAGTGTGTCTAGGATTTGCTGGTGTAGGATTTTTCATTTAATTAAATCTGAGTTTATATCTGCCCAAGAGACCTCACTGATAAAGGGAGGGTGCTAAAATAGCTTTGTCGGTATTGAAGTCCCACAATAACTTTTTCCTGATATAATTAAAGTTTGTCCATTGATTTCAGTTCACAGGGAAGGTTATTGTTTTTGAGCCAACATTATCATTGCTACTTCACATTTATGGAGAAGCTTTATTGGTTCTGTGACCTTGGGCACGTTACTTAACCCCTCTGACTTTTCGTATAAAGCAGAGTTATTAATGACTTTCAAACAGAGCTGTTGTCAGGATTACAATACATTTTTAAAGATGTAAAAGACTTGCTACCTAAAAAGGTAACTCACCTGAATTATCTCAGTTTATCCTTACAATCTCAGTGGGTGGAGAATAGGTTGTGTGTGTGTGTGTGTGTGTGTGTGTGTAAACTCACAAGAGGATTCGAGTTCAGAGAAATGGAGTAAACTGTTTAATGCCACAAGGCTGGTAGGCTGCAAAAATAGATTTCCCTCTGGCAATTTTGACACTCATAGCACGTTGGACCTACATGTGTTTCCTGAGACCAAAACCTGACCTTTTCCAGGAATCTCCTATTGACTCTCAATAAGTTTCAAGAAATGAGACATTCAAAAAAGCACACAAAAGACACCATTAAGAACATTTAAAACAAAGTTGGAGTAGAACCAGTGGTGTGCTGTGACAGTTCTCTCTTGAGAGAGCTGTTAATTGTCAGCAATTTTGTGAGCCATTGTTAAATATATCCATTATTACAACTTATATTGTACAAACATAACTAAAGTATGGTAAAAAAAAAAAAGATATTTAATGCTCAAAATTTTTCACTCTCTATTCTTTTTTTAAAAAACTACATTTTACAGTTTATCTACACTCCTGAACACATTGTATCCATCTGGTAGAAATACTAACTTACCATTATATGGTAAGTTACTCTACATATAAAAGAAGTGATGGCATGTCACTTCTGATATTAGGTTATGAAAGACTTCAGCTGTCATCTTTGGTTTCTCTGTCTCTTGGATCACTCACTCTGGAGAAGCCAGCCAGTGTCTTCGGGACACTCAGATGGCCTATGGAGAGTCCCATGTGGTGAGGACTCCAGCCTACAGCCAGGGAGAAACTGAGGCCTGCCAATAACCACATGAGCTTGGAAATCTTCAAATGACTGCAGTCCCAGCTGACAGCTTGACTGCAACTTCATGGGAGACCTTGAGCCAGAAACAGCTAGCCAAGCTGCTCCCAACAACAGAAAGATGACTATTACAGTTGCAAAGCTTCTAAATAATCTCCCATTCGATTCTGATTTTATAGGGGTTTCTATAGCAGTCAGTCACTCTCTATTTTTCTGAAACACTACAAAGTAGTAGGCAAACCTGAAATAATACCCACTATTAATATAAATATCTGCCATTTTGTCTTTTGCTAGCTGGTAGATACAGGCAAAGACAATTAACTCTGCTATTGGAACCTATTGAATTTTGGGGAAAGGCTTATTATTTCAAGTGTAAAATTAGATCTAATATAATACTCTGCTTGACGATCTTTATTTTTTATTTTTATATAATGAACCCTCAACATACACAAATACCTCGGTATTATCCCAGAAAATCCCTAGAAGCTCTATACAGGGTATGGATAGTTTCTTAACTGAGGTAAAAATTATGGGTTGTCTGTATTTGGGTAGGGGAAAGATGGTGGCTGATAAGAGTGTTACAGCCATTCATAGTGGTGTGCAAATGCAATACTTTACAGAAGTTCAGGCAACTAGGCCAGAAGTTTAGGGGTTTTTTTGCCCACAGAAGGGTCAGTAAACCATTTAGTGGAGACCTTAAAACTAAACTGGAACTTTAATACATCTGCCATCACTGCTATAGCACTTAGATGGGTGGATATTTTTTGACTACTGGAGTTAAGTAAAAAAAGACTGAAGTAAGCAATAAGCCTCTGATGATATCAATGTAATTGGGTTAATAGCCTTAGTCCCTGTCCAGATCTTTCGTAAGCCCTCTTTTTATAAAAAGAGTTTGTTAATCTAAAATCCTGGAAAAAATTACTGATGTAAAAAGTTATTCTACCAGTCTCTGTGCTTAAATATGAATATATTTCTTTTAACTTGAAAAGCATATAATCATTAAAGAATGTCAACATATTTTATTCATGCAGGATTAACCTAGAAGGATAAAATCTCTTTCAGATTCACCAGTTTTCCCCCAAATTTGGTAAATAAACGAGTTCTTATACAGTCTTGAATTAATTAAAATTTGGAGAATGCTAGATAGAACAACATATTCATATTCTTCTTTATTTTACAGAGTGAAGAAGCAAAATTTTGTGTCATTTACTAGCCCTTTTAGAAAATCAAAACTCTGTTTAAGCATAAAAGGTATAGTAGTAGATTTATTATTCTGAATTCAGGGTCTAAATTTGGAAAAGGCACATAAAAATATTATCAAAGTAGACAAGATTTAATCATAAATATCTAGAGACAAGAAATATTTTAAAGTAGCATTGCCAAAACTATACAATAAACAAAAGTGATTATCAGGAACTTAACTTTTTTAAAGTAAAAAATAATGATATTTAATTATTAAAGAATATAAAAGGATACAGAGATTAAAAGAATATTTTTGGTCTAAGGAGGAAACTTTACAAATCTGGGCACAAAATACTCATTTACAGAAAAAATATATTTTGATTTTATTCCTTTTGTATATTACTCATGTAGTAACTTTCAGCATACAATTTATTAATATGTCTTTTTTTGGCATGAATATACACATAAATATTTAAATAGGTAATAAATTTAAAGTTTTGACTACATTTTAAAATATAATTGTCAGAATGTTAAATAATACATATCCTATGGAATCAATCTTATTCATAAACTACAATAACTTTAGAAACAAATATGATATTTTTATACATATTAAATATTGAATTATTGAACTAGAATAGTTAACTCCTTATACTATTTATACTTATCATATTTAATACTTACTATATTTAATTAAACTGTTCTCTCCAAGCACAGGGGAAAACTAGAGAACAGAAATTCAATAACTGGCTATTATAAAAAATGACTACTTTTTGTAATTTTAATGATTTTGAGTTGCAATAATAATCATAAATAATATGTAAAAAACATTTAAATATTTTATAATTTCTAGTTATTTAAAAGATAACAGTAAATTAATGTTAGATTAATGAATACTGTTTTATGTTTTTTTTTTTAATTTAGAAATTGTCCAGGTACCCAAAGATTAAATGTCTAAGGTCATAATATGAAATTTCTGAAAATTACAAATGTAACTTACACATCAAATCCTTATGATTTGTAGCACTGTAAGAATTTCATAAAAGTAAACACTTTAGAAAGATATCCATGATGAGTATTCCATCTAGTTGAGTCTCCTCAGCCTTGTGTGATCTCTGAAATTACTATTCAGCTTTCAGCTTCCCAGCAACTGTACTCAGCTGGGCCTCCCACATCACCCTGATCATGAACAGCATATTTTGACACAGATTTTCATGACTCCTTCGCTCTGTTTCTATTTTCTGTAGTAGCTTGCCCCCCAAATACCATCTGCCCTAGTATCCCCAAACTCTAGTTGCTGTTTCATATGTCCAGTCCTCTGTTTAGGTTCTATTTCCATACAGACACCCCATATGGCAGATGCCTGCATTACCACCAGACTTTAGATGTTTTCTAATTCTCACTTCTATATTAAATCATGAAATAAAAATTTCTCTTTAAAGAGCATATTTCCTTTTGGATTTCTTTCTGGGAGAAAATCTCAGAAGTTGGGTTCCTACACAAAAGAATGAATACTTTTCAATGACTCTTGATATGGCAAATGCTCTCTGATAGACCACTGGGCACCTTTGCTACTTTATAGGAGTGACAAAAGCGGTATCTTCTTAAATTCAGCATCCAAGGGCCTACATCCATATGTTTTTGGAAAAGATACATTATTAGACTAGAATTTTTCCTCCATCATGTCCTGCATGCCTAGTGCTACAGAAGACACACAGATATATATTATAAATGCACTTTATTCCACAATAAAATTAGGGCAGGTTGTGTCATTGGACCTCACTACGTTCATATTGCTGAAAAATAAAATAAATCATCTACAACTCCATAGGGCAATCTCTCACTTTCAGTTGTGCAAAACAAAATATTTTCAATATTTCAGAAAAGTTAAGAAAGCTGTACCAAATTTTGAAATGCCTTAAAGATTGCTAAATGAGATCACTTTCCGACTTGAAGGACTATTCCAAGGGCATTTCAAAAGATAACATCCTGAATAAGGAAGTTATTGAGTCATTAGTTATTCTATAGCCTCATAGCAGAGGAAGTTAAAGCAGCCCAGATGCAGTTATTGAAGTAAGTCCAAGACCCCCAGCCAGCCTTTCTCTCTTGTTCTGGTGGTGTTGTTTGTTTTGTTTTGTTTTGTTTTGTTTTGTTTTGCTTGTGTTAAGGTAGTAATTTGGGGGTGGGTGATGGGAGGGTTTTCTACTCTAGAACCTTTAAGCTCTGTTATTTTTAGAAAGTGGAATTTTCTATAAACAATTTTTTGGCAGGTGAGATGTAGGGAACTACAGTGAGGCAGCGTTCAAACCTAGCAGACATTTTATTTTTTTACACATATTTATGCATGTGAGTCATTTCAGTCGTTTATTTTTCCCAGCCAAGGGAGATGGACTGCTGTGAGGTTGTTTTCTAGGCAAAACCACTTTGTTTCTCCCCACAAATAGACAGACTGCTTCTTCCAAATTTGACTTACTTGCGGGAAACCTTATTCAGCCCTCCGCCTCTGGTTTAAAGCACAAAACTAGGTCTAGAAAAGATGTTCCCTCGACTGTAAGCACCTCATTTTCACTCTTGAAAAGGAGAGATTTTTTGTTTGGCCCTCCAGGTTATGCTCCCCACCTTTAGCAGTGTAATTGGCTGGCTCCTTCTGAGCTCTGCCACTGCATGTGTGCATTCAAAAGTTTCTTCTCTTATGCCTCTGTTCCGTTTCAAGTACTTTGGGCAGTCATTTCTCTTATCTTGTAGTTCATATTTTCAGCTTTCTTCATGTTTCACTGAATACACATTTACATTTTTATTTCTGATTCCCCTTGATATTTTGAGAGGATTTCTCAAAAGAAAAAGGGGCAAATGCTGATTTTTGCCACATTTTCAAATTAGATGTCTAGTTCTTTTACTTTAAATGTATTGTATAAATCACACATAATCAGATCATTAATCCAATCCAAGGACTCTCTTTAGATTATTGAATAAATTTTTCAAAAAATACTGCAATACCAAGACCTAGTTCTTACATTTTTATCTCGCTTTATTTAACACTTTTCCTATTTTTAACTATATATATATAAATTTTGTCTGCTTGTTTTATAGCTATATATTGTATTTTTTGTCTATTCTCATAGGCTAAAATTACTCTTCCAGTAGATTCTTCAAAAAAGGCTCAAGAAAAATCTGTCCTTTAAGATGTCTTAGGTATTTTTAAATGTCGTTTCTTTGCCCTCATGCTTGAATGATAATCAGTAATTCCAACTTGTAGGTTCTAGGACAGCTTCAAAGAAAGATGGCATTTGACATGGTTCTTTAAAGATAATAAGAGCTTTGATAGAGGATGAGAGATGAGCCCTCTGTGTTGATGGAACAGCATGTATTAACTCAGAATGAGGTTGGCAATTCTTTACTGAAATGTAGTTTACAAGAGAATACTTATTGTGAACTGAGTATAGGAAGGAACCTTCCCTGACCATTCTCTATATTCCTCATTACTTACAATAGTATCTATAACATAGTTATCAAGGTGTTGAATGATGGCATAACTTAAAAGTTGCTTAGAAATAGATAATGCCAAAACGAATTTAATGTTAGACTTCAAATATTACTATTCAGTGTTTTCATGTATATCATGGGTATTTGTAAGATCATTCTGGCATCTATTCTGTGATAGATGGATGGGTTGGTGTGGCGCTGCAGAAAGGGAGGCAGGGAAGAAGTCTTATTTAATAGTCCAGGCAAGACTGATGAGACCTGAACTACAGCAAAAGCAGCAGCAATTGGGAAGGGAAAAAGAAACTGATTTTAGAGGAATACAGGAGGTAAAATTAGCAGGAATCAGTGACTGATTGGATGTGGAGAAAGAGAGGGAGAACTCTGAGATGATACTGAAATTTTCTGGCTTCTCTTGGGGAAATAGTCATGAAAATGGCACTCATGCTGAAGCCCAGGCTATTCCAAAAATATAGATACACATACCCTTCCCAGGGGCTGCACTGAGGAAGCAGAGATGCAGAAAAAATTTTACCAGTGTTTAAGGGGAAACAGGAAACAGAATTCTTGGAAGATAGGCTACAGAGGTGTGGCTGTCAGTGTATACCAGCCCTGGCCATGAGTTCAAAGTGATTAAATGGTCAATGCCAAACACAATCTATGCAGCTCAAGAGGTTTCTGAGACCATGGAGAGCTTATAGGTGTGGGATTTAAATGACTGGAAATATAATCTATGGTATACCACTAATGCTGTGGTCAAAGCATCTAGATATGGACGTTTTAAAGCCCAGAGATACTCGAGGCCTTGCCTCTTAATGCAAGTAGCTGTTGAGAAAGTATAACTACAAGACTGGGAAAAAGCACAAGGAAGAAATAAAGGTAAAAACTGTCATACTGAGATGTCATTCAAAAGCTGAGGCAAAAGTACTGTTGAATAGTAAGTAGATCCCTATCCAAAAACAACGGGACTCTGGTCTAAGAGTCCCTGGTTTTATCTCACAGAATTGTTTAAGTGAACCACTAGTGAATGATGTATGCAAAAATCACACACAGATAAGTAGCCATTAACTTATGCACTAATATGCAAGAATGTAAATATGTATGTACATTAATATTAATTTACATATTTCCTCCTAGTCATCACGCACCTTTCCCATGGCCCTGGAGTTTCCTGGATAACATAATCAAGACAAGGGCTGGTCTGGTTAGCAGTTGTGTAGGAAGTATTGTTTAGTGAGTAGTACAGTTTAGATTATGTCTTTTGAGACTAGGTCAAATAAAGATATTTTATGTAGATTTATGCACTGCAATGGATTTTCTCTCTTCCCTTATAATTCAGCACCCCCTTCCCCATCATTAAAATGAGGACTTTTACCAAGATAATTTTTTTAAAGCAGCACTTAATATTTATTTTTGAAGATCTTTTTGGAGAATATTGGCATCTTTACGTGAGATTCAGCATCTTCCAGATAATACTGAATATGTTTTCAAATAGATTAGTAACTCCCAACATTTCAATTCAGGAATCATCTTTCATGAGAGCATCTTCTAGCCTGTAATCCCAGCACTTTGGGAGGCTGAGGCGGGCGGATCACGAGGTCTAGAGATCGAGACCATCCTGGCTAACACAGTGAAACCCCATATCTACTAAAAATACAAAAAATTAGCCGGGCGTGGTGGCAGGTGCCTGTGGTCCCAGCTACTCGGGAGGCTGAGACAGGAGAATGGTGTGAACCTGGGAAGTGGAGCTTGCAGTGAGTCAAGATCGCACTCCAGCCTGGGCAACAGAGTGAGACTCCGTCTCAAAAAAAAAAAAAAAAAAAGAATTCTAGCACTAACTGATAATTTCCTCATTACAGAAGAGAATATAAAATCTTGAGTCAAAATGAAATGGACAAATGATACAAAATGACAATTTGATTAAATGAGGTTGATATTCAAAATTTGCAGGTAAGACATGAACCCTGAGAGCTCTCTCAGTACACAGCACATCTTTCCCTGCTGAGCTAGAAAGCAGTTTGTGACCAGGAGGCTGAGTGTGCCATAGCTTCACCCTCTTGTTCCCAGTGCCGCCCTGGTAACGACCTGTGTACTGCCTGTGAAAACACAATTTAGAAGATGCCATTTGACTGTCCTCAGAAAGGCATCATTAGTTAATTAAACTGTAGCTATTTAAGCCCCTGTAACAAGTAATGGGAATTTCAATTCTACTGATAAAAGGATATTATTTATAATGAGCTTCACCACCAAATGTGTTCTGAATGTGAAAGGCTAACCACTAAATTGTGACTCAGAACATTACCATAAAATCTGAAGCTGCACATACTGATTGCAAAGGGAACTAGAATATGGAGAAATGATGAGAGCTAATGAGCCCAGCCTGTTAGGAATATCAGGCTCTAAGAGGGACAATCTTCTAGGTTTGTTGGGACAAAAATGGAAGAAGGGAAATCGATTGAGAAAGGGGGCATTGTTGTTGGTTTTGTTTCTTTTTTTATTTTTCCCTATATTGTAATATCCAAAGGAGAATTGGTTAGTTTTTTTAAAAAAATATTGCTTGAGAATGCTTAGACATTGCTGTTGGATATGTAAATGTGTACAAACTCTATGGAAAACAGTATGGAGATTTCTCAAAGAATTAAAAGTAGATCTACAATTTGACCCAGGAATCCCACTACCAGGTATCTACCCAAAGGAAGAGAAGTTATTACATCAAAAACACACCTACATGCATATGTTTAATATGATACAATTCACAATTGAAAAACATGAAATCAACATAAGTGCCCATCAAAGGATAAGTGGATAAAATGTGGTATACATACACTATAGAATACTACTCAGCCATAAAAAAAAGAATGAAATAATGTATTTTGCAGCAACTTGGATGGAACTGGAGGCCATTATTCTAAGTGAAGAAACTGAGGAATTGAAAACCAGACACTGCATGTTCTCATTTATAAGTGGGATCTAAGCTATGGGTATGCAAAGGCATATAGAATGGCATAATGGACCTTGGAGATTCAGAAGGGGCAAAGATGGGAGGAAGATGAGGGATGAAAAACCACCTGTTGAGTACGATGTATACTACGTGGATAATTAGTGCACTAAATTCCTAGGCTTTACCTCTATATAATTCATCCATGTAACTAAAACCATTTGTACCCCTAAATTTGTTGAAATAAAAAAATTAAAAATAAAATAAAATATTGCTAGAATATTCAGCACTTTTCCTCTGGGAAATATCAGTGGCCACTGTAATTTCTTAGAAAAATAATTCAATAATATAAAATGGCTAGGATAAGTGCTTTTTGGTCTTCATGTCTTTTATTGACCACTTCATTTCCCTCTACCATCAAAAGCCAAATTTAAGTTTCATATTTTCACATACTGTCCGCTGCCTTTGTTATTAGTCAGTCAACAACAAATAGAGGATGTTTTCTCTTCCTTGAAGATTTTGGCTCCTAGCACAGGCACTTTCCATTATATTCTGCTGGTCATAATCTTTGATAACATCATTATTCACCTAATCTTCTGATACACTGATCTCTCAGTTCCTTGACTTCCTCTTCTCAAATGAGCTTGTCCTTCACCCTACCTAAGCCATGGTCATACCTAAACCTTCCCATTGGCAGTGATTTAAATTCTTCACAGTCCTTTTTTCTTTTGAGAAGGAGTCTTGCTCTGTCACCAGGCTGGAGTACAGTGGCACAATCTCGGCTCACTGCATCCTCTGCCTCCCAGGTTCAAGCGATTCTCCTGCCTCAGCCTCCCGAGAAGCTGGGAATACAGGCACCCACCACCACACCTGGCTAATTTTTTGTATTTTTAGTATAGATGGGGTTTCGACATATTGGCCAGGATGGTCTTGATCTCTTGACCTCGTGGTCCACCCTCCCAAAGTGCTGGGATTATAGGTGTGAGCCACTGCGCCTGGCTGGCCAATTCTTCACAATCTTGAGCTTAACCTACTCTCTTTCAAGTTGACTTAATTTCTTACCCAACAATAAACGGTATTCAACCCCACAAGGACTTCTGAATCATTCATTTCTGATCATACCATCTTTTCACCTCTGACCTTAACCTTTTCATGCTTTCGAATGCTTCCTTGCATAAAACAGATTCCACAGTCAATTTTGTATCTTGAATATATGTTTCCTTTCTCTTCTTATTTCATTTACTCAATTGGAAAACCAATAACCCTGGTGAAATATAAATTTTCATCTACTTATACATAAACCCCCATAGCTATGTATGGGAGGAGAAAAACACACTTATGCTGACTGTTCTCACTTTAAAGTCATAACCACCAATCTCAAGTAGACCTATAATAGCCAAGCCATAATCTATCCCTCTAATCTTTCTCCTCCTCCTCCTTTTTCTTCTTCTTTTGAGACAGGGTTTCAGTCTGTCACCCAGGCTGGCATGCTGGAGTGCAGTGATCATAGCTCACTGCAGTCTTGAATTCCTGGGCTCAGGTGATCCTCCCACCTCAGCCTCCTGAATAGATTTTTTTTTTTTTTCAGAGATAGGGATCTCGCCATTTCCTAGACTTATCTTGAACTCCTATTCTCAAGTGGTTCTCCTGCCGTGGCCTCTCAAAGTGCTAGAATTATAGGCATGAGCCACTGTACCCAGACTCTAATCTGTTTTCTTCTTCTCTGATGACGACCTTGCTACTTCACTGACAAAATGCAAACAATCAGAAGAAACTTTTTTAAGACCCCACCCATACCTGCCTACTAACATCCATGCCCATAAATTGGCTTTCCCTGCTGTTACTGTGGATAAGTTCATGGTGCCTTTTGTTAAGGCTACCTCTATCTTTGCACAAGAACACATTTCCTCCCAAATGTGAAATTGGAAAGGAGCATCACACTGGCACTCCTCCACTTTCTAATGCAAAGTTTCACGTCATCCAACTTTCCTTTCTACTGCCTTATTCCAATCAGCATACAGACATGCTGTTTTTTTCTATCTCTTTTTAAAAAAAAAGTATTTCCTTCCCTATTTATGACTCCAGCTACTGCCTATTTCCCTGAAATCTTTTATGACAAAATGCCTCATGTCTTTTATACTCACTGTCTCTAATAACTCTCCTATCATTTCCTACATCTTCTCAAATCAGTCTTTTGCCCCTGCCACCCCTAAGAAACTGCTCTTTTCAGGCTTATCTCTGACTTCCACACTGGTAAATCCCATGATCAATTCTGTTTCCATAGTACAATACAGTAAGTAACCATGTGCCCTGGTTAGGCTGTGACAATCACTGATTATAACCATTGTCCTATTACAGGTACTAATAGTACCAGTACTCATGCTTAAAAGTTTTCAAATTTGGACACTAAATGAGTACCCTACCTATCAGTAGGACTGGATAGAGTTGAGCACTCTCTCCTCTTTGAAAGACATTGCTGCCCTGCATCTTTCCACCTACTGTCTTCCTCCTAACTTATTGGCTTCTCCTTCCGAATGTTGTTTGGTTCTGAATGCCACATAACTTCATACCTGGATTTATGTTGTTAAATAAATATATACACCTCCTTGGTAATATCTATGTATTCATGGCTTTAAATATTGCTTGACATGTATATTTCTAATAGAGACCTCTCTCCCTCAAATTCCAGCCTTATGTATCTTGCATCTTGTTTATTCAGAAAATCCACTTGAATATCTAATTGGGTTTTCACACTTAGTTTCTCTAAAACCAATTCCTTCATCTTCTTCCCCTTCCAATGCACTTTCCCTTGCTGTCTCCCCAATCTCAGTTATTGGCAACTTCATGTTTTCAATTGCTCGGGTCAATATGCCTTGAAATAAAGTTTAACTGAAGTCTTTCTCTCACTTTTCACATCCAATCCCTCATCAAACCTTGTCAGATTCTCCTTCAAGTTGTATCCAGAATCTGCCTCCTGTCACCAACCCCATTATTTCCAAGTCACCATAATCCAAGTCACCATTTTCAAAGCAAAAATTGCACCAGACAAAAATTAAACAGGGCAGAAAGACTATTGCAATAAAGAAAGAGAAATCAGTCTGAATTCAATTTCACCAAAACAAAGTATTGAAGTGTTCTTTTATCTTTCAACCCAACAATACACATGGGAATTTTATTAAAGTGCAAATTAGGATATATCAAATATTTCAAAAGTGTGAATCATCATAGGCGAGCTACCTTCAAAAGAGTATCCCATAAACCCACATTTGCATATAGTCAGAATTATTCTTAAAATGTCTTTAATTTTAGCAATAAATGTTATTATTTTGATAGGCCTTTTGATATGAATGTACATTTTAAAAATTAATAAATTTTACTTTTTGGAACACATTTACATTTAGGAAAAAAATGAGGGAAAAGTACAAACAATTCCCAAATACCCCTCATCTCCCACCAATTTTCCCTATTTTTAACATTTTATATTAGTGTGTTACATTTGTTACAAACAATGAGTCAATATTGATACTTTATTATTATATTAAACCAAAGTCCATAGTTTAGGGTTCACTCTTTGTGTTATAGATGCTGTAAGTTTTGACAAATATATAGCATATACCCACCATTACAATATCATGCAGAATAACAGTTTCTCTATTACTTCTAAAAATCCCATGATTCACCTACTCATCCCCTTTTTCATCCCTCCAAGCTTGTGCCAAACAATGATCTCCAAAGTTTTGCATGCCATAGGTCTTATAATTGGAATCAGAGTATATAGACTTTTCAGATTGCCTTACTTCACTTATTAATATAAATTTAAGAATCTTTAAGGTCTTTTAGTGGCTTGATAGCTCATTTCTTTTTGTCACTGAATAATATTCCACTGTATAGATGTACCACATTTTGATTACCATTCACCAGCTGAAGGACATCTTTAGTGAATCCACTGTCTTTAGTTGCTTCCACGTTTGGCAGTTATGAATACAGGTGCTATATAATGTACATGCAGGTTTTTTGTGTAGATGTAATTTTTTAACTCATTTGGGGAAATACCAAGGAGCATAATGCTGGATCATATGGTAAGAGTATGCTTATTTTGTGAGGAACTACCAAACTGTCTTTTGAAGTGGCTGTATCATTTTGCATTCCCATCAACAATGGATGAGAGTTCCTGTTGCTCCACATCCTGGCCAGCATTTGGTGTTGTTAGTGTTCTAGATTTTGACCATTCTAATAGGTGTATGGTGGTATCATATTTTAATCTGCATTTCCCTAATGACATATAATGTTGAATATCTTTTCATATGCTTC
The DNA here is from genome assembly GCF_000001405.40 of Homo sapiens. Classification (NCBI taxonomy): domain Eukaryota; kingdom Metazoa; phylum Chordata; class Mammalia; order Primates; family Hominidae; genus Homo; species Homo sapiens. The sequence continues at coordinate 35,431,743 of NC_000003.12, forward strand.
TTTGCCATCTGTTTATCTTCTTTATTGAGATGTCTGTTCAGATCTTTTGCCAGTTTTCTAATTACGCTGTTTGCTTATTGGTGAGCTTCAAGAGTTCTTTGTATATTTGGATACAAACATTTTATCTGTATGTGTTTTACAAAAATATTCTCCCAGTCTATGCCTTATCTTTTCATTCTCTTAACTGTGTTTTTGGTGCAGCAGAAATTTTTAATTTTAGTGAAGTCCAACTTATCATTTTTTCTTTTAGTAGATCGTATTTTTGATGTTGAATCTAAGACATCATAACTAAATCCAAGGTCACCTAGATTTTCTCCTGTGTTACTGTCTACTAGGGGATTTAACTGTAAAAAGAGTTTTTACATTTTACAGGTAGGTCTATAATCTATTATTAATTAGTTTAGGTGAAAGGTCTGAGGTCTGCATCTAGATTCATTTTTTGCATGTCAATCTCCAGATATTTCAGCACCATTTGTAGAAAATACTATCTTTTGTCCATTAAAATGTCTTTACTACTTTGTCAAATACCAGTTGAATATATCTATATGGGTCTATTTCTGGATCTTTTATTTTCTTTCCATTGGCCTATCTGTCCATTTATTTGCCAATACATGCTATCTTGATTATTGTAGCTTTAAAATCTTTAATTTGGGTACTGTCAGTTCTCTGATTTTGTTATTCTCATTCAATATTGTATTCGCTATTCTGAGACATTGCCTTTCCATATAAACTCTAGAATCAGTTTGTGAATATCCACAAAATAAAATCAGGATTCTGAATGGAATTGCATGGAATATACAGAGCAACTTGTGAGGACTGTTATCTTGATAAATATTGATTGAGTCTTCCTATTCACAAACATTCAATATCTCCCCACTTATTTATGCTTCTTCAGTTTATTTCATCAGAATTTTACAGTTTCCTTACATAAATCTAGTACATATTTGTTAGGTTAATAACTATTTCATTTTGTATTATATATGGTATTGTATTTTTAATTTCAAAATTTTATTGTTCATTATTTATAAGAAAGCGATGTACTTACGTATATTAACTTTACATTATGCAAACTTATTATAGGTGCCTTTTTGTTTCAGGATTTTTTGTGGTGGTTAATTCTTCTGGATTTCCTATATAGACAATTATGTCATCTGTGAATGATGACAATTTGCCTAATCTGTATATCTTTTTTAAAAATGTTTTTCTTATGACATTAGCTAGAACTTCCAATATAATGTTAAATAGGAATGGTGAAAGTGAACATTCCTGCCTTGTTCCTGATCTTGGTGGGAAAGTATCTAGTTTCTCACAATTAAGTATAATGTTACTTATAAGTTTTTTTGTAAATGTCTTTTGTTAATAGAGGAAATTCTCCTCTCTTCCTACCTTGCTGAGAAGTTTTGTCATGAATGGCTATTGGATTTTATCAAATGCTTTCTTTTCATCAATTGATATGATAGGGTTTCTTCTTTAACCTGTTGATGTGATAGATTACAATCACTGATTTTTCAAATCAGCCTTGCATACCTGAAATAAATCCCAGTTAGTCATATAACTCTTTTCATGCAATATTATGCATTGCATACCTGAAATAAATCCCAGTTAGTCATATAATTCTTTTCATGCATTGTTATGTTATATTGTTAAGTTTTTTGCATCTATTTTATGAGCAGTTTGGTCTGCAGTTTACTTTTCTATAATGTCTTTGTCCAATTTTGGTATTAAGATGATACTGGCATCAAAAAGTGAGTATTTATTCTGTTTCCTGGAAAAGATTGTAGATAATTGGTATAATTTCTTCCTTACATCTTTGGTAGAATTTACCAATCAGTCTATCTGGGCTTGGTGTGCTCTGTTTTAAAAGGTTATTAATTATTAATTCAAATTCTTTAAGGAGATGATATGGTTTGGCTGTGTCCCCACTCAAAACTCATCCTGAATTATAATTCCCACAATTCCCACGTGTCATGGGACGAACCCAGCAGGAGGTGATTAAATTATGGGGGCGGGTCTTTCCCACACTGTTCTTGTGATAGTGAATGAGTCTCATGAAATCTGATGGTTTTAAACATGGGAGTTTCTCTGAACAAGCTCTCTTTGCTTGCTGCCAGCCATGTAAGATGAGACTTGCTCCTCCTTGCCTTCCATCAATTGTGTGGCTTCCCCAGCCATGTGGAACTGTAAGTCCATTAAACCTTTCTTTTGGAAATTGCCCAGTCTTGGTATGTCTCTGTCAGCAGCGTGAAAATGGACTAATACAGGAGATCAGTAGTGACGGCCTCTTCTTGGTTTCTGATATTAGTAATTTGTGTGTTCCCTGTTTCCTTCTTAGTTGGCCAGGCTATAGCTTAATCAATTTTTTTATGTTTTTAAAAAACTAGTTTTTTTATTTTGTTGTTTTTCTCAATAATTTTCTGTTTTAATTGTATTAATTTCTGCTCTATTATATATCTTACTTTGGGTTTTTTTCTTCTTTTTCTAGTTTCCTAAGTTAAAGCTTAAATTATTGATTTTTAATTAGTCTTCTTGTCTAACATCCAGTGATATAAACTTCTTGCTATACACTACTTTCATTGCATCTTACAAATTGTAACGTTCTATTTTTATTCTTTTTAATTCAAAATACTTTTTAATTTATCTTGAGACTTATTCTTTGACTCATGTGCTATGTATAAGTGTGTTTTTTATCTCTAAGTATTTTGGGATTTTCTAGCTATCTTTCTATATTGATTTCTAGTTTAATCACATTGTGGTCCAAAAAGATTTTTGTATGATTTATATTCTTTTATATTTGTTAAAGTGTGTTTTATGGCCCAGAATGTGGCCATATGAGCTTTAGAAGAAGGTGTATTCTGCTGATGTTGGATGAAGTATATTGTGTAAATGTAAATTCAATCCAGTTGATCGATGCTGCTGTTCAGTTCAACCATGTCCTCACTGATTTTCTACCTTCTGGATCTTTCAATTACTGATAGGGGGGTTTGAAGTCTCTACAATAACAGATTTATTTACTTCTCCTTGCAGTTTAATCAGGTTTTGTCCCAAATATTTAGATATTCTCTGCTGATAGGTACATATACATTGGGATTTTTGTGGGTTTTTTTTTTTTTTGGAGATTTGATTATTTTGTCTTTATGTAATGCCCCTCTTTCTCCCTGATGATTTCTATTACTCTGAAGTCGGTTATCATGGTCAACTTTATGTGTCAGTTTGACTGGGCCACAGAATGCCTAGATATTTGGTCAAGCATTATTCTAGGAGTCTCTGGATGTATCTGTGAAGGGTGAAATGAACATTTGAATTGATAGACCAAGAGAAGCAGATTGCCCTTCTTAATGAAGATGGGGTTAATACAAATAGTTGAAGGACTAAATAGAATAAAAAGTATAAGTAAAAGGGAATTCCTTCTACTTGGCTGGCTTTGAGCTAGGACATTGTTTTGTTGTTTTTTGTTTTTCTCCTGCATTTGCATTAAACTAAACATCAGCTTTTCTCCTAGGTTTCAACCCTGCCAGCAATTGGACTGAAAGTACACCTTTGACTCTCCTGCTTCTTAGGCCTTGGGACTCAGACTGAACTACAGCATTAGCTCTTCTATTTTCCAGCTTGCCAACTGCAGTTCTTGGAAACCGTCAGACCCCATAATCATGTTGGCCAATTTGTTATAATAAACCTATCTCCTTATGTATCTGTCTATCCATTTATCATCTATGTATGTCCTATTGGTTCTGTTTCTCTGGAGAACCCAAACTAATACATCTGCTTTGTCTAATAGTATAAATCTACTCCAGCATTCTTTTGATTAGTGTTAGCATGGTATATCTTTATTTACTTTAGAGATATTCATATATATAACATAAGTTTCTTGTGAACAGCATATAGTTAAGTCTTATTTTTTAAACAACTCTTGAAAGTCTCTGTAATTGGTGTATTTACACCATTTTTATAAATTAGGACTGATATGTACCATATTTTTTACTGTTTTCTATTCATTGCCCTTGTTCTATTTTGGTCTTCTACTTTTTTCTGCATTCTCTAATTTAATTATTTTGTATAGTTTATTTTTTCTCCGAATTCTTGTCATTTATTTCATGTATTCATTAGCTATAATTACTAAAAACATTTTTGCTATTATTATTTTGAACAAGTGGTCATCTGATAGATTAATAAAAAATAAAAACAAGGATTTTTTCATTTATTCATTTTTTAATGCTCTTCCTTTCTTTATGTTAGTACAAGTTCCTGACCCATATAATTTTTCTTCTTTCTGACAAACTTCTTTTAACATTTCTTCCAAAGCAGGTGTACTGGCAACATATTCCCTTAATTTTTGTTTTTCCTTTAAAAAAATCTTTATTTTGCCTCCTCTGTAAAAGGATAATTTCACTGGGTACATAATTCTAGGCTGGCAATACTTTTCTTTCTGTTAACACATTGACTAATTCACTCTATTCTTTCCTTGCTTTTATAGTTTTTAAGAGCAGTTCACACAGTCCTTAACCTTGATCATTAATAGGTATGGCATTTTATTTCCTCTGTCTTCTTTTGAAATGTTTTTGTCTTTTATTTTTGGTTATGAATTTTTATTGTAATACGCCTAGCATAGATTACTTGATATTATTCTACTTGGTGTCCTCTGAACTTCCTGTGTGTATAATTTGGTGTTTATCATTAGTTTGTGGAAATTCTCTGTCATTATTGTTTGAAATTTTTCTTTTGTTCCTTTCTTTTCTCTCCTTGTTCTGATTAATTTTATTATGTTGTACATTTTATAATTGTCCCACAGATTTTGGATATTTTTTCTATCCTTTTTATTCTTTTACCTTTCTTTTGAGATTTTAGTTTTAGAAGTTTCTATTGGCATCAAGTTCACTAATTCTTTTCTCAGTCATTACTGGTAGAACCATCAAAGGCATTCCTCTTTTTTATTATGGTGTTTTTTTTAAAAAAAATTCTAGCATTTCCTTTTTATTCCTTCTTAATGTTTCCATCTCTTTGCTTACAGTATCCATCTGTTCTTGTATGCTGACCACTTCTTTCATTATAGTCCATAGCATATGAATTATAGTAGTTTGAAATTCACTGTCTGATAATCCTCAAATCTACTATATGAGTCTGGTACTGCTTGTGCTAACTCTTCAAACTGTGGGGTTTTTGTGTGTGTTGTTTTTTTCTTTTTAGTATGCCTTGTAATTTTTGTGGCAAGTCAGGCTCCTTGTACTGTGTAAAAAGAACTGAGGAAATCAGCCTATATTGTGAGGTTTTAGATTTATCTGGCTAGGGGTTGGGCTGTGTTTACTGTTTGCCATAGCTGTAGGTATCAGAGGTCAAACTTTCCTCTGGTGTTCTTATTTTTGTCTTCTCTGTTGTCTTTCAGTTTCCCTAGTGACTTCTTAATTATTGTCTGAAAATATTGTTCTTTTAATTGTATCCCTCTATCATTACAAAACTGCCATCACAAAGTTATAACTGAGACAGTGAAAGGAATCTGACCTAACCAAAAACATCTTGCTTCTAACTTCCAAGCTGTCCTTGTTCATTCCTGTGCATAGTCTGCACTAACTTTGGGAGGAACATAGTTTATAGTTTAAAATAAGGATGACAACAGCTCTTTCCCAAAACAAACCCCCTTCTTGCCTGGGGACCAGTCTGCCTTTGTAGGACTAACAAATTAGCTAAAGATTAGAATTTACAATTTAGGAACTACACAATGTCTGGTTGCAAGAGTCTGAATCTCCCCAAATTGCTCCTGGTAATAACATCATTGTTGTAAAACCTAAGATCAGTACTTCAGATATTTTGCAGACCCTGCATTCCAATGCACAGCTAACACCACCCAGATCTGACTCAACCAGTTCCGTGATCCCCTCTGGGAACAGAAGACAGCAAGAAAAACTCACTTGAACCCCCTGTGATTCCATCTCCAACCTGACAGTCAGCAGTTTCCACTTCCCCAGCCCCTATCCACCAAATTATCTTTAAAAACTCCTATTCTCAAGTTTTTGGGGCAACTGATTTGAGTAATAATATAACTCCAGTCTCCCACATAGTAAATGATTCTTTCTCTATTACGGTTCTGCTGTCTTGGCAAATAGGCTCTGCATAGGCAGAAGACAAGTTGAACCTGTTGGGTGGTTACGATTATGCAGGAGCCTTATTAATGTGGTGGCAAGGTTTGGGGGAGGCGGAGAAAAGCATTCTATAATACTGATTAGCTCTCTGTCTTAATCTTTTTGTATGTGAGATGGGGTCTCACTATGTTGCCCAGGCTGGTCTTAAACTTCTAGGCTCAAGCAATCCTGCTACCTTGGCCTTACAAATTGCTGAGATTTGGGCTCATATTGGCTCAGAATAAACCTCTTTAAAATATTTTACAGAGTATCTTTTTTTCATTAAAAGTCCAAAACAAAACTATAAGCCATTGTGAAGGCCCTAGCTAAGGGATACAGGCTCAGTAAAAGACAGAGACTTGAGCTGGTCTTGGTGGCTCACACCTTGCAAGAGTCTGAATCTCCCCAAATTGCAAACCCCAGGTGGGGTCACAGAACTGGTTGAGCCAGATTACCGGTCTGGGTGGTGTCAGCTGGTACATTGGAATGCAGGGTCTGCATAATATCTGAAGCACTCATCATAGGTTTTACAACAATGATGTTATTACCAGGAGCAATTTGGGGAGGTTCAGACTCTTATAAGGTGTGAGCCACCAAGCCCAGCTCAAGTCTCTGTCTTTTACTGAGCCTGTATCCCTTAGCTAGGGCCTTCACAATGGCTTATAGTATTGTTTTGGACTTTTAATGAAAAACAACATACTCTGTAAAATATTTTAAAGAGATTTATTCTGAGCCAGTATGAGTGACCATAGCCCAGAAAAAACACAAACCAAAGAAGCCTTTAATAAGCAGCCCCAAAGTGGTTGGATTACAGTTTGGTTTTATACATTTTAGGGAGACAGGAGCTACAGAAAATGACATAAATCGATACAGGGAAGGTATACATTGATTCAACCCAAAAAGGCAGGACATCCCAATGCAGAGTCTTACTAGTCATTAGGTGAGTTTTAGGAATTCTTTAGTTGACAATCCATTGAGATAATTAAGCTATTAACTAAAGACTTGAAGACAGTTAAAAAAAAAATGCCTAAGTTAAGATAAAGGAGTTGTGGGGGCCAAGGCCTTCGTTACGCAAATGAAGACTCATAGATCACAGCCCTCAAAGAGAATAGATGTCAAATGTCTCTTTTCAGATTTTTAAAGGTGTCAGATTCTCAGTTAATCTCTCCTAGATCCAGAAAAGGCCTAAACAGGGAAGGCCTGGCTGCATTTATGGAGATCTCCACAGCCTCAAATTTCTCCCACCAAAAATAGCTTTGCAAGGCCATTTCAGTCTGCTGGCACTGTGGCAGTCATTTCAAAATATGTCAAAGAAATATATTTTGGGGTAAAATATTTTGATTGCTTTTAGGGCCTGCTGTCATGTGATGTTATAACAGAGTTAGTTTGAAAAGAAGCCACATTATACCAGGTTAACAACAACAAAAAAAACTTGTTTAAGGAGATTTTATGGGCTGTAGAGTGTGACTTAACCTTTACTTGAATGGGCTTAAGTCTTGTTTATAATTTAGTATATTAATGCTGCAAATGTCCATTTTGCCAGTCTTATGATCTCTATTTTAATTTTAATGTGGGTGAATTGTGTCTAAACTCCAAAAGGGAGGGAGTGTAACAAGATGTGTTTGACCTTCCTTCCTTCCTGTCATGGCCAGGGATCCAGTTTTTCAGGTTTCTCTGGGCTCCCCTTGGCCAACAGGGGGTTCACTCAGTCAGTAGGGGGCTTAAGGTCTTATTTTTGCCTTACAGTATCCTTACCCCTAGACCTTAAGAGAAAGAAAAAAGCTAGAGAGTGCTAAAATTGAGTACTTCCCTGCTGCTGCCTTGAAGGCCACATCGGCCTGGAGTTGGGTATTTCCCTTCCCTAGTGAGAGAGGAGAAAGGAAGAAACCAGTCAGGCAGTCAGTTAGGGTGGATCCTTGGTTAGATTCTCTCAAACAAAAGAAAAGCCTAAAAAAATCAAGCTGCAGGCACAGATAAGGGAACTTGTACAGATGGGCTTGCCTAAGACATGCTCGCAGCTGCATAGATAAGAAAGGCTACAAAGGTGACTTGCCCAGACACACCTGCAATGGAAAATTCCATCCCTTAACACATGCACAGTAAGTGGAGCAAAGCAATATGGAGTAACTCAAGCTAAGGGCCCACATGCGCATTTGGACGATGGGGTGGAGCTACCAGAAATTAGCACCTTACGCAAATGAGATGCCCAGCCCTCATCAGTTTCTTATGAAACTCTTTGCATTGAACTGTTAAAATGGCAACCCTTTTTTGGAACCCCTTTCTATGACAGATAGCTTTCTCTCTTTCTTTCTCTTATTAAACTTCTGCTCTAAACTCACCCTTGGAGTGTCCACATTCCTGATTTCCTCAACTGTGAGACAAAGAACTTCGGGTGGCACCCCAGACAATGAGGCTGCTTCACCAGGTTAGTTATCTGGTAAAACTACAATAGGTTAAGCTCTGGTAAAATACTTTCTCGTGAAGGCAGACCTTATCAAAAAAAAAGGAAAATCTGGGTGTATTTAAAAATGGTTACTTTCCTTTCTCCCTACTGGAAGCATGAAGGACGTTTTCTGAGATCTTTCATGTGAAAACCTGTTAGGGCTCCTGGAGGTGTTACCCTCCTCCCACAAGGCTAAGCCTGCAGGAGGATTTTTAAATGCAAGTTAAAGAAAAAAAACCTGTGGCCTTGGGAAGCCCATGTGTTTACCTATGCCCTTACATTGCCTGTGCAGTGAACACTGAATAAATCACAGTACAAGTAAAAGGAAAAATACTGGTGGACCTTAGAGAAGATGTTGATCAATGGAATGTGTCTAGTACATTGAGTTTTGTCCTGAAGTTTGCTAAAAGTTTCTTTCTGTGGTTCAGCCACCTGTGCTTGCTAAGTGCACTAAGGAGCACCCATGAACATTAGGCCCTTACCCTACCAGAGAGACTGGGGAATAGAGGCACTGTCTTCCTTGATGTAATTATCCTTGGTGATTACATTTCAAAGGGATGGCTCTCAGGTACTTGAGAAAGATAGTATTGATTGTAATATTGGCCAATGTCTTTTGAAAAATATTTATATCTCAAAGGGATAGAAAAAGTATGTACAATTACATGTTGTCTAAAGTAAAGGTTCTAAAGAAAGTAGGTCAGGTGCCTAGAGCCAGGAACTCTAAAGTCAAATAAAACTGTGGAAAATGTTAGGCAATCTTGGTCACCATCATGTCTCACTTAGATTATTGCAGTAGCCTCCTTGCTTTTGCCCTAAATGACCCTGTTAAAGATAATAAAATGGTAACTCCTCCTTAAAAAAAAAATTAAAAATTTAAAAACAAACAGTTTATATCTTACTCTGACAAAAAAAAAAAAATCAATGGAATGGCCATCCAGATATTTCACAATCTGCAGCATATCTCAGCACAAAATTCTAGCAGCATAAAAACATATATATTTATTTAATTAACAAGCATGTGGGTCAGTTGAAGGATCTGATTTATGCTGAGCATTGCTGGGTGACTGCTGAGCTAGGCTGGGTCCGCTGGATAGGCTCTGTTCTGCCTCCTGGGGCACTGGTCCTCTTTCTAGAAACACTGGGCTAACCCAGGCATATTGTTCTCATGACTGTGGCAGAAATGCAGGAGGGCAAGTAGACAAATGTGAGGACTCTCAAAAGGATAAAGTTGAAATTGGCGCACTATCATGTCTGCTTCACATTACTGGGCAAAGCAACTCACTTAGTCAAACACAAGGTCAAGGAACAGAGAAATGAGCACCACCCTTTTAAGTGGGAGATACTGCAAAGTTAATAGCAAATGCAGCGAGTATAAAGAGGGGTCCAAAATTGAGGCCCATTCACTATTCATCCCAGAAATTATACAATATGTTTTGCTAATTTGTTCTGTTTTCCGTGTCTCTACTTTCACCAGAATGAACCATGAGGAATTTCCACTTGTTTTGTATACTGCTTTGTCTTCCATGTCTGAAACAGTGCCCATTGAAAGTGGTCAGTAAATATATTTAAATATATTAATGTATAAATGATTACCTAAAATTATAACTAAAGTGATAAATTACATTAGGTAAATATGTGTAAGACATATAAATAGAATGGAAGAGGTTGTTTTGGAAGGAATATCAGAGAAGGCTTAAATAAAAGATGTTGCATTAAGTCCATCCTGAAATTTGAAGAAATATTATGGGACAGAGAGTGTTGGTCACTGTAAGCGACTCAAAAGAAACCTACTTCACAACTTACGTATATTTGGATCAGGTTTACTTTCATAATCAAATTAACATAAACATATTTCTTATGAATCAGGAAGCTAAGCGTCCCTCAAGAGTCCGTCTACAATTTGGCAACTGATATTCCATGCAATATCTTCATATTTTCCCCTCTACCCTAGCTACCACGTGTCAACATCGGGTCTCCTTAACACCTCTGTTGACAGTATCAGTGCTGCCATCACTAACTGAACCCATCATAGGAGGTCTATTGTCCTTGTTAAGAGAAATAATACCCAGGTCCTGAAGCTGCTCAACCCACCAGATCTTGAAGAAATAGGTCAATGTTGAGTTCCAGGCAGAAGCAGGGCTGCTTATTGCCACCTGTGTCCTGAAGCAACCAAGCCCCTGCCCAGTCCCACAGAGCCTTTCAAGAAAGGAGCTCTATTGGCTCCCAACCTCTTCTAGTCCCACTACAGAAGCTTAAAGACTATCCAAGGCAGAAGGCAGGTGCATATCCATTCAAACTCATTTTTCAGTCCTCTCTTCTGTAGCCCCTGCTACCAAACCATTTCCCATTTACAAAAGAAAACTCTTCATGCATCTCAAAAGATAGGAGGCAGTAAGAAGTATGAGAAGTGAGGTTGCCAGATAAAATATAAAACACTCTGTTACTACTTAAATGATTTCAGATAAATAATGAAAACATATTATCAGAATAATAATGTTCTATGCAACATTTGTTACATACATATACTAAAAATTATTCATAATATTTTGAGAATTTAAATTTTTCTGGTGTCTTGTATTTTTATTTACTAAACCTGGAAACCCCAATAAGGAATTGTGCATTATTCACTTGAATATTGCCTTATTAACAGCTTGGCCAGACAAAAGGCCAGTTGCATATTTTTCGTCTCTATGTGTCTTGAAAATTGCAGGTGGTTGGCCGGGCACGGTGGCTCACACCTGTAATCCCAGAACTTTGGGAGGCCAAGGTGGGTGGATCAGGAGGTCAGGAGATTGAGAGCATCCTAGCTAACACAGTGAAACCTCGTCTCTACTAAAAATACAAAAAATTAGCCAGGCATGGTGGTGGATGCCTGTAGTCCCAGCTACTCAGGAGGCTGAAGCAGAAGAATGGCATGAACCCAGGAGGCAGAGCTTGCAATGAGCCAAGATTGCACCACTGCACTCCAGCCTGGGCAACAGAGCATGACTCCATCTCAAAAAAAAAAAAAACAAAAAAATGCAGGTGGTCAAACTTTGTTAAAGTTTGTTAGTATAAGTTTAACAAACTTTGTTAGCATAAGTTGTTAGTTTAGAGAATCAAGTAGAGTGATAGGTCTGTGCAAAATGAACTGGGTAGGATGTTGAAATAGTGGGAGATTCAGGAAAGAAACTAACAATCAGATTGACGATGGAGAAAAAATAATTTTGAAAGCAGAGTTTCAGACTATTTAAATCCATGAGATCAACACAAAAAAAGTGAAGATAGAAAGATAGAATAAAAGTAAATATGTTGAAATTGGTAATATTGTGAGGTAAGGGAAAATACGATTTAATAACAAAGATTTAAATCTAAGAAAAGAGGAATAGCAAGGGTCCTCCAAAGTCTTACAAGAAGTGGATATTTGAAGGCTTTTAGTTTTAGTTAGCAATATTCCCCAAACCTGCTTTAAACCAATTCTATGCAGCTTAGTATTTTTCAGGAGAGATGTATTCATAAGCATTATTGCAAGGAAGTACCAGGTCCCAGTGGTCACTGAGAAGCTGTGCCATCTTAGGCAGTCATTTAATATCTCTCAGCCTTTGTTTCATTTTAAAAGTAATTCAATATATGTGTATAAACCACCAACTCTCTGGGCTTGGTAGTGCTCTAGATATAGAGGATATTGCAATGAATTTTAAAAGTTTTCATTTATGGAGCTTAGAGCTAAATAGGAGAAAAAGAAAATAAATCAGCACACAGATATTATGTCAGATAGTGGTAAAAAGCTATGAAAAAAAATAGAGTTATACTGGTGGGGTGGGGATTGGGATTGAAACTTTATAAGGAGACCTGATGCAGTGAGACAGGCAAATGCATTTGAAGATAGGGGATAAGTGCAAAGGTCTTAAGGTAGCAGTGTGCTAGGAAGTGCACTAGGAACAGCAATGAGACCTGGTGAGCAGTAAAGAGAGTGGAAGAAAATGTCAGTCAGAAGAGAGAATCCAGCATGAAGGGAGCCTTCAGGACAAGAGATGGCTTCAGGATTGAAACCGAAATGCGCCACGAAGCCTTTGGAGGGTGAAGATCAGGGGATCATTCAGGCTACTGGGCAAATAACAAACTGTAGAGTTAGAGAATATCCATTTGGGAGATTTTTGTTGTAATTCAAATTAGAGATAATGATTGCTTAGAGGAGGGTGGTAATGGTGGAGACTGTCATACATGAGGTGGGTGGTAATGGTAGAGACTGTCATACATGGTACAGTTCTGGGTGGATTTGATGTACAGTCTGAGAAGACATGAACAAATAAAAATGACTTACTCCAAATTTTTAGCTTGAGAAACTGTTCAAAAACTGTTCAATTTACTAAGATGGAGAACATGAAGGATGGAGCAGATTGGAACTAGGGGTTGGGAAGACAAAGTTCTGGTTTAGATAGGTAAAATTTGAGTGGAAATATTTAGATGGAAAATTAAGTCAATAGCCCACTGTGTATTTCTGCAGCTCTGGAGGTAGGTTGGAGCTGGTAATATTAGTTGGGAACCATTAGCATGTGACCCTCTCATAATTGTAAAAGGTATTACAAGACCCCTAATCTGATTTATGTATTTTGTATACATTGTTTCATAATCTCCCTTCTAAATTTTCTTTCTGGAAACTTTAAATAAGAAGCAACTCTTTAATTCTCAAAAGATTATACTCTGAAATTACATTAGCAGTTAGATTTTTAAAAAATTGAGTAAAAATTTGATTTCCTGAAATATTTCTTGGTTGGTCATTATTCAGTCTTAACAAATTACACAGAAAGTCCACATAAGAGACTTTAGAACATACAAAAACAGTCCTTCTGATGTACAGCTTCTCTGTTCTGCATTAGACCCTCTCACCTTTTGTTTGTTTGTTTTTGTTTTTTTTTTGACACAGAGTCTTGCTCTGTCACCCAGGCTGGAGTGCAGTGGCGTGATCTCTGCTCACTGCAAACTCCGTCTACTGGATTCAAGAGATTCTTCTGCCTCAGCCTCAGCCTCTCAAGTAGCTGGGATTACAGGCATGTGTCATCACGCTCAGCTAATTTTTGTAGTTTTAGTAGAGACAGGGTTTTGTTCTGTTGGCCAGGCTGGTCTCGCACTCCTGACCTCACGTGATCCACCCCGCTTGGTCTCCAAAAGTGCTAGGATTACAGTCATGAGCCCACTGCGCCTGGCCACTTCTCAACGATTCTTCTATACCCTGTAATTTTAAGTCGTCTAGACCTTCTACAGTAGTCCCTCCTTATCCACAGTTTACATTTTCCATGGTTTCAGTTATTTGCAGTATAGTACAGTGAGATATTGTGTGAGAGAGACCACATTCATATAACTTTTTATTACAGTATATTGTTATAATCATTCCATTTTATTATGAGATACTGTTCTTAATCTCTTACTGTGCCTAATTCCTAAATTAAATGTTATCACAGGTACCTGTGCATAGAAAATATAAAATATAGAGGGTTTGGTACTATATGCAGTTTCAGGCATCCAAGAGGAGTCTGCAGGTTAGGGGGAGCGACAGTACTACTTTAAACTTCCCTTACAGATATGCTAATGGTTAACGATGCCCCTTGCAAAGTTTATGGCTCTTCGCATCATTTATTCTGAGCTGAAAGAAAAATGGACACCCAAATCTTTTGCACAGCTCCACGATCCCATGTCTCTCCATGGAGGAAAGGTCTACAATATTTAAGAGAAAATAAAAAATAAAGAGCAATATTTTTTATAACCACGATAAAGTTTCATTTTACATAGGAAGTATACTTTTAGTTAATTGAAAATGAAATTCCTTAGGCTGCTGATACCCTCTGGTAAATACTTCTACTTCATTTGAAGTAAAAGTGATTCTACTTCATAGAATTTACAAATGTAGTAATTTTTTCTGAATCTGCCAAACTGACTTAAAACCTCTATTTTTTAAGAAAAAACGCAATGGAAGATTCACTGCAGAAAAAAATAAATAAAACAAACAGTTGTGAATGGCTAGTGAAGGAGGATGAAAAATATTATCTTGCGTGCAGAAGCAACAATAGAAAGCCTTGAATAACTATATTTAATTGTCTATGTTAAAAACAAATTACTGTTGTTTCCTTAAAAGCTTTTCTTATCATGTACAGAAGAAGGCACACAGTAGATGTTCTGCATTTTGACTTCAGTAAAATGCCTGTTAAAATGTGTCGTGAAATATAACCCAGAAAATTGGTTTAAATTGACTTGCAAAAAGACACTGTAGTATGAATTAAAAACTAGATAAATCATGAGAAAGATCAGTGATCATTGCAACTGTGGCCTCTCTGTTTGAGGTCTTAGTGTTTAGTTAACCTTTTTATTAGGGATGTTTTTATCACTGCAGTCTGCAAATGTAGCAGTTTAGAAAATGCCTGATTCGCACTGGTACTCAGATGAGCTGTATATTGGATTAAAGATGACCACAAATCATGTGACACTATTTCCATCAAAATGTGGAGTTTATTTCCCATTCCCATAAATGTGGGCAAGTTCCGTGACTGCTTTGACCAATAGGATACAGAAGTGACCCTGTGATAATTTTCTGATCCAGAGCTATAATCTCCTACTCCTATTTCACAGAATATGTAATTTTTGACTTGTTCCCTCTGGGATCTCAGCCATTCTCCTGTGAGAAACCCAAACTGCACAGTAAAGGCACACATAGGAGCTTCAGAAGACAGACTAGCTGAACTGCAAGATGATAGCAAGGATCAACTGCTGCCTTTGTGGTAAAACTACCCAGCCCAATAGTGTCAATGCATGATGCCAGTCCCAGCCGCCATCTGATGACAATTGCATAAGGAATCCCAGGCAACAACTCCAAAGAAGCCCTGCAACCCACAAAACTATGAGAGATTATATGTTTCAGGTGGAGCTGGGGGTGGTTGTTCAACAGCAGTAGACAACTGCAACATCCTGTCAAATAGAGGCCAATGTCGTATATAAAACATAAAAATATCATCCCTCAGCACAAGGAGATGCTCCCATTGATTTACATTGAAAAGCATTTGAGGATACATATACTGAATATTGAGATAAATCTGCATACAAATTTAATCTCTAACCCTCCAAAAATCTTTCATAAATCTATTTTTTAAATTTCTCTTTGAAAGTCAGTGAAAGGAGAAAATAGTTTTGCTGTATCTGCTTTATTAGATAGTCTGATTTATTTAGTTATATTAAAAATATACATATATTATTTTAAAAGGTTAATAGGACTTATTTTTATTATTTTACTGATGTTGGATGATATTATACAGATGTCAGATTATATTTTAATAGGCAAACGGAATTTAAGCTGTATTTAAATTTATAAAAAAAAAAGCATTCTAAAGCAAAACAAAGTATCTCCTGTGTAAACAGTATTTACCATTTCAAAGAATAAGTGTGACACTTATGAAATAGTGGTGAACATAGTAGCCTTTTAGCCCCTAGTAGGCCCTCAACAACAACCTGTTAATCAACTGATTGATGGACTAGTCTACACACAGAGGTTCCATGTCATAAAGACAGACAACTTTGTACATCTTGGTTATATCCTGCATGCAAGGAAATGCTTCAGGCCACAAGGCAAACGCATTTATATAAATCAACATCTGCAGGACTCTTAAGTCTTTCTATCATCAATCTTTATCTAACTCTTTGACAGTTTATGTCATAGTATTAAACACCCCAGTACAATCTGGGTCTGGATTTTAGACATGGCAATTGATTCCAGACTGTCTTTAATTCTTTAAAAGAGTAAGAGAGAGATTTGAGTCAACTTGCTATTCTTTTTCCATAGAAATTATACACAGGAATTAAAATGCTGACATTTAAGTATCTCATAATGCTTTGAGAACTAATTTAGATTTTCTCTTTGCAAAAATCTTTTGAATAAAAAAATTGGAAAGAGCAACCAGACACTTCAAATACTATGAACTTTGAAATTGCCACCTCCATTTAAAAAAAAAAATTCTTTATCTCCCTGCATTCTAGAACTCTGATCAGCAAATGCAGTCTGTCACCAACTTTGACTGGGACTCATGCCAACGCTGAAAATTTTCACCTTATCAAGACTCTTTAACCTCTTTCTATGTGTGCCACTTTGCTTAAAAGGGATGAGTCTGAAAGAAAAGACAGTGGGTTTATATATAAAGTCAGCCTGGTGAGAAGAATGAGGAAGGGAGTAATGTGAAAATGTCAGAAAAAAATGATGCTTTCTTGGCATTCCCCGCCTTTTGGTATGTGTGGGAGACCTTTTTAGTATTTCCACCAGAATAGAGGGACACAAATAAAATTGGGATGAGATACAGAATTTCTCCTCCTGATATTTCCTTTATCCCAAAATATACTTGAATCAGAGGAAGAATAAAACACTTTTTCTCCTTTCTGTAGGTCCTTATTTTTCTCTCAGTTGCTTTTTTAACCACTGCTTATATTGAATCTCAGAATACAATGTGTGTGTTGTGGGGGTAGGGCATGTATGGAGTGTATGAAAGTATTTTTTAAACAAGTTAAATCCTGAAGTTTTGAAGTAGATAGCAAGGTTACAGAGGGTGTCACATTGGGAGACATTTGGCAGCAGGTTTTTTCATGCTTTATCTATTAGATGGTAAACATGACTGTTTTGGAAAGTTTCCCTAATTCTCTGTTGGATGTTGTTTCACAGAGATTATCAGCCTAAGTGAGACAAAAATGAATCTGCAAAAATGAAACATTATATAGAGTTGTACTACATTTAAGGTCCTAGAAATGTTTCTCGAGACATCTGACATAAAAACCAAAATGCCAAGTTCAGACTCAAAATTTCACTGATGAGTTTTATCAAATATTTAAATAAGCAGTGTTATACAAACTCTTCTAGTGAAGAGAAAAAAGAGAAATATTGACCAATTTGTTTTATGGTCAATAAAAAATACGCAGTAGGTAATTACATGACAGGAAAATTGCAAGTCGATTTTTCTCATAAGCAGAGATATAAAAATGTATATATACATAAAATAAAACCTTAAAAATAGAAAATTTAATCTAGAGATACATAAAATGGATACCACAATTCAGTTTAGAAATAACATTATTACGAGAAAAACATCTAAGCATGTGGAAAGATATATTAAGAAAATAGATTAGAATATCAGGATTTTCAAGATGAATCTTCTCCCAAATAGCATTTACGCATTTATTACAATTACAATTAAAATACTAGTTTTTTTCTTCCTGGCATAAGTGGTTGGCTTATTCTAAAATTTACATGGAAATGAAAAGGGCCAAAAGAGCAAGAGAATCTTGAGAAAAAAAAAAGGGGGCAAGCTTGAGGTATTACCAAAAATTAACATAATATTAAATCAACAGTACTTTATTAAGACAAAACATAGGCCAATGAGACAGAACACAGAATGGAGAAATAAAATCATACATATATGAAACAGCATTCAGAGTTGAGCAACAGATCCCTACATATATGTCACTTGATTGATAATAAAGATAACACTGAAATTTAAAAGTCAAGTTAAGTCTTTTCAATAAAATTTCTAGGTCTTGGATATCAATATGAATAATTTTCAATCTTGATCCACAACTCACACCATGCAGAAAACACCATCTGGACTGTAGATCAAAATGTGGAAAGTAAAACAACGAAGCTTCTATAAAATAATACAGGAAAAATTCTTCATAAACTTGAGGTAGGTAAGAATTCCTTAATCAGGACACATAAAGCACTAATTATAAAGGATGAAATGATAAGTAATACTATATCAAAATTTTACATTTTTATCTATCAAAAGATGTCATCAAGTAAAAAGGCAAAACACAAACTGGGAAAATATAGAGCACATATCACACACACACACACACACACACACACATATACACACACACGCACACAACTTTTATCCAGAAAATATTTCTAAATTAAACAAACAATAAGAAAAAAGATAACACAGCAAATATTTCAAAACCAAAAGGAATATCCAACTGGTTGACAAACGCATAATAAGGTGCTCAAGATTTTTAGTCATCAAGGAAATGCAAATTAAAACCAAAATGAGATATTACTATATACCCACTAGAATGACAAAAATAAAAATATTGACATTAATAGGTAGTCAAGCAACTAGAATTCTCATCAACTATTAGAGTATTTTTGTTATTATTGGTAGAAAATGTTATTGGTGGAATTATTTTGGTGGAATAATTTTTATTGGTGGAAATAAAAATTTTTTGACCACTTTAGTAGGAATAAAATTTGTTGAACCTTTTGGGAGAACAATGTGACTTTCACATTATCTAGGTAAGTTGAACACAGGTATATACTATGACCCTAGAATTTTACTCCTAGGTATATACTAAAGAAAAAAGTATGAATTTTTACCAAGACATGAAAAAAGAATGTTCATAACAGCATTATTTATAGTACATCCCAGACAGAAAACAATCCAAGATTATCAAGATTAAAATATAAACATATGATGATACACGATGAGAACTATGTGACAGTGATAATGTATGAACTTCTTTTACTTGAAACAACACAGGTGAATTTTACATATGCCATGTTGAGCCAAACAGTGTATATATTATATGGTTTCCTTTGTATAAAATTCAAAAATTGGCTAAACTAATTCAAGATAGTGGTTGTCTTTGGGTGAGGGGATAGTGACAAAAGGATCAAGAGATATTTTCTTGGTAGTGGCAATGTTCCTCTTTTTTTTGTCTTCATCTGTTATAGTAGTTACACTATACACCTTTTTTTGTAAAGTATCAAACTCTGTATCTATGAATTGTGTATTTTTCTACTTGAAGGTTATACTTCAATGCAAATTTTGTTTAAAAAAATATTAAAGCATTGTCAGTAGATTTACTTTTGTCAGATTTGACAATTTGATTTGATACTTTATATACAAATGCAAATGGCAAGAAAATTCAAGACTCTCTTGTAAGAAACAAGGCAAGAGGATTTATTATACATGAAATGAAGACATTTTATAGAAAAACATAGGTAAGGCAAGATAAAATTGGTGTAAGAATAGGGAAATAAACCAAGGAAATACAACACAATAATCCAGAACCAAACCCACATGTATATGACTGCTTGAGCTACAAGGAAGGTCACATGTCAGAGCAGTCTTTTCAATAACTGCTAGTCAAGGAAATAGCTAACAAAAACAACAAGAATGATAATAACAACTCATCTAACAGTCAACAATAAACAACAAGTGGCTCATATTCGGAATATAGAGGAACTCTTATAAACCAATAAGAAAAAGCAAAATAACCAATAGAAAAAGAATAAGCAAGAAGCCTAAACAGAAACATCTCAAAAGAATACATCCAAATGAAAAATAAACTCTTGAAAAGGAGCTCAACTTCAGACATCAGGGAAATGATACATGAAATAACAGTGAAATATGATTACAGATTGATAATAATTTTTAAAACTTTCAATATTAATGTTAGAGATCATGTGACACAAGTAGAAATCTCACAGAATATTAGTGGAAGTATAAATTCTCTACAACTACTTGGGAAAAACGTTTTGTCTGTGTCTGCTAAATTTAAACATACTTATGCCCAATGACTAAGCAATTTCACTCCTATATATATACAACAATCATATGCACATATTCTTGCAAATGTTTTGGTGTACATATCTATGAAATAATTGTTAAAATCAGACTAAAATGTTCATCAATAATTCAATGGACACATATGTTGTAGTATAGTCACACAATTGAAATACTACACAATGACAATAAGCAAACCAAAGCTATACACACAAAGATAAATGTAAACAAAATGCTCAATATAAGAAGACACAAATGAAAATATATTAAATTATTCTCTTTATAGTAACTTTTAAATGTGCACAATTGATCTATGGTATTCAAAGTTAGATTACAAAGCTAAAAAGCTTCTGCACAGCAAAGATTAATAACCAGAATATATTAAGAGCTCAAATAGCTCAATAGCAAGAAATCAAATAATCTGATTTTTTAAATGGCCAAGGACGAGGGGACCAAGATGACAAACTAGAAGAAGCTCATGTGTGTCGCCTTCACGGAGAAGAAACAAAAGGGCTAGTGAACACTGACCCTGCAGGCCAATTATCTGAGAAACCATGTTGGGAACCATCAAAGCAGGAGTGAGACACAGAAAGCACACAGGAATGAAGCTTGACACCAGATTGGGCTCAGCATGGAGCCAGGAGAACCTCTCCAACATGGGAAAGGGTGAGTAAGAGACCCCAGGGAGATTCATGCGCTCCACAGAGACCTGTGTAAGACTGGAAATGGGAGAATCCCCTGCTCCACACCCCGTACCCTCCCGGCATGCTTCTAGACTGAGGCAGAGAGCCACAGGACATTTTGCCCGGGCAACTCTTGAGTCCAACAGGACATTTATAAGCCTCGTGCCTTGGAGCAGACCAGCACCGGTGCCATAGCCCAGTAGAGACTGCAGTTGTGGTGCCTGAGAGCAGTAAGATTGCTCCACCTCTAGCTCCTCACCAGATGGAGCTGACAGCTTTCTACTCAGTGGTCCCACTTTGGCCTAAAGTCAGCTGGACACTTTACACACCCCTGCCAGTGGTGGTCAAGCAGACAATGCCTGCTAGAACTTCTGGCCCAGTAGTCACACTTCTGTGTGGACCCAGTCATAGGGCACAGCCTCTTGTTGTTGTGGGACATGCCTGGACTGCAGGGCAGGTAACTCCAGCCACCCCCACCAGTAGAAGCCAGGTGGGCAATGCCTGCTAGAGTTTCTGGCCAAGTGGTCCATTTCTGTGGGAACTTAGCTAAAGCGCAGCCTCCTGTTGTCCCTGGAAGCACCTGGACGCACCTGGACAGCAGGGCAAGCGACTCCATCCACCCCTGCTGCTGATAGCCAGGCTGGCAATGCCTGCAAGAACTTCCGGCTCGCTGGTACTGTTTCTATAGGAACTTAGTTAGTGGGCAAAGCCTCCTGTTGTCTGAGAGAGCACCTGGATGGCAAAGTGGGTATCCCGATTCAACTCTACCACTGGAAGCCAGGTGAGCCACGCCTCCTAGAGCTTTCAACCCAGTAGTCCCACTTCTGCCTAAATTTGCTGAAGGGTACACCCTACTATTGCCCTGGAAACATGCAGACAGCAGAGCAGGCAACTCCACTCACCCCTACCTTTCACAGCCAGATGGGCTATACCTGCTGGAGTTTCCAGCCCAGGGAGCCTGCTTCTGCCTGAGCTCTGTGGGCAGGCACAACCCCGTGTTTCCCCAGGAAGCACACGGACAGCAGATTAGGGCTGGCACAGCAAGGATATAGCTTGTCTGTCCACTGTGGGTCCTGCCTCAGGGAGCTCCATGAACCAGAACACCCAGCAAAAGAAATGTAGGCAAGGAGATAGTAATCAGAGGGGCCTCCTTCATGATCCAGGAGTGCACTATAATCAAAACAAGTCAACAGAACCCACCTTATACCGTAACCAAACAATCAAGAGCATTGAAGAAGATAAAAATGAATGAACAAACACATCTAAAGGATAGCAACATCCAACACTGAAGGAATATTAGCTCACACAGATGAGAAAGGACCAGTGCATCACAATAGTTCCCCAGCAATGGTTCTTAACTAGACTGAAATGACAGAAATAGAATACAGTAAATGAATAGGAATAAAGATCATATTCAGGAGATAGATGAAACTCAATCTGAGAATTCTAAGGAATATGATAAAACAATGTAGGAGATGAAAGGTGAAATGGCCATTAAAAAAAAAACACAACAAACTGAGCTGATAGAGCTGGAAAACTAACTTCCAGAACTTCAGAATACAGTAACAAGCATTAAGGGCAGAATTGACCACTGAGGAAAGAATCTCAGAGCTCAAAGATCTGTTCTCTGAAATAACTATCAGACAAAAATAAAGAAAAAACAATAAAGAAGATCGGAAAAAAAAAAAAAAAAACACTGACAAATATGGAATTATATAACAAGACCAAATTTGCAATGCATTGGCACCCCTGAAAGAGAGAAAGCAAGCAACTTGGAAAACACATTTCAGGATATCATTCATGAAAATTTCCCCAACCTTGCTAGAGAGGCCAACATTAAAATTCAGGAAATGCAGAGAAGCCTTGCAAAATATTATACAAAAAAACCATTCCCAAGATACATAGTCATCAGATTCTCTAAGGCTGAAATGAAACACAAAATGTTAAAGGCAGCAAGAAAGAAGAGGCAGATCACCTACAAAGGGAAGCTCATTAAACTAACAGCAGACCTGTCAGCCAAAACTCAACAAGCTAGAAGAGATTGGAGGCCTAGGTAGGTGGGTGCTGGCAGCCAAGATGGCCGAATAGGAACAGCTCCAGTCTACAGCTCCCAGCGTGAGCGATGCAGAAGATGGGTGATTTCTGCATTTCCATCTGAGGTACCCGGTTCATATCACTAGGGAGTGCCAGACAGTGGGGGCAAGACAGTGGGTGCAGCGCACCATGCGTGAGTCGAAGCAGGGAGAGGCATTGCCTCACTCGGGAAGCGCAAGGGGTCAGGGAGTTCCCTTTCCTAGTCAAAGAAAGGGGTGACAGACAGCACCTGGAAAATCAGGTCACTCCCACCCTAATACTGTGCTTTTCCAACAGGCTTAAAAAACGGCGCACCAGGAGGTTATATCCCGCACCTGGCTCGAAGGGTCCTATGCCCATGGAGTCTCGCTGATTGCTAGCACAGCAGTCTGAGATCAAACTGCAAGTTAGCAGCCAGGCTGGGGGAGGGGCGCCCGCCATTGCCCAGGCTTGCTTAGGTAAACAAAGCAGCCGGGAAGCTCGAACTGGGCAGAGCCCACCACAGCTCAAGGAGGCCTGCCTGCCTCTGTAGGCTCCACCTCTGGGGGCAGGGCACAGACAAACAAAAAGACAGCAGTAACCTCTGCAGACTTAAATGTCCCTGTCTGACAGCTTTGAAGAGAGCAGGGGTTCTCCCAGCATGCAGCTGGAGATCTGAGAACAGGCAGACTGCCTCCTCAAGTGGGTCCCTGACCCCTGACCCCCGAGCAGCCTAACTGGGAGGCACCCCTCAGTAGGGGCAGACTGACACCTCACACGGCCGGGTACTCCTCTGAGACAAAACTTCCAGAGGAACGATCAGACAGCAGCATTCACGGTTCACGAAAATCCGCTGTTCTGCAGCCACCACTGCTGATACCCAGGCACACAGGGTCTGGAGTGGACCTCTATCAAACTCCAACAGATCTGCTCCAAAGGAACGCAGTTCCTCACCAGCAATGGAACAAAGCTGGATGGAGAATGACTTTGACGAGTTGAGAGAAGAAGGCTTCAGACGATCAAACTACCGAGCTACAGGAGGAAATTCAAACCGAAGGCAAAGAAGATGAAAACTTTGAAAAAAATTTAGACAAATGTGTAACTAGAATAACCAATATAGAGAAGTGCTTAAAGTAGCTGATGGAGCTGAAAGCCAAGGCTCGAGAACTATGTGAAGAATGCAGAAGCCTCAGGAGCTGATGCAATCAACTGGAAGAAAGGGTATCAGTGATGGAAGATGAAATGAATGAAATGAAGCGAGAAGGGAAGTTTAGAGAAAAAAGAATAAGAAGAAATGAACAAAGCCTCCAAGAAATATGGGACTATGTGAAAAGACCAAATCTACGTCTGATTGCTGTACCTGAAAGTGACAGGGAGAATGGAACCAAGTTAGAAAACACTCTGCAGGATATTATCCAGGAGAACTTCCCCAATCTAGCAAGGCAGGCCAACATTCAGATTCAAGAAATATAGAGAATGCCACAAAGATACTCCTCGACAAGAGCAACTCCAAGACACATAATTGTCAGATTCACCAAAGTTGAAATGAAGGAAAAAATGTTAAGGGCAGCCAGAGAGAAAGGTCGGCTTACCCACAAAGGGAAGCCCATCAGACTAATAGCAGATCTCTTGGCAGAAACTCTACAAGCCAGAAGAGAGTGGGGGCCAATATTCAACATTCTTAAAGAAAAGAGTTTTCAACCCAGAATTTCATATCCAGCCAAACTAAGCTTCACAAATGAAGGAGAAATAAAATCCTTTACAGACAAGCAAATGCTGAGAGATTTTGTCACCACCAGGCCTGCCCTAAAAGAGCTCCTGAAGGAAGCACTAAACATGGAAAGGAACAACTGGTACCAGCCACTACAAAATTATGTCAAATTGTAAAGACCATCGAGGCTAGGAAGAAACTGCATCAAGTAACGAGCAAAATAACGAGCTAACATCAAAATGACAGGATCAAATTCACACATAACAATATTAACTTTAAATGTAAATAGACTAAACCCTCCAATTAAAAGACACAGACTGGCAAATTGGATAAAGAGTCAAGACCCATCAGCGTGCTGTATTCAGGAAACCCATCTCATGTGCAGAGACACACATAGGCTCAAAATAAAAGGATGGAGGAAGATCTACCAAGCTAATGGAAAACAAAAAATGGCAGGGGTTGCAATCCTAGTCTCTGATAAAACAGACTTTAAACCAACAAAGATCAAAAGAGACAAAGAAGGCCATTACATAATGGTAAAGGGATCAATTCAACAACAAGAGCTAACTATCCTAAATATATATGCACCCAATACAGGAGCACCCAGATTCATAAAGCAAGTCCTGAGTGACCTACAAAGAGACTTAGACAACCACACAATAATAATGGGGGACTTTAATACCCCACTGTCAACATTAGACAGATCAATGAGACAGGAAGTTAACAAGGATACCCAGGAATTGAACTCAGCTCTGCACCAAGCGGACCTAATAGATATCTACAGAACTCTCCACCCCAAATCAACAGAATATACATTTTTTTCAGCACCACACCACACCTATTCCAAAATTGACCACATAGTTGGAAGTAAAGCTCTCCTCAGCAAATGTAAAAGAACACAAATTATAACAAACGTCTCTCAGACCACAGTGCAATCAAACTAGAACTCAGGATTAAGAAACTCATTCAAAACCACTCTACCACATGGAAACTGAACAACCTGCTCCTGAATGACTACTGGGTACATAACAAAATGAAGGCAGAAATAAAGATGTTCTTTGAGACCAACGAGAACAAAGACACAACATACCAGAATCTCTGGGACACATTCAAAGCAGTGTGTAGAGGGAAATTTATAGCACTAAATGCCCACAAGAGAAAGCAGGAAAGATCCAAAATTGACACCCTAACATCACAATTAAAAGAACTAGAAAAGCGAGAGCAAACACATTCAAAAGCTAGCAGAAGATAAGAAATAACTAAAATCAGAGCAGAACTGAAGGAAATAGAGACACAAAAAACCCCTCAAAAAATTAATGAATCCAGGAGCTAGTTCTTTGAAAGGATCAACAAAATTGATAGACCGCTAGCAAGACTAATAAAGAAGAAAAGAGAGAAGAATCAAATAGATGCAATAAAAAATGATAAAGGGGATATCACCACCAATCCCACAGAAATACAAACTACCATCAGAGAATACTACAAACACCTCTACGCAAATAAACTAGAAAATCTAGAAGAAATGGATAAATTCCTCGACACATACACCCTCCCAAGACTAAACCAGGAAGAAGTTGAATCTCTGAATAGACCAATAAAAGGCTCTGAAATTGAGGCAATAATTAATAGCCTACCAACCAAAAAAGTCCAGGACCAGACGGATTCACAGCCGAATTCTACCAGAGGTACAAAGAGGAGCTGGTACCATTCGTTCTGAAATTATTCCAATCAATAGAAAAAGAGGGAATCCTCCCTAACTCATTTTATGAGGCCAGCATCATCCTGATACCAAAGCCTGGCAGAGACACAACCAAAAAAGAGAATTTTAGACCAATATCCTCGATGAACATTGATGCAAAAATCCTCATTAAAATACTGGCAAACTGAATCCAGCAGCACATCAAAAAGCTTATCCACCATGATCAAGTGGGCTTCATCCCTGGGATTCAAGGCCGGTTCAATATACATAAATCAATAAATGTAATTATGAGCTTTTTTTCACATGTCTGTTGGTTGCATAAATGTCTTTTTTGGAGAAGTGTCTGTTCATATCCTTCACCCACTTTTTGATGTGGTTGCTGGTTTTTTTCTTATAAATATGTTTAAGTTCCTTGTAGATTCTGGATATTAGACCTTTGTCGGATAGATTGCAAAAATTTTCTCCCATTCTGTAGGGTGCCTGTTCACTCTGATGATAGTTTATTTTGCTGTGCAGAAGCTCTTTAGCTTAATTAGATCCCATTTGTCAATTCTCACTTTTGTTTCAATTGCTTTTGGTGTTTTTGTCATGAAGTCTTTGCCCATGTCTATGTCCTGAATGGTATTGCTTAGGTTTTCTTCTAGGGTTTTTATGGTTGGAGGTTTTAATTTCAGACAAAACAGACTTTAAACTGACAATGCTGGAAAAAGACAAAGAATGGTATTACATAAAGGTAAAAGGCTCAATTCAAGAAGAACATTTAACTATCTTAAATATATATGTACCCAATCCAGGAGCACTCAGATTCTAAAGCAATTTCTTAGAGAGCTACAAACAAACTTAGGTAACTACACAATAATAGTGGGAGACTTTAACACTCCACTGACAACATTAGATCATTGAGGCAGAAAATTAACAAAGATATTCAGGACCTGAACTCAACACTTGAGCAAATGGTCCTAATAGGCATCTATATAGAAGTCTTTATCCAAAACCGACAGAATATCCATCCCATCTGTACATGACACATACTCTAAAATCAACCAACCAATAAGACATAAAACAATCATAAAACCAAGATTATACCACCCACTATCTTAGACCATAGCACAATAAAAATAGGAATAAATATTAAGAAAATCGCTGAAAGTCATATGATTACATGGAAATTAAACAACATGTTCCTAAATGACTTTTGGGTAAATAATGAAATCAAGGAAGATACCAAGAAATTCTTTTAAACTAATGAGAACAAAGATATAACATACCAGGATCTCTGGGACACACCTAAGGCAGTGATAACAGGGAAGCTTGTACCACTAAATATCCACATCAAAAAGTTAGAAAGAGCTTAAAACAACAACCTAACATCACAATTGGAGGAACTAGAAAAACAAGAGCAAACCAACCCCAAAACTAGCAGAAGGCAAGAAATAACCAAAATCAGAGCTAAACTGGAGGAAATTGAGACACAAAAAGTTATACAAAAGATGAACAAATCCAGGAGTTGGTCCTTTAAAAAAATTAATAAGATAATTAAGCTAGACTAATGAAGAAAAAAATCCAAAAAAAACACACTCAAAAGGACAGGGAATAATAGATTCTGGTGAGGATGGATGAAGGGAGCCCTGGTACACTGCTGATGGAAATGTAAATTAGTACAGCCACTATAGAGAATAGTATGGAGGTTCCCTAGAAAACTAAAAATAGAACTGCTATATTATCCAGCAATTCCACCACTGGGTATATACCTAAAAGAAAGAAAATCAAGAAAATCAATATTTCAAAGACATAATCTGCAATCCCATATTTATTACAGCACACTATTCACAATAGCCAAAATACGGAATCAAGCTAAGTGCCCATCAGTACATGAGTGAATAAAGAAAATGTGATATATATATATTTATATATATATTTATATATATACACACACACACAAATAATGGATTACTATTCAGCCAAGAAGATAATGAAACCATATCATTTGCAGAAACATGTATGAAACTAGAGGCCATTAAAGTGAGATAAGCCAAGCACAGAAAGTCAAATGCCACATGATCTCAGTCATATGTGGGAGCCAAATAATAAGTGGGTCTCATGAATATAGGGAGAAAATTGGTTACGGAAAAAAATAATTGGTGATTATCACAGGCCAGAAAAGTGAAAAGGTAGGGAAGAGGTGGAAATAAAGAGAGGTTGATTAACGGGTACAAATATACAGTTTGGTAGAAGAA
Source organism: Homo sapiens (assembly GCF_000001405.40). Taxonomy (NCBI): domain Eukaryota; kingdom Metazoa; phylum Chordata; class Mammalia; order Primates; family Hominidae; genus Homo; species Homo sapiens. The sequence goes on from NC_000003.12 coordinate 35,460,248, forward strand.
ATTAGAGCTAGTGTTTGACAGATTAATAGGATGAGTATAATCTATTGTATATTTCAAAATAACTAGAAGATATATATATATATATCACATTTTCTTTATTAGAGAGGTATATAACACCTATCAATATTTTTTTAAACAACTTGACAATAAATTATTTCAATTACGGTTTCAGGAGTAGACGAGTCCCTGTAGCTGTATAAAACGTAAACATCAAATTCATATAATTAAAAATTAATTCTATTCAACCATGTGAAATATGGCCACAAAACCAATTTTGAATAAAAACCTATACCATGTTAAAACACGAAGTGACTAGTACAATCAGAATCTGAGGGGGAGGAGAAGTGAGAACATGTGAGAGTGAAATATATTCATCTTTCATTTATAGTATTGATTGATGCCGCTAAAATTGAAACATGTAGTTTCATAAAAGAGACCCCAACTTCTTGATTTTTTTCTTCCTTCCCTAACCTAAAAGAGATTGTTTAGGGAACTATATCACTTGAGATGAAGACACATATTTAAAGTTGAGCAATTTCTTCATTTTCTTTTTGTCTAATAAAAACCAGAAAATTAAGTTTGTGCTTATCATTTAAATGATTTTGGTAATATGATCCAATTTTAATAAAACATTTCCATTTCTCAATTTATCTATTTATATATACTTTAAAATATGACTGAAATCACATTCATCAAATGTTAATAAAGGTTATTTCTGAGTGATTGAATCTGGACTGATTTTTTTAACCTTTATATTTGCTAATTTATGTATTGCTTAAATTCTTCATAAATAGTATACTAACTTTTTTTAACTGAATATAGAAGAATACTATTTTTTAAAGTGAAAGCACACATGTCAAGATTGTATGTTTGTGTTACATTAGCTATATGGATTGTGTGGGGTCTTGTAATTTTTTTATAATTCTAAATGTTTTTAACTTTTGTTAAAAATAATACTAAGAGAAAAGATTCAATGCAAATGGCACAATTCCTCCCTCCCAGCAGGCTCTGTAGACTGACATGAGTGTCCGTTCTTTGAATACACTAGAAAATGATCCAAACAAGCAAAAAATGGATTTTGTTTAGGTTATAAAGAGGGAAGATTTACCTTATGGCACCTGATTGGTTCACAGAGAAGTGGTTCAGGAAGAAACTCACGAAGTGAAGTCACAGCCAGGATTCTGATGCTGCCACCACTGGATGCTAACCAGCATGCTGCCTGATTGTGGCCCCGTAACACTCACCATTGTGCTTTCATTTATACCATGGCCATAATCTCTAATTGACCTGCAACTTTGGGTTACCCTTTGAAGATTCATATTCACGAGCGGAGCATGCAGGTAGTTGGGTTTTGGTTTTGTGCCCTGGCCTAGATGCAAAGGGGTGTGGATAGGAACCATCTTGCTACCTCTTATTTATTTTAGTATTTCTCCCAAAAAAAGAAGTGTCCAAATGACAGGCCTTATAAGTTACATCTTTAAGAAAAGACAAAATGCCAACTATCCCAGGCCTTTTCAAATTTAATGTGCACAGGGATCAGCTGGGTATCTCATTACAATGCAGATTCAAATTCAGAAGGTCTGGGATGGGGCCTTAATTCTACATACCTAACAACCCCTCAGGTGATGCTGATGATAATGAAACACACTGAGTATCAGGGCCCAGCACTACTCTGTCTGCTTCACCGTACTTGGCATATTCTACTTTTTGTTATAATCTCTTTGTCCCCAGCACCCAGCACAGGAACTGGAAGAGCAGGTGCTCAACTGTTGGCTGAACAACTGATTGAATGACTGATTGACTGAATTAATGACTCCTTATCAATGTTTAGGTCCAATATCAAGTTGTATTTTCCCTATAAAACTTTCTCTCATCTCCAAAGGTTTCTGAGTCATGAATAAAACTTCTTTCTCCAATTCCTATAGTACTTATCTTTTGACTATACAGCCATCAATAAATTATTATATCTCATGTAGAAATACTTTGTTCCTTAACTAAATGTAAAATGTCATATAGCAACCAGCTGTGACTAAAAAATTTATTCCTACTGAGTTTGTGATAGACTATGTTTATGTCTATACTCTGGTACTTCTGTGGAGTCTTGATTAAATTATTTAATCTTCAAGTCAGGTAGCACAGTAATGAATGATGTCAACTAATGATTTGATGTTCCATTTTAGTAGATTCAACCTTTAATACTATTCATCTTTTTTAATGAGGTGCAAACAAACAGTACAGGTGTCCTCTTTTCACCTCCCAATTCTATTTGCCCTGGCTCTCCTTCTTAACAGGTTATAACAGACAGTTAATCGATCAATGTGTGAAAGTAGTCAGGAGGAAGAAATAATTCTTGATTGTTTTCAACATCCTAGTCATTAGCATTTTTGTTTCATAATTATATAGCATATTTTGTATTCAGATTTATTGGAAATCATAATTGATCTATGTAATAATGGGTGGGGGCTAGTAAATAAAGAATATAAAATACCTTAATTTAGATAAAATTCTGATTTTAGGACCCTTAAGCTTAGTTAATGTAAACATTTCTAATTTTTTTCTCTTCCAAATTTCCTTTTTATATAGTTTCCAAATGCTCTTTTTAGAGAGCTTGTTTTTCTCTCCTTTCATGTCCAACTGCTTTTTGTTTTCCCAAATTCTCTTATTAGCTCTCATTCTGTTTTGGTGACCACCACTATACAAACGAAATGTATTATGTTTTCCAAACACTTTCTCAATGTCATATCCAAATGTTCATCTTTCACGTTTATGCTGCTTGTCAATTTGATTAAGTTTACCTCCAGTATCTGTCCTCAAAACCCTCCTAAATTCAGCTTCTTGGTCGATAATTTCCTTGCTTTGGTTCTCACTAATGATCTAACTAATCCTCTGATCTTTGTCTTTTCCACCTTATCTCTGCCACTAGAAATGGCCATTCTACAGATTGCTGAACCTTATATAAGATAACTTGTGAACCTGATATTTACTTCAAAAATTTCAATTACTTCTACTATCAAAAGAATGAATTAAACGCTTCTTTGTTTTGAATTCGAGACCTCTATGTTCTAACCATATAGTACCTTTCTTGCTTTATAGCTATTAACCTTTCCTTAAATCAAAATTCCCATTTCTCATCTATTACCCATTCTGCGCTTTTGAAAGTTGAGTCATTATTCAGTTCTCAACACTAATGCTCCCTCTTTCTTAAAGCATCTCCTAATTACAATAGCAGGAATTAAACTTTCATTTTTTTGTTCTCTCACATATTTTTTAACTTTTCATGTTATCCTACTACCAATGTTATTTTTACTCTGCATTATATTTAGTTATTTGCATGCAAGCCCTTCAGCAAGATCTTTGTCTAATCTTTTTATAACTCCCCAAAATACCTAGAATACTGTTTTGCAAATATTAAATACTATTTTTTGTTGAAAAAATAGAATGAGTGAATTAAATTCCTTTGACTGATTTTTAAGACAGACTCATTGAATATGAATTATTTTAATATGACCTATATTGAAAATTCTGATTAAACTTATAATTTAGCTTCATGAAAGCTGAAAATTGGATTTTCCATTAATTTCCTATTACTTAATTTCCCACGTAATTTTCTATTTAATCTATAGGCTACTTAGATGGGTTAGTACTTGTATTAGTCCGTTTTCACATGGCTGTAAAGAAATACCCAAGACTGGGTAATTTATAAAGGAAAGAGATTTAAGTGACTCACAGTTTCACATGGCTGAAGAGGCCTCAGGAAACGTACAATCATGGTGGAAAGTGAACGGGAAGCAATTATCTTCTTCACAAGGCAGAAGTGAGAGCACAGGACAAAAAAAAAACCTACCACTTTAAAAACCATCAGATCTCATGAGAATTCACTCACTCTCACGAGAACAGCATGGGGGAAACCGCCCCTATCATCCAATCACCTTCCTCCCTCAATACATGGGGCTTACAATTAGAGACGAGATTTGGATGGGGACAGAGAGCTCACCAATATCCGTACGTTCCTATTTATAGTAGACTATTGGCATAAAGACTGAAGGCATACAGTTATTCAGGTAAGAAGAATGATATAAATAAGTAAAAGTGGACAGGCATGCAGTTATTCAGATAAGAAGAATGATATAAATAAGTAAAAGTGGACAAACACAAAAACTGTTAAGAAAAGATGAAATGCAGATTTAATTAAAATATGAAGAAAGATAGATTTATCCATAACGAACATGCAGGTAGTCAAGTTTGGCTTTGCTTGAACCTAGACTTTATTCAGTGTAAAAAGTGCTTAGTTAACACTTGTCTGTGTCACAAACTTATGGATCCATGAGTTTAAATATTCTACCATGAACCGGCCAAGTGGATGTGACAGGAATGTTTTGGTTTGCTTTATATGGGCAAATATATGTAAATATCTTAATTCAAATCTTCCCTGCTATTAAGAAATTTCTTTCTGAATCATTTCAACCCAATACACTTGATCAAAAGACCAAAACAACAGGCCTAGCTGTATCTACCAGACATGACAGGATACAGGTGTTTTTAGTTTTTTCCCATCAATTTTTGGAATATGGCTCTATTAAAGATTAAACACAAAAAAACATAAAAACAGACAATTTCAACATTGACCTTCAAAAAGTAGATTAAAATGAAACATTAGTATTCATATTATTTTGGTATATAATGGGCTACTGCAAGGATGACATGAGTTCTTGGTATTTACTGCTCTCCTCTTAAGGTTTTTTCTTGTACTCATCATAGAACTGAGGTCAAGAGGCAAACTGTCACCCCCATATCTGGAAAGATGGAAGCACCCAGAAAGATACAGCAGAAAGATCCGCTTAGCTGGAGCAGAAGGTGTTCCAGCCGAAGCTGCTTAAGCCATAAAATGGTAAGAACTCTTAAATAGTAATTTTGATGAATTGCTAAAGGCTGAGTGTGGAAGAGAATGAGACTGAGAAACTTCTAGGGGCTGCAGTCTTCAGAGAAGCTCTACACATTTGTGGATTTTCCCTCCAGGAACTCTACCAGGTTCTCCATAATAGTAAAGAAAAATCCTCTCATGGCCCTGCCAAGGGTGCAGAAGAATAAGCTGTTGTTCAATTATACCCAGAGCCTCCCTCACAATGAAGTGTTACTCTCCAGGGAAGAATTTCACAAAGCACAAGATTCAAACCTTATCCCAGCTGGTAGAAGAAAATTCTTATCCCAGCTGGAGGAAGGAAATCCTATCCCATGTTGTGGAAGGGAATTCCTCCCCACTCTAGTACTTCTCAACTTTCATGATAAAAAAGGTATAAAAGGCATATTGCTTTTCTCCTCACTTCAGGTACATAGGTAAGTAGATAATTTGTTTTAATGCTTAAAGTTTATAATACAATTTATTTTATCTGAAACCTATTAACAGCCACTAAAGTCCTACATTTTAAATTTAGACTTTTTTTTTTTCTTAAAGCCCCTAAAAGTGAGTTTTTTTGTTGAAGTTAAGACAACTTGGATACCAAATAGAAGACAACAATGTGAGCAAATTATCTTTCTCTTGTTAACTGGACTATTTGTTTGAGTTGTTCAAAACTCACCAATTTATGTTTTTTTAATATGGAGGAAATTTTTAAATGCTACTCTTATTGGAAAAATGAATTGTATATATTAAAAATCGGAAGCAACACAAAGTATATAAGTCAGAAAGCAAACCGCACAAGATTTTATCCTACAGAAATATCCATTTCCAACATTTGAAGAACATTATTGGAGGCACTGCTGTTTACATATAAAGACAAAGAAAAGAGAAAGAACGGAAGGAGCGAAATAAGGAATTTAAAAATAAAATCATAGACATGAGATTTCTATAAACGTTCATTAAACTTAATTAAAAATTAAAGAATATACAAATGGCTACCAAATACAGCAGATTAAACATTTTAAACTCTGTTGACTCTTAAAAGATTATTAAAAGAACAGTACATGGCACAAAAATGGTCATAAACTTGGAAGCGGAAAGAAAGGAGGCAAAACAACAGGAGATGAAAGATATCAACAAATTTTGGAGTTTAGAAAGCAGATGTTAGAGGGATTAAATTTTAAGCATTTATAAATCTTAAAGCTGAGTCTCTTGCAAAAAAGTGCCTAGGATACATGTAAGAAATAGAATTTTATATATATATATATACACACACACACACGCACATGCAGAAACACGGAAACATGCAAAGGCTCTCATTACAAATTTCAAAATGGTGAAGCTAAAAGATCAGTTATGAAAATAGCATAATAATTCTCAACAGCAGCACTAAAATTTAGGAATTTTTGAAGCAATAGATTGAAAGTGAAATGATTTGTCTCCTAGAATCATGTACTCACCGGAACAATCACTCAATAGTAATATGTGAAATGTCTTAAAGTTTCTTTCCATGCACCCATTAACCAGAAAAAGTTAATGAAGAATTATTTTACCCAAAAGAAAGAATCAAGAAGTGGGAAGATATGTAACTTAGAAGTATGGCTTTCAGAATGTAAGGCTGGAGAGGGAATTTCCAGGATTTTCATAAAAGGGAAATCTGAGACTGTTGTAGAGCAGGTCTAGAAAACAAGTGAATCTGAGATTTATCAGTGTTAAGTTCACAAGGAAGTATGCAAACGAAGGAATATGTGAGGACATGAATACTTGGTTCAAATTTGCATAATATTTCTAATAAGTTCAGTTTGTACAATGATTAAATGAAAAATTGACAATAACTACAGTGTGGTATGTTGAGAAGTTAGAGGTTAAGAATTCATTTGTGGAGGGGGGAGTAGAGAAAGTTACATTCTCCTTATTTATATTACATGAGCAAAAGACAACATGTGACCTGAAAAACGAATGTGTTATAGAAACTATGAAAATTAAAAACGGCTAAAAACAAACGTTGAAAGTAGTAAATTCTAGGGTGTGCGGGGAAGCAGCAGAGCTAGCTGGGACAGGGAAATGCTATCTTTTTTTTATTGTCAACCTTGTAGAGAAAATTTTAAATATTATGCACGTGCATTTTATATAAAAATCAAATTTCAAAAAACAAAGAGTTAAAATGAAGCTTAAGGGATAGCTGAAATTCAAATATATGGTTTTCTACCAGAACATTTGTTCCTAAATTTATTTTTTAAATTAAAAATGAAAAGCTTTAAGTAAAATATGGAATTTAAGATCGCTCAATTTTTTTCTATCTTAATGCTAACAGATTTACTGACCCTGTCTTAGTTATAATAAAGAATTAAATACTTTTAAACTATCCCTGACATTCTTCTCTCCTCTACCAGTTTTTGGTTGGTGATATCATTACTTTAACAATCAGGATTTATAGACTTTATGTTTGGTTTTCTACCCATATTTGAGGAATAGGTTAGTTTTAGTTTAACATGTAAATTCATTACTGTGTACTGCTAGTCCTTTTACTATGACTTTGATATTTCTGAGTTCCTTATTTGTATTCATCTTTTGGGTTGTTTTGATTTCATCTCATCGTTTTGTTATTGTTTTTGTTTTAATTCAAAAAAGACAAACTTAAGGCATATTTCCTAAATCCTTCGTGTTTTACCTTGCTAGATCATCTTTACAACTGAAGCATATTTTGGTTGGATACAAAATTCTTATGTCATATTTTATTTTTTGATACTAGCTATTACTATAAAACCATGTTCCTCTGTGATCTCCGGATGCTAATTATTATCATATAGGTGCTGTCACAATTCAGATATCTCTGTTCCTGTTTTTCTATTTACTTAATTTCATTTTTAGGAATAATATACTTGCATCACATATGCTCATTTTTCTTCATCTTTCTTCGTATTTTTTTATGTCATCTCCCTTTCCTAGAAAACTTGTTTTCACTATTTTTTCCTAGCACTATGGAGAACTAATTGAATTCTTTTGTGTCCTGGAATAATTATTCTCCTGATGTATACTTCCCTTTTAATTTTGTTCTTATATTTCTCTTTCTAATTTTTAAAATGTCAATGTCTATGCACAGGTTTTATACTGGTACCATTCTGCTAATTATAAGTACTTGAAATGCATCATTTGGCTATATGCTGGAAAATACTGTGGGGAAATGTAGGAGAGGAATTAGTGGGGGTGGCCTCCAACTCACAGTTCAGTTTGTTGCCCCTATACTTTCTTATAGGATTGTATGTGCCCTCTGTTCTGAAGACACATTTTCTCTGGGTTCCTTCTGGATTTTTGCTGCTAGCATGGTGTGTGAGGCTTGTGAGGAAGCCCCACTGTGTCCAGAATTTGTTCCTTCCAGTGGGTTCTTGGTCTCACTGACTTCAAGAATGAAGCTGCGGACCATCACGTTGAGTGTTAACAGTTCTTAAAGATAGTGTGTCCGGAGTTTGTTCCTTCAGATGTTCAGATGTGTCCAGAGTTTATTCCTTCTGGTGGGTTCATGGTTTTGCTGACTTCGGGAGTGAAGCCTTAGACCTTCGCAGTAAGTGTTACAGCTCTTAAAGGTGGCACATCTGGAGTTGTTTGTTCCTTCCGGTGAGTTCGCGGTCTCTCTCACTGATTCAGGAGTGAAGCCGCAGACCTTCACAGTGAGTGTCACACCTCCTAATTCCGGAGTTGTTTGTTCCTCCCGGTAGGTTCGTAGTCTCGCTGACTTCAGGAGTGAAGCCAGGGCCCTTCACAGTGAGGAGCTCATAAAGGTTGTGCTGACCCAAAGAGTAAGCAGCAGCAACATTTACTACAAAGAGTGAAAGAACAAAGGGGACCCCAGTGGTTTGCCACTGCTGGCTCTGGTGGCCAGCTTTTATTTGCTTATTTGGCCCTGCCCATATCCTGCTGATTGGTCCATTTTACAAAGTGCTGATTGGTCCATTTTACAGAGTGCTGATTGGTGTGTTTTTACAGAGTGCTGATTGGTGCATTTACAAACCTTTAGCTAGACACAGAGCACTGATTGGTGCATTTTTGCAGAGTGCTGATTGGACCGTTTACAAACCTTTAGCTAGACACAAAGGGCTGATTGGTACGTTTTTATAGAGTGCTGATTGGTGCATTTACAATCCTCTAGCTAGACAGAAAAGTTCTCCAAGTCCCCACTCAACCCAGCAAGTCCAGCTGGCTTCACTCCTCACTACCAGTTACTGAAAACTATTGTGATATGGTGATTTTCTTTACCCATTCCATCCTTTACCTGGAAAACTTCCAGTCAGTGTCCCACAACCAGGACTTTGAATTACAAATAAAATGATGTGCCTTTAGTTTCTTTGTCTTTCTGCTCCAATTACCTGCCATTCTCTACTCTGACATTCATCCTGTCCTTGGTGGCCAGTAGGATTAATCACAGACTGAGAGAATAAAGAAAAACTATAGCAGAGGGAATTTTTAATCAGAAACTACAGAGGCAGAAATGTCAAAGAACTTCAAATTTTGAGCTCTGACTGATACTTTTACTTCCTGAGAATGATGTTCTGTTTGATTTATATTGATTTCACAATGTATCATAAAGGTAGAATGGGACTCAGATTCATGCTGAAGACCACAAGTGTAAGATAGTGAAGGGAAGTTTCGAAAAACTCCTCACCAGATACTAGCATGAAATGTATGGATGCTGTCATCAGAACTAGTAAAAATGTATCTTCCTGGATCAATGTGGATGCTGACTATCACAATGACTTTATACGTGGAGTTCAGTTCCCATGCTTGTTTCTGTGGCACTCAGCACATGTAATAAAATTCTCAGGCTATTAAATATTGATGAACATCAGGATTTTGAACACAGATAAATTTAATGGTGCTTCTTATCCATCTTATCCGGTTAAATCAGGTCTCAGCATGTCACTGTGAGAAGACTACAGCTTACGGGTGTTTGCATTGAATAGTATAAATATGCGACGTAATAGCACAGTTCTTAGTGTAGAGGGTTTATTTAGATAATAGTTCTCAATCTTCCTGAAGTGGTTATTTACTATTGTAAACTTTGCTTCCACTAACTTTATTTTATAATTAAGTTTTGGAGAAAACATTAAAAATATACATAAGCAAAAACAAAATAAAAAGCAAAGATATGTTCAGCCTAATCCCATCACCATTCCTCCCTACATTAATTTTGTATATATACATCTGTATTTCTTCATAATTTTATGCATATACATATAATGAGATCATAATATAACTATTGTTAATTTTCTTTTCTCAAATAACTATATGTAGAGTAATATGTTTATTTTTATACCAAAAGCAGCCTTTTACACCATCATGTTTTAAAATTCCTAGTAGTCTCTTATATTCTTTAATGTATTTCTCTTATCTATCACTTACATTTACTTTAGAAATGTTCTCCTTAATTATTATTTTATAAATCTTTGAAATATTTTGCTTCGTCACTTAATGAAGTAAACTTAGAAGTGGAAATTTTAGGCTAAAGAACATATAAATTTTTAAGACTTCTATTACATTTCATCAAATTGCCTTCTACAAAATTTGCACTGATCTGTAATTCTAACTTATGTGAGGCTGTCCATCACCCTACACCATCTCTGGCAGTAGCTATTAATCAATAGTTATATCTTCGCCTAGTTAAAAACTAAACATGAGATAGCTTTGTTCTTTAATGTTGTATTTTCTAAATTACTGTAAATGAGAAATTACCATGATAAAATTAATAGTGGTTGATAGTTATTTTCAGTTAATTACCTATGTAAATCCTTTCACCATATTTTCTAGTAGAATCTGTTTTTTTAAAATCCATACATGATTGTGTGTGTGTATCATATAATATCACCCTTTGAAATTGACCCTACCTTATTAAATATATCTTTCAGTTTATCGCTTGCTTTTTAATTTGCCCACAGAGATTTTATATTAAAAGAATTATGTTAGTTTTTATGTAATAAATCTATCGGTATTTTATATTATTATTTCTGAATCTACTGTCATAATATGAACTACTTTCAGCAACCCAAAATGATAGATCTGCCTTAGTATTTTTATGAATTTATTTTATTACATTTGAATATTAATACATTTATACTTAATTGGATGTTAGGATTCTAACATACCTTACCAACTGGCCCAAACACAATTTATTGAATTTATTATTTTATTCATTGCTTGAAATTCCATTGTATTTTATAATAAGTGATTATAATAAGTTCTTGATCATTCTACCAAAAAAATGCATGCACTCATACGTTCATTGCAGCACTATCCACAATAGCAAAGACTGGAATCAACCTAGGTGCCCATCAGTGATGGATTGGATAAAGGAAATGTGGTATATATGCACCATGGAATACTGTGCAGCCATGAAAAAGAATGAAATCATGTCCTTTGCAGCAACATGGATACAGCTGGAGGTTTTTATCCTAAGTGAACTAGCATAGGAACAGAAAACCAAATACTACGTGTTCTCACTTATTAGTGGGAGCTAAACATTGAGAGCATATGGGCATAAAGATGAAAACAAGAGATACTGGGGATTACAAGAGGGTGGATAGGGGGAGGACTGTGGGCTGAAAAACTATCTATCTGGTACTATGCTAAGTACCTGAGTGATGGGATCATCTATACCCAAAACCTGAGCATCATGCCTTATCCATTGTACCCATGTAACAAACCTGCACATGTTTGAATTCAAAATAACAGTTGAAAAAAAAAGAAAAAAAAATAAGCTTTCGAGTCTATTTCTCAAGTGCATAGGCACTTTCACTGCTCTGTTTGTCTTTTCCTGCACCAAATTTTGCCCTCATTCTTCTTTTTTATTTACAAAGTTTTCAGCTTGCTCTTTTATTTTTATTTTTTTGCAGATAAACTAAAGAATAATTTTCTGTAATTTCTCGTATAATCCCAATGGAATGTTAAGTAGAGTCAACTTGGATAGAATCAGCATCTACACTATATTGAATTTGTGCATCTGTATTAGTCCATTCTTACGCTGCTAATAAAGACATACATGAGACTAGGTCATTTACAAAGGAAAGAGGTTTAATTAACTCACAGTGCAGAATGGGTGGGGAGGCCTCAGGAAACTTACAATCATGGCAGAAGAGGAAGCAAATATGTCCTTCTTCACATGGTAGGAGACAGAAGAATGATAACAGAGCGAAGAGGAAAGCCCCTTATGATACCATCAGATCTCGTGAGAACTTACTGACTATCATAAGAATAGCATGGAAGAAACTGCCCCCATGATTCAATTACCTCCCACCAGGTCCCTCCCAAGACGTGGGAATTATAGGAGCTACAATTCAAGATGAGATCTGGGTGGGGACACAGCCAAACCATATCAACATCCAAGGATATAATAAGCATCTGTTTTTATGTAAAATTTTTCCATTGATCAAATAATGAGCTGTGGTATTATAGTCATTTCCAAGGAGATCCTGTACAATTATTGTTAGGCATTTTAATTTTTCTTGCTATAATGACTGGGGCATTTCCCCATTCTATTTCTATCTAATTTTCTTACAAGCTCTTCATCTCTGTGCATCATTTTAAAAATTATACTCCCATTGAGTTATCTTAATTTGTTTTAATTGTATTATAGTTTAATTTATAAATAAATATCATTGTTAATAGTAACTTTTATGCATATATGTCAAACTCTACATTAAACATTTGGCACACATTCAATAAAAAGATGTGATAATTTATGCCACTTATTACATCTATAATCTGAGCACAATGTTCTAGACAACAAGAGCTAGATCAATGTCAAGCCACAATGTTTGTTCACTATTTTTATTTTTAACTTCATTGGGAATGCATCACTTTACTATTAAGCTAAATGTCAACTATTTATTTGAGAGATAATACATAATATGCTATTTTTATACCAAGAATTTTTAGAATATATAGATGTTAAATATAATCAAATGTGTTTCCAGGATTTATAGCATCTCTTTAGGGATTACATTTTTTGTTGTAAAGTATCAATATACTACAGTCCTATTATATCTTATATTAATATATCTGTATAATTAGGTTATATCAAGACTTTTTAAAAATAATTTTTTACCTTAAAATTATACAGTATTTTAATATGTCTTATTAATTTCTTGGGTAGAGAGTTTTCTCATTTTATAACTTATTCCTTTAATAAATATACATGAAGTTGTTGAGTACCTGGATTACACTAAAAAATAAAAACACAATTATTTCTCCAATGAGATTGGTTACCAAGAAATTTTACCTTCATCAGAATTAATTGGAAAGCATTATATCATTTTCTTTCAGAGCACATAAATAGCAAAAAAAATTTTTGACATAATTTATTCATAAAATCATCTGGATAGAATAATTTAGGCCATTATATTACTATTTTTAGATGTTTTGAATTCATATATTATTTCCCTGTTCAGGTACATACAGTTGATTGAGTCAAATTTGGTAATAAATTCATATATGTTCAATATCTATTTACACCTGTGGTTATATTACCTTTCTAATTGGTAACATTGTGGGTTTTTTTGTTCCTGGATAATTCTATTAGTTTTTCTTAAGAATAAACCTCTGAGTTTAGTTTTCAGTTTTACTATTGTGTTTAGAAATTAAATTTTTGTGTTTTGCAGATATTTTTTCTGTGGCTTGTCTTTTCTTTCTTTTAACACTGTCTATCACAGAGCAAAGTATTCATTTTTTTAAAGTTTACTTTAAAATTTCATACATCATTCTTTTTGCTGTAACTAAAAAGTTACCATCAAACCTAAGACCACCTAGATTTTCTTCTAGAAGTTTTATAGTTTTGCATTTTATATGTAGGTCTATGATCCACTTAGAGTTAACTTTGTAAAAGGTATTAGATCTGTGTCTAGATGGTTTTTTTTTTTTAAATGAGCATCCAATTTTTCCAGCACCATTTATTGAAAAGACTGGGCTTTCTCCAGTGAATTACCTTTGTTCCTTTGTCAAAGATCAGTTGGCTATATTCGTGTGAGCCTATTTCTGGGCTCTCTTTATTGATCTATGTGTTCATTCTTTAACCAATACCATGCTGTCTTGAAGTAATGTTATAGTAAGTCTTGAAATCATTCTTTGTAATTCATTCTTCTAATTCAGTATTGTGTTTGCTATTCTAGGTATTTTGCCTTTCAACATAAGCTATAGAATCAACTTGCCATTATCTAAACATAACTTGCTGGTATTTTGACAGGGATTATGAGAATCTTTATACCACACTGAGAGAATTGACACTACTGTCAATTACACAATCTATATATCACACTGAGAGAAGAGACAATACTGTCTTCCAATCTCCATTTATTTAGATCTTCTTTGATTTGTTTCATGAGTTATATAATTATTAACATGTAGGATATGTTCATGTTTTATTAGGTTTATATCTAAGCATTTAATTTTGGGGGTAGTGCTACTGTAACTGATATTGATTTTTAATTTCAGATTCCAATTGTTCGTTGCTGATACAGAGTAAACAATTTTATTTTGTATATTATATTGTCTCCTGTGACATTACTATATTCATTTATTTGCTCTAGGAGTTTCTCTCCTTTTGGGGGAATTTTATACACAATCATATTACCTGCAAATAAAGACAGTTTTATTTCTTTCTTTCCAGTCTATATACATTTTATTGCATTTTTTATCTAGGGCTATCTAGGGCTTCTAGTAAGATATGAAATAGAATGGTAAAATAGTTTATCCTTGCTTTGTTCTAAACCTTTGGGGGACAGCATCCTGTTTCTCATGAATAAACATGTTGCCTGTAGGTTTTCAGTGCATTGTAGTAGACCCCCCTTATCCATAGGGCATACATTCCAAGACCCTTAGTGGATGTCTGAAATCATGGATATTAATGAACCCTATTTGTACTATGTTTTTTATATACTTATATACCTATGATAATGTTTAATTTACAAATTGAGTGCCATAAGAGATTAACAATAACTAATAATGAAATAGAACAATTAATATACTGGAATAAAATTATGTTAATGTGGTAATTGAAACTGCAGAAAGCAAAACCATGATTAAGGTGAGACTACTGAAGGTTCTTTATGGAGTTACATAAATTTCTTCTCTATTGTATCTGGGATTGGGATTAGAATAATGCTGGTCTCGTAGAATTATTAGTAATTGTAGTATCTACTTCTATTTTTTGGAAGGAATTGTGGAAAATAGATATCTTTTCTTTCCTGTATATTTGGTAGAATCTACCAGTGACTCCACCATGGGGGCATGCTGGGATTTTTTGTTGTTGTTATTTTTTATTCAATTTATTTGATATAAACATATTCAGATTATATGTTACTTTGAGTGAAGTTTGGTAATTTGTGTTTCTCAATAGTTCATTTTATCTGAATTATCAAATATAAGGCCATAAAGTTATTTGTAGTATTGCTTCATTGTCCTTTTAATATTCAGGGAATTAGTATCACTTCTGATATTGGCAATTTGCTTATTCTCTTTTCTTCTTAGCCTACCTAAAGATTTATTGGTGTCCTTGATCTTTTCTTTTCAGAGAATCAGCTTTTGGTTTCATGGATATTTTTTATTGTTTTCTTGTTTTCGATTTTACTGATTCTTGTGGTATTTTTCATTATTTACTTTTTTCTGCTTTCTTTAACCTGAAATTGTCTTTTTAAAATTTTTATAATGTGAAGTCTTAGGTTACTGATTGCAGGTCGTTCTTCCATTTTAATATATGCACTTAAAGTTATTAATATTCCTCTAAGTACTGCATTTACTGCATCCCAAAATTTTGATAGGTTATATTATTGTTTTCATTTGAATTTAAATTAAATTTCTCTTGAAACAGTTTATTTAACCCATGTGTTATTTGGAAGTGTGTTGTTTAATTTCCAAGTACTTGGGATTTTTCAGCCATCTTCCTGTTATTGATTTCTAATTTAATTTTATT
Source organism: Homo sapiens (assembly GCF_000001405.40). Taxonomy (NCBI): domain Eukaryota; kingdom Metazoa; phylum Chordata; class Mammalia; order Primates; family Hominidae; genus Homo; species Homo sapiens. Next base: position 35,476,099 of record NC_000003.12, read on the forward strand.
GTAGTCTGAGGACATATTTTGTACAATTTCTATTACTTTAAAACTGTTAAGAATTTTTTTGGTGAGTGTTCCATTTGAGTTTCATACGGACATATTTTGCCACTGTTGAATGAATTATCCTATAAATATCAATTAGATCAAATTGTTTGATAGTGCTCTTCGTATGTATTATATCCTTTTAAATTTCTGTCTGCTCGATCTATAAATTACTAAAGAAGTCTACTGGAGTCTTCAACTATAATAGTGGGTTATCTATTTCTCCTTGCCCTTCTATCAGTTTTTGCCTCAGTTATTTTGACATTCTGTTGTTAAGTTCATAAACATTAGAAACTGTTATATCTTCTTGGATAATTGACTCCTTTATTATGAATACAATTATAACTGAAACTTTATACTTTTGACCTGCATCTTCCCACATCCCTACAATCTCCCTTCCACCCTGCTCCTGTTTTACTGTTTCTAGGTATTCATATTTTAAATATTTCACATATGAGTGAGATCATGTAACATTTTTTCTTTGTGTCTGTCTTATTTCACTTAGCATAATAATCTCTAATTTTGTTCACGTTGTTTGAATGTCAGGTTTGCCCCCTTTATAATGCTGAATAATATGCCATTATATATGTATACAAACACACATGCACATATATATGAGATATATATGATATATACATATATGAGATATATATCTCACAGTTTCTTTATGCATTCAAACATTGATGGACATTTTGGTTGTTTCTATATCTTCGATATTGTGAATAATGCTGCAATGAACATGAGAGTGAAGATATCTTTATGAGGTGATTATTTTATTTCCTTTGGTTATATACTCAAAAGAGGAGTGCTAGGTCATATTGGTAGTTCTATTTTTAATTTCTTTAGGAAGCTGCACACTGTTTTTCACTGTAGCAGCTCCAGTCTATGTTGCTATTAATAGCGTGCATGGATTCTTTTTTCTCCTTACCTGATATGATTAGACTTTGTGTTCCCACCCAAATCTCATCTTGAATTTTAATTCTCATAATCCCCACATGTCAAGGGAGAGACCAGGCAGCCGTAATTGAATCATGGGGGTGGTGTCCCCCAGGCTGTTCTCCTTATAGTGAGTGAGTCCTGGGTGGGCTCTTCCCCCTTCACTCAGCACTTCTTCCTGCTGCCTCTTCACCTTCCACCATCATTATAAATTTCCTGAGGCCTCCCAAGCCATGCTGAACTGTGAATCAATTAAACCTCTTTCTTTTATAAATTACCCAGTCTCAGGCAGTTCTTTTATTATTATTATTATTATTATACTTTAAGATCTAGGGTACATGTGCACAACGTGCAGCTTTGTTACATATGTATACATGTGCCATGTTGGTGTGCGGCACCCATTAACTCGTCATTTACATTAGGTATATCTCCTAATGTTATCCCTCCCCCCTCCTCCTACCCCCCGACAGGCCCTGGTGTGTAATGTTCCCCTCCTTTGTCCAAGTATTCTCATTGTTCAATTCCCACCTATGAGTGAGAACATGCAGTGTTCGGTTTTTTTCCCTGCAATAGATTGCTGAGAATGATGGTTTCCAGCTTCATCCATGTCCCTACAAAGGACATGAACTCATCCTTTTTTATGGCTGTATAGTATTCCATGGTGTATATGTGCCACATTTTCTTAATCCAGTCTATCATTGATGGATATTTGGGTTGGTTCGAAGTCTTTGCTATTGTTGAATAGTGCCGCAATAAACATATGTATGCATGTGTCTTTATAGCAGCATGATTTATAATCCTTTAGGTATATAACCAGTAATGGGATGGCTGGGTCAAATGGTATTTCTAGTTCTAGATCCTTGAGGAATCGCCACACTGTCCTCCAAAATGGTTGAACTAGTTTTCAGTCCTACCAACAGTGTAAAAGTCTTCCTATTTCTCCACATCCTCTCCAGCACCTGTTGTTTCCTGACTTTTTAATGATCGCCATTCTAAACGGTGTGAGATGGTATCTTATTGTGGTTTTGATTTGCATTTCTCTGATGGCCAGTGATGATGAGCATTTTTTCATGTGTCTTTTGGCTGCATAAATGTCTTCTTTTGAGAAGTGTCTGTTCATATCCTTCACCCACTTTTTGATGGGGTTGTTTGTTTTTTTCTTGTAAATTTATTTGAGTTCATTGTAGATTCTGGATATTAGCCCTTTGTCAGATGAGTATATTGCAAAAATTTTCTCCCATTTTGTAGGTTGCCTGTTCACTCTGATGGTAGTTTCTTTTGCTGTGCAGAAGCTCTTTAGTTTAATTAGATCCCATTTGTCAATTTTGGCTTTTGTTGCCATTGCTTTTGGTGTTTTAGACATGAAGTCCTTGCTCATGCCTATGTCCTGAATGGTATTGCCTAAGTTTTCTTCTAGGATTTTTATGGTTTTATGTATATCAGTTAAGTCTCTAACCATCTTGAATTAATTTTTGTATAAGGTGTAAGGAAGGGATCCAGTTTCAGCTTTTTACATATGGCTAGCCAGTTTTCCCAGCACCATTTATTAAATAGGGAATCCTTTCCCCATTTCTTGTTTTTGTCAGGTTTGTCAAAGATCAGATGGTTATAGATGTGTGGTATTATTTCTGAGGTCTCTGTTCCATTGGTGTATATCTCTGTTTTGGCACCAGTACCATGCTGTTTTGGTTACTGTAGCCTTGCAGTATAGTTTGAAGTCAGGTAGCGTGATGCCTCCAGCTTTCTTCTTTTGGCTTAGGATTGACTTGGCAATGTGGACTCTTTTTTGGTCCCATATGAGCTTTAAAGTAGTTTTTTCCAATTCTGTGACGAAAGCAATTGGTAGCTTTACGGGGATGGCATTGAATCTATAAATTACCTTGGGCAGTATGGCCATTTTCATGATATTGATTCTGCCTATCCATGAGCATGGAATGTTCTTCCATTTCTTTGTGTCCTCTTTCATTTCGTTGAGCAGTGGTTTGTAGTTCTCCTTGAAGAGGTCCTTCATATCCCTTGTAAGTTGGATTCCTAGATATTTTACTCTCTTTGAAGCATTTGTGAATGGGAGTTCATTCATGATTTGGCTCTCTGTTTGTCTGTTATTGGTGTATAAGAATGCTTGTGATTTTTGCACATTGATTTTGTATCTTGAGACTTTGCTGAAGTTGCTTGTCAGCTATAGGAGATTTTGGGCTGAGATGATGGGGTTTTCTAAGTATAAAATCATGTCATCTGCAAACAGGGACAATTTGACTTCCTCTTTTCCTAATTAAATACCCTTTATTTCTTTCTCCTGCCTGATTGCCCTGGCCAGAACTTCCAACACTATTTTGAATAGGAGTGGTGAGAAAGGGCATCCCTGTCTTGTGCCAGTTTTCAAAGGGAATGCTTCCAGTTTTTGCCCATTCAGTATGATATTGGCTGTGGGTTTGTCATAAATAGCTCTTATTATTTTGAGATACATCCCATCAATACCTAATTTATTGGGAGTTTTTAGCATGAAGGGCTGTTGAATTTTGTTAAAGGCCTTTTCTGCTTTTATTGAGATAATTATGTGGTTTTTGTCTTTGGTTCTGTTTATATGATGGATTACGTTTATTGATTTGCATATGTTGAACCAGCCTTGCATCCCAGGGATGAAGCCCACTTGATCATGGTGGATAAGCTTTTTGATGTGCTGCTGGATTCTCTTTGCCAGTATTTTATTGAGGATTTTTGCATTGATGTTCATCAGGGATATTGCTCTAAAATTCTCTTTTTTGGTTGTGTCTCTGCCCGGCTTTGGTATCAGGATGATGCTGGCCTCATAAAATGAGTTAGAGAGGATTCCCTCTTTTTCTATTGATTGGAATAATTTCGGAATGAATGGTACCAGCTCCTCTTTGTACCTCTGGTAGAATTCGGCTGTGAATCCGTCTGATCCAGGACTTTTTTTGGTTGGTAGGCTATTAATTATTGCCTCAATTTCAGAGCCTTTCATTGGTCTATTCAGGTATTCAACTTCTTCCTAGTTTAGTCTTGGGAGGGTGTATGTGTGGAGGAGTTTATCCATTTCTTCTAGATTTTCTAGTTTATTTGTGTAGAGGTGTTTATAGTATTATCTGATGGTAGTTTGTGTTTCTGTGGGATTGGTGGTGATATCCCCTTTATCATTTTTTATTGCATCTATTTGATTCTTCTCTCTTTTCTTCTTTATTAGTCTTGCTAGTGGTCTATCAATTTTTTGATCCTTTCATAAAACCAGCTCCTGGATTCATTGATTTTTTGAAGGGTTTTTTATGTGTCTATCTCCTTCAGTTCTGCTCTGATCTTAGTTATTTCTTGCCTTCTGCTAGCTTTTGAATGTATTTGCTCTTGCTTCTCTAGTTCTTTAATTGTGATATTAGGGTGTCAATTTTAGATCCTTCCTGCTTTCTCTTGTGGGCATTTAGTGCTATAAATTTCCCTCTACACACTGCTTTAAATGTGTCCCAGAGATTCTGGTATGTTGTGTTTTTTTTCTCATTGGTTTCAAAGAACATCTTTGTTTCTGCCTTCACTTCGTTATGAACCCAGTAGTCATTCAGGAGCAGGTTGTTCAGTTTCCATGTAGTAGAGTGGTTTTGAGTGAGTTTCTTAATCCTGAGTTCTAGTTTGATTGCACTGTGGTCTGAGACACAGTTTGTTATAATTTCTGTTCTTTTTCATTTGCTGAGGAGTACTTTACTTCCAACACTGTGGTCAATTTTGGAATAAGTGTGATGTGGTGCTGAGAAGAATGTACATGCTGTTGATTTGGGTTGGAGAGTTCTGTAGATGTCTATTAGGTCCACTTGGTGCAGAGCTGAGTTCAATTCCTGTATATCCTTGTTAACTTTCTGTCTCATTGATCTGTCTAATGTTGACAGTTGGGTATTAAAGTCTCCCATTATTATTGTGTGGGTGTCTAAGTCTCTTTGTAGGTCACTCAGGACTTGCTTTATGAATCTGGGTGCTCCTGTATTGGGTGCATATATATTTAGGATAGTTAGCTCTTGTTGTTGAATTGATCCCGTTACCATTATGTAATGGCCTTCTTTGTCTCTTTTGATCTTTGTTGGTTTAAAGTCTGTTTTATCAGAGACTAGGATTGCAACCCCTGCTTTTTTTTGTTTTCCATTTGCTTGGTAGATCTTCCTCCATCCCTTTATTTTGAGCCTATGTGTGTCTCTGCACATGAGATGGGTCTCCTGAATACAGCACTCTGATGGGTCTTGACTCTTTATCCAATTTGCCAGTCTGTGTCTTTTAATTGGAACATTTAGCACATTTACATTTAAGGTTTATATTGTTGTGTGTGAATTGGATCCTGTCATTATGATGTTAGCTGGTTATTTTGCTCATTAGTTGATGCAGTTTCTTCCTAGCATCGATGGTCTTTACAATTTGGCATGTTTTTGCAGTGGCTGGTACCAGTTGTTCCTTTCCATGTTTAGTGCTTCCTTCAGGAGCTCTTTTAGGGCAGGCCTGGTGGTGACAAAATCTCTCAGCATTTGATTGTCTGTAAAGTATTTTATCTCTCCTTCACTTATGAAGCTTCATTTGGCTGGATATGAAATTCTGGGTTGAAAATTGTTTTCTTTAAGAATGTTGAATATTGGCCTCCACTGTCTTCTGGCTTGTAGAGTTTCTGCCGAGAGATCAGCTGTTAGTCTGATGGGCTTCCCTTTGTGGATAAGCTGACCTTTCTCTCTGGCTGCCCTTAAATTTTTTCCTTCATTTCAACTTTGGTGAATCTAACAATTATGTGTCTTGGAGTTGCTCTTCTCGAGGAGTATCTTCGTGGCATTCTCTGTATTTCCTAAATTTGAATGTGGGCCTGCCTTCCTAGGTTGGGGAAGTTCTCCTGGATAATATCCTGCAGAGTGTTTTCTAACTTGGTTCCATTCTCCCCGTCACTTTCAGGTACACCAATCAGATGTAGATTTGGTCTTTTCACATAGTCCCATATTTCTTGGAGGCTTTGTTCATTTCTTTTTACTCTTTTTTCTCTAAACTTCTCACTTCATTTCATTCATTTGATCTTCAATCACTGATACCCTTTCTTCCAGTTGATCAAATCGGCTACTGAAGCTTGTGCATTTGTCACATATTTCTCATGCCATGTTTTTCACCTCCATCAGGTCAGCTTTTCTGCTCTGATTTTTCCCCATCTTTGTGGTTTTATCTACCTTTGATCTTTGATGATGGTGACATACATATGTGGTTTTGGTGTGGATGTCCTTTCTTTTTGTTAGTTTTCTTTCTAACAGTCAGGACCCTCAGCTGCAGGTCAAGTGGACTTTGCTGGAGGTCCACTCCAGACCTGTTTGCCTGGGTCTCAGCAGCAGAGGCTGCAGAACAGTGAATATTGTGGAACAGCAAATGTTGCTGCCTGATCGTTCCTCTGGAAGCTTCGTCTCAGAGGGGTACCCGGCCGTGTGAGGTGTCATTCGGCCTGTACTGGGGGATGCCTCCCAGTTAGGCTACTCGGTGGTCAAGGACCCACTTGAGGAGGCAGTCTGTCCGTTCTGAGATCTCAAACTCTGTGCTGGGAGAACCACTGCTCTCTACAAAGCTGTCAGACAGGGGCATTTAAGTCTGCAGAGGTTTCTGCTGCCTTTTGTTCAGCTATGCCCAGCCCCTAGAGGTGGAGTCTACAAAGGCAAGGAGGCCTCCTTGAGCTGCTGTGTGCTCCACCCAGTTTGAGCTTCCTGCTGCTTTGTTTACCTACTCAAGCCTCAGCAATGGCAGACACCCCTCCCCCAGCCTCGCTCCCACCTTGGAGTTTGATCTCCGACTGCTGTGCTAGCAATGAGTGAGGTTCTGTGGGCATGGGACCCTCTGAGCCAGGCACAGGATATAATCTCCTCGTGTGCCATTTGCTAAGACCATTGGAAAAGCAGAGTATTAGGGTGGGAGTGACCCAATTTTCCAGGTGTCATCTGTCACAGCTTCCCTTGGCTAGGAAAGGGAATTCCCTGACCCCTTGTGCTTCCCAGGTGAGGCAATGCCTTGCCCTGCTTCAACTCATGCTCGGTGGGCTGCACCCACTGTCCTGCACCCACTGTCCAACAAGCCCCGGTGAGATGAACCTGGTACCTCAGCTGGAAATGCAGAAATCACCCATCTTCTGCATCTCTCATGCTGGGAGCTGTAGACTGGAGCTGTTCCTATTCAGTCATCTTGGAACCACCCCAGGCAGTTCTTTATAGCACTATGAAAACGGACTAATACAATACTCATGCCAGCACTTGTTATCTCTTCTCTGTTTTATAAAAAACATCCTCACAGAAATGAGATGATATCTCATTGTGGTTTTGATTTGCGTTTCCCTGATGATTAGTAGTATTGAGCACTTTTTCATAAACCTATTGGCCATTTTTTATGTCTTCTTTAGAGAAATGTCTATTCAGGCCCTTTGCTTACTTTTTATTGGGTTATTTGTGGGTTTTTTTGCTATCGAGTTGTGTAAGTTCTTTATACAATTTGGATATTAACCTCTTATCAGATATATAGTTCACAACTATTTTCTCTCAATCCACAGGCTGCCTTTTACTGTGCTGTGTCTTTTGCTGTGCAGAAGCTTTTTAGTTTAATGAAGTCCCACTTGTTAATTTTTGCATTTTTGTCTTTGCTTTGGTTTTCACATTCTTTTTCGTATCTCTTTGCTTTTTAAAATTTTATTTTTTGTATTGTTTATATTATATATACTCTGCCTTATTGATTTATAAATTATTAGTCTTGTTTTTATTTTAGTTTTCATTACTTTTAATATAAAGTAGTCATATACATATGTATTTACAAAAGGATAAAGAATAATTGATCATTTAATATCAATTTTTCATATTATACTGCTTTGTGTCAATTTTCCCTTTTTAAGAATGTGGGATTTCACAGAAGTTGCTCTTCCGTTTTGACTCACATTTGGTCTCTGTCAGAAATTATTTTGGTATTTCTATGTCTCATAAATTATCAGCAAATAAGGCATAGATTCTATGTTTATAGGTTTTATTTTCCATAATCCTTTTTCCCCCAATGGTGTGTCTTCTCATTCGTAATATTTTGGTTTTCATTTAGTCCTATCAATCACTATATTTCTTCAGGTAACACTTTCAGGAAAGGAACAAGGATGGTAAATTTTCTGAATTCCTGGATATCTATGGATGGCTTTTTTTCTCGGCATAAAAACAACAACTTGCACATAGAATTTTTCCCTCAGAAATCATAGAAATTTTCCTTTTTAGCCAATACTTATTATTGCATAAATTCTGTTGTTGATAATTTTTATTTTTATTAGAGATAGCTGGGCAATAATTAATATTGTGTGTTTGTGTGTGTGTGTGTGTATTCCTACATAAGTGCTTGGAGAAAAACCATTTGGACTTTTCAAAATGTTACCATGTTTTGGTTTATTTTCTTTCATTTGCCTGAATTTCAGTAATTTCTGTTAAACATATTCTATATTCTATTCTCAGAAATGCTCAGTATTATTTTTAAATATTTTCTTCTATCTTTTTCACATACTTTTTCATTATATACACATAATGACCCAGACTTGTGAGCTAAAGCACAGAGGATTTCATAGCTTTTCAAGACTGATTATATTACAATGCCCTTCTCTATTCTATGAGAAAATGAATACATTCAGTTAATATTTTATAGATAGACACATAGATAGGAAAAGTAAAACTCAGAGAGTTCAATAATTTGTGTCAAGCAGTGTCACATAGTATGTGGAAAGGGAAAATACTGAGGTTATAAGTCTTTAAACATGGGGCCATTTTTGTCTAATAGTTCTAATTTTTCTAATTTCTAACATTAAAAAATTTTCTAAAGAAAATCTCTTTAGAAGATTTTGGAGGAAAACTCTAATTTCAACTCTGATACATCTCAGGAGGGACACTTTGGAGAATGGCAGGTCTGAGTGAATAGGTCTCACACACCACTCACAAGGAAAAGAATCAATTGTAAATTCCTCTGCATGCAGCTTTGCAACTTGGCTCCTAAGTCAAACTTATGCTTTTTCAGTAAGGAGTCATTGCACTAGCTAAGGAGTCATTGCACTAGCAAAGCAGTCATCAGCTTATGTAAATTCCTGTGGTACAAAAAAGAGATCTTTAAGCTGCTTATTACTTTATTATTGCTGAAAGAAAAAAAAAGCAAGGCATAAAGAGAAAAGGGGGTGGGAGAATTAAGGATCTAATAACAGTGAAAGCTTGCTGCCGAACTTGTGTCTCTTGCTGTGTTTGAATGATTTTTCTTTGTCAACAGCCTTGCACTGGGCTATTTTTAGTATCTCTTTAATAATTGAGCTGTAGCAATTGTGCTCAGCAGCTGGAACAGGCAGGGAAAATAGCAGCTCAAAGAAATAGTGCAGCAGGGTCATAATTTAAGTCAAGCTGCATTATGGAGCATACCTTTCTCAAAGGTAGAATGCTGAGGTTAAAAGAACTGTGGAAAGTGGAAGGAAAGAAAGACAAAAATAAGTGATGGATGCTGCTTTTATTATTATTATTATTATTTGTATATTTTTAAAACAAGCCTGAAAAGATGTCTCCTTGGGCAGGTTCTTTTGATGGCAAAGAAAGTGCAGATGGAGGGCCCTACTACTTTATGTGGCAAACAGGACAGGGAAACTTGGATTGCCAGCAGAATTGATGCTTACCTTATTCCAAGGGCTGATTCCTGCACACCACAAACCTCACAACATTGTAAGTGGCATGACAATAAAGTTGAAATAGTTTACTTTAGCCACTGAAAAGGAAACTGACTGTGATGAAGAAAGGAAAATCTTACATTCCACAGCATTTCCCCGTCCACTTTTGGATGATATAGTTGGGTTTTGCATAGTCCAGTTCTCAGATGCATCATCAAATACCTGATTTAGGTCATTAATCCCAAGGGAGTGGTATACATCTCACTTTGCTGAAATACTTGGCTTTATGTTGCCAATTCTCTCCTAGTCTCAGCCTGCTTAGCTCAAAGTGACATAGAGGCTTGCCAAATGAAGACTTATATATGTCCATATATTTGACCAGTGGAGACATTCAACTTGGATAATTAGAAAAATAAAAATAACAAATAAAGAAGATCAACAATTAATTAAATGATCAGATCAACTAGACTGCTGCCAAATTGTTTATGTCTTTGGACCAGGAAAAGATTGCTAAAGGTTAATGAGGTCATGAATGTTCTTCCTTGGCACTTCAAACTTTTCCCCACTTACATTTTCCCTCTTTTCTTTGCTTTTCTATAAACTTCTGTGTGCTTCACTACCTCCATTTGTTGTCCTTACTTGCCTCCCTTCTTTACTGTGTTTTCCTCTGCCCTTTTCCTTTCCCTCTGCTTTCTGCCTGGGGTTTTATACTGGAGCCCTAACCAATAGGAGGAAGTTTTTAGGCTGAGTTGGGTTGATGTGACATTTCATCCGATAGAGGTCAATGTGACAAAGGGAATTTCTGCAAATACCCATGCATATACACAGCCTATTAGCACAATATAGGAATGGTGAATGGCTACTCATGATTGCTTACATGACAGAGAAACAATTTTCCCACAAGTCTGTGTCCTTTAATTATCAAAATGGCCATTTACTTCAAAGCTAGTTTGGGGGATTTTTTAAATAGAAAGCCAGTATAATTTTTTAAAATTGCACACATTTCTTAAACATCAGGGTAAATGTTAACTCATGCTTTATTTTAAGTTTACAAAAAACAAGAACGAAGTGGAGGGAAGGACTGGTTAAAATGTCAGTCCTGACATTGGTTTAAATACCTAATATATGTTTTTAGATCTTTAGGTGACCAAAAAAGGAGAGTTTTCAGGTGTGACAAACAAAAACCAAAAGAATGCAGTTGGATCAGTGTGAAACCTGATCTATATCAGAACTCCCTTTTTTATATGAACTCATTCTGTAAGAATTGGTCTGTAATGTAGGAACAATTGGATTGGACTGCTTGGATGAAAACATTTTCAGGAGATACAGCGAGGATGAGGGGACATTTGTAAGGCTGTCTTTGGATTTAGTCTTATTTATTTATTTATTTATTTATTTATTTATTTATGCCTCTGAGTTGTTCAACACACAAGGCATGCAGGTGCTGACTTCTTCTGGCAGGCAGGGAGAGATATCCATATATCATTACACTTGCAGGCATTTACGAGAATACCAATTTTCAACCTCACAGACTTTCCTGAAAGTCCAGCACAGCAGCCAGTTAGATCCATAAAATTGAAAATGAGATCCGATGGGTTCCAAGGGATTAGAACATCAGAGTAGAAACCTGTCCTCTATGAATTGCCTAACTCTGGCCACAGAATTTAGTTGCATTCTGTATTACTTTCCCAGGGCTTCTGTAACAAACTACCACAAACTTGATAGCCTCAAACAACATAAATTTATTCGCTCACAGTTCCAGAGGCCAGAAGTTCAAAATCAGCATCACTTGGCCTAAATCAAGGTGTCTACAGGGCCAGCCTCCCTCTGGAACTCTAGAAGGGAATCTGTTTCTTGTCTGTTTTTAAACTCTAATGGCTCCTGGCATTCCATGATTTGTAGCACTTCACTCCCATCTCTTCCTCCAAGGTCACATTTCTGCTTCCTCTTCTGTCTGTCAAATCTCCCCCTGCTTCTCTCGTATAAGAACACTAATCATTGAACTTGGGGCTCACTCAGATAATGCAGGATAATCTCCCATTCTCAAGATCCTTAATTTAGTTACATCTTCAAAGATTCTTTTTGCAAATAAGGTAATTTTCACAGCTTCCAGGGATTAGGAATGAATATATTGTTTAGGAAGGCACTGTTCAGCCACTGCACCCTCTTAGTCCAATAAAATGCCCCCCAGATCCATTCAGACTCCATTGACATCCTAGACAAGACATTTTACTCTGCTGTTGTTTTTTCCTACATAATGGTAATAATAAAAAGAATAGCTAACATTTATTGAGGGATTGGCATTATGTACTCTTGTAAGAGAATTTTGTATTAAACTAAAACTTATGAAATTGCTAATGCTTATCAGGTTTTGGCCCACAGAAACAGCAATTTCATTTTATTTAGTCACTTATGTTCACTCATTTAAAATTCCTATTTACTCTATAAGAAACTGACTATTATTATTCCCAGTTTACAGATAAAGAAACTGAGGTACAGAAATGTTAGGAGACTTACCCAAGGTCATATATGAAATGTTAGTAACATCAGTATTTACCCTAGATGGCCAAAGTCCTGCACTCCTTTAACCTTCCTCCAACTAGGCTTTTCTTCGCTCACTAAAGGATCTCAGCCTTCAATTGCTATTGTTATACAGGAGACATTTCTGTGGCTCATGCAGGATGATTAACTGGAGGCCAACTTTGGTTCATGTAAGTGATCAGATCATTTTGTACCCTTTGTCTAATCTGCAAAGTACAGAAAATGAAAGAAGGTGGAATGTATGAAGGAGGTGAAAAAGAAAACGGCAAAAAAAAAAAAAAAAACAAGGTACAGACAAAAAGACAAAAAGTCAATTAAAAATGGAAGAAAATAGAAGAGGACATATATATCTTGAATGGTGCTCCAATCCCAAAAACTCTTCTAATGATTTACTTTACTAGTTGTGTAACTGCACAATATCCTTGTGAGGCTTTAATTGCTGTCCCAAATTTATAGCTGGGAATTTATGTTTGTCATCAAGTGATTCAGCTACTAGAAACCAGATATCCAAAGTATAAAAGTGAGAAGAAAAAGGAGGAGGAAGAAAAAGAGGAGGAGGGAAAAATGGTCATTAGTTCATTATTTTTCAAATCATGAAGAAGCAGACAAAATACTCAACAATCTATAAGTCTGCACTGGATCTCTGAAAGCAAACGCCAGCATTCAGTTTCTTAATTCAGAGATTAAGAAGTAAGGGGGACAAAATCATAATCATACAGTCCATGGGTAAGAAAGGGCAGATGGTGAAAGAAGACATATACATGTATACACATATGTACACAGAAACATGTATATACGGATGTGTGTATATATGCACATACATGTATTTGTGAATGTGTACACATGTGTATATATACGCACATACATATACAAACATTAAGATTTTCATAAATTGGCTGGGTGTGATGGCTCACGTTTGTAATCCCAGCACTTTGGGAGGCCAAGGCGGGTGGATCACAAGGTCAGGAGTTCAAGATCGGCCTGGCCAACACAATGAAACCCTGTCTCTATTAAAAATACAAAAATTCGCTGGGTGTGGTGGTGGGTGCCTGTAATCCCAGCTACTTAGGAGGCTGAGGCAGGAGAATCACTTGAACCTGGGAGGCAGAGGTTGCAGTGAGCTGAGATGGTGCCACTGCACTCCAGCCTGGGTGACAGAGCTAGACTCTGTCTCAAAAAAAAAAAAAAAGATTTTCATAAATTATGTTAATTAAATAGGAAACAAAAAGTAAAAGAAGAACAGGCTCAGGGAGAAATGTCTATTCCACACCAAACTATGTTTCACTAATCTTTAATGAAAACAGTAAATAAGGCCACAATAAGAAATATGACATTTTTTTTCTCTGATTTTCTTAGTGTCTTATGTTTTATATGGCAGCAAGAACTGGAGATGGAGGATGTCTGGTCCCCTGGAAATAAGTCTCTTTAAAAAGAACATCTACAAATATGTAGAGAGTACACTGTTCTTGGGGAAAAGAATGGGATGCCCTCAAATGTCATCTATTTTCAATGTCAACTTTTGGAAAAATTGTATCTCCGCCTTACATTAAGGTACAGTGATTTCTTTCCTAAATACCATCTGTTCAGGTAGCATACCTGCTGAAAGAAATTGTTACTTCAGTTCTTTGACATATGCTTTGGTTTTGTTCTTATGGGAACTGCAATATTCTTCATTGCAAGCAACAAAATGTTAACTATGGTAACTGTCTTTTAAACTGATTATATTTTTGTTAAATAATGACATATTTCCTACCAATTAAGAAGGAAGGTATATTCACTATAAAGAATTTACAAAGCTGGACAATTAAAAAGAAAAAAATGAAATGAATCCCAACACCCACAGATGACCACTATTAATATTTTCTATATTATTTTCAATTCTTTATATGTAGGTACACATATTATATAATGTAGTAATGCTGTATATAGAGTATCAGTTTCATCTTTTTTACTTTACATTAATCTTTTCTGAGCTTAAATACTCTTCACAATGTGATTTTAAGTATAATAGGGTTTCTCATTAATGTGCATATTGGTCAGGGTTCTCCAGAGAAGCAGAACCAATAGCATGTGTTTATAGATACAGATATAGCTTTATATTATGGAATTGCCTCAGTTAATTATGGAGTCTGCTAAGTTCAAAATCTGCAGAGTGGGCCAGTGGTTTGGGAGACGCAGGCAGTGCCAGTGTTCCAGCTTGAAGTCCCTTAAGCAAAAACAGCCCATGTTATATATGAAGTCTGAAGACAGTCAGTTGGAGAATCCTCTCTTACTTCAGGGAGGATCAGTAATTAAATTCTATTCAAGGCCGGGCGCGGTGGCTCACGCCTGTAATCCCAGCACCTTGGGAAGCCGAGGCGGGCGGATCACGAGGTCAGGAGGTCGAGACCACGGTGAAACCCCGTCTCTACTAAAAATACAAAAAAAAAAATTAGCCGGGCGCGGTGGCGGGCGCCTGTAGTCCCAGCTACTCGGGAGGCTGAGGCAGGAGAATGGTGTGAACCCGAGAGGCGGAGCTTGCAGTGAGCCCAGATCGCGCCACTGCACTCCAGCCTGGGCGACACAGCAAGACTCCGTCTCAAAAAAAAAAAAAAAAAAAAAAAAAAAAAAAAAAAAAAATTCTATTCAAGCCTTCAACTCATTGAATGAGGCCCACTCACGTTATGAAGGGCATTCTTCTCTATTCAGATCCACCAATTTTAATGTTAATCTCAGCCAAAAACACTCTCACAGAAATACGAGGAATAATGTTTGACCAACTATCTTGACATCCCGTGGCCCAGTCAAGCTGAAACATAAAATCAATTATCAGTTATAAGAATGTATATTCCTTTATTTATTAAATCAAATTAGATGAGTGAATATTTAGGTAATTTTTAAATACATGGAAATTTACAGTAAATCACTCCCCTTCTCCCATTATATACACTGGTATTTTATCACACAACTCTTCCTACTAAGAAAGGGCAGAGCTTTTTAAAACACAGCAAGCACATCCTGCTCCACTTGCTACCATCAGCTAGACTTGATGTGTCATTGGAAATGTATTCCATATTTTTTATTCCATTGTTTCTGATCTCCTCATGTGAAATCATCTGTTTCTAGCTCCCATTTTTCTATTACCCTGAGGTGATACAGTACATGGACCTTCACTGTACCCAGCATGCCCTAATAGGTCCTTCTTGACATTTTCTCCTGCTTTAATTGTAGGAGCTAAATTCTATCAATATTCAATGCCTGTCTGACCATCTTTACCGTATCTCTTAAGCCTATTTTTTCTTTGATTCTTGCTTTCAATGAATAAAAAATAAAAAGTAAGGACAAGGTGTGGAAATGGGAGGCACTATTGAGGTAAAGAGAATAAACAATGCTCAGACATCTTGAAAAACAGCACATGTGCAGGAGAGGTATAGCTTGGCATGTTATTTTTCATTATTAAATTTAAAATTATTTGGTCAAGGCAAAATAGAGGGAGATATGCCAATTTTCTTTCTAACTCTTGCAACACCACCCACCCACCTCCAAAACTATTTTTTATGAAGTATAGTCTAGTTATTCATCAGAAGTATTTCAGATATGTCTGCAGCTGTGTTTTTATTTTTAATCCGGCTAAACTGGCCTCTTTATTAGAATACGTTCTCTCTAAAATCTGGAATTAGGTTTTCTATCAGTGTTGGTAATACTGTTATCTGCATTCATATTTTCATATATATATAATTTGAGAAAAACTGCTTCAGAACCTGCAAATCAGACACAATTTTAACCAATAACATGTTTTAAATATGAATTCACTTCACTGTCATCTTGAGCTGTTACGTGCACACTACAATCCACAAAGGCTAGTGACCTAACAAATTGAAGTGACTTGATAGACTTAAAGTTATTTCTTAATGCTCTATTGTAGATTTTACATTTGCAACAGTAACTAATTGCACCTAATATGAAATCTAATTAAGACTTCATTGTACCATCTGTGTTCTTTCATTAAAAGACATGTACTATTAAACATGTATTGAAAAGGAGATACTGAAAGAGTTACTTAAAATTCATTTCCTTCCATTCTCAAAGACTGGATAGTGGCAGAGTGTAATACACTATTGTTATATCCAGTCTTTAATAGCTCCTCAGAGTCATAGCTAATTTTCCTATTAGTTACAGAGTAGAGATTGCACCACCAAATTAAACCTCACAATTTCAGCAATAGGGAAGGGAGAGAAATACACACATTCACATTATTGAGAAAAAGGAAAACAGCTTTGGTAATGCACACACACAATAATTTTCTGTAGGTGAAGTCTTTTCTTCTCTCACCTCATTTAATGCAAATAATAAATATTTTGTTTATTGTACTAGAAAGTTTTAAGATTTCCTCTGCCTACAAATGGACCAACCTCTTAATTGTTATCTCTTGGTGTTACATGATGCAAAAGTTAGCAGGTAAAAAGGAAGGAAATCAAGAAACACATTATTGGAGTGAAATCCACACACCTGCAAAAAAAACTGACTACCATGATTAAACCCACACTAGCATGTCCTATATTTGGTTTGTTTCTCCTCTAATGGTCACTTTATATTTACAAAGAAATTACTGTTTTTCAGTGTTTGTCAAGATGCTGAAATCACTAGTAGAGGATGTTCTCACAGTCTCCTAGTCTTTTTAAAAAGCTAAAAAATAACTGACATTCCCCCTATGTAGGTCTTAGACAAAAAATGCCCTAAGTGGCCTCCAGTTTATTTATATACCAGCAGCTGCAGTCACGTCATCAAGATGCAATAAAACCATCTCTCAGTTTTGCATGCACCTGTTGTTAAAGGGAAATCTGAAACAAATGATCAGGGGCTGTGGGGTCTTAAGTGACAGTGGGACACCAAAATAGTGGATCTCTGGCAATAGTTATATATTTTCAGGGAAGCTGAGCTGGTGATATAGGCATCAGTCGTAAGGGGTTTCCTCCCTTGGTCCTGTGTTAAACTGACCTCCTTATTCATACATGGGTAATCATCAGTTTTCTGGTGTAAAACACAAGAAAATTATGATGGACCAAAGCCTATTTTCCCTTGTTTTTTAAGCTTTGTATCCTGTTGCAGAAGACCCAGAAGCATGTAACAGACTTTTGACAAATTTCAGTGACTGATGGAGCAGCAGGAACTTTAGACCCTGATTCAGGACAATTGCAACCCACACTTGTGAAAGGTGGTTGTCCCATTAGAGTATCCAACAGACTCATTTATGATCGTGGTATTCATAATAACCATATCTAATAAAGCAAGCATTGTTTAGTGACCCTAGAGGATACTTAGGTTCCCAGATGTTGAGTGATTTGCTCAAAGTTACAGAGTACATAGCTGATGCAGAATTAGCATCCAATTGTTAGAGCAACTCTGAAACACCTGGTCTTTTACACACCCCTGAGTTTGAATTCTGACTTTATCATGAGTTTTCTGTCTAAAACTCAGTCTCCTTGTCTGCACATGGTTTGCTATGGGAATCAAATACCATAACTTATATCTGACAACAACGAAGCAACAGCAACAAGAACAATGTGAAAGATGTCTAGAATTATATCTGGTATGTAGCAAGTTACCTTTACAGGCTAGTTCCCACCATCTCTATGAGTGAGCACACATATATACATAAAGGAAGTTTAAAGGAACCTGTAAGGTTCCAGGTCTCCTCTGAAGCAGGTATCTCAGCTCAGACACACCCACCACAGTGAAGATTAGGCTCCGGATCTGGGAGCAGTCAGTCTGCCCTTTGATATAAGGTCCTCAATGTGAGGTGCTCACCACCTTCCTGACCACCTCCTATTCCCTCCCTTTGGGAAGCTGAAATGGAGCCCAAGAGGGAGGAGCATTAGTGGTCATTTGAAGCCATTCTCATGAGAACAAGTGAGAAATATTTGATTCTGCAAAGAGAATTCCATGCTTTTCTGGTTTATTTTTATTTTCAAATGAAGAGAGTTTGATAAATCTTTTGACAATATGTGACTTTCAGACTTGAAGTACATTCTAAAAAGAATATCCCACAGTAGACCCCTTACATCCAAACACACATTAAGATGCTGAATCTCCTTCATCCTTGCAAAGTAAATTCTGTGGCTAAAATGCCTAAGTTCTCTTTATCAACTGTCAGCAATAAGCCATACTTTATTCATAAGCTAGGCTACAGGCAGGACCTGAGAAACCTTAGCATTTTAAGCATATTTAGAAATTCCTTATTTCCATTGCTTTTACATAAAATATAACATTACGATAACATTGATGATGTATAAATGCATTGGGCTCTTGCTATTTGGCAAGCACCGTACTATTCTAAAACATGACAAACAACAATATTCTGTGATAGGTAATATTAGTACTCCCATTTTATAAGGAAAATAAAAACCAAAAAGTGCATAGTGGTCACTCATGGCAGCCACTTATATTGCACTTACCGTATGCTATCATTGTACTATTTATCTTTGCCTCTACCTACCTATGCATATATGTCATATATGTATATATAGTATCTATGTATTCTTCACAACAACCCTATAAGAAAAGAATTTTTTTATCCTCATGTGACAAAATGGAGGTAAGTAGATAATAAGTCACTTGCTCAGACTCACACAGTAATAAGTGGTGCAGAACAGACTTGGGCCCAAAAGTCCAGTTCAGAGTCCATACTCTTAATCACTGTGCTATAATGACTATTAAGTGTTCAGAAAATATTTTTTTTAAAAAAAGGATAAATGTAAGGCCAGGCTCAGTGGTTCATGCCTGTAATTCCAGTACTTTGGGAGGCCAAGGCAGGATGATCACTTGAGGCTAGGAGTTCAAGACCAGTCTGTGCAACAGCAACACCCCCTCTACAAAGAAAAAAAAAAGTATAAAAAATAATTAGCTGCATGTTGTGGCTCATGCCTGTCTTCCTTGCTACTCCAGTGCCTAAGGCAAGAGGATTGCTTGAGCCCAGGAATGTGAGGCTGCAGTGAGCCATGATAGTACCACTGCCCTCCAGCCTGGGCAAAAGAGCAAGACCTTTTCAAAACAAAAACAAAACAAAAAACAAAGAAATGAATGGATGGGTGTACTTTCCCATGGTGATGATGATGTAGCAAATAAAGAATGGAGCAGAAATTCCTGCTCTTATCCACGATGCAATTATGCGTCTCACTTTATTCTAAAATGATTTCAGTTGGCATGGATTTTCCCTTAAAAAACAAAATACTCAGTTTTCTGCATTCATCAGTGATATGGTGAGACATTAATTGCAAGGTGAGCGTAGAGCCTCCTAGAGAGTGCAAATGTATTTTACCTGGTGTTCTTTTCAGTAATTGGATAAAATATTCTAAATATATTGTGGAAAAGTTAATTTAGAAATCAGAAATTAGCTAACAAACTCTCCTGTGAACAGAAGGAAGAAAGTCACTTGGTTTAACATGACCAATTTTAATATTTTAAGATATCAGAAAGGACAAGAGGGGCTGATAGAGACAGAATCTATAGGGATTGCCTGTGATGGGAGATCCAGTGTAGTATGAAAAGCTAAGCTTTTATTATTCATACTTTTCAATTTGCAGGTAATGCCCGGTTCCTTAAAACTGGGAAATCTTTGAAAATTTTAATCCTTTCTAAAAATATAGACTTTATTTTTAGACCAGTTTTAAGGTCACAGAAAATTGAACAGGAAGTACATAGCTTTTCCATATAGCCCTTGCCCCTACACATGAATAGCCTCTTCTGTGATCAACATCCCCCCATCAGTGCTTCATCTATTATAATACAACTGATGAGCCTAGGTTGACACATCACCACCCAAAGTTAATTCTTTATATTAGGTTCCTTTTTTGTGTTGTACATTTTATGCGTCTGGAAAACTGTAAAACAACATGTATCCACCTTACAGTATCATACAGAATATTTTCACTGCCTTAAATATCCCGTGTTTCGCCTATTCATTGATCCCTTCACCCAACCCTTGACATTTACTGATCCTTTTACTGTCTCCGCAGTTTTACTTTTTCCAAAATGTCACGTATTAATAGTTGGAATCATACAGTATGTAGCCTTTTCAGACTGGCTTCTTTAGTAATATGAATCTAAGTTTCATCCATGTCTTTCATTTCTTGATAGATCATTACATTATTTCAGTGAATAACATTTCATTTCATGTACCAGATTTTATGTATTTATTCACTTACTGAAAGACACTTGGTTGCTTCTAAGCTTGACATTGTGGATAAAGTTGCAATGAACATCTATGTGCATGTTTTTTTGTGGAGATGTGTTTTCAGTTCCTTTAGACAAATACCAAAAAGTGTGATTGTTGAATCATATGGTAAGAAAACGTCAAGTTTTGTAAGAAATAGCTAATCTGTTTTCCAAGGTGGCTACCCCACTTTGCATTTCCACCAGCAATGAATGGGAGCTCTTGTTGCTCCATATCCTTGTCAGCATTTGGTGTTTGTGTTCTGGATTTAGCCCACTGTAATAGGTGTACAGTGGATCTCATCTTTGTTTCGCTTTGCATTTCCATAATGTCATACAACGTGGAGCATCTTTTTATATGCTTGGTTGCCATCTGTATATATTATTTGGTGAGTTATTTGTTAAGGTATTTGACTCATTTTTAATAGTATTTTGTTTCTTATTGTTGAGTTTTAAGAGTTCTTTGTATTAGGTTGGCATAAAGGTAATTGTAGTTTTTACCATTACTTTTGTACAAACCTAATATATTTTGGACAACAGACTTTTATTAAACATGTCTTTTTCAATTTGTTTTCTATACTGTAGCTTGTCTTCACTTTTTATTCTTTTTGTACCATCATTCACAGGTCAGAAAAATTTAATTTTAATGAAGTTCAGCTTATCAGTTCTTTCTTTTATGGCTCACATCATTGGTGATGTATCTAAAAAAGTATAGCCAATCCTATGTCATGTAGATTTATCATACGTTGTCTTCTAGAAGTTTTACAGTTTTGTGTTCTGAAAAAGCTGCTATAAGATTAATTAAGAATAAGAAAAATAGGCCAGGTGTGGTGGCTTACACCTGTAATCCCAGCACTTTGGGAGTCCGAAGCAAGCAGATCACCTGAGGTCAGGAGTTCGAGGCCAGCTTGGCCAACATGGCGAAACCCCATCTCTAATAAGAATACAAAAAAAATTAGCCAGGCATGGTGGCACACACCTGTAATCCCAGCTACTCAGGGGGCTGAGGCAGGAGAATCGCTTGAACCCAGGAGGCAGAGGTTGCAGTCAGCTGAGATCACACCACTGTACTCTAGCCTGGGTACAGAGTGAGACTCCATCTCAAAAAAAAAAAAAGAAAAAAAAGTTTTTTAAAATTTCATTTTCACTTATTTGTTCTCCAATACTGTTTCTGTATGTAGACCTGAGTTTCTGCCCAATGTCATTTTCCTTTTCTCTAATAAACTTCTAATCTTTCTTTCAAGACTAATATACCAGGAACAAATTCTCCAGATTTTTATGTCTGAGAAAGTCTTTATTTCTTCTTCACTTTTGAAAGATAATTTCACAGAATACAAATTTCTAGGTTGGTAATTTTTTTTCTCTCAACACTGTAAATATTTTATTTTACTCTCTTCTTGTTTGCATAGTTTAATCAGATTTAATTCTTATTTTTGCTCCTCTAAGTGTAAGGCATTTTATCTTCTGGCTTCTTTTAGGATTTTCTCTCTTTAATTTTCTGTAGCTTGAAAATGACATGCACAGGTGTAGTTTTGTGGCATTTATTCTACTTGGTGATTTCTGAGCTTCTTGGATCAATGGTTGGGCATCTGGCATTATTTGGGAAAATTCTAATTTCTTATTGTTTCAAATATTTTTTGGTTCCTTTCTCTTTCTCTTTTTCTTCTGGTAATCCCATTATAGATATGTCATACCTTTTGTAATTGTCTCGCAGTCCCCTTGGATATTGTTCTTGTTTTGTGTTGTTGTTGTTTGTTTGTTTGTCTTTTTTACTCTTTGCTTTTCAGTTTTGGAGGTTTCTATTGAGTTATCCTAAAGCTTAGAGATTCTTTACTAAGACATGTTCAATCTGCTAATGGTAATCTATGCCCATCAAAGACATTCTTTATTTCTGTTACAGTGTTTCTGATATCCAGGATTTTTTGTCTTCTTTTTTGCTTAGAATTTCTCTCTCTCTCCTTACATTGTTCATGTGTTCATTCATGCTGTCTACTTTATCCAGTACAGCCTTAGCATATTAATCATGGTTGTTTTAGTACCCAATTTGATATTTTTAACATTCTTACCATATCTGAGTCTGGTTTTAGTGCTTGTTCTATCTTTCAAACTAAGTATTTCGTTTGTAGTATGTCTTGTAATTTTTTTCTTCATAGCCAGACATGATGTATTGGGTAAAAGGAACTGCCAGAAATAAGTCTTTAGTATGTGACAGTGAGGCGTGGGGGAGGGAAAGTGTTCTATATTCCTTTGATCAGGCCTTAGTCTTTTAGTAAGCCTGTACATTGGATTGTGAATTTCACAAGTGTTTCTCAATATCCTTCCTGCCCCAGTGGGACAAGATGGCTAGATTGGGCTGGAGCTCAGTATTTTCCTTACTCCCCATAGAAGGCTAGAGCAGCTGGAGTGAGAGATTTCCCTTTCTCCAGGTAACTTAAGCTCTGAGAAAACCCCAGCAGGTTAGACTCTGTTTAAATAGTTTCTCCTGAGGGCAGATTTTGTTAAGAAGAATAGAATGTTCTGGTGTGTTTCAGGATGGTTATTTTCCCCTCCTCCTGCCAGAAGCAAGACAAGATTTTTCTTTGATAATCACTGTGACGTTCTGGTAGAGCTCCTGGAGGTAAAACTCACAGAAACTCACAAAACCGGGTTCCCCTGGAGTTTTTAAAGCTAAGTTGTCTACACTAAGCCTCAAGCAATTGAGTTGTCTACACTAAGCCTCAAGCAATTGTTAAGTACAGCTCAGGTTTTCCTACTCCAGCACTGTCTCCTACAGAAGTTGATGCTCATGGGTTTCTGTTTCAGAAAATTGTGATTCTCTATATTTACCATTGGGTTTCTCCAATTTGGTGGGTAGCAGTTTGCCCTGGGACCTTACTTCTCATATAGCTCTAGGAAGAATTCTTTATTTTTTTAGTTTTTTCACATTTACTTGTTGTAGGATGGAGTGGCAACTACCAAGAATCTACCAGAACCAGAAACCGAATGCCCTTTCCCCCTCTAGATCCTCGATATCTCCTAGATACTGGAGGAATAGATTATTTTGGTCAAGTGAATTCAGGTTTAAAATCTAAATTTAAATTTATGTAGATATGCTCAGCTGGCTCTTCTTTTAAAATAATTACTATTTGTATGACTATCAGAAAATATAGAAAAGCAATAAGATGAAATTTAAAAACCAATATTTAATTAATATATGGATGTATATTCTAACCAGTGTTAATTGCTTATTTATGTCTGTATTTTACAAAGTAAAGATCATACCTTCATATTGATTTGTTTATATATAGTCATAATTTATAATGTAATATATTTTTCAAAACAATTTCAATGAAAGCAGAGTATTTTATCAGGTAGGTGACCATACTATGTTGACTTAATCCCCAATTAAACATTAAGTTTTCCTGTTATAAACAATAGTATAGGGAGCATTTCTGAGCACTGTCTGCATCTTTTAAAGGATCTTCACATTAACTGTTTCTCAATAATTTAATGAGGGATTAATATCTTAAGAAAAAAGCTTATGAACACTATTTTTGCAAAGTATATCAAAATAGAAAAAACTAGAAGTGCTATGTGCTATTTATTTCATAAGCAAAAGCATCAGTCAGGTCTAAATTCAATACATGGTTATCAAATAATAGTAGTCTAAATTTTATCTTTATTGCAACAGTTGAAAAAAAAACCTTATTACTCAGATTATTCCAGTTTCAGTTTAGCGTATTTGAAATGATAATTTCATGATGTTTATATATATTATTAATGAGCCCATGTAAAAAAAAATAGAGAGATAGCATATTCTTTTCAAAAAAATTTCCAAGTAATCACCATATGCAATTAACACATTTTAAAGGAAATTGGAATTTTATGGAATGACATAAACACCATCCATGTGCATAATACTTTAATCTGTATTAAAGACCATGTAAAATTTGAAAAATCACTTACTATCCAAAGATAATTTAAAATTTACAAAAGCACTTACATGTTCACACATTAGTGTTCATTGAAAGTACAGTGAATAAAATGAAACATATACTCATATAAAACACCCGTATTCCCCAAAAAGAACAAACATACTCAAGTTTATATTACCAGTATAGTTCCACTTCACTATTTCTTGCTGTCACTTAGCAATTTATATTGGTTAACTAATACCTCTTTTAAAAAGTAACTATCCCAAGGAAGTTTAAGATAAATGTTCTCCTTAGTGTGATTTAGTTTGGTTGTTTGTTTTTAATATTTAGCTGAATTTATTGTTCCTAATGTGAACAGCTGATACTCTTTGGGTAAGAGGAAGGGTTGAGTGTGGACAGAGAAGGTTGCAGTTTGTAGCTCTTCATGAAAGTCCAGTCCTGGCTGTGGTATGAGATTGGCATGTAACCAGACAACAGCTGGAGGACACTTTCTTAGTGTTGTTACTCTACAACTACTCACTCTATTAATGAGTTACCAAATAAATACTTGCTTTTCTAAGAGGGAGTGGTAAAAAAAAATGAGGTAAAAAAAATCTAAAAGACAAACTATTTTATCAAGCACTGATTTCTCATCATTTTCTCTGTTCAGGAAATACCCACAAAAAGGTAAAACATTTCTCTCTCAAGAAAGTGACTTTGAGAGATTCTGGGCGTGAAAGCAGGCAAGAGTTTTCTGCACAATCAGAGACTGAGTCCAAACGTAGCCTCAGCCATTCAGTCTTAGGCCAGGCGTGGAAAGTCTGTTTTGCAAGCTTCAGCTGTTTTGTAAGCTGATGCTGGGGAGCATAAGGGAGGCTAGTGAAGCTGATGAGATGAAGAGCAAAGCTGGTGGAGTCCAATCAGAGTGAGGTTAATAAGGAAATTCCAGCCAAAACATGGTAAGGAAGAACTGAAACAGTGCCCAAATTCTGGCAATGAGTTTTGTGGGAATGAGTTTGAAATCAAACTCTAGCTAGTTGCCTGGAGTATCTTCCTGGACTGCCAAGTGGTTGCTCGTGCTTTAGATGGACACCTTGGTTTTCCACATGGAACATATAGAGTGAAGAATAACTCATGGGTCTTCTACCCACCAGGAGTGTACAGTTTATTAGTTCTAAACCAGAGACTTGCTGGCTTTCACAGGTGACATTGTGGTAATGTTGGAGAGCACTTCTTGTCCAGTGTGTGATTATGTGGCATACATCTGTAGTCTCAGTTACTCAGGAGGCTGAGGCTGGAGGATTACTTTAACCCAGGAGTTTGAGCCCAGCCTAGGTACCATAGTGAGACCCATGTCTCTAACAATAACCAACAACAAAGTTGGACTGGAGTTTCCATTAAAAAAAAAAGACAACACCACTCTTTTACACTGCCAAAGTCTCCATGTTTTCCTTATTTCCAGTTATCTCATTGTTCATATCATAACCTCTTCCTAAATTCCTTCACAAGACTTTTCTTACAAGGATTTTTAAAAAGTCTATGACATCAGGCTGCTTCTGATATTGCAAGCAAGGTCTCTAGTCCTCTAAGTTAACTTGGATGTAAGGCTTTAATCATCTATTACAGTGATTTGAAATGGTAGTGGGTATAAAATTCACCTGGACAGCATATTAAAACACAGATCATTGGACCCTATGCCCAGAATCCCTGATTTAGTAACTTTAAAATTGGGCCTGAGAGTTTGCTCATCTAACAAGTATTTAATTGATACTGATGATGCTGAATGAGGGACAATTTGAGGAGAATTGATTGAAAAGACCCTTGCTTATTATGGCATATAAGGATATGTCTGCATCTTCGTAGCTGTATGTATATACAAGTGTCTGGCTGCATGTAATATATAGCTAGACACATACAGTCAAAATGCCATGAATTACAGAATTTTACACATTTCATTCAGCAAAACAGAAAACTGGGAGACTAGATAGGTCACTTATGAAACTTAGACAATGTATATTTTCAGTTTTCTTATTCTTCAGTCAAGCATGTTCATTGAGCATCCAGTTAACACATACTGAGTGAGAATATATAGAAAACCCTTGAAATATAGGGTGACTAAACTCAAAGAGCAAAAGGATAAATCAACAATGGCTAACCCAATGATCGGATATTACTGATTCTTATCTAATAGTAACCATCAGAAACATCAGGGAAGCTTTTACAAAGCATATATACTCAAACCCTACTGCAAAGTTTTAAGATCCTTGGAAGGTAATGAATTAGTGAAAACTGCTATAGAAAATAATAATTGAGGAAACTGAATAAGGACTGTAAGTTTCTCTAAACTTACTAATTCCATTTGTTTTCATCTAGGTTATTACTAAGTAGGAATCACACTTTCTCTCCTGTTATTGAGAAGTTCATACTGTCATCATGCATGTGTGCCAAATGCCTCTAGTGCTTTGTGACACACTCCCATGTATTTCACCCACAGTTGCAGAGGGCAGTTCTTTGAAAGTTCAGACTCACCTTGCACTGCCAGCCTGCACCAACAAGTACTAAGTCCTCCTGAATTCTGCCAAGGGCCTTCTGTTATATTCCAGTGCTCACTGGACCCATGTTTGTATGCTCTTTCTGAAAGTACAAGGGAGGTAATACCCAAGGGATAATCCTCATCCAATAGGCAATGAAGCCAGTGGATAAATGCCAAGGCTGGCTATTCATCTGCAGGTGGGCAGTTCTGGAAGCTCTTCTACCTGCTCCTCAGGAAGCCTCAAGAATGGAATGAAGTCCCTATTATTCACAGGAAGCACATTGATGACAACTTTTTATCTGACTTTTCTTTTACTTCCTTGTTCTATTCACTCATTCCTGGTTCTTGAGGTCACTTCCCAAATTAACCTCCAGTACTCAAGTCCTTTTCTCAGACTCTATAGGGAGCCACAGATTAAAACATTTCGTGGTGTAGAAAATTGGCAAAATATGTATTACTAAAAAAAAAATGCAGCTTCCTAGTGAACTTTTTTTTTCAAAAGATGGTGTGCATGAAGGCAGAAGCAATATAAGGATATATAAATATTAGTAGCCATTTGTTTAAGGATTAATAAATTTGAATTAAAAATCATGGATTTCATCAAAAGGAACAAGATACAAATTTAATAGATTGCAAAATTTGACTCTTATTCTTACCTAAAAGGAATCTGAGCAAATAACTGGTCTCAAAGTAATAGTTAACAAAGCTTCAAAGCTTTTAGGTTATTCGCTATCACAAACTAAACAAAGCAAAAGAGACCAGACATTCCCTTTATGCTGCTGGCTTCTGCCACTTTTCTTAAGACCTCTATTGCCCCTCCTAAGCAGATAATAAGACCTGTGATGCTTCATCTAGATGCACAGAGCTTATGGTGAGAACAACAATTTAAAGGGAGGCAACTCATGCTGATGTAATTGGTGTAAATCTTGGATTGAATCATAGTGTCCTAAGATTAATCTAATTTGTAAACCAGTGGCATTTTTTGTTAGTCTTTTTTTCCTTAACCTTATGTATGTCACTAGAATTTATCAAATCAATATAATCAACATCCTGGTAATGACTGAATTTGAAGGGAAACCAGTAGTATGCTGGATATTAAGAGCAAAGCCATACAAAGATAGACAATTAACAAATCACCATACATGTCTGAACATCAAGGCTTATTTTGAAAAGCAAAAGGTCAACAGTGATTATTCACTTTCTCATGAAGCTTGTCTGTAATCTGCCAATAGACAGGAAAAATGAGCCACTCATAAGTAACATAAAACATAAGACCAGTCTGCCCTTTGGAGATCACCCAGTCAAGACATTTCAAATACAGCTGTTCTCACTTTCCAACCCTAATTGATTAATATCATCTGCTAGATTAGTCTTGTTCAGAATGATTCTGGGTTTGCGCTTCCACATCTAGAAGAAGTTATTAATTCTTTCTTACAACATTAGGACTTAGATTTTGAAGAAATTATTAACATTTTTAAATTAAAAAATTTAAAAATAACTGGGTTAGGACTCAATCTAGTGGCTCTGAAATGTGACTATAGCTTATCTAGGACATGTTGGACGTCATTTTTAAAATTGAGCTACAATAAATATAGCATAAAGTATATTAAGTATATTAATTTTAAGTATATAGCTTTGTGAAGTTCTGCATAAGAAAACAATTGTGGTGACTATCACCTTGATCAAGATGTAAAACTCTTGCAGCACTCCAGAAGTTTCCCTTAAGCCCTCTCCCAATCAATAACTCATAGGTAACCACCATTTTGTCTTCTATTATCATTGATTTGTTCTATATGTTCTTAAACTACATAAAAATGGAATCATAGATGAACTTGAAGATATTTCTATCAGTGTGGGCTTATTATTTGTGTCTGCGCTGGCAACTGATTATTCACAGTAAGTTGATTGAGAGCCCAATATCTTAGAAAGAGAAAACTTATTCTACTTTACAAAAGAAATTATTATGGAGAGAGGGTTATATTAGATCCTACGCAAACCTCTACTAATGTCAGTGCAATGCCTCTTTAAAACAGGTCTAAATTGGCACCTGTACCTAGAAAAGACTTTCTTAAAAACCAGATACTCTGAACAAACTCACCATATGGATAACTAGAAATGTTAGATAAAATATATAAAACAGCCTTGTAAAAGCAAAGATGACCTCAGAAGCCTCCAAATAAAATTGCCAAGGACCAGGAAGAAATTTTTAAAAACCTAAAAATGGCCAGGCGCGGTGGCTCACGCCTGTAATCCCACGCCACTGGGGCCTAGGGTCGCAATACTGGAGCCGCTCAGATTCTCAGCAGTCTTTCAGCTAGAATCTGCTTAAGCCTGCCGAGTTCCCAGGGGGACAGACGACAAGCACCACAGCTGTGACTGCCTGCTGTCTAAGCTGTTTGAGCTCCTTGTGGGAGGAGCAGCCAGCCAGCACTAGGACTGATAGCTACCTAATATGCTAAGCTCCCTGGGTGCGGGGGAGGGCGGCAGCAATCTCTATAGCTCCAGGCCACGCTTTTTCCCTGCTGGAGCCAGGGAGGCTGGACGACTTGATTCCAACAGGTGTCCCCCATATCCCAACACAGGGGCTGTGGCAGACTGCAGCCAGAGTGCCTCTTCAGGCCAGACCCTGACCCATCCCTCCTCACTGGGCGGGGCCTCCCTGCAGGAACTCCAACAACTCCAGCAACTCTAAGAACTCTAACCAGTGGCCCAGGGACAGAACTCTGATCTCCCTGGGCCTGAGCCCCTAGAGGGAGGGGTAGCCGCAGTCTCTGAGGACCAGCAGACTTAGCCTTTCCCCCTGCTAGCTGAGGAATCCGGCAGCCCAGACAAGTGGGATTCCCCACAATGAAGTACACCCCCTCCACCAGAGAGAGTTAAAGTGCTTCATTAAACAGGTCCTATTCCCTGTGCCACCCAACTGGATGAGACCCTCCAACAGGGGTTGTCAGACACCCTATACAGGACCGATCCTGCTGGCATCAGGTTGGTGCCCATTGAGGTCAGAGATAGCCAGAGGAAGAGCAGCTACCCATCTTTGCTGTTCTCCAGCTTCCTTGAGTGACATCTCCTGGCCCAGCCACTAACCAAATGAATAGGGCCTGAAGTGAACCCCCAGCAAACCGCGGTAACCCTACAGAAGAGGAACCTGACCACTGAAGAAAAACAAACAGAAAGCAACAACAACAGCATCATCAACAACAAAAAGTCCCCACAAAAACCCCATCCAAGAGTCAGCAGCCTCAAAGATCAAACCTAGACAAACTCATGAAGATGAAAAAGAATCATTGAAAAAAAGCTGAAAACCCAAAAGGCCAGAGTGCCTCTTCTCCTCCAAATGATCACAACGCCTCTCCAGCAAGGGCAAACAACTGGACACAGAATGAGATGGGTGAATTGACAGAAGTAGGCTTCAAAAGATGGGTAATTACAAACTGCTGAGCTAAAGGAGCATATTCTAACCCAATGCAAAGAAGCTAAGAACCTTTAAAGAAGCTTAGAGGAGCTGCTAACTAGAATAACCAGTTTAGAGAGGAACATAAATGATCTGATGGAGCTGAAAAACACAGCACAAGAACATTGTGAAGCATACACATGTATCAATAGCCGAACTGACCAAGTGGAAGAAAGGTTATCAGAGTTTGAAGACTACCTTGCTTAAATAAGGCATGCAGACATGATTAGAGAAAACAGAATGAAAAGGAGCAACAAACAAAGCCTCTGAGAAATATGGGACATGTAAAAAGACTGAACCTATGATTGATTGGAGTACCTGAAGGAGACAGGGAGAATGGAACCAAGCTGGAAAACACACTTCAGGATATTATCCACGAGAACTTCCCCAACCTAGCAAGACAGGTCAACATTAAAATTCAGGAAATCCAGAGAACACCACTAAGAGACTCCAGGAGAAGACCAAACCCAAGACACATAATCTTCAGATTCACCAAGGTCAAGAGGATGGAAAAAAATGTTAAGGGTAGCCAGAGAGAAAGGCCAGGTCACCTACAAAGGGAAGCCCATCAGACTAACGGCAGATCTCTCAGCAGAAACCCTACAAGCCAGAAGAGAGTGGGGACCAGTATTAAACATTCTTAAAAGAATTTTCAACCCAGAATTTCACATCCAGCCAAACTAAGCTGCATAAGCGAAGGAAAAATAAAATTCTTTCCAGACAAGCAACTGTTGAACAATTTCATTACCACCAGACATGCCTTGCAAGAACTCCTGAAGGAAGCACTAAATATGGAAACAAAAAACTCGTACCAGCCACTGCAAAAACACACCAATATATAAAGACCAATGACACTATGAAGAAACTGCATCAACTGGTGTGCAAAATAACCAGATAGCATCATGATGGCAGGGTCAAATTCACACATAAAAATACTAACCTTAACTCAAGATAGAATATAGACTTAAATGTAAAACCCAAAACCATAAAAGACCTATAAGAAAACCTAGGCAATAACATTTCAGGACATAAGCATAAGCAAAGACTTCATGATGAAAACACCAAAAGCAATTGCAACAAAAGCCAAAATTGACAAATGGAATCTAATTAAACTAAAGAGCTTCTGCACAGCAAAAGAAACTGTCATCAGAGTGAACAGGCAACCTACAGAATGGGAGATGGGAGAAAATTTTTGCAATCTACCCATCTGACAAAGGTCTAATATCCAGAAGCTACAAGGAACTTCAACAAATTTACAAAAAAAAACCCACTCCATCAAAAACTGGGCAAAGGATATGAACAGACACTTCTCAAAACAAGACATTTATGCAGCTAACAAACACATAAAAAAAAGCTAAACATCACTGATCATTAGAGAAATGCAAATCAAAACTGCAATGAGATACAATCTCATGCCAGTCAAAAATGGTGATTATTAAAAAGTCAAGAAACAATAGATGCTGGTGAGGCTATGGAGAAATAGGAATGCTTTTACACTGCTGGTGCAAATATAAATTAGTTCAACCATTGTGGAAGACAGTGTGGCGATTCCTCAAGTATCCAGAACCAGAAATACCATTTGACCCAGCAATTCCGTTGCTGGATATATACCCAAAGAAATATAAATCATTCTCCTATAAAGACACATGCACACGTATGTTTATTGCAGCACTATTTACAATAGCAAAGACATGGAGCTAACCCAAATGCCCATCAATGATAGGCTGGATAGAGAAAATGTGGTACATATACACCATGGAATACTATGCAGCTGTAAAAAAGAATGAGATCATGTCCTTTGCAGGGACATGGATGAAGCTGGAAGCCATCATCTCAGCAAACTAACACAGGAACAGAAAACCAAACACCACATGTTCTCACTTATAAGTGGGAGTTGAACGATGAGAACACATGGACACAGGGAGGGAAAAAACACATGTTGGGGCCTGTTGGGAGGTGGCAGATGAGGGGAGGAAACCTGGATGACAGGTTAATATGTGCAGCAAACCACCATGGCACATGTGTACTTATGCAACAAACCTGAATGTTCTGCACATGTATCCCGGAACTTAAAGTAAAAAGAAAAAATAAGTCTCAAAATAAAAAAATACATTTTTTTTTCTTAAAAAAGGGCAAAACATCTTTTAGCTGGCACAGGGAAAGGACGATAGTGTTCCAATCTGAATGGGTTCCGTGTAGACAAAAACAAAATGTCCTTAGAGTCTTAAATGTCACAGTCACCTTTCCTGAGTTTGAGATTCCAATGTAAACAAACTGTGTGGTCTGGAAACTCTTAGCAAAGAAACTAACATAAAAATGGCCATACGCCTGGGCACTTGCTGGAGGCAAGCATACATCCTTTTGGAAAGGTAACTCCTTAGCCTAGGATCTACAAGATCCTCATAGATAAATCCCTTCCAAACATGGGTCAAGATCCAAATCACAATAAGAAGATAAATGAATAAAAGTATATATATATATATATATTTATTTATAAAATATAACAATGTTATTGTTATTCAGGTGATTTTGATTATTAACCAATCTGTTAAAATAGGATAAAAAGGTTAAAGCTAAAAATATTAAGAAATGAATCAAACACTATGAGAAAATATCAACGAGAGGAGAAAAAAACAAAATTCTATAATTAAATACATATGTATATAGACATATGTAGGCAAACATACATTTAAACATTTACATATAAAATATGTAAAGTCATCGATGATGTAAAAGATATATTTAAGGCAATTATTTAGAGATATGAATTTTTAAATATTAAATACATGAGAAAATTTGAGAGAAGTGGAGAGGAGGACGTAGTAATAAAACTTAACTGTGTCTAATGAGTGTTGCATGACAAGAGAATGCAGTTAATGGAAGCAAAACAGTATTCAAATATTTATAGAAAAAGGCATACACCATTCTAGAATTGAATAAAAAGCATAAATTCTTAGATTTACAAAGCATAATGAATCTCGAGCATAGTAAATAAAAATGAATTTACTCCTAAGGAAAAGTGTAGAATACTAAAATAAATAAATAAATAATAAATATTTAAAGGGAGGAAGTAAACTAGATTACAGAAATGATACAGAAGATATCTCCAAAGCAAAAAAAAAAAAGAGTCAAAAAGTTTCTCTAAAATTATGAGGAAAAAAATCATCTGGAATTTTATGTCCAACATTATTAAAGAATAAATACCAAATGAAGATATTTTCAAATAAATCAAAAGTGACAGTGCATCTGTGTTCTCCTTTTTCTTGTGTCATTCTCTGGCTTTTCTCATTCAAATAAAATCAACTTAGCTACATAACTATAAAATTATTAAACACTATATTAAAAATCAAGGCTACCATTGTACCAAAAACATTTATTCTTCTAAATTTAAAGTTACATGACCAAGTTTGGCTTCTCCCAGAAATACAAGAATACAACACACTCAAATTTGTGTTGAATAACGTAAATCCCCCTCTTTTGAGTTATATACTTTTGCTCATTTTTCAGATTAAATATTGTAGTAATTAAACAACCTATTATGATGTCTGACATATTTTATACTTAAAATATATATTTATATAAATATATTGAATGTTTTCTTGTATATTGCTGTATAATAGTGACTGAAAAAAAAGAAAAAAACACATGTATTGTCTCACTATTTGGGTGGATGTTGGAAAAGCTCAGCTGGAATCTCTGCTTCAGGATCTCACAAGGCTGCAGTTGAAGTACTGGCAGGACCTGCAGCCTCATCTGAAGCTCAGTTGAGGAAATATTCGCTTTCAAGGTCATGTGGTTGTTGATGGCCATTAGTCCCTTATGGGCTACTGGACTGGGGACCT
The DNA here is from genome assembly GCF_000001405.40 of Homo sapiens. Lineage (NCBI taxonomy): Eukaryota > Metazoa > Chordata > Mammalia > Primates > Hominidae > Homo > Homo sapiens. The sequence goes on from NC_000003.12 coordinate 35,510,183, forward strand.
CTATATCTTGCTGGCTGTCAACTGGAAGCCTTCATCAGTTTCTTGTCATGAGGGCCTTCCTAGAAAGATAACAACTTGCTTCCTCAAAGACTGCCAGAGAGAGTGTCCCCTAGCAATATGGGTTTTGGTTTTATGAAACATTCACATGACAGTGACATCCATTATTTTTGCCATGCTCTATTGATCAGAAGCAAGTCACAGGTTCCATCTACATTAAAAAGGCAGAAAATTTATAGGGCATAAATCCCAGGAGCTAGAGATCTTGGGTACCACCTTAGAGTATGTCTACCACAAATATATGTATATATTTAATATATTTTATAGTTAGAGCAAGGTGACAATAAAATTAATTTTTCTTCTTTTTCTTCCTTTTCTTTGCTTTTTCTCTTCTTTTCTCTCTTAACTTGCATTTGTCCTGCTATAGCGCTTTTGCTATGAATTTCTTCCGTTGGGGTAGCTGGTATCCAAGATGAGTGCTGATCATAGCCAACTGTCCACATCATGACATCTATTATGACTTGTGTGTTATTATTTTAACTAAGTAATGCCACTAGAATCCTTGGAGTGAATGGTGTTTTCTAATATTAAATAATTTAAAGAAACAATGATATGCTTATAGAAAAAAACAGCCAACTGAATTGAAAACCTGAGGCTCTGAAGATATGTCCAAATATTTTGGAGCTTTAACTAATAAAATACAGTATTGAAATAATGAATTTATACATCCCGTTGAATACAACTAACTTAAGTTGGGGCCTACTAGACTGGCAATAAAATTCTTTACTTGGGCCTTAGTCTGAGATTTCATTATTATGTATCTGCAGAATGAATTTTTCAGGGAGAATGATCATTTATTTTTATTCCATTGTGCCTTGGACAAGCCTAATTTCTTCAAACAACCAGGGCTCATTAATTTAGACTACTTCTTGAAAGTTCAGCCAAAATATTCAGAAATAACTGCATTCATTCAAAAAGATCACATAGGTTCTTACTCTATAAAACCCACTACAATTTAGATTATGGAGCATATGATGTTACAATTAATGAAGTTTCTATATTAAATAAGAGTGCCATCACTATGCATAATTATATATGGTAAATCAAGCTATGCTAACAAAGCATTGTTTAGTTTTGGAATCAACAATACCTACTTTCACAATGTATACTTTCCATATTAACTTAGTTTCTTTCTCCACTATTAATTGTGTTGGGCTTATTGGTACTAAATGAAGAATTGCTTTACCATTTTGCTAATGTTAAATTAAATAAGGGATTTTTATTATTTCACTCCAAACCATGTTATTCTCTGAAAAATTAGCTTATAGGCTTCAAATTATCTTAGGTTCATCTCATAATAATTAGGATGTCTTCAGTCAAAAGTTGGGGGAAGTCTGGGTGACCTACTTAAGAATCAGGAACCTGGAAATTTAGGCAATGTTTCTACTCCCTAATAACTTATGTTAAGCAATTATACAGCTCTTGAATCTGCTCTCTATTAAACAGAAGCACCCTGTGATAGTCTCAAAGCGTTTTGTCTTAGAACACTTACCAACTTATTCCAAAGTGATATGAGGGATTGCTATCTCAACCTGGAGAACGGACTGAAGCACTAATGCATTAGGAAAGCCTGGACAAATCAAGATAGACAGGTGGATGCTGAAGAAAATAAGATGCCACATCTGGAAAAAAAAAATAGATGGAGTTTAGCAGGGTGATGAGTAGTTTACTACAGAATATAACGTATCCTTCATTCTTCCAATCCTTTATTCACCCAGCAGCTTAATTGTATTTTCAAAAATCTTTCTCCTTTCAATTTCTTTCTTATTATTTTCCATCACTTTAGGATAAAGTACAAACTTTGTAAAATGTTCTATAGAATCTTGAACAATTCTGCTTACACCTGCTTCTGCCTTTAATTTATATCATGTCCACCACCCACACCTGAGGTCTTTTATTTTAGCTGGTCTGGCATTTTTCACAGTTCCTCAATGCAACATGCTCTTTTCCACCACAATGCCTATGCACATATTCTTCCATTTACCTAAAATACTAAAAACACTCTCCCCTAACACACAAACTCACTTTCTTTCCTAGGTTAACTCTATTTCATTAGCCCTTAGCTCAATTTTTACTTGTTCAAAATAGCCTTCCTTGATTTTCCAGATAAGATCTAATCCCAACATTAAAGCATTTCAAAGCAACGTGTCCCTCTTTTTTGCTAACAATTAACATGATTGGAATTTTCTGTTCTTTGTCTTAATATATGGTTAACGCCAGTCTATTTCACTAGATGTAAACTGCATCAGGGCTATGTCTATTTTGTTCATCATTTCCTAAGTCATATCCCATAGTAAGGATTCAATAAATGTTTCTTACCGAACTAATTTATAATGTCTTTACCATAATGTTCTCTCCAACTGTCACCATTTCATGTGGATAGTTACTCTGTTATAACAGGGGAGAACAATAATTTGACAAGATGGCGCTTAGTATCTGTACTGTGACAAAGGGTTTCTTGGGATATACAGGAATCATTTAAATGGGCTCAAGGACCATCAAGGACCATGATGAAAATTATAGCTTTCCTGATTAGTCTTTCTTATTGCTTAATGACCAAGAACAAGATAACAAAAAAGGGATAATTCAATGTGGAAGAAAATAATGGCATAAAAGCAGGTTTACACTAGGTATTTCGAAACCTAATACAACATACCAAATATGAATTTAAAATGTACCAACAGTGTAAGACCTCACATAATACAATTTTGCTATCTGAATCCTTAAGGAAAAAATAAAGCAGAAAGAAATTATGTAAATGGAGGAAATTGAAATTATGGCTCAGATGTAAAAAAACTGAAAGATTCTTTAGAAAAAATAAAAAAAGTACCTGCCACTATGGATAATTAATGACTCAAAGGAGAAGAAAAATTTTTTTTTTTTTTTTTTTTTTTTGCCCTGGCTGGGAGAAATGCTCACTAGCACAGAGAAAGTTCCCCCTAAACTAATCATTAATAAAAACACATGGAAAATGATTTTTGACAGCTTCTTTTCCAATGATGATTAAGCGTTCTATAATCAAAACCCTAAAACGTTGGCTACCTTCTCTTTTACCACTGCTATGCCGTTCTTAGCAAGAGACACACACAGCATAGAGAGGTTATAAAATTAGTCAAGGATAAGCTACCCAAAATATATTTGAACATACAGATAATGTAGTTAGAGAATTACACATTTTTTTGTTCTAAATAGAAATGCTATAGACTGCAATATAATAAAACAATAAATCATAACACAGAAAGTTTTAGATGCTTATTCAGAAATATTTTAAAATTATCTCTTAAACAATTTTTACATCAAAGAAAAAATCAAAATCTCAACCTTACACCAACAAATAGCAACATTAGTTTCTGAATATAAAACCAAGTATTTAAGACTCTGCATGAAATAACATTGTAGAGTTTTAAAAACTTGCATTATTAAACAAGAAAGAGGAAAATAAACAATTTTATTTCAAAATTATAATGAAAAAGAACACAATAAGGAAAACAGAAGGAAACCAGGAATAAAAAACCATGAACATTAATGAATTAAAATATAGTAAAGTAATGACAAATAGACTTTTTTACATTTTTAAATTGACACATAATAATTGTACATAATTATGGACTACAATGTGATATTTCAATATATATATTTGTTATGTAGTAATCAAATCAAGGTTGTTAACATACCCACCATTTTAAACATTTATTATTTCCTTGAGGTGGGACATTCAAAATCCTTCCTTCTAGTAATTTTTCTATGTATAATACTTTATTGTTGTCTATAGTCACCCTAATGTGTGATAGAACACAAAAATTTATTTTTTCTTTCTAATTGTATATTTGTATTCATTGCTCAACATTTTCCCATCCACTCTATCCTCCTACCCTCCCCAGTCTCTGGTAACCACTATTCTATTCTCTACTTCTTTGAGATCAATTGAAAAGTAACCTTGATATATAAATTCAGGCACTGATGATTTTTAAATCTAATGACATCTGGCTTTCTGAAGCAGATTTAAAAAGAAAAAAACAGTGAAAGTCAGTGAAAAAGAAAAGGTAAATAATCCCATCTACAGAAATAAAAATATATAGTGTAAATCATATACAAAGTTGTAAAGTCTTGGTGTATTTTTTAGGAAAATAAAAATCAATTTAACTCTAAAGGTTACTAAAATGATTTTTTAAATATTCAACAGTAATAAAATATAAATAAATGGACAATCTTGATATGATCTCTCTTATTCTTCCTCTCTTTCACACATATATACATAATTCTGGGAAACATTAAAAAATTCCTACACTATAACTTAGCAACTACTGTATTAGGAATATACTAGTTGAGATGTTAGTTAAGAGTATAAAATAAGATATATAAATATTGGGTTGAAAGAGAAAAATTATTTGAAGATATTATGAATAGATGCCTAGAAAACACTAGGAAAAATAAGAAAAAATAGAAAACCAAGAGATTATCTGGTTCATAAAATTGATATAGAAAATCAAAATATTTTATTTCTGCAAACAATTAAAATGATAAAACATAATGAGAGAAGATATTTCTTTAATGTTGGCAACACAAAAGGTAATATGCCTAAGAATGAAGTTAGTAACATATAAAGAAGTATTTTTAAAACATTACTTAAGAATATCAAAGAAAGTTTGAATAAAAAAATCACTTAAGTGGTCTTGGATAAGAGGACAACATTACCAAGACATCAGTACTTCCTGCCATAATTCTTACCTTTTCACTTCAAGTACATTTATAAGAAGCATATTCATTTATTATTGTATACATGAGTTTGAAGGTGACAGCATGCATGTGTGGGTGTGTGTGCATGTGTGTTTGTGTGTGAGAAAATGGCAGAGAGAAGAGAGACATGAAAACAGAGAAAGTAAAATATAGGGGTGAAGAATGAGGAGAGAAATAGACTAGAAAATAATATAGTAAAACTGATAGGAAAATATGAGAATAGCAGGTAAAAAAAATAAAAATAAATGTGACAAAGAGGGAAGATATCAACCAGATATAGAACATTTAAAGCTTAATTATTTGATTCTAGTACTGGAAGAAACATAAACACTAATGAAATAACTAAGATTTCAAATATAATCTCAAATAAATATTGGAATAAGTACTGATAAAGGTGTTATTTTAAACAAGTGATGTAAGTGTCTATGTTTGGAGAAGAAGAAAAAACCATGAAACCTTCTCACTCTTTCAACTAAAATAGTTGCTATGTTAAAGTGTGCGATATAATAAAATGTTTCAAAGAATTCAAAGAAAGCATGTGTGACGTGTTTGTGTTTTCTTTGAGACAGGAAGACATTTCTAACATCAATTCTAGAAAAAACTTTGATGTAAAATCAAATATGTTTATACTAAAAACAGATTTAGTAAAAAGACAGGTGAGAAACTAAAGTTATAATATAAATATAAAATATATATTTTGTATTTATATTTTTATAATTAATTTATAATTAAAGATAAAAATATATTCAGACAGAGAGCTTTTACAGGTAGCAAGAAACAGGTACCCTGTAAAGAAAATATAGACAACATGAGAAGTCAGTACACTGAAAAAGGAAGCACAAATAACAAATGAAGATAAAAAAATACATTTTATAAATAACTAAATGCAAATAAACTAATTAAATACACCTTTCATAGTTAGATATATCTATGATTATTAAAATTTATTAAAATTTAAATAGGCCAATTGAAAAACAATATTTTTGAGACAACAGAAAAAAATATAGACGATATAAGATTGTAATAATGTATTATTAATTTGGCTGGGGTTGACAATGACACTGTGGTTGTATAAAGAAGTATCCTTATATGATGTAAACACAAACTGAAATATTGAGGGATGACATGGCATGATATCAGAATTTTTAATAAATATTTCAGAAAAAATGGCAAAATGTTTGTGTTATGTCTGGTGATGTATATATGGAGATTCATTATGCCATTCTCTCCACTTATGTGCCTTTGAAAATTTTCATTATAGACAGTTAAATACGATAAATTGCTAATATAAAATGGGAGTCAATATGTGAAGATGCCAGCAGTCTTTTATACATATTAGCCAAGCTAAAATTCGGTTTCCCTTTCTTTTTTTTTTTTTTTACTATACTTTAAGATTTAGGGTACATGTGCACATCGTGCAGGTTTGTTACATGTGTATACATGTGCCATGTTGGTGTGCTGCACCCATTAACTCGTCATTTACATTAGGTATATCTCCTAATGCTATCCCTCCCCCCTCTCCCCACCCCACAACAGGCCCTAGTGTGTGATGTTCCCCGTCCTGTGTCCATGTGTTCTCATTGTTCAATTCCCACCTATGAGTGAGAACATGCGGTGTTTGGCTTTTTTGTCCTTGTGATAGTTTGCTGAGAATGATGGTTTCCAGCTTCGTCCATGTCCCTACAAAGGACATGAACTCATCCTTTTTGATGGCTGCATAGTATTCCATGGTGTATGTGTGCCACATTTTCTTAATCCAGTCTATCATTGTTGGACATTTGAGTTGGTTCCCAGTCTTTGCTATTGTGAATAGTGCTGCAATAAACATACGTGTGCATGTGTCTTTATAGCAGCATGATTTATAATCCTTTGGGTATATACCCAGTAATGGGATGGCTGGGTCAAATGGTATTTCTAGTTCTAGATCCCTGAGGAATTGCCACACCGACTTCCACAATGGTTGAACTAGTTTACAGACCCACCAACAGTGTAAAAGTGTTCCTATTTCTCCACATCCTCTCCAGCACCTGTTGTTTCCTGATTTTTTAATGATTGCCATTCTAACTGGTATGAGATGGTATCTCATTGTGGTTTTGATTTGCATTCCTCTGATGGCCAGTGATGATGAGCATTTTTTCATGTGTCTTTTGGCTGCATGAATGTCTTCTTTTGAGAAGTGTCTGTTCATATCCTTTGCCCACTTTTTGATGGGGTTGTTTGTTTTTTTCTTGTAAATTTGTTTGAGTTCTCTGTATATTCTGGATATTAGCCCTTTGTCAGATGAGTAGATTGTAAAAATTTTCTCCCATTCTGTAGGTTGCCTGTTCACTCTGCTGGTAGTTTCTTTTGCTGTGCAGAAGCTCTTTAGTTTAATTAGATTCCATTTGTCAATTTTGGCTTTTGTTGCCATAACTTTTGGGTTTCCCTTTCTTAATCCTCCTCCTGGTTGACATCTTAGCAGTCTTTAATACTGCTGGCTGCTCGTTTCTTCATAAATCTCTGCTTTCCTCAGGTCCTGGGATAGCACTCTGTTCTGGAGTTCCTCCTTACCTCTTTAAATATTCCTTCTGGGTCTCCTCCCCTCTCTAGAGGGGTCATTCTTTCTTATTGGTCATTAACTGCAGTAGTTTCTCAAGGCTCAGTTCTGAACTTTCCTTCTCTCTCCCTCTAAAATCTCTAGAGAAGCTCAGTTTCCTTCTTTCCCACACTTCAGTTACATCTATACACAGAAAGTCTCAACTTATCTAGTGGTTACAAGCATTGGCGTAGACTATCTTGTGTAAAGGTGAAGGGTCATCAGTGTACACATTCCACCAGCTATAGGATTGTAAGCCCCTATAGGCCTTCTATTTTCTCATTTGTTAACAGGTCAACATTAAAATGTTGTTAAGATTTTGCATGTACTGAGGGAGAGAGAGAGAGCTTATGAAAGTGTCTGGGGTGTCCAATCAGTAAAAGCTAATATTATTCCCAAACATATACCTCTATACCTTATTTTCATGTAGTTATATGCCTACTTGAGATCTCTAAACACATCTTTGGGGATATTCAAATTTAATTTTTCTTCTTACCCTCAAACCTCTTTCTCTTTCGATGCCCCTTATGCCAATAAATACTACTCTCCAGGTGGTGCACAAGCGAGAAACCTAGTGCATTAGTTTCCTATTGCTGCTGTAACAAATTCCCACAAATTTGGTGGCTTAGAAAAACACAAATTTATTATGTTACAGTTCTGGCAGTCAGAAATCTGAAATAAGTTTCACTGAGCTAATGTCAAAGTATTGACAGGGCTGCATTCCTTCTGGGGGCTGTGAAGGAGAATTCATTTCCTTTTTCAGCTTCTAGAGGCTGCTTAGGTTCCTTGGCTCATAGCCCTTCCATCTTCAAAACCAGCTGTGCAGTACCCTCAAATCGCTCTCTTACACTGACTCTTCTGCCTTCCTTCTCTACATTTAAACCCTTGTGATTACATTAAACTCACACTGATAACCTAGGACAATTTCATTTTAAGGGCAGCTGATTAGAAACCTTAATTCTATCTACAACCTTAACTCCCTCTTGTCATGTGGTCACAGAGTCTGGAGATTGGGGCATAAGAACCCTTAGGGGGCCAATACACTATCAAGAATGCCTAGTTACCCTTATTGTGATATACAATCTCTTATTCAATCATTTAGATTTTCTTTGTTTTTATATGTGTTTGTTGTTGTTATTGTTTGTTAATTTATTTTAAAGGCTTTATTTTTTTAGAGCAGTTTTAGATTCACAGCAAAACTGAGCAGAAGGAGCAGAGATAACCCATATGCCTCTGCCCCACACAAGCATAGATTCTTACATTATCAACATCCCCCACCAGAGTGGTACATTTATTACAATTGATAATCCTACACTGACATCATTATCACCCAAAGCTCTTGGATTTCATAGGGTTCACTCTTGGATTTGTGCATTCTACGGTATGGACAAATGTATAATTGCATTATCCACTATTATAACGTCATACGGAGTATTTTCGCTGCCTCCAAAAATCCTCTGTGTTCTGCCTTTTCATCCTTCCCTCCCCTCTATACCCTGACAACCATGAATTCTTTTATTGTCTCTATGGTTTTACCTTTTCCAGAATGTTACGTAGTTGTAATCATATAGTAGTTAGCATTTTTAGACTGACTCCTTTTACTTAGCAATGTACACTTAAGTTTCCTCCATGTCTTTTCATGGCTTGATAGCTCATTTATTTTTAGTGCTGAATAATATTCCATTATTTGGATGTACCCTAATTTATTTATCCACTCACCTACTGGCAGACATCTTGGTTGCTTCTAAGTTTTGACAACTATGAACATGCATGTGAAAGATTTTGTGTGTGCATAAGCTTTCAGCTCCTTTGGATAAATATAAAGGAATACAAAAATTCTTTAGTTTTTACATTCCTTCTATCCAATGATTAGACTCCTATCCAATCAAGCAGAACACAGTTAGCTTGACAATATCAAAGTTACTAATATCTCCCTAACTCCTTGTGCCTCTCTATCAATCAAGTTTATACTAACCAAAGTGATACTTTCAAAACAAATCTTAAATAACATCTTGCTCCACTTTAAACCTTTTATTGGTTTCCCATTACCTATTGCTCTTAGGATACAGCCCAAAATCCTTATTATGTTCTACAAGTTCATCAACATTGCATATTAGAATCTACCCAAGGAGCTTAAGAAACAGAAAAACAAAAACCACTCCCGGAGAAGGGTAATATATTAATCATATCCCCCCTGAAAGAGGACACATTCAAATTAGAATAATTTGAAGAATGCTTGTTTACAGATGATCTAATTACAAAGCCGTGTAAGCTGAGGCAAAGGATAGTGCAATAGCACAAAGCTAGTTGCAGCAGTGCTGTTACCATGCTGGGTGTGAAGGCATGAGGAGTGGCAGAGGTTATACGAACCATCCCCCTCCACCGACACACAAAAACATCTTACATTAAGCAGCCCATCTTGCAAAAAAACAGAGTTCTTCCTCAAGGGGGAAAAAGCAGCCTAATCAGGAGGAAATATATACCCTTAACCTCACTAACCTCTAACCTCCTACCAGATATCCCCTTTAGCCAAACCCTACAGATGGCCAGTAGACATAGGAGCCTGTGACTTACCCAAGCAGATTAGCCTTTGATGGTGAAGAGCAACATGGACATGGGTGGGAAGTCTTTATGGAAGGGCAAACAGAAGATATCTGGTCTAAATAGGCAATAAAATAAGTGAACAAGATTTAGAGGAATCATTCTGAAAAGTAATGAGACATATCCCTGAGTGAGAGGAGTCAAAGAGAGCAGGGAAAATAGCCAGATACATTTGGAAGTAGATGCTTTAGCTAATGGACATGCACAACAGGTTCTTAAGCAAGGGAAAGAAAGTTTAGCAATTTAGGAATAAAGTATCAGGAATATTAGTTTGGCTAGCATGGACAGAGTAAATAAGAAACCAGGAAGTAGCAGTTGAGGCTTGAAAAACAGGCATCATGGACAGGGTGAATGTGAAACCAGGCTTGAAAAAAAAAATGTCAGCATGTTTTAAAAGTAGAAAGTAAGTGGTTTACTGAGACAACGTTTATCCAAGTATCTGTGAAAATTATCACATTACAGCCTTAGGGCCAATTTTTCCTAGAAGTCTTTCAAAGGGTAAAAACCACTTTAAGATTGTGAATATAAATTGACAAATCGCCTTTCAGACAACTTGTATTGATTTATACTTTTCACTATTAGGCATGGAAATACTAGTTTTCCCATTGATTATCATCACTCTTTTTCTTTTCCTACCTCATAGACCACTGAAAAGTCCCTTCCAAGTACCTTATAATACCACATAGGCACCTCTGTCACCACACTTATCATATTTTTAATCTGTCTGTGTGTTTGTCCTAGGTCTTCAAGTGTTTTTTACTTTTTCTATTGTCTCTCTAATTGTCTCTCATTCTTTCAACCTGAGGATCTCAAAACATACAATTAAAGAGAGTGTCTCAGAGGACAAGATGATTAAAGAGATGATATTCTTAGGATCAATTGGAAGAATATGTCACATAAATGCATGGATTTGATTTAAAAATGAAATTTTTTTTAAATGGGATTGATAGAATAAGGAAGAAAGCCAAATTCAATAGCATCCCTAATATATACGAAGTAGGGAAAAATATATATCTACATATATGGAATGAGGGTCAGCATGAGGAATGTATTCACTGTTAGCAGGACTAGTAGATGAGGTCCCTGATTCTGATGATAATCAATCAATTTATAGAAATATGAAGAAACAGACAAGGTAAAAATAGGTAATGAGTCTGAGTAAGTTGAGTAATTGCATGAAGTTCCAAGGTTAATAGATTGTTTTCGTGAAACAAGGGTAGATCCTGATCCGGCATCATTAGTTAGGAATGCTGGCATGTACCAAAGTAGAAGAGAGAGAGGGTAAGATGAAAGAAAAAGCTATTGCCTGGGAATCACATACCTGTTTCTAAACAATACTGAAAACCATCAGCTTTATTGTAAGACCGAAGAAGATTGAGAAGACATAATAAGAATTTCACAAAATAATGAGGACCTAATTAGAGGATACAACTGTATGAGAAGAGGCAAACATATTCTATGTAGCTGAAGAAATAAATTGAGATACTGCAATTTAAGAGTTAAGACCGTTTGACATAGTAACTAGCTTAATAGTCATATTGTTATATAGTTACTTTTCTTATAATTAAGAGATGTGATATATTTTAAATAAACCTGTAATATCTGGATTATTAGTCTGTTCAATTAACATTTAGTATAGAATTTAATAAAACTTTTTTATTAAAGTTCTTTCTTCATTAAAAATGAAAATAGGGAAAGAATTTATTAATGAAGGCAAAATGAGATGGGATTTGCTTACACAAACCCAAAGTCTCCCTAAAATCAGAAAACTTCAGTTAATTCCACTTGTATATCACCTTCATTTACACTAAAGACAGGCTGTAAAGCCCTCTATGGAAATAGCTTATTGCAATAATTATATACTATATCATAGCCATTAGTCTGCAGGCTACAAAATTAGAATTGTATTGACTTGGGTTTTCTTCACTGGAAAAAAAGCAGGCCATTAAAAATAGAACTGTGTGTGTGTGTGTCCATCAGCCAAAGCCCTTGCAGCAGCCCCTCTGGGAGGGGCACCAACAGTGACTTCTAATCAAGTATTCAAATATGTGTATTAATCAAGCATCAACTCAGACAAGAAGTATCATAACGAGACATCAAGTGGTGAAAGGACATCCCTTATCTCTGTGAATTGTTTTGTGGTGTCCAGGTTTCTGGATCTAATTGCTCCTGCTTTTGGCCACTTGTTCTCATGCCTGATCCCCCAACTGCCCTTCTGAGTGGGAAAGAAGCTAATGTTCACCTCCAAACCCTCACAAGAGAAAAACACTTTCATTCTGGCATCGATTTATTTTGATGTTAATTTCCTGTTAGTTTCTCAGTGTGCTGACTTGCATTTCTTTGATCTTTACCTAGTCTTCATTCTGTTAAACATCCTTATCCTGACTGGAAGATTGTAGCTGTAGTAACCAAGTCTATTCAAGTTTGACCAACCAACACAAATACCCACTAATACAGGCTTTCCTCACACACCCCGTCTCCTGCCTCCTCTGCCTCATTCTCTTTCTCAGTTCTCCTTTTCCTGCTTCTCTATTTGCATGAATTGAAAACAGTAAAATCAGGAGATAACACAGCAACAAGACGAGACACTGAAACCTAGTTCCTACATTAGAATCTGATTTTGTTGTGAATACAAAATTCCTTCAGTTGGTATCAGACGTCCAGAGCATGTTGGGGTAGGGGAAGGCTGAGGGAATGGTTTCAGGATGAAACTATTCCACCTCAGATTGTCAGGCATTAGACTCTTAGGGAGCGTGCAACCTAGATCTCTCACATGTGTGGTTCATGCTAGGATTTGTGCTCCTATGAGAATCTAATGCGGCTGCTGATTATGGCCTGAGGTGGAGCTCAGGCCATAATGCTCTGCGGCCCGCTACTCACCACGTGCTGTGTGGCCTGGTTCTTAACAGGCCACGAAGTGGTTGTGGCCCCGGGTTTGGGGACCCCTGGTCTAGAGACCTTAATTGAGAAGGATCATGAGGCTTCATTTGTACCCAATGGAAAAGAGCTTTATGATCCATTATGATGTCTGGCTCAGTGATGGGACACCGGACTGAGGTCTCTTGTACTGGAAATGGGACAGACTGGTTCAGTGCCCCACCTTCTTTTCGACACTTGCAGAGTCTAAGATATGTAAATAATGCTTTCTCACACAGCTAGTGAATGCCACATACTGGAATGAGAAACCAGATTTTCTGAGTTCCAGGAACCCTGATGTTCAGGATCAAAAACCCTCTAATACCAAGAGTCAAATTATCTTTCCTTTTTTCTTGTTCTAGCAAATCATTTTTACAATTATTTCAAACCGTCTCTTGATACTTTTATTCTTTCTAGCACCTCAGTTAAATTGCTTTTCTTCTCACACAACCATTATGACAATCCCTTTTTAAACTGGTTTCTTTGTCTCTCACTGATTACTATACAATCAGCCCTGTTCTCAGTACTAGATAAATCTTCCAAATGCATTGTTATCATAATCTCAATCTCCAGCTTTAAAAATTCAACAACATAAACATTTGCAAGAAAAAAATGTATTCCTCAAACTACATTTTAATCCCTTTCATGACCTCAAACTACCAGTTGGGAACATGTATTTCCTACTATGATCCAGCATAAAAAATATCCACCAGCTATTTTAGTTTTGTCATACATTAAAATATGGCATCATAATCTCTACCTAACAAAACCCTTAATCTGTTTTCTCTACCTCGTTGTCAGTAACTGCCTCCCTACCTCTTTCCGGTAGTTTATCCTACCTCACAACAGAAATATCTATAAAACTTCTAAAATTGTCTAGTTAAATAAAAAAAGACAAACATCTATACACATAGATTCACAGTTTGCTTTTACCCAACAATAGTCTCATTGGCGGTGCAGCAGCCAGCTGAAATAATTGGAAGAGTGAAACATTACATTACGTAAGGATCTTGGAATGTGAAGAACAACAAAGAATGTTCACTCAAATCTATTCTTTACACAGTAATAAAACCCAATAAATATTTTTCTGATAACAATGTTGATATCAAAAAATTGTAGTTACTCAGTTTGGCCATAATTTTATTAGCCTGAAGTATATCTACATACTGATTTTCCCCTAAAATAGATCCTTTTGAATCCCTAGCCAATTCTTTTCATTACTTTTCTGAAATTGATCAATTTCATCCCTGGCTTGTTTGACAGTCAACAAGGAAATTGAATTGCTCTTGAACAAGTAAATGGGTTCCCACTCTTTTCCTACTTGAAAGAAAATACTTATTTGTAGCACAAATAAACACCATACATGTTCATTTCCACAATACAAAAATTCTTTGAAGAATTCACTGAACTGGAAAATATAGTGGGGGTAAGAAACTGTACACAAGCCTGGAAAATGAATTAGGATAAAAAATCTGACACCGTCTGTACCTATTTTTCTCCTTGTGTAAGAAACAGCTTTGGCACCAAAAGTTCCAGTTATTTTATATAGCTCTTTACCAGAAGACCGGATCTGGTGAACTTGCTGGGAATCTATTCTAGAAGTGCTAGAATTTTTTTCATTGAATGTTCTTTGATATTGTTTCTACTTTAATTAATTTTAAGAGAAAATCAGAAAATACTATTAGTTAATACAGGCAAAATTCTGGGTATATGTAATTCCACAGATTACTACAGTTTATCTCCAAAAGCCATAATCAAATGTCACCTCAAGCCTTTAGAAACCTAATTTCACGTGACTGTTTCATCGGTCTTTGTCATGGAGTCTGCACCATGGCCTCCTGCTGTGTGGTTGGCTCATAGGACTCTTCCCCTGAAGAGACCATAGAGATAACTCTGTGATGTACTCCCTCTGTGCTATAGTCACTCTGCTCTCTGTGCCTAGCAGGGTCAGCTGTGTTTTCTTTTCCTGAGAGTTCTGTATTTTAAATGAGATTCCAGTTGTCTATGGTGTACTTCTATTAACCTAAGAGTTGCCCTCCTGGTGTAATCATTAACTACTGCTCTTCTGTGGCAGTTATTTTGAGAATGAGGTGTCCATTTAGGAATTCCAACTTCAGAATTCTATTTATGTTCTCAAAATGGTAACTGCTTTAAATCATCATCACATTAATGTATACTCTTTAAATTGTTAAAATACAGCACTGTATTAAGCAAAAAGGAAAACTGTGTCTCCCCAGCTGCATCATCCTATATGTTCAATTCTTCAAAATTAGCTACTGTTAACAGTTCAATGTGTATACTTCCAGCCATTTTAAGTGTGTATATGTTTGTGTCTCTGTATATGTGTGTATGTGTATACATGGGTATATAAAGGACACACACATATATAATTTATATTCATATTACTACATTTCAATGTTTATCATATAAAAACATATATAGCATATTCTTCTAAAAATATCTTCATTTAACTCTAAATACAGGCATACCTCAGAGGTATTATGGGTGTGGTTCCAAGACCACTGCAATAAAGTTAATACAGAATAAAGTGAGTTGCATGACGTTTTTGGTTTCTCGGTTCATACAAAAGTTATGTTTACACTGTACTGTAGTCTATTAAGTGTATAAAAATAATGTAAATAACCTAATTTAAAAATATTTTATACCTAAAAATGCTAATGGTCATCTGAGACTTCAGTAATTTGTAATATTTTGGCTGGTGGAGGGTCTTTTGTCAGTGTTGATGGCTACTGACTGATCAGGGTGATGGTTGGTAAATTTTGCAGTGGCTGTGTCAATTTCTTAAAATGACACAATAATGAGATTTGCTGCATCAGTTAACTCTTTTACAAAAGATTTCTCTGTAACATGTGATGCTGTTTAATAGCATTTTGCCCACTGTACAACTTCTTTCAAAATTAGAATCAATCCTCTCAAACTCTACCACTGCTTTATCAACTAGTTCATGTAATACTCTAAAACCTGTGTTGTCACTTCAACAGCGTTCACAGCATCTTCACCAGGAATAGCTTCCATTTCAAGAAACCAGTTTCTTTGTTCATCCATAAGAAGCAAATCTTCATCTATTCAAGTTATATCATAAGGTTGCAGCAATTCAGTCACATCTTCAGGATCCACTTGGAATTCTAGTTTTCTTACTATTTCTACCAAATCTGAAGTCACTTCCTTCAGTGAAGTCTTGAATCCCTCTAAGTTATCCATGAGGACTGGAATCAACATCTTCCAAATTTCTATTAGTGTTGACATTTTGACAACAGTCTGTAGCCAATAGATCAAGGAGTAGTTTTAACTTTCAAGTCTTATTATTTAAGGATATCTGTCCCAGCTATGGCCTTACAAAATTTATTTCTTAAATAATAAGACTTGAAAGTCAAAACTGTTTAATCTATGGGCTGCAGAATAAATGATGTGTTAGCAGGCATGAAGATAACATTCATCTTTGAATGTACAGCCTTATTAATGAGCAATAATATTTTAAAAGGTATCTTTTTTTTACTGAGCAGTAGTTCTCAACAGTGAGCTCAAAATATTTGGTAAACCATGCTATAAACAGATGTGCTGTCATTCAGGCTTTGTTGTTCCATTTATAGAGCACAGCTAGAGTAGATTTAGCATAATTCTTAAGGACACCAGGATTTTCAGAATGATAAATGAGCATTGGCTTCAACTCAAAGTCATCAAATGTATTAACACCTGATAAGATAGTCAGCCTATCCTTTGAAGCCAGGCATTGACTTCTCCTCTCTAGCTAGGAAAATCTTAGAGGGCATTTTCTACTATAAAGCTGTTTCATCTACATTGAAGATCTGTTATTTGGTATAGCCACCTTCAGCAATGATCTTAGGCAGATCTTCTGAATTACTTGCTGTAGTTTCTACATCAGCACATGCTGTGTACCTTGCACTTTTACGTCATGGAGCTGGCTTCTTTCTTTCTCTTTCTCATGAACCAGCCTCTAACAACTTCAAACTTTACTTCTGCCACTTCTTTGCCTCTTTCAGCCTTCATAGATTTGAAGAGAGAATCTTGTTCTGGCTTTGGCTTAAGAGAATGTTATGGCTGGTTTGATCTTCTATCCAGACCATTAAACATTCTCCATATCAGCAATAAGGCTGTTTGGCTTTCTTATCATTGATGTATTCATTTAAGTAGCTCTTTTAATCTTCTTCAAGAACTTTTCTTTTGCATTCACAACTTAGCTAACTTTTTGTTGCAAGAGGCCTAGCTTCAAGCCTCTCTCAGCTTTCAATATGCCTTCCTCATTAAGTTTAATCATGTCTAGCTTTTGATTTAGTTGACAGACCTGAAAATCTTTCTTTCATTTGAACACTTAGAGACTATTGTAGGGTTATTAATTGGTGTAGTTTTAATATTGTTATGTTTCAGGGAATAGGGATGTGGGATGGAGGGAGAGAGATAGGGGAATAGCCAGTCGGTGGAGCTGTCAGAATATGCACAATATTTATTAAGTTTACCATCTTGTATAGGTGGGATTGCTGTTGCCCCCAAAATAATAATTACAGTAACATCAGTAACATAAAAGACCACTGGTCACAGATCACCATGATAGATAGAATAATAATGAAAATGTTTAAAATATTCCAAGAATTACCAAAATATGACACAGAGATACAAAGTGAGCACACGATGTTTGAAAAATGGTGCCAATAGATGCTCAATGCAGGTTTGCCACAAACCTTCAATTTGTATAAAACACAGTATCTGCTAAGTGCAATAAAGCAAAGTTCAATTAAATGAGATATGTCTGTATCTTTAATTTTAATATTTAATGCCAATATATTCAGGTCTACCCTTCTGATTTTTAAAACTGCAACAGATTTTATGAATATAATCTGATTTATTTAATTATTTAAATAAAAGGATTATTTTTAAAAAGTTCTACCTTTGTTCTTAGAAATCATTCAAGGAAGAATAAAGTGAAATATTTTCATTTGAAGTATTGTAAGTGAAAAGCTTACCAATGTGTAATTCTGCACCCTGGGAAAATATTCTTCAAAACTGAAGAAATAAAGACTTTTTCAGACAAATATCATTAAAAATATTGTTGCCAGGAGACCTTACTAGTAAGAAATGATAAAAAGAATCTCTTATGAGACAGGAAAATTGATAGAGGTCAGGAACTCAGATCTACATAAAGAAAAAAGGCATTAGAGAAGGAATAAGTGAAGATAAATAATATCTTTTATAATTTCTTTAAACCTCATGAACCAACAACCTCTGCTGGATATTTTTATTTTTCTTATTCTTAATTGATATAACAGATAAGAGTTTGTCCAAAATAATAATAGCAACCAGGTATTTAAATATATATATGCTTATATACAAGTGATATGAATGACAGAAATGATATAGGGAGGAGAGAAAGGAATTCAGATTATTTTATTATTATAAGGTACTTATAGTTCCTCTCAAGCAATGTAAAATTATTTGAAAATATACTTGGATTAGTTATAAATATATATTGAAAACTCTAGGACAGCCGCTAAAAAATGTAAAAGAAGAAAGCATAATTAATATACTAGAAAACAGAAAATGTAATAATATAATGCTTAATTAAAACCACAGCAGAAAAATTGTGGAAGACAAAATGAGAACAAAGAACAAGGGCAACAAATGGAAAACGGTAACAAAATTGGTACATATTAATCCAACTATATCAATATATGTTGGCTACAAAAAAACCCACTTTAATTATTGACACATGTAAATTAAAAGAAAAGGAATGGACTTTCGGTTTCTGGTCTGGCATGTAAGAAGAGTACAAGTAAAAAGTGAAACAAACTGAAAAGTCAACAATGTTTTGTAGATTCAGCAAAGACGCGAGGTCACAGGGCAAACCACTGCCACAAAAATTAAAGAGAAAGGTTGATACAAAGAACTAAAACTTACTAGAGCAGAAACTCAGACAACTTGCAACCTCCTCCGGAACCAGTGCTGGGTAGGAAAACCTGAACTGTAATTGACAAATTGCTTGAAGCTCAGTGTAGGCAATTCTTGAGAGTTAAAATCTTCCGGTGGACCCAGTCACAGTGACCCCACTTTTTTTGTAAGTTTCACCTCCAGGAGCTTTATCTCACAGTGAATATCAGAGTTAAAAAACCCATCTTGCTTCTAGTCAAAGGGGACATGGGGTAGGAGGAGAGAAGAACCATCTTGAAATATACCAGAGCATTCCGTTCTTGTTAACAAGATCTGTCCTTAGGAGAAATTATTCAGGCAGAATCTCACCTCTGAAGTTTTACCGGAGCCTAATCTACCTGAGGAAAGGGAAATACCCATCTCCACACCCTCCAGGCATCTGGTCACACCTGAAGGGGTGGAAAAAAAAAAGTGGGGAGGCACAGGTGAAGATCATCTTTCCAAAGCACAAGGTCACCCAAAGATAGAGACCTAATCGTGGTCACCGAAAGAGGGAGACCTAGTTGTGGAAGTACAGAATACCTTCCTTCACACCTTACCACCACATTACTAAAAGCCTATTTACAAGGTTGCTTTATCTAGTACATCAAGTCTGGCTTTCAGCAAACAATTACAAGGCATACCAAAAGGCAAAAAACGGAGTTTGAGGAGACCGAAGAAGCGTCAGAATCAGAATAATGTGACTGTGACAGAAGTGTTGGAATTATCAAACCAGAAATTTTGAAAAACTAAGCTTAAGCTGTTAAGGTCTTTTAGTGGAAAACACAGGAGACATGCAAGAACAGATGGAAAATGTAAGTGAAGCGATGTAATCAAAAAGGAGTGCTGGGACCAAAAGCATTGTAACAAAGGGAAGAATGTCCTTATTGGACTAATTTGTAGACTGGACAAAGCTGAGAAAATAATGTCAGCTTGAGAATATTATAATAAAAAACTTCTAAGACTGAAAAGCAAAGAGGACAAAAACCCTGCAAAAAAAGCAGAACAAAATATTGAAGAACTATAGAACAACTACAAAAGGTACAACACACACAAAATAAAATTTCAGAAAGAGAAGAGAAAAGGAAGAAGATAAATATATGAAACATAAATGAGTGAGGATTTTCAGCAAATTAATGTCAGATACCAAACTACAAATCAAGCATGTTTGAAAAACACCAAGCAGAAAAAAATGTCAGACATAGACTACATCTAGATATAACATGTTCAAACATAAGAAAAAAAAAATCTTGAAAAGCCAGGAGGGGCTCAGTGGTGAGGGTGGAGGGTGGTGGGGGCTGGAAGCTTCCTTACAGAGAAGCAACAAAGATAAGAATTACATCCAACTTCTTCTCAGGAACCATGCAAGTAAAAAGAGAATGTAGTAAAATATTTAAAATGTTGAGAGAAAAACCCACCAACCTAGAATTTTATAACCTGCAAGAATTTTTCAAAAGTAAAAGTAAAATACTTTCTCAAACAAAAATTGAGAGATTTATCATTAGCAGAACAGCCTTTGAAGAATAATTAAAAGAAGTTATTTAAAGAGTATAACAATGACATAAAGCAGATACTTGGATCTACATAAAAAAAGGAAGAAAACTGGGGGAGAAATAAGTGAAGGTAACAAAACTTATTTGTCTTATTCTTAATTGATCTAAGACATAAGTTCAAAATAATAGCAACAACATATTGGGAGATAATACATATATATGTATATATGTAGGTATCCTTAAGTATAAATGAAATGAATGACAGCAATGATATAAGCACAAGAAGAGAGGAATTGGTAAGATTTTGTTATTATAAGTCACTAGAATTACCCATGAAGCTGTGTAGTGTTGTTTAAAAACAGATTTGAATTAGTTGTAAATGTATATTGCGAGTTGTAGGGCAAGCAACCAAAAAAGGTAAAAACTATTGATATATGCCAAGAAAGGAGAGAAAATTGAATCACATAAAATGCTCAGTTCAAACCACATAAAGCAGAAAAAGTATGGAAGATAAAATAGAAACAAAGAACAAGGAAATCAAATGGAAAATAGTACAAATATGGAAGATATTAATCCAGCTATATCAGTAATAACCTTAAGCGTCAGTGGTCTAAATATACAAATTACAAGACAGATTTAACAAATTACAAGTCAGAATGGATTACAAAATATACAAATTACAAGTCAGAATTGATTAAAAAAAATAAGACCCAGCAATATGTTCTCGAGAAGAACCCACTTTAAATATAAAAATATAGTGAGATTAAAACTAAATGGGTGGAGAAAGGTATAAAATTCTAAGACTAAAGAAAGTAGAAGTAGCTATATTAATTTCGTACAGAGCCAACTTCACAGCAAGGAAACTTATCATGAATGAAAGAGGCATTACACAATGAGAAAGGGATCAAAAGTATACAGGTTGGAAACAAGGAAATAAAACTGTCTTTGTTCACAGAGGACATTCTTGCTTATGTAGAAAACCTGAAGAAATTGACAAATAAACCTCTGGAACTAATAAGCATTTATAGCAAGGTAGCAGCATACAATATTAATATACATGTATCATCTCTTTTCTAAATACCAGCTATGAATAAGTGAAATTTGAAATTTAAAACCATACCATTATATTATCACACCCTCAAAATGAAATCCTGAGGTGTAAATCAAATAAAGTATGTGCAAGATGAATACAAAACACACTACAAAACTCTGATAAAATAAGTTATAAAGCTACATAAATGGAGATATACTACATTTTCATTGATAGAAAGATTTTCAATATTGTGATGACATCAGTTTTTCCCAAAATGATCTGTAGATTCAGTGTAATCCCAATCAAAATTGCAGCAAGTTATTTTGTGGATTCAAAAAAATTGATTCTAAAGTTTTTATATTTTATTTTTTATTTTAAATAAGAAGCCAAAGACCTAGAATAGCTAACAAGATATTCCAGAATAACAAACTTGTAGTACTGTACTACCTAACTTCAAGTCTTACTATACAGCTACATTAATCAAGACAATGTGGTACTGGCAAAAGGATAAAAATACCAATCAATGAACAGAATAGAGAGCCCAGAAAGAGACCCACATAAATATAGTCAACCGATCCGTGACAAAAGAACAAAGGCAATGTAATGAAGAAAAGACAGTTTACCATCTGTACAGGAACAACTGAATATTTACATGTGAAAAAGAAATAATCACAAGTTTTGCATCCTTTACAAATACTAGCTCAAATAGATCACAGTTCTAAATGTAAAACACAAAATTATAAAACTTCCAGAAAATAACATAAAAGAAAATCTAGGTGGTCTATGGTTTGTTGATTACATTTTAGATACAACACCAAAGGCATAATCTATAAAATAAATAATTTATAAGCTGGAAGTCACTAAAATTTAAAATGTTCTGTGAAAGATACTATGAGAGAATAAAAAGAGAATCCACAGACTAGTAGAAAATATTTGAAAATGCCATATCTAATAAAAGATTTGTATTCAAAGTGTAAAAAGCAGTCTTAAAACTCAACAATAACAAAAATGACCTGATTAAAAAATAGGCCAAAGGCCTTAAGAGCACCCCACCCAATAAGATCTACAGATGGCAAATAAGCATGTGAAAAGATGCTCCACAGCATATGAAATGCAAATTAAAACAACAGAGATACTTCTACATGTCTACTGGAATGGCCACAATTCAGAACATTGTCAACAAAAATGCTGGTGAGGATATGGAACAACAGAAACTCTCATTCATTGCTGCTGGGAATGCAAAGTGGTACAGTCACTTCAGAAGACAGTTTGGCAGTTTCTTACAAAATGAAACATACTCTTAATATATGTTTTAGTAATCACACACTTTGATATTAACCCAAAGGAGTAGATAACATGTTCACACAAAAACCTGCACATAGATGGCCATTGTAGCTTTGTTCATAATTGCCAGACTGTGAAAGCAATCACTTGTCCTTTAGGAGGCAAATGAATAAATAAACTATTGTACATACAGACAATAAAATAGTATTCAGTGATAAAAATAAACTATCAAGCCATGAAAAGACATGAAGAATACTTAAACACATATTACTAAGTAAGAGAGGCTGATCTAAAAAAACTAGACCCTATGTGACTCCAACTGTATGACATTCTGGAAAAGGAAAAAATATGGAGACAATAAAAATATCAGTAGTTGCAATGAATTAGGGAGTAGCAACAGATGAATAGGTGGAGCACAGAGAATTATTAGAGCAGTGAAAATACTCTGTATGATGCTATAATGGTGGATACATGTTATTATGCATTTGCCCAAACCCGTATAATGTATAATACCAAGAGTGAACCCTGATAAAAACTACAAGCTTTGGGTGATAATGATGTGTCAACAGAGGCTTAGGTTTATCAATTGTAACAGATGTACCACTGAAGTGTAGTTGTTGACAATGTAACAGTCTATGCATGTACGGATATAAAGGGGTATGTGGAAAATCTCTGTACCTTGTGCTAAATTTTGTAGTGAACCTAAAACCCTTTTAAAAATACAGTCTATTTAAAAATGCAGAAACCACAAGTGAATATATTTAAAAATTTTATTCTAAGAATGATACAATTTACCATATAAAGGATAGTAACAAACTCAGTAGAAAAGATCCCAGTTAAAAAGTCAGGAAGGTTGATCCATTGACCTATCCTATAAATACACTTTGCTTCCAATTAGCTCTTTAGTTATTTAATTTTATGTATAAACAGGAATTACCAGACCTAGGAAAATCTATAAACTGTTACAAAAAACAAAAAACAAAAACAAAAACAAAAAAAAACAAACAACAATGAGGAGATTGAGAGGAAGCCAAGACAATGCAGGGAAAAAATTAAGAATGTCATATTAAAAACCCTCTGAATGATGGAATGTTGCACCTTTATGAAAGAAGAGGATGTTACAAAAAATAATCAAAGTACATAAAATATCTCTGCAAAGTAAAAAATAATTCCAAAATATTTAATAAAATGACAGCATGGTAAATTTGAGGTAACTTCAACAAGTAAGATATATCTCCATAACAAAAGAGAAAAAAGTGGAAACTGTATCTAGAAAGTATAATGCCCAAGTAAATTATTCCTAATAAAAAAAACTTAAAAAGCTAAAAAAAGGAAAAAAATCCTAATTAAGAAAGAGGAAGAAGATAGGATAAATTTACTATAATTTTAATATAGCAGCATTTTCAGATTGAAAACCCCCATAAGGTTATATGCACTATAAATAGAAACAACTAGTGGCAAGACATGTCATTGAAAAACTTCAGAACATTTGAACTAAATACAAAGTTTTAAAGTTCCAAGAAAGAAAAATAACAGGCTACATACAAGAGGAAGAAAATCATGATACACCATACTTCTTATGATAAACATTGGGTGCCTGAAAACAATTTTACAATGTTTACCAAATCTGAGAAAAAGATGTTAATGTAGAATTGTGTACCCATATGGCTAAACTATTAAAAGCAGAAGATATATTTTCTCAAAAAAATCATAAGCAAAATGTTTAAGTTTTCAAAATGCAATTCAAAAAATAATTTTAAAAACTAGTAAATAAAATAAGGCAGTGAAAATTAATATAAAACCTAGGAAAGCAATTGACAAAGGGAAGAAAATGTACAGGAGTCCACTCTTGAGAAGATGTGCTCCACCATAGCAAGTGACTAAGCCAAAGGGATTAAAATAACAGCAACAATAATGAGATAGAACATTTCCAGAATAAAATTGGCCCAGAAGGACAATAAAGTAACAGGCCCAGAGAGTAACTTGTTTGGACTGAAGCAAGAGGATGAGAGTACCAGAGAGATAGCTAGGGTGGAACTGAGGAGAACAGAAAAGGGAATTGAGTGATCAACAGATATATAGACCACCTGGAAAAGAATTTGGAGCAAGTTAGTGACATGTCAAGTCATGTAAGAAGCCAGTAAAAAATGAAGCAATTTTGCCGGGCGCAGGGGCTCACACCTGTTACCCCAGCACTTTGGGAGGCTGAGGTGGGCGGATCACAAGGTCAGGACATTGACACCATCTTGGCCAACGTGTTGAAACCCCGTCTCTACTAAAAAAAAAAAAAAAAAAAAAAAAAAAAAATTAGCCAGAGTGGTGGTGCATGCCTGTAGTCCGAGCTACTTGCAAGGCTGACGCAGGAGAATTGCTTGAATCCGGGAGGTAGAGGTTGCAGTGAGCCGAGACTGCACCACTGCACTCCAGCCTGGGCCACAGAGTGAGACTCCCATCTCAAAAAAAAAAAAAAAAGAAGGAACTGTTAATTGTATCAAAACATGAGATAAGAAAGGAAATCTCATTATAGATTTGCTGAGGCTTACCTGTGAAAAATATGTAAAGTCAAAATATTATAAATGCTGATTAATGAGTTAACAGAACTGTTTTGATATAACTGTGTTGAAAGGATGAAAGGAGAGAAAGTGTAGCATAGATTTGAGAAAAACATTAAAAAAAAAGAATTATCAATATCCAAAATAGGAAATCACTACATCTTGTAAAACACTAAAAATCATGAAATAGTACCATAAGAATCTGTTTAGAAATATGGAAAAAATACTGGAATAAATAACTAAAATTTTAGAGGAAAATGTAAGAGTGGAAGGAAAGAGTAAGGTAAGATACTATTTTTTAAATTCTAAGCCTTGCGATTCTTTTTTACTTTTTTAAGTTATGATCTTATAATAATTTGATAAAATAAAATTTAATTTTCTTGTCATAAAACAAAAGTTTGATAAAATTGGAAAACATATTGCAAACCAATAAAAATGTCCAGCACATACAACAAGCAGGTGTTTAAGGTCATTAGTACATTGTATTTATTGAGAAATAAAAATCACAATAAGAAAATGGAGAAAAGACCCAAAAAGTTTGTGAAAGAAAAGAAATGAAAACATAAAAATGTTCAATTTTAACAGTAAGTTAAGAACATTCTATACCATTGTTATCTATTAAAAAGTTTTTTTTTAAAGGAGTCTATTTTACACAGTGGGTTACTCTGAAGGATAGAGTCTATATTGAATAACATTACTGAAAAACAATTTTCAGGATTTAAAAAATTCTCTTAATAATGTGTATATATTTTTAACATGGTCATTCTACTCGCAGAATGTATCCTAAGAAAATGATAAGAGCTGGATACTGTTGTAAATAATGAAGGGTTTTTACATACTTTCTGGCTACAATGATCATGCTTGTAATCTTGGACTCTTAAAACTAAATAGCCAGTGATGTGAATTGGTGAATATATTAGGAAACACTGTAAACGGTATATGAATGCTTAAGCATGTTTATCTGTGAGAGACCTTCAGATAGTATTATTTTCCATATCATTTTGCTAAATTTCTGAAAGTCTGTCTCCCATACCTCTGTTTTCCACAGCAGTGCAATTTTTTTTCTGCTTTCAACACAACTTGCATTCTGTTAGAGCTCCATTAAAAACCCATTCTCCATGAGTCCAGATTTTCTATAGCTCCATGTCTGTAGAGAGAAAACCTCCAGGACCTTGTGGATGGAGAAGAAATAGCTAGCTTTAAAATATAATGGACCAATATGAATGGACTAAACCATTTTGTTTAAGGAATCTGGGTGAATTCCCTCAGGTTCAATTTGTGTGCCTCAGCCCTGCCTCCCGATAGACCTAGTGTGTGAAACAATAAATCTTTCTCTAGTTCTGCAGGAAGATTCTGCTTCCTTCATCTTCCCCTTGGTGGACACTTCAGTTTCAGCCTGTATGCTTTTTGAATTGAGGTGATGTTATTTGAATAATAATTACAAAATTAGCATGAGGGAGGAGAGCTGAAAGTGAATTTTGTGGCATCCTTTAGGCTTATGTCTCTCCCTTGCCCCAGGATTAAGAGCGGTGTTGCTTCTTACCACACACAGCTTCTCTTCC
The DNA here is from genome assembly GCF_000001405.40 of Homo sapiens. Classification (NCBI taxonomy): domain Eukaryota; kingdom Metazoa; phylum Chordata; class Mammalia; order Primates; family Hominidae; genus Homo; species Homo sapiens. Next base: position 35,536,933 of record NC_000003.12, read on the forward strand.
ACCCTACCACAATAATGGCCAGCTCCTTGCAAAGAGGACATCTCTGCATACTCACTAGGTAAGCTAGGCTTCTCTGACAGTCCATGAATTTCACACCAGCTTCAGAGAAACTCTTGAGATTTAATCTTGCTATTTAAAGCAAGGCGCCATTGGACTTGCCAATCAGAATACCACCTACTTTGAAGTAGCCTTCTTTTAACAGTTTGAACTGTGTGGTTCTATATTTTTTAAAAAAATAGATGGATAGCTGGCTTGGGAATATATAAGAGGTATGTTCTATAGGATGGTGATACGTAGGGTTATGATTTGGGGTGTGTAGCAGACTGCCAGTGCTGCACCCAGTTCCCTTTGAGCCAGGTTTTGATCACTTTAGTGCATCCTCCAGGTTGGTTGTGCTTTCCCTCCCAAAAGCCAGCACCTATGACTCGTTGTCAGTGGACTGCCATCAGGCTGTTATAGCCTGTTTTGCCTAAATGGGTAGAGATTGAGAAGTGCCTAGGGATTTCATTCCCCTGAGCTGGCCCCTAGCCAATGACTGCTGATGCAAGTGTATGAAAGCACAATTCCCTTGCATTGTGTCAGTATAACTGATGCACACCCTACACTTCTCAATTCTCCTATGGGATAGGACTGCAGCTATTCCTCATGGAATTCTGACTGAGATTGCACCATTGATTGCCTTACTGTGCTTCCCTGTACTTCTCCCTAACTCTCTAATGTTCATGGTAGCACTCCTTAATACATTGCTTGCATAAAGATCTCAAGTGCTGGTTCTCAAGAACTTCACCCGAGATGTAAGGAATTTATTTAGTTTACTTTCTTATTTCATATAATAAAAGAGCATATGTTAATTTTAAAGTGAAATTGTACTTCTGCATCAACTTCCTTTATAAGTGAAAGCACTTCTAATGATATAATACCTACTGGGTTTTGAGAGGAAATGGTTTCATTGCAAAGCTCCAACAATAGGGAAGGCAACAAAAAGACATTCTCAGATGTATAAGTATTTAGAAAATATGGCATCTGTATATTATTCTTTGAAAATTTTCCTGATGTCATAACCTTTTCTCCTATGAAATAGAATAAATAGAATTTGGCCAGGCGCGGTGGCTAATGCCTATAATCCCAGCACTTTGGGAGGCCAAGGCAGGCGGATCACCAGGATTTCGAGACTAGCCTGGCCAACATGGTGAAAACCCCGCCTCCACTAAAAATACAAAAATTAGCAGAGTGTGGTGGCACATGCCTGTAATCCTAGCTACTCGGGAGGCTGAGGCACGCGAATAGCTTGAACCCAGGAGGTGGAGGTTGCAGTGAGCCAATGTTGTGCCACGGCACTCCAGCCTGGGCAACAGAGTGAGACACTGTCTCAAAAAAAAAAATTTTTTTTGAATTCAAGAATATCAAGAATAGGGAACCTGTAGTAGGTTTTTTTTTTTTTTTTTTTTTTGAGACGGAGTCTGGCTCTGTCGCCCAGGCTGGAGTGCAGTGGCGCAATCTTGGCTCACTGCAAGCTCCGCCTCCCGGGTTCACGCCATTCTCCTGCCTCAGCCTCCCGAGTAGCTGGGACTACAGGCGCCCGCCACTGCGCCCGGCTAATTTTTTGTGTTTTTAGTAGAGATGGGGTTTCACCGTGTTAGCCAGGATGGTCTTGATCTCCTGACCTCGTGATCCGCCTGCCTCAGCCTCCCAAAGTGCTGGGATTACAGGCGTAAGACACCGCACCCGGCCTGTAGTAGGTATGTTTTAAAAACTTATTCATCAAGCAGATTGGAAAGAAGAAAACAGAATGTTCTGGTCATTCAGTACATTTTATTATTAAATGCCGCAATATACCTGGCAGGCACTGCTACATCAGGAATACAATGTTGAGCAAATAAACATAGGTCCTGCTCTTATGAATCTTACGTTTTAGTGAAGGAGATAAACATTAATTATAAGAATAAATATTAAATTATACCTGTCCTAGACACTGTAATATAAAATTTGGCCTAATAAATTCAAGGACAAATATAAATTCCTCACAATTCCCTTTACCTTCTATGCTAGTTACTTATAGCTGATATCTACAAAACTACCCAAGAATTCTAACACAATACCTTGCTGATCATCAAAGGAGGGTTATACTGACATTCATTATAATGCTACGTGAGCTGTATTTCCGTCCCCAGAAATTGACGAACACTGATGTTAAAGTCATCATTACCACCAATCACCAGATCCAATAATCTCTTTTCACAAGCCTTCAGTATTTCACACCACTGACTCCTTACTTGAGAATTTTTTCTCTTTTGACTTCACTTGTACTGTGCTCTTCCCATTTTTCTTTGAGCTTCCTGACTGAATCTTCTTCTTTCCCTGTGGGTGTTTCCCAAAGACTTCCACTCTTCCTCTTGCTACGTTCTCGCTTAGCAATATTATGACTTCAAGTGGCATCTCCAAGAAAGAATTCCTATCTTCCCAAGCTGTCTGCAGCCCTCACCTCTCTCCAGTGTTTCATCTAGAAGCCTGTCTGTGTGGATATCAAATATAGAAATTTACAATCTGTATTGTTGAAGTCCACCATTGCTATTAAAAATTTTACTTTTTTTCCAGTAACATTTCCTCAAAATTGTTATTGCAATGTTCGTTCTTTCTTATATATTTTTTCTTATTTTTTTGTAATTATCTGTCATAGACTTTGTCCTTAATACTACATTGTATCTTATTTCTGCGTGTGTATACATATCACACACACAGAAATAAGATACAACCTATTATATATGTTTGTGTGTGTGTATTTATACACATACAAACACATTAACATATATATGTTAATAATATATGTAAGTTTTATATATATATTTATATATATGTTTTATATATATTTATATATATAAGTTATATATATATTTATATATATAAGTTTTATATATATTTATATATATAAGTTTTATATATATTTATATATATAAGTTATATATATATTTATATATATAAGTTTTATATATATATATAAAACTTAGGACAGTATCTTACACATATGAAGAATATAAACATGTTGAATGAATGAAAGAAATTGAATGTGCAGATTCACCAGGTCATTTGCTTATTGTACATCAACATGATTCCATATCAAGAAAGAAATCATGAGCAATCAGTTCAAAAAGCATTTACGATGCACACATGCATGTCAGGGACAAAACTCTTTGAGAACCCAGACATGAATAAGTCATAGGCCTTGCCCTTGAGGAGCTCACAGTCGAAGAAAAGATAACAGGTCTGTAATGTACACCTATAGTGGATTTGCTTCAAGAGGAAAATTATTTTTCTATTACAAGAGTCACTTTCACTAGCAGTAAAGTCCTGCCTTAATTTAAATCCTCAGCAGAATACCCATCACATAAATGACAACTTGGGGAAGTATTTCACTTTGGAGTGTATGCCTGGATTTTGAATTTCAGCTTCCCCTAAGCCCAGTTCTGTGGATGATAGTGGATTGATTCTCACATCAAAAGGAACACAAAGCTGTACATACTTAACCTTTGTAACCAGCTACTGCTGGAGAAATAATAGGAAAGTCTTAGGAGGAAAAAGAGTTGCTTGAAATTCTACAGTTCTTTTAATCTTGTGAAGAATGAGATATAAATCAATAAATAACAATAACATCAAGAGGTGCAATTACATTTTCTGTCCACTTAAAAACATTGGAAAGAAGTGGATGGTTCCAACAGCTTTCTTCCTTTAAAAGTAATAACAGACTAAATCTTTGCTTCTGGAACTAGGACATAAGTCTGATCTGGGTTAATATCCTTTCACTGGGCTAGAAACATTCCAACAAAAATAAATTGAAAAATAAGACTATGTCAAGGATTTGTTTTCCAAACTTTCTCAAATTAAGAAACATTTACCTTTTAAAAATAATGTCCCACATAGCTCCGCCAAGTAGATATTTATTCAAGAATTTTACGAATAGTTAGAATATTAGCGGTCTAATACATATAATAGTTAGAATATTAGAAGTGACTCATTTCAAGTGAGGAAAAAAATGGGTTACCCAAATCAATATAGCTACCTTTTGGTATTATCCTATTATGACTTTGACCTAAGTACAAAATATTCTGCTAAGAATTTGACCAAATTCAGCCCAAGGTCAATCAATGTTGTCTTTTTTGTAGTTAATGCATTTCCCTCTAGGGCAAAGATATTTTGTTTTCTTAATCTAGAATTGTTGGATTCTTTCCTCTGATTGGTTTGATTAAAAAGGTAATGAGATTTACTTTTATGAAACAAGGTTCTGTCATAATGTTTAATTATAGGTATAAAATAATTTGTCTAAATATTCAAATGATATTTATTGGATTTGTACTTACAGTTCATCAATATGTTTTCTTCTTTCTTTCCTGTTATTTCACTTAGTTTCTGGATTTTTAAACTGGAGTTTTGAGAGGTAGGACCCAAGGAGACTTTGCTAGAAGACTATTTATTTCCCTGGATGTAGGTTTTCATATTAGTATAAATCCTGACACCCAAATCATAACAACCCAGGAGGAAGAAAGAGTTCATCAGCAGATTTAGTGGAATGAGTTGTAATAAATAAATATAGTTAGAATTACATCAGTGACTGATGGAAACTTTGTTTAAATTATTAAAAATCTGAGCAGAGCAGATACAATGGAGAATACCCTGCGGTGGCTGCCAGGACTTGTTTTTTATTTTATTTAATTTTTAAATCTGGTATTAACATGTTGCTGATCCTCTCTTTTCATAATCTGCTTTATCTCAGGAACTTATTTTCTCAGCTATTATAAGCAAATCAGACCCAGAATTCCCAGGTTCTTTTACTTACAGTTTCACTCATCAAGTAGAGAGAATCCCAGATGAATGCTCCACTTGGTAAATGGTCCTTTTAAAGAGAAATAAACAGATGATGGCAGCAACTTAACACCTGTGGACAGGAAAATTAAGGACCAGTGTTCCCTGGGCTGACCTTCTCTTCTATACCCCATGGGTCTGAGGTTTGGGCTGGAATCAACTATGTGACTTAGATACCATCGCTCTTTCTTCCTCTCTCTTCTCTCTTCTCTCTCTCTCTCTCTCTCTCTCTCGCACACGTGCCTTATTATAAAATAAAACTCATACAGAAAGCCACCATAACAAATGAAGTGACTTCTTATGAAGCAAACACTCTTATAACCACCACCCAGCTAAAAGAATAGAACTCGTAAGCTACCACAGAATTCTTTCATATAGTGCCCCCTTGCAATCACCTAGTCCCTTCCTATCTCCAGATGTAACCACCCTCTTAAGGTTCAATGCAGTATTGCCTGTAATTGCATAATAAATAAATAAGGTAAAAGGGGGAAATTGGTAATAAGGCATAGATATTCAGTGGAATGTTACAGAACATTACTAAAGATTGAGACTGAATCATTCAGGCAATCCTTCATTCATAAATGTACACACACAGTCCTGGCCTCTGGGGGTATGGTGATGAACAACAACAAAACATAAAACAGATTCATGCCCTTTTAGAGCTGACATGGAAATGAGAGAGGCAGACAAGAAACAGGCAAACAAAAGTAATTAAAATTAAAATAGTACAATTGCAGTTACTGGGCAATAACTTCAAGCAAATTAAAACAAGACAAGGAGATGGAGAAGATATAAGTGTGTTGTCCAAGGAAAGGCTTTCAGAGCCATGAGCATTTGAGCCGAGTGGAGTGAGGTTGGGGAATACAATTCCAATCAGAATGAACAGCAAGCTAAAAGAAATAATGGAGTAAGAGCAAGGAGGCCAGAGTGGTAGAATAGTGAGAGAGAAAGTCATGAGAAGGAAAGTGCAGATCATGTAAGGGCCTTGGAAGCCACAGACAGTAAAGGAGTCTTATTTCCGTTTCATTGGGAAATCACCGAAAAGTTTTGAGCAAGAAAATAACCATCATTTTTTTTTTTTTTTTTGAAGACACAGTCTCGCTCCGTCACCCAGGTTGGAGTGCAGTGGCGCGATCTCAGCTCCCTGCAAGCTCCGCCTCCCAGGTTCACGCCATTCTCCTGCCTCAGCCTCCGAGTAGCTGGGACTACGGGCACCCGCCACTACGCCTGGCTAATTTTTTTGTATTTTTAGTAGGGATGGAGTTTTGCCGTGTTAGCCAGGATGGTCTCGATCTCCTGACCTCATGATCTGCCCTCCTCGGCCTCCCAAAGTGCTGGGATTACAGGCATGAGCCACCCCACCCGGCCCATCATATGTATGTTTTTAAAGATCATATTGGCAGCTAGGAGGAGTAATAGGAGAGTCCTTGCTGTAAGATTGAAGAAAGACGATGCTGGAAGAAAATTCTGTCTAAAATGATAAAAAGTCTCCATGGCATAGTGTTGATTTTTTAAAAAAGAAAAACATTTCTCACTGTGATCCTAGTTATGTAAATATAGCAAAATTAGTACTTTCAACCACATAATATAGACTGTATATGTGCGTGAATGTGAGTGTGTAAATGCCTATTTTAAAAGCTCTCAGGAGAGACATGGAAGGCAACATGCCCAACAGACAAGAGAGTTAATACTGGGGTACAGGGTGGGCTTGACTGTGGGTGTGGATGAACTACTCTTGTATTAGTTGTTTCTATTTTTATTTTTGCAACGATAATTTCACATCTCAAATCTGAATTATAAAAATTATAAAGCTGAATCAAACAGTTGGAGAGTTGTTTACATAAAAATTAGAAAGATTGCTTTTTAACTGCTACCTTAAAAAACGATAATTTTTTTTAAAAAAATCAGTGATTCTGGAGACATGAATACAATCTAACCATTTTAAGTTTACAAATTTACTGTTGAATCATTTTGCTACAAAAATAACTTGGGAAAGTTTATATATATGTTTACATGGAACATGAATAGAACATGGAAAAAGTGTGGGAACAAGTATGGGTTTAATACAGTTCATGCAGAAATTTTGATCTAAAATTGCTAATGAAGAATAGCAGAGAGGCAAAAGCTAGTTTTAAAAGCGTAGGATTAGGAAGAAGGAGAATCCTGACATGGAATCCCTGCTCCTTCATATTCTAAAGGACTGATCCAGGAAAAGTCACTAAACTCTCTAAACTTCCATATCCCTCTGCTAAAATGTAGCTAACATTTCTACCTGATAAAATTATTATAAGAATAAAAGGAAGGAGAGAGACAGGCAGTGCAAAAGGTTGTTATTTAAAACCATGACTACAGCAGCTTCTACTTCCTTAGGGAGTGGTGTCATTTCTCTCTGGAGAAAATAACCTTCTGAATAGCAAAACACAATGAGGGACATTTGGCTCTGACAATATAGTTCTCAAGGCATGATTAAAAAGAGAATCTATGAAATAGAGGATTAAATTGTCCTACACAATAAATTATAATTTTCAAGTTTCCAGGAATGGAAAGAAGAAACCTAGTAGGATGAGTAAAGTGGGGCCTCTGTAGGCTTTCAGTCAGGGAAAATATCTTAAGGCCTTATTCAGAAAACAGCTGCTAATAATAATCAGTCTTAATCTGTTCACTGGTTGTACTACAATATGACATCCTTATGCCCAGAATCCAGAAATTTCAGTCAAGAATTATTCCAGAGAAAGCCTTCAATCCATGGGACTCTGGTGAATGAATGCTTGGGAAGGTGTCTTTGGAGGGATAAATAGTAAACAACATGTAAAAATCTACGAGAAACTCCAGATAAATTTTGGGCTTCCTACTATAGGCATTCAAAAGTTTCTCACCAATGTTGGAGATCCACCAGGTAGCATCTGGGCTGCATCTGGGGTGTTAATGTAATGCAGGTAAAGAGTGGTCCACAATGCCAGGAACAGAACAAGTCCTCAACGAATATTAGTTCCGAATGACCTACAGAGTAGTGCTTGAAAATGCAGCCTCATTGATTGGCTTCATAATCATAGTTTGGCCAGTAAGGTTGTTGCAGGACTTTCTCCTCAGTTCAGCTAAAAACTGGGTTCTTGTCACATGACCAGGAGGATGGAAACATAGAAGGATGAGAAAAATTGAATTTATTGGGTAAAAAAGGAAAAAGAGAAAAACTTTTAGCAGAGCAAGGGGGAAGCTGGTTGGAGATTCTCCAGTGAGCCCTTTTTACTTGGCTGTCTCATTCCCCCCTCTAAAGAAGTACACCTAACTGCCTTTAGAAGGATAAGGATAAAGATAAGGATAAGGCTAAGGCTAAGGCTAAGGATAAGGATAAGGTTAAGGCTAAGGCTGAAGACCAATCTTAACTACTTCCTGCTGACAGGGGACGCTGTTTTGGGGAAAAGGCAGTCAGAGCTCCCTCAGAGGCCTAGCTAAGGGTCCTCAACAGAAGGGGCCATCATCCAAGGCCCAGTTGCATGACTATTTGGAGTTTGATGGCCTGAGGCAAGAAGAGACAAACTGAGTTATTAGAAAACAAGTATCAAAACAAAACAAGGGGTGTGGGTATAAGGATAGCTCACAAATCCTGAGGCCTTTTACCAGTTTACACTGGTAAAAGAGGGAGGCCAAAAGCCAAAATGGTAAAAAAAAAAAAAAAAACTTTTACACTTTTTCTGGCATGTCAGGCTTCTGGGTTCCCTTCCCCTGAGCTCAATCCTAAGCCAACTGGTTTAAGGTTTGGGAAATTAACTTTTTCCAGTTTGGAAGATGCATCCAAGGGGAGTGTCCAATAGTATGGAGACACAATTACCTATCAGCAAAGAGAGGACAGAGGAGAAGAAAAGAAAAAAGAAGGTGTTTTTTTCAAAGGAGTCCCAGGGTTTCAGGATGCATTTGAAAGGCAAACAGACTGAAGATGGATGGCTACTCTCTAGAAGGAAGACAGCAAGCATACCTCGTTCCCTTCTCTTCCTAGCAGATACCTGGGGTACGTGAGGGAGGGAAAGTGAGGTGTTCCTGTTACTTTCCTCTGTCCTTGTATCCCCGAGTCCTGGTGACCGGGACAGGGTACCACCCATGGGTGCCAAAGTGGCTTGCACCCATGAAGCAGGGAGGGCCTAGAAAATAGGAATTATCCACTCTCCCCTATGCCTCTACCCCCACTACTCTCAGTAGTCTCAGAGCTCCCTAGACCTCATTTATGCCATAGATACTAGCGTGAACTTTATCCATGAAATGTGAGGCTTGGCTTAATCGTCAAGAATTAGCCATGCTTACCTGCACTGGGCCTTTTAAACTTTGTTATTGTCTGCCTCTGGATCCCTTAGATCCAGTTTTCTTTCCTAGGGCTTTGACTCAAAGCTTGGAATTGAGTTTGGGACTAAAATGTGTCTCGGGCAGGGGCGGGTTGGGGTTGCATAGACTCCTTATCATAAGCTGAATGGTGAGACTGTGGAATTGAGTCCTCCCCCAACAAGGGAGAGAAAAGGATGTCTTGTGACATATCAAGATAACTGGTGGCTATAGTTATGCTTTCTAGGATTTGGGTGCATGGTGCTTGCCTTTGGTTAGCTCCCTTGGTCTTACTTTCACAAAAGAGAAACCTCTGGGTGATGGACACCCTATTTATTCTCATCACCTGGCAAGATTTGCAGGATAATTGCTCAGAACCAGAATACTGATCCGTATTTCTGCATTATTCATCCCTTTTGCTCTTTGTGAGCTGCAGCCGGAGATTGCTGGTTGGTTAACAGGAACCAGCAGGGTTAGTCTAAATTTAGGCAAAAATTTAAAAACAACGAATGAGTTTAGAATTTAATGACCAATGTGTGATAAGTTTTGAAACATAATTTCTCTCCAGTCCTCATTTTTGTTAAAAAAAAAAAAAGTATTTTGTTAAAAAATCATGATAGGACTGAGTTGTTTGCAAAATAGACTTTAGTCTTATACTTGGCCTGATTATTTGCATAAAATGCAGCAAGAATAACTATTTCTACATAAGCCTTTTAGATTGGCTTTGATGGAACTCTGTTCCACAATGAATCTCAGATAAGACCTTTTTAAGCTGAGCCCAGCCATGAGTCGGGTTTGTATCTTCAAACACCTGTGAGATGGGTGATCATCTCCTCTTAAGGGCCCAAAATGAACTTGGAGTTCCTGGGCCTGTTAGAAAATGACATTCTTTACTAGCCGCAGGTCAAGAACCTTGAATAAGGACCATGTAGACAAGGTTATGAGGCCAGGTTTCCCCCCACCGGGGGCTTTTATTGGCTCTGCAAGTTGCACTTGACTCCTTAAAGGGAAGCATACCCTTCCAATCAAAACCTTGGTAAAACAAGTGTTTCTCGAATTGTGTCCTGTTGCAAAAGAAAATGGATTCTTATTGCACTGATGCAAACTACTATATTGCCATAAGTTAAGAATACTCACAATGTCAATACCATATGTTGCCTTTGGGCAATGTACTAAACAACCAGGGTCTCAGTTTCCTTACCGATGACATATGGATACTAATTTAACTTATACTTTTTTGCAAGGATTAAATAAGTTAACATAATGAAGTAATGTATATGTTAATTAGCTTGATTTAGCCATTCCATTATATATATATATTTCAAAACATATTGTATATAATAAACATAGACAATTTTTGTCATTTGTTAAACAATTACAAACAAAAGCCTAGAGAGAAAATAATTTACATACATAATGTGTTTAGAACATGCCATAATTGCTGAAGTAAACATTAAATATTATTATTAAATATTTATTTTCCATATCTATTGCACTGCAAATAGTTTTAGAACATTGCATTGCGATGGAGACAGTGAGGCATTTTGGAAAGAGCAGTAGCCTCAGGAGATCAAAAGTCAAGTCCCACAAATGCCATTGACTTACTGTGGGATGCTGAGCCCAGTAGATTTTGAGGCTAAATTGCTTCATCTATAAAGCATACACATTGAACCAGAAGATCCCAATATGTTATTTCTATTCTATAAAATTTTGAATATCTGATTCTATTTAAATATATTCATTATCAAGTTTCATATGCATTTTATTAAAATATCTTATATAAAAAGACAATTAATCTTGTTTTTCCATCCTTTTGACAGAATTCTACAAAGGACCATAAATGTGAAAAGTGGATTTTTATCCAAGTCATCTGTCTTTATGGAAATACCTTTGCCTTTGTGAGTCTTAGGTTGCTTGTTCATAAAAAATAAAAGGTTGTTTCAGAAGAATGGGAAGGTCCTTTCTCAACTCGACATGAGAGGCAGACTATGAATAAGGTATGGGGCACCACTGGGCTTTGGGGGGAACCACAGTGGCAAGTCATAGTTGTTGGAGACCAGTGAGAAACCCAGAGGCTCTAGGAATTGGGAGGAAACAAAATTGCTTATTGAAAGAAGGTAGCAAAAGAAAGGAAAGGATCAGGGCTTGAGTGAATCAGAAGACAACTCCTCAATTTTTCCCCATGACTAATGAATGGAAAAGTAATTTCCATGTGTCTTGAAGAATATTACTTTTCACAAAATATATCACGCAAGAGATGAGAGTGCCTTAAAGTGTTGGCAGTAGCAATAAAGAAAAATGGGTGTAAATACAATAGCTTTGTAAGTGAAATTGACAGGACTTAGTAGAGTGGGAGTGAAGGAAAAAAGATGTAGTGGATTAGGAGTGCAGGATAAAGGAGAAACCGGGGTGTTTCTAAATTTCTGACTTAGGCAACAGAATGCTTGTAGGTGACATTTAACTACATGGGAAAGACTAGAAAAAGAATAAGCATGAAGAAGAAAATAGGAAAATTAAAGTTTCTGTTTAGGACCACTTAATTTGAGATGCAGGGGTTACTTCCAAATAAAAAAATCAAATAGTTCAATAAGAAAATCTGGCACACAGAGGCAGATTTGAGGTAAAAATATCCTTCTTGTTGTGGTCCACGTATACATGACATTTTAAAGCCTTGAAAATGTATGAAAAAAATAAAGTAAAGAGAAGAGGATCTACCATCAAACCCAGGACACCAGAATTTAAAGTGGGAAAGAACAAGGAGTTTATTAAGGTGAGTGAAGAAGAATGGCAAAAAAGGTAGGGGATCACTTTAAGGAGGTTAGAGTATTCAGTTCTACGAAATACAGTTGTTGTTTTTACTAAAACTAACTAGTAATGGTGCTCTCTGGACCATTCCTAGCCTTCATTTAATGCTAACTTACTTGCAACTCATGGAGCCCTCTAGTCCATTATGGCTTATAGAACCTCACTTGGTAGCCCTGGGTTGCTCTTTATTTGGATCCAGAGCCTAAGGATAGCATTTAGGCAAATTGAGTTGGGAGAATCTCAACTCAATTTCTATGACATAGAAATTGGGTTGATAAAGAAGGACATTGTTCATTCTACCTAGGGCAGTATAGCAGAAGGACATGAACCAAGGCTGCAGCTAAGAGCAATATTTGTGCTAACCCTGAAGGGAAATTGACTGTGAAGACAGCTAAGTGGTGCCGAGCTCAAACTATTAACCAGTGCTTCCAAAGCCTGTCTCATGCCTTAAATTTTTTTCTAAAATTTTTGTGATTCCTAAATAATTTGGCTTTGACATAGCCTCGCAGATCCCAGAACCACTTTCTCTTTTGACCAAACTCAGAGACAAGCACTCTTGACCCAAGGAGAGACTCACATGACTGGTCTCTGGTAAGACAGGGCCTGAGAGGTGGAAGTAACCATGGGACCTTTATTTAGAGAAGGAAGAGTTCCCCGATTCAGTAGATTGCTTCTACTGGAGCCCAGATGGGTCTTTCTAGCACAATTTATAACCTAGAAGGCCCCAAGAAAATATTATGTTTTAGTTAATAGATTTCAGATAGCGTATAATATTTATTGTTATTTCAGAGTTCAAGGCACACTGTTTTATGTCTTTGGCTTGCATTTTCTTGTTTTATTATTATAACAATCCTATGATGTAGAATGTAGAACATGATGGGAAGAATCTGAAACTTAAGGATTGTGCCAAGTCTGAAGAATCACAAGAGCAGTGAGCTGAGCAGGGTATGGCAGGCAGCAGGCCTGGGGATGAATGCAGTGCAGGAAGACTGGCAGCTGGCCATGAGCCCAGGCCGTAAAGATACAAGCTGCATAGTTATTCTCTTTTATTTGGCTACTATCAATTTTTCTTGTCAATCTACACCCTGACTTCCCTTTTGAATAAATAAGCCTAATGCATTGGAATCAGTCTGAAAGTCCACAATTTGTGGGGCTTTGTTCTAAAAAAAAAAAAGGGGGGGGTGAGCATGTGAACAAATTATGTCAGTTGAAGTTTTTTCCCCTGGGATTTGAAACTTAGAGGAACAAAAAGACTGAAATATCTGGGGTCCACTCTGTTTCTGTGATTGTTTCCTGACCCATTGGGACTTTCTGCACTGCTTCTTTAACATTTTGTCAATTCAATGAGCCCCTAATATCCTTATGGGAGATTTCATTTAGTTTAAATTCATTAAAGGTAAGTTTCTGTTACTGGGAACCGAGGATCCTAGACTGGTTCAGTGGACAAATGCCATCAAAAGTTAAATGAGAAAGTTAGAAGGTGAATGTCAACACATATTCTTGAGACTGAAAGGGTATTGAGGATGAATACATTGGGATGACAGTAAGATATCACATAACAAGTTGCCAAGTGTGTCTGTGAGGTGGCTCAGGCAGGTTGCTGATGAATAAAAGAATGGCTAAACTTCTTTTATCTGAGTCTCATACTACTAGGAATTTCCCATAACTGTGAAGGCTGTCAATGCAACTTTTGATGGCTGATTCCATGCAATGCCATAAAAGTTACTGGAAAAATTGCTCATAATTATGCAATATACATCTCAGAAAATCGTCCCCTGCTCTTAAGCTCAATAGGACCTCATGGGGTCATCTGTTCCAATCTCATCTCTCGAGAAAGAAATTGAAATAGACTTCCCAAGCTACCACAAGGAACTCATTATTTTTCTCCATAAGAAAGTATATATTTTTCTCAAATAAACATAGTAGATAAAAGTAACTAGCCAATCTTGTGAACTGTGATTCAGGATTTGGAAGAGTGCTAGTGCTAATACCCTGGGAGTCAAGACAACAACTGGCCATTTTAGGATATGATACAGAAATCACAAATGGAAATGCTGGTCTCTCTATAGCCTCCTCTCCATTCCCACATTCCTTGCTAATTATTCCTTGTTCTCTGTTCCTACAAGTTATATATAAACATAATAGATATAGCTCCAAATTTTAAGTGTGAGAAATGTCTCTTTTTATTTCTTCTAATTATATGTACTCTTTACAGAGCCCCCTCTCTTCTGAATGACTGGCTATTCAGTCTTAGTTATTATGAAGGCCTCGCTCCTTCTACATTGAAATATATGAGAAACTGGAACTTACATATTAGCAGAAGAGAAAAGAAAAGCCGTGATCCTGGACTGGTGTAGTCTCAACCATCTGTCCCTTTAGCACCATTAATTGGTCCACAAAACTGACCACAGACACCATATCACATCTATCCTTCTGTCATCCCACCATCTAGAGCACCAGGTATCAGGAGCATACCTCACTACAGTTCCCATCTCCGGGCTCAGCACTTTTAGGAAGCTCACATTTTATGTTCAGACATTTCAAGGTCTCCTGCTCAAAAACTTTGCTACATTCCCTCTCTCTGCCCCAGACAACCCAAATCTAATACAATCCCCTTCCATCAGACTTTAGATCCACAATGATGACTTCTTTCTTGTAGGTGGATATAGAAAGGAAATGCTAACACCACTTGGATTTTTTTTTCAGAATAACATGCTCTATTAAATAACCAATATAACAATATAATATATATGCCATTGTGTTATAATTATTTTGTGTTTGTCTTTAACTGTAAAATTCTTGAGGATATGAAAAATTTTATCTACCTTTATACATCTAACCCCCAGTTCTTGGACCTATTGAGTTTTTTATACATGCTAGTTAAATAGAACATCACAAAAATTCACTATGTAGGCCCATGTTAATTTTTTTGCCCAGTTCTGAGAATAGATTTTGTGTGAAGTCATGAAAATGCATTGATGAGTATACAGCATCCTCAAACCAAGATTTTCAAGTGCTTTTTAACAATTAAATTCTGAGGAACAATTTAAAGCTTGCATAGTTTTCTGTCAAATACTTTCTAAAGACAGCTGGTGCTCATTGGGGTTCATTGGCTTCATTATGAGTTCATTTCTTTGTCTTCAACGTTGGATATTGTATTAGCTAGTTCTTGCACTGCTATACAGAAATACCTGAGACTGGGTAATTTATTAAAGAAAAGAGGTTTAATTGGCTCATGGTTCCACAGGCTATACAGGAAGTATGATGGCTTCTAGGGAGACCTTAGGAAACCTTCAATCATGGTGGAAGGTGAAGGGGAAGCAGGCACATCTTACATGGCCAGAGCAGGAAGAAGGGAGGGTGGTGTATTACATACTTTTAAATAACCAGATATTGTGAGAACTCTATCACGAGAACAGCACTAGTGGGATGGTGCTAAACTAATAGACCCAATCACCTCCCACCAGGTCCCACCTCCAGCATTGGGGATTACATTTCAACATGAGATTTGGGTGGAGACATAGATCCAAACCATATCAGATGTATTGGCTGAAATAAAAAGGAGGGAAAGGGAAGCACATGTTAAACAGATTGAGAAAGGAGCAGAGGCCTCATCAGATTGTTAAATAATAGGTTTTGCCTTCAGCCTTGACCATGCTAGGCTTTATTCTTCTAAGTGAAATTATGGGCATATGATAGCATTTAAATCATGACTAAGGTTCTAACATCAGTTCAATCAATGCAGGGCATCCAACGAGTTTATCATGTATATAATGCCTCCTTTTCTCTCTCTGTAAAATGGGTTTTCTAAATTGCTATCCCAATGAAACTGAGTAAGAAATATCTTCAGATTTTCCACATGCTGAACGGCACATGGATCATACTAAAAGTTTAATCCAAGCGGGGATTTGGCTTGCCCAAGTTAGAATTTAATAAAATTAAGCCTGGAGCTTCTTGTATTTCTATCCACTCAGATCCCTGAGGCCTTGCCATTGTGTTACTGCTGCTCAGAACTAACTCTCCACCTTCGTCTTGAACTCCTTATAATAAATCCTTTCAATCCTGAACCATTCAGGCACACCCTCTTCCTCCACCTCTATGAAGTGTTTCCTGTCAGATTCTTTCTTCCCAGTCCTTATTAGTCATTAGTCGGCATTACTTATCACTGTTGATTATAGCAATGCTTATTGCTGACTATAGAAGAAAATTGTGTGTCTTCAAGATGACAGCATCTAACCTTAAAGAGGGATCACTGGTGAAAATTCTTGTCTGTAAGGTGTGGACAATAGCGAAGGTACCAGGTGATTAGACTTGACATTTTGGGGGATAGGGAGAAAGGTTACAATTTATTTCTAGAAAACATTTTGGTGTTCTTCCCAGTGATTAGAAAATGCTTAAAATCATATTTGATTTGAATAAAAGACACTGCATACTTAGAGAAACACAAAGGATTAAATATCTCACAGTTTACTTTTCAGAGGACATCTCATTAATTATCTAATTTGATTCTTACTAACAGAGTACCTCATAAATTAGCCAGGACTAATCATTAAGCATAATTTTCAAAGTGAGGAAACTGCATCATAAAGGAAAAAAAGAAAAGAAAAAGGAGGTACCATTTTTATTATCTCTCTGCCATTGCTTTATTGGGGACTGGCACTGTGAGAGTTAAAGCCTTAAATAATGCATGTGAAGGCTGCAGGCCTGGCATACCTACACCTACCATGGGATGTGCAATCCACGGGATAACTGAGCTACACCTAAATTTAAACATCTTGAGACTCAGGGAGTCTCATAAATGTTTTGTAAGTGGTCAATGTTAGTTGCAACATAAAATTCTTACCTTTATTAAGTTCTTCAACCCAGATCAACTTGAAAATAGAAACTGATTAAAGAAAATTACAGTGCCTTGTTTGGCCTTATCACCTCTGATTTAGAATAATTACTTAATAAACATTATTAATTTATTCCTTCATTTAGCCAACAATTATTGAGCTCTGCTGATTTCCAGCTACTATTTCAGCTGCTGGTGGTTCAGTAATAGACAATATAGGCAAGATTTGTACTCTCTTAACACATATGTTCTAGCGGGTGACAAGTAATTGAAGATATTAGGCATTAATTATGGCCTGATGGCTTCAAGGAAAGAAGAAACAGGTAGTAAATCACCAGCCCCGGGATAAAATTGCTATTCTGTGGTGATACTTAATCCAGTATGAGTACCACCTTTACCCAATTAGAGAAGGTTTGACTGCGACAGGGGAAGGTGGCCTGAGCACAGTTGAGCACAGCTGGGAGGAAAGTGGGGACAACATGGTTGATTTAAATATTTGATCAGAAAATAGGTGAATTTTTGGCTTGTTCTTAAGTTTCCAGTTGACGTTTCAAATCATTGAATTAAAATCTTAAAGCTGGACCTTTTTAAGTGTCTTCATCAGATGTCCTGATCTAAACTCTTTACTGTAATGACATCAACAATGGGCCCTAGACATATCCAAGGAAGTCATTTATAAAGTACCTTGAATAATGCTTAGCACATATCACATTCTTAATAAATGTACATTTCTGTATCTATTTTCAAGAACTGGTGGAATCCTACAGGATTATGTTAGGATCAAGGACTGGCTCTTTTTTTTTTTTTTTTTTCCTGAGACACGGTCTTACTCTGTCACCCTGGCTGGAGAGTGCAGTGGTGTGATCTTGGCTGACTGCAACCTCCGCTTCCCTGGTTCAAGTGATTCTCCCACCTCAGCCTCCTGAGTAGCTGGGGTTACAGGCAACTGCCACCACACCCAACTAATTTTTATATTTTTAGTAGAGACGGGGTTTCAACATGTTGGCCAGGCTGGTCTCGAACTCCTGACCTCAAGTAATCTCCCTGCCTCAGCATCCCAAAGTGCTGGGATTACAGGCATAAGCCGCCATGCCCAGCCAGGACTGACATATTATATTCAGTGTGTAGCGGCAGGTGTGTTATTCATCTATTAATTTGTTATGAGAACAACTTCCTCAAGCTATTCTTGCTAGCTGGAAAGGGGCCTAAACTAGGAAATGAGAAATCTAGATTCTAGTCTTCTTGTACAACCTGAACAAGTCATTAATTCCTTAAATTCACTGTTCTTGTCATTAAAAAGATAATATTTAACTTACCTCCTTTATGGAATTGCTGTGTGGTTTGGATATAAAAGTTAAATAAATGTAAAAGTTAAATAAAATATGAAACACTGGACTAATATTAAGTCATCCTAGTAGTCTATAAACATAAAGAATTGAGTATGTTAATAGGTTTATAGCTAGGCTAGTATTCATGTCCATCATTCATTGGTATTTCCAAATACCTCTTTCAGTTATACCTTGCCTTCAATGCAAGAGATCCATAGACTCCATTTCAGGGACCATGCAGACAGGCTTATGAATATGTCCCCCATCATGTCATATCCTCAAAGAAAGGAAACCCTAATAATGGTGCCTGGAATTGAGAGCTAGACACTGTTGGTATGGTCGTGCTGTTGAGCATGTAAAAGCAGCTTCTATCTTTAAGTTGGTTATTAGGTTAATAACTTTTTTAAAATGGAGGGCTAAAAAAATATGTAATTTGCTATAAAGCACAAGGTGATTTGGGGTCAGAGTGATTCTCTTCTTTATCCATTATAGTCATTGTAGGATTCCAAATATTTAGTGCCATATTGAGCACAGATATACACAACAGCAACCCTTGGTTTTATATTTACCTGGAGAACCAATTTGAGATTTATGTTTGCTCTCTATTAATGGTGGATTTTTTAAAATGAAAGCAGAATACTAATAAATTTCCTCTGCTTTCTCTGGTCTGTATTATCTATGAATATTTGAATCCCCTTACCTTCACTATCCCCTTTGCATAAGAATTTTGCTGCTTTGAGAAGATAGAGGACACAATATTAAAATATATGTGTGGAATCCAAGGCAGCTGATGGAGATGGCAGCAATTTTGAATGACTTCATCAAGTATGACGTTTTTTAGCAATATGTTATAAAAGCTGTAACATAATATGGCATAAAGATAGATAGGTCGTTCATCAATATTTCCTTGAAACCAGCATATATACAGTTTCACATTAATTATTTGACATGTCAGGTGGAGTTGCTGCCTGCTGGGGAACATCAGTTAGGTGTTGTTTTGTAAGCTTTTCATTTGCTAATACAAAAGTTGCAACGACATAGCTTGGTTCATACTGAAATAAATGTTTCATTGGGTATCCAGGAACTTTTTCTGTTTTATTATTTATTAGAGGCCACAAGGGCCTATAGAATGTCACTGAACATGCCAGAAGTAAGCCCCAAGCTCTGAAGTCATGTGCCAGAGCTAGTAATGCAATAAGATAGTGTGGTATGAGAAAAACAAAATAGATAAGACTAAATTTTCTTTCATGCAGTGGTTCAGTAGGAGTACATTTACTATTTGACTTTTCTACTTGTAATGTAAGAGGTTTCTAGGTAAAAGATCTGATATTTCGCCAAATTACCTTGTTTATAATTTCACCAAAATCAAGTCACAGAAAAGCAAACTGAAAACTACTTGGGCATATTATTCTGTTATTTTAATCAACCACGTTTTTAGAAGCAGTTGTCTTATATGACACTAACCAGCACTGTTTTCTACATGGCTCACTAGAGAAAAACAAAACAAAATAAACAACAACAACAGCAAAAACTATTACAGCCATCTTTAAGACAAAGATCCCCAGCTATATAGCCAGAAAAGTCTAGAAGTTTAGATGATTCTCTAGGTTAATTTTTTTCATAGTGACTCTTCTGAGTTAAATACTTTTTCTCTGTTTTTTTTTCTTCTATTACCACAGCTTAATACCACTCTTATGTGGGAAAGTCTCCTCACAAAATATCTGCATGATGAGGATAATGCCTTATCTTTGGGTTGCCAGAGCCTAGCAGATGGAGAACTTTGCACTGAGGAGAAAATAAAAACAAGGTATGTTTGGTTCAATGGACATATTTGTTCCACTTAATTACTGTGAAAGGTATGACTCCTTTCTGAACACATGATCCAATCATTTGCATGAAGGACAGGCAAATACCTATAAAACTCAAGGGAGGTATCCTTCTGGAGTGACATCAGCAGAATAGGAGTTTCCAGAACTTGTTCCATCACAGAAACATATATTTGAACAACCATTAATGAATGAAGATACCTTCACAAGAACTAAGGAATCTAAATAAAAGATTATAGTATCTGGATGCAGCACAAATGTGAGAAAAGTCACTTTGAAGACACTAGGAAGGACAATTTCACACTACCCCCTTCCCATGACCCCTTGCAGTATGGCTCAAAGAGAAATACTCTCCATGTGGAGGAAGAAAGTGAAGTGGGCACCTGAATTTGTCTTTGATCCCAGCAACAGGCCCATTCCAGTGAAACCAAGAAACAGACCATCCTACTCCCTAGCCCCCAGACACACTCCAAGTAAACCTCAGAGTAAGACCAGGCCTTGCATCCCCATGCTCCAGGACCACCTCAGTACCAGGTTAGCTCCCATGACCCCAGGCTCCAAACCAGCATCCATGGAGCCGAACTCTAGATCCAACCTAGTTCCAGGCTGACTCCTGTGGCCTTGGCCCCAGGCAGGTGCCTATGGCCCCAGGATAAAGAACTGCTTTTGTGGATCCAGGCTCTAGAACCATCTTCTTGGATCCAGACACAAGGCTTACACAAGGGGACGCTGGCACTAAGTCAGCACTGTGGACTCAGAACCATGCAGATCCTCATGGACACAGGTACTAGGCCTGCTTCAGTGATAGTTGTGCCTCTGTGAACCTAAGTTCAAGGCCTGGCCCAGCACCAGGTCAGTTCTCATGGACCCAGGCTTCAGTTCAGCTCCCATGTACCTAAGTTCCAGGTACTCCCCAATGACTCCAGTCACCAGGCCCATCACAGAGGACTCTAGTGCCATGCTGACCCTCATGGACCGAGATTACAGGCAAGCTCCCTCAGACCTAGGCTCTAGAACCATACAACAAATCCAAGCTTCAGGCCTGCACCAGTGGACCCAGGCTCTGGGCCTGTCCCTACAGACAAGGTACTAGACTGGCCCATGTGTAGCTAGGCACCAGACCCATCAGCCCACTGATGCAGGCACTAGGCCAGCATGCTTGAAGAATTTAGGCAGCAAGTATACATTTAGGCCCCACTAGCCAGCCCACCCAGAATCTCTAGATAAGATTGCTGAAGAAGTGCTTTCCTGCCAAAGCTAATCTGTAAAGACTTAAAGAGGTGCTTATTTCTTCGAACACACAAGGCACCAATTCAGGACCACCAGGAGGGTCAGGAATAATCAGAGATACATGACACCACCAAAGGAAAAATATAAAAGCACCTGTATAAGGAAATGGAGAACTATTAACTACCTGACAAAGACTCCAAAATAATCTTTTTTAAGAAGCTCAATGTATTACAAGAGACTGCAGATATATAACAAAACGAAATCACAAAAACAATACAAGAAATAAGTGTAAAGTTCAACGAAGGTATAGCAACCATAAGAAAGAACCAAACACAAGTTCTGAAGGAGGACACAATTACTGAATTAAAATATGTAACAGACAGCTTCAACAGCAGATGCAATCAATAATAAGAATTAGCAAACTCAAAGTCAAGTCATTTGAAATCAACCAGGCAAACAAACAAACATACAAAAAAGAACAAAAATAAATGAAGAAAGCCTATAGGACTTATAGGGTGCCATCAAATGGACCTATATAAGCATTATAGAAGCTCTAAAAGGAGCAGAAATAAGAAATAATCTGGTTGTTTAAAAAAACAATAATAGAAAACTTCAAATATGGAGAAGAAAATGAACATCTAGATTCATGTTGCCAAAAGGACCCCAAATAGGTTAAAAATAAATAGATCTTCACTGAGACACATTATAATCAAACTTTCAAATGTCAAAGGCAAACAGAATTGTGTAAGAAGCAAGAGAAAAGTTATTCATCAAATACAAGGGAGCTCCCCAAGACTATCAGTAGGTTTCTCAACAAAAACATTGTATGCCAGGAGAGAGTGAGATAATATATTCAAAGTCTGAAAGAAAGCAACTACCAACCAAAAATAATATGCCCAGCAAATATGTCCTTCAGAAATGGAGAAATTAAAAAGACTTTTCAAAACAAACAAAAGCCAAAGCTGCTCACCACCAGTAGGCAACCTTTACAAAATGTGCTAAAGCTAGTTCTTCAAGTGAAAATAAAAGGACTCTAACTTAAAACATGAAAACATATGAAAGTATAAAACTCATTGTAAAAGTAAGTATGTAGTTAAATTCAAAATAATCTAATACTACAATTGTGATATATAAATCACTTTTAACTCTAGCATTAAATTTCAAAGACAAAAATATTAAAAATTACTGTAGCTACAATAATTTGTTAATGGATACACAATGTGACATCAAAAACATAAAATATATAGGGAGAAGTTAAATGATAGAATTTTTGTATGCTGTCAAAGTTAAGCTGTTAGCAGCCTCAAGTAGACAGTTATAACTATAAGTAGCTTTGTGTAAGCCTTGTGCTAAAAGACCTTTACACATACACAAAAGAAATCAAAACCTACCACAACCAAATATTATCTAATCACAACGGAAGACAGCAAGAGATAGAATAGGAAGAAACTCCAAAAAAATCAGAAAGCAATTAATAAAATGGAAATATTAAGTTCTTAACTATAAAGTACTACTTTAAAGGTAAATGGAATAAATTACCCAATCAAAAGACATAGAGTAATTGACAGACCACAAAAAAAAAAGAAAAAGAAGGAGACCCAACTATAAGAACTATATGCTGCCTACGAAATCCTCACTTTACCTTTAAGAACACAGATAAGCTAAAAGTGATGGGATAGAAAAAGATAAACCATGCAAATAAAAACCAAGCAGATTGGAGATGGCTATACTTACATAAGACAGAGTAGTCTTTTAATCTTCAAAAATTTTAATAAGAAACAAATTTATTATGTAATTATAAAGGGGTCAATTCATCAACAGGGTTTAAGAATCATAAATATGTACATGCCCAACATCAAAGCACCTAAATATATAAAACAAATATTAATAGAACTGGAGGGAGAAATTGATGGCAATACAATAATGTACAGGACTTCCATACTTCACTTTCAACAATAAATATCCAGACAGAAAACTTATTTTAAAAAACAAGAGTGGGCTTGAACAACACTGTAGAATAAATGGACCTAACAGATATATACATTATAAATACACAACAGAAGAACACATATTCTTCTTAGGTGCACATGAAACATTCTACAGGATAAATAATGTGTGAGACCACAAAACAAACCCTAACAAATGTAAAAAGATTGAAATCATTTCAAGTATTTTTTCCAACAACCATGGTATGAAACCAGAAATAATAACTAAATATGCAAATTTTACATATATGTGAAAATTAAACAACACATTTTTGAGCAACCAATGAGTTGAAAAAAGTCAAAAGATAAAAAGTATCTTGAAATAAATAAAAAGGGAATCACAACATAGAAAAACTTATGTGTTGTAGCAAACACAGTTCTAAGAGGACAGTTTATAGCAATAAATTTATATACTAAGAAAAAAATAAAGATCTCAAGTAAACAACCTAACTAAATACCTCAAGGAAGCAGTAAAAGTAATAAAATAAATTCAAAATCAGCAGAAGGAATGAAATAAAAATCACAGCAGAAATAAATGAAACACTGACTAGAAAAGCAATTGAAAATATGAACAATTTTGAAAATGTCAAACATTTAAAAAATGTTTTGAAAACAACATTTTTAAAACAATACTGAAAAATCTTTAGGTAGACTAAGAGAAAAAGAAAATAATGCTCAAATAATATAAAATTATAAATGGAAGAAGAGACATTACAACTGATACCGCAGAAATATAAATGTGTTTAAGAGACTACTACAAACATTTATATGCTAACAAATTGTATAATCTAGAACACATGTATGAATTCCTACAAACCCACAACCTATGAAAACTGAATCAGAGGAAATAGAAAATGTGAACAGACCAATCACCAGTAAGAAAATTCCATCAGTAATCAAAAACCTTCCAACAAAAGAAATCTCAAAACCTGATGACTTTACAGGTGAATTATACAAGACATTTAAAGAAGAATCCACACAAAACTTTCTCACACACTACCAAAACTTTGATGAGGAGGAAACAGTTCCAAACTAATTTTATGAAGTTAGAATTACCCTAATACCAGTTATAGACAATGACATCACAAGAAAAGAAAATTATGTAGGCCAATATGCCTGTTGAACGCAGATGCAGAAACCCTCAATAAAATTCTAGCAATAAAATTTAACAGCAAATTAAAAGGATCATAAACCAACATCATGTGGGATTTATCTATGGGATGCAATGATGATGTTTCAACATACACAAATAAATGAATGTGATAAACCACATTAACAGAATGAAGGCTAAAAATAATATGACCACCTCAATAGATGAACAAAAAGCATTTGACAAAATTCAATATCCATTCATAATTAAAACTCTCAACAAATTAGAATAGAGGAATTGTATCTCAACATAAAAAGGCCATATATGACAAGCCCACAGGTAACTTCATATACAACAGTAAAAAGCTGAAAGCTTTTTATCTGAAATCAGGATGCCCACCCTGATCATTTCTATTCAATTCAGTATTTATAGTCCTACACAGAGCAATTAGGCAAAAAAAAAAAAAAAGAAAGAAAAAGGAAAAGAAATAAAAGATATCTGACTTGCAAAGAAAAGTAAAACTGTCTATTTGCAGATAATATTTTATATATGTATAATCCTTAAGATTCCACTAAAAATCATTAGCTCTAATAAGATCAGTAAAATTGCAGGGTACACTAGCCATCAGTTGTGCTTCTTTACACTAACAACAAACTACACAACAAAGAAATTAAGAAAACAATCCAACTTAAAATAGCATTGGTAAACCCTGAGGAATAAATTTAGCTGAGGAGGTAAAAGAACTATATACTGAAAAATCATAAAACAGTGGTGAAAAACACTGAAAAAGACAGAAATAAATAAAATGATATTTCATGTTTATTAATCAAAATAATTAATATTTACTTAAATGTCCATACAACACAAAGCAATCTAGGCCAAAGTCTCTGAAATTCGAAGTTGATAGATTAGATTCTAAGAATGGACCATGGCTAGAAAGGAGGCAATTCAATACTTAAAATTCTGTGTTTATATTTCCAAGTTGCATTTGAGTTCATGTTTTGCTAGGATTCTAGAGTTGCTTGTTTTTTGACTTCACAGGAAAGCTGAGAAAATCACTAACATTGGGGAACTAAATAGGCTTAAATACAAGTCATCGCATTACTACCAAACTTCCCAGCTGTTATGGTTTGGGTGTTTGATCCCTCTAAATCTCATGTTGAAACCTAATCCCCGATATGGCAGTACAGAGTGGTGGGACCTTTAAGAGGTGCTTAGGTCATGAGGGCTCTGCTTTCTTGAATGGAGTAATCCTTTCATGTATTAATGGGTTAATGGATTAATAGGTTATCATGGGAATGAGACTAGTGACTTTTTAAAAAGAGAGAGACTTGAGCTAACCCCACTCAGCTGCCTTGCCCTGTGATGCCATCCATCATGTTATGACACAACATAAGGCCCTCACCAGAGGTGACCAGGTGTAGCCACCCAGTCTTGTATATCTCAGACTCCAGAACTGTAAGAAATAAATTCTTTTTAAAAAATAAATTACTCCACCTCAGGTATTCAGTTATAGCAAAAGAAAACAGACTAAAATAGAAAATTCATAACAGGAGTGGTGGTGTCACTATAAAGATACTTGTAAAAGTGAAAGCAGCTTTGGAATTGGGTAATGGGCAGAGGTTGCAAGAGTTTATTCTGGTGAGATCTTAGAAGATTAGGGAAAGGTTAGAACTCCTTAGAGTTTAATAAATTGTCATGACCAGAATGGTAATAGAAATATGGAAAATAAAGGATATTCTGACAAAGTTTCAGATAGAACGCTAAGAAACAAGGCATTAGAAATTGGAGTAAAGGCTATCCATGTTATCAACTGGCAAAAAACTTGTTTGGATTGTGTTCATGCTCAAGGGCTTTATGTAATATAGAGCTCAAAAACAGCAAATTAGAACATTTGGCAGAAGAAATATCTAAGCAGCAAAGAATTCAAGTGCTGCATCCTTTTAACTGCTTACATTGAGCTGTGAGAGGAAAAAATGAGGCCTTGAGGGCCCATCCATTGCCCCAGTGTATCCCAGAGGAGGCACATAGAGTCAAAAGAGATTATTCTCCAGCTTTACGATTTAATGTCATCCTTGTGGGTTTTAAACTTGCTTGGGGCTGGTTACTCCTCTCTTCTGTCCTTTTTCTCAATTTCGGAATGGGAATGTATAACCTGTGCCTGCTGCACCAATTCTGTCTTGGAAGCAGATAATTTGTTTTGATTTTACAGACTCCCCGATGAGATCTGGATTTTGGACTTTTAAGTTGGTGCTGGAATAAGTTAAGGCTTTGGGCCTAGAGAGATGAAATAAATATATTTTTATATAAGAAGGATGTGAGTTTTGAGAGGCCGGGGTGGGATTCAATGTTTTAAATGTGTGTCTTCTCTAAAACTCATCTTGAAACTTAATCCCCAACGTGACAGTATTGAAAGATGGGGCCTTTAAGAAGTGATTGGGTCATGACAGCTCTGACCACATGAATGAATTAACTAATTCATGAATTAATGGGTTAATGGATTAATTGGTTGCCACAAGAATGGAATTGGTGGCTTTACAAGAAAAAGAGACCTGAGCAGAGACATTCAACCCTCTTGCCTTGTGATGCCTTTCACCAAGTTATGACAAAGCATGAGGCCCTCACAGAAGCCAACCAGGTGCAGCCACCAAACCTTGGACTTCTCAGCCTCTAGAATGATAATAAATAAAGCCATTTTATTTATAAATTATACAGCCTCAGGTATTCAGCTATTGCAACAGAAAATATAAATAATATAAATATATTATATATATTTAATATAAATAATATAAATATATATATTTAATATAAATAATATAAATATATTATATATATTTAATATATATATTAAATATATTATATATATTTAATATATATAATATAAATATATTATATATATTTAATATATAGAATATAAATATATTATATATATTTAATATATAGAATATAAATATATTATATATATTTAATATAAAGAATATAAATATATTATATATATTTAATATAAAGAATATAAATATATTATATATATTTAATATAAAGAATATAAATATATTATATATATTTAATATAAAGAATATAAATATATTATATATATTTAATATATAGAATATAAATATATTATATATATTTAATATAAAGAATATAAATATATTATATATATTTAATATAAAGAATATAAATATATTATATATATTTAATATAAAGAATATAAATATATTATATATATTTAATATATATAATATAAATATATTATTTATATTTAATATATATAATATAAATATATTATATATATTTAATATAAATAATATAAATATATTATATATATTTAATATAAATAATATAAATATATTATATATATTTAATATAAATAATATAAATATATATTTAATATAAATAATATAAATATATATTTAATATAAATAATATAAATATATATTTAATATAAATAATATAAATATATTATATATTTAATATAAATATATTTATATAAATTTATTTATATTTATGTATATATAATTATTTTCTCAGAAATAAATCACAAGTAGCATAAATATTTTAGGTTATACTAATTGTGCCATGTGTTAGAGGTCCTAATGACAGGATCTGAGGTATTTTAAATATTTCAAACAAGAATTTCCTACTAATGTTCATGGAAAAAGGTTACAGAAGAATCACAGATATCATAGTCAGCCACAGTTTTAACTGCTATAATCCAAAGAGGAGTATATGATTATGAAAAAGATATTAAAAAAATTAGAAAATGCAAATGGATTAAACCCCAGTATCTATCATAATTAAATGTATTATTTCATAGGAAAAAGACAACATAATACAATCGGCAGTAGTAGGGAGTGATTTTTATTTTCTTCTCTATAATACTTGTACTTTCTATGTTTTTAAGCAATGTGTATTAATGTCTGACATAAGTAGAGGGAAAAAAATCTATTAAAATCAACTTTGGCTAGATTTCCAGAAAGCTACCTCTTCTTACAGAGATTTTATTTGTGATTCTGCTATAAATCATTCCAGATGACTATGTCTTTTGGTTCATGCAATAACAAAGAGATCTTTATTTTTAACATTCAGCTGTGCATTCCTGACTTGTCCAGTTAATATTCTATTGGGACTGGCTCTCTAGAGTCTTCTTTTTGAAGCCTTAGGTAGATTCTTTGGTTAACTCAAAGGGTATAAATAGACTGCCATAAATTTGAAAATCCTCTTTATGGAATGAATGACTACCTCTTTAATTAAATTTAAAATAATTTATATTCTGGGCATGATTTTTTCAAAACATTATTAGTTTATTTAAATTTTCTTGTTGTTTTATTAACTTCATTAGTCTCATCATAAACAGCATCTCCAAATGTAACATATGCTAGAAAATTTTGTGTCTTGAAAGCATAGCTATGAAGTAATCTCAGGCAGGGTCAGAAAAAGTAGTTGGGCTATCATTTACTTGCTTCAGCCATCCTTACTCATTCAAATTATTAGTCTGCTCAAGGCAAAGTAGTAAAGGAATCAAATGTGATCGTTAGTGGTCCTCCACTCTTTCACCCAATAGCATCCTTTTGTCTTGAGAGCCTCAGGATTCCCCTAATCAGGCAACCACCTTTCAGCTTTACTCCTTAGACAATATCTCAAAAGCTGTATCATATAATACTTCCTCCAGCTACTGACAAAATTCCCTGTTCTATAAATTCTGAGGAACCATGTTCTCTCCATTCCATGGTGCTGGAGAGCTAAGTAGATGAACCAATTCAGGCTGTTATTAAAAAGAAAGCAGCTATTTCAATATCTTTTTTCTTCTGAATACATAAAAACTTCAATGACTGTTTTAATATACACAGCATGCTTACTCAAAGCTTTAGTCTAGTAATGGAAATTCCAATAAACAAAGGGAAAAAAATGACCAAAAGACAAATGTGGATTATATTTTTAAGAAAGGATGGTCTCATATTGAATCTCAATGCTCCTCCAAAATAGGAGGGGAAGGTCTTTTTCTATCTATAACTCTATAAAACTCAGAGGCACAAGATGTGAGTTGAAAACAGAAGCCCTTTCGTTCACTACAAACTGCCACTTCACAAGATAAACTATGCTAACTGCATAATTTAGTCATTTATTCTTAAAACTTTCTGTCACATAATTGAATCATCTGCAAATAGACAATGACCATCTATGTTACATGATTTCATGATTATGGTATGCCTTTATAGATATATTTTCTTATACAGGAAAATATCACTACTCCATTCCCAAATGCCTGAGAAGGTGCTCAAATTATAGAAACACAGATTGCACAGCAACTAAAAAGGATTTTAAAGATGAACAAACAATAATAGGGAGGTTATATGACATTAGTCATTAGACAGTGTCAGGGGTGAGTTAAAACTCTTAACTGCTTTTTCTTACTACTCCACTCAATTTACAAAAATTAAGATCTGATAGGAATGAGTGAGAATACTATTGTATGTGAGGACTGAAAGCTCTGGAAGTAGCAAAGATTCTTCTGCCTAGTTCACAGAACTGACTAGAATGTACCAGGGCATTTCTTAACTCACTTTCTATTTAACCTCACATCCTTCAGCTTGGAAAATATCTTGTAAGGTGAGTTTTACAAGATGTCTTGTGAGAGAGAGAGGCCAGGCATGGTGGTCACACCTGTATTCCCAGCACTTTGGGAGGCCAAGGTGGGTGGATCACCTGAGGTCAGGAGTTTGAGACCAGCCTGGCCAACATGGTGAAACCCCATCTCTACTAAAAATACAAAAATTAGCCAGGCATGGTGGTGCATGCCTGTAATCCTAGCTACTCGGGAGGCTGAGGCAGGAGAATCACTTGAACCCAGGAGGCAGAGGTTGCAGTGAGTCTAGATCGTGCCACAGCACTCCAGCCTGTGCGAGAGTGAGACTCTGTCTCAAAATTTAAAAATATACAGACAAACAATTATAGAGAGATAAATAGAGAGAAACAGAGAGACAGACTGAGAAAAGAGACCAAGAGAGAAAGAGATTTGAGAAAGTCTGTGGCACAAACATTTGATTTGCCAAGGCAAAAAACAAACAAACAAAATCCCTCTGTGTGGATATTCTCATCATTCTAAACCTCATTAGGGTATTAAAATCTGATCCTGTGGGCTTTAGAACTTTTCATTCCACTGTCTATTCCAAGTCAGATGGTTCTTTCATTTTGCAGAACAGTACCTGAGATAACTAACAAGTAAAAAATAAATCTGACTCTGCTAGAGGATTAGAGATATCATATTATACAGTTAATAAAATGAGTTCACACCTGTTAAACACCATCATGACATTCCTATAGATTTATTTCCTAAGGTTTAAGTGAGTCTTGTATTATTTAATAATTCTTCAAAATCCTATAACTTCAGAATGCTCATCAACTTAAAAGATAGCAAAAATCGAAATAACATATAGAAAAGTGCAAACACTTTCTGATGTTTTCCCACTTTTTACCATCTTCTTACTACTAAGTCTTCATACACATTGTTTCCCTTTCCTTACTTAATAGTATTTATCAGCAATGCCTAGCCCCCTCCATTTCTCTCACTAGTTCTGTATGGCTTTTCTACATCCAGAGATGGGGTTCACTTCTGTAATAACCAGCCTCCAAGATGCCTTCCCCAGATTCACGTCTCTTGGTATTTACACCTTTATTAGTCTTCTCTCAGACTTGATCAAGAATGGTCATGACTGACAATGTATGACTTCCAAGTGGACTTCACAGGCCACTGCAGCTTCTGTTTTGTTCTCTTGTATTGCTTGCTGTGGGTATCTGTGCAACAGATACCATGTTGCAAGAAAACTCAAGAGAACCACATGAAGAAGATCTGAGCCATTGCCAACTTGGCAGCCATGTGAGCGATCCACCCTGAAAGCCAAACCTCCAGCCATAGTCCAGCCTTCAGATGATTGTAGCCCTAGTCAACATCTAGCTGCATCCCACATTAAACCCAGAGCTAACAGTGTCCAGCCACACCATTCCTAAATTCCTAACCCGCCAAAATGGTGAAAGAGTACCTTTTCTTTTTTAAGTACTAAGATTTGTGATTTGTTATGCATTAATAGATAACTAATACATCATTGTTTATGTGGCTCTGAGGATTGCCCCAGTGTGGGCTAGATGGCACCTCACTGTGATTCCATGGCCTCTACTTCTTTCAAACATCATTCTAACCATAGTAAACTTAGTCCTAGTTTACTGAATTTTCTTGTCTGTCTCACTCACTAGCTTCAAGATTTTTGAAAAATTATCTAACTCTCTTATTTGTGAAGGCCACATGTCACAGTAAAATTTAATTGTCCCAGATAGTATATATTATATATTGATGAGAATGAAATAATAATTTCAATCTTGCCGTATGTGATAAAGGAAGAAAGATGAGAAAGTATCATCTGATTCTCCTGTACCTTGATTCCCAAAAGCATAAAGCATTTGATTGAAGTTAGTAACCATGTTTTTCCTAGACATTTCCCCTGCAATATGTGGTGGTGAAAAAGCCCCGTCAGGGCACTAGTAGGTAAAATTTATAGATTAAACACACATATTTATCTTTTTTTACCAAAGCGATTACAAGACATACTGAGAGCAGACAGTGGACGAGAGATAGCAGCTAACTGTTGTAAGACACAAAATGGTCCAATGAGTATTGATGAATTAGTAGTTGGTGAAACTCTCTACCTGGATAACTGTTTTAAAACTTGCATGGAAGAATGTCCAATCCCTAGCTCCCCTTCAAATCCCATATAAGCAGGCCCAACACAGCTTCTTAAAGAGGGAGTCTGAAGAATGCAAAAGGGGGCTGAACTACAAATTGTGGCTGCCTGAAATGAGGCAGGTAGGCTTATATCTCCACAGCTAAGGACATAGAAAAATGTCTCATTATTTGGGGAATCCCAAAGTTGATCCTCCCTCTCTTAACCATATATACATAGCTTCTGACTGGCAGTTTACACTAGGAAAGTCAGTGTAGGGTCAGGC
Organism: Homo sapiens; assembly: GCF_000001405.40. Lineage (NCBI taxonomy): Eukaryota > Metazoa > Chordata > Mammalia > Primates > Hominidae > Homo > Homo sapiens. Next base: position 35,569,197 of record NC_000003.12, read on the forward strand.
ACTGTTGCTGTTGCTGCATTTGTCATAGATTTGCTTGCTCGACTTTTTGGCTAACTGAGATAGCAGCCAGATCCATGTTTCCTCCAGTTACCAACAACTTTTCTCCTTCAGTTTCTTCACTCCTGCTCCAGGTATGTGTTTAACACCATGGTGTATGTAACCTGAATCATTGAATTTGTACACTTTTAGGAAGTGAAAGCCTGATGTGAACTCCAGATTGTCCACGTGGATTTTAGCACATCTTTGCAGGCTTCCAGTTTGTTCGTCCTCTCGCTCGCATCCTATCCATCTTCCCAGTGGAGTTATGGTATCTAGCTACTCACAGTTTAACAAATTTCTGAGTATTTATTAATTGGTATTGCCTGCCCTGCCCAGTACCAGGGCAGAAGCCAATTGTGTAAGGTCAAATCCCTATAACAAATCCCCTATTCCTGAGATTTTATGGATGGTACAGACAAAGATATAGACATAGATGTAGACATAGATCCTAGTAGTTCTGCTTCTTTGATCAAGTCTTCCTTGTTAGTCTATGTAAGAAGGATATTAATCAAAGATTCTAATCCTGAACAGTTGAGGTCAAGTTTTGCAAGGAAATTTAGCAAATTGAGACATCTCTAATTTTCCAAATGTTATGAGGTAAAATTCACATTAATTCATCTCAACAGTGTTCATTACAATAAATTTGTTAGCAAAGGCTGACAGTTATAAACACATAACTTCTGCAGTAGTTTTTTTAACTTAAATTAATTTGTTGGTAATATTATCATGAATGCCATTAACAAATTCAGGATGATGAGTGTTCTAGATTCTATAAAGCCCACATCAGGCAGTCACTGCCTAGAGAAGATAAATCAGATACTTGATTGGTGAGAGATGTTCATATCTCTGCAATGTCTTAGATGGGTTATGCCAAATCTGCCCTGTAATTCACTCTGGGAAGTAAGGATAGGCCTAGATGTGGTAAACACAAATGCCCTTTATTTTTCTTTTTTTGACTAAGTTAATTTGTTTTAAACAAACTAACAAAAAATCTATACTATTGGCCCCCAAGCATAGGTCGTAGAAGGATTGTGGCACATCTTGGATAAACCACTGTCCTGAGGCTCTGTCACCTGGGCACCTATGTCTACTCCAGCAATCACACAGCTCAGCAAGATAGAGCTGGATAACCTAGTCATGTTCAAGGAGGATGATATTTTGCTTTGTGAATCAGACTTATAAATTCTGGTTTAAATGGAGTCAAATAAATACAATTAGGGCCTCTTGACTTTGAGATGTATTCTATTTAGATCATGCTTTTCTATATAAATTTTATTACTCTCCACTCCTTTTCCTGCAAAGGACTTAGCATGTCTAGCAGAGGGCTTTGGGATAACTAGGTGGTGTTTAATCTGAAAATATCACTGAGTATATAAATATTTCAGAAAGCATTTGTATGCTATGATACTGCATACCCTAAGTTTTAGACCCAGCTAATGTAATGGGCTAGTGTAACTGCATAGTTTTATTTGTTTTTACTACTTTGGCATGGGCCTAAAAAGATAATGTCTTAATTACTTCAAAACAGTTTGCTGCTATTTGAGTATTCAGTGGAATTTCTATGAGTACTTAAGATGCTATCTCTGGGTGAAATAAACGATTATAATGGAAGAGTTTTTGATTTTTATGACCTCCAAGCCAGTATCTTTTGGCTAATTTGGATATGGGTACAGCATACTATGTTATTTGTGGCTTCAAACATTGGCCAATTACCATTTTGTCTGTTGGCATGAACTTAATATATAAGAATGCTGGACAGGAGCTGCACCGAGGTGTTCTAATGAGGCTAACCAACACATTCTCTGTGACTGCTGAGGAAGATGGATTGTCGAATAAGCTACCCAGTGCTCTGACAAGCTAGCTTGGTGTGATAATCCCGTTTAAGATCTTGTTACATTATTCATTTCTTTTCTGTTGCACTAATCTTTGCAGCATATTTCTGTTTTGTTACTGCCTGCATTTTCGGAGCTACAGAGATTATTGTTTTATGATAAAGATAAAGCTTTCCATTAATTTCTTCATGCTTTGCAGGGAGAACAAGGCAAATCAAAGATCTATAGTAGTTTGCTTTTCACAGATTGCTTGTTATACCCGGTAAGTTGCACTGGCTATTGGGGAATTAACTGTACATGAGTAGAGATCACAGCAGGTTCAGACTGGGTCATGTCAAGTAGTCATGGTAAATGAGAACAAATGAAAAGGCTCCTGAGCACAGACCTTTTCACCAGGTTTTACCGTGTTAATATGTTTACTTATGAGGAACTGGACACATGGATGTATAAACATGCACACTGCTGCTTTATAGGCACCCAAATTCCACTACCTCTCAATATCAGCATCATTGCAAGAAAAGCAAGTGTTAGCACAGAGATGCAGTTAAGGAATCACAGAACAAGAGCTGAAAAGTTTATCAAGAAGTTATCAGAATAAGCCCAAAATAATATAAAATTATAGTAACAAAATTATTAAAGGAATTAAAATGTTACACTAGAACTAATTCACTTAGTACAAAAAAAGCAATGAAGGAGACATAGAGGAACAAAAAGGATATTTTTTTTTTCAAAAAAGTTAAATGACAGACATAAATAAAATTACATCAATAATAGTATTAAATGTTGTTGGACTGAATAACCCAAAAGTCAAGGATTGTCAGACTGGATTAAAAAACATCCAAATACATGATGTCTAAAGTAAATACACTTAAGATTAATAGATACAAATAGATTGACAGTAAAAAAATGGAAAAGATATATAATGCAAATAGAAGCCACAAAAAAGCAGGAGAGGCTATGCTAATGTCAGACAAGATAGACTTTAAAATTTTAAACAATTATTGCTAGAGATAAAAAGGAACATTTTATAATGATAAAATAGTCAATCCATTAGGCAGCTATAACAATTTTAAATATATACAGACATATTTCAATTGATTAAATTTTGCAGATATTGCTTTTTTTCTTTTCTTTTTTTTTTTTAATACAAATTGAAGACCTGTGGCAACCCTGCAAAGAACAGGTCTATCAGTACCATTTTCCCAACAGTATGTGCTCATTTTTTATCTCTATCATATTTTGGTAATTCTCACAATATTTCAAGTCTTTTCTTTATTATTATGTCTGTTATGGTGATTTATGATCAGTGATCATTGTTACTATTGCAATTGTCTAGGGGCTCCACAAACAGTGCTCATATAAGATGTTGAAAGTAATTGATAAATCGTATTCTGACTGCGACACCAGCCAGCCATTCTCTGTCTCTCTTCCTCTCCTCAGGCATCCCTATTCATTGAGACATAATATTGAAATCAGGCCAATAGATAATCATATGAGGCTCCTAAGTGTTCAAGTGAAAGGAAAACTTGACATCTATCAATTTAAATCAAAAGTTAGAAATGGCTTAGCTTAGTGAAAAAGATAGTCAAAAACCAAGGTAGGCCAAAAGCTAGGCCTCTTGTGTCAGAGAGTTTGCTAAGTTGTAAATGCAAAGGAAAAATTACTGAAGAAAATTAAAAGTGCTACTCCAGTGAACACATGAATAATATGAAAGCAAACAGCTTAATTGCTGATATGGAGAAAGTTTTAGTGGTCTGGATAGGTGATCAACCAGCCACAACATTCCCTTAAGCCAAAAGCCTAATATAGAGGCACTCTGTTAAATTCTATAAGGGCTGAGAGAGGTGAGGAAGCAGCAGAAGAAAAGTTTCAAACTAACAGATGTTGGTTTATGAGGTTTAAGGAAAGAAGTTGTCTTCATAACATAAAAGTGCAAGGTGAAACAGCCAAGCGCTGATGTAGAAGCTACAGCATATTATCCAGAAGACCTAGCTGAGATAATTTATGAGTGTGGCTATTCTGAACAACAGATTTTCCAATGTAAAGCCTTCTATTGGAAGAAGATGCCATCTAGATCATTCATAGCTCAATAGAAGAATGCTTGGCTTTAAAGCTTCAAAGGACAGTCTGACTCCCTTGTTAGGGGTTAATGCAGTTGGTGATTATAAGTTGAAGCCAATGCTCATTTACCATTCTGAAAATCCTAGGACCCTTAAGAATTATGCTAAGTCTACTCTGGTTGTGCTTTATAAATGGAACAACAAAGCCTAGATGACAGTACATCTATTTACAGCATGGTTTATTGGATATTTTAAGCCCACTATTGAGACCTATTGCTCAGAAAAAAAGATTCCTTTCAAAATGTTACTGCTTATTGACAATGCACCTGCTCACCCAAGAGGTCTGATGGAGATGTGCGAGGAGGTTAACACTGTTTTCAGGTCTGCTAACACATCTATTCTGCAGCCCATGGATCAAGAAATTTTAACTTTCAAGTCTTATTTAAGAAATACGGCTGTAGCTGCCATAGATACTGATTCCTCTGATGTATTTGGGTAAGTAAATTGAAAACCTTTGAAAGAATTCACCATTCTAGATACACTTAAGAACTTTCCTAATTCATGAAGGGAGGTCAAAATATCAACATTAACTGGAGTTTGAAAGAAGTTGATTCCAACTTTCATGAATAACTTTGAGGGGTTCAAGACTTCAGTGAAGACAGTAACTAAACATTTGGTGGAAGTAGCAAGAGAATTAGAATTGGAAGTAGAGCCCCAAGATGTGACTGATTTGCTGAAACCTTATAATAAAATTTTACTGAATAAGCAGTTGCTTTTTATAAAGGAGGAAAAAGGGAGCTTCATGAAATGGAATCCACTCCTAATGAAGTTGCTATGAATATTGTTGAAATGACAACAAAGAATTGAGAATATTACATAAACATAGTTGATAAAGCAGTGGCTGGGTTTTATAAGATTGACTCCAATTTTGAAAGAAGTTAAAATGCTTTTAAATAGCATCACATGCTTCAGATAAATCTTTCATGAAAAGAAAAGTCAAAAAATTTGGCAAACTTCATTGTGTCATCTTATTTTAAGAAATTACCACAGCCACCCCAACTTTCAGTAAGTATCACTCTGTTTAATTAGCAGCCATCGAGACTGAGGCAAGACATCCTGCTAACAAAAAGAGTTTGGTTTGCTGGAGGCTCAGATGATTGTTAGCATTGTTTAGCAGTAAAGTATTTTAAATTATGATATGAACATTGTTTTTTAGGCATACTTAATACTACACACTTAATAGTCTATTGCACACTTAATAGTCTATTGCACACTTAATAGACTACAGTATAGTGTAAACATGACTTTTATACTTTAATTCTTGTGAAACAGAAAAGTTTATGTGACTGGCTTTATTGCAATATTTGCTTTATTGCAGTGGTCTGGAACTAAATCCACAACATCACAAAGGTATGCTTGTACGCAGAGAGCCCCAAAATACATGAAGCAAAATGGACATAATTGACAGAAAAATAGACAATTCAACCGAAATGATTGGACACTTAAACAGCCACTTTCAGTAGTGGATAGAGCAACAAGACAGAAAATTAACGGATAATATTAGACTTCAAAAACAGTATAAACCAACAGGACCTGACAGACATTTTATAGAGCACTCCACCCAACAATGGTAGAATACACAGTTGTCTTGAGTTCACATTTAACTGTCTCTAGAATACAGCATGTGCTAGGCCACAAAACGAGCCTCAATAAATTTTAAAATATTTAAAATATGAAAAATATCTTCTCTGACTATGATGGAATGAAATAAAAATCAACAACAGGAAAAATTGGGAAAATTCACCAGTGGAAATAAAATACTACTTTCTAAGTCACAGATTATGTAAGAAAGATATCACAACAGAGATTAGAAAATACATTGGGATGAATGAAAGTAAAGAAACACCAAAACAAAATGTATGAGATGTAGCTAAAGCACTGCTTAGAGTATAGTTCTAAATGCCTGTATTAAAGAAGTTAAAAGATCACAAATAACCTAACCTTCTACCTTAATATATAGGAAAAAAGAAAATTAAGATACTTCTAGAGCAAAAAGAAAAAAAGAACCACTAAAGATTAGAGTGATATTAATAAAATAAACATTTTAAAAAGCAATAGAAAAAAATTGTTTCTTTGGAAATGTTAACATAAGAAAACATTTAGCTAGACTGCTGAGAAAAAGAGGAGAATTAGGAAGTAAAGAAGGAAGATTAATATTGACCTTACAGAAAGAGAAAGATCATAAGTAAAGAAATGTAACTCTATGCCAAAAAATTAGATAGCTTGGACAAAATACACAAATTCCTAGAAAGACACAAACTTTGAAGAATTAATACCAAGCCTTCACAAACTCAAAAATTAAAAGCAAGAAAAAACACTTCCAAGCTCATGCTATGAGCTATGAAGCCAGTATTACCTTGATACCAAAACTAAATAAAGACATCATACAAAGAAAGGAACTACAGACTAATATTTCTTATAAATACAGATGTAAAACTCCTCAAAAATACCAACAAACCAAATATAGCAACATATAAAACAGTTATACACTATGACCAATTGTGATTAATTCCACCAGTGAAAGGTGGGTTTAACATCTGAAATTAATTAATTAATGCAATATACCATATCAACCCTTATGGATTGCTGATAGGAATGTAAAATAGTGCTTTGGAAAACATACTGTTTCTTTCAGTATATGTTCATGAAATATTTTTCTACTTATTTGTTTCTTCTTCAATTTCTTTTATCAGTGTTTTATAATTTTCAGTGTACAAGTCTTTCATACTCTTGGTTAAATTGATATCTTAACATTTTAATCTTTTGCAGCTACTATAATTGGGATTGTTTTATTGACGTCTTTCTTGGATAGTTTCTTGTTAGTGTATAGAAATACTACTGACTTTTATGTGTTAATTTTGTATACTGCAATATTACTGTATTTGTTTATTAGTTCTAACAGATTTTCAGTGGAATTCTTAGAATTCTCTTTATATAAGATCATGTCATCAGCAAGTAGTGACAACTTCACTTCTTTTATATTTGGATGCCATTTATTTCTATCTCTTTCATAACTGCTCTGGTAAGAGCTTCTAATATTATGTTGAACAGAACTAGTGAGAGTGGCCATCCCTGTCTTGTTCCAGATCTTAGATTAAAAGCTTTTAATGTTTCACCATTGAGTATAACGTTAGCTTGGGACTTCTCATGTATGGCCTTCATGGTATTGATGTACTTTCCTTCTATACCTAATTTGGTGAGAGTTTTTATCATGAAGGTAGGTTGGATAATGTCAAAGGCCTTTTCTGTATCTAATAAGATGATTATATAATTTTTTTCCTTAATTCTGCTAATATGAGGTATTATATTTACTTATTTGCATATATTGAATCATCCTTGAATTCCATTAAGTGGAATAAATCCCACTTAATTGTGGTGGATGATCCTTTTAAATGTATTACTGAATTTAGTTTGCTAATATGTTGTTGAGGATTTTTTGCATCTGTGTTCATGAAGGTGATTGGCCTGTGTTTTTCTTTTCTTGTAATATTATTGTCTGGCTTTGGTATCAGAGTAATGCTGGCCCCAGTTTGGAAGTATCTATTCATTGTTGAAAGTGGTATACTGAATTCTGCTACTGTTATTGTGATATATCTTTCCCTTTAGATTTCTCAATATTTATTTTATATGTTTAAGTGCTCCAATATTGAGTGCATATATATTTACAATTGTGATTTCCTCCTGAGGGATTTTTTTTTTTTGATACAGGGTCTCACTCTGTCACCCAGGCTGGAGTGCAGTGGCAGGATCTCAGCTCACTGCAACCTCTGTCTCTGGGGTTCAAGTGATTCTTGAGCCTCAGCCTCCTGAGTAGCTGGGATTACAAGAGTGTGCCACCACACCTGGCTCATTTTGCATTTGTGTGTGTTTTAAGTAGAGACAAGGTTTCACCATGTTGGCCAGGCTGGTCTTGAACTACTGACCTCAAATGATATGCCCACCTTGGCCTCCCAAAGTGCTGGGATTACAGGCATGAGCCACCGTGCCTGACCAGTTTCCATTTCTTTACTTTTAGTTTTAAAAGTGAGGTGACTGGCCAGGCACAGTGGCTCATGCCTGTAATCCCAGCACTTTGGGAGGCTGAGGCAGGCAGATCATGAGGTCAGGAGTTTGAGACCAGCCTTACCAACATGGTGAAACCCCATCTGTACTAAAAATACAAAAATTAGCTGGGCCTGTTGGTGCATGCATGTAATCCCAGCTACTCAGGAGGCTGAGGCAGGAGAATGGCTTGAACCCGGGAGGCCGAGGTTGCAGTGAGCTGAGATTGTGCCACTGCACTCCAGCTGGGTGAGGTGAAACTCCATCTCAAAAAAAAAAAAAAAAAAAATGAGGTGACTCTCCTGTAGGCAGCATATAATTAAGTCTTTTTTTTTTTTCTAATCAACTCAACCACTCTGTCTTTTTATGGGAGAATTTAGTCTATTTAAATTACAGGTAATTATTGATAGATAAGGACTTACTACTTCCATTGTGTTAACTGTTTCCTTGTTGTTTTGTAAATATTTTGTCTCTCTCTTCCTCTGTCATTGTTTTCCTTTGTGGTTCTATGGTTTTCTATGATGGTATGCTTTGAATCCATTGTATTTTTGTTTTGTGATTCTACTAAAGACTTTTGTTTTGTGATTATCTTGAGGCTTTCATAGAACATCTTATACATATAACAGCCTATTTCAAGCCGATGGCTACTTAACTTTGTGTAAACAACTTTACACTTTTAATTCTTCCTCCACATTTTTTATTTTTGATGTCAGAATTTACATTATTTTGTAATGTGTATACCTTGACAATTTATATGACCTATGCTTTTAATTAATAGTTTTGTTTTTTAACACTCATACTAGAATAAAATTGCTTTGCAGAACATCACCATGGTCCTGGAATATTTTGAATATAGCTGTTTCATGTATGCCATTGAGTTTTGAGCTTTTATGAGTTTCATATTATTAATTAGGAGTCTTTTGTTTCAGCTCAATGAACGCCTTTTAGCAATTCTTGAGTGATGATAAATTCCCTTTATTTTTGTTGTCTGGGAAGTCTTTTGTTCCTCCCCTCATTTCTAAAACACAGCTTTACTTGGTAAAGCATTCTTTATTGGCAGAGTTTTCTTTTTCCCTTAGCAGTTTAAATATATCATCCCACTCTCTCCAGGCCTGCGGAATTCTGCTGAGAAATCAGCTAATAATTGTATTTGTACTCTTTTGTTTGTGGTGTGTGTCACATTGCCTGCTACTCTTGGATTTTTTTTGTCTTTGATCTTTTACAGTTTGACTATTATGTGTTTTGGTGAACTATCTTTGGGTTGCATTTAATTGGAGATTTCTACACCTCTAGTGCCTGAGTGTTAGCATCTAATCCCAGATTAGGAAAGTTTTCAACCATTATATTTTTTAAAAAATACCTTCTTATTCTTTTTTTTTTCTTTTTCTTTCCTTCTGTAACTCCATTATATGACTGTTTGGTCTCTGATGGTTTCCAACAATAACTATAAGATTTATTTATTATTATTTGTCATTTTTTGTCTTATGGCAACTTTGGATAATTTCATACATTCTGTCTTCCAGCTCACTTATTCTTTCTTCTGCTTGAACAAATTTGTTGTTATTCTGCTGATTTTTTCAGTTCAGTCACTGTATCCTTCATCTCCAGAAGTTTTTCATTCTTTTTTATTGTTTCTATTTATAAAACTTCTCACTTTGTTCAAGTATTATTTTCCGAATTCCATTTAATTTTATTTTTGTATATTCTTATCATTCACTGAATTTCTTTAAGACCATTATTCTCAATTCTTTATAGCCATTTTAAAGATCTCCATTTTTAGGGTCCGTTTTCAGAGCCTTACTATTTTCTTTAAGAGGTATCATGATTCCTTGATTCCTTATACTCACTGGGTCCTTGTATAGTTAATGGTATATTTGAGGAGGGAAAAGAGCCTCTAAAATGCTTTGGGCCCCTAAATGAACTTGACAGGCAGTCTAGGCTACAAGAACTGCAACTCCTAGGAGAGTAGTAGTGCTGAACTTGGCCCAGAGACAGTGGACTCTGGGGTCACATAACCTACTGAGACACCAGCCAGGGTGGCTAAGGGAGTGCTTGCATTACCCCTTCCCTAAACCCAGGCTTCACAGCTTGCAACTGCAAAAAAGATCCTTTCCTTCCACTTGAGGAAAGGAGAGGGGAGAGTGCAGAGAACTTTGTCTCACATCTTGGATACCAGCTTAACCACAGTATGATAGGGCATGGGTCAGGGTTGTGAGGCCCTAGGTCACAGATGACATTTCTAGACACACCCTGGTCTAGAAGGGAACCCACTGCCTTGGAAGGAAGAACCCAGTCCTGCCAGCATTCATGGTCTGCTAAGTGAAGAGCCCGTAGGCCCCAAATAGCCAGCAGTGATAGCCAGGTGCTATGTTGAGGGCCTTGGGTGAGCCTCTGAGACTTGCTGGCTTCAGGAGAGACTCAGTACACTCCAAGCTGAGGTGACTACATGAAACTCCTTCTGCTTAAGAAAAGCAGAGGGAAAATTAAAGGGGACTTTGTCTTGCACCTTAGATACCAGCTTAGCCACAGGGGAATAGAGCACAAAGTGGGTGCTTGGGATCCTTAGTTCTAGAACTTGGCTCTTGAACAGCATTTCTGGTCCAGAGGGAAGCCCACTGCTCTGAAGTGAGCCTCAGTCAGGCAGCATTCACCACAGCTAATTGAAGAGCCCCTTGGCCTTAAGAGAACATTAGCAGTAGTCTTGTAGTACTCACTGTGGGCCTGCGGTGGTAATGGCCCCTGGGTGAGGCTCCTCTGCCTTTGGAAAGGGAAGACTCCTCTGCCCTGGGAAGAACTGGATCTTACGGTTTGAGTGTAGCTCAGCCACAGTACGAAAGAACAACAGGTAGATTTCTAAGAATTTTGACTCCGGTCCCTGGCTCCCAGACAGCAACTCTAGACTCACCCAGGGCCTGTAGAAACTAACCACCATGAAGGTAAGGACACAGACCTGGTTGGCTTTGCCATCTGCTGATTGTAGAGCCCCCAATCCTTGAGCAAACATAGGCAATAACAAGGGAATGATTACTGTAGGCCTTAAGTGAGGCCCATTGCTGTGCTGGTGTCAGATATGACCCACACAGTCACAGTGGCAGTGGCCACAGGAGTTGTTTTGTTAACCCATGCCCAATTTTAGGTGGCTCAGAACAGAGAGACTCTGTTGGTTTGAGTGAAAGTAAAGGTAATCCAGAGAATACTCCCACATCTTGTCCAAGATTATAAAGACGATATCTCTACAAGTCTGCAAGAACCACGATGATACTGGGCTTGAGGTGCCCCTAAAAGTAGACACAGCTTAGAATACAACACCCAAATCTTTTCAAATATCTGGAAAACTTTCCAAAGAAGGATGGGTGTAAAGAAGCCCAGACTGTGAAGACTATAATAAATACCTAACTCTTCAATGCCCAGTCACTAATCGACATCTACAAACATCAAGAACATCCAGGAAACCATGAACTCACCAAATTAACTAAATAAGTCACCAGGGACCAATCCTGGAGGAACAGAGACTTCATCTGTACTATAGATCAAATTAACCTAATAGATATATATTTTTTATTCAATTGCTGCAGAATACATATTCTTTTCCTCAGTACCTAAATCATTCTCAAAGATAGACCATATGTTAAGTCACAAAACAAGTCTTAAAATGTTCAAGAAAGTTGAAGTAATATCAAGCATCTTCTCTGACCACAGTGGAATAAAACTAGAAATCAATAACAATAGTAATTTTGGAAACCCTGCAGATACATGGAAATTTTAAAATATGTTCCTGAATGACCAGTGGGTCAATGAAGAAGTTAAGAAGAAAATTGAAAAACTTCTTGAAACAAATGATAATGGAAACACAACATACCAAAACCTATGGATACAGCAAAAGCAGTAGTACCACGAGGGAAATTTATGGCTGTAAGTGCCTACATCAAAAAAGAGGAAAAAATTCAAATGAACAATCTAATGAAGAATCTTAAAGAACTAGAAAAACAAAACCAAACCAAACCCACAATTAGGAGAAGAAGAGAAATAATAAAGATCAGAGGAGAAATAAATGAACTTGAAATGAAGAAAATACAAAAGCTTACTGAAACAAACCTTGGTTTTTTGAAAATTTAAGTAAAATTGACAGACCTGTAGCCATACTAAGAAAAAAAGAGAGAAGACCCAAATAAATAAAATCAGAAATGAAAAAGGAGACATTGCAACTGATAATGCATAAATGCACAGGATCATTAGTGGCTACTATGAGCAATTATATGCCAATAAATCGGAAAATCTAGAAGAAATGGACATATTCCTAGACACATACAACCTACCAAACTTAAACCATGAAGAAATTAAAAACTTGAACAGATCAATAACAAATAAGATCAAAGCCATAATAAAGTCTCACAGTGAAGAAAAGCCCAGTACCCAGTGGCTTCACTGCTGAATTCTACCTAACATTTAAAGAGAATCTAATACCAATCTTACTGAAACTACTCCGAAAAATAGAGGAGGGACTACTTCCAAACTCATTCTATATGTCCAGTATGACCCTAATACCAAAACCAGACAAAGGTACATCAGAAAAAGAAAACTACAGGCCAATATCTCCAATGAATATTGATGCAAAAATCCTTAACATATTACTAGCAAACTGAGTTCAACATTATATTAGAAAGGTAATTCCTCATAACCAAGCGGGATTTATTTCTGGGATGCAAGAATCTTTCAACATACGCAAATCAATCAATATGATACATCATAACCACAGAATGAAGGACAAAAACCATGTAATCATTTCAATTGATGCTTAAAAGACATTTGATAAAATTAACATCCCCTCATGATAAAAACCCTAAAGAAAACTGTGCATAGAAGCAACATCCCTCCACACAATAAAAGCCATACACGACAGACCCACAGCTAGTATCATACTGAATGGGGAAAAACTGAAAGCCTGTCTTCTAAGACCTCTCACATGACAAAGATGTCCACTTTCACCACTATAATTCAACATAGTACTGGAAATACTGGAATATATCATACTGGCTAAAGCAATCAGACAAAAGAAAGAAATAAAGGGTATCCAAATTGGAAATGAAGAAGTCGAATTATCCCTTTTTGCAGATGACATGATTTTATATTTGGAAAAATCTAGAGAGTCTACCAATAGCTATTAGAACTGATAAGCAAATTTAGTAAAGTTGCAGGATACCAAATCAATATATTAAAATCAGTAGCATTTCTATATGCTGACAGTGAACAATCTGAAAAAGAAATAAAAATGTAATTTCATTTACAATAGCCACAAATAAAATTAAATACCTAGAAATTAACTTAACCAAAGAAGTGAAATCTCTATAATGAAAGCTGTAAAAAACTGATAAAAGAAATTGAAGAAGACTCCAAAAAAATGGAAAAATATTCCATGTTTAGAGACTGGAAGGATCAATATTGTTAAAATGTCCATGCTACCCAAAGCAGTCTGCAGATTCAATGGAAACCCTATGAACATACCAATGCTATTCTTGACAGAGATAGAAGAAACAATCCTAAAATGTATATGGAACCACAGAAGACCCAGAATAGCCAAAGCAAACATACAATCTCTTGCCAATGACTTAAATCTAAGATGTCGTACTGTGAAGTTACTACAAGAAAACACTGGAAAAACTCTGCAGGACATTGCTCTGGGCAAAAATTTCTTGAGCAATGCTCCATAAACACAGGCAACCAAAGCAAAAATGGACAAATGGCATCACGTCAAGTTAAAAACCTTCTTCACAGCAAAGGAAACAATCAAGAAAGTGAGGAGAAAACCCACAGAATGAAAAGAAACATTTGCAAACTGCCCATCTGACAAGGGATTAATAACTGGAATATATAAGGGGCTCAAACAACTCTATAGGAAAAAATATAATAATCTGATCAAAAAATGGGCAAAAGATTTGAATAGGTGTTTCTCAAAAGAAGAAATACAACTAACAAACAGGTATATGAAAAGGTTCTCAACATCACTGATTCTCAGAGAAATGCAAATGATAACTGCATTGAGATATCATCTCATCCTAGTTAAAATGGCTTATATCCAAAAGACAGACAATAACAAATCCTGGCTAGGATGTGGAAAGAAGGGAACCCTCATACATTGTTGGTGGGAATGTAAATTAGTATGACCACTATGGAGAACACTTTGGAGGTTACTCAGAAAACTAAAACGGAGCTACTGTATGGTCCAGCAATCCCACTGCTGGGTATATTCCCAAAATAAAACATATTAGTATATTGAAGATATATCTGCACTCCCATGTTTGTTGCAGCACTGTTCACAATAGCCAGGATTTGGAAACAACTGAAGTGTCTATCAACAGATGAATGGATAAAGAAAATGTGGTACATATAAACAACGGAGTACCATTCAGCCATAAAAAAGAATGAGATCCTGTCATTTGCAACAACATGGGTGGAACTGGAGATCATTACGTTAAATGAAATAAGTCAGTCACAGAAAGACAAACATTGCATGTTCTCACTTATTTGTGGAAGCTAAAAATCAAAACAGTTGAACTCACGGAAATAGAGAGTAGAAGGATATTTACCAGTGGCTGGGAAGGGTGCTAGGGGAGTTGGGGGAGGTGGGGATGGTTAATGGGTAGAAAAAAATATCTAGAAAGAATGAATAAGATCTACTATTTGATAGCACAAGAGGGTGACTATAGTCAATAATAATTTAATTGTACATTTTAAAATAACTAAAAGAGTATAATTAGATTGTTTGTAATACAGAAGATAAATGTTCGAGGGGATGTATATCCTATTCTCCATGATGTGATTATTACACATTGCATGCATATCAAAACATCTCATGTACCCAGTAAATACATATGCCAACAATGTACTCACAAAAATTACAAATTAAATAAAAAAAGAAATTACAGTTAGTTTTAATTTCTCACCTTGCTTATGAAAGCAATCAGCTCATCTTTGCAGGTGAATTATGAAGTTAGCTGTTACCTCTGATCTTGTGCCATAGTTTGCAAGAACACAGAGTTACCACCAAGATCTACAAACCGGCAAATATGCCCTTTGCCTTCTCTATTTCTACCAGACCTGGGCAGGCTAGGTGGGCCTTTACTGCTAGTGTTCCCTGTGAAGGAATAGGCTTCCTGGGAAGCATCTCAGAATGCTAGGGAAGCTATACAAATGCCTCCAGTGCTTTTCTCATCCTTTAGAAACTGTAGGCCCAGAGACATCCCCTTTTTCTGGCACTGTGTCTACTTGCAGGAGTGAGGGGTGTTATGTCATCCTGAGACCATCTTCTTACCCTTCTAATTCTGTTTTCATTAAGTTGGGAAGACCACACAAGTGTCTCAGGCTTGTTCTCAAGTATTGGCGTTTTCAGAAAGTTCTTCTAGGTTACAGATAGTTGCTTTTTAAATTTTCTTTGTGTAGAAGGAATAAAGCCTGAGACCTCCTATTTCGCCATCTGCTGATGGTGATGCCATCTTGGTGATATCACCTCTTCATTTTTTTTTTTTTTTTGGATTTTCATTTTCCTGTTGCCTTTTGCAGAGCAGAGTGTTTTTTGTTTGTTTGTTTTCATTTATTAATGAAATCCAGCTTAATGATTATTTCTTTCATAGATTATGCCTTTGGTGCTGTATCTAAAAAGTTATTGCCTCTCCTGAGGTCATCTAGGTTTTCTCCTATGTCATCTTCTATGACTTTTATGGTTTTGTGTTTTACATTTATGTCTGTGATTCATTTTTAGTTAATTTTAGTGAAGGTCTAACTAGATTCATTCTTTTGCATATGAATGTTCAGTTGTTCCAGCACCATTTGTTGAAAAGGCTATTTTTTTCTCCATTCTATTTCCTCTGCTCATTTATCAAAGATCAGTTAACTATATTTAGGTCAATCTGTTCCTAGGCTTTTTATTCTGTTCTGGAATGTATCTATTCTTTTGCCATACTATCTTGATTACTGTAGATCCATGGGAAGTCTTGAAGTAGGATAATTCCTGTCCTTTGACTTAGTTATTCTTCTTCAATATTGTTGGCTATTCTGAGTCTTTTACATCTCCAAATAAACCACAAAATATCTTACTGAGATTTTTATTGGTATAGCATTGGAACTATAGACCAAGTGGGAAAGAGCTGACACCTTTATGATAATGAATCTTCCTATCCAATGAAAATTGAATATATCTTTATTTGTTTAGTTATCTGATTTCCTTCATCAGAGTTTCGCAGTTTTCTCATATATGTCTTATACATATGTGAGGAAATATATACATTTTACTTGATGTGTACCAAAGTATTTTATTAGCACCAAAAGGTCCTAATATAAATGGTATTAAATTTAATTTCAAATTTCACTTGTTCCTTGCTGATATATAGAAAATCAAGGGATTTTTGTATATTAACCTTGTATCCTGCAACCTTGCTACAATTGCCTATTAGTTCCAGGAGTTTATTTGGGTTATTTTTTGATTTTTTAAAATTTTCTACATAGACAATCATATCACTATGCTACCATATGTTTATAAAAGTTACTTGAATTTTAAGGTAATAAACGTGAAATAAAACCACTGTGCAAGTAGATACTTTTCTTCAGCCCCTGTGTAACAAAGACGAGTACAGGTGAGATGTAGTTGATGAATGGAGGGAGGCCTACCACACAGCTGAACAATAGATCCCAAGATACGCCTTGAATAGTGACTCAGGATTGAAACTTCAACCTATAATTCTGGAATACTCTGCTTGTAATATTTTTTTGTATGAAGAAAAGTGAAATAAATGTTATTACCAACTCTGATTCAAGAAATCACTTTAAGTCATGTTCAGAATCACTGTTCATCATATTCTGAGTACTTAGCATTGTAATGATTTGGCAAAATTATGAGTTATTCTGGCATTCCTAGATAAAGTTTAATTACATTTATCTTATTTATCAAGCAATCTAGCATAACTTGGCAAACATGGAACAGCAAGTTAATTCACTATGTTTTACCCCCTTTTTGAGTAAATGAAAGATTTTCTGTGCATAAGATTTAATTTTATGCACAGTATGACAAATCCAAAATTCCTTTGAAAATCATCATTACAAAGGCAATATTAAATATGATACACCTAGTTACCTGATGACAAGGCTTATTAATATGTTTGTAATAAGAGATTAAACTTTAAGATATTTATAAAAGAGCTGAAAGACCTCAAGATCTCCATTCCCGTTTTTTACCAAGAAGATTTTTTCACTTGAAACCCTATAATTTCAAAGACCTGAGAGCTCATTACTGCATTTTAATAGAGAAAATACCTTTGAATTGTATGGCTCTCTGAAACTCTGATTAAAAAAATCAGAATTGGTTTACATTATCTAAATAGCCAAAATGAAAACTAGGCAATATTCTGGTAATCTGGGAATTGTGTAGTAATATTTTAACTGAAGGATTAATGTTGCTAAATTTGGGACTTTGAAACATGAGCCATTGTTTTGAGTAAGCTGTTTTTTTGTTTTGTTTTGTTTTGTTTTTTTTGTTTTTAGCAGTATTATGAGATTACTAGGTGAAATGGGAATGGGTGGACTCAACATAACTTCTACCTTTCCCCAGTTAGCAAGGGTGAGTTTATTAGAGTAGCAAAATTGTCACACTGAAAATTGTCATGGGCCAGACCTCAAATGTGAGATGTAGTTAGCTTTGATGGACTATTTCAGCCAAGTATAAGTAGGCAGAAGCAAGCAGGGTGGAAAGCTTCCAGGCATTGTGACATCATGGAAGGGTAGGTTTTGATATACCAGGCCCTGACTCCCTATCCATAATTATGGCAGTAAGCCAAGAGATATATAGTAACCTTTATTAGGAGTTTCTGCTAGATACTGTGCTAAGAATTTTATATACAGTAACTCAAAGGAAACATGTTATTCCATTCTACAGAGGGAAAACTGATTAATTAACACATATAACTTACCTAAGGCCACAGATAGCCAGGATTTAATTTCAGGCACTCTGATTCTGAAGTTGAGGTACTTTAATGCCACCTTACAGTTAGAAATGGGAAACTAAAATGCCCATTTTAGCCAGGAGATGTTGTGAGCGAGTGACACAAATTGAGTGAAAAACAATCAGGAGTGATGGGCCTTATGGAAAACAGACAACCTCATGCTTATTCCTTATAAATGTTTTATTTTAATGTTCTTTGTCTTGTTATTTTCTTTTTTTTTTCTTTTTAAATTTAACTATAACTTCTGGAATACATGTGCTGAACTTCCTCATTTGTTACATGGGTATACATGTGCCATGGTGGTTTGCTGCACCTATCAAACCGTCATCTAGGATTTAAGCTCGCATGCATTAGGTATTTGTCCTAATGCTCTCCCTCCCCTTTCCCCCCACTCAAGATATATTAAAGACTTAATGAAACATAAAATCATAAAAACCCTAGAAGAAAACCTGTGCAATACCATTCAGGACATAGGCATGGGCAAAGACTTCATGACTAAAACACCAAAAGCAATTGCAACAAAAGCCAAAATTGACAAATTGGATCTAATTAAACCAAAAAGCTTCTGCTCAGCAAAAGAAACTATCATTAGAGTGAACAGGCAACCTACAGAATGCGAGAAAATTTTTGCAATGTATCCATCTGACAAAGGTCTAATATCCAGAACCTTCAAGGAACTTAAACAAATTTACAAGAAGAAAAAGAACTCCATCAAAAAGTGGATGAAGGATATGAACAGACACTTCCCAAAAGAAGACATTTATGCGGCCAACAAACATATGAAAAAAAGCTCATCATCACTGCTCATTAAAGAAATGCAAATCAAAACCACAATGAGATACCATCTCACGCCAATTGGAATGGTGATCATTAAAAAGTCTGGAAACAACAGATGCTGGTGAGGATGCAGAGAAATAGAACACTTTTACACTGTTGGTGGGAGTGTAAATTAGTTCCACCATTGTGGAAGACAGTGTGGCGATTCCTCAAGAATATAGAACCAGAAATACCATTTGACCCAGCAATCTCATTACAGGGTATATACCCAAAAGATTATAAATCATTCTACTATAATGATACACACATACATATGTTTATTGCAACACTATTCACAATAGCAAAGACTTGGAACCAACCCAAATGCCCATCAATAATAGACTGGATAAAGAAAATATGGCACATATACACCATGGAATACTATGCAGCCATAAAAAAGAATGAGTTCATGTCCTTTGCAGGGACATGGATGAAGTTAGAAACCATCATCCTCAGCAAACTAACACGGGAACAGAAAACCAAACTCTCATGTTCTCACTCATAAGTGGGAGTTGAACAATGAGAATACATGGACACAGGGAGGGAAACATCACACACCGGGGCCTGTTTTGTTATTTTCTAAATTTAAGAGCATCTACTGGCCAAAGAAAACTTCAGCACGGTTTGCCAATTAGCAGCCACACAAAGAGGGGATGAAGTCCATGAACTTTGTCAAAAGTCAAACCTGGACAATCAGTCTTACTATTTTTTTTTCTTCTGAGAAATAAGTGGATAATTTCCGATTAACACATGCATCAACTATGAAAACAATAAATGGTTGACAGTGCTCACAAAGCTTGCCCTATCTCTTTGTCCTTTGTTCTCGTACCTTCCAGGTGCAGATGTGTCCTAGAAATAAAAAAAAAGCCTGAAGTATTCACTTCATTGGTGGACTTCCGCCCTCTAAACTTAAGAATTCAAACATTGAGATTCAAAGACGTAGAGATGGCTCTTGCTATTTCCTCCACCACAAGCCTCCAGAGCGGCTTTTCCTTAACCGTCACTGCATGGAGTAGAATGGGCAGAGGAAGAGGAGCTTTTTCTTTGTAAGTACAAAATAATAAGCTGAAATATCGTTTTCCCCAACTATGCCCTATACTTACTGTGCTGTGCAACTCTGTACTTATTCTTTCTCCTTTACTTCTCATTATTGTCATGCCCTTCTCCTCATAAGAGACAGTACAGACTAGGATCTATAAACCTAGACTCTACAGTCAAACAAACTTAGGTTTGATTCCCCTGCTCTTAAATGCTGCTTGTGTGCAACTTATTTCATTTATGAGAGCTCTGGCTTTCTTATGTGTAAAATCAAGATAGTAGTACTTGTATACAATTGTTGTAACAGTTAAATGAGTTAATGCCTTGTAATTGCACATGTTCAGTAAAGGGCCCTTGTTATGATTATGTCTATTTTTTAATCTTCTCAGCCCTGGACACCCAATTCTACTGTTATTTGCATCACCAAACCTTAAAGTCTTAATAGACATATTTTCTCTGCATCTCCCATGTGTTTATTAGTCCCATGTTTCAATAGATGTCAAATAAATAGTTGTGCAGTATAATTATTCTTATATAATTTTAATACCTATTCCAATATGTCATAAAAAGTTGTGTCATTTATTTTTCTATATCTTAAATTATAATGCTGTAAAGGTAAAATCCATATCTTATTTACCACTTATACCCATTGATGTCCAGTGTTGTAACTTGTTGATATTAATTACCCAAAAACATGTATTGAACAACTTCCACACCCTTTCAAGCCTTATATGGAAGTATAACGTACAAATATTTAGTCGTTAAATTTTAGGTGTACAAGATGATAATGAGATGTAAATGAACAAACCCACATAAACCACCACGAAGGTAAAATAATAGATATTACTAGCATATCACCAGCACTCCAGAAACCTCCTCTTCAACTCTGCCAATCAATGCTCCCACCTCCCACACTGATAATCACTATCCTGACATCTAACAACCTACAGTAGTTTAGTTTTGTCTGTGTTTTAACCATGTGTATCTATGTATAATATACATACACAGATAAGAGTGTTTATTATTTTTTCTTCTGATTAACAATATATATAAATGCATGCCACTGTATGGAAAAAAATGTTCCTTCATTGTAATTGTCAGTAGCATTTCATTCTGTGCATATTCCATAATCTATCCATTCCAGTGCTAATGGAAATATGTTTTGTTTTCCTATATGGAAAGTTTAAAATACACTCCTAAGTAACACATAGGACAAAGATGATATAATGGAAATTAGATGTCATTACTTTATAGTCTTTGATGTATACATTAGAAAAGAAGAATGCTCAAATATAAATCAATAAGCTGAGAGGTTATAGGTATAAGTCATTTATTCTGAGAAATTGGAAATTGCAAAAAGAATAAATTTAATTAAGAGAAAGTAGAGAAATAAAATAGTTAGATTAAAGGAATATAGAGAAATAATAATAAATATTATAAGCTTAGGATATAATGAAACCTTTAAAACACACAATAGAGAGTATCAATAAAATCAAAAAGAACACTTTTTGAGAAGTGTTCCAAATTGACACATTTTGGCAAGAATAATCAAAGAGCAATAAAAAATATTTTATTACCAATATAAATAAGGGAAGTGGGGTCTTCACTACAGATTCTATGTTCACAAAAATAGTAATAGGTTATTCTGGACAACTTTATGTTAATAATACATAAAATTTTTATATAAAATGGGCAACTTATCTAAAAAGGCCACAAAAAGTGACAAACAGAAATTTAAAACCTGACTTTTTAAAGATCTATTGGAATACAAGAGTCAGGAAGGATACAAAAGCAAAGAAAATATTTCCTTGGTTGCAAACAGCATGTAATCTAGTGGAGTAATTGACTCGTAAGATGGAGAATATAATAGAGAATCAAAGACATATAGATATTGTATTTTGAGAACTTCTGATTTTCCATAATTTTTTCAAACCAACTGAAGAAAACCAAAAAATTCTAGATGGCATAGTATTCTTAAAAGAAAATTGACAGCATCCAAAACCTGGCAAGCTAATACAGTATTATTTCTACAAAACCTGAAGGGAAAATGGAAACTCAGGGATGAACAAGTTAGTTTTTCCTTCAAGATATTAACTCATCCTGAAAATTTGGATGTTCCTTTTTGCATTCTCTCATGGGTAACAGAAAAGAAGTTAAAGAGCAAGACTTACACAATGTAGGAAACATAACCCCACATTGTCTAGTTTCCTAAAGCTCTACATCTTCTAGATAAGGTTGGATCAGATTGTCTTGGGTATTTTTGTTGCCTAGTTTCATGTGGACTGAGTAGTCTAAGGAATCTCATTATTTGAATTTTGTTTAAGGTGACTTAAGACAAATAATGGCTCTAGGTATGTGAGAAAATCAAGTATAAATCATCTGCAGAGGAGTACCTATTCATCCATCACCTGATATTATTTATAAATATAATTCTACAAAATATAATAAGCATCACACCATGAAGGCATCAAAGCAAAGAAAGGAAGAAGCTACTATGATAAAAGGTGATGGAAACAGACCAGAAAAGACATTAGAAATGGAAATTATCACACATATTTTAGTGAAAAAATACAAACCAAAAATATCTCTAAGCAATAAACTATAAAAGGTGATCAACACTCTGTTATAACTGATTATTCAGAAGAGAAATAAATAAAATTCAATTGACAGTGGTATAGGCTTACTGAATACAGCAGCATTTTAGGTGGTCAAGGAGGGTTTTTACAGGGAAGGATAGGATAGAAAGTGCTTTTCAGATGGGAAAGATCTCCTGAGTAAAGACATGAGGGCGTGAAGGCATTATATATCTTTTAAAGATGAAGCATAGTCCAGTTTGGTAAATGGAATATATGAGAAGGAGAGCTGAAAATGAGGTTGGTGAGGAAAGTTAAAGGTGAGGCCCCACAAAGATTGAATAGACGTTACTAGTATTATCACTTTTCCTAACCCAAAATCTAACAACTTCTCTAATCTAAAACCTAAATAAAATTTATCACCTAGCCTTGTCATCCAGAGGGCTCCTAATCCAATTATTTCAGGCAACTGGAGAAAAGACCTGGAGGTAATCTCCCAGAAGCAAAAAGAAAGAAAAACTTCTATTACTGTGTAAAATAAGAAGAAGAAGAAGAAGAAAAGCATTGGATCCTGAATCAACTTAAAGCATATTTAAAATTTTATGGTGGGTAATGAAAAAAGATATCTCTGGTAGACTTTTTAAAATTCTTAGCATGCTCATGCATTCATGCAATAAACAAAGGAACAAATCATAGTGCATGGCATGAGAAGATACCACAGCTATATATTTGTTATTCTAGATGTAACTGTCTGTTAGAACAATAAAATGTGCTAGGATCAGGGACTTTCTTGATATATCTATCATCTCATGTAATTTCAATGTTAAAGATATGGTAAATAACAATGATCATATATTTGTAGTCAAAGAATGTCTTCTATTTAAGCTGATAGAATGAAAACCACACTGAGAAGAGAGAAAAGGTTTATGTCCTTGTCAGCACTGAGAATTTAGACATATTTCTAAAGATAACAAATGGATAGAAATGGATTAATGGACAAACTAAAGCAGAGAGAAACAGGAAATAGTGTCCTTGGGAAACGGCTAAAGATGAGAAATGTTTCTCTCTGAACAAAGAAGTTCAAATTTGAAGAACTGAGATTGAGAGAGTGGAAACGTGAGGGACAGAAATAGAACTTTAGGTTAATTTTAGAACCATTTATAGAACAAATATGTGTCACCATATCCCTTTCTTTTCCTACTCTTGTGTATGAAGAGTGACTGATACAGCTCATTTCACCCCCAGAATGAAATCGAGGGAGCTCTCTACAAACAAATAAGATAATCTTCCTGTGGGAAATTAAAGCTGCCAGAATGATGATAGAAAATTGTCCCTGGAACAAATTCCCTCATATTGCAATGACTGAAAACAGTGATTTATTTGTTATTATTTCTCTTGAGTCTGTACGTCAGGAATTAGAGCAGGGCTCAGCCGTGTGGTTCTCCTACACATGACACCAGCTGAGATGGCTCACTCAGCTGCATTCAGCTGGCAGTTGGTCTGAGCTGTAAGGCTTTAGTGTTCCTCCATGTGGTCTCTCTCTCTCTCTTTTCCTCTCTCTCTTTAGTGTCTGCCATCATTCAGTAGTTTATTCCAAAATCTTTCACATCTGGCTTCTCAGGGAGATCATTTCTCATGCACAAACCCTGATTTCAAGGCCTGAACAAGTCTTGCTCACTTCAAGTTTACTGGCATCCCATGAGTCAAAGCAATAGACTTTTACAACAACTTAGAAGAAGATACACTTTGCTTACTTTTGGAAACAGGTAGCCTGCCTGTTTCTTCCTCCAATCCCCAATAGTGAACTAGTATGCATAGAACTTGTAACCAGTTCTTGCATTCCAGTGAAAGGGTCATGTGGGGATACTAAATCTGTCCCCATCATATGCTCTTGTTGCATGAAATAGTTAAAGAAAACAAAGAACAGAGAGAAAAACAAAGATAGACTGTTGGTACAACCTACCAGCAGCGACTTTTGAAATCAAAGGTTTTTAAAAACTACATTCTAATTAGTAGACCGAAATTATCAAGGAAAGTATTATATCAATAAAACAAGATCAGATTGCCATTAAAATGGAAGAATCACAGAAGAAATAGCTATTGAAAATTAAAAATATGTCCCATCAATACCTAATTTATTGAGAGAAGGATATGAACAGACACTTCTCGAAAGAAGACATTTATGCAGCCAACAGACACATGAAAAAATGCTCATCATCACTGGCCATCAGAGAAATGCAAATCAAAACCACATTGAGATACCATCTCACACCAGTTAGAATGGCGATCATTAAAAAGTCAGGAAACAGCAGGTGCTGGAGAGGATGTGGAGAAATAAGAACACTTTTACACTGTTGGTGGGACTGGAAACTAGTTCAACCATTGTGGAAGACAGTGTGGTGATTCCTCAGGGATCTAGAACTAGAAATACCATTTGACCCAGCCATCCCATTACTGGGTATACACTCAAAGGATTATAAATCATGCTGCTATAAAGACACATGTATACGTATGTTTATTGTGGCACTATTCACAATAGCAAAGTCTTGGAACAAACCCAAATGTCCAACAATGATAGACTGGATTAAGAAAATGTGGTACATATACACCATGGAATACTATGCAGCCATAAAAAGGATGAGTTCATGTCCTTTGTAGGGACATGGATGAAGCTGGAAACCATCATTCTCAGCAAACTATCGCAAGGACAAAAAACCAAACACCACATGTTCTCACTCATAGGTGGGAATTGAACAATGAGAACACCTGGACACAGGAAGGGGAACATCACATACCGGGCCTGTTGTGGGGTAGGAGGAGCGGGGAGGGATAGCATTAGGGGATATACCTAATGTTAAATGACGAGTTAATGGGTGCAGCACACCAACATGGCACATGTATACATATGTAACAAACCTGCATGTTGTGCACATGTACTGTAGAACTTAAAGTATAATAAAAATATATAAAAAAAGAAAATTAAAAATATAATCACTTAAACAACAAACTTAAATAACAAAAGATAACCAGTAGCAGAAAACACTAAGAAAATTATTGAACATAGAGAACAAGGAGTGAAAAATATGTGAGGAAAATTAATGGAAATTAAGATTCAATATAGGATCTCCAAAAAAAAATCCCAGAAAACAGAAGAGAGAAAATAATCAAATAATAATATAAGAAAATTTCCCAAAGGCTAAGAAAGACAGGAGGCCTTAGATTACAGAAGACACACAAAGCAGTGAACAAAAATGAAAGTGATTCATGCCTAAATATATCCTCATGAAATTTCAGAAATTCAAATTAAGTGATCTTATATTAGATACACCAATAGTAAGACTGCTTGAGCTAGACAAAAATGCAGCAATGTCTTTGAACTCCTTAGGGGATAAATATTGTTAGCTAAGATTTCTATATGCAGCCAAACTAAAAAAAAAAAATGTGTAAGAGCAAAATAAAAACTTACTCAGATAGGGGCTCATAAGTTTAATTTTAATTAGCTTTCTTGGAAAAAAAAATAAGTAAGCTACAGTGAAACAAAACAAAGAAAAATGAAGATGAAGAAAAGAGAGTAGATAATATGAAGGATCCAACTCAGAGATCCAACAGATCAACCAAGAAGGACAATGAAAAGAAATTCCACATTCAGTTATGGCATTGATCACATGAAATGATTGTTTACTCTTAGGGAGTAAAAATAGATTGGAGAGAGAAGGGAGGCAAGTTTTTAAATCTTGTTTAATTTTATCAGTACACATTGAATTACAAAATATTTGCAGTACTTTATTTTTACAGTAATTTTAAAAGGAAAAATAGCAGAGAAACTTTGCAAATAGTTTTCTTCACTAGTAAAAATAAAGTGTCTTTTATAGTTATTAAGCTTTCTATGTTATGATATTCTTCTCATTTATATTTCTAAGATTATCTTTCATATAAATCTTATACCCTTTGGAATGTTTATTATTTCCTAGATTGGGCCAGAAAGTGGACTTGATTTTTATCTTTCCCTCTAAATCTTTTGGTCTTTTTTTTTTCTTCATGACCTGCCTTCTACTCAGTGTTTCTTTGATTAGATGTAGAATTGCTGACTGGAAGGTATTGCTCATGACTTTCTTGTTCTTTCTTTCTGATTAAGGACTAATTTAAAAAAATTAGGCTTCATCAAAAGAGCAACCTTATTCAAAACAGAAGAACATAGGCAATCAGCAAAGCTGTTCCTTTATAATCACAATGGACAATTTGCATTAAAAAGAAAAATAAAAGAAAAATTAAGGAAAGGGGGCAGGATGAGAAGAAAGGAGGAAGGGAGAGAGAGGACAATGGGGGTTGAAAAACATGTAACACTTCTTGTATAAAACATCTAAAAAGAGAACATTTCTCTGGGGAAGAAACTGGTTTTTGTAGGCATTATCTTATTAAACATGGTAACATACAACAAGCTGAAGACAATAAGAAAGTTTGTGATATGATAGAATTGTGATTCACAGAATGACAGCAAGGCTTAAATCATATTTTCCTTACCCTCCAGCTTTTATTTTGCTACTACATATTATAATTCAAAACCCTCACTTTGCAACTCTATAGATGTATCTAGGGAGGGCTCGAGGATTTTATGAAAGAATAAGAAATGAAAGTGTTTTTGCATATGTGCAATTGTGTGTGTGTGCATGTGTGTGCATATGCGTGATAATTGTGAGGATCTCACCATCCTTTATAGTAATCTGGAGGTTTAGTTTTTAAATAGGAACACAGTTTGAGCTATGTAATCAAGCCAAATCTATCTGACTCCTGTACTTAATTATCAGTCCTTTCTGAGTCAGAGATAATATGTGATTATCTCACAACAGAAAAATCTGGTTCAATATACATATGAAAGTGTCCAACAGTATTCCATCAGTTACATTCATGCAGAGCAGAAACCCCTACTTCATGGGGTTTCTGTGAAATCTTCAATGGCAGATTTCAAAACCCATGCCTTTTGTATTAGTTAGCTATTGTTGCATAACAAATCACCCCTAACTCAGTAGCTTAAAACAAAAATCATCATTCAGCTCACAGTTCTTTGGGTTGACAATTTAGCCTAAGTCAGCTAAACGGTTCTTTTGTTCTCAGCTGGACTCCTCCTTGAATCCGTTATTAGCTGCACTTCCACAGAATAATTCTGCTTCTGGGAGTAGGCCAGCTATTAGCTGGGTTGATGTGGAAGCAGTAGGACAATGTGTCTCTTATCCTTAACAGCCAAGCCACAGTGAGTCTCAAAATGGCTAGGCAGGCTTCTGAGAGAGCGAACATAAGCATGGAAAGCCTCTTTAAGGACTAAGCTTGAAACCCACACTTACTCATGTCTGCTACATTCTAATGTCCAATACCCCTAAACTGTATTCAAGAACTCTACCTCTTGATGGGAAGAAGAGAAAAGTCATATTAAAAGGCATCTTTGATACAAGGAATCAAATAATTGCAACTATTTTCGTAAATGATCTATGTTATCCTTTTAACTATACATTTTTGTATTTCCTTTAGGATCCTTCATCATTACATGTCAAATCCAAGACAAATTATAAATCTATTTTGAATATCAGGATTTAGCCCGAAATAAAAAGATGCCTTAACATTTAAAATCTATTTTTATAGTTTAGTGCATTGACAGATAAAGGGTAATTTTGTGTACTTAGAACATTTACTTTTGTCATCCTCACAACAATATCTGGTACAATGGTGAGTGTTGTATCCATTAACTTACTTAAATAGTAACAAAAATACTAGGAGATAAATGCTATTATTACTCATAATTTACAGAAAAGAAAACTGAGTCTTAGACATTATAAGGAACAGGGACTGAAACACTGCTTACAAGCGTAAATCATTTTTAAGTTGTAAACACAAAATCTCTTGATAATGGTCACCACTTCAATAAAAAGGCATCTCTATACATTTCCAATTTCCTCTCCCCATTCACAGTTCAAAATCTTCCAGAAACAGCTCATATTTTCTAGCAATGATGATTAAGCTTACTTTGCAAGGTGCTCTGCGGAGCAAGAGTGTAAAGTCCATGTCATCACAGAGTTGACAGCCTTTGTGGCCTAAATTCATTGAGCACTGAAATAGCTGGGAAATATAGAATAAAAACATGTGTGAAACTCGAGCTTCATGCCTTGGATTTTAGAGGAAAAGGAATCCTACAGTGGATCTAGAAAGAAAGTCCAGCTTCAAAACATTTCATCTATACTTGCATTAGTTAAAGATTAGGGAAGCTTCTCTTTGAGGAGGAAAATATCCAATGAGTTGGTCGAATAGTCATGCCTACTTCAGTGTCTTTTGTTTTAATTAGATCACAGCCTAGCTGATTAACTGAATCAGGAGTAGCAGACTTGAAATGGAGCCAAGAGAGTTTATGGGAATTGAAAGAATGGGGAAAACATGGAAGGGATAAAAAAATGTATTTATGTATTCATCAACCAAAAAGATTGCTAAGGTTGGAACAGCACTTAGTCTGATGGCAGAGATAGACAGATTAAAGTGAAAATGATCTTGTTCCAAGTTATTATTTGGGTAAAATTTAAGTGATTTCCCAAGATAGGAAGGAAAACCTAGACCTGTGAAGAAATTATATTCGTTATTGTCATTTTTATTTATGATTATTATTAGATGTTGAGAATGCTCAGATTTGCAATTTCCTGAGTGGAGATGTGCAGTATCAGAAGTGGTTTTACTGATGAGGTGATATTTGAGCAAGGTCTTAAAGAGCGAGTAGAACTATGCCACATATTCTGTGCTGCCTATCTCTGAATACTGAAGTTGTGTGCTGTGAGATGTGATTGTTTAGCAACCATGGCTTGTGCTCTGCCTTGTATAACAGAGGCATAGCATGACAAGTAAAGGGTAACAATTATGGAACTCTAATTGTGATTTCCAGGGCTGTTTCCTTAGCTTTGGGAGTTAATTTTAATAGCTACAGAAATCGATGAGATACCATGCTTTGCTGTAAGTCTTTCACACAGTGATGCTGCTAATTGCTCCTTAACTGCAGGTCTGACTGTTATCAACCTTACTTTTCAAGTGATCCTGTTCTGGTGTAATTCTCCTTTTAATAGCTATTTGTACAGAACCAAAGAACAGCAGAGCCAGAGTGGCCCTGGGAGACATCTTGTGCAGAATTCTATCATCAGAGATCTTTCTCCAGACATAATCCTATTTAACATTGTAAACAAATCAAAGAGGAGTGCTCTACTTGAGGAGCCTTGTGTGGCCTGATCTGTTCAACCACTGCCCAGATTCATAGTTGTAGTGACCCCAAAAGAACCCCAAGGGCATCTTGTCGCATTTTCAAAGACAGTGAAAATCAGTCTTATGTAAAACCTGTTTTTACAGGCAAGGGAACTGATACCCAGAAAAGTTAACTGATTACTTGAGGTCACACAGAAAAGAGTTGTCATTGCTACCCAAGATTCATGTCACCTTCTACTCTACCATAGTTAATATCCTATGTCCCTTTAGAAATAAATATCATGGATTGGGCACATAGTTAAGAATATTAGTTTGGCCACTTAGAATGAAGCTCATTTTATGCCATCTCCTCACATGAAACAACTTGCCGAACAATTACTCTCAAAACCTCAAGAGCTTGTTAACAACACAATACTAACAATGTGAGTTCCCTCACATGACTCCAGAATTAATGAACTAAAATTTCCCAGGTCAGAAGGAGAGATCAGAAATCGCATAAGATTTTTCAGGTGATTCTGAGGCGGTCCACCAGGAACTGGGCTCAGCTTTTGTCACTAGGATGATTGTTCTAGGGACATTGTGACTTATAAAACTTTGGAATTTAGAACTAGTGCAGAAGAATATATGAATGGTATTTAACAAAGACAGGATGATCTCAGCTGGGGAAAAATTACATATTGAGTTTATTAACATCTGTAGTTTGGACAAGCAGTTATCTTCCCACTTGTCTCATTTTACATACTGCTGCTTAAAACTCATTGCTTGTACATTATCACATAATCACAAAGTCCAATGGGAAGGGCTATGGAAGTTATACTAATAACTTCCTTCAGTAGTCCCTCTATATGTAAGCATCTGACAGTGAGAATCTGCTAGAGTAGGATTTTGGCCTCCAAAATTAAGACTGCCAAAGGTCTCTTGGGAAAGCTCAATATATGTATTCTAACTTCATGATGTTTACATCGGAAAATTCAAATTCATCCACAGAAGGTAAAGCAGGGATGCTTTTCTTTGTAAAATAATTAGTTTTACAGAAATTGAAGAGATCTTAGAGATCAACAGTTTATCCCAATATTTTTACAGAGAAGGATCAGGTCCGAGGTCCATACCTAGACACCTCATTAGTAGCAGGGTTAAGATTTGAATCAAAGGCTGGGAGAGTAAATATTTTGAATGAATTGCTAAATGGGATACAAAATAAAGTTCCCCAAGAATGATGTATACATGAAATTTGAATAAGGTCAGAATAAGTGAAAACCAAATGGGATAAATAGGAAATTAAATTCAAATTAGCAAACAGATTACCTGGAAACTTTGGAAATAATCACTATTGTTTTTCAACTTGCATTGATTTTAAATAAAATTTGGATACACAGTAGTATAAAAGGAAGCAATTCATCCTCTCTAGTTCCTCAGCAAAGGGGAGAAGAAGAAGCAAGGCCACACTCAATTCTTAAGATGCTGTGATTTTAGATGAAAAATTTTCTACAAAACACAAGCAAAAGGCCAGCATAATAATGAAAAAGATTCTAACAGCTTTCAAAACAACAACAACAACAACAAAAATACTCAGCCTTTTAAGCAGATATGCACACCCTTTTACTTATTTTTTTGTTTGTTTTTTAATTTTACTTTAACTTCTGGGATACATATGCAGAAGGTGCAGGTTTATTACATAGGTATACCTGTGCCATGGTGGTTTGCTGCACCTATCAAGGTTTTAAGCCCTGCATGCATTAGGTATTTGTCATCAAGGTTTTAAGCCCTGCATGCATTAGATATTTGTCCTAATGCTCTCCCTCCCCTTGCACCCCACCCCCTGACAGGCTCTGGTGTGTGATGTTCCCCTCCCTTTGTCCATATGTTCTCATTGTTCAACTCCCACTTAATACATGAGTTTTATACACTGAAATGCAGTGTTGGACAATATTCATGATCTACTTGGATGTGACTTTGGCTATGGCTTAAACAGTTCCTGTGAAAGGCATGTGAAAGGGGCAGTTCTACTTCCTGATCAGAAGCAAATCAAGGAGACTGTGCTGTCCTCACTGCCTTCCCACTCGCAGCTATCTCTTTTTGCCAGCCCTGGCTGGAGCAGTGGGAAAGGAATAGGGGATACCAGAAATGCTGCTTTGGATGGTGAGGTGGTCTCAGTCTGTGCGCCAAGGCAGCAAGTGTGGTACTTGGACAGACATTGTCTTCACAACCAAATAGTGCAATAGCTTTGAACTTTGCTTTCTCCCCAAGATCTTGCACAAATTATTTCTTCAGTCTGATTTTGTGCCATCTCTGGGCCTCAGTTTTCTCATTTTCAAAAGGATAAAGATGAGAATACTAGCTCTGTCTCATATTTGCTGAGTTTATTTATTTTCATACCTGAAGCAAAATAAGTTTTTCATAATAATTGGTCTCTTCTATCTTCACCATAGCCTCCATGCCCAAATGTCTTTCCTTTGACACGTATATCAGTTACCTTGTATTGTATAATGAACCAGCCCAAAAGATTTGAAACAACAAACATTTCCTGAGCTCATGGTTCTGTAGATTGGCAATTTCAATTGGACTTTATGGTGTGTTATGGATTTGGCTAATCTTGGCTGGCGTTTCTCATGCCTCTTCATTCAGCTAGTAAGTGAATCAGGGCTGTCTGAGACACAGGGGGCCTCACTTCGTGTGGAGATCTGGGGCTTGTTCCCATGAAAATAATGGAGGCACCAAGAAAGCAGATCAGAGTGGAAACTGTAAGAAAGCAGAGTGGGATCTGTAAGACCTCTTGAAGTCCAGGCTTGGAACAAATGCAATGTCTCTTCTGTGAGTTTGTTTTGGATAAATCCAATCATAAACCCAGCCCAGATTTATGGGTTACACAAGAAATTCCATCTCTTGATGGAGAAGCTAAAAAAATTGGTGCAATTTTTGAAATGCAAGAAAAAGCAGGTAAGCTCTTTCTAAACAGTATTTTAATTGATGGAAGAAGCATGGTACTACATGGCAGAATGCTTGGCTCCTGGTCACTTCACTGAATCTGACTATTATCATCCACAGTGCAGAGCATTTGTACCAAATGCTCTATTATTTTAATTTAAAATTGCATCTCCTTGTGATTCATCCCAGGGCTAAGACAAGCATGCATGCCATGCATTTATTTATTTGGGAGTTGGGGGCTTCTCCTTTTATTTCTTTCTGACAGGTGTCCTGGGAAATCCTTCTGGAGCAGCAATCTGGCCCTTCTTATCATTTTGCCAATCTGATTACCCTAGGGTAGGGTGATTTAACAGGAGTAATTAATCATTGTGTTTTCTGAAATTGGAAGCCAAGGCACATTAGCCTCATACCAGAGAGCATGTATGCAAGTGAGGGGGTTATGAAGGAGTGTATGTAATGAGAGAGGTGAGAGTCTTATAATTAAGGAGGAGTATAAATAATAATGAAAGTCATTAGTGCCACTTGGTTGAAAGAATGTCATAAATGTACTTGGGACATTAAAGTGAAATCCATTATGACAAACATTAACACATACAAAGGACGGGGAAAATGTGGTTATCTTGGGTTTGACAGATAGTGTCAGCTTCCAGTGGGGCCCAGATGGCATTCAGGAAAATGTTATGAGCAGTTTTATTTTAATATTTTTGGTTATGTGATATTTGGGAATCAAATGACACAAACACATGAGGAATTTTCACATGCCTGGCCTTGAAGAGGCTGGCAGAGAAGAGAGGTCACTGAACGCAGTGGCAGACTGGAGGACTTCCATCTCAGAGGCACGACTTTTTTTCCTTGGTTGTTGCGATAACTCAAGGCATATGATGCGGTCTGGCATTTTTCCTCTGTGAAATTCCCTGTTGAACCAGTTTGGAGTTTGGATGCTTTCTTTAAAAAATAGCAAAGTGTGGGGGGAGCGACAGGGATGAGAATGAGGACATTTAAACAATTATGCAGGAAATTATATGATGCTAAAATTGAACATGGACAGGCTGTTCAATGGCAGGATTCCCACTCGTGCTGAGCTTTGCAAAGGGGAAGATTTTTTTTTCTTTTGCTTTCTCTCCAAGACTGTAATTTTTGAGCAGGAAATAATTCAGAGTATAAAACAAAAGAAAAAATTAAATATATGTAGAGTGGAAGCACAGAGAAACAAAAAGGAGGCAGTTGTAAAAAAAAATTAAGATGAAAAATGTGTGTGTGTGTGTGTGTGTGTGTGTGTGTTCAAAGTAAGGGAGTGATAAATGCTGGTGATGGTTTGGGAAGAAAAATGTTCCTCTCTGGGATTTCTTTTCAGGGTAGTGCAGACTCAACAGGATCATATTCCTGACACACAAGCGTATCATGAGGACTCAATAGGTCTATATACATTAAAGGCTTAGTACACTGACTGACAAATGGTAAGTCCTGAATAAATGGGAGCTATAATAACTATTATTATAAGTGTTATTGTTATTGTACATCAGGCCTGGTGGAGCAATCCATATATTTGGGAATCTAAAATTATTTATGCATGATGGGAAAGAGGGAGGGATAAACTGATATCTGTGTCAAGCCTACTACATGCAAAGAGATTTAGCTAATATGTTAGCTCGTATAATCTATTGCAAAGCTGCTCATTAGGTGTTATTGACTACAGTTGAGGAGACAAAGGATTGGATAGTTCAATGCATGTAAAGCAGTATAACAGTCACCAGCACATAATAAATGCTCAATGAACATTACCTCTCATGATTGTCATGCTCAAAGTCACACCAGTATCTACTGGAAGAATCCAAATTTCAATCCCTTTCTTTTTTATTTCAATGACACCAAGCTGACTCTTACTTGACTCACCAGGAACAATCTACAGCTCACAAATGGACATTCTATAGTGAAGGCTTGGGATATAAGAGCAAGGCTTTTTGTATTCCTATGCAAGGGCATACAGAGCGATATCATGGACTTTAGAGACTCAGAAGGGGGAGGGTGAGAGGGCGGCAGAGATTTTTTAAAAAAGACACATTAAGCACAATGTACTAAAACCTCAGAAATCACTACTATATAACTCATCTATGTAACAAAAAAAGAAACACTTGTACCCCTAGAGCTATTGAAATTAAATAAATGGTAAGACTTTGAAGACTGCAGCCAGAAAATTGGGTGGAAATCTCTGCAATAGTCCTTCAGAAGTATGGTTTTTGTAGTGCACGTGTATGGCACATTCCTTTCAAGGAAAGACTAGTCTGGGCTCCTGGGAAGACTTAGCAGAGAGTCTTCTGTTGTTTTCCCTTCAGGATTGCTTTGTTTGTCAAGAATCACTTGATACGAGGTCATGGCTATCCTTGATACAGTCCATATCTGATGACTGAAGGCTATGGGCATATAAAGGCCTAGACATCCCAACTCAGTATGAAAAATTCTAAAGGG
This sequence comes from Homo sapiens, assembly GCF_000001405.40. Classification (NCBI taxonomy): domain Eukaryota; kingdom Metazoa; phylum Chordata; class Mammalia; order Primates; family Hominidae; genus Homo; species Homo sapiens. Next base: position 35,604,263 of record NC_000003.12, read on the forward strand.
CCATTAGAGCTCCTCATTGGTGTGTTTGGGAGAAAGGGGCATTGGCTACAGCTGTCACTGGACCTGCATCGTGACTCAACTTCTACATCCAATCCCACAGTCCTTTCTCTCCCTTCACAGGAGTTCACCCCAAGTGCTCTTTTAAATAAACATTATACACTCTAAACTGGCTCAGAATCTGATTCCCAGGGACCCCAAGTGGTAAGAGAATTGAATCTGCTAAGGGAAGTGGTATGATAATAACCTAAGTGATTTCATAATATCCACACTGAGCAGGATCATTTAGGGGGCTGAAGAAGTTTAGTCAATATTTCCATCCCACCCTGACAAGATGCCATCCCACATTCAGGATCATGCCTGAAACCAAAGAACATTATTTGTGCACCTCTGTACTGTGCGGCGCATGCCAGAAACCAAAGGACATTATTTGTGCACCTCTGTACTGTGCGGAACTTCCCCCGGTGTGTGCTTTTCTTATTATGATTATTATTTTATTTTTTGAGACAGAGTTTCACTCTGTCACCCAGGCTGGAGTGCAGGGGCGCCATCTCGGCTCACTGCAACCTCCAGGTCCCATATTCAAGCAATTCTCCTATCTCAGTCTCCCGAGTAGCTGGGATTACAGGCATGCGCCACCACTCCCGCCTAATTTTTTGTATTTTTGGTAGAGACAGGGTTTCACCATGTTAGCTAGGCTGGTCTCAAACTCCTGACCTCAAGTGATCCACCTGCCTCGGCCTCCCAAAGTGCTGGGATTACAGGCGTGAGCCACAGCACCCAATCCCCGTGTATGTGTTTTGATGTAGAAAAAAATTATGTTTAAAATGAACAGCAACAACATCAGGAGGAAGGAAAAGGGAGTCATAAAAGGGCAACATTTGGGCTGAGAAGGCTATGTAGAGAACAACCTTCAGTGCCTCTTGATTTAGGAAACCTCATTTGCAACTCTAAATAAAAGAGACCAAAACCTGGACTTATGTAAAAGGGGCTGAGGAAGAACATGCAGAAGCTAGAACTTGGCTTAATTTTGCTTACTTGTTTTTAAATTACATTTTTATATATTTTAAATTTCACAAGTAGTATCTGAATATAATCTCATAATTAAAAAGAAGCAAATACATTAGCCCTTTAAAAATCTAATAATCTTCAACCCATCCTGCTCAGCCTAGAAGTTTCCCTTAAGTAGGGAAGATTGCTGGGCTAGAGCTTCTTTTGTATTAGTGGATAATGTTTTTACTTATTTGTTTTTAGAATTTTTAATTCTGCTTTTTGTCTATGTGTTTTAATTTGTACTTTTAAAAAATATTTATTCCTTCAAACACTTAGGATTATTTGTAGAAATTTGTTTATATTTTTAATTTTTTTAAAAAAAAGAACATCACATTTGTAGCAATATTCCTCCTCTACTTCCCGAAGGCCTATTTGTATCTTCTTTCTTTTTTCTTAGAAAATTGTCTGGTTTGCAAAGTATAAACTATTTTGGAAAAAAATCTTTGTTAAAATTATAATGAGTCTATCTTTTTTATTCTTTTAATTTTTGGTTTAAGTCTGCACTTTTCTTTTTCAGTTGAATATTTAAATAATCACTTTTCAATTATTCTATCTACCTATCTTCTGTCTATCTACTTATCCATCTGTCATTTATAGGGCTATGAAATCCCCTCTGAGCACAGCTTTAGCTCCTTCCCACTGACATACAAAGGTCTTCTCTTTTAAACAGTTTTTTTTCATGATTACATTTTTAAACAATTGATTATTTTAAGAGTGTGCAACTTAATCTCCCAACATGTTTTGAGGGACATTCACCATCAAACTATTGTGGATTTCTAATTTTATTTCATAAGGTTAGGAAATACATTTCTTTTTTTTTTAAATCAGTGATGATTTCTTGTGGCTTATATGATATGTATTCAAAATGTTTCATGTGTTTGAAAATAATGCATATTTTTCTTTGGAAGGTATAACGTACTATAGAAAGCCTCAGGATCATACTTGTTAATTGTGTCATGTAACTCTAATTTTTTACTATTTTTCCATTTTTGTAAATTTGTCAGTTCCTTCTATGAATTCTCCTATTTCAGCTTTATACATACTTGTAGCTATTACAAAATGTCTTTGCATTTTCAAAATTCCAGCATTAGAAACAAATTTCTTTTTATCTAAATAGATTTCATTATCAAAAAATATCTATTGGAATGCCATCAGTCTTGGAAAAGGTGATACTTCCAGCTACACTGGCAAACACAAGGTACTTCTACCATGCTTCTGCCCTCCTGGGTTTTTGTCAGCTTTGGCTAATTGATCAAGGTCTTCCTTCCTGCAGAGTCCAGATGCTACTTTGGAACATATCACTCAAGTCAGTTGCTACCAACTGATAACAGTTTGCCCTTCAGTCAATAAAACCTATTTTCTCTTCCTCCTTAAAACATTGTCAAGTCAAGATAAAAAAAAATGCAATTGAGCAGTGTCTACCAGGTTCAGAGAAAAACATCAAATTAATATTTTCTCAGTCAAGCTATTATTCAAGGAAATAGGCCAACACTGTTAAGCATAGGCAATCTCAAGGTACAAAGTTTCTATGGGACCTTCTTGAAATAGCTACTTGACAAAATCTAGATAACAAAGAAGTGAATCAAAATTAAACAACCTTGCATTAGACAAGCTATGATAAGTGGAATCCATCAAAATATGATTAACCAATTATAGTTACAGGAAGTTACAGGACAGTAAGTAAATAATTTGTACTGCTATAATAGAAATGAAATATGTCACTGGGGAGAAAGAAGATAAAACCGCTGACCCATAATCCATATATCTAGTAATTAGTGAAAGAATGTTATTGAGACAGGAAAAAGGCTGTTGACTCAGCCTAATCTTCTTGTAAACATATTGATAAATGAACCTCTTGGTAAATGGTCTAATGATAATTTCTAGGAGTATAGGCTGTTATCTATGAAGTACTGCTAACTAAATGTTCCTAGGTTAGGTTGCTTATGATGGATAACATTAGTATAAATTGATTTATGAAGCATAATTCTCAAAGAATATCATAGAAGCTATATAACTATCTGAAGTTTCAAATAAAAATGTTTCATGACATTACTCACTCTGTAAGACTCTGGCAAATTTTCATTAGAGGCCTCATGTATTACTCTGGTGTGAGGACCTTTTGTCCCATAAAAGAAGGAAGAACCCAAGGAGCTATGCAGGGTCTCCGGGACCTCTGTTTGCTTTGCTTAGGCCTCTCAATTCTTGTATATTAAAATTATTAATCAAGCTTGAGATTGGGTATGATCATTGTGTGACTCAGATTTGACAAACAACTATTTATTTTTGCTGAGTAGCATAACTTGGGAGTTGATTAGGAAGAAGTGCAAAAATGTCTATTTCTTCTTGTTTCTTAGCATGGAGCCCAGTAATATTGCTCAGAATTAACACATATAGTTATTAAAAATGTTTTAATCTCAACATTTCAATGTTTTATTGTATCTAGTGTTCAACAAATTCTTTTATTTTATTTCCATTTCTTCTCCCTCTATATTCAAGTAATGTGTTATTAAAAGTAGCACATATCATAAATCTTTTTAAAAACAATTTCTTTATGTAACTACTGATTTTTCTATATTTTTGGGAGAACACACACTAGAAAGATTGTTTATTTCTTGAATTTTTTATAAAGGGTATGAACAACTTTAAAACAATAAATTATTTATCATTATTTATTTCAAAATGACCAACCAGCTCCTAGCTAGGGATTAATTTAACAAGCATAAGGTATTTTGGAAATACTAGATAATGGGGAGGAAAAGGATGAAAACATGGTAACCAAATTCCCGAATCCTAACATTTTGTCTCCCACCTGATACTTTGTACAAATTCTTAGCATAATTATCCTTCATTATTTCTGTATTTGTTATATGCTTACTATGTCCAAAGCAGTGTATTAAGCATTGACAGAAAGAAGAGAATCTTCCCTCAGGGTGCTTACAGCTCAAAGTAAAATGTGGATAGTTAAATCAGTGTGGTTTATTGTGAAGGGTAACAAGCTCTGTATAAAGTCTTATGGAGACCTGGAAGGTGTAAACAATAAATGGCTCAGGCAATTAAGAAAAGTTTCCATAAAGAGGTCTAGTGTACACATTAACGACATCTAATTTATAATATATTTGGCATTTTTAAGAATTTGACATTCCATTTTTCAAAATAACACCTTGAATGGGATGCAAAATACAACTTCACAACTGCCCGACATAGCCATGAAATAGAACAACCATTTCTTAGGCAGTTACATAACAAAGATCAAAGAACACTAGTTAGCAAACAGAGAAATTAGATTATAATCCTGATTTCAACACTAAACTATTGTAAAGAATGTGAATTTGTGAAGTGACATAAACTCTTTGGGTTTCATTGTCTTCATCATATAGGAAGTGGCGTTAAATAACATGACTCAATATGTTTTGTGCATAGGAATCTGAAACAGCCTGGTGTTATCATAGTAACACCATAATAATATAATAAAATTATAAATAATAATTATGAAATTTATAACAGAAGGAAGACCTGTGTAACTAAAATCCAAACTAGGAGGCATTGGTTTAGCAATCAGACAGGAAGTGGTAAGAAAACTGATATCGCAGGTTGAAAAGATGAAAAAATGTTTGGTAAAATTTTTACCTGCAGCAATCTAGAAAGCAAATCACATGCCTTACAAATGAGAGGCTGTACAAAAAGCTGGAGACAAATATGTCAGTTGTATGTGTATTTGTAGAATATTATGTGATACCTTTGGCAAAGTGTTAAAAGATGGAGCTAAACTCCAGATAGAATTGGCTGGTGTGTAAATAGAAATGTTGAAAACGTGTTAGAAAAGCAGAATGCTTCTAACCCTGGTTAAGATGCCTTATAAAGAGGTTTTGAATGGAAACATATCCAATAAACCTAAACATGTGATTAAAATGATGCATGTAAACATCTAAATAAGAGTGCAGCCTACATACTTTTTGTTAAAGTTTTTCAGTGGATAAATGTAATCAGGGAAAAGATTAGAAAGGGTATGACCTTCATACCTGTTGTTGCAGATATCCTCTTGGAAGCAGCCTAAAGAGAGAACTATGGGAGAAGACGGTGGGATGGTGAGAAAGGAGGGGACTGGAAAAAAAAAACAGTTAAGAAAACCACTGTGAGTGTAGTTATTGGCACATGAAATTTGCTGAAAAGAAGCCTAGTAAGTTTTGAAAGATAGCTACTATTAATTAAAAGAAAAAAAAAGAAAGAAATCAAGAGCTCAAGATTCAAAATGACCCTTTGGCTCTCAAAGTTCTGCAGGCAGGAAGCAGAGTAAGAAAGCTACACAACCGGCTCAGATAAACTAGGCAGATAATGAAAAAAGAGGAATCTCCTTTCCATGTTTAGCACTTCCTTCAGGAGCTCTTTTAGGGCAGGCCTCGTGGTGCCAAAATCTCTCAGCATTTGCTTATCTGTAAAGTATTTTATTTCTCCTTCACTTATGAAGCTTAGTTTGGCTGGATATGAAATTCTGGGTTGAAAATTCTTTTCTTTAAGAATGTTGTATATTGGCCCCCACTCTCTTCTGGCTTGTAGAGTTTCTGCTGAGAGATCTGCCATTAGTCTGATGGGCTTCCCTTTGTGGGTAACCCGACCTTTCTCTCTGGCTGTCCTTAACATTTTTTCCTTCAATTCAACTTTAGTGAATCTGACAATTATGTGTCTTGGAATTGCTCTTCTTGAGGAGTATCTCTGTGGCATTCTCTGTATTTCTTGAATCTGAATGTTTGCCTGCCTTGCTAGATTGGGGAAGTTCTCCTGGATAATATCCTGCAGAGTGTTTTCCAACTTGGTTTCATTCTCCCTGTCGCTTTCAGGTACACCAATCAGATGTAGATTTGGTCTTTTCACATAGTCCCATATTTCTTGGAGGCTTTGTTTGTTTCTTTTTATTCTTTTTTCTCTAAACTTCTCTTCTCACTTCATTTCATTCATTTGATCTTCCATCACGGATTCCCTTTCTTCCAGTTGACCGAATCGGCTACTGAGGCTTGTGCATTCGTCACGTAGTTCTCGTGCCATGGTTTTCAGCTCCATCAGGTCCTTTAAGGACTTCTCTGCATTGGTTATTCTAGTTAGTCATTCGTCTAATCTTTTTTCAAGGTTTTTAACTTCTCACTGCAAAACCATGCCAAATAGTAAAGACCATCGAGCCTAGGAAGAAACTGCATCAAATAACGAGCAAAATAACCAGCCAACATCATAATGACAGGATCAAATTCACACATAACAATATTAACCTTAAATGTAAATGGGCTAAATGCTCCAATTAAAAGACACAAACTAGCAAATTAGATAAAGAGTCAAGACTCATCAGTGTGCTGTATTCAGGAAACCCATCTCATGTGCAGAGACACACATAGGCTCAAAATAAAGGGATGGAGGAAGATCTACCAAGCAAATGGAAAACAAAAAAAGGCAGGGGTTGCAATCCTAGTCTCTGATAAAACAGACTTTAAACCAACAAAGATCAAAAGAGACAAAGAAGGCCATTACATAATGGTAAAGGGATCAATTCAACAAGAAGAGCTAACTATCCTGAATATATATGCATCCAATACAGGAGCACCCAGATTCATAAAGCAAGTCCTTAGAGACCTACAAAGAGACTTAGACTCCCACACAATAATAATGGGAGACTTTAACACCCCACTGTCAACATTAGACAGATCAATAAGACAGAAAGTTAACAAGGATATCCAGGAATTGAACTCAGCTCTAATAGACAAGCAGACCTAATAGACATCTACAGAACTCTCCACCTCAAATCAACAGAATATACATTCTTTTCAGCACCACATCACACCTATTCCAAAATTGACCACATAGTTGGAAGTAAAGCACTCCTCAGCAAATGAAAAAGAACAGAAATTACAACAAACTGTCTCTCAGACCACAGTGCAATCAAACTAGATCTCAGGATTAAGAAACTCACTCAAAACCGCTCAACTACATGGAAACTGAACAACCTGCTCCTGAATGAATACTGGGTACATAACAAAATGAAGGCAGAAATAAAGATGTTCTTTGAAACCAATGAGAACAAAGACACAACATACCAGAATCTCTGGGACACATTCAAAGCAGTGTGTAGAGGGAAATTTATAGCACTAACTGCCCAGAAGAGAAAGCAGGAAAGATTTAAAATTGACACTCTAACATCACAATTAAAAGAACTAGAGAAGCAAGAGCAAACACATTCAAAAGCCAGCAGAAGGCAAGAAATAACTAGGATCAGAGCAGAACTGAAGGAAATAGAGACACAAAAAACCCTTGAAAAAATCAATGAATCCAGGAGCTGGTTTTTTGAACAGATCAATAAAATTGATAGACCGCTAGCAAGACTAATAAAGAAGAAAAGAGAGAAGAATCAAATAGATGCAATAAAAAATGATAAAGGGGATATCACCACCGATCCCACAGAAATACAAACTACCATCAAAGAATACTATAAGCACCTCTACACAAATAAACTAGAAAATCTAGAAGAAATTGATAAATTCCTCGACACATACACCCTCCCAAGACTAAACCAGGAAGAAGTTGAATCTCTGAATAGACCAATAACAGGGTCTGAAATTGAGGCAATAATTAATAGCCTACCAACCAAAAAGAGTCCAGGAGCAGATGGATTCACACCCAAATTCCACCAGAGGTACAAGGAGGAGCTGGTACCATTCCTTCTGAAACTATTCCAATCAACAGAAAAAGAGGGAATCCTCCCTAACTCATTTTATGAGACCAGCATCATCCTGATACCAAAGCCTGGCAGAGACACACACAAAAAAAGAGTATTTTAGACCAATATCCCTGATGAACATCGATGCAAAAATCCTCAATAAAATACTGGCAAACCGAATCCAGCAGCACATCAAAAAGCTAATCTACCACGACAAGTGGGCTTCATCCCTGGGATGCAAGTCTGGTTCAACATATGCAAATCAATAAACGTAATCCAGCATATAAACAGAGCCAATGAAAAAAACCACATGATTATCTCAATAGATGCAGAAAAGGCCTTTGACAAAATTGAACAACCTTCATGCTAAAAACTCTCAATAAATTAGGTATTGATGGGATGTATCTCAAAATAATAAGATGTATCTATGACAAACCCACAGCCAATATCATACTGAATGGGCAAAAACTGGAAGCATTGCCTTTGAAAACTGGCACAAGACAGGGATGCCCTCTCTCACCACTCCTATTCAACATAGTGTTGGAAGTTCTGGCCACGGCAATCAGGCAGGAGAAGGAAATAGAGGGCATTCAATTAGGAAAAGAGGAAGTCAAATTGTCTCTGTTTGCAGATGACATGATTGTATATCTAGAAAACCCCATCATCTCACCCCAAAATCTCCTTAAGCTGATAAGCAACTTCAGCAAAGTCTCAGGATACAAAATCAATGTGCAAAAATCATAAGCCTTCCTATACACCAATAACAGACAAACAGAGAGCCAAATCATGACTGAACTCCCATTCACAATTTCTTCAAAGAGAATAAAATACCTAGGAATCCAACTTACAAGGGATGTGAAGGACCTCTTCAAGGAGAACTACAAACCACTGCTCAGTGTAATAAAAGAGGATACAAACAAATGGCAGAACATTCCATGCTCATGGGTAGGAAGAATCAATATTGTGAAAATGGCCATACTGCCCAAGGTAATTTATAGATTCAATGCCATCCCCATCAAGCTACCAATGACTTTCTTCACAGAATTGGAAAAAACTACTTTAAAGTTCATATGGAACTAAAAAAGAGCCCGCATTGCCAAGTCAATCCTAAGCCAAAAGAACAAAACTGGAGGCATCACACTACCTGACTTCAAACTATACTACAAGGCTACAGTAACCAAAACAGCATGGTACTGGTACCAAAACAGAGATATAGACCAATGGAACAGAAAAGAGCCCTCAGAAATAATGCCACATATCTACAAATATCTGATCTTTGACAAACCTGACGAGAACAAGCAATGGGGAAAGGATTCCCTGTTTAATAAATGGTGCTGGGAAAACTGACTAGCCATATGTAGAAAGCTGAAACTGGATCCCTTCCTTACACCTTATACAAAAATTAATTCAAGATGCAGTAAAGACTTAAACGTTAGACCTAAAACCATAAAAGCCCTAAAAGAAAAGCTAGGCAATATCATTCAGGACATAGGCATGGGCAAGGACTTCATGTCTAAAACACCAAAAGCAATGGCAACAAAAGCCAAAATTGACAAATGGGATCTAATTCAACTAAGGAGCTTCTGCACAGCAAAAGAAACTACCATCAGAGTGAACAGGCAACCTACAGAATGGCAGAAAATTTTTGCAACATACTCATCTGACAAAGGGCTAATATCCAGAATCTACAATGAACTCAAACAAATTTACAAGAAAAAAACAAACAACCCCATCAACAAGTGGGCGAAGGATATGAACAGACACTTCTCAAAAGAAGACCTTTATGCAGCCAACAGACACATGAAAAAATGCTCATCATCACTGGCCATCAGAGAAATGTAAATCAAAACCACAATGAAATACCATCTCACACTAGTTAGAATGGTGATCATTAAAAAGTCAGGAAATAACAGGTGCTGGAGAGGATGTGGAGAAATAGGAACACTTTTACACTGTTGGTGGGACTGGAAACTAGTTCAACCATTGTGGAAGTCAGTGTGGCGATTCCTCAAGGATCTAGAACTAGAAATACCATTTGACCCAGCCATCCCATTACTGGGTATATACCCAAAGGATTATAAATCATGCTGCTATAAAGACACATGCATACGTATGTTTATTGTGACACTATTCACAATAGCAAAGACTTGGAACCAAGCCAAATGTCCAACAATGGTAGACTGGATTAAGAAAATGTGGTGCATATACACCATGGAATACTATGCAGCCATAAAAAGGATGAGTTCATGTCCTTTGTAGGGACATGGATGAAGTTGGAAACCATCATTCTCAGCAAACTATCGCAAGGACAAAAAAACCAAACACCGCATGTTCTCACTCATAGGTGGGAATGGAACAATGAGAAAACATGGACACAGGAAGGGGAACATCACACACCGGGGCCTGTTGTGGGCTTGGGGTAGTGGGGAGGGATAGCATTAGGGGATATACCTAATGTTAAATGACGAGTTAATGGGTGCAGCACACCAACATGGCACATGTATACATATTTAACACAACTGCACGTTGTGCACATGTACCCTAAAACTTAAAGTATCATAAAAAAAAAAAAAAAAAAAAAAAAAAAGAGGAATCTCCTAGAGGACATTACCTAGAGACTTCTAGGGCAACGACAAGATAGCCAAATCAAGATTTGAAGAATTCTCTGTACCCAGAGCATAGAAGAGCTTTAGAATGTCTGCCCAGAAGGATTTCAGAATTTCTGCAAACTGTGACACCTGTTATCTCCCGTTTTTCCACTTTGGAAATGGAAATGTTTATTGTGGTTATCCTCTTCTTGTCCAACCACTGCCTATTAGTACTGGTTGTGGTGGGGCCACTGGGACAGGTAATTTCTTTTAATCCACTGATTTCTGTAACTTTAGCTAGACCCTTTTCTAGATTTAATATAGTAATTACTCTACATCACTGAAAGGTCCTAGACTTTGAAATAAATGTGTTGTTGGCCAGACATGGCGGCTCACACCTGTAATCCCAGTACTTTGGGAGGCTGAGGTGGGCGGATCATCATTTCGGGTGACTGAGACCATCCCGGTCAACATGGTGAAAGCCTGTCTCTACTAAAAATACAAAAAAAAATAGCTGGGCATGGTGGTGCACGCCTGAAGTCCCAGCTACTCGGGAGGTGGAGGCAGGAGAATCGCCTGAACCCAGGAGGTGGAGGCTGCAGTGGGCCGAGATCACGCCACTGTACTCCAGCCTCCAGCCTGGGGGACAGAGTGAGATTCTGTCTCAAAAAAAAAAAAAAAAAGAAAAGAAAAGAAAAGAAAAAGAAAGAAATGTGATGTTTACTTAGTATTTGGGGTTGTCTCCTGTGATAAGGGAGGAAATGTCTTTTTTAAGTGGGAAGAAAGAAACAAAGAAATATTTGGTGACCAGTAGTATGTAAAGCTATAGTATTTATATATTACTGAAAGTCAAAAGGTGTCAAGAACATCTGAATTTAATAATTATTGCTCATGTCTAAGAGTGTTATTAATGACAACAATGTTTGGAAGAGTAATATTATAAAGGTTTTTAAAAATCAATGTAAAAATGTGCTTTACTTGCCTTTACTTCAGGTAAAATCAATAATTATGTTGTTATCATGAAGTTTGTCCTCTAGTTTGTGTTCAAGTGACAATAGTGATATAAAATATTAAAACATGAAGTAGAAATATTAAGTGCAGAAAATTTGAATATAAAACAAATCTAAACAATCCAACCCTGTAGAATGTATGTTTTCAGGAATGTTATTCTTCTCCTAAAGTATTTGTCATTTGCTATTAGAAAATAAAGAAAATCACAAATACTGATGAAATTTTAGTAAAACTATAATTGACTTTTATACTTTGAAGCTTACTTATGTCCAGTACTTTTTAAACACAAAGCTATTCACAATTTCAGCTTTTAATGTCCTTCTAGTTGCCAGTGTAAACAATCAGCTACCGTTGTGCTTCAGGCATATTGCCAATTTTCTTGAATAAAAATACTGTAAGCCCAATTAAATTTGAATTTCAGATAAACAACAATAATGTTTTAGTATAAGCATGTCTCAAATATTGCATGAGACATATTTATTATAAAAAGATATCCATTTTTTATCTAAAATTCAAATTTAACTAACCCTTATCTAACAACACTAATATAGATAACAAATTTAAGAGTAATAGAATTTTCTTAATATTACAACATGTTTCTGATGATAGACATAGATAAATACCTAAGGAACAATTAATTGAAAAAAAAAACAATGAATAGCAATAAAACAGACACTTTGCAATACACTGAACATTTTTCAATATATTAAAAAAAACCACTGAATTCACACCCAGAGGAAAGATTTGACATGTTAATTTGTCTTTTCTCTTACCTATGTGTTTCCACTGTTCAAATTCTGCTTGTATTCTGAAGTGATCTTCATCTTCATATTTAGCAGTGCAAAACATGTTCATGCTATTGAAACACAGTTGTCTTTTATTTCTAGGCCATAGGGCAAAAGTCCTAGAGAAGGGTTGTCCCCATGGGTTCTGGAATGTTGTTGGTTATGACAGTGAACGTTTGGAGTTATGACTCAGACTCTACCCGTGCTAAGTCCTTGATCCTGAATAACATGAGGGCACATATATCCTTTAATAAGTATATGTTTATGGTGTGTGGATGTGTGTTCTTACAAAATCCTGAACTCTCTAACACCTGGGCCCCAGAGTAGACATTTGTTATGCCCGTGTGAAGACACTAAGACCAATAAAATAGACTAGAGATATAGTTCTCTCCAAATATCCATGCTCCAACATGTTTTCCAGTCCCCCTTGTAGTTTTCCTTTTGTCCTTGCAATGAGTTCTGGCCAATGGACTGTGAACAGAAGTGCTGTGTGGCATATCCTGCCTCAAAGCATTTCAGATATGGTTGACAACCTTCAACTGTTGCTTGCCCCCGAGATGTTGAGATGACAGCACTGCAAGATGGTAGAGCCTCCATTTGTGACCAAGAGGAGAAGAAACCCTCACCAACTCACACTAGACATGTAGCAAAGAGGAATTTAATTTTTAATGAAAAGAAATGAAAAAGCAAAAATCTTTACTAATGGGAGGAGGCAGGGTTGAATGCATACAATCACATACAAATATACCCTTAGGCAAAACTACAATTTCATCCACTCCCTGTTGAAGGTTAATAGAGTTAAACTTATGTGAAAATTGGAAAGCAATCACTTTCATGTGGGGAAGCTATTTAATTTTTCTTTTTTATTTATAAATGAACTATCTTAGTGAACTGTTTGCTTTATTAGATGTGTTGGATATATATAATGATTTGCAAGTAATTTTGAAAATTTCAAATTTTGAAAAAAAAAAGGTTTTCTTTTCCAATATTTGCACCTATTTTTTGAGGGTCTAAGTTTCCCATTGCTACTGTAATAAATCATCATAAATTTGGTGGCTTAAGTCAACAGAAAGTTATTCTTTCATAGTTCTGGAGGTCAGAAGCCTGAAATCATTATCACTGGACTGAAACCAAGGTGTTAACCAGGCCAGACTTCCTCCAGAGGCTCTACTGAAGAATCTGTTCCTTATTTCTACCAGCTCCTGTTGGTTGCCAGTCTCCCTTGGTTTCTAGCTGCAGCACTCCGATCCAGCCTACATCTTCATGTTGCTTTCTCTTCTTCTGTCTGTGTAATCTTATGCCTTACTCTTATTAATGATGACATTTGTCATTAGATTTAGGACCCACATAAATAATTCAGAATGATCTATTTATTTCAAGTCTCTTAATTTAATCGTATCTGCAGACACCCTTTTTTCCCAAATAAGGTAACATTTACAGACTTCAGGTATTAGGATGTGAATATCTTTTTTTCTTTAGTAGTGGTGAACAAGGGCATTTTTCAGCCTACTACATCCAGTTTGGCTATTTTATTGCATTCTCTAGAACAGAACAATGTTAAAATAATAATGATAGTAGTTGTACTCAACAAGAGAGTTGGTACAAATTACCTAGTTTACTATTACAAGAAGAATAAACAATATGCTTCATTCTTTATGCCTTTTGTTTATTTCAGTGCTTTTTATACATTCTGTCATAAAGTATTTATCTTTCCTCTAAGATTTTACATAACATTTTATTCTCTGTAATTTACCTTTTTGTGAACGTATGACTTATTTCACATATCGAATTATGCAGGCATAATCATATGGATGTATTTTTTTACAAAAACTGTAAAACAGAATCATAAACAAGTTAATGCTTAGTCTGCTTTTATCTGTTCACATTGTGTGTGTGTGTTTGTGTGTGTATCTTAACATATCAACATATATTGGTATATGTCATTATGACTAATAGCTCTGTACATGGTGCATAAATATTTCTGGAGATTTAGGATTGTTTTTTCTCATATTTTACTGTTAAATGATACTACAATGAACATCTATGTATGCATGTATCTAGCTAGTTAACTAGTTACTTGTATATGTAAATACTTGATAAGAATGCAAAATTTAAAGTAGAGATCAAGAAAAGAAAGTATATTATTGTAAGCTTCATAGTCTGTACATGAAGTGGCATGATTATCACTTGTATGTAGACTATAGTAATTTAAAATATGTATTTTATATAGTAAGAACAACCATTTAAAAATTTTTTAAAGAGTTTTAGGTTATAGGTCAATAAGAGAAATAAAATGGTAGTATAAAATATTCAATGGATGCAAAATTTGCAGAAAAAGTAGGGAAAATAAAACAGTAACAGACAGGATATATAGCTGACTATAAGAAATGCATCTTGAATATAATATAAAGATACAAATAAGAAAAATAAAATAATAGAAGAAGGTATGCTATGTTAATACTAGATTTATAAAAACCTAAAATGGTATGCAAAACAGATTCAAAGCACACAGAAACACAAAATTAGATAAAGAAAGTCATTCCCAGACACATAGACCAATGGAACAGAATATGGAAACCAGAAATAAGGCTGCATGCCTACAACTGTCTTATCTTTGACAAACCTGACAAAAAACAAGCAATGGGAAAAGAATTACCTATTCAATAAATGGTGGTGGGATAACTGGCTAGCCATACGCAGAAGATTGAAACTGGACTTTTTCCTTACACCATTGTGATGGTTAATATCGAGTGTCAACTTGATTGGATTGAAGGATGCAAAATATTGTTTTTGGGTGTGTCTATGTGGGTGTTGCAAAGGAGATTAACATTTGAGTCAGTTTAGTGGGAGAGGCAGACCCACCCTCAATCTGGGTGGGCACCATCTAATCAGCTGCCAACACAGCTAGCATAAAATCAGAAAGAGGAATGTGGAAAGACTAGACTGGCTGAGTCTTCTGACCTCTATCTTTCTCCCGTGCTGGATGCTACCTGGCCTTGGACATCAGAGTCCAAGTTCTTCAGCTTTTGAACTCTTGAATTTACACCAGTGATTTGCCAGGGGCTCTCAGGCCTTCAGCCACAAACTGAAGGCTGCACTATTAGCTTTCCTACTTTTGAGGTTTTGGGACTCGGACTGGCTTCCCGGCTCCTCAACTTGTGGGACTTCACCTTGTGATTGTGTGAATAGGTTCTCCTAATCAACTTCCCTTCATATATTCACGTATCCTATTAGTTCTGTCCCTTTAGAGAACCCTGACTAATACAACTATATAAAAAATTAACTCAAAATGGGTTAAACACTTAAATATAAAAATCAAGGGCCAGGTGTGGTGGCTCACGTCTGTAATCCCAGCACTTTGGGAGGCCGATGCGGGTGGATCACAAGGTCAGGAGATCGAGACCATCCTGGCTAACAGGGTGAAACCCTGTCTCTATGAAAAATACAAAAAAAAAAAAAAATAGCTGAGCGTGGTGGCGGGCGACTGTAGGCCCAGCTAGTTGAGAGGCTGAGGCAGGAGAATGGTGTGAACCCGGGAGGCGGAGCTTGCAGTGAGCCGAGATCTTGCCACTGCACTCCAGCCTGGGCAACAGAGCAAGACTCCGTCTCAAAAAAAAAAAAAAAATCAAGACAATAAAAACCTTGGAAGACAACATAGGCAATACAATTCAGGGCATAGGATTGGGCAAAGATTTCCTGAAGAAGACACCAAAATCAATTGCAACTAAAGTAAAAACTGACAAATGGTATCTACTTAAACTAAAGAGCTTCTGCACAGCAAAGGAAACTATCAATAAAATGAACAGACAACCTACAGAATGGGAGAAAAATTTTGCAAGCTATGCATCAGACAAAGGTATAATATCCAGCATCTATAAAGGACTTAAACAAATTTACAAGAAAAAAAAACCCATTAAAAAGTGGGCAAAGGACATGAACAGACACGTGTTAAAAAAAATGTGACCAACAATCATATGAAAAGAAGTTCCACATCACTGATCATTGGAGAAATGCAAATCAAAACCACAATGAGATAGCATCTCACACCAGTCAGAATGACTATTACTAAAAAGTAAAAAATAACAGATGTTGGCAAGATTATGGAGAAAAAGGTCATGCTTATACACTGCTGGTAGGAGTGTAAATTAGTTCAACCATTGTGGAAGACAGTATGGTGATTCCTCGATGTCCTTAAAAGAGAATTACCATGGATCCATTAATTCTATTACTACTCTATTATAAAGACACATGCATGTGTATGTTTGAAGCACTATTAACAATAGCAAAGACATGAAATCAACCTATAGGACCATCGATGGTAGACGGATAAAGAAAATGTGATACATATATACCATGGAATACTCTGCAGCCTCAAAAACAACAAGATTATGTCCTTTCCAGGAATATAGATGCAGCTGGAGGCCATTATTCTTGCCAAACTAACACAGGAACAGAAAACCAAATACCACGTGTTCTTACTTATTACTAGCAGCTAAATGATAAGAACATATCGACACGCATAGAGGAAAACAACACACGCTGGGGACTTTTGGAGAGTGGAGGGTGGGAGGAAGGAGAGGATGAGGAAAAGTAACTAGTGGGTACTAGGCTTTATACCTGGGTGATGAAATAATCTCCACAATAAACTCCAATGACACAAGTTTACCTATATAACAAACCTGCAGATGTACTCCTGAACTTGAAAGTTAAAAACAAAGTTATTCCATAATAACAAAGAAATTAATTCATCAAGAGGCCATAAAAGTTCAAACATATATGTGCCTTAAAAATAGGGCTTTATAATACCAAAGCAAAACAGAGAACTGCAAGGGGAAATAGACGAAACGATTATAGCAAAATTTCAATGCCCCACACTCAATACTTCATAAACAAGTGGACAGAAAAATCAGTAAGAAAGTGGAAAACTTGAAAAACACTATCAACACACTTGACTATTTGAATACTGCAGTCAACAGTGGCAAAATACACATTCATTTTAAGTGCACGTGGAAGATTGACCAAGGCAGACCATATTCCAGGCCACGAAACAAGTCTCCATAAGTGTAAAAGCGTCCTGTCCCTTATATTTTAGGATAGGTTTGACCGACTTATACCACTGCCTTTTGACTTTGGGATACAGAATTAGGAGTATGGGGAGAATAAAGCAATGGAGAAAAGATGAAAAAACATGTTAAGCTAAGGAAAGAAAATTTGGGGAAAATCTGGGAAGGGAGAATAATGGGGCAGCTGGTTAGGAATAAGGAAGACAGGATTGAGAAGAAAGAATTTTAAGCAGTGTTTTTATGAATTATGTATTCTGTTAATAAATGGAAATAAAGTACTTGAATTATTTAAAAATTCTGTACTAGACCACATGGATTGTGGCCACTGAAGTATAATGCTTCTACAGGGACTAAACAATTGTAAAAAATTAATATATAACTAAAGTTTCTTGCACTATATTACTTTTTTCTGATATTTTGAATCATTTTTTATTTGTTACAACTAATGAAACATTTTATGTGCCTTGTGATTTTTCTCTCTTAACTGTTTCTCCTCTATGTTTATCTAGACAGAAAAGCCTTTTCGGACATTCTCCAACAAGCTTCTCCTATGTCTTATTATGTCCTACTATGCACTCCAACAAACTTCTCCTATGTCTAATATGACTCTCCCCACCTTCGGCTGTAAGAGAGATTTAGAAAATACTTTATACAAGGCAAAAAGATTTTTATGATTGACTTAGATAAATTTGATTTATCATCTGTAGCCTGGCTACCATGAACAAAATCAGAATTTAAATCCAATAATTTCTACAGCAAATATTAATGGTATTGAGTATTTAAAATAAAATGCTTTATAAATGTATAGCATGAAGTTTTTATTTGGGATTTAAATATTTATTTTATTTCATTTTATTTCTTAACTTTTATTTCAGGTTCAGGGGTACATGGGCAGGTTTGCTACACAGGTAAATTGTGTGTCACAGGGATTTGGCGTAGAAATTATTTCATCACCCAGGTAATAAGCATAATACCTGACAGTTTTTTATCCTCTTCCTTCTTCTACCTCCACCTTCAAGCAGGCCCTGGTTTTGTTCTTTCCTTCTTTGTGTCCATATGTATGCAAAGTGTAGCTTCCACTTTTAAGTGAGTACATCTGGTATTTGGTTTTCTTTCCCTGTGTTAGTTTACTTAGGATAATAGCCTCCAGCTCCATCCATGTTGCTGCAATGGACATGGTCTCATTCTTTGTATGGCTGCATAGTATTCCATGGTATATATGTACCAAGTTTTATTTATCCAGTCTACCATTGATGGGCATTTAGCTTGATTCCATGTGTTTGCTATTATGAATGGTATTACAATGAACATACGCCTGCGTGTGTCTTTATGGTAGAATTATTTCTATTCCCTTTGGGTATATATCCAATAATGGGATTGCTGGGTCAAATGATAATTCTGGTTTAAGTTCTTTTGGGAAATCACCAATCTGCTTTCCACAGTGGCTGAACTAGTTGACATTTCCACCAGCAATGCATAAGCATTCCTTTTTTCCATAACCTCACCACCATCTGTTAATTTTGACTTTTTAATAGTAGCCATTCTGACTGGTGTGAGATGGTATCTCATTGTGATTTTGATTTGCATTTCTCCAACAATCAGTGATGTTGAGCTTCTTTTCATATGATTGTTGGCCACATTTTCTTTTGAAACGTGTCTGTTCATGTCTGTTGCTTACTTTTTAATGGTTTTTTTTTTCTTGTAAACTGAATGTAAGTTCCTTATAGATGCTGGATATTATACCTTTGTCTGATGCATAGTTTGCAAAAATTTTCTCCCATTCTATAGGTTGTCTGTTCACTCTATTGATAGTGCAGAAGCTCTTCAGTTTAATTATGTCCCATTCATCAATTTTTGTTGGGTTTAAATATTTAAATAAGTATGTCCACTTAATAATCAGTAGAAATACATAAGACATTTATTAAAAGAATAATAAACATACTTTTGTTTCTGGCTAAATAGTGGACTAAGTCTTTAAAAGTTAAACATGAATGTATTCTACAATAATGAAAATCAGAAGCAACCCAAATGTCTAATTACAGAAAAATAATGGTTACTTATATTATGGTATTATATTACAATGAGAAGGAATGAACTATTAATATGTATATAAAAATATGGGTAAATCTTAAGACTATCATATTGGGTACAAAAGAGCATATCCCTAAAACTATATGAAGTATGTGTGTATTATATATTTTAGTCTTTATAAAAATCTCAAAGAGAAACAAATCTGAACACATTGACTTGAAATATATGCATATATAGGGTCAAGCCATTAAAATGGGGCATGATTAAACAAAAACCAAGATAGTGATGAAATTTGGCAGTAAAGCTATGGGATGGGATTTTGGATGATGTCACAGGTAGATTTCAACAGTATTGATGCTATTCTGGACAATATTCTGGATAATATCTGGTTAGAGAATTTAGAGATGTTTATTTTGTGTTAAAATTTCATATGTATTTCAAAAATTCTTTTGTGTAATCATATATTTGATTTTTAAAATTAAAATACAATGAAAAAGTCATTTCTACAAATCACATCTTTTTATCCATTGATGAAAATCATAGTTTATAGTTTTCTTACTGGCAGATAATTATATCTGAGAATTACATTTTAAAAAAAAAACAGAAAGAAGGAAGGAAAATAAGTTCAGAAAAAATAATATTCAATTTTGCTAATACCATATTGGGCCTGAGCAGTGGAATAACAGCAGTGTCTCTGAGTTAGTGTCATGAGAGAGACTGGACTTAATAATTAAACAGGAAACTTGCTGGAGTTGCTAATGTCTTAGACCCTTCAGGCTGCCATAGCAAAATGCCGTAGACCGTGTGGCTTTCAAATGGCAGAAATCTATTTTTCATATTTCTGGAGGCGGGAAATCTGAGATCAAGGTGCTGGCATGGTCAGCTTCTGGTGAGGGCCTTTTCCTAGGTTTCAGACTGCCAACTTCTTGCTGTATCCTCACTTGGAGGAAAGAGGCAAGTCTCTAAGGTCTCTTTTATGAGGACGCTAATGCTATTCATGAGGGCTGCACTCTTATAAACTAGTTACCTCCCAAAGCCTCTGCCTCCTAACAACATTACAATAGTCATTAGGATTTCAATATATAGATCTTGGGCGGGGGACACAAATATTACAGCCGGCTAGAAGGGATACACATAATAATATTGAAAAGAAAATTTTAAGCCTCCCATTTTTTTTAGTTTCCTAATTGAAAATGAGTGGTACAAGATCCTTTTGTTTTCCTCCATGCAGAGAACATAGCCTGGAAGAAATGTCACACTTTTGAAATTCTCAGTTTAAATATAGAGAGCAACCCTTTCCTGAGAAGGAGAAAATACTAAAAGATATTTTGCAATGTGTCTGAGGGAACAAACTTCCAGAGCAAACAATTACTCATAACTGGGTACTTGAAAGGAACATCAAGGGATCTGCAATTGCAACAACAATGAGAGTACGAAAAACCAATGGCTGATATGATCTTAGTGACACCTTACATAGAACTCTAGAGAAGATAAATCCAGAACACGTCACAGCAGAAGCTGTGCACCATGTAACCAGTGTGTCACACACTGTGGCAGCAAATTTCTTGGAACATGCAGCTGTGCTTGTTACTTTTTTCCACAAGACTCAGGTCATGGTCTCTCACTTTTAATTCATGGTCTTCTAGAATTTGACCCTGTTGGAGAGCTGCTTGGGTGGCCATATTAATCTCTACCAACTTTTTACACCCGCCCCCCCCCCCCACCACACACACACACACACACACACACACGCACACTTCAAAGCTTTCAGGGTACAAGTGGGTTTTGGTTGCATGGATGAATTTTATAGTAGTGAAGTCTGAGATTTTAGTGTGCCCACTACCTGATAATGTACATTGTACTTAATATATAGTTCTCTTTCTGTCCCTTAGCTCCCTCCTACCATCCCACTTCTGAGTCTCCAAAGTCCATTATATAACTCTGCCTGCATTTTCATAGCCATAGCTTAGCTCCCATTGTAAGAACACATGGTATTTGGTTTTCCATTCCTGAGTTACTTCACTTAGAATAATGGCCTCCAGCTTCATTCGAGTTGCTGCAAAAGATATTATTTCATTCTTTTTCATAGTAGTATTCCATGTTGTATATATACCAATTTTTTTATACATTCATTGGTCATTGGGCATTTAGGTTGGTTCGATACCTTTGCAATAAAGAATTGTACTGCAGTAAACATACATGTGAAGAAAGTCTACCAACAATTCGGAGTTTTTTTATTCTTTGGAGTAGTCCAAACTTCTTTAATAACTCTTCATTTTAGAGACTCAGGCCATGTATATTGTACCTATTATATTTCTTTCTTTCTTTTCTCTCTTTTTTTTTTTTTTTTTTTTTTGAGACGGAGTCTCTCTCTGTCGCCCAGGCTGGAGTGCAGTGGCGCAATCTCGGCTCACTTGCAAGCTCCGCCTCCTGGGTCACGCCATTCTCCTGCCTCAGCCTCCCGAGTAGCTGGGACTACAGGTGCCCACCACTACGCCTGGCTAATTTTTTGTATTTTTAGTAGAGACAGGGTTTCACCGTGTTAGCCAGGATGGTCTCGATCTCCTGACCTCGTGATCCTCCCGCCTCGGCCTCCCAAAGTGCTTAGATTACCAGCGTGAACTACCGCGTCCGGACATTGTACCTATTATATTTCTTCATTTTTACACATCTGTCTCTTTAAAGTCTAGAGAATACTTCTGACCGAACCCCATGTATCATATCCAAAGGTTGCTATAACTTCCTCTTTGTCAACTAATTCCTCCCTGGTGCACAAAATTGAGCTTAAGACAAACTTTTTTCCACCCCTTAAGAAATAGAATTGTGTGCAAGGCACATCAAGAGTTTATCAGGTGTGCTACTTTTAAGCAAATGAGACTTTCATCAATATAAAAGGTGGCTGAGGCCCCTCATGACTGCTGTGTCTTCCCTTTGTGTCAGTTTTATGATCAACACTGGGACCCTAACATCTATCTGGCTAAATAGTCATTCCCTTGATAATCTCACTGTACTGCCCCCTCTCTTTTTTTCCACCTAAGTGCTCTCTGGCCTGGTTCAAAAATCACATTGCAGGTGTGTTTATCTTTTTGACTTTTAGTACTACTCTTCCTCTCCTAATAGACCTAAAGATTCTGAATAAGTTACATCCTTTCATTGTTTTCTTTCAGATCATGAGCTTCTTCTTGTCATAGCTATGTGCTGTGTGGGATACCCTATTCACTTATGTAATACTGTGCTTATTACTGGTGTTCTTCCATTTATATCCTCATTGATATTGCTGCCAAATAGCTTCCATCCACTCAGGACCTTTTGTTCCTGGATTCATTTTATTTAACAACCTTTCTGATTAAGTTAGGCATTTGTGTTCTCTAGTAAGCAAGACAAGTCCTTCTAAAATATTTTTATGATATATACTAGAAATTTTTCACATGTGTGGAATATTCCTCCAATTTTAAAACCTTTAAATGTATCTTTTTACATTCTATTCAAGTCAATTCATTAGAGTGCAAGGAGTTTGCATGGCATTGTTAGAGAAATAACACTAAATTTATTTTTAAATTAACTAGAAAATAAAATTTAAATATTATTTGTAAGAAACTGAGACACATTTCACAACTGACTGCAACACTCTGGTATATTAAAACATTGTCAATAACCATTGAGCACCAAGAAACATTCTTAAACGTTTTTATTTTAAGCAGAGGGACTAGCTTAGATTTTATCCACCCTGAATTAGTGAATAGATCCAGGAGGAAGACGTACAAAACACTTCAATAAGCCCTGAGAAATAGTTCCTCTGTTTATATGCATCTAGTGAGAGGATTTAAGGATTTCTACTGCCATCTAAGCTTGAGAGCTGCTGAGATAAGATCTTTTCTTCTCTTTCTAGCAAACTTTATTCTCTAGAAACTATCCAACTTGTTACATGCATCATAGTTGGTTGCACCAAATATGGTTGTGTTTCAGAGAGACAGATCTAGTCTCTTAAGTTTCATAAGGAAGACAAGGCATGCAGTAAGTTTAGAAACCAGAATAGAGACAGTGGCAGACAATGCAGTACAGCCTACTTCACACTATTTCAGATTTCTTTTTCCAGACTTTCTCACTGTGGAAGATGAAAAGGGAACTATGTGAATGCCTGGACTCTATTATGTGGAGTTATGGTAATGGGGCATAGTTTGTGGCAATAAGATATAAGCAGCAGAAACTAGTGTCTCCCCACTAGCCCCAGAAGCAAAGTCTTATGAGTTAGACTTTCCTTATTTGTCTTCCAATTTTCCTCTCACTTTCTCAGTGAAACTCAGGGGAATATTGAGTCCTGCTTCCATTATGGATGCATAACCATTTAAAAGATCAAATTTTCCTGAGACAATAATAAATTGAGGAATCAAAGCCAGAACATTTGGGAAGAGAGTTGAATATTGAAACAAGGGATCAGCATGGATTGATTTAAATATTTTTTATGGCTTGCAGCCTGAGGAGAATCAAAAGTCAGCCCTCTGTGGCAACTAAAACTCCATTCAAAAACCCACTGGCTTAATAGCATGAAGGAACACTGAATAGTAGGGAAGGATGTCTGGAAATGATATATCCAGAAAGAAGGAGCCCAAATTCTGTCTATAAACTCTTCTGAAATCTTAGACTGATCCCTGGCAATGCATACCCTGGACAGACTGCAAGCAGTCCAGTTAAAGAAAAAGAGAAATAATCTAAAATTTCATTTGATGACTTAGATATTGAATGTGAAGTTTGAACCCAATCAAGTTAAGTACCTGGTAAAACAAAAATATCAACAGTCTTCATTGGACAATAGTACAAAGACTTTCAACAATATAACATTCATATGATCCATGATACAATTAAATATTAATTGATATTTGAAAAGATGCAGAAAAAGATGCAGAAATATGTTAATCATTCTCAATTTTTAAAAAAGTCAGTGAAGGCTGACTTCTAGATAGCCCTGATTTTGAAATTAATAAATAACAACATTAAAGCAGCTATTTTAACTAAGATAGATGAGATAAAGGAAAATACACATAATAAATAAAACGATAGGCAACCTAAGTAATGAAATAGAGGATGTAAAAAGAATAAAATGAAAATTCTAGACCTGAAAATTATAGTAGCTGAAATAAAAAATTACTGGATAAAAGTGACTTTTAATCACGGTAAAGAGAACGTTTTGTTTCTGGTGGATTTAAGACTATATAAGAAATAAAAGTTTGCAACACTACTTAAGCACTCAGATAAAATAAGCTATGCAGTTATCAAAGAAGTCTTCAAAAAGCTTTTTGATATGTAGGTATGTATATGTATGTATATATTTATTATATATAATATATAATGTGTTATATTTATATAGTATATTACATGTCATAGGGTATTATATACTTCAAATGTTCATTAGTATATGTGTATGGATGTATCTATATATGTATATATAAATAGTTATAAAATATAAACAGTGTTAATTGTATAACATATAAAATATGGTATATAACATATAAAATATGGTATATAACATATAAAATATGGTATATAACATATGTTATATATTTGTAATATGCTATATATGTACACTTGCCAGTCCATGTTTTAAGAAGCTAGCACAACTGAAAAAAAGTGGAGCTAGATATAATACCACATAGCTGTCAAAGAAATCTAGAAACTTTTCATATGATATATATAAAACATATCTATAATATATATTATGCCATGTATATATTATATATATTATACCATGTATATATGTAATATATTATATCATGTAATATGTTAGATGGTTACATATATGGGTAAAAATACACACATACACACAATATATATGAAATTCTTGCCTTTAGCCTGGTTAATATAAACCAACCAAGGAAATATTGCTTGCCAATGACAGGTTATGTAGAAAGTAATATGGTAATATGTTTTATTGTGTAAATCTAGGTTATAGTGTTATAGATATTTTGGAGAAAGGGTGAAGTTCTTGCTTCTTCCTGCTAAAAACTTTAGGCTGGGCATGGTGGCTTACACCTATAATCTCAGCACTCTGGGAGGCCAAGGCAGGATCATTTGAAACCCAGAGTTCAAGACCAGCCTAGACAACATAGTGAAACCATTTACCTACAAAAACATTTTAAAAATTATCCAGGCATGGTGGTGTGCACCTGTGGTCCCTGCTACTCAGTAGGCTGAGGTGGAAGGATCCCTTGAGCTCAGGAGATCATGGCTGCTATGAGCCATGAAAAAAAAAAAAAAAAAAAAGACTTCAAAAAACTACTTACTTCATTTTACCATGCCATACTAAATACACTGTGAAGTCTCTTCCTCCTGGTCTAAATCTATACAAATGACAAAACTGCCCAGGGAAATTAGAAGCTGTTTTATCAGTGCATTAGTAATTATAGAAAGGAAAACATATATTGAAGAGGAAATTACATTGAGGAAGTAATCCAAGTCCTTTGCTTTAAAAATAGCACTTCAAAGGAGTTTCTGTCCCAGAAGTAGTAGCTTTCTAAAAAACAGAGGGAGTTCAGTGCAATTGAAAAGATAGCAATTTGCAAGACCACAATTGTTATCCATAGTTTGATACTAACACATTCATTCATTCACTCCTATTTTTGTCAGGCAGCATGAGAAAATAAATAAAAAGGTACATGACTATAGCAGCAGCAGTAGTTTTTTCATTTGTTTTTTATGTATGAAAGAATAAAATATACAGTGTAGGAATGATCTGAGTATGTGGATGACAAGTACAGTTTTTCCCAATAAATATGAAGTTAAAAAGTTACTATAAGAATAACTAAAAAACTGGAATATGTCAGAAATCATGATTGAAACTGAAATGCATCTTTAATTCTATGTTTTAAAAAGCTGCCAAACTTAGACTTTCAAGATCCAGATAATTCTCCTTTTTATTTACACTTTTCTGGAAGATAGAGAATCTTGGAGAGTTAGCACAAAATTATTTTATTGAGTTCTCCGATACCTGAAATAGATAAGGACAACCCAAGATGGAAAGGTATAGACCAATCTAAATTAGGAACATGTAATAAATCACTGGAAAACAAAACAAAAAATTCTAAATATATAGTCATTGAAGTAACATTAAAAACCAATTGATAGTTTAAGAATACTAAACATACTGAAAACTGACAAAGCTAGATATGAGGAAATCATATAGAAATCCATGCAGAGAGATAAGGAAATGGTGTGAAGGAAAACCCATAGCTCATATCTAATATGTGTCACAAAAAAGAATTTTAAAAAGACAATAATCATATGGGGAAATTATTTAGAAATAAAAAAAGTAAGACTCTTCAGATGAAACAAAAAAGTACATGAAGTCCCTAGTAAGATAAATGAAAACAAATCTATAAACCTAACCTAAACCCAACTCTGAGATTATCTATATCTATATCTATATCTATATCTATCTATCTATCTATCTATCTATCTATCTATCTGTCTACACACACACATATATTTTTGTTGTTGTTGTTGTTGTTGTTGTCCAGGTGGGAGTGCAGTGGTGTGATCTCGGCTCACTGCAACCTCCACCTTCGGGGTTCAAACAATCCTCCTGCCTCAGCCTCCCAAGTAGCAGGCATGTGCCACCATGTCCAGCTAATTTTTGTATTTTTATTAGAGATGGGGTTTCACCATGTTGGCCAGGCTGGTCCTGAACTCCTGACCTCAGGTGATCCGCCTGCTTTGGCCTCCCAAAATGCTGGGATTACAGGTGTGAGCCATCGTGCCTGTCCTGAGATTATATTATTTTAAAAGACATCCAGCTGTATGATTTTAAGTAAAGCATGATTAGAGTACGGAAAATACTCATGTACAATACAGAAAATTTGAAGGACTGTAATATATATTAGCACCTGCTAGCCAAAATAAACTTCTAGAGTGGATATTAGGGCTCCCAACCCCCAGGCCTCAGACCCATATGGATCCCTGGCCTGTTAAGAACAGGGCTGCACAGCAGGAGGTGAGCAGCCTGCAGCAGCATTGCTCCCTGAGCTCCTCCTCCTGTCAGATCAGCAGAGACATTAGAGTCTCATAGGAGCACTAACTCTATTGTGAATTACACATGTGAGGGATCTAGGTTGCGTCCTCTTTATGAGAATCTAATGCCTGATGATCTGAGGTGAAACAGTCTCATCCTGAAACCATGTCCCTATCCCCTGTGGAAAAATTGTCTTCCACGTAACTGGTCACCGGTGCCAAAAAAGTTGGGGACTATTGGGGGACAACTTTTGAATAGCAGGCAAAATAGAATATAAAGTAAAAGCATTGATAGAGATAAAAGACATTGAAATAAACAATGATCTATCAAGACATATTATTTATAACTTTGTCCCTGTTTAACAAAACATAAAGAAATACAGAAAATGAAAATTGAAATGATTGTAAGAAAAAATTCAAAATTCCACAGTTCTCTCAGAGACAGATAGATCAAAACAGATAGAATTGATAGGATAATAAATAAATGATACATTATTATATTTAATATTTTATACTAATAAAATGAAAATATTTTAAATAATATAAACAGTTTAATTTTATATATCTGAACATATAGATTTATATAGAATTTTGTACTAAATAAAGAACATGCATTGTTTTCAAGAACACGCAGACTATGAACAGAAATTGTTTATATCCAGATGCTACCTGATTTCTCAACAAATCGAAATTGTTGACTACAATTAAATTAATTTAAACCTAATAATAAATAGTGAGCACTCCCTCAAAAAGACCTTTATAAACTAAAAGTAAAAAATTATAGTAAATCATCCATGGGATAAAAATGAGAATTACAATGTTGAACAAAATAATGAGAAAACTCCAATGGTAAAACTTTTGTTAGGCAGCTAAAATGTACAAAGATGAAAAAATATATACTTAAGTGGGTATAATAGGAAATAAGAAATAATACAATTTAATGAGCTAAGCTTTCTTCTTCAAGCTGGGTATGGTGGCACAAACTTGTAGTCTCGGCTACTAGGGAGGCTGAGGTGGAAGCATCACTTGAGCCCTGGACAACATAGCAAAAACCTCATATCTTCTCTAAAGAGAGAAAGACAGAGAGAGAGAGAGAGAGAGAGAGGCTATAAAATAATAATAATGAAACAAACCCTAAAATATTAGAAAGATTTAAAAGATAAAATTATAAAGAGTAATAAAATAGAGAATGTAGATGTTTTAATCTGTTTTTTGGAAGAAAGAATAAAAATCCGATTATATTGATAAACATAGTCAAGAGATGGCACAATTTAAAAATTCTAAGAAACTAATAAGGTTATCATGAGAAGTAACATGAATATATAGCAAAAGACACTAAAAAAACCTGAAAAAAAGGAGAAATTAATCAATTGATCTTTGGGAAGACAATAGCAAAAGATTTCAGTTCTCCCCGAATCGAACTATAAAGTCAGTGCAATAACTATGAAAATATCAATGAGATATTTTATAAAATGTTTTAAGCTATTTCTAGAAATCAAATAAAAGACAAAAAGTAAAATAAAAAATACAGTCAAAATAATACTGAAAGAAGAAGAAGAATGGGGTCTTGCCTGGAAGACATGAAGCTTTATTATAAATTGTCAGTAATTAGAATATCGTGGCATTGGTTAGATGAAAACTAATTCTTATCACCTAATTTTAGAAACTTAGAAATATAAATAGCTGAGGCAAAGGTAGAAATGACTTAAATCTCATAGCTATGGTGGCAGATTCAGGACCAAAATTCTTGTCTCCTCAATCCCAGGCCTGGACTCTGTTTCCTACAGTACATGCTACTCTCTCACATGCTGTTAGACAAGTAGAGAGTTTATAAATTAGAACAGTCTGGGTCGGCTATAGTAATAAGCAATTCCAAATCTTTGTAGCTTAAAACACAATATTTTTTTCTTGCTTAATTACATATCTGACTGGGTCAGTGTTGAAGTCAGCTCCACATAGTCACTTAGCAACTTAGGCTGATGGAGTCTCTATCATCTTACAGCTGAACTGTCTGAACCTCTTCTGTCATTTGACCTTTTCTGTCACTGTGTGAGGGTCAAGAAGAACCTAGAGGACTCCACAGAGGCTTTTCATTGCCTTAGTCCAAAAGTATTATATGTCAGTTCCATTCACATTTCACTGGCAACAACTTGTCACATGCCCCTGCCTGATTCCAGGATGGCTGGGGAGTGTATTGAGCTGTATGTGCAGGCGGGTAAGAACAGGTAGATACTGGTGGGCTCTAGATTACAATTACATGTAGTAAAGTGAAAGTAAGTCTGCATTGTTCAGCTGATGATTCATATAAAATTCTTTCTCTCCCATTGAGGTTTCTAGTTTTTTAATGTATTCCTGAATATCTGTATCCTTATCCTAGGATTTGGAGAATAAACATATGACAATGTAAATCAAATAAGTGCTTTTGACTCTGTGGTTCAACTGTTTAAAATGATAAGCAAAGAAGGAGGATGAAAACCATGGTTCGGAGGTTTGCCCATGGTTCCCAGGGATCTGCTTTATTTATAGAAGGGAAAAAGGCTGGTCCTTAGTTCACCGAATTCTAACTTCTTGGCCTGAAAATGTTCCCTCAGCTTCCCCCAATATTTACCCTTTTTACAGAAACTAGAGCCTGTTTCAGGGAAAAGTCTGAAGAGAAAAGATAATTAGTAAACTCATAGAATTTTAAGAATTCTTTTTTCATAAGAAAAGTTTTTGCCTGAATTTAGTACAATTCATTCAAAATATACATAGAAAAAAAATTTTTTAAACATTTCTACTGATATATTTATTTTTAAATCTATACAATTTATACCAAGAAGTCAAAGGTCAGTCAACTCTTTGATAAAGATTAGTAATCAAAACAAAAGCGATTCTGAAACTGATACAGCATCTTCAAATCTGCTGTGGTGCCAAAATGTAAAATATAGATACTCTGAGAATGAGGAATTCAAATTTTAAAGATTTGCCATAAAGAGAAAAATTTCCCAACTTGGAAACCATGCCCATCAATAGCCTTGATTTATGTATAACATACACATGTTCTGTATTTAATAGACAACTATGCTGTTATAAATGCATTTATATAGTCAATGTCATGGGAAAAACCCCATCAGTTATTCTAAAGTAGAGAGCAGATTATAAAATAGGAAAGCAGATTATAAAGTAATATGCATTCTGTAATCCATATATGAAAACTATAGCTATATTTTTATGGTTATATATGCAGAGAGATTAGCTAAGCACAAAAATGATGGCAGTTTGGGTGGTGGTATACTGGGAGACTTTAATTTTGTTCCTTTTTTATTTTGTCCACTCACTTTTTTATTTTTTTTTTACAAATCTCTATACATTTTGCTAATGTACATTTATTTTGAAAAGACAAAAAACTTAAAGAGTAGCTTTGGAAAACAAGTTGTGCATTTATGCAGAATTATATATCCGTATATTGTTTTTCTGCAGTTGCTGGGTGTTGAACTACAATTGGGTTTCCAGGAAAGACCTAAGTTCTCTTTTGGAATATTAACACTATGAATATGTTTTACCTCTTAACTACACACACACACACACACACACACACACACACACACACACACCATTTTAAGGTATGAAGAACAGTTTAAAAATGTCCTGTACCTCATTAGAGGTGGATTGAAGCTGTTTTATTCTAGTGGCTAATTGATAGACCTTTTAATATCATCTCAGGGTCAAGAAGCCAAATATATTATTCCAAGTTCTGAATAGCTTGGTAACCTTTGTCTTTCTTTGTGTGAAAAAGAGAACTGTGTCCATCGTAGAAGAAAGTGTGATCTCTGGAACAGCAATGCAAGCGAGGCAGGATCATAGACAGTGGTTTGGCAAATGTTAGGTTATGCTCTGTGTCATCACTTCTTGTGTTTCAGAGGGATAACATTTACCTCTGTTTTCCCCACATATGCTTCTAATGCTCCTGCTTTCAGTTCTAGGCTAGGTTTTGAAAAATTAAAAACATCTTTTGTGGGTTCCATAGGAGACTGCAAACGCTTTGTGTTGAAGCAGGTCCTGGAGGGGGTGATAACATAGGCTGGGTAGAGAGGGCCTGCTGCTGGGCATCCTGCCTCCAGCCCTGTTCTGCATCAGAAAAAGTCCTTGCATCTGTGCTCTGCTGGCTGCCTGGCCTGCCTCAGCCACACCAAAGCCACGGATCCCTCTGGGCAGAGAGGGCAGAGGAAGAAACACAGTGCTCTGTGGGCCAGGAGGAGAAAACCCCCAAATATTAAGGATGTGTCTGAAAAAATGGTATATCTATCCTAAGAGATGCTGAAAAGAAATACGAAATTTAGTCAGCAACCTTTCTTGTCTCCTGATGCTCAGATCTTTTAGTGACAGGTTTCCTAACCTTCTCTTTAGCTGTTTCTCCTATTTATTCTTTTTGTCCTTCCTCTGATTCATGCTTCTCCATGAAAGTACCACACACATTCATTTTTGAGGAAATTTCTTGGTTTGCATTTTCAGCAAAGCATCTTTGTGCATGTGCAGGCCAGTGTTCATTTGTGGCCTGCCTGTGAGAACTCCAAGGGTTCATGGAGATAATTTTCTCATCCTATACACAGCCTACTACAGAAGAGACATGGCTGTCATCAAGGGATCTGTGCCATCAGAACATTTGGTTTCTAGTCTCCCAAATCCTCTTTGTTTTTGATCGTGACATTTCTTCATGCTCAGATGCATACATGATGTAACATTCTTTGTTGATGTTCTGAAATGTGTTTTAGAGTTATTTTGGCTTCACACAAAATAAGAATGGGGCTCAAAACTTTCTGGTTGAAAAGCTAATCTTTGGGGCTTTTTCTTTTCTTTTTCTCCTGCTTTTTGGTACTATGCATATTTGTAAAGCTTTACACCCAAGAATGGTATGTAATGGACCCTAGACTGTTTTGTTGGAAACAGGGCAAATAAGAAGTCTCTCTAGGGGATTTGTGGGCCTTTATTGTGGTGTGGGAGTATGCCCTAAAGGGGAGCTCCTCACAGCCTAATTGTTGACGAGTGATGAAAGTTCAACAGCACGGCAACTCTACTTCTCGCTCCAGCTAAAAAGTGCTTATAAAGGTAGCTGGGCTATTTTAGCAATTTGCCTTATTTTGAAAATCCAATTTGGTAGCTTCATTAAAGGGCACTAATTTAGTGTCTTAGGGGAATATATGTTTAAAGGAGCTTGTCAACAATCTTAGATGTTTGCCAGTGTATAGGTGAGCTCATTTCCCCAAGCTGGGGTTACCCGGTTACATGCATGCTCCTTGATTTCAAACATAATACAAAATAGATTCAAAAGTCCTCAAACCAAAAGAGTAACAGTACCACTCCCTCTTTCCCAAGTACCGCCTCCCATTCCTCAGCGTAGGGTGCTCTTGGTGCATAAACACATCTGCAATTGACATAGTCAATCTGTCACCTAGAGGTCTAATACGGAGGACAAAGGTTTTATTTAGTTTAGTGATAGTTAATATATGACAATCTAAGGGACTTAAAGCATGATAACTGTTTTAAATAGTTTAAAAAAATAGAAAAACTTTCTGAACACCTAGAAGAATCACTCATTGCTCACTGCATGCCTGATACTCCCAATGGTATATTTCAGTCCCACATTGGGACAAAAATTTTAAAGTTGAGTAGCTGAATGCTAATTATCTACATAGCCTCAAATAAACTTGAGCCTTCTACAGTTCCCACTATGTTGACAAAATATTATGAGAAAAGATAGAAAATTTAGTTGAAGCAAATTATTCTTCTTTGGGATGCTTTCTTTGAAAAATAAAGCTTAAAATCCATGAGATAATACAATAAATATTGTCATCAAGTTTGACAATACGCAGTTAAGCTATGAAATCACTGTTTCGTTCTTTCACATAGGCACTGGAGTATGTACTAAGAATACTGAGTTCTCCCTAGGTATAATTTCTCATCCAGTTTATAGAACTGGGTTCCATTTAAAAAAAATAAACTATCTGAGTGAATTCTGATTTTTTTTTTGTAGAGACTTTGTGTTATGATCAATCTGCTAAGGTTTCCTGTTAATAGATTACCTGTCCAACCATTCAGGAGATGCCGAGATGTAGTTCTGTCCAGAAGAGAAATCAAATACGCCAACTTTCTTCCTATGCAGTCTCAATTTCCCTCAAAGAAAAATAGGTTTTTCAGAATGACTTGAGATGAAGGGAAGGGTAGTAAATTAGAAATGCTTTCATAATTTTCCTTTAAATTTTATATGTTTGGAAGGAAGGAGAAAATACTTGTAAAAAAGCACTTCTGGAGATGACTACGTGGAAATGATCAGGATGTAGATCAAAGTAACAGTTTTGAATTATTTGGGTTTGGTTTGCCTGAAACCTCATACAGCAGATTCATTCTTATTCTAGTGAGAGCTGAACACCAAGGGAGACAATTTCGAATAGTTGGAAAATAATTACCTACTCATCAAGGGTCGGTACAACCTCATTCCATTTTTACAGTAGTTTCTAGAAGTACATGTATCATTTATTTGAGATTTATAATCAATATCTTAGCGTATATGAACACAGCCATAGCTGTAGAAATCACATTTCTATAATAATGCAAAGGCATTTATGTTAATAAATCTGTTTGTAATCTCTGTCATTATGGTTGGGTGTCAATAAGTGAAACTAAAAGGATGTGGAAAATTTCATAACATGTTTTATGCTAGTTATTTGTTTGTTGTCTATTCATGGGGTTACTAATTACAACTGGTAAAAGTTGATTTTCTCCTCTTCAGTTTATTGTGGGATGGGGCGTTCATTTCGCCAGATACACAGTTATTCAGTGTCTACATTTCAGAAGCTGAATTGCTGGATATAGTCAAAATGAGCTTTGGCAATTCCATGTGTGAGTGTACAACTATAATTTTGCTGCACATTAATAACAACCTTGCAAAGAAGCCCAGAATCAAATGCCTTGCTCTCAGCTGGGAGCAGAAAGCTAGAGTGGTATATCTTGGCTGGTGACCTATAATGTTGGAAAAGTAGGCTCTACATTCACTCAGAAGGAGTAGGTGGAATTCCGGAAATTTATTCACTCTCCTTCACTACGCCTTTTCCTTTTTTTTTTTTTTTCCTTCCTTGTAGTGTGTTAGTGAGTGCTCCGAGACAATGAAAAAAAACAATGAATTACAGACAATAAAAATAGTGCATCTCTAGAACAAGCGGTAAAATCAAGGCTTTTATTTCTTCAGGTGTCAACTCTGTTCCTTCCCCAGGTCCTACCCTGCCCAGGTTTCTGTGGCACCTCTGTGATTCCAAATCAGCGATCAGGTGGGCAGCGGTCTGGGCAGTCACCCACAGGGAGTACACTTGGTGCTGCACGTTCGGACTTTCAGTCTTGCTCAAAGCAAAGAATCTCCAAGAGCGCTGAGGC
This sequence comes from Homo sapiens, assembly GCF_000001405.40. NCBI lineage: Eukaryota > Metazoa > Chordata > Mammalia > Primates > Hominidae > Homo > Homo sapiens. Next base: position 35,638,893 of record NC_000003.12, read on the forward strand.
TACGGATTCATTCGGGTGGGGCGAGGTGTTATTATTGTGGGATTGTCTCTGCAGAGTTGGCCTGGAGAGTGAGCGGTGGAGGGAGTGGAACAAGGCTTCGTCAAGAGTCCCCAGGAGTCCAGGGGCGCCCCCGAGACGGGTACGCTGGAGGGCCTGGGCACGGGGGACAAGAGAGAATACATGCCTGCTCGCTGGGAGCAGGGAGGCGGTGTGGCGGGGCAGGGGGCAACGTGCCAGTTTTCTTTCTGATTAATGATGCTCACGCTGCTGCGCGTGGCTCATGCGCTTTGTCTCCAGCCTTAGGGCTGGCGGAGAACGGCCCAGGGAATGAGTGGTACCGCGGGCGCCCGGCGCACCCAGCAGGTGCCATCACTCTGGATGGGCCAGTTCTGGATGCTCCCAGTGGCGCAGAGGCGGCGACACTGGCAGGCGTCCGGCTGCCGCCACCTCCCGGGTGTGGCGGGTCTGGGGCCCGGGGTCTCCGGCCAGAGCAGCTGTGGAGCCACGTGCAACACGCGCGTTGCCCTCAGCCCGGGCGGGGACCGGACGCATCCGGAGCTGCGGGGAGGAGCCGGGCGCCGCCCCCGGCGGCAGTGCCAGCCGCGTGGGAGGGCACGGACCGGCGGAGGGGCAGACGACGGAGGCGGCCAAGCTGGAGGAACGGGACCGAGGGATCGACCGAGGCTGGCTGGCTAGGGGTGGGACTGGCAGAGCTACGGACAGGTGGGAGCAGTCAGACAGCCTGAGAGAGGGAGACCAGAACGCAAAGAGAGCGAGAGCATTAAGTAGGCAGGGAGAGGCACACAGAAAGATAGACAGCAACACTCGCGTGCTCCCTCCCTCCACACGCCCTCCTCTTACCGAGCGAAGCGGCCAGGGGCACAGAGTGGGAGAGGACTGTGGGCACAGAAGACCGGAAGAGGGACGCTGCATTGCTGGTGGGACGGAGGGATTCGGACGGACGGACAGACCAGCGCACAGACTGGCAGCCTGCGAGAGTGGCAGCTTTGAGAGCAGAGCGCAGCAAAGCGAGAATCCCGCGCCGAGCTGCTAGTCGGACCCACAGACGGTCGGACTGACAGACGTGCAGACGGACAGAAGAGCAGACAGGAGGCGGGGGCGCGTTCACTCCCGGCGGCCAGCCGGCCAGAGAAGGCGGCGGTGGCACCTTCTGAGCGCGTCCGGAGCAGAGACCAGCAGCAGCAGGGGCAGCGGGGACACAAGCCGCGACCGAGCCGCCGCCGCAGCCCTGGCTGCCACAGCTGTGTGGGATCCCAGCCGACACTGCAGAAAGCTCCTTTTACTAGCAGTTAAATAAATCGACCAAAAACAAAACAAACAAACAAACCCAACAACAACAACAACAACAAAAGCCAAGCCAAAAGCCAAAACAAACAAATCCAGCCAAATCAATCATTGAGAAACAATAATATTAATAAAATCCAAAACTAAATCAAACCAATCAAGGCACCAAGACGCAGGGGGGATATCCACAGTTCGATCAAGGTAATAATCAAGGTCTTCCGACGTGAACATTGCACGCCTTTTGTGGATTTTTAGAATTCCTTCTTTCTTTCTGCCATATATCTGTCTGTTTCTTTTGAATTTTTTCTTGTCTGTATTTCTTCTTCGTGTTTGTAGAAAGCTGATGTTGTTATACATGTATTGTGTTTTTTATGTTTCGTCAAGGAGGGATGGACGCTCCTTCCCCCAGAAAAGACAGAAATGGAAAGCTGGAAGTTGGCAATGATTTTCATCAGAGAAGTCTACAGTGATTTGTATAGGCTTTATGGTAGAAAGTTTGCAATGCTCTTTTTGAAAGAGACCTATTGAAGAGGTAGAAAGTTATACTCTGTTTGTTGTCCTGGAAGGATTGGGGTCCTAGGTCCCAAAGGGCTCAAGGGGAAGAATAGAAAAGATGTTCAGTTTTATTTTTACATGCATGAAATCTGTGCTTCATTGCAATCGCCAATTTACTCTTTTCTGTCTCAGGTTGTAGATATGGTGGTAGAATTGAGTTGAATTAGGCAGGTGTTTAGAAAGTTTCTTAGGAATAGGAATTAACTCATTCAATGTTTATGCATAGAAATATAGCTGAGGTGGATGTGGTTGCTGTCAGCTATTCAGGTTTGCTACCTGATCACCTCCTGAAGATGTAGGGTAAGGACAGAATCCAAGCCTAAAAGAAAAAACAAGGAGAGAATTGAAAGTTATAGGGGTGGGCAGTTATATTTCTTAAAAGGCTGGTAGAAATCATTTTCCTAAGAATGTGTTTAGAGTACAGATATTCATTTTAATCTTTGATTTCTTTAAGTTTTTTGATGTTTGATTTTCTACCAGTATGACACTCAGCCTCTCAAAACAAGAAGGACATTCCCCAAAGTTGAAATGAATCTGTATAAGATTTCATTCAAATGCAGAATAAATTCAAATGATTCCTAACCCCTCCTCATCTACTTTGGAGATAAAAACTGCTATGATTGTTTTAAGTAAACAGAGAAGTGGAGATGACAGGAAATCATTTTTCATTTGTTAAAAATCAGAAAACCTTTGACACACTTTTAGATAAATACACCTACTCCTTTGATCCTTTGTGTATGTATTACCACAGGGCTTAAATATCTTAAGATTTTAGTTAATGTCATTTTCATGAAAGACAGTCATTTGGAAGCCAAGAGCTCTATCTATGTTTTGTTCAAATAGCCGAGTAATCTACTATCTTGGCAGTAATTACTTCTGCTGCATTTCTAATGTGAATTGCATGTGAGAGCTTATGAATACACTCTTTTCAAGTGTATGTGGGTTTTCAAGGTATGTATTTGTGTTTGATCCTATATTTCCTTTGTTATAACATTCTGCTTTTCATCACTTTGACAGAATATTTGTAAATTTTCTGGAGAGTGAGTTTGGGTATATGCTTTGAGGAATATGCTTCCTCATTACAAAAGATATGGAAACATAATTGATTACTACACTTGCTTATCAATAGTATTTTGATTTTGTTTAAATGAAATGTTTAAGATACGTGGATTGCTATGCATTCATGTTTTAGATTTATCCTCTCCAGGCATGATTTATGCCATTCAATAATTAAAATAACTAAGTTACTTTAGAAAAAGTGCCTATTAAACAGAGTACTTTGTTTAGAGGACGTATATTTAAATAAACTTATACAGCTAAAGAAACTGACTTTCACTTCCTCAGTGACTTAATTTCACTACATGCTGATTTGTCCTTTGCAGTATTTAGCTCAGACCAAGACAGAATTGTATGTGCTATTAGATTTGCAAATTGCTGATCTCCCAGTGACTTTCCCTCTTAGATCCCAGTTGAGTATGGTTACCTTGAGAACTGTGGTATTAGCCATGTTAGAGCATGCTCCACTGGGGAGTTCTGTGCAGTCTATTTTTAATGCTATTTAATGAAGGAGCGAGCGCCTCACTCAGCAATAAAAGAAGCATGAGGGAAGACAGAGCAGTGCATGGTTATGGATACTGGACAAGGATATTTGGAAAGGTAAAGGCTGACCATTGGATATGGTAATTTTAATTAAGTCCTAATATATCATATGAATGGAAATATGGATTTTTGTTAGAGAATTATACATGAATAGTTCAATAGGTGTTTTCGTAAACCTCTTCACTAGTTCTTAGAAAGAAGACTCAATAATTTGAGTTTTTAAAACTTGAGGGACATACTAACCAGGGAGTTCCTGCATGCAGACTATTTTTAATACAAGCTGTCATATTCTTGGGTGGTGAGAAGTACAGAAATAATTTCAAATTCCTAAAATATTGTTCGGTGAAAGGTTTGGAGCTTGTAAAACGTTCTGCGAATAAAATAACTAATATGCTTCTAAGATACTACAATAACCTGAAGCTCTGCCTTGTGAATTGCTTCATTTTCTTTTATGAACTTGGAGTCTAGGTCCAGAATTGTCACAACTAAGAGAAGCAGGAAGTTTTGTTTGGACTTGATAGAATATTTGGGGTGTTTTCTCTCCTTAGAATTAAGATAAGCCCTACAGATTATCTTACTGAAGTCTAAATATTTTAAAAATATAAGTAGCAGAGGCAGCACTGGTAACTTTTGTAATGTCACAATAAAGGGCAAAATATCTTAACATTATAGTGTGTACAATGCAAGAAGCCATCTGTCTGCAACATTTGTATATATGCAGAACACCTGTCTTGAGGTAGAAAGTGAGAATGTTCAATCAGAAAGGTCTTGTGTTGATTTTCATATTAACAACATACTATAATCAGGTTATTCTTTTGTTCAGAGTAAAGCTAATTAGACAAAATGCTTAAGTAGTTGCAAGGTTAATAAACATAAGAGAAAGTAAGCAGTTTCTATTAAATGGGGAAGTTAGTCATATAATTTTTAAATGAAGCTGTTAGAACAATGTGCAAAGTTGATCTGGATTTTTGCCAATTCCTATGAAAAATAATCCCCAGAAATAAACTACTAAGGAAAATACATCACAATGAGTTACTGTGATTTTTTGTTTGTTTGTCTTTTTGACTTAGTTCTAGAGGAGGAAGACAATTCACACTGGCTAAAGTATTTCCCTTAGTGGTCATGCCTTTTGGACCACAATGCTGATACCTTTCTCAAGCTTCTCAAATCAGTGGGAATCCTCATCGGAATTCAATGTCTATTTTGTCTGTGGACAAGATAATGATAAGCTACATAAGTAGAGTGTAGAATGAGTCAGCCACTGAAGACACAATATACAAGGTAGCCAGAAGTGAATATGATTGAGAATTCTCATTAGTGTGAGGAGACAGTTTGAAGTCCATAAGGTTGGAAATTGCAAATTAATCATTTGTATATAAGTCAGTTTAATTCAGATCTGCTTTGTGACAAGGTTAGGAGAGAATGTGGGGCTTAAAGGTGATGTCGACAATGAAAGCCATTTCTTCTTATGGTAAGTACTGGCATCATTCTAACTGGTATCACATGGTAGTAGCCTATTTAGAAATTTGTGAATCTCTAATCACAAAAAGAATTGACTTCCTTAAAAATATATTATATCACCTGGAAAGTTCTGAATATATTTTAAGTCAGCGATGATGCATTTGTAAAACATATACTTCCTTTCTTTAGACAAAGGATCTTTATGATTCTAGAAGCTCTACATTTCTGTGGACTTGTATTTTATTTTTTATTCTAGCATTTTATGTTAAATATGATAAATGAATTTCAAGCAGCAATGTAAGCAAATGCTGAAGGACTGTTGAAGGAAAAAGAAAATATTAACAAGATGTATCTGTAACTAGATTTGTTTGCTTAGGGTGTCTTTGCTTCTGAGTGTTAGTTTCCTTTAGGTAGCTTTATGCCAAGTTCTAATAAATTGATTATTTGTAGTGCCTTAGTCTTATAATTTAATTAATTTTGCTCATCTTGGATTAATTTTGGCCCTAGATATTGAAGTACATGTTACTTGTATTTATATCATAACCAATGATCTATGAGGATTAGATATGAGCTGAGATATGAAGTATTTAAATTATATACATAATATGTTTCATTAAGAATAAAGTGCACGAGAAAGAATATCTGGTTCATTCAGCAGTTTTTAAATGTCTGGTAACATTGTTATCTTATAGTCTCAAAATCTGTGGTCTGAAGATATTTTCTTTAGGCATGACATGCTCATATAACATTTTGAATGCACCTTTCTCTAAACTTACCGAGACATATCTGTGCTTTGAGAAATAGCTATGCAGCAAACCAAAAAAGTGAATTGAAATAATTACATCAAGACAGTGGAGGGGATATTGCAAAAACAAAGGGGTTTGTTTGAATGCATCGAATTGCTCTCTACTTTCAGACTGAATCCTTAGCATCATATTATGCTCCTGTTTTTTAGTCACCAGTATAGATCCTGGAATTGCCAGGTGGAGAGAATGTTAATCACTGTCCATGGTCACAGTAGATCAATATTTTTAAATATCTTTACACGATTTGCCCAAAGAAATGTCTTTTGGCAGTTGTATAACCCCCATTTAATATACCTTTCAATGTGACAGGTTTAGAAGATTTTTGTATACGTTTTGTAATAAACTGATATATATTAGGATACAATTGTAATTGCGACATTAAAATGTTGAAGCATTAGAAGCATTAGTCCAAAACTGTCTCATTCAAGGAATATATTTATAATTATTTATCAGTCATAAATTCATACATTTTAAAAGTAATATACATTATAATTGTTCCTGTTATCTAGCAAAAGAAAATCATTTCTTTTTATCCAGATAAAGAGGGCAAGTGTCCACTAATAATTATCCCCTCTAAAAACAGGCCTTTTACTACATTCTCACATTTCACACTACTTCAAGATGATACAATTCTTAAATTAGAAATCCATTATGAATAACACACAAAATATTAAGATTTTGTTAACAAAATCCCTTCTGTAAACATTGGTTTTAAGATAATTGCAAATAAAATTTGTTTTTAGTTTAAGGGAAACATTCAAAATTTTTCACAAGAAAACAATTACGTCACTTTTTATTTCAAATATTCCAGCGAATTTTCTAGAGTTTTCTGGTATATTATGGGTAATGTTTCTATGAAGAATTGTAAAGTGTAATATATGATCTTTTTTTCTGCAGCTTTTTCATTGAAAACAAATTCACAAAGCATATCTACCTAGATAAGCCTAGTCATCTCTCACTGATACCCACACAAGTTAGGAAATAATTCCTTGTGGTAGGGACATTTAAAAGAACTAACTAGTTCCAAATTCAGTGCTGGAACTCTTAATAATGGATAAGCATTCTTTTACATTTGTGTTATCCTTGGTTGCTTCTTTATTATACACTAAATACTTGAGATAAGATCAAGAACTCTCCCTAGGGAAACAGAAACAAGAGAAGTGGTTTTCATATACTTAGCAGATTTCCTTTTAATTGCTAAGATACAATACTCATTCAGAACATTCTAGTCCATTGGATCATACACTAAAAAAAAATAGTTTATCCATGTTGATATATTTTGGTCTAGTTGAAATTGAGAAACAACAAGTGAGGTAAAAAATTTCAACATCTTTAAAGAACAAAATTGAACATCAATTTCTAAAAGTTTTATGGTCCTATGAATTGTGATAAAATATGCTTTGACACGTAAATCAGAAGGCCTAGCTATCATCTAAATGTTCAGTGATTCAAGTTGCTTTCAGATTATCTCACTACTGTTACATAGACCTAGAAAAATCGAGCCACTGGTCAATAGAGGGTGAAGGAAGAGCATGTCAACTCACCGAAATTCAATGACTCCTCGTAATTGTTTAAATTTTATTTGCCCATAAATTCAATGGAAAAATGGAAGACTAACACATTTATTTTTCAGCTTTTTGTATGTTTCTAAAACTGCAAGCTAAAGTCCTCACAAAAAGTTCTAACATAGAGAGATAAAAAAACTATACTCTGCATTTACATGTTTTTCTTAGTGTTTTGCTTGTTAATATCTATGTAACTTTGATGGAAATCCCAGCGTTGCTAGCATCAGATTTGATTTAATCATCAAAGAGCTTTTGGACAGAAAACAAGTAGATTTGATGTGAGTATGTGACAGAATCAAGAATTCTGCAGCATTTGCAAGCTTTAACTACTCAATGCTTCTTTAAAACAATTTTTAAATGGGTGTAAAGAAGCTTTTGGTTAAAAATATGGAACTTTATTTTCTTTGTTTAAAGAAAGAAGATTAAGGTTTTTAGTCAAATCATGATTCTTTAAGCCAATGTGGCACATAGCTGTATTAAAATTGCTATTAAATTCTGCCAAATTAATTAATTGTTAGGATTCTGCAGTCATATTGGACTACTTCATATATCTGGCCTATAGGAATGATCAAGCTAACACTCTTCGATGACTTTGTTTATATTTTGTTTATTTTAAATTTACTTAGATATGCTGATGTTGTAAGAAATTTTGGAAATTGTCAAACAACTGGCATTGTACTAAATTCAAAAATTTCACAGCAAAGAACTAGCTGGTATTAATGATTCATCATTTTTTTCACTCCCGTGTCATTTAACTTTGGTCACAACACTTTTTTGTGTGGAGATTCAAATTTCTCTCCAACACTGAAATTTTCACGTAATCACTAACAGTGTTCTGGAATGATAAGTTAATCTAGCATATAATCATGTTGCATACACATGCTGCAGCTATCTGCTTACCCTTAGCATTGTTAAGCACTCTGACAACTGAATGCCTTAATCTTTAATTATCATTATAATTATTGTCTTCAGCCAGAACTATGGATAACTTAGTGTTTTAGTGTTTTGTCATCATCGAGAGGTAGGAGAGTATACACAGCTAATGTGATAGAATGTGTATATTGCAACAAACTTATACATCTTCCAGGATAAGAATACAAATATCCCTCTAATAGGGAAATTATTTTATTTCAGAAATAATTGTAATGCCTGTGTTATTTGTCTGATATAATGTGGGAAGCTGTAGACAGAGATGTTTTGAATTCAGTGGAGCTTCTGATTGAAACTCAGATTAAAAGTAATAGAGAGGTTGTATACCAAAGGTAGGCTAGTAGCTTATCTGAGAGGGAGCAGGTAAATGAGCTGTAAGCAATGAAGGAAGGCTTTACCAAGGAGGCGCATGGCCCTCCACGAGATTCTACAGGTTAGAGAAATGCACAAAATTAGGATTAAAATGAAAGGTCCAGGGAAATAAGGGCTAAAAGTGGTGTATCTGAATCGCATTTTCTGTGACTTACCTTCATAAATATGCAATTCACCACATGAATTGGTGCGTGGTACTGGTGTTTGGTTTCTGGGTCTGAGTAAATAGTGTGACTATGGCCAAAGCTCTAAACCTCTCTGTGCTTCACAGTTTCTACAGTTAAAGTTGTATAGTAACACTGGTCCCAACTCAACAACTTGCTAGTTGTGTGACTTTGGCAACTTAGTTAATTCCTCATTGCTTCAACTTTCTCATTTATGAGGTGGGAATAAGACCTACCTTGCAGGATCAAAGCAGAAACAAAGCACTTGACACATGGATATTATTCACTTAAAAGAAACCACTTTTCTTTCACATAAAAAGTTCAGAAAGAGATTTACTTTTCTTACATTTAAGGATCCCCACCTCCATTTAAGAAAAAAAAATATTTTGGTAATTTGGAATACAGCTCTCCTTCATTGCTATCCCATAATGTTTCTGATGGTTAAAATTGGTGATGCTTGACTCTTTCTGTGCTATGAAATATTGAAGGCCAAGCCAAGGTAGTAACTAATCTCAGAAGTGTTCATTGCATAAGGAACATGATGCTTAACAAGGCCATAATCTTCTGCCAGTTTGTAAGGGAAGAAATGGTCTAATTCAGTTGTCTAAAATGTTAACATATGGGTATTATTTCTCTAGAACATTTTAGTTGTGTAATTTCTACCATTTAAATGGGGTGAATAAATAACCAAATCATTGAATAGGAAACAACTGGAATGAATCCATGAAGGAAAAACCTAAAATCCTGCACTAGTGGATGGGAGCTGGGACTAACAACATATTTGAGGTGACATGAGAGAAACATTTTTCTATTCTGCAACAAAGCAAATGGAGCTTTGGCCTCACCAAGGGGTCCTTGGCACTACCACAGAAGGCTTCAGCTTCCTGTCTCCAAGCACTGAGTGAGCTGTTTGGACAGGGCCGCTGATCTGGCCTCTGATCCTAAAGTATCTGCATTACTTTTGCTGAAATGAGTCAGCACTGTGCCTCTGTGAACATGGCCAGAGGAGGGAAAGACTTCTCTCGTAACTGAGGTTTAAACAATTGGTTCCCCTATCAAAAAATTGAGAGCCACAGATAGTATTCAACACAGGAGAAGGTGAGTTATACAAAGCAGTAAATCCATCAGATAATTGCATTTTATTTCCTATTATAAAACAGATGTCAGCATTCTTCTGGGGAATAGCCTAATCAACTATTTATCCAATAAAATTTATCAGAAGGTGTCAGAGAATAAATTTATATTTCTTTGCTATCCAAATATTTGTTGGAAAACAAACAAAAACAAGGAAAGTGTAGATATATTTTGTTCCTATATGGATACATATATATTGCTAGAGTCGACATGCTTACGCACAAGTCATTTAACTAACTTACGTTAAATACACAAACAAAAGGCCTATTTCCCAGTCCATTTTTCATTGTCCTTAGCAGTTCTTGGCTAGTATAGTGCTTGCATGTGGCAGATATTTAATCAAAGTTTGTTGAATTAAAAATTGACCTTTCTACTGATACTCAGAATTTAAAACCTACTCTAAATAAGGTTTTAATTGTATTTTTTCCCTGAAGTTTCAGCTTAAGCAGATTTGATATTCATTTTTTTGAGAGGACAAAAACCTGCCCTTATATGTAGAATTGTAACTGCACTAGCTATTATTTTGGTTCTTACAAAATAGTTTCTTCCTCAGATCTCAGACAATGACTAGGGATTTTATGGGAATAACAAGGCTCCTAAAAGTTCAATCTGCTTAAACTGACTACAAACATTACTTTTCCATATAAGTGGGAGGGAATTCATTAACACTCAGTTAATATGGTCTTGGAAGAAAGAATGAGGCAAAAGCACGTTTACAAATATTTCCAAATCATTGTTACACAGAGCTAAAGGCAACCCATCTTTACTGGATGTGTGCCTTTGGAGAGATTAACCATGGTGAAGGACACCCAGCATGTGCGGAAGGAATTCACTCCTCCAAAGAACTAAGCAAGTAGGCAGTGCTGAATTAGAAGGCAGGGGTGAGGGACAAAGGGAGAAGAGAATATTAACAAATTCAAGACTTTCAGACCCCCCTCCTGCTTTAAGCAGAACAGGTGCCACCAAGCTATAGGAAGCTCTTCTCTTCCTGCTACTTTGGAAAAATGATAGGAATAACCAGAGTTAAATAGAAAATCATTTAATCCAACTGGACCATTGAGAACTGAATTCACGTTTTACCCGATCTATAAAAATAATCTTGTTTGAAAGGAAGGGGTCCAGATGATTACAAATGAAATGAGTTTGCTTTCTTAATTTGTTTCCAACATTTTAAGAAATGCTAAGTGTAATGTTGATGGAATGAACTTCCATTCACCCATCCACTTTAAACACACACAGACACACAAACAAAAAACAAAACCTTATACCTTAACTTAGAAGAGGAACACGTTATCTTCTCTGAGACTGTGGCAGGCTTTAGGAACATGTAGAAAGCAATAGATTTTGACACCGTTGATATTCTCATCAGGAAGCCAGCAAAATACATTCGAGAACACATTGTTTCAAAGTAAGGGAACTTCCATGGAAGCCAAGTTAAGTAGCCAGCTGAGTTCTTGGGTGACGGCTAACAAGGCTTGTCTTTGCATCAGATATCATTACCATCACTCATTTATTCATTCTTATTTTTCAAGTATTTATTGAAGTTTTCTATGTATTGTGTCTCAGGCTAAATACTTGGGAAAACTTGATGTGTAGGATTTTATAGGCACTTGGATGAGATGAATGCATTTTAACTTTTCTGAACAATGAATTGAGTAATTGAGAGTTTCACAAAAATCCAAAGTGATAGGTAGACAATATCTTGGATGATAAAGTAATATGAATTAATTCCAACAAATTAGAAAAATCTTTCTTTACCAATAAAGTTAATTAGGTAATCCCTAGAGCGTACACTTTGAGGGTAGAAAAATATTGTTTCCAGAAAACAAACATGGAAGAGTGAGCACCACTGAGAAGCTTTGGTGGAGAGGAAAGTTCTGTTGGTGGGAATAGGCCACAAAGTAAAACCAACATTTAGGTTGCTCTCCAACAAGAAAAAACACCATCAACCAAGACAAATGTATATGAAATTAGTATGAGCCAGTCATATTCTCTTTTTCACTCCCATTAAATCATACATTTACTGTATTAGTTACTAGGGCTGCAAGTAAATGGTTGAAATTACATTGGGATTGTGAACTGAATCCACAGTTTAAGGTACCTGATCAGAGTAAAGTATAGAAAATACATGAACCAGCCTACGTATTTAGAATTAAAAATTAGGTTTATCAAAAGACAAGTTATTCTTTGAATTTGTTGTGAGATTCCACATTTGTGTGTTTGAGAAAGGAAACAGGAAAATTATTTCAGAAAAAAATGATAAAATATTATAAAATCTGTTAATCCTTAATAAATTAAAAATAGTGCCTGTGATCAGAGGAAGATGAAATTTAAATGGTTCTGTAGGAAAACCACAGAGGAATAAAAGATTTGATCTGTAGGTCATCTGAAGGATAATCTTTTTTTAAAGAAAAAGATGCATTATTTTTTCATTGGCAGCAAAAACAATTTAGATATTTGGAGGCAGAGAGATGTCTGGAGAAATATATATTGCCTCTGACCTGCCTCTTGTTCAAATACCTTGCTCTGAAATACTGAGAAAGAACCTACTTTTTGAAATTACCTGTAAGCGACAGGATTATGCCAGATAATATCTAAGATCTCTTCCAGTTTATAATTTCCATTATTTAATGACACTTTTTTGTATAATATTCATGCATCCATTTTTATTGGCTTGTTCATAAATGTTAACTATGCTTTGTTCTTTAGCGCTGAAAGTAAGCACTAATGCTACCCAACAGGAGTGAAATTTTTAGAAGGTGCTCTTATCAAGAATAGTTGGTTAAGAAAAGAAAATCTGGGTTCCCAGACCTGGGCTCAGATCCAACTCTGCAACTTAGTAGAAAGTTTCTTAAGCTTTCTAAACCTCAGCTGTTTCATTTCTAAAAGGGGATTGTTCTAAGAATTAAATATAAACTTCTTACCTCATTTCTTGGTACTCATTTTTTTCTGGTGATCATAGTTTTGGAGTTTCTTATGTCCTTATCACTATTTTTTCTTGATTGCATAGGCCTCACATAATTAAAGCATCCCCATAAAACCCCTCCCAGTGTTGAGAATGTTTTCATGATGTGGCAGTTATCTTGGATATTTTGTTCAGGCATAATTGGAATCCGTTTTCAACACAGCTATACTCTATATGATGAATGCTTCCACATCAATGGTTCTGTGAGGAGAGGCCATCTGTGAACACAGAGTGCAGGTCATTGTTTCTAGAAGGCACTCCTTGCACAGACAGCAGGATTTGACCTTTTATAAGCTTGGATGGGCAGTAGAGACTTTGAAAAAGAGATGTGGGTATTCATAGGTGATTCAGAATTCTATGTGTACACAAGATTCCATGCAGTATTTTATAATCTACTAATGTGACTCAGCTTTGGGTAAGATTGTAGTTCTGGTGGTGATTCACAGAGGTCTCCTAGATTTGTCTAGTAATACTGTAGAGAGTTTAGTCTTAGCATCCTTCCAGGAGCAATTTGGGACTGTTATCTAAGAACTAAGAATGATTTCAAATAAAATTACAGTAAACTTGTGACTTGTTCACTTTGCAGATAAAACCAATGGTTATATCCAGCAGAAGGCCATTTGTATAATAAAAGATTTGCCCAAAGGATCTAGCAAGAGAAGAGAGCTCTAAAATCAATTTTTCTAAAAATCACTGAAAACATTACCTCATTGTTTTGATCTAGCTGTGAAAATAGACTGTTTTTTATGTTTTAAGAAAGGATGAGGAGATATCACTTGTTTCATCATTTATTGATTGGATCCTTAGGCTTAAGCAGGGATCAAACAGTTTGCACTGTTAGCCAAGGCATTTACAGCATTGAGACAGAAGCAGACCTACAAACTTGAATGGGCTTATATATTTTACTGGGTAAATTTACCTAATATATTGAATTGACAGCTAAAATGTAGGTATTCCTGATGAGGTACATCGATAAATGGTAAAGAAGATCTACATGAAAGGAGTGTGATGTTTTTCTGAACTTGTTAGGGAAGCTACCATGTGGCCATTTGTGGAGGAAATCTGTACTTATTTCTGTATTGATTAGGTCATTTGTGCCATTTGTTCTGCTCTGCGGGAATTACTTCACTTGGCTTGCTCTTTCTGCACTCTGAATTACCTTGTTTCTCCAGGCAAAAATTCTTATCTGTATAGAAATCCAAGATTTCTGTAGCCTTGTGAGTATTATTTGCTGAAGGCGCAGGGACAGTGATAAGTGAAAAGTCAGTATTCTTCTACTGATTTTGAGTTTACCTTTGGATTATGTTTGATCAAAAGCTACATGTGGCATTGTGATTTCAAATAAATAATTTGTTTTATTGTCTTGTACTGTAAATGTTACCTGATATTTATAAACTCCCTCCTGTGTGAAAGGGACTTTGTGTGCCTATGTAATGTCCATACCTATCTACTTTTTGGCTGTAGTCATAGCAGTGACATTATCTCTGTTATGATATATTTAGGGATTCTTGTTGAAGGAAGAATGAAAGAAGTTATTTCATCCTTAATTTTTTTCTTTGTAATATGAATTACCCTGTAATATGTAACGGCCACACAAAACAGAGAATTCAATTATCTCATCTGGGTATCATCTAACTAAGAATCAGGAGCTAAGGGAAGTAGGTATAGTGAAGCCATGACAAAGAAGGCCATGGAAATTAATTTTTGAAACTGCCGCAAAGTACACGGAAATTTGTCTGCATGCTTCACAGATCTATACTTGTGGTTGCCGTTTATGGCACGAATGATGCCACGGACTATCAGCTCCTGATTTTACATATCTTTGGGACACACTCTCCCCCGGTGTCATAGGAAGGGGGTAGGTTTGACATCATGGTGATCTAAATTTGAATTCCATCTCTGCCTCTTACTCACCTAGCAAAGTTAATTAACCATTGTGAGTTTAATATTTTCTTCATGAGTTACGTATAAAATACTTGCCACATAATAGAAATGATAGCTTGTTCCTGCTTTCTCTACATGTACTGACTATCCATTAAAACATTGAAACTTCTAAGAATATGTACACTGAAATTGTATGTATATCAATATTTGTTTTGAAAATACTGTAAAGTTGTGGTTTGAGTCACAAATATTGTATCAGTCCATGAATAACTGGAAAAGAAAAGTAAAATAAATTTGGAGGGTTGTCACATTCTATAGCATTGGCTTTTATAAAGTGTCAACAAGATATATAATTAAGTAAAAAAATAAGGAAAAAATACTACGGCATATCTAAATCCATATTTGCACTCACCACCCATCTTAATTTGAAGCAGTGAGGTTTCTTTAGGGGACCCAGTGATTCACACTTAAGAACAAACAGATGCCTAGGAATAAGTGATTAAGAGAAAATATTATTTTTTCAGAAAATAAATGGTGATAAAATAGATGAAAAATGGTTTTAAAGATGCATATTAAGTGATGAGTGAAGTTTAAAGGAAAATTGCATTTTCATTTTTTTTCCTAATGGATTCACATGGTTTGAGCTTTTAAGTGCATGTTTTAAGTTACTCTTTTGTGATTGTTTACAGTTAAGGCATATTACCTTGCTCTTCAAATACGTGCTCTAAGATATTCCTCTGTAAACTCAGGGAAAGGCACTACATTATTTATTTACAACCTGTCTTCTGCCCCATGGGGGAGAAGTAACACCAGATAGACAAAGGTATGGAATTTACCGATATTGAGCATGAAATTATCCTTTCTAACTAATACGTTTCTCCTGCAATTATCTTCTGAAAAACTTATATAAGAATTAGCCCATGTGAGCTTTCTTCGCAGATTGTTTGTCCTCAATTTGTTTTCTGCCAAGCAAACCAAACACCTGGAATGCACACGCTCATTCCTTGACTGTGCTTTCAGTGTTTGTTGGCAGAGGGTGACGGTTGCTTTTAGCAGATGTGCAGGATCAGGGTGGCCTTTTTATCTTTCTACCCTCAAGGAGTCAGTTTCTCAGATAAAGGAAGTGGTGAGGATAACGGATGTTTCAGCCTTACCATTAAATAAAAGTTAAGCATAGTAGGTATAATAAACATGTTTATTAATTATTTGTCAAAGGTAGTGACTTTGTTAAAACATTTGGAAAGAGAAATTTAAAGACAATGCTTAATTTTTATTAAATATTAAATCTTATTTTATGACCTGAAGTAAACTAACAACCAAAATAATTTTCTTTGTTTTCCCATTTACCTAACTTGATGAAATGGAAAATCTTAGAAATAATATTTATAGGTAAATATAAGGATTTATTTTATATCAATATATTTTACATTATGTACATAAAACATATTGCTACAAACTTCTTAACCTAATTCATCATATGCATTAGCTAGGTTTACTCCGGTAAGTTTTAACCCATGACAAGGAAATAAACTTTATTTTACTTTTGAGAAATATTTCTGCAGAGATAACAGAAAATAAATGTGCATACTCTTTGATAAATATATATGTGTGTATATTGATATCTACATTTATATATGTATATATTTGAGATTTCTTATTATAAAAAGAATAATCTTTATTATTATGACTGATGGGGTGCTCCAGGCTAGCTTATTTTCTACTTTTTTTCTTTCTGAATTCACTTTTTTCATTGCTAATAAACAATATCCCATTAAGGCTAGGATAATAGAAGAGAATCAATGAAGAGTGGAAACTTGCCTGTACCCCTCTTCTCTGCACGTCACAGCTGATGAAATGGCAAGATAGTAATAGAGAGTAAGATGATGAATTTATTGTTTCAAATGAGGACTCAGGGGTTTCTGTACACTTTAGATTTTGATTTCATAGCTCTGCCCCAGTGACTAAAATGAGCTGTACTGTATGTCTTTTAAATGCCAATTGGTGATTCAGGGCCCATATTTTAACACAAATGAGCCATCCTATTCCTTAAGTGAATACCATTACAGAAGGAAGTAAATGTGAGTTTTCTTATGTCACCTCAAGGGGAAATCTCAGATGGTGGCCCTCCTTCTTTATCACATAGGAGAGTTATTTCTGAAGCAGTAGTTCTCAAAACATCATATACATGAGAATCACCTGAAGGTTTATTGAAATACAGAATTTTTGGATTCAGCAGGTCTGTGATGGGGCCCAAGTATATGCATTTCTAACAAGTTCTTAGTGATGTTGATGTTGCCAGTACATGAACCAGAATTTGACAACTACTGATCTAAAACATAAAACTTTTTGCCAGAATGTAGAATTTGCATGATTGAGATTTTATAATCTAAAAACAAAGGAATATTATAAAATTTCAAAACAAACTAATCTTAGAATAACTTTGAATTTACTTTCATTTAAAAATTATTTTTAAAACATATTTTTAAAGGAGTAGATGAGGATAGTAGATTCCACTAGACAGAGTTACGCAGTCTCTGTTTTGAATGACTATTGAATACAAATTTCTCTCTAAGATTGTGTGTACTAAGAGTTTCCAGTGTAGGATTACAAAATCCACTGAGATATAATAATAATCCCCTAATCCACAAGACTGGATATTCTAAAAATCAAGGAAAATTTTAAAATAAAAATTGGTGAGCATTAGAGGTTAAAACTGTCAACACAAAAATGTGAAGACAAAGATTTATAACAGCTTTATTTTAATTGCCCCAAATTAGGAACAGCTCAAATGTCCTTTAGAAGGTGGATAAACTGCAGTACATCCATAGAGTGGAATATTGCTCAGCAGTAAAAAGGAGTGAATTACTAATCGACACAATAGTTTGGATGGGTCTCAAGGGAATTATTCTGAGTGAAAGAAGCCAATCTCAAGTCATTGCAGACTGTATGATCCCATTTATATCACATGTCAAAATGATAAAACTATCATGACAAAGGGCAGATTGGTGACTGCTAGGAGATATGACAAAGGGAGGGGTGTCACTGTAAAGGGGTCGTATGAGGAAGTTAAAAAACTGGAACTGTTCTGTAGCCTGATAGTGATGGTGGTTATATAAATTTATACAAGTGTTAAAATTAATAAAACCATACAGCCCCTAAAAAAGTCAAATTTACTGTATAATAGTTTTAAAATTAAAAAAGGCAGAATTACACTACCATTTAGTTACATCAAGTAACTGAATTTGCAGTTGTATGAGGTAAAAGTATCAATTTATATAAATAAAATATGCTTTATTTCAAACAAAATAGATAAGAAGATATGATCTCTATGAGAATCATTCTTCAAAAATGGTACTAATTCCATTTTTTCCAGGCAGAGATCCTAGGCAAATTTTGGAATTTGGAAAAATCTGACTGACATAGTCCTTAACTGTGTTACCCCTGGTACCCTTCCCCTATTTTCTCATTCGGTATTTTTCTTAGAATCCTTTCCTGTAAACTTTGCTGCTTTAAAAATGATTTTCATGGACACGTTTATTCCTCTCATTTAGACTAACTGTGAAAAACTGACAGCCTAGAACTTTCATCCAGTTACCTCCCACATATATGTACACGCCCTCAGAAATTGCCATCCATTCACAACTTAAAGAGCCCAGTGGCTTCTGAAGGAAGCCCATACCATTCTGAAGTAGCTATAATTTTTAAAGACACTAAGGTCTCTAGAAATGTCTGGAAGATCAGGTCTCCAGAAGAATTGGCAGTTTAATTCTAGCCAGGGATCTGATCAGGTGATATCAATAAACATCTGTTGAAAAAATGCATATGTTTCTCTCAGTGAACGAGTTAATAGCTAATACACTTATAATGGCAACTCTGTGTGAAGTACTTTTCTGAGTACTTTATGTATATTAATGTGCTTAATCCTCTCAGCCACTTTTGAGGTAGGGACCCTTATTATTTGCATTTTCAGATGAGAAAACTGAGGCACAAACACATTTGGTAACTTTCTCAGAGTCAGTGGTGGAGTCAGTCTTCAAGCCCTTGATGTCCAGCTTCAGAGTCCATGCAGATAGTCTCAGTTGACTTAGTCCTAAAGGCAGCTGTGGGTTGAGGTTCCAACAGCCTCTGGTCTGCTTCATTCCTCAAAGTAATCTCCAAGCCCGAATCCTAGCATGGTGGTAGAGGTGAGGCTCCATAAACCTTAGAAATAGCTCTCCCAGATATGACAACATTTGGGCCTTGGACCAGTGGTCGTGCATCCACTCTACAGTAACAGGGGCTTCTATAGTTAATTTGATTCTCAGTTTTAAGATTACTAGAGAATCAAATGTTGAGTATGCACTTTTGTATGTTAGTGGGATATCTGAAGCAACATTACTGATAAAAAGTAATTGCACATTTCTGGATAGTGATAACTGGAATAATACTCTCTTGTGATAAAAGATACAGTTTTTACATGGTTTGGCATCTTTCTTTAATCAGTACCCATGATTATATAGGTGAGTCTTGCATTCCCTTCTTGGTGAACACATTCCAGACTCATAGATTGGGCATGGTGATGGCAGGCAGTGGAAAAAGCATGGGTTTTTGAGAACTGTGTTTGAATAATTTTTATGCAGTTTGACTTTGGGCAGGGAATTTTATCCTTTCTGAACCGTTTTCTTTCTTTCTCTTTCTTTCTTCTTCCCTCCATGAGTGAATGATTCGTTGTAGTGAGGATTAAAAACACTATGTGTAAAGTGTTCTTTTTGGCATTTTGTACATGAAATAATGTATGAAAACATGATACCTATTATCTGCTTGCTATGAGTTAAGATATCTGTATTTAAGTGGAATTAAATATGAACAACTCTGGGAGTTTGTGATGATCGTTATCCAGGTACCAATTTTTAGATTTACTTTCAAAATCTAAAAATGATATGCAATATCAATTTCTCTTGGTTACAAAGACTGGTGCCAAGGTTTTTCTCCTGATGACATACCCATAAGCCTTGTGAGGAAATAAAGTAATTTAAATATGAGCTTAATGCCAGCACAGCCATAGAAGTAAATACATGTCTATAAAATGAAGCACTTAATTCCTTTAAGTAGCTGCCTTTTAGGTTCTTTTCTGAACTGACCCCTTTTTGGCCCCCAGGCTCTGATGTGTAAGGCTGGACCTGTGCTGTGCTGAATTTCAGGAGAGAGTGTACAAATGTTACTCACAGTGTGAGTAGTGAGAGATGGAGTGCAGGCCAATCTTCTGCAGCTGGGAAGAGCAATTAGCAGCTTCATGAATTAGGGTCTTGTTTACACTGTTGTCCAAGATAATCATTTGTTTGTTTTAACTAAGATGCTCTATCTTCATCAGAGGCATCAATCCTCATATTTAAATGATAAAGTCTTTGAATTTCACAGATAATGTTTGGATTTCACAGCGGGAACCCCACACAGCACATATTCTCTCTTGCTGACTTTGATAATCAAGACATGAGCTATGTATATTGCAAGTTTTTCTTCAAATAGATATGAAAACACGATGTCATCTATTCTTGCAACATTTTTTACACAGACCCATTTTAAGAAATACTTTTAACATTACGTCCCAGCACACATACATACATGCTTGTGAATGCACACAGAGTCCACAAACACTTGTGTTCTTCATGTAGACACAGCACACAAGCTCAGATTTTTTGGTTAAATTTATGCCTTCAAAACACATTTTAAAATATGATAATATGAATATAATATAAATAGTTAATATTTTAAGCAATTGAAAAATTAATACACCTTTCTGGGTTTAGATGATTAGAAGACATTTATAGAAGACATTTACATTTTTAGAAACATGCATTCATTTCCTATTGTATTCTAGACATCTTGGCGGGTCCTAGAGACCCAGAGATAAACAAAGCACAATCCCTGCCCTTGGTGAACTTACAGCCTGACTCTCATATCATTTCAAGGCCCTAGGATAAGTGCTGGAGTGCAGGTGTGTAGCCTGATAGAGACATCAAGGTGAACACAGAGGAGGAACAGATCATGAAAAGTGGGCGGTAGAGAGCTAGGAGATTTGTTAGTAAAGGGTTGAATCTCATTTTGTTGGTTAATATACAAGTTTAAAGCAGTAATTCATCACATGTTGTAAGATGAGTTTCTCAAAAGGAGAAAACCTTTAGAGAATAAAGGTGGCTGGTGTGTTGTTCTGACTGATGGAGGGGCTTCCTGTTTTATACCAAAAGCACTGTATTGTTCAGGAGCAGCTCAGTCAAAAGACATTGGTCCACAATGACACCTGGGTGTGTAAAGAGTCACATAAGTTCTTGTAATAAAAACATCAGAGAGCTGTTTTATGACAAGAGTCACAGGTGTGCATTGCACCATCTGCTGGCATAGGGAGAGCATGAGAGGCTTTGCCAAGGGACAGATCAATGTTCTAGCCCTGACAAGCCTTCCTGGCATCCTTCTCAGGGATTCTCAGCTTTTGGACCTTGACTTCTTTCCCCTTTTTGACATAGAGCAAAGCAAGAGGTGGTTTAATAAATAATCATGAGGTATCACTTCTAAATTACTGAAAAATCTTTTAAATATCTGCATTTACATGGTTCTTTCCATTTCCTCCAGGAGAACACAGGGGGCTGGTCTATTCCCAATTCTGAATAAAACACAAGATGGTATCTATAAATGATCGGCCCAGCCACCAGAGGACCTCTTGCTCTCCTGCATTTCTTTGAATTTGTTCTTAGCCTCAGCTTCTGCCTCTGGGCCCCATCCTTCCAGATGTGAGCAGGCCAAACTCTTACTCTGCTTCCACCCCCTTATCCGCACATACACCATAAAAGTGCACCTCACTTTTTGCCCCTTCAAACTATCCTTGCTATTGGCTATAGTCTTTGCCCTCGAAATCTCTTCTGTGCCATCCTTGGAGAAAGGTCTGGAAAAGGAGAGCAATACTTGAACTCTCAAGGAAAGACAGAGGAAAGTTGCTTCTAACTCTCAAGTGTGTGTAACAAGAGGTTAAGATAATGACTAACTTCATTCTCAAAGTTCACTTCTTGGGGGATAATTATCAGATTCTTGATGGGTATTTATCAGTAAGGAGAATGACTAACTTTTGACTGAGGATTTTGAGTAAATGCTTCTATTCTTTTTTGTGGGGTACTACTCTCTTTATCTTACTGGATGGGAGATAGTTGTGGGTTTTTTTCCCTAAATAATGAATTAGTCTAATTTAACCCTTTATCTTGAAAATTAGTGAACAATCCTATAATGACTCATTTGGAAGTCACTGCTTAGCATACTTACTGAAAAACAAAGAAAATATGTAGTTGGAAAGCTAAATTGAGTAACTCCTTGTTTTTAGCAGATTATAAATTTCTTAAAGGCAGGTACAGGGCTAAATCTATCTTTGCATCTCACAATTTTTAGCAGACTTTTTTACACCTAGTAGGAGCTGGGTAAATAATAGTTTATCAACTTCACTGGCATAACAAGGCCTAATTACACACATGATCACATACACATGGATTACCTGTACAATTGAAACTGGACCCTCCAGGAGAGCGAGTGCTTTACTTTGACCAATTTAAATACAAATCTCAGCCTTGTAAAACATCAAATACAGAATATAATTTAATATTCTCTCATTGATTCATTGT
Organism: Homo sapiens; assembly: GCF_000001405.40. NCBI lineage: Eukaryota > Metazoa > Chordata > Mammalia > Primates > Hominidae > Homo > Homo sapiens. The sequence goes on from NC_000003.12 coordinate 35,661,273, forward strand.
CATAGTATGAAAATCAGTTATTGAGCTATATCGTGAGAATGGTGAATTTGTGCTGTTAAAACTTCACCTCCTCCAGGCATATCCACAAGGAGAAATGGCAAACAATGGGACAAAAAGAGGAAAAGAGATAAAGTGACTCTGTCAGTCTTTACCAGTAAAAGTCATGGAATACTGCTCAGCACATAGAAACATGCTGTAAGTGTTAGTTGCTGCTATAATTATTTAGGCAGCTCCTTTATTAGAATCTTTGAACTGCTAGTATACATTCTCTGCATGGAGTATAGAAACTTGAAAATAAATACAGCATAAAGAAATCAGAACACTTATAAATTTCTTATGACCGGCTATAAAATTCAAAAAATCAACAGTATTCAATTCTCATTGACCTTTTTATGTCCTGCCTCATCTCTCAAAAGAGTACTTTTGTAGGCAACAATAATACATATTTCCTGGAGAGAGAATGAGGCACAGTGGATGCCTTTGTATTTATTGTGTTACCTTGGGCAAGTTCCTTGACCTTACTGAATTTTAGTTGTTCCATGTGTATAAAGGAGACAGTGACATACCTGTTTCTGGTTGTGAGGTAATAAATGAGATACTTTGTAAAAGTTTTGAAACACTTCATGGGCACTAACTAATTTGTAATCATAGTATCTTGAATGCCTATTATGTGTCAGGCCTGGTGTTAGCTATTGGTGATTTTAAAATTAAGTTTGAGGATATAATTTTCGGAGGTGTTCACAAGTAGACATACTTTGGATTTGAGATTAGAGAATTATGTAGCATTATAGTGGCCTCTGAGAGTTAAAGGTCAAAATAGGATGAGATTTCAGGTGTAGAAGATAATTCACACCATTGGAAAGAATCATAGTGTGTGTGGTTTATTTTTAAGCATTAAATATGTGGTCCCATATAAACCAACTTAGCAGTACCAATTGGCATACATGTGCGTACTGTATGTAGTTTTAATACTTTTATAAATATTGCAAGATTTGGAGCAGTGATGAGGTGCCAGGTATTAGAGAGGTGATTAAGAGGAGCTAACAATGGCTTAAAGCAAAATGGTGATTGTTAACCTGGGTTTTATCACTACTGCAAAGCATTTTCAACCCTTCTGAAAGGATGTCCTGTGATGTTGCAGGTAGGTTTCTGGAAAGCATACTCTGAGATAGAGTTAAGTGTGCAGGATGTTTACTAAGGAGAGTTCTTGGGACCAACCCCACAGAGGGACAGGGAGGGGAGCAGGACTGGGCAGAGAGAGAAGGTGAGCTGCAGTTCAGGCCAGAGGATGAGGACAGCCTCTGCTGATCCTGCAGAAAGCTCTGCCACTGGAATGACCTTCAGAGAGTCCCACAAAGGGTTGAGATCTCAGGGCTTCTAGTACCCTCTTGATCATTTATTGAATTATTGGATATGGATTATTCTAGGAAAGAGTGTGCTTGAGGTAGTGCAGCTCTCTGCAGCAGAGACAGTTCAACAAGAGGCAACAAGACCTTGAAGGGAGAATTGTGCCCACCAAGTGAAATCTACCAGAAGGGTAAAAAAAATTAACAAAGATTGCATATTCTCACTTGTATCTGGGAGCTAAAAATTTTGATCACATGGAGACAGAGAGTAAAAAGATAGATAACAGAGGCTGGGAAGGGTGAGTGGCATAGGGAAGAAAGGATGAAGAGAAGTTGATTAAAGGGTACAAACATACAGCAAGATAGAAGGAATAGATTCAATGTTTGATAACAGAGTAGGGTGACTATATTTAACAAAAAGATACTGTACTCAGGCGATGGACACCCTAAATACTCTGACTTTATCACTATGTATTGTATGCATGTTGTAGCATTTCTCATGTACCCTATAAATTTGTACAAATTAAAAAAAAATAACAACAGAAACTTCATGATGCCTAGAGCAGACGTATCTAAATGCTTACCCCAGAATTGAATAAAAATTGTGTATTGCTGCTAGGGAGAAAAGGCTTCACTGGATTTGGGTCAGTTTTTTCAAAAAAGCTGTGATCTATACGGTTTTTAAACCCCTAACATTCTCCTTGGAAATAACAATCAATCACCTACAAATCAGAGTCTCTCCCACCTGGACTGAAGCCCAGTCTGGGCGCATAGTTCTTGCATCTGACAATGATTTAATCCCCAGACAAATTTTTATACTTTGAACTTTTTATTATGGAAATTTTTTAAATGTGCACAAAATGGAGATAATTGTGTAACAAACCCCCATGTATGCATCATGAAGCATCAGCATTTTGCCCTTCTTGTTCCAGAGAAATTTTTAATAGCACAAAGCACAGCCTCCCGTGTTGATCGGAGACAGATCTGGAGGGATGTGTCCTCGGAGCGGGGTGAGATTTCACAATGTTTGAAGGTAGGAACATCTCTTAATAGCACTGACGTGAGTGCAGTTGAAGCTGTCAGAGCCACGGTTCTGGGAAGTGGCACGCTCACCCCCACAGTCCTCCGGAGTAATGCTGGGCCATATACTCGCATTTCCACTGTCCCAGCTTGCCTGCTGGGCCGTGGGAATTGGATTTGGACCTGGAATGTGTGCTGATGCCTGAGGCTATCTTAATGCTTCATGGCACCCAAGAAGGCCATACTTGGCATCTCAAAAAAGGTGCAGGGCATTTAACATGTTTGCTTTAGTTTTGTAATTATGCTGTGTAACCGAGGGTCCTCTTGGAAATTGTTGCAAATGAAAGTGAACTGTCCAGTCGTCCGTGTTCTTGGCAAATTTTCAGCCCACTATAAAGCGAAAATCAAAATTTCTGTTTAAGAAAGGAGTATCTTCAAAAAAGCTTGCAGACAATATCTAAAGCAATGTTTGAAATCTTAATAGAACCCTGTGACTTGAACACCTAAACTATTTTTTAAAGTTTGATTTTGTTTTTAATTGACACGTACATATTTATGGGGTATAATGTGGTATTTCAACACATGTATTCATTGTGTAATGATCGAATCAGAGTAATTAGCATATCCATCACCTCAAATATTTGTCATTTCTTTGTGGTGAGAACATTAAAAATCCTCTCTTCTCGCTATTTGGAAATATGCAATACAATATTGTTAACTGTAGTTACCCTATAGAGCAATTTCTAGAACAGAACTTTTTCCTCCTGAGTGTAACTTTGTACCTGTTGACCAGACTCTCTCCATCATCCCTCCCACGATCCCTAGACTCTGGTAACTGCTATTCTATCATTTCTGATACCCTGCAACTTCAAGTCCCCAGGTGGCTCTGCCAGAGCGTTCACGATGACGTCCCATTCCTGTTAAGCTATGCCTCTATCCTCAGTGGAAACAGCCCGGGCGTTCCTAGGAGTGAATCAGCAGTCCGCTTTATCCCTTCGAATTGAGCAGGAATTTGTTGGTTGTTTGGCTCCGGAGCAGGTGGCGGCGGGGGCTGTGGCGGTTGCGTTTCCTCTTTGAGGTGGGGGCTCAGCTGTTTCCTTGGTCATGCGCCCCTGGTAAGTGCCTGGAGGAGGCAGAAGGCCAAGAATACAGCTGAGACTTGGTCTGCTGCCAACTCCCAGCAGCTGCTGCTCTGTTCTCTGAGCTGGAACCGACTCCAGGCTGCTATGTGGCCTGATCTGGCATTCAGGGAGGGGCTTCAGAGGAGTGTCACTTGCATACTCTGAGTGACTTAGCCCACCTGCTATTTTGTGTGTGTGTAACCTAATTCAAGTGAGACTTCTCCAACATTCGAATTACATGAAAAATGTTAGGTCACTGAAAGAAACAAACTTTTCGCTCCTTTGGAGGCCAATGAATTTGCAGATCTTAAAGGAATGATTTTAAAAGTTAAAAGCTGAGTGGACCACCCTAACTCAGAATACATGAGTTTAATATAAGTGTGTCTTGGTTTATATTTATGTCTGTCTACATATGCACAAAAGCAACTTGGAAAGAATACAGGACTAGAAGAAGAACAGAGTCTTAGGCTTTATGTGGCCTTTATGTAGATAAATATAAAGGACAACAGCATTGCCCTTGGCCTAAGCTTTTTTTTTTAATATGATAACAAGATCATAAGCGGCCTAAGCTTTTTTTAATATGATAACAAGATCATAAAACTCTCATGAAATTATGAGAGCTTGTTTTTGAAGTAAAAATTTAAAGTAAGTGGAAAGTTCTGAGCAAAGTGCTATACATGGACACTCTAAAAATATCTGCAGAATCAAAATGTGTACTTAGATACCACACACATACATCCATGTATCTAGTTCTACATTGAAGTAGTTAATAGGTCTTTTCAAATGACTTTAACACTGAGTTGTTTTGTATAGTGAAAACATTCATTTGGAGGTAAGAGGTTATATCAAACATTCAGGATTTAGTCATTTCCTATATTTGAGAAACAAGAAAAGAATCCTCTGGGTAAATATTGCATTTGTTCATGAAACCATCCTCATTTTCAAAAGCACAGCTGCAGATGAAGAGCTACTTAATGAACCCTATTCCATTTTGTAAAAAGTTAATACAACTTCCCCCTGGAGTCTCCTAGAGGGCAGGGCTGTACTCCAGTCATCGTTGTAATGCTTGTTCTCATCAAGGTATTTAGTTAGTGTATGCACAATATGTGGAAGGCAGTAAAATGTATCCTGCTCATTAATGGTTTTTTAAAGGAAACGTGATAGAATGTGTGCATTGTTGTGGTTTCTAAAACACCCAGATCATTGCTCACTGTATGATGGCTCAACTGGGCTGTGCCCATATCCTCAGAACCTCAACTCCAACCTTACGGTTCAAAGAATAGTGGTTGGAAGTAGGAGCTGATTAAAAGTGGCAAACCTACTTGGGGGATACTCAGTCAAGGAGATTAATAAATAGTATATACTGAGAATGATACAAATGAATACCGATGTTGTCACTTATACACCCTTCCCTGAATCTAAACCTACCAAGCAGAAGGGAATTTAATTTCTTTAAATGGAGTTATAGGGTATTCCCACAAACTGCTATTTTTTTCTGAAAATTTTTTACTGGTTTCTTGTAGAGGGAAGCAAGCTTAGAACAAAATATTCCAATCAGTGGCTCCACACAAAAATATCCCTGAATTCTTAAGAAATTTTAGCCCAAGTCATATTGCAAAATTATTCTTGACTTTGTTTTCAGTGATTTTGAGTTGTTTTGATTTTGACATTTATTCCAAGCACAAAACATATTTTATGATAATTTAAATGTCTATTTAATTAATCTTGACATTCTTTTGGCATTATTCAACTAGTTTTAAAATTTTTGTTAAATTATTTGGTTGTGTGTAGGTGTAGGGTTTTTATTTTAGTTTGTCTTTGACATTAATTTCAAACATACATTTTTATAGACTAAATTCCTTTTATTGCACATTTTATTAAATGTACTTCTTCTTAATTTTAGCTTTATTAACAATTTTTCCATTATCTTTACTTTTCTATTTTTTGATTAAATGGGTAATTATATTTCAACCACAAACATGCTTTACAGTGTGATTAACACTGCAAACAGGCATCCAAATTAATTCATTATTTTCTATCTCTTCTCAGTCTTTATGTTTACTTTTTCCAAATATAAAATTAAACAGGTTTTTTTGAGATTTGGAAAGGTTAGAATAAACATGCAACCTCAACTATCCCCTGTGGTTCTACCCACCTGAATTGCCACTGGCATCACTATGGCATGCCTTCAGTATTTATTGCCAGTCATGTAGTAACTATTATCCTCACTCATTTCAAAAGCGTATGGATAAAATTGAAGTCCCAGAACCAATCTGTCAGAATTTAGGCTCTGCCTCACCCCTAGAGTGAAATATTTGATATGCTTAATGTATCTATGACTCAGCTTCCTCCACTCTAAAATGTGACTCTTTAAGGGCTAGTCCTATTATCCTACATTCTTTAATCAAAATACTGTCAGGCACAGAGTGAGTCTCCAATAAGTATATTTAAATTGTTTTAAATTGATACTATTTATATTAACATTTAACTTAAGTTTTATTCAAAATCTCAAACTGTATCATAGCAAAACTAGTTTTATTTAGCAATCTGATTTGTGGTAGTGATAATGATAATGGTAAACTAATTTAAGAATGAAACCACAGTCATTTTGCATTGTGATTACGTGTCATAATCTCATGACTAGTTAAATTTATGTATTAATTCATTAAATAACTAATTCATCAAGTTATTATTGAATTCCAAGCATTCTACTAGATGTTTTAGTACAATATTCCTCATTTTAAAATAACTTATGTGAGAGAGGGTTAAGTCACTTTCAGATTCTTCTCAAAGAAGCAGTAATCTTTTTGCATTGACTCTTGGAAGTTGGACTCTATTTGTAGCTTCAATCACTTCTTAATATATTTGAAAGAGGTGCTAGATTAAAAGAAGAGAAAAAGATATGTAAGAGTCCTTCTAGTTAATTAAAAGGAAATGTAATCTAGTCTTAAATTGGATCATAATGCATGACAAGTTAATTTATAATGAAATTTTGCAATGGTATTGATGCAGTATCACTCCAAAATACTGCACTTTGGAAGTCAGTAAGTCTTGAAGATCACCTGCAGTACTTTTATTCTCAAAGAAGAAGAAGAAGAAGAAGAAGAAGAAGAAGAAGAAGAAGAAGAAGAGGAAGAGGAAGAGGAAGAGGAAGGAGGAGGAGGAGGAGGAGGAGAAGGAGAAGAAGAAAAGAAGAAGAAGAAGAAGAAGAAGAAGAAGAAGAAGAAGAAGAAGAAGAAGAAGAAGAAGAAGAAGAAGAAGAAGAAGAAGAAGGAGAAGAAGAAGAAAGAAGAAAGTCATAAAGTAAGTGAGAACACAAATTTCCCTCTCAGGAAATTCACAATGTCCCTCCCTCAGAAATTTCTTGCTACTATTCATGGTAAAGTATCATCTCTGACTTTGTTCTTATCCATTTTGGGGGAAGAGTATTCCTAAATATAGAAGTGTAAATTTTTGGAAGTGTATATTTTTTAATAAATTAAAATAAAATGGAAACCTAAAAAACAGAGCATTTTTAGTATTTGGATGGGCAGCATTTCTTTTCAGTTTTGCAGCATCACCTTAAGTGTGGCATCTTGGTGAGCCTAGTGGATTGCCAGTAGAGCAAATAGCCAATGTAGTCCACTGGCTGGCATGCTATCTTCTCCTTGCTCCTGCTGGAGTCTCTGAAGTGTAGAGCAATCATGGCCTAATCTGGAATTGGCATCTGGGAGTATGCCCAAGCCCCATATGAGTGGTCAGGCCACAGAGTTGCCAGCAGAGAGCTAGTGCTCCCAAAACTGAAAACGAAGTCTACCAGGATATGAGGATAGTTTTGAACCACACAGGATTTTAGATACCTGGGATCTGCCGTTTTTACATTTGCAAATTGCCAAGATTCAAATTACACAAATTATCTATGCACACACATAAATATTTAAAATTATGATACTAATAATGCCTTGTGAGACTGACTAAAAGTAGTCATTTATGTAAATATGCTTAGACTTCTTTGGTACTTGGAGATTCAAGTTACTTCTCTCGTCATCATGCATGTTTTGAGATGCAACAGGATCTCATTTTGTTCTTTACTTTCTTTATATCTTATTTCCACTGAAAATATGTAATCTTTGAGGCATAGAACACATTTTTCTATTTAGCAGACTTTATCAAATACGGGGAAATGCTATTCTTAATATAATACTTAACTATAATTATGAACAGTCCTCTCTGCTAGGTGCTAGCAATAAAGAATAAATGACCCCTTTTGTTTTCACAGTTTTACATTTATTTTTGCTGCAGCCTTCATCATATTAATACATTCCTCCAAATATTTCATATTCTACTTTCATATATTTGCAGGAGAGTTTTTGACAGTTGGGTCTTCCTTCTTTCCTTCTTTCCTTCCTTCCCTCCTTCTTTCCTTCCTAATTATAATTATGAGCAAAGAAAGGTAATAATTTCTCCCACTACATAAGATTTTTCCCAAATATTAGGCCTTAGACTTTATTAAGGAGACTACTCAACAAAAAGATTCCACTTCTGAAAGTACCTTGCTATATGTTACAAATGCAACTACTGGCTTCTCCTTTCTTATCTACTTTAAAATCTTGAAGGTTTCACAAATAAGCCCACAGCTCAGAAGCTGAGTATTTTATATTACATAAGATTGACAGATAGTTCATTTCTGTGATATATCAAATTGTAAATTTGATTCTTTTTTGGATAATTTTATCCTAGCAATTTCCACATCCATAGTTTGGATGTACACTCTTTTAAACGTTCAAAACCACACTTTCTTATGTTTCCGTTCTTTTGTGTAATGCCAGATTTTCAGCCTCCATTTCAGGGATCAGATTGTTCCATTTGTCATAGGAATGCCACATCACATTTTCTTTTCAAGTGCAAGGTTACACATTACAGACACCCAAGTGGGTGGGTTAACTTCACATCTTTCTTTCTGAAGTGTCAATTTGCACTAGGTGTACCAACAGTTTTCTTCTATTGAAGTGTCTGTAAAGTACACTTTAAGACTATTTTGTGTGCCCATCACAACCATGTACAAAGCTAATTACCCCTTCCAGGCACTTAGCTTAGGCATTGTAGAATCCATAAATAAAATCCCCAAATCTTCAACTTCATCAACAGGACTCCCCAGGGAGTTTCTGAGCACAGTTTAACCGTTTTTCTTCAGTACTGCATGGACCATTCAGCCCTGGGACCACACACCAATGTCTGTCATCATCTGAGTTCAGATTGACTGTGACCCTCCAAAATATCAATAGTTTCTGCCAGGTCCTTCATTTAGTATAGTTTGAGAATCTGCTTTTTCCTCTTTCTTTAGTAACAGGTAATGATAGCAGGTTCTAATAATTCACAGAGATTATACCAGCATTTATTTTTATAAGATCATTGAAAAGTATTAAATATTTTGAAACATGAACATTACAAAAAGCAAACACCCATTTTCTTTGACTCTGGCTTGCTAGGATTGAAGGGTCTTATTGTCAGGTTTGTGCAGGGAACACCCAATTAGGAGAGTCCATCATGCAGATGTTCACCTGAAAATGCTTTTAGTCTTGAATGTAGTTACATTCAACTCTCTCACTTCTCCTTCAAACAAGAATGTTTTGTTTAAAAAGGAAAAAAAAAGGAATATCAGATAAAGTCAGTCTTACAGCAGGCAGGGGATATGAGGAGGTTGACATCATCGGGTCATATCAGGCTTTTTAGGTAGAGCATGCTCCTGTGATCGTAATTCTCACATTGAATGATGATAGGTCGGCCAAACTCAAACTGCAGCCCTTCTCTTACAGATGACCAACCACATGATCTCTTTCAGTTATTTTCAAAGCAGGGCATCTGGAGTCCGATCAGCATTGCCACAGATGGACCCAGAGCCTGAGTGCTGCCTGCCACAAACAAACACACGCCAATTCAGATGGTTTAAGTGGGAAAGTACCTTCTGGCTAAGCTGTGGACACATTGAAAAAAAAGAAAAACACGCAGATTCTGCTCCATCAATGTGTTGTGAGGCTCCTGAAAATGTTTTCCTCCCAGGAATGTATTCATTTATCCTTTCAACAAGCTGGTATCGATAGTGCTCCTGCTCTGCACTAAACAACAGTTGGAAGATACACTGGCCTGCGGGCCCTCTCTGTCCAAGGAACTTAGAGTCTAGTGCTGGCATTCTTCATCTGGAACATTTATTCAAAACGCTAGTATTTAAAGCATGGCCCCAAACACAAGTCAAATCCTTGACAGCTTAGAAATAAAGGCTTTGAGACACTCTTTTGCATATTTATTTTCATATGCCATACATTTGCTGTACCAGAGTCTCTGTAAAGGCACATAGCTCCTTTCACTCCCCTGGCTGCTTTCCTTGTCTCCCAGGAAAAGAGACATCAGATGAAAAACACTTCTGCAACCCGCTCTTCAGCACTTGAGGTCCTGAACATGGACACTTTTCCTGCAGTACATCCACACCCATTCTCAGGTAGTTTTGTTGTTATTCTCTTGCGTTTTCCATTTAAACACACTGAAAGATATTTAACTGTGGTGAGGAAAAATTCCAACACAATGTTGCTACCAAAATAAATGCCAATGTCAAATGAATTATTTTATATTTCAAGTTGACCTATTTTCAGAAAGTCTGAGGAGAGTAAGAATGATTTCTTGAACACTTACATTTTTTTCTAGCAAATATGTTGATCTCAACACAGCCCTTTTTTGTTTTCATGACTGTTTTCAGTGGTGTTAATATGTAATTTTATGTAACACTATATTGGGCAATGTAGAGAAAGGAAGAAACAAAACAGGGAGAAAAAACAAAAGACCCTAGCATTTAAGAGGAGGCAGAGCAGGCACATGTGATGAGAATATATTATCTTCCACTTTGTAGTAGGAACACCGTTGCCCCTGAACTGTGTGGCACTTCCTCCTAAGGGGAAAAATGACAGTTCGATGAGGACCCTGTTAGAGTAAGCACTCAGAGGAAACCTCATGCAATACTGAAAGAAGTCAAGTGTGGAAGAAAGGAGAGAAAGACATTGCTTTATCTAGTATTTTTGTCACCTAGCAATATAAGCAAGGCCTAGATGTTTGGCCAGTTTAATTATGATAAATCATGCAATTAATGATGCCATCACTTTCTCAGAAAAACTCAGAAAGCACCAAGAGCCTGAAGAAACTCAACCACATGTGCATCATCAGTTCAAAGGTTCAGCACTCTCCTTTTATCTTTAATGAGAATATCTTTTCCATTGTCTCTGTTTTTCCTTACTTATATGCTTTAGTTTCATTAAGATAGATTTTCAAAATTAGCTTTCAAGAAGACATTGAGAAAACCCTAAGTTTAATGTTAGTAGTGTCATATGTGTTTATATTATATGCTTCAGTCCTCTGAGTTGCTTTGCTCTCAAATCCCTTTGTCTGCTGACTTCTGTAATTAGTTTCATAGCTGCTTCCTAGCAAGCACCATCTCTTTCCTTTCCCCGGTATCCTATCCAGAAGGCCACAAAATATTCTGGACAGTAGGAGATCAATAAATATGCCTAGCTCTCTGTGAATGGATAGACCCACTATCACAGAGCTTAACAAGACCAAAACCTTCATGAGATCCAAACCTCCAGAAACATGTCCTGGTTTTACTTTCAGGTACCTTCTAGTGGCTGTTGGTTTAGTTTAAGAAAAAACTTTATTGCCACATTAGTTTTCATAGGTCTTTGCATGATTAGATATCTTGGCCTTTAGGTGGAGGATGCAGAAACACAGCAAAGTCACATAGCCATTACTGATTAGAATCCAGGTAGGGCTTTAAGCCTCTTTTCATTCACTGAGTCAACAAATCCTACTATGTGCCAGGCACTATTCTTAGTATTGGGGTTAATATAGAGATACACAAAATAGGCAAAAATCCCCATGATTGTGGAGTTTACATAATAGTGGGAAGAGAATCTTTTTTACTACTTGGTTCAAATTTTGAGCTTTGTTAAAGAATGATTCATCTGCTTTTTCTGAGACCTGGGGAATCCAGTGATTGAACGAGCCATCAGCCAGCCAACTTAACACTAAAGATATAGGACAGGCAGACAGCTTGCTGTCTTCCCTGCTGTAGGCTAGCAATGAATAGATGTATTTGATGTGAGGATAAGATGTAATAATCTGTGTAGAAAATTCAGTCAAAAATTATCCCTGTAGTACTCAGTAAAAGGTAGTTGTAATGATATATGTAATAATCTATGTAGAATTATTAATAGATGTAATAATCTACGTAGAAAACTCAGTCAAAAAATACCACTGTAGTACTCAATAAAAGGTAGTTGTTTCATTGGTGTGGTTGTTGAATCTTGCAGAAAGAGAATGCTATTAAGATGTTAACACAAAACTATAGCTCAGAGCTGCCCTATATAACTGGAAACTCCCTTTGTTCCTGTGTCTTCTGAAATTCCACAAGCTATGCTTAGGATGGCAGCATACATCCGTTTCTGCTAATCTCTCTCTGCCCTCTGTCCCTCCCTTTTGGAAGTGGAGTACACCTCCTGTGACCATAGCTTCTGTGATCACAGATTCTATATGCTCACATTTTGCCTTTTAATTTTGAGGACTTGCCCCCTTTCATTCTTTTGCGCCCCTAGAAAGAAAATCCTTTCATTCGTTTTGCTGTTAAGGAGGGAGCTGAGGTCATAGATGGGCAATTTAAACTTCTATGTTGATTCCTTTTTAAAAGGTTTGGGAGTGATGATTTTGGTAATAATAAATCTGAAAAGGCAATATTAAGGCATGAAATAGTCATTTATGGTAGCAAATACAAAGTATTGACATAAAACAAAGATGTCATAGCAATGGAAACATCTTATTTTCCCTAATGTATATATAGGAGTAAACATGGCTTTTATGGACATTTCAAAAATCAGACAAAATAACAACTTAGCAATTTTTGTTTGCTTTTATTCATTTTACCTAAATGTCTCTTCCTTTTAACTTTCTTTGAGAAAGGTTTTAATAACTCAAACACTTAGCTCCCATTTTGGCACCTCTAACTGCATCACATTTGTTATTTCATTGTTTTTGAAATGACAGATGCTTCTTTCACATCTTGGAGGAATGAAGAAGAAAAGAGTTCATGTCAGATATAATGATTACTATTAAAATTAGTATTTCTCCCCCATTTATAAAAAATGCCTTTTTTCTTTGTGTTGAATTGTATGTTTTTGAACCCTTTAAACCAGAATTGAAGATATGCATTTTATGAAAAATTCTTGTTCCATTAGAGAGTGTCTCCAATAGAAATAACTGAAAATAAATAATGAATTGTTTTCTTGACATCCAGATAAAGAAGAAACTTTTAAATATTTTATTGAATTGAATTGAACTGGATGTAGAATGCAGAATTTCCAGTACCAGTTAGATTAATAATGCCCAAACAAGAGTATCATCATTTCAGAGGATCATTTCACGTTTTCATCCCTGAAATAGTACTTCTTGATATAGGAGATCATAGAACAGTGATACTGAGAGAAATATATAGGATAAGTGTGTAACTCACTGAGATTAAGAACATTTTTGTCTTAGAAAAGTTATATGGTATCGTTATCCACAAGATCCCAACAGTATTATTTAAGTACCTGTGAAATTTGTTTCAGTTACACAAGGAATCATGAGGCCATTGCTCAAGTCTGAGATCCTGGCTTTTTGCTTGAAGATTAAGGAGATGTTTTTTTTTGAAATGTTACCCGTGTTTCAGCACCAATATGGATTGTAATTAATTGTTCCACATTAAAAAATTATGATGCCTACCTACAAAACCTGGGTATACTTTATCTGGGAATAATGCAGGCATGTGATTTTCTATGTGGCTTTTGGAAAGATGGGCACTATGAGTTATAGGTGTGGAAGGAGGAAATTGGGCAGCTAGATCTCAGACAACTTTATGGCATTCTGATAGCTATGAAAAATGGGCCTTAAGGATTTTCAAAAGGAGAAGCTGAGCATAATATTTAGAAACCCAAATGTGTCCATGTGATTTGGGGGATAAAACCAAGAAAGAGACACACATGCCATCATCAGATGATATGCTCAGGACATTTCTGTGCAGTATTTGTAGGCTCGTTCACAAGGAGAAAAGATAGCGGTCCTGTGAAAAACAATGTGTGGGTCTCTCTTGCGACATACTGGGAATTAATTGCACAGATTAGGTAAACTTGCCCTATATTTCTAATAGAACCATCACTAGAGAAACACAGGTTATTGAAAAGAGCTCTGACACCCAGTCAAAACGATTATGTTTCCTGAACCATCTCTGCTTGTAGATAAGTCTGGTTCTAGATCTTGTCCAAATCATTGAATTTAATGTCAGTTAGGCTAACTAATTTCAAGCTCCTTTGCAGCTCTGTGGTTTTCTGGGAATTTGCATTTTTTTTTTAAAGTTTGCATCATGCTGGAGGTTGATGACACCACCTTTCATGTGGGTAAATTATGCCAGACTCTTAATAGAATGATGTTGGAAATGTAAGGTGGTGATTTGCCTGTATGGGTTATGGAAGTTTAGGCCATTTAAAAATCTTTGGACTGGTCTCAATGGTCACACACTCAAACTGAAACTAACCTTGATGCTGTCGGATTCTTGGCTTATTTTCTAGCATGGGAGCAGAGCCTTTGGCTTCTTTCTCTGTGACATTGATTTTGGTCAAAAAAACCCTCCTTATCTGTAGCAGAAATATGCACAAACTGGGCCAGTCTTGTGACAAGGCTGCCCATCAGCTATTGCATTCCATCCAGCTCTCTCATTCAGATTATTGACATCCTGATGTTTGTATTGTTCCAGGACCATATCCAGGGTAAGCTTTGGGAAAAAAATTATAGAGTTGTCTTTTTCAGTGAAATATGATGTCTGTTACCCTTTGTTGGTGAAAGCACATTGGCTGTACATGCATTGATTCTGGTGGAGGTGCAGGTGTTCTCTGAACATTGCATTTTCTCTATCTAACCTTTTTATTCTTGCCGTGTCCACATTGGATAGATAAATAGCAATGTATGTCACCAGGTACTGCTAAGATGAAGATGATGATGATGATGATGATGATGATGATGATGATGATAGCATTTAGTAGGTACTGGTGTGAGTCAAGTACTAACCATGGAATGTTACATCCACAGAACTAGTCTGTATACATATGTGTCATCAATATGTCAGAGGAAATTTTGTAAAGCAGAATTCCAATTTCCCCTCTTATAGTATCATTTTCTGCCTTTGATCTGTAGGTGTGTATATTAATTTGCTTATTTTTTAATTTGTATTCAGGAAGAAAAAAAGATTTTGAAATGTGAGATTGTGTTAGTTCCTCTGAATAACATGTCACAATGTAGAACATTCTTGCTCATAGTAGAAGCTCAGTAAAGACTTGTTATACAAGTGAAGAAATAAAACACTGGCACAAGGCCTTTCTTCAGATGTTTTTATTGACAACAGACTTTCCTTAGTTTTAATGGCATTCATGATTATTATGGTGCTACTCCTTTGCACAGCTTTGGCATCAGTTCCTTCCACTTTTGGCATTCTGCTAAATGTTGATCTTGGTTATGTTTGATCCAGGTTACTACACTTAAAAAAGAAAATGTGAGATCCTATATATAACCTTCTACATGTTTATAAAATGTCAGGCTCTTAGATTAAAGCTTAAACAAGGATGTTCATTAAAACATTTATATTCCCTGAAATCTTAACCAGAAAATTTATTTTCTTAAATGTCCTCCTCTGTTCTTCCAATAAAATGGTTCTCTGGCAATTTTGGCATTTTCATGATGGCTCAAGAATCTAACAGAATGCCTGCACATGAGGTTGAGTTTAATTAAAGGGTAAAGCTCCTGGTTGAGTGTTTCTTATACACTATTGAACGATTGCATTTTGGGTGTGTAATTAATGTGAAAATTTCTCATTGATATTTTTGATCACCTTGGGAAAATTTCAGACTTGCTAAAGATATTAGTATGTGCATTCTATTCATGGCGTTGTTGCTCTTATTTTTGAAATGATTACATCCCAATGACTTTTTTTTACTTGCTTTAAACTTAATTTTAAAGGTTCAAAATCTTTCTTAAACTTTAACAGAATAATTGTTTTGAGAATGGGTTATATGCTTGGCTTATATAGTATTGCAATATTTATATATCTATGTGGCAATTTGACAAATCAATCATCACCCCAATATACAAGTGGTTTTCATTTACAGAACCATGCCCAGCTTAAAAAGAAGAAGCAGTGCATATAAGCAAAACATTTCAATTTCAATAAGTAAATCTTGACTGTGTTGTTTCATCATAAAGTACCCATTGCTAATTTGGGTTAATATTCGTCCTTCTCTTGTTTTTAGCATAAATATTGTGAAGAAAGTGACTAATACAGTGACACTCCCAACTTATTGATAAAAATTTACCTTTAATTTCCCTTTCATCGGTGAACTAAATTATTGCCGAAATTTGAATCAAATCTGACCTTTCTTTCCCAATTGGTAGCACAGTGATTAATATGTGTAATACACACACACACACAGACACACACACATACACTTAGGACATATCTATTTTGATAGTGATGATGAAAGACAGCATATCATATGTGGTGCTTTGCATTTTGCCTTTGTTCTCCCTACCTTTCTTCCTCATCTCCACAACCTGAATTGTTACTGTGTTCAACTCTAAACTAAAGAAATAAGAAACAGCGTGAATATAAAGTGATATAGCAATTATTTTACTTGCTTTCTTCATGGTAAATAGTTTACAGCATTGTTGATTAATTTCCTGTAGCTTAATTTGCAAACTATTGACAACCTTCTCTAAATGCTACCCATAAAATTATGTTTAAAATAGTATTTCCACTAAAAAAAGATAGTAACTTTTATTTTGTGCATTTATATATAGTCTCTTCTTTCTCCTTCCATCCTTCAAACTGTAACAGTTGAAATTTGGCCAGAATATTTATTAACCAAATGTTGAAGAAAAGATATTTGTTGAAAATAGTTTGGGTTATTTACAAAAATGAAAGAAATTGAAACAGATCAAAATGAAATGGCAGTGGAAGAGTCCGGTTAGTCTGGTGAGCAGAAAGCTGAAGTAGGGTTGATTTCCTGGCACTGCTTTCTCAGCAAAGAGAACAATTTTAATCAGTTACAAAAATATTTGTGATCCATATGTTCCTCTCTGCTCATTCCCATATGCCCATTTTCTCTTTTATCTTGGTAGATGATGACTTTATGATTCAGGCATGCAAGAATAATACCTCGCTGACTTTAGAGCTCGGTGCTATTTCAAAACGTGTCCTGGTAATTACGCATACACATATATCCAGGCTGTCCCTGCTTTGAGTTAGTTATGTGAATATCAGTTTGTTCTTTCTCTCTTCCTGGAAAGAATTATATCTTGCATCCTCCTACTGAGGCTGGAATAATGCATCTAAGACTTAGTTTTGGAAATTACATTGCTGTTCACCTGCTGAGTGAACTGTACAAATATGAGGGTCTTAAAGAGAAATCAAAAGAGTTTCTGTGATCCTTGAGAACTTCATTCAACTTGGAAAAAGTACAACAGAATCCAGAATGCTTTTCGTAACCATCACTGACATTTATGCTAAGACATATTAGATAATGGGCTTCTTAGTTAAATAGTTTCTAATTTTTAAGACACGATGATTTCTATTTAATATTGAGTATTATAGTAGCTATGGTGAAACTGATCAAAATTGAAAAACTAAAATTACTATTGATTAGCAATCCACTTTTTTCCTAAATGCATGTCTAGCTCTCAAAAGCCATATAATTTCCAAAAATGGAAGAAACATAGTTTAAAGTCTAATCATCCATCTTCATAAAACATGAATAAATCCAGAAACTATTGACTGTACTACTGATTGCATTTTCAACAGTTGCTTTCCCCTTGCACAACAAATGGCTTTGTAACCCAATATGTTATTAATATAGCCACAGTAAAATCCTGTAAGGAACCAGCTGTGCTCATTTAAACTTGGGAGAAGAGGGTAGCAAGGAGGAGGGAGAGAGGGTTTCTAACTCTCAAACTACGTAACTGGGATGCATTTAGTGTTTTCATAGATAGGTATGTGTTGGAAGAGGTGTGCATGCTGTTGGATTTAGCCGTTGTGCACCAGAATAGCGTTATAGGGAAAAGGAAGAGATGCAGCCTGATTTGGGCAAATATTATTAGGAGCCCGTCTCTGTGTTTGCATTCAAGCTGTCTTTGCCGCTGCTCCTGTAGGAGTTGTGAGAAAGAGAAAGTGCACATTATAGCGTGGATTGTTTTCAACAGGCTTGAAGTTTGCAAATCTGCTGAATCCCTCTGTCAGTGTTTCTTTGCTGTCAAACAGAATGCCCAGCTGGCAGTGGCAATCCCGATGGGGAGGGAGGGCTATGGATAGATTGTGTTCACCCTGCAACAAGAATATTAGGAATTCTTCTTCCCAAACTATAAGTAGAGAGAAAAGAGCTTTCTCAGCCATGCCATTATAAAAGTTTTCTTCTTCTTTTTTTTAACTTTTATAGAGAATGTTTCATTAAATCAAAACCTTTCTGTACACTTTATTCAGGTAGCTTTCATAAAGAGAGAAACCACATAAACAGCATTAAAATGTATAATGTAATCTATAATTAAGACAAAGGCTTTGGTTAGAAAAAGAGGCAAGACTTTTGCTCATAGGTGATCCTGATCCTCATTGAGGCAAACACACAAGCTTTTTTTTTTTTTTAATACAAAGTGCGAGATTTCACTAAAAAAGGTTAAAATTGAAGTGAGTAATCTTCGGTGCATAATGCAATTGTTAATTTTAGCTCCTTGCGTGGGTGCCGTTCTGACTTGAACAGCCGGCTGTAGCCTTCATTAGAGAAGAAGCAGGCAGCTTGAGACAGGTGGAGCTGGATCAAGCTGTGAACGTGATTTGCTGGAAGCTGGTCATTAGTGTTAGAAACCCCGTCTTATTTATTTCATCCTTCACCCTACCATGATTATTGCAATTATTATTATTTATTTTTCATCTTTTTTCAGGTTGACGATGTGTCACACTGTGTAAGGGAATCGCATGGAGATGGGCATTCCGAACTGTTAATGGGGACATGGGACTCCAGTTGTCTCTGATCACTTGTGTGGATTTTCCTGGCGTAGAACGACAGAAGCCGCTAGTAAGTCGCCAAGACCTACAGCAGGAATTCTGCACCAAAGGTAAAGGTCTTGTTGTCTGGCTGTCATCTCATCTGCATTTTAGATTTATTATTATATAAATGTGCCTGCTTGCATCCAGCAGTTCACTGAATGTAACCATGACAGGATCTGTATCAGAGACTCATTTGGCTTGTAGTTTGGAGAATTAGAGCTCAATTTGTTCACTCCATTTTAAATCTGGTCATGTTCTGTTTTTTACTTAAATACTCTAAAAAACAAGTTAGGGCAACAGAAGTCCCCTATCCAATGCACTGAGAAACAAGCTGTTTGCCAGTGGAAAATGGAACTTTTTATTTTGTTAACCACGCATACTGAGTGCCACTGAAATATAAGAAATCCGTCAGAATGCACTGGATGAAATATCCTAAAACCTCCCAAAACCTGAATGCATTGCTTACTAGTCACTTTACAGACTCAAACTACCATCCTTTTGGAAAACCTCCTTTTGCATTCCCACAATCCTTTGCTGAATAAGCCTGTGTATTTTAAAGATATCATTAGATACCATCTGTTTTGTCATGGTAGATTTTAGCAAAATTTCTGTGGTTTGTATTTTTCTCATACTTCCTATTTTCAGTTGGAAATAAAGTTACTGAATTAGTAAATGGTAATTGAATACTCCCAAAGAAACATATTAAAACTCTTATTTGTCTAGTAATAATTACCATTGTAATGACTGGGAATGGGACAGTTATTGCTTGGGATTTTTTTGAAAAGAACTAACTTTCTAAGCTACAGCGCCTCTCTCTGCTTCTCCTTCTCCTTCTTCTTTCTTTTTACTTTCTTCTTCTCTCTCTCCCCCTCTTCCTTCCTCCTCCTCCCTC
The DNA here is from genome assembly GCF_000001405.40 of Homo sapiens. Lineage (NCBI taxonomy): Eukaryota > Metazoa > Chordata > Mammalia > Primates > Hominidae > Homo > Homo sapiens. Next base: position 35,680,785 of record NC_000003.12, read on the forward strand.
CTTCTCTTTCTTCTTTTTTTTTCTTTCTATTTTTCTCACAGCTTAAAAAAGTGAGGAGGAAGTAAATGCTAAATTATTCATGAGCCTCATTTGACAGCACATCAGAAGGGGAAGTGTCAGGGGTTTTATAAAGGTAGGGAGAAAAAAATAATAACAGATTTTAACTCTGAAAAGCCATTTCCAGTGTCTATAGACTATTGTGAGCCTGGAGAAGTAGCATTTAGTTGGGATAGCTTCACTAGAGCTGCCTGCCAAAGACTTCCTTCCACAGGATCTTGTCGCACCAGCAACTGACAGGAGCTTGGGAGCTCGGGAGCTTGGGAGAGGGCTTATGTTTTTAATAATGTAGCTGTCAGTTCGAAGCCTGGAAATGTTGACCCTCAAAGGTTTATTGCCAAAATTAGATACCATATTTATGCTGAATTATTACCTTTTCAATAGTTTTTTTTGACCTTGCAGACTACTGTATTCTTTATACCTAGGGAAGCATGTCTATGTTTGGAACCTGCAAATAATTTTTCAGTCATCTTAGAGATGCTGCAGAACATCAATGCCACATCTTGAGTCAGAAGTCGAGGGTCATTTGTTCAAAAGTTGGAGAAATATCCTCTTTTGTTGCTTCTTCTACTCTGTAGTGGAGAATGGGGAACTGGTAGTTGTGTGGGAGTTATGTGTCTCTAAGATTTGTCGACCCATTTTGATGGCAAGGTGTATTCACAAGTGTGTGTAAAGGGGGTGTGGATGGGACAACTGCATCTGCCTCTTGTGCATGCCTTGGGTACTTGATTTCATCTTGTTTTTTCCCCCTTTTGTATAAAATTCTCAAAATTGCTCATTTGGATTTGAATATGAAAGGAGAAATGAAATCTCTAAAGAATGATAGTAAATACCTTGCACTGACTTTATTTTCTGATATCTTAACCTTCTAGGGCATAAAATCTTGTTATTTTAATTTGCATCTGGGAGAATGTCTGAGCAAGGAGACCTGAATCAGGCAATAGCAGAGGAAGGAGGGACTGAGCAGGAGACGGCCACTCCAGAGAACGGCATTGTTAAATCAGAAAGTCTGGATGAAGAGGAGAAACTGGAACTGCAGGTGAGTGAGCATGAAGAGACCCTGACTCTCATACAACTGTGTGCAGCTCCCTTCTTTTATTTTCAGAATACTTTAGAGATTTATTTTTTAAAGAGTTTCACTGGTTATATCATTAGGAAATGCTAGTCTCCTACTTTTTCAATTTTTGTCACTTTTTGTCCTAACCCAACCGTGCTCTAAAATGTGTTTTGTGGGGAAAAAAGTCATAGGAAAGTATTTATTTTCTGAATTTGCACACAGCATCCCCTTACCAATTTCCAGAACACCTCAAGGTGTACATAGAGGGCTTCTCCCAAGGCAGCTTTAGACTAGCTGAGTTTTAAAAATGAATTTGCTATTCTGTGGAAAGATGAAGACTCAATTCATGGTAAACTAAGAAAAATCAAAGGCAGGTGTTCCTTTGACTTTCATGGGCATGCTAAGGCTCAAATCTTAGTAGCAAACAAGCTAAACCCTAGAATTCCCAGCCAAAGAGAGAGTACTTGAAGGAGGAAAAAAGACTGGGAGTGATTAAAGGAAATGAAAAAGTGCTGTGAAACATATCATGATTTACAAGGGAAAGAGATTCGGTAGAAGGAAAGCAAACTGCACTTACAAATAGCTTGTAAGTATTGATTTTCTTTTAACTAAACTACAGAAGTGTTAACTCTTTATATACCAACAGTTAACAAAGGCAGATAACTGCATGATGGCCAAAAAACTTCAAAGCTGGCTTTTCCTTGTCCCCTTTCCAATAGTTGTTATAAACAGAAAAGAGCTAAAAGTTAGTCAAAAGTTTTTTAAAGCTAGGGAAGGAGGAGTCCTCCCTAATGGTTGTGATGTTCTGTTGCTATTATTATTGACTTCTCTACTGTAGCCGGTAGTGACATTTTTCTCTCTTTCTTTCTCTCTCTCTCTCGGTTGTTGATTTACTGTTCGTTTTTGTTTGTTTTATTTTATTTTGTTTTATTTTCTTTCCAACATACAGAGGCGGCTGGAGGCTCAGAATCAAGAAAGAAGAAAATCCAAGGTAGGGTTCTTAACATTCTAGGTAGACCTGATATCATGGGTATAAATTACATATTTTACATCAGAGTTAAAGGATTTGCCAGCATTTCAGATGATTGTGTCCAGATATTGTGGGGCATCTCGGCTGTACTGGTGCTGGCTGTTTTTGATGGGGTTATGTTTATGCATGTCTTACTTTATGGCACTGCATATTTTTTAGTTAGAGGATTTAGTGTTCAAATAGCTGCAAATGTATGTATTTGATCCTGTGTTCACACTTAAGAGATTTGACAGTACTTTACAAAACAAATGACCACTTGTTTTGTGTTCACACTTAGAGATTTGACAGTATTTTACAAAACAAATGACCATTTGTTTTGTTTTTATTTTAAATAAAATTTAGAGTAGAAATTTTATTCTCACTACTTGATTTCTGCCTTGAAGTAAACAGATACTACTGTTTAGTACACACTCTTCATCCTTTTAACCATCTTCTCAGTCAAATCTCCTGCAAACTTAGTTTTAGTAAAAATTAATTTTATCACTTTTTCCTCCTGATATTTTCATGAAATGACAGCAATTCATTCTTCCTATGTTCCCAATGTGATGCACACAATTTACTAAAAGTATTTTTTTTAATTTATCTATTCACATTCTTCTTTACTTCTATCCCCATCAATACAGAGGTATGATGCTTTGAGCCAATGTAGACAGTACTGATTGGCAGACTTGAAGTTTGGTTTTAAAAATCTCATTTGGGGAAGTTATGTAAATGTGGAGATGATTTGGCAGTCTGAGAATGCTTCCTGTTTGTTTTCTTTATTTTCCTTTCCTTCCCTTTTCTTTCCCCCCTCCTAGTCAGGAGCAGGAAAAGGTAAACTGACTCGCAGCCTTGCTGTCTGTGAGGAATCTTCTGCCAGACCAGGAGGTGAAAGTCTTCAGGATCAGGTATATCCCCTTGCCATTATCATTAATTGCATGAATGGGATCCACCTTTGTGTGCATGACTCTTAATTTGGTGTTAAACAGTGTTTTGGGGGAGAAAAATATAATTGAAGAAAATAATTCATTTTTTGGCTTTATCCCCTGCTTATGCAACATTCTAAAATAGTTTAATGGTTTGTCACAGAGTATTAAATTTGTTTTTTTCCAGACTCTCTGAAAACTGCAAATGGAAAGGAATTCAAAAGAATTTAGATTAAAAGTTAAATAAAAAGTAGGCACAGTAGTGCTGAATTTTCCTCAAAGGCTCTCTTTTGATAAGGCTGAACCAAATATAATCCCAAGTATCCTCTCTCCTTCCTTGTTGGAGATGTCTTACCTCTCAGCTCCCCAAAATGCACTTGCCTATAAGAAACACAATTGCTGGTTCATATGAAACTTAGGAAATAGTGAATAAGGTGCATTTAACTTTGGAGAAATACTTTTATGGCTTTGGTGGAGATTTCTCAATACTGCAAAAGTTGTCCAGAAATGAATCTGAGCTGATGGTGACTTTAAGTTAATATTATTAATATATCACTGCATATTTTTACCCTTATTTTTGCTCCTTACAGCAAGATTAGTAGGTTATAAAAATTTAAATTTAAACAAAATTATTTCATGACAAAATGGGAAACTTCACATCATACTTATTTTTGTTTGCCTTTCAGGCATCATATTAGCTTTTATAAAAAATGGTCTTGCTGCTGAAATTGTACTTATTTTATCAGAGGCTGGGTGCAGTCAAGACAAAAGTAAAATGGTTTACCTGAGCCCAGGGGAGGGAAAATTGATTAAGATATCATTATTTTTGTTTGGTTTGGTTTTGCTTTTTTCCTCTTACTTTAATTGAAATACTCTGAATTCCCCTCATGGAAACAGAGAGCATTGAGAGCACTTTCTTTAAAAGGACCAAAAATAAATTCCTAATAGATTTTGTCCTAAGAGAGTGTTTTTTTTTCTAGCATCATTTTCTTTACATGCCACTCATGTCATAAGGCATGGACAGGCTATCTTTCAGTGGCCATTACTATGTTTCGTACACATGCTTTATTTTACTTGGGCTCTGAGAAATGTGTGGCTTTCCTTCAGCATTTTATTTGTGCTTCTCTTTTTAATGGAGATTGAAAAGGGAGAATAATGTGAATATCACGGCTTATATTATTAAATGTTGATTGATGGCTTGTAATGTACTGCACACAATATATGTTAACTCTGCAGAATGACAGACCCTGGGAGAAGTAATGCCCCAGTTGTCCCCCACTCCTAATGCCAGGCAGAGAAGGACAGCCTTTATAGACTTAATCTGCTTTTTGTCCCATTTGACAAGGTACCAGGAGGAAATTTTTTAAGGGATCAACTGTATCACAGTGCCCACTCTGGACCTAAGTCTAGTGTATCCATACAATTGGTGCAGAGAAATAAGGTGTAAATGGTGCTTTGTTCCTGCTGGTTCCAAGCTCAGAAACCAAGACTAGCTTTGTAGGAGAGAATGAGAGCCTGCAAGCCTCTCTTTGGATTGGCTGAGGAGTGGTGGGAGCAGGGGGTTGATAGAAAACATCCAGACACACATATAAGCAAGTGGCCGTGCTACCTTTTTAGAGAATAAAGAAACAGACTTTTGAGTTTATATGCAATGCCTTCATTAGGTACCACCGGCACTTACAAAATGTGCGGACTGAATCCCAGAGAACACTGGCAGATGTATACAGTATATGGATTGTATCGCTTCCCCAATGTTTGTAAATTCACAGTATTTGGAAAACTGCCTTCATTTTCCAGTGTGGGAAAAACTCTTGCTACCTGTATTACTTGATCTCAGACCCATACCTGATGGTTCAGTCTGTCCTTAAGTTAAAAGAATTTTGCTTTTCTAATGTTATACTATTTACCTGTCAGTGTATTACTGCAACTTGAATCACTCTTTTACTGTTGTTGGATATAAACTTATCCTGTACCAATGTATTTATTAACACTTGTATTTTATTATTGAGCATATCAATAAAAATATTAAAAAATAACAGATTGTTTTTTACCAACTCTATAGCACTTTTGTGTGTTCTTTCAACACCGTAATATATATGCATAGAAAAGATATTTTTTTTCCTGAGTATAGTATTTGTCAACACATGGCATCAGTTTGTACATTTTTTTATAGTGGATATTCTTTAGCCTCTGCTCATGCATTTATAATATATGTCCAAGCCTCTATGATTTTAGATTCATACATACAGAGGCTGGTTGTTTCAGTCAGTTTTGAAGAAGCAATGAGATGACCTTCGTGGCCTGGGAGCCCTCAGTTTCCCTTGATGATTAACTGTCAAACTGAATCTTCCCCACCTCAGCCACGTCTTCTGGACCAGAAATGTCCCAGTGATTTCTTTAGCAAGTAGAAGCAAATCCTATCCCTAGAACCTGCCTGAACCTTTGCATATTAAGACATTTCTGTCCCAAACTGCAATAAATGACTCTATAATCAAATTACACTCAGGTTTTACAAAGTTTATATATGTACATCCCCAGGAAAAATGTGTTGAAGTTGGAAAACTCAGCTAAGATATTTATGATGAAAGTATGTTTTATTTCATCATTTATATTGCGTGACATTATAAGCATAGTGAAACAGGGAGTTCACAGTGGAGCCCCTTCCATAAAAGAAACTTAGCTTCAGAGAACTTTTCTTTATGCTTGTTAGATTAGCCAGGTTTACTGAGAACCATTAAGAATCCCAAATTTGAGAGGGTACAAGCATCAATTTAGTCACATGTAGTGTGAGCATTAGTTTAATTTTCAGTGAGAGACATTATTAGTCATTGGGATTATTTTTTCCTACATCATAAATTTTAATGTCACTAGTGGAAGAAAGCTTTGCCATCAAATGATCTCTTACATAAGAATAAGTGGGCTTAACGTTGGTTAATTTGTCATAGTTTTAATCATAGCATAGGTTTTACATAAAACTGAAAAATATGATTTGGCTCATTCTTCTTCAAAACAGTGAACATACTATCAATCAAATTGCTGATATATGTGAGTTAATACAAAATAATCTATTTTCAGTGCAAAATAAATAAGAATAAAAGTGGATCCAGTCCCAATGCTGTAAATGGCCAATCTTAAATCAAACATCATTTCAAGACAATATTATATTTTGGAAAGGACTAACTGATGCTAAAATAAAATAATATTAAATTTTATATATTATTTATGAAAAATATAATTCTACTTCCTACCTTTTCTAAAAGGCAATGCTTATTGTAACTATTCATTATAATGATTTATTAGTAGTATTTATAAACAATTATAATAAGTTTATACCTAGAATTCCTGCAATTCTATAGTCTGCTTTTTCATAGTAGTAGAAATCATTGTTGACCTGGGTCTAAAATTGAGTTTTTAATTGTAAATTCAGTAATAGGGGCTTTCTTTATGTCTGTTCTATTTGTAATTATGATTCCTAGTATATGTCTGTCTTTGTGCCAATTTCCCCTTATAAGGAATTATAGAATAGAACTACGGAGGACTTTTTTTTTTTAATACAATGGCTGTGATGAGAGCTTACTGATAAAGAAATTTTTTCTAGATGTTTAAAAATAAACCTGTAGAAAAAAATAAGTATTGTGATCTACAGGAATTCAACTTGGTTAAGGTTAATATTCATAAGGCAAAGTTTTAGTACTAGATGTTCCTTATGACCTCCCATTGACTCCTGAAGATTAAGTCATTTTAAAGGGCAATTAATTTCCTGACAGGTTTAATTTTTACCATTTAGAAAAAAAAAATCTGCACCTGGTTTTCATTTTTCTATACTTTATAACCTCTATGCAAAATGGGAGCCAGACAGAGATGATTAAACCTGGCCCTAAATTATTATATTTTTTCCCCAACAGGAATCAATTCATTTACAGCTTTCCAGTTTTTCCAGCCTGCAAGAGGAGGATAAATCTAGGAAAGATGACTCTGAAAGAGAAAAAGAAAAGGATAAAAACAAAGATAAAACCTCTGAAAAACCCAAGATCAGAATGTTATCAAAAGGTGAATGTGAAAATATTTCCTTAACTTACTCAATTTGGGCACACACATAGTCACAGAACACATTCTAGATTTCACATGCATATTCACCTCCCACCAAACCCTGCATATGATTCTATACGTGTACGTATCTGTGTGTGTGTAAAAAATGTGAACTTGATTTTCTTTCTGTTTATAGTGTCATTACTTGTGTTGCTAGACAGGTTATTTTTAGGATCACATATTTCTTTGGATTCACATTTTAATCTTCTGTTTTCAGTGACAAGCTTGTACAAGGAATAAATATAAATCTGCCCTAAATTTAGGTTTCTTGGACCGATTAACTTGGATTGGTGAACAGTAATGATACCAAGTTTGATATCTTAACTCTCATGTTTATCTTAAAAGACAGAGAGTGGATTAGCAATTCTCAGTTCATAAGTGATATGGTCCCCAAAGTACAGATGTATATGTCAACGGAATACATGATTCACATTTTATCTGGCTCAGAATTTAGTCTCTGAACCCATCTACTATCAAGTAATGTTTATTTAAGAAATACCCACTTCTACTTCAATAAATCACTGTGCAAAAAGTCATACATTTACAAACTCAAAACCTACAGTCCAAACTGTCCAAATTTTTGCCATACCTATCATGGTACAAAACAAAACTAAGTTGAAATGAAGAGTACCATGAGTAAACAGGCTTGCAGTAGACTTAAACAAACAAACAAACAAACTGGACAACTGGGAAAGAATAGAGCATCTGGTCAACTGAGAAATGACAACCGCCTCTAACAGTTATGTGTTCTATAACCATACATCTGCTTATAATTGTTGTTTCTGCTGAGGAATATCTAAAATCCAAGGTGTATATGACAGTAAAGAAGTTCAGGTTTCTAAAACAGTTTTAGAAATTAAGCTTTGGACAGCATTAGGATATTTAAAAGTCTTGGGAATATTTAGTGTCCTCCTGTATTTTGTACCGATTAATAGATAGTCTCATAACAGAACATTCATTTTTTTTTTTTTGCCTTCTTTGTTTTAAGAGAAAAAGGGTTCCATGGGATCTCAAACTCTTGAGAGCTCTCTCTGTAGGTGGGAGTTCTGTCATGTGGGGTTTGTGCCCTTGTTATTTACAATGCAGAATGAACACGTGATATTTGACTCCACCTCTCCCCCACACCCAGACTGTGCCCACTTCCCCTCCTATGACATTTGGATCTTTCCATATTCAGGATTTATTGGGTGTTTTCAATCCCGGAATCTAATTTTCATTCTGATGTTATATTGCCAGATTGCTAGTTTTGAAACATGTATTTTTATACCAACAGCTTCACCTAAAATTTATCTGAGCAGGGGGAAACAGGATAGGTTGGGGAAACCTTTTCTACCCCACCTTTCCACCATCATTCCTGACAGCTCCGTCCTGCTATTTGTTTCAGATTGCAGCCAAGAATACACGGATTCTACAGGCATAGACTTACACGAGTTTCTGATTAACACATTAAAGAATAATTCCAGGTAAATTATTAAATGAGCCTCTTATTTTTAGAAGGATCAAATAGAATATTACAATCAAAGTTATTAATCCAACACTTCTAAGAAAGCCATTGTGAAATGCAGATACCTTCCCTGACGTCTTAAACTGTCTCCTGTATTTTTTTTCTACTAATCGTTTGCATGTTTACTTTTTATAGAGAGTCTTAGTAACTGGGTAGTTACCCAATTAATAAATTATACTTTAACAGTTCTGCTTTTCAGATCACAAAGAGATACTGGCTAAGGTGGAAAAATAGCAAATAAAAATTATTGTTGTCAAATAAGCCAATTATGTTTTAATGCAGCTATGTATTCATTTACAGTCAATACTTGGCCTTCGTTTTGTTCCAGTTTCCTATTTATTTGAAATATACTATTTATTTGATGGGTTTTTTGATCCTAGTACTTTGCATGCCATAATTAACATTAAGACTACAAAATTTAGATATTTCAATATACTTAACAAATAAGATAAGGAATACTCTTAAACAATGAAATAAATTGTAATGAATGAAATGAAATAATATGTAAATGGTCAGCATATTCCAAAGAAGAGTTAGGTATAAGTTTGTAGCAGCATACATTTAAGTAATCTTTTCCATACATTTAATTAATTCTTTAGGTTTTTGGAAGTGGAACATACATAAAACCTTTTAAATTTAACATTTATTTTGCAGGGACAGGATGATACTTTTGAAAATGGAGCAGGAAATTATTGATTTCATTGCTGACAACAAGTATGTTAAACTTCAATGCTGGTTAATTTGATCATGTATCCTAGTTTGGTATTGGAGTTAAATTGTCCATTCTGGAAAGACTTAGGGATAGACAAAACATTGTTTAATATGTTCCTTGATTTGTTAAATGGAGACATTATTGGAGTTAGGACTATACGCTGATGAGAATTGTTGCTTGGACCATGTGTGCTTCTGCTTGTTAAATTCCTGACAAAATGGCTATAAACAGTGGGCCACTGATTAGCATAGAGTAGCTGTAACAAGAAGAGACCCTTTTCATTTTTATTATAGTTTTTTAATGGGCTCCAGCTGGCTGCAGTCAGTTATGCCTGGAAATAATTGTGCTGCTTCAGTATAAACCGTGTAATGACACATCTCCATATAGACATCTGCAATCACGTATTATGTCACATCATTTGTCCTGTGCCTGGCCCCGTTGATAAGGTATCATGGACTAAAATACAATACTGTCCAACAGACATTACATTCTCTTTGGCAAGAGAAATGTGCAACTATGAAACAAAGATGTTTATTGTGGCTTAATCAATAAATCTATAATAAGTAGAAAATTTTTCTAGAAATTAGGACATTAAGTGATGCCAGAAATGCAATAGGCTTAGTGGTTTAGATGAAGAAGAAATAGTTTTGTGTGTATACTTGTAAAAAGGTATTATGGGCAAAAAATGAAAATGCTGATTCCACTTTTTCTTGAATTATGTTCTAGTAATCATTATAAAAAGTTCCCTCAGATGTCATCGTATCAGAGGATGCTTGTCCATCGAGTGGCAGCTTATTTTGGATTGGATCACAATGTGGATCAAACAGGAAAATCTGTTATCATCAACAAGACCAGCAGCACCAGAATGTAAGCCCCATCACTGTACTTATTTAGCATTTTCTTTTTCTCCTATGGATTCATTTATAAGATCACAGTATAAAATTCACAGTACATGACATTTAAAATGTGCAGTGTTATTTATCTCTTGCTCTTATCAGAAGTAGTGTGGCATTTATCTGTAGAAGATTATCTGAGAACCAAGAAAGTTTATAAAATTCAGACAATAAAGTGGATTTATTTCCTGCTCTTTTACATAGCTCCTGAAACATAATTTTCTTTCTTCCATCAGTACTCTATGAAATTACATACAAAGCTGTGAAAAATTTTGTCAAAATATAACTTAAATTAAAAACAATAGATATTTTTAAATGACCATGACATACACAGAATAATTGTTATTTTCTTTCTTCTTTCTTCTGCTTTTTTAGACATCTATCTTATTGTAGTTTCTGGAGTAATAAAAAGCTCCGAACCTAGAGGCAGAAATCCTGCCTCTAAAACCCAATTCTACTTACTAGTTGTGTGACTTGGAGCAAGTCATTTAAAATCTGCCATCTCAGTTTTTTCACCTGTAAAATGAGAGTTTTAAGCTAGATGAAACATCTAAGACTTAGCTCTAAAAAGAGGATGACAAGTTTTTTCCCCCTAAAATAATTGTTTGTTTTTCTCTTAATACCGGTTCATTGTTTCACTGAGTCACCAAAAGCATAATAACATGAGTAGTCATTTGCTTTGAAGCTTGGAGCTGTTTTTCTTGAACCTATATATCTTTGGAGTACCATACAAGCCAATTTTATAACAAAAGGCATGTTAAACTAAAAAAACTGCCCACATAAAGCATCCATTTTTATAATTTTCTTTTTTCACAATGTGCTTGGTAAACCGTAAATTGCATGCTCTTTAGAAATGTTACTGAAGGGAGCTTTTGTGTCAAGCAGAGTATCATGGTTAAAATACTCTATATTTTCTGCTCACCAGAGGTTGGGACAAGTGGGGATGGAGATGAGGCGCTTTCTCAACTCAAGCATCAGTCTGTGCTCAGCAGAGGTCGGGGGAAAGTCATAGTGAAGAGAGCACAAACTGAGAGATCTGGGACCAAGCATGGCTATTATTAATATCTCAGGGACAATGAGCACTCCACTTCTGTGGGCTTCAAATTACTTATATATCTGCAGGATAGTTTGAACTGAATCGTGTTTAAGGGCCCTTGAAGTTTCAGAATCATTCAGTCCTGTAGTTGCATTCTACTGTGTTAGCAAAACACATTTTAAAAATTTATCAGGTTCCTATTTTATCTGGTTGTTTACACATGTGCCTCATATTTGAATAGTAGTAAAAATTAAAGGTAACTTTTAGAATCCTTTATATCTTCCCTCTCCATGCAATACTCTTTGTTGTTGTTGTGTTGTTGTTTCTTATTCTTCATTTTTTAATGGCTTTTAGATATCATCATGCAGGGACATGCTGATTGCAAAATAGAAAAGCAGTTGACTACTTCCTTTTAATTTTTTTCTTCTTCTTTGTCTATAAGGTCATAGCAAACATGGAAAACTCCCATAGTTCAAGTATATTAAATGTGATACAGTTTCAACTGGTGGACAGTAGATTTATTTTTAACTTACACCAATTTTGCAATCACATAGTCATAAATACTGGTACATATGTTTTAGACATGTTTCCTCGGAGAATGGCTTTGAGAAAATTAAGCATTATATCAAGACTCCTGGTCATCTTTGAGTGCTGGCTCTAAACCTGATCTGCCCGGTATGGTAGCCAAATATGGCTATTTACATTTCAATTCACATTTATTAAATTTATATAAAATTTAAACTTTAAAATTCAGTTCCTCTATCAGGTGAGCCACATTTCAAGCAGCTATTGGATAGAGCAGATATGGAACACTGATATGATTTTAGAACTTTCTATTGATCAGCTCTTTTTAAATCCTTGTGTTTCCTGCAAGTTCCCAAATACCACTGGAGAACATAATTTGTCCTTTAAAACTTTTATTTTCTGGCTAGTAGGTATCATATTACTAGAATTTTTCACTTCTAGAAGAGTGCCAGCTTTTTTTTTAATTAATGGCCATTTAAAAATAGATGCCACATGTTTATACCTTTAGGAAGAGTTGAAAGTAAGTGTGTGCAGAGAACACCCTCTCGAAGGTACAACTGCTACAACAGGAAGGCCAGGGCTCAGTCTCTGGCTAACTCCTTACTCTTACACACCGCCATTTAGACACCCTTTCGTGAGTCAAAGCAAATCATGCCTAAATAAAAAAGGCAAATGACTGTATGTCATGGACTTTCAAGGTATTTACTGAAGTGTTGAGCTCAATAATGTTCAATTCATAGCTGTCATGTTCTACTGTTCTATTCTAACTACACTTCTGACCATCCTCTATTTGAGTGGCTGTTGAGGTATGGTGGTGGTTCATCCTCTATTTGAGTAGTTCTTGAGGTGGGGGTGGATAACTGATGTATTTTAGCACACGAAAAAAGAGGATGAATTAAATCTCTGTATCCAAATAGGAACAAATCACAGTTTTCAGAACCTGAATCATTGTCAGCAATTTTAGTGAAAAGAAGTGTTGTTTTGTGGAAAATTATGTTTGATTTTAAAAGTCTGTTGCCATGCTCTTTGGGGTTGAAGTTCAAAATGGGGCATTATATTCAAAACATTCTATTTAAGTTCTAAGTGTCTTGGTTTTTTTGGTTTTGTGAAAAACTTCAGAGTTGTCTTATCAGGGCAATCAACATGTGTTGGTCATGGGAACCATATTAACTTCAAAATATTTCTGGATTGAAATGTCTTCATTTATTTAAAGGAGGGAATACTGAGATGAGAATCCCATGTGAGTTTTGTGTTTGGGGAATACCTTTTCAATATCTAGAGTTTTAATGCTACTCCAGTGCAAACACATGAAATGCATATTTTAATGGCACTATAGTCTGAGAGAAATGCAGAAAAATGTGGATTGAGGGTATTTTTGTTTACTAAGAGGTAGAGGGAAAAAAAACTTCCTTTTATATTGTTCTTCTTCAGTGACACTTCAATACTACTCTGACATCATTGTTTAAATAATTGTAACTATTTCAGCTCCTTATTGGCTAGAATTTATTTCCCAGAATCCTGATTTTCTAGATGATAGGCAGGTTAAGTAACTATAGAATGTGACTTGAGAAGGTTGGGTTTTTCATGGAGAAGAAAGAATTTCACATAAAGTTCAAAATATTCAGATCATAACAATACATTCTGTGAGGATTACATATGTGTGTGTACTGCACTGACCTCTGGTATTTTTAATAATATACCCAGATATAATCTATCTGCTCTTTTATGATGAAAACAACTTGTCTCAGGATATACTTCTGTTTGTTAGATATCATCCCTTACTTATAATAACATTGCCTACAGCTAATTCATTTCGCCAAGCACTTTACATCTTGTAATAATATACATTTTCATGAGGTAAATGTATATTATTACATTTAATACAAAAAAACCTTACCATATAAATAATTAAAGCTTCATTTTGCAGAAGAAGAAAATTAGGCACAAACTGAGTTTTAGTTTGGGGCTTACAGGGAAGCAATGGTTAGCATGACTGGGACCTAAACCAATGTGTCTAATATCAAAAAGATTTTTTTTAATAATCTTATTCTCTTAAAGCAAAAATACCCAGAAATTATTGAGCAGAGCCTTCAAGAAGAGTCCCTGGATTGGCTAAAAATTGCAATCCTTTTAAGTCCTTTGTTGTCTGATAAAAAACAGTGATTGATGGACAAGATATTTTTGAAGATTAACTCAATGGTATCATTAAGTAACAGAGCCTCCCTACAACTTGATAGGTCTTGCTAGATTTGCTGTGCTTATTACTGCCACAAGATGTGATTTTTTGAAGGAAAGCATATATATATGCATTATATATAAATATATATTTAGATATTATACATAATATATATATTTATATAAATGTATATTATATATAAAGTTTAAATAAATATGAAGTTTAAATAAATATAAAAATGTAAGCTTTACTCCATTTCACTCTTTTTTTCTAAGAATGAAAAAGCCATATTTATTAATTATGTTCGTAAGAGGGGGTGAACCTCTTCATTTTGTTATTACAAAACTACTGCCACAGCAATCTGATTGTTCAACTCCATAGACTTATGCCACATCTACAAGAGCATCAAGTGCGGTGAGAAGCAATGAGACAAGATGGAAAGATAGTTGAAGTAAAGTCAACTGTCTAGAGATTTTACATTAATACATTCCAGGTTTCTGTAAATTACCTGATAAGAGCAGAGATGTTATGTTTTTGCAGTCATATAATATACACAGACAAAACTTTCCAGATACTGAAAACATATTTCCAGCAACTACAACTCACCAACAACAGACTTCGGTGGCGGTGGTCACACAAAAAATTACAAGATGGGATTCATGTCCTCAAACGTTTTACACTATAGTTATAGTGGGGGAATAACTTCAGAATCTCAGTCCTCTTAAAACTTGAAAAATGTAGTGCAACTCTTTGTAGATCCAAAGTAGACACGTAACAAATGTCTGGACAATAGCTCCATAACTGAAGGAACAGTATACCAAACATCCAGCAGAATGTATGTAACAGATTCATTGGGGACTACCTGCCCATCCATTTCATGGTTCAAATAGGCATTTAGGAAGGCTTTGAGAAAGGGTAAGACTTAAACAAATGTAGTAAGGAGGGGGATACATGGCAAGCTGGAGTATGGGCTATAAACGAACATAAGATAAAAATCTCTACATTTTTTTAACATTTACTAAGAGCTGGGCATTTTGTTGAGATGGTTGTGTTAGGTTTTCAGAGCCACCTAATGAAAAGGATTTTTTAAAATTATTTTTCTAACTTTACTGAAGAGAATATGTACCAAAGGGAAATTAGTGAATTGTCTAAAGTCATACTGCTGCACAGTGGCAGCAGGATGCTAATTCAGGATATTTGACCTCAAATCCAGGAGACTTTAAAATAATGCTCTACTGGCTGGAGGCAAATATGGAGAGAATGATATTGTCAATGACAGTAGGAGGCTACATAAGATTGAATAGAATCTTGAAGGCGGGCAGCTCTTAGAGCTTTAGAACATGAGGCTTGATGTGTATAACCTGATACTTTAGAAAGGTTAGTCTGGTATTGACTAATGGGATGTATTCAAAAGGAAATGACCAAGAGTAGAAAGACTTAGGTGAGTGCTGCTGTCACCAAGGCATGGGGCTGGAACATTTATGAAAAGTAGGAAATAATATTTGTGTTCATTTGGGAAACAGTTCAAGGTGGTACTGTCACCTGAGCAAACTGATGCCTTTAGAGAATTAGTAAAGGAAGTCATCTTTCCTCTGCAGCACTGCATTTTTGTTGGTGCTCAGAGCCAACCAGAGTAAGAACAGATTTGTGTATGTGACCAGTAGCCTCCAACTACACTTTTTGGTCTACAAATTGGGTCTTAATAGCTGGGACTCCTGTAACAAATAGAGTCACTGAGCTGAGAAGCCCTCCACGTTGTGTTCCTTCATCTTTAGTTAGTTCCTGTCTTCTATCCCATTGTAGGTTGCCAGAAATATGTTTTGCTCTGACACTTTTTTATTTTTTTATGGAATTTTTTGTCAGCTGTCAGATTAGGTGATGCTGCTGAATGAGACCCTTGCCAGGGTGAAGGTATTAGGGTCCATGTTATTTTGATATTATAAATGATATTTATAATAGATTTACTCTACATAATGTTACATTTTTGATATTTAGGATTTAGGTTAAAAATATGAATAGTGATCTTATCAAAATATTTTAAATGCCACAAATATGTGTGTCTTTCTATATAAGAAATTTTGCCCTTCTCTTTCTCTCACTTTCCGATCTTCAGTTTCTCTCTCTTTTACTCATTTTCTGTGTTTGACACAAAGCAGTTTATTGTTGTCCTGTTAGATATATTTTTAACCTTCCTCTTCTTCATCCCAGAGAAAGGAAGCACACTTAGAGTGTACCATTGGAGACTAGAAACCATCCTCTTGCACAAGTGTTTTCCAAAAAGCCAAGATCAGCCACAGGCAATGAGAATCCCATGTATTATCTGAATGTTTTTGCATATGTCAGAGCAACTGTTTAACTCATCCCAGATAATTTTCATGTTAAAAGATTGTCATCTTTTGAACATTTTTTGTCTTGTCTTTTACATCCACCCACTGTCATTGCCTCAAATCCCCTGCTCTGACAGTGCAGAGCAAATAAAGGAAATAGCAAATCCACTGAAAGAGAGTGGATACAGGCCCTAGAAACTGTGAAACAAAAATAGTGGCCGACAGGCATTGGTTTGAGGCTATACCTTAAGTGCCCAAGGACATATCCAGTGATCCTGAGAAGTGTGAGCCTGGGTATTTTGCCTGGAGTGATGAATGGTGTGTAGTGACTATGGCAGTTTGTTTGTTGTATGTTCCAGAAAGGATGAGTAACTGAGTTGGCTGTTTGGTAAATCATAAAAGCCATGAAACTCATTCTAGAACTAAACAAAGCTTCCCTATAGATAGAGCAATGGAAACCAATTGATTTTATTAAGAACCCCTGAAGTGATGGATAGTTATTACTACATCAGAAAGGAGGATCATGGGACTTTCCACTTTCTCAGTGGGTAGACCCAGACAACAGTGTACAGCAGTATGCCAAGGTCACAGAACATCTACTGTGCTTAGTTTTCTGAAGAGGCTAAAGCTGAAAATGGGAATCCTCGGTGTTTGGCCCTTAAGCATTTCACTCCCTGCAGGTGATTAAGTACATTTATAACAAAACAAAATAAAGCAAAATATGCTTTTCCTTCCGTGTTTATTATATTTATCTTCCTTTGGCTAGGAATGTGCGTGGCTCTGTGAATAAACTGAGCATCATCCTGATGTGGATGCTTCCTTAATCATCCTCTGAAGAAGACCAAGCATCAATTTATTTAAGTGCCTCTTAAAAATCTATGAGTGGTTGGTTGGCATCCTGTCATTTCTAAACATGGTAAATTTACTCTGCACTTTTTACAGGAATGGCAGTGAAAATCATCTGACTAGTTGCCAAAGATCAGAAACCTAAGAATCACATTGTTCTCAGGAAAACTATGAAACTTTATTTACTGAGCAAGACACTTCGTTTTTTAATCTATACTCAGGCTCAAAATGAGACGTATTTGTTCACATTGGTCAAACTCCATGTCATTTTCTTCAAATATTATATTTTCTCCATATTATTATTCTCAAATACCTTAGAGAATATAAGATTCTGTAGATGAGATAGGTAAATACTAGAAATATACCGTAAGAAGGAACATAAGTTTGTCGTATTCCTTTCCCTACTCGAAATTATTTATGAGCCTTTGAGTGTGAATGTATAATTAACTATTTTGAAAATGAAACATGCGTATATGTTCTATAACATAGTATCCTTAATATAATATTTTATAGAGATTTTCTGTGGAGTCATGATATGTTTAATAATTTTATCTATTTATTTATCTATTTTACTCATGACATCCTAGGTAGATAAAGCTAAGCCATTTTAAAGGAGAGAAAACTGAGATCCATCTCTTGTTCTTATCTAGTCAATTCACAGAAGACCAAGATCAAAATTCAGTACTACTGTCACTCAGCCATGACTCTTCTCCTAAAGTTAGAGAAAGAGGAATTAACATTAACAGGCTTAATACTCTTAAATAATGATGAAAGAGAAACAGAAGTAAACCAAGCACTGTTCTTTAACTCGTACCTATTGATTCACTTATACAAATTCTAATTTGCATTTTATTGCCTTTAAAATTCAGCAGAGAACCAAATTAAACAACATCGGTACTAAGTTAGATGGTAAAAATATGATGCCAAAAAAAAGTCTCCAGAATCACCGGACACACTGGATTCACAATTGCCTTGGCATACTTAGAAGTGACACAAAACTGTTTCATGTTCTTAAATTATGTCAGATGAAAATCATTTCTCAAGTGTTCGGTACTGCGCTTTGAACAAAAGAAGTATAGCCTATAGCACATGTTAATTCTTTTCACAGTTTATTTGAGGAGCCATGACAATTTTGATCAAGACTGTGTGTGTGTGTATGTGTGTGAATACATAGTATGTAACTACAGGAGTGTCTGTGTGTGTAAATACATACTACGTATCATACAGTTTAGAAGTTAAAAGTTCATCATACATATACCTACTAGAGATAGTATTGTCCTAAATGTATAATAGTTTTGGAAGAAGCAAGATTATTGTGGCTTGATTTCCTCAATCTGCATCTTTGCTTGCTATAGGCAGGAGAATTATGCCCAGTACCTGAGGGTTTCCCTTGTTTCTTCTAAATTCTCCTGTAGGGCTGACAGTGATTTTAGCACTTGTACTTTGGGAAGTTTTAGAGAATACTTGAAGGTGAGATTCTGGTTGTGTATAATGAATATGATAATAATAATAACATGTTTTAATGTTCAGTACAACTCTTCAAACAATAAATTGGAATCTATCAAGAGCAGTGCACATTTATGTAACACATTTTATCCCACAACCTGACTTCTTTCAATGTACAGCCCTTCAGGTACCACAGTGTTCTCAGAGGAGCATAGCCTTTAACTTCCCAATCTTCACTTCCCACCTTCTGGGCTTCAAGCCAGAAAAATGAAAAAAATATATATAGCTTTTATTTACACGTACCAAAAATATTTGGCAATTCCCTGTCAAGTAAACTACACTAGTAAGTCTGTACCTTCACTGGGACTGAAATACTGTATTTGCATATGGGCTTCAATGGAATGCTTTTTTATATAACATTACAATATATAAGCAGAAAGCCTTTTGTCTCAAAAAAACACAACAATTATATTCAACAGTTTCCAAAGAAAACATCACTTTCAGAAAAATATGACTGCCATATTTGGAAATACACAGATCAATCCATTATTTTAGTATTACAATACAGATTATATCTATCCTACTTAAGGTTAACTCTAAAGAAAATTTTGGATCAATAATAATGTTGTGCCTTTAGATTTTTTCTACTCAAAAAATATGAACGGTATAACCATAGTTTCTAAAATTTGTTAAGTGCTTTACTAGTGCCCAGCACTGGGCTTAGTAGCTTTCTCACATGATTGTGCATGTACGTAATCCTCCCAAGCAAGTTAAGTATTTTATTTTCTATTTTTTACAAGAAACCAAACAACAGCCCTCTCCCTCAGAGAGGTTAAATATATTGCAGAAAGTCACACAGTAAGATGCAGAGCTGAAAAGACGTAATTGTTTTTAGGCTTGCTTCTCAGTGTTATGTCTGTATGCTTTAAACTATTTTAGCTATTGAAACTATTGCTATTTCAAATATAGTATGCTAGTTTATGCCCATTTTATATAAAGAAATTAGGTTATGTATTAAAATGCAATGGTTGTTTTAAGGGAGTGGAGCTTTGAGTCATTGTATGTATTAATGCTACTATCATTTAATGTTCTTATAGCACTGAAATTGAAGGATGGAGAATTTAAAGAAAAAAAAAAAGTACACCAATACTTTATCCCTGATTTTAGTCAGTTTATTACCACTGATAAGAAAAGCCTGAGATTAGAAAACTTGCAAGAAATTAGTACCCTGGAGCTGAAGAAGAAATCACTCATCATCAGTTCAGTGTTGGAAGTGAAAAGAAGTGAATTCAACATGCAAAGTATTGTGCCTTTCTGTCAAAGTAGCACCAGAGAGAAGTAAATGATCAAATATATTGAACCAAATATCACATTTGTAGATTAACACTAGATTATTTGTTTATAGGTTTACTTAGAAAATACCACTGGAGCTTTTGAAAATTTTATTTTACTTTTTTTATTATACTTTCAGTTCTAGGGTACATGTCGGGCAGTGGGGGGCTGGGGGAGGAATAGCATTAGGAGAAATACCTAATATAAATGACGAGTTGATGGGTACAGCAAGCCAACATGGCACACGTATACCTATGTAACAAGCCTGCACGTTGTGCACATGTACCCTAGAGTTTTTGAAAATTCAAGGAGCCTAAAATTGTCCTAGGCTAATCCTAAATCTTAATCATGATTGAGATTGGTGATAAATCGATCAATGGAATCAATTTGGTGGAATCCTCAATTTTAGGCTAATCCAAAACATTTCAAGTTTTACATAGGGGCCAAACAATCTGTAAAATGATCCCCATGTAAAACTTGAAATGTTTTGATAATCTCAAGAACCTAGGCATATATTTGATGTTATCCTCATATTTTAGAATATATGTGTGCAGTATTTCCTAGATAATTCATATAAGATCATCCTCATATCATTTAGAAGAATTGCTGTTCTATAAAGTAATTTTTCTACTGTAGACATTATTTTCATTTGTGGAAATTCTAAGTATATAGGTAAACTTGAAGAAATAAGTCTGTTTTGTTAAGCTAAGTATATCTATCTGACCTGTGTGACTGTTAGGTGCTGTCGCCAACACCATGCTCAATATAGATAATCAAGCTCACGCACCTAGTATATAATATACCAGGTCTGAATTGCGGGTGATTACTTTCCCTTTTTAAAACTTCGTATTTTCCCCTTTTCTCTTATCCTTGCAATCTTTCTCTATAACATCATTATTTAGTATTCTCCTATAGATAAGAGAAAAGAGATCTTCAGAGTGGACAGTATGATTTAGTTATTCTCATTATATTATCATTAGTAAATGGATGTTTATATAGATAGATAAATCAAAAAGGACACAGCAATAAAGGGAGTGATTGACAGGGTAGGAGTGGTTGACATATACTAGATGGCCTTAGAAGCAGGGATCATAATTAAATCTGATATTTTTTAAAGTAGCAGCGCAGTAGAACAATTAAGAATTGATTTGACAAAACAAAATATCTAAATACCTATTTTAGGTGATTGTAATAATACATGCTATGAAAGAGCATGTTCTAAATATTCAAAATATGTGAATATGTTAAATATCTATTATCCAGTAATTGGATGCAAACCACTACTAAGTTGTTGAATTGGTTTTCTATCTTTTTAAGCTAATAATTTGCATTATTTTGTTGTTATACAATAATAATTATTTTCATAATCACAAATATATAAAAGGTTAAAATAAAATTGTCTGTTATCCCGCCATCAGACATACTTACTCCTAGCATTATTATTCTTACATATTATAGTTTCAACATAAATATGATCAAAGCATATTTATGTTTGTATTAATTGCTTTTCTATGTTACTCAATATTATTGGATATAATTTTATAGAGTCACATATCCTACATTACATACCTTAAATTACTTACCTAATCTACTATAGATTTTTCACTATTTTGCTGTTGTGAATGATGGAACTCTGCATTCATTTATTATTTTCTTTGGATTCATTATTAGAAATCGAACTACTTTGTCAGGACAAAATGATATTTAAAAATTTTTAAGTCTCCAAATCCACGTAGCCAAATTGTTTGCTACAGCAGAGGTACCGGTGTAAGAGATATCTTCCAAATGCATGTTGTTTTTAAATGTTGTGCTTAATGTTGTTGTTCATGAAAAGTCTTATGTTAAAGGAGAGTCAAAGAGTTGGTTTGCATTCCTCTGCTTATATATACAGTACACTATAGAAACAGAGAAGAATAAAATGAATTTTGCAAGGGTGTTTCAAAATTTGGAACAAGAGTTTGAGAGATGCTAATAAAGAACATTGGCTACTTAGCACTGCACATATTAAGTTTATAAGGTATAGTCTCATTTAAAAGAAAATGAGGTGGTATAAAATGACAAACTGATAATGCAAATTGTGAGATACACTTATTTAAAAAGAAGAACTAAGACTTTCCTATTTTCAATAAAATACATCCAAAATGTACATACTTTTAATTGAAAATTTTTGAAATATTAAGGGAACAGTGTCATTAGATTTCTCTAATTTGTTTGACTATTAAAGTGCTTTTGATAGGTGTCTTACACCATCAAAATACTTTATACTGTTGTGCATAGAAACTTTTAATTTTATGAGATACGTATACATATTGGTAACCACCTTTCAGTTACTCAGGGTGAAATTCAAGACTTTTCTCTATGACTCTACATATTCAGTAGAATTAAATTCTTCATTTATGTTTGGAAAATAAGGGAAGGATTAAGGTTAACTATTTGGAAGAAAAGTAATAAATCTGGTCTTAAGAACCTGACTGTAAGGTAAACTATTAAAATACTTCAAGATAAGAAAGATTAAAAATACTAATAATAATGAGTGCTCATCTATTTCAAGCTTCAAGGGGGAAAAAACTAAAACTGGGACTGAATGACTAGAACACAAGAGTTTGATTATCTTCACTCAGCCACACTGTTTGTCAATTCATGAGCTATGCCCAGTGAAGGAACAATGAAGAATTAATTCTGACTTTTCAGAGGTTTGATTGGGGTTGCCAAGAAATTGACCAGAAATGCCAGTGCTCTTCACTATACATGAACAATGAGTTTCACAGTAGTTATGTGCTACAAATTGTGGAAAAACATATTTTTACCTTCAGAAGAAGAAAGTATTTTTCACCTAGAATAAGCATTACATTTATTTTCCATGCTTTTTTGATGATAATATAGAGAAAGATAGAAATAATGCCATATGTACTAAAATCTACCAGAAAAAAAAAAGTTAGGCATGAATGATGCAGGGCTGTAAAATATATAGTGAAGTCTAGTCATCATTGATTTAATAAATACCACCACCTTTTGCAGTTTTGAGAATGTTTTCATCCAATTACATTCACATATTAATACATTAAAAGTTATCCATTATCATTTTAAATAAAGGTCTACAATACATTATTTTAGTTCTATTCATTTTATTGCTTAGAAATAATATTGCTACGGTGGTAAATTAACTTTGAAAGGGAGTTGAGTTTTCAAAGCTATAATATAATGGTACATTACCAGTAATACCAGTAATTTTTAGTTTAATCACTTGCAATACTTCAGGTATATGCCTTAGTTTGCATGAGCTTAAACTGCAAAATTGCTCTTTAGCACTATAATCATAAACAATTCTCTATAAAATCAACCTAGAAAAATTTTATTAGATTCACTTGAATTTTTAAGCAAAATTCAAATAGTTTCTCCATGATCATTCAATATTTCTGGAAAAATACAAAAGGATTAATAATTTGAACTATTAAATTCCAATATTTGAGAAAAACCTAAGGTGTTTGAAATGCAGTTATTAAGGATGCATTTTGCATAATTTGTATTGGGAAATATTTTTGCTCTAAACAATATTTATATTATTAATTAGAATAAGCCTTATGATTACATTTTAGTTATGTTGTAGATGCATTTTTTTCCAAATATATGAAAAACAAATAAATGACTACTACAAAGAAATGGAAATGATATTTTTAAAATAATGTTTAAATAGCTCTTTTAAAGATACAATGACACTTGAAACTTAGAAGTTCCAAAACTAGGAAGGCCACGATTTTCATTCACACTTCCATGTCTTCCCAAGATACTCTCAGATTTAAAACAAACAAAAACATTTGTTTTTGTAACATGTTTAATTTTGGTCAATATAAATTGAAACATAAATCTGATTTTTAAAGATCTCACTAATGCTCTAAATTTGAATTTATACTCCTACTAACCAAATTATCTTCTGATTTATAATTATAGGATTTAAAATTTGATATATTATTGTGACTTTTTTAATCTGTCCCTGAATTATAGTGATTTATGAATAGCCGCGCTAAATGTTCATTTGCTTATACATTGGTTAATTTATTTATTCAGCCAAATGCCTCTCAGGTACCAGGCATGGTTCTAGGCACTAAGACTTAAGTATTTAAAAAAGACAAGGTCTGTACTGACATGAAACTTAAATTCTAATTCTGGTTAGTGCTTTAATGCTTTTCACTTTAATGCTTTTCAACCTAAATAAGTCAATCTATAACAAATTCACTTTATGCTCATGAATCAGAAAGTCCACATTCTGAGATAATTTTATTTGTAAATGAACAATTACAGACTATTACAAACAAATACAAACAAAATTTCTGTAAATTTAGAAGTTAGTAAATCATTTCACTTAACTGGAGTTTATCAGATTACAGAGCCTGGGGATATTAGAAGACACCAAAATAGCATTGATACAATCAACATCTGTATTTAAGTCAGCATCCTAATTTCACTTGCTATGGAAAAAAAAATGTGTAACAACATATAAATATTGGATGAAAATGTTGGAATGCTTAAAAACAATCTGGAGAATTTCTAGTGTTTACAGGGAACTGCAAGTCTACACTGTAATATCTTTACAGTGTAATAAGAAATTGAAGTGTCTTGTGACTATGCTACACTGAAACATGTTTAATTTCTCTACTGTAAATGGCCTTTTCATTGTAAAGTACAGGTTTACTTCTTTAGAATACTAATTTTAATATGTCATATTCGCACTTTCAGGTTTTTGGTTACATTTTAAGTTTGGTGGAAAACATTTACATTGAAAAGTAGGATAATTTGATGGAGGAATTTTGTTCTTTATCTTGAGGTTTGAGGGCCTTCAGCCCACTGTGTACAATATAGAGGAACAAAACTGAGTCTCTGAAAGGATGTGACCAGGCTGTGTGATGCCTGTGGCTTACTGGGCAAATTCATAAACGTGAAATCAAAAGAAGCATGGAGGGATGGTTTCCTTCTCTTTAAAAGAGGCAAAAATTATTTGCTTCTGCACCAAACTTTTATTGTAAGGATCGAATAAGATATTGACACCATGTTCCAAAAATTATACTCAGTTAAAAAAACTCTAACTGATATTATTCCAGTTTTTTGCTATTGTCTGCTCATCAAAATTATTATAATTTATGTACACGTATTTAAGGAAAGAAAAAAATGCTTCTCATCAAGATTTGAATTATACACTTAAACTACTTCTTTATTTTCAAAGTGCTATTTGCTTATTTTGGAGCTCGGAGCAAATGATAAGTTTCTCTTAATTACTGGTCACTCATATTACACAACAGACACTGTGAGTGGCTTCCTAATGACTCAAAGCATAATGAACGCTGTAGGGACAGAAAACCTTCTAGGCTTCAGAAGTAATATATCAGATATGACAGAGACCCTTTAATGAGAGTCATAAATTTTAACTGTCTAAACCAGAAACAAACGTTTTAGCACTTCCTCTGTGGATGAACCCAAGTCCAGATCATTCATTGAGTTCTGTGGTCTGCAATGACAACTGTGAGAAATTAACAAGGAAGTGGAGCCCTTTCCTTTAATAATACCAAATGATTAAAAAGACCTAAAAAAAATCAATTGACTAATCAATAGTGTGTAACTGCTTGAAGCATTTTCCCCATGCTAATCAACCATTAAGTTGTTTAAACTAAATACCTCCATTTTCTCCAATTACTGAACCGATTTACAAGACATGGTCAAGGGTGTCAGAGTCTACTGGAGCCAGATTCCAGAGCTTTCGTTATTGGAGGAGACAGAAAATAATTTTTAAGTGATCCTCTCTCACTACACAGTCTAAAGACTCTTAAAAGGGAAGATGTGATAGAAGATATTCTGCCAGTTCCAGACATTGGTGAATTAATGTGTTACTCTCAAGTTCTAAACATGTATATTTGTTTGAGAATATGGGTAGGAAGTTATTTGAATTTAGGAGTAATAGAGGTCAAAATAACTAAAGAAAACATCTATACAATATATACAGGCAGGCCTTTAAATTTGTTTTTCAATTTCAGCCATGATGAGCAGCATGTAGCAAACAAGACCCCAAATTCAAAACAACAAAAAGTATTCTAACATGTGAAGTGACATATTATTACCTACCTGTATATTGCCAGCAACTCTAGTATGAAAACCACTTGTAAACTTTTAAGTTAAATGACACTGTGGGGGAAGAACAACACTAAAAAATAACTTTAAACAAGGGGGAAAAACTTTTTTATTGATATGTTTTACTTTGCTGGCAGACCAGAGCAAAGGTTTTGTGAACATTTAAAAGATGAAAAAGGTGAAGAATCCCAGAAGCGGTTTATCTTGAAGCGAGATAACTCTAGTATTGATAAAGAAGACAATCAGGTTGGTTCTCAAGTTTGAGAGTGGCTGACATTGTTGTTTTTGAAGGTGGGCTGACTGATGTTCATGTCGTCCCTCTGTTGTCCCTGCCTTCCCTCCAATCCTCCCCTGCCTCTGATACCACTGTCCTATCTCCAACCTCCTTCTCCTCCTTCCCTCCCCCTTTGGCATTCAATGGGTAGCAAAAAAAAATATGTCCTGGTTGCTTTAGCAATGGCTCTGTGTTGGGCTGCATGGGTGGTGCTTGGCGCAGTTTCCGCTGCATGTCTGGGAGGGTCGGGATGCCACAGGCTCCGAGCTGTGGAGAAAAGCTTTGTCAGTCGCATATCCAGATGTCTGTGTAACTATGGCAGTCGTTCCACTCCCTACAGCTTTGTCCTTCAGTTGTGCACAAATTGAGCTGGATTATCAATACGGACCGATGATCAACCGGTGTAGCTGTAAAGAACAAACCTTGTTATGGTGAGGACAGGTGGATTTTGCAACTATCCTAAAATAAGTCTTCAGAGAAAAGAATTGAGTTCATGTTTTAGTCTTTTATCCCCTCTCCTTCCCATGTTTTATGGTCCATGTAAATTGTCTGCTTGTTTTGCATGAAGTGTAGCAGAACTTTATCCTTGTGTATTTTGCTTGTGACAAAACATTATGTTGTTCTAGAGTAGCCTTATTTGTGGTACCCGGACAGGAGCAAAGAGACCTTACTAAATCTCTTCTTTAGATTGGCGGGGGGCTATGGGATCCAGGGTGATTAGAAGAAAGCTAAGTAAATGGCAAAAAAAAAAAATTCCATAAATTTTTAAATGATGATAACAATAGAAAGTCATATAAATGCCATTACAATTATACTTTGTGTCTCTGACAATCAAAATAGACTTTTTTTGAAAATGACTTTGCTTTAGAATTCTTAAAGGTAAGACAATATGCATCTCAAGTTATCATTTTAATCACTCTCGGTGAGTCATTCAGCCAGTATGTGCATCTCTGACGCACTTTTTAAAAACTTGTTCATCATTTGTATCTCGTTTCCTCCCACTGCCACCAAGCTACACCATGGCTCCTGTTGACTATGAAACATGTGCCTGTGTCATGTTTAGTGGGTGTCTGTTGAATGGATGGATGAATGTGGTTAGTGCAGAGCAGTTTGTGAGGAATGGAAAGAATAGATGGAAGGAGACTTAAGATGCAGGAAGTAGTCAGAAAATAGGATAAAGAGCAGTCCTCATGCTGGGTTCTTTGAAGCATTACTTTAGAGTTCTTGGTATTGACTCTTGTCAACAAACAGGTTTTTAAAATTTAGCCTGTAAACCTGAGGTCATTCATTCTATGCTAAATGCAATTCATGGGATCAGTCACTGAATGAATTACACAAATTAGAAGATGAAGAAATAATGTCCACATCTTCCTTTCTGTTAATTACTTTCTTTGCTCACTTGCTTTTTCTCCAGTCCCCAAGCTTTCAAAATGATTTCTTCCCTCAGCTACCTTGAACTAGCCACTTCCTCTTTTTTCACCGGCATTCTGCCTCCTTCTGAGGAGTCAGAACCACACAGGTAAGCAAGACAGACAGAGTCCATCAGTGATGAGCCATCACGTATGTGAATTGGCTGAATACCTGAGGCACAGTGAGGTGCACTCGTTTTGGAAACACCTGTGCTACTTGCATCCAGTGAGGAACCAACCAGCAGCAGTAAACACCTCTCACCATTGCATGTCATGCACACACATGGTACATGCACCCAACACAGCCTCCTCAGGAAACAGAGAGAATGAGATTTTTCAGGCTCCATTTGTTTAAGTGAACATTTATTATTCTTAGCTGACAGTTGCTTAACCACAGATTTCTAACAACGCAACTTGGATAACCCTCCTGATTTCTTTTTTCTGTTCAGCAAAACAGAATGCATCCATTTAGAGATGACAGACGAAGTAAATCAATTGAAGAGAGAGAAGAGGAATATCAGAGAGTGAGGGAGAGAATATTTGCACACGATGTGAGTAGTTGTTTTAATTGCCTCTTTAGTGCGCTCCTTCCAACAGCAGTAAGGCTTCCTCATTCCCCAGACAGCGAGGTGGCAGGGAATAAAAAGGCTGGAGCCAGAGAACAAATCAAACTGAAGAAAACTAGAGGTGATTTTGGAAGAGGATCTGGTTCAGGGAAGTGATAGAAACCTAGCCAAGGGTTTGGGTGTGTTCTTAGGATATGACTGGTGGGGGCATGTAGAGAGGTATGATTTTGGTCAGTGATACAGACCTTAAATACAGAAAGTGTTTGTCAGATTTGAAGAAATGCCTTCACCTCCACATTAGCCAGCAGATTACCTACCTAGTGTTGTTTTCTTTTTAATAACAACATTGTACAGGGTAAAGAATTACAAAGAAGAGAGAATCTGTTTATCTCACACACACATCCATATACAACGAGTATTTTCTGGGTTGTTAGCAAATATGGACATTTCATTATACTAAATTTAGATTATTTTTCTCCTCAATTTCAAATCAAATCTGTGAACAGTTTGTCAAGGGAATAATCATAAAACAAATCCGAACAACAAAAAAAATGGTTGGAATTTTTTATCTTTACCCACTATGGTCAAGATAAAATGCAATTAATTAAACATTAAAAGGTAAAAAAAAGTAGAGGCTGGATTTAAATGCAAGGAAAAGGGCAAGCAACTGCCATAGCGTTTTCATTCCATGCAATCATTTAGCAGCCTCCTCAAATGATGTGGGTTCTTCCCCCTGCGTCAGTAGAAGTGTGAGCTCCTTTGTAAGACTCCGTGGCCAACATGGCAAGCTTTGCTGAGTCTAGTGGAATATCTGATCTCCTGCTGTGATCTGCTTCTGGAGACAACACAAAGCCAGCCCAGAGAAGTAGGCTTCAGTGCTTAGCTTGGAGGAAGACTGCTGTCCTGAAAAGTTTCAGGCCAAAGCCAGTTTCTCTGATCTTCCAGCTGGTCTGGTTCCATTAATATGAAAGTGCAGGGGAGATTCAACCTCCTCCAGCACTGCACTTCTTTCACGTTTATATCCCGCCCCCTACAACCCCCGCCACCTTTCTTGAACACACTGAAATAGAATTTTGAAGATTGGATGATCCAGCTAAGAGCTCTGAAATTAGAAGAGTGTGAGAGAGAGGGAGATGGAAGTTACCATTGTTGGAGGTCTGGATGCAATTTTAGGAGACTCTGCATATGTGTAGGCTACTTAGAATTTTATTATGGTCAGAATTTTAGATAATGCAAAATACAGCCTGACATATGGTGGGCCTTTAATTGTGTTTGGTGGATACAAGAATGAAGTGATGAGATGATCTTTTCCAGTCATAATAAGGATGCCTACAGTGGCCTGGAAAGTAGCATTTTCCTGTCTGAAGACCTTCATAGAGCTTCATAGAGATAATTTTTTTGAAAGTTAATTCATTTTTTGTTCTTATTCTCTCTCTCTTGCTCTCTCTCTCTCTCAAACACACACACACACACACACACACACACACACACACACACACACATTTTCTCTCACACTCTGGTCCTGGCAGGTCAAGTAATTTATGAATGAGTTATGTTGAAAAGAAAATACAAATCACACATAAAATGCACATGCAATATTATGCTGTTTTTAAAGTTGTGTCACATTGTTAGACACTTGACAGCTAGGTGACAAAGTCTGTCACTAATGCCTGTCTGTAATGAAGATGACACCTGTCCTGCTTATTTCATTTGCCAATTCTCATGGACAAAGAGAGGTCACTGGGAGACAGGGTCTGCATGACTTTCTCTATACATTGCATTTCCTTACAACCTTGTTAACGAGATTAACAGCTGGGGATCTGGGTTAAACATTTTAGGCAAGTGTTGCTATTTGAAGCATCTATGCCCACATGCTGTATCAACAGTTTTTAAAAAATAAAAGCACATTTAAATGTGAGAAATCTTAAATGTCAAGCTATTGCCATAGCTTTTTAAATCCATGAAATCATTTGGCAGCCTTCTTTAAAATGCTGTGGCTTCTTCTCTCTGTAGGAATAGAGGTGTGAGCCCCTTTGGTAGCCTCCCTAGTGGCCAGCTCTTCCGGCTTTACTAATTTGAGTGGAGGACCAGCCTGTTTCTAGCATGCTTTTTAACTTGATATCCTAGGGCAGCGTTTTAAATTGGCATCAGGTACCCAGACTATACTCACAGAAGGGCTTGAAGGATTAACTGAAGTCCCAGACATCATTTGCAAATCATGTTCATGAACACGTGTGCATTTTTTAAAGAAATGGTCCCTATTGTATATCATATTCTTACAAGTTTCCATAACCGTTAAAAGGCTAAGACCCTTTCTCTTAGAGGGCAAGAAACACCTAGTGTCTTTCTCTATCTGTATAGCTCTGCTAGAGATATGCAATCATACCACTGGTATTTTCTATGTGTTAGCTATTTGTTGCCTTATAACAAAAAATTCCAAAATTTGGCAGCTGAAAACAAACACTTATCATCTCACAATTTCTGTGGGTCAGGAGTCTGGGAGTAGCTTAACTGGGTGATTCTAGCTCAGAGTCTTACATGAGGTTGCAGTTAAGCTGTCAACTGGGGCTGCAGTCATCTGAAGGCTTGATCAAGTGGTTATCTGCTTTCAAACTCTCTTACATGATTATTGGAAGGCCTCAATTCTTCACTGGCTATAGGCTGGAGATCTCAGTTCCTTACAATGTAGGCTTCTATAGGCTGTTTGGTGTCTTCATGACATGGCAACTAACTTCCCCTGAAGAAAGTGATTTAAGGGAGAAAGAGAGAGAAAGCCCAAGATGGAAGAAGCCACAGTCTTTTATAACCTAATCTTGGATATGATATATCTTCCCAGCTATATTGTCTTGGACACTCAGATCAACATTGGAACAATGTGGAAAGTACCACACAAGGTTGTGAATATCAAAAGGCAGGGATCATTGGGGGTGACCCTGTATAAAGAGGCTATTACTGTATCCTCTATTGACACAAACATAAAGGCAGCACACTTTAGGGGACCCTCATCTAGTACTTCCAGATCCCCAAATGATCATTACTAGTGCCCAAATGGCTGAGGCACAAGATCATTCTTTCATAAGATGATAATTACAGTATATTAAATCAATTAGAGAACAAATGCAAAGAATCCAGCATAAGGAAACTGTGTTACAGAACTCTAATCTTTTTCATAGCTGGTCTTTAGTTTAGTTTCTTCATAATTTGAAAACTGAGCTAACAAAGCGGCTTTCCTTGGCAATTATTATTTAAGCAGTGGAGTGATTTAAATAGGTTCAAATATTGCTTAAGTGTATTTTTTTGCTACTTGAAGTAAAAGTAGAAAGTTCAGAAATACTTCCTGGTATTTACAATTTAGCAAAAGTCAAATTTATTTTAAAATCAGAAACATTCTTGAATATTTTCCAAATATATCTTGGTGTCTAAGGTGTCTGTGTGTGTGTGTGTGTGTGTGTGTGTGTGTGTGTGTGTGTGTGTGTGAAAGAGAGAGAGTGTGTGTGTGTATGTGTTTGTGTGTGCTTTTGTATACAGGCACATAAAATATGTGATTTGCTTTGGGGATTTTCCAGAAAAAAATTCAAATCCACTTTGAGAATTTTGAGATTTTGAGATAAGACAAATTTCTTCATTATTTGAGAACTAAATAGTTGTAAGTCAAAACAACAATTTAGAATTTAGTACCTAAATAATAAATGTATTTTTTGTAGTCAATATATTTGAAATGTAATTCTTTTTTCCTTTGGCAAAACTTTATATTTAGGCTTATTTTATGGTTAATTCTATGCAATGTAACTGACTTTGGGAAGGTTAAATTGATAAAGCAATATACTTGAGAAGGTATGTTTTGCCTGGAGGCTAATTTCTGAAGGATATTTGTGTATAAATAGAGATTCAGTGAAGAGTTCATCTGTGGTCCTCCTAACATGTGCTGGGACTCCTCTTCAGTGGGGATGGGTAATAAGGGCATGTGGTGCCACCAGAGCTGAGGGTGGGATGTGGGAGAGAACTCTATAACCCATTAAGCAAAATCGTTTTTCTTCTTTTGAAAAGAAGCAAGCCTTTTATATCCGAGAATGCATATAAGTGACAGCTTTGAATGTTGCACTTAATTACTGTGACAATTTTATCTTTCTCTGCTATTAAAATTATTAATACTACTTTTTTTAAAAAAAAGTTTATTTTCATCAGCTAGTGAATCACAGCCCATAACTGTATCTATCTTATTTATGAAAATGTAGTTGAGGGGATAATGAGATAATTTTTTAGGAACTTTCCAAAGAAAACAGAAAAATACTTGAGATATTATTGGGTAAGGTATTTTTTTTTTATTTTTTTGAGACAAAGTCCCTGTCACCTAGGTTGGAGTACAGTGGCATGATCTCTGCTCACTGCATCCTCTAGCTCCTGGGCTCAAGTGATTCTCCCACCTACTCTACCAATAGCTGGAACCACAGGTGTGCACCACCATGCCCCGCTAATTTTTGTATTTTTTGTAAAGACAGGGTTTCACCATGTTGCCCACGCTGGTCTTGAACCCCTGAGCTCAGGCGATCTGCCTGCCTTGGCCTCCCAAAGTGCTGGGATTACAAGTGTGAGCCACCACTTTGGCATGGGCAAGGTATCTTTGACTTGCTTGTGTCTTACTTTTTAATACAGAGTTTGGGGTTCTTAACTCTCCCCCAAATGCTATTAGATTGAGTCTAAAGAGGTCACTATGTCCTTAATTAATTCCTTCAGACAAATAGAGTCTCAATAATTCCAATATCCAGACAAAACATTATAAACACAATCAACCACTTTCCAACTATGAGAGCTGAGAAGTAGCAAAGTATGAACTCATAATGTATATCTAAGCTAACCTCGCTTTCTTTTACATACCTTACTTGACTCCAGCCAATAGTAAAACCAAATTAAAGGAAATAAAAGAAGTTAGGACATTTAGTGTACTGTAAAGAGCCCTTCATAGGCATATCAATGGCACATCATTTATGCTTGTTTCCCTTTCATATATAAATGTCAAGTTTTTTAAAAAAGCTATTCTCTGAAAAGCTTTATCTTTTAATTGTCTCTCTTTGCTTTTTCTTAAATGAGGTTTTTGCATACTTGAAATTCAGGATGCATGTTAAGTGCAGCAAGGTTAAAGCATAAACGATTCTAGAGACACCTTCACTGAAATGCTCATAAAACTGAGAGAAACACCATGTCTAAATCTAGCCCATTGGCTTAGTGGAAGGAAATTATTTCTCTAACAAAATGAACATAGAAACCAATATTCTGCCTGCCTCTCAGAAGTGGTTACATTAGCAGGATCTTTTAAGTCAATAATTGGTTATTAAAAGGTTATTATTACTTCTTTAGTTTTATTTTATCTTAAAATTGACCTGTTAAGTCTCTATTTATTCCTGTAACAAGTCATTTATTCATCATTTGGAAAATCTACGTATATAGCAGGATGTGTATTTATTTATGTTTAGAAACTTAAGTACTTTGGAAATGGTTTTGTGTTACTTTCTAAATACAGTCACCCTATTATAGGACCACAGCACCATATCTTGTCTAGACTTCTCTTTTGTATTTGTTTAAATTTAATTTGATCCACCTTTCCTCAGCATGTAATGGTAATGGAATTTTGTCCTCCCTACATTGTGCATAAACACAAGATAGAAGAGAAATGAATGCTCGGTGAATAGAAGCTAAGAAGAAAGTCATTGATTTTCTATGTGAAAAACTGGCATATATTAGATGGAGCTTGATTTTTTTTTTTTAATTAGCGTATTTTCATCCTCACTTGTCTTCTGGCCTTCCCCTCTTACTTAAGATCAATAATTGATGGCATTTCTTCTATTTTGAGAGTCTTTCAGTCAATCTCTTTATTTCATGAGAGTTTATCATCACCAGGTAATAATTTCAGGATTGTGGCTTTATGGCTCTCCCATTCTTAACGTGGATCGCATGGAGTCTGCACGCTCTGCTTTGATTTGAACCCTTTCCCTTGGCTTCTGTTGTTTGGTGGCTGCAGCTCTGCAGCTCCAGAAGAAACCACTAGCTCGGAATCCGACGGCCACACGTTTCTCCAGCTGTTTCATTCACATTTCTCTTCTTCTGACCTCCATGCCGAACAGACTAAATCTAAAACCTGGAGACGTCCTGAAGGAAAAATACCCTATGCTGCATGAGAATTGTTTACTTTTCTAATCCTAACCAACCTTTTTCCTTTTTTATTTCTATCTTTTGTACCTATTTTTCTTAATTCTTTTCCCCTATGAGGGGAAAGTTAGTTTTAAAATCAGGCAAGTATTTGGGATCCCTCAGCATATCCAGAACTTCTGATCCAATGCCTTTTTTTTATTTTTCAGTCAGTTTGCTCCCAGGAAAGCCTTTTTGTGGAAAACAGGTAAAATAAAATTTACTTTTCCATGTCTTTAGAGGAACAACGTCTGTCATGTGTGTCTTGTGTATTCATAAATATATATCCCATATATGTGTGTGCTTGAATATATGTATTAGCAGATACATATATCTATGCGTACACACATATATGTTATTTAACACATCTACAAATGATCTAATTTGGAAAAAAAATTTTCTTTCAGTTAATTCCAAACAGAATTGTAAAACTTTTTCTTATTTAAAGTCTCAATTTCTGGTCCTTGCAAAGGTATACTTCCTATTACCTTCACCAGGCATTAAGAATAATAAATATGGAGACATCACAGGAACTTGCAGTTTCATTGGCTTATTTAGTAGTCTGCTAGAGGCATGCATATATTTGGTATTATTGGCCACTTCCTGTGCCCCATAACAATATATAGCTATACAAGTAACAATTGGAATAATATTTTCAGTTTTTTTATTCTAAACAATCTATTTTTCTTCATAAAAGACTTGACCTTGAAAATCTTATCTAAACTGGCCTAGATTTAGCAGTGTACCTGGCATAGGAGTTAGTAGGGGGAGGTAGTTGTTGTAAAATAAATGGGTTATAAAATTTAAAGAAAATCTTGGTGATAAGAGCAAAAATTTTTCAAACTTAATATATACCCTTCAAAAATCATTCTAAATTGACATATATATTAAAATGCCCCATTGATTTAATTGCGGATACTCAGGGCAAATTAAGGAATCCAAATTAACTGCACTAATCACATTTAAGAGGCATCAAAATGAGCAACTTGATTTGAAAATGTGGTATCTATAAATAAAGTGGTGGTTAATTTTATTTCAGGGTTTTGCTTAATGTGTATTCCTATACCATTGATTAAAATGAAGACTGTTTGATTAAATGCCAGTACTCAGAGAAATTTAAACTGGACATTAAAGATGATTGGCTTAAAAAATTCCATCATTCATATTTGCAGTTGGAAATCTTCAAGTAACGTGACTAAACCCCTTAATAGAATAACCTCTTCAGAAGAAGAGATAAAATTGAGAAACACATAAAAGGGATTCACAGAAAACTTCAAAGTCCATATATATTTAGACAAATATTCCCTATTTACAGTAAAATCAGTAATCCATAAGCATTGACATCTTGCAGGTGATTTCTAAAGGATTCCAAAAATACTCTATCTTTGCCAGAAAGATTAAGTGAGCATTCACAATTCAGATTCATGGGAAACCTTATTCTCTCGTCTTCTAGCCAATGATTTTCCCTATCTTCCTCCCTAATCTTATCCATTTACACTTGAGTGTCCCTTATATTATGTTGGATTATATCCCACATTACAATAATTGGTCACATATATATGTATTGCCTTCTCTTTAGGTTAACAGGTCTTGATGGTCCTGGAAACCAAAAATCTAAGTGACTTACCACCAAAAATAAATACATTTCTTGGATATGTGCCTCTGGAATGCCAATATTTCATTATGCCAAAATATGAAGAATAGTTTTAATATATTACTCTAAAAAATCACTACTAATGTATTTAATTAAATCTCTATTATACCTATATCAATCTCTTTTCTCCTCTTCTATTCCCTCTGCTTCCTCTTTCCTTCTTTTCTCCTTACCTAGCATCGGTGTCTTAATCCTAGGGTAGAGATCTTAATCCTATCCTATGGGCATTAATTTATTATGGCAAAATTCAACATCATATAAATAAAACTTTGTATGGGATTGATTTGTGCTGTAGTAGAGTACACATCCATGTAAACACAAGGCATTTAGTACCCTTAGGTTTTATATCATAAAAATCATGTTTTTCATTTCCAGTAGGCTCTTGGAAGACAGTAACATATGCAATGAGACCTATAAGAAAAGACAGCTCTTTCGGTTGGTATGGTTTACTTTCTTAAACTGTGTTTTTTTCAAATTATGTGGTAGAATCAATGTTAAATATTAGTGTACTCGTGTAAAATATATCTGTTCATTTAAAAAAGTCTGGTTATCTCTTTGTAAAGCTTGTTAAATAGCTAGCGTGGAAGTCATATTGGGTAGTATGAGATATGAGACTGGAAATCTATCACTTCGTCTACAATTCGTTAGGGTTCTTCTGGTTTTCTGCTTTTTGGGGGCTAACTTTGGTAGCACACTGTTTTGATTTTCCCAAATTAACTTTAGTAAATTACACTGAGTTAAATTTTCACTGACAGATTGCAATTGTACATACATTCTCAACACTGGAAAATAAATCAATGATAGCCCTACTTGGGCAACTAATTTTTAATTTTATCTGTTATATTATTTCAAACAGTGTGTTTTCAAGGGTGAATTTTATTTCTGAAGAAAGATATGAGGTTCCTTTCAATTAAAATGAAATACTTAAATTAAAATCTGTGTAGGATAAGGGGATAGGATGATAATTTTTTTAAAGTTCTATACTAGACTAGAAGCTCTATGAAAGCAGAGCGACCATACCCATTTTCTCACTGCTCTATTCAATGTATATCTGACATCCATTGTAGAGAAAAGTGTACACAGTACTATAAGTATACTCAGTATCCAATACATATATTTAATGTGTTAATGTGTTTATGAGTGTTAGGATTTACCTCCGTTGCAGGAATTACTACAAGAACAACAACAAAACTCTTATCCACTTAAAAGAAAGAAAATACTAAGAAAATCAGATGAATTGAATGTTGAGAAAGTACATTTTCTGCAATAATTCTGGACTTTAGAACTCATTATGAGTAAAATTAATTTGTTATCTTACACTTTGATTGAAACAAAAAACAGAAGCTTCTTTTTGGACTTCTTTCACTTTTCTAGATTGAACTATTAAGTTTATTATGAAGTCTTCCTTATGTATCATTAGACAATTAATTTTCTTTTCCACACTTGAAGATTTAAGAAAATAACTTTGCACTTCTTTTGAAAACTCAGAGAAAAGCTAAAATTTACCATTAGTCCTGCGCTCACACACTGTGACCTAGTTTGTTTAGGGTGATATAGATAAAACATGGGTTCTTGTCCCCTAAAGGCCAGTTAGTTTTACATAATCCCAAATCTGTCCCCAAGCCAGAGCTACCATATACTCAGGTTAGCCATCTCAAATATGGATTTCATCACCCACCCAAATAACCAAGCACAGAAACTCAGAAGGGTAACTTAGCACAAAGCCATTCACACAATTGTAAAAGCAATTCAAGATGTAGATCATCCCTAGCCCGTGCAAAAAAGATGCATTTAGACATAAAGGAAAATAAATATTTTCAGTTATGTTAATCAGCACAGAAGCAGAGCTTAAAATATATGCCTTTGTAACTACCTTGGAATGAAATTCTAGTTACTTACAAGAGGGCCCAGCTCCAATGACAGATATCTCATTACTATCATCTTCCTGGATTCCAGTAGGTGATTCCAGTAGGAGAGTAACCTGTGCAAAAAAAAAAAAAAATGCATATAGACATAAAGGAAAATAAATATTTTCAATTATGTTAATCAGCACAGAAACAGAGCTTAAAATATATGCTTTATAACTACCTTGGAATGAAATTCTAGTTACTTACAAGAGGGCAAGCTCCAATGACCAGATATCCCATTGCTATCATCTTCCTGGATTCCAGTAGGGGAGGAACAAGACTGGGCTTAGGAGAGAAGGGAAGACACCTGTGCATGTGGTTTTCTACAATGCCTATGATCCCACACCCAAACAGATTTGGAATTCAATACTGGACCGCACTTCAACACTGTTAAGATGATAGTGCAATATAAAATAGAGGAGTACAAAATATATTTTAATGTATAAATACCTAGGAATCATAAATTAGAGTTACACATTATTTTTGAATCTCATTAATGCTAACTCCCTAAAGCGGCAACTTAAATTTTCTTTTTTAAATGTACAGATTATGGCTTAGGACAGTGATCTGAGCTAGTGAGGTAGAGGTAGAGAAGTTAAAGAAATCTTAGGTTGCCTTATTGAGCAGGTGATGTGACATAAGTCTAAAGGAACTTCTTACAGCTCTAAAACTAGCTCTACCAGGGAGAAGGGTGTAGACTACAACACACTAAATTGCACCCAGAAATAGTGGTGGCCACCTTCTTTACCTAAAAGGCACAGTCACACTGGCTTTTACAGAAAGTCTGGATTCCTGCCATGGAGGTGCAGAGTTCATGGCTAAAGAGATTATTGAAGCAGAATTAGTAATGGGAACAAGGGATCACCCCCATATGGAGAGCATCCATCTCATGCATCCTGTACTCTGAGGCTAAGCACCACTCCCAAATCATCAAGCCAATGTTTTTCTATAATAAATATTTCAAATTAGCTGCAAATGAGATTATTGTCATATTTCTGGTGCATTCACAGTTGCTAAACAATGATTTTGCTAGACTTTGTAAAACATAGTTTAACATACTCATGATTATATGGGAGAAGAATGAAGTTGAATTTGGAGATTTAAAGAGAAGACAATCAGAAATGGAATAGCAAGCCCTTGAAAAGGCTATTTATTTCTCCGCTCTATCTCCCAAGGCTTTCTTGAATGTCAAAGGAGTTTAAGAGGTAAAGCCACCTGGTCATTGGTGAAGGTCTGGCATTCATACCTACAACTTGGTTTTCATCAAGTGGTTCTTATTTCTAAAACCAGCCATCCGTGTGGTACTGAGAACAGAGAGAATGTAAAATATTAATAGAGGATGGAGGGCACTGAGTATTTTCATCTAATCTTTCACTCGAAAGCGCTTTTTGTTTTGTGAATATTCTGTACCCCTTCCTCCCTTTGCTTTACAAAGTTCCTGTCACAAATCAGTTATTTCATTTTTATTTCTTGGATCCATTTATCTTCTTATGTTTGGCTGAAATAAAAGAAAAAGTTTAGTGAGTAAAGTTAAAGCAACACTTAAAATTTTCTTTGTACTGTCTGTACAATTTTGTCGGTGAGTATTTCAATCACATAGTGCACTTCAAACATCTCAACAGTACATTATTGTCTTTAAAATATTTTTCAATGAAGCTACCAATCACATCTGTGAGATTTGAATCAAGGCTTAAATATGTCTCATTGTTAATATGAGTTAGGTGTTATATTTACTGACCAAGATTTATATTCCCTTTACTTATTTATAATCCATTAAACCTTAAGGTATTTTACGGATGCATTATTTTTATCTTCAGAAAAAGCTTTGAATTTATTAACAAAGTTATGCTTTAGACAGATTGGAAACCAATGAAAATGCAAATTTCGTCAAATTTCTCTATAAAACACATGCAATTTTGCATATTTCTTAGAGATACTCTACAGTCTTCAAACTTCACTTCTGGCTATTGGATCTCTTCCAATACATTTACTCTTTTTTCTATTTGAAGTTTGAACAAATGTGTTCTTTCACCTGAGGAGCTTTTTTTGTTATTTCCATTGTTCCCCTTGGAAAGTTTTGTGTCAGTGTATAGTGTTTACACTGTTGTTATTTTCAAAAGTTTTTCTACGTGAAAATAATTAAAGGGTTCTTTCCTCTGACCATGAAGGTTAAACTCAGTGGGCAAAATTCTTACCATAGGTTAATAGAGTAATTTCTGTGATTTC
This sequence comes from Homo sapiens, assembly GCF_000001405.40. Taxonomy (NCBI): domain Eukaryota; kingdom Metazoa; phylum Chordata; class Mammalia; order Primates; family Hominidae; genus Homo; species Homo sapiens. The sequence continues at coordinate 35,721,056 of NC_000003.12, forward strand.
TATCCTATCTGTCAAAGCCTTGGTGATTTCAGATGTGTATCTCATAAAGCTGGAACATGAATTAACAGCTTCTCTGGATCTATGTGCATTTTTCCATTGACAATTATTTTGTGCTAAAGAGAGAGAAAAAGTCTTCTTTGGTGGGAGTTACTTTTAGAATCATTTAAGATCACAATTACTTCTGAACATTAATTAATTATTGATTTGAGTCAGGAGAAGTTATCCCCCTATTCTATTTGCAAGAGAAATTAACAATTACATTTTATGACATGTCTTTCTAGTTGTTTCTCCTTCACCGACAGAGGGATCATGTAACATTTCTAGGTTTGGTTTTTCTGTTTGTAACCTATGTGTTATATGTGATGTGTCATCTGTCTATACATCATCAAAGTATTTGTAACACTGGGAGGCAACTGGTTTAATGAAAAGGGTTGGCAGGAAGGGTCTTGTGTGGATCACCTTCCAAGAAAAGCCTTGCTCTGTGCCTACCAACACCATGCATGTAAGGTAATCCTGTCCCTGTGCATCTTTCTGGTGGTCGTACTCCAGGGGCAACAGAGATGGCTCAGGGAGAACATCTGGGAGTCGACAGAGCAGCTCAGAAAATGAACTCAAGTGGTCTGACCACCAAAGGGCCTGGAGCAGCACAGACTCCGACAGTTCCAACCGCAATCTAAAGCCCGCCATGACCAAGACGGCGAGTTTTGGGGGCATCACGGTGCTGACCAGGGGTGACAGCACTTCCAGTACTAGGAGTACCGGGAAGCTGTCCAAAGCAGGTAGTTAGTACTGAATGTGTTTATGTCCTGTGGTATTTTTTGGATTCTACCCAAGCCATATGGTCACCATTCCCTCTGACTTTCAGTTGACTGATAATGATGATATTAATCACAGGGATAGCTGGAAATCAGAAGGTACAATTTAAATAGGTTACTGACTCTTTCCAGTTATGTGCCTAGGTCAAGTTACTAACCTCTCCAAGTTTCAGTTTTCTTATCTATAAAATGTAGGTTATATAATGTTATTCAAACCCATCTCAGTAGACTTAGTGTTTATGTATTTAATTTAAGCACTTAAGTTTACTTATTTAAGTTTACTCAGTAAACTGAAGTTTAAATTGCATTATTTATATAAAAATGATTACCATGGCACCTGCATTACAGTAACTACCTAGCAAAAGTTTGCTGTTCCTTTTAAATTTAGTAATATGAATTATTCCTTAAAAACACGCCGTAGGATAATTATAATATTAATAGCTTTCGTTCTTGCATTGGAATGCTGTTAGTACGATCCTGGACCTGGTTTTTAACCATTCTGTGCCTCTGTTTTCTTCATCTGATAAATAGAAATAATAATAGTACCTATATTGTAGAAATATTATGAAGACTGAAAGAGTCAGTATACACAAAGCAACTTGAATAATGTCTGTCAAGTTATAAACCCCCAATAAACTCTAGTTATTATTCATTTTTATTACTGCCATTTAATGTTTGCACCCCTGCTTTGCAGATAAGACAGGTGAGTGTCAGAGAGGTTTAGAGTTTCCAAGTTACCAGGTGCTTGTATGTTTTTTTCCAAGTGAAGCAAATAACGATATTCTGAGGTAGGTAGTTCAAGTTTGCATGAACAGTCTTTGGAAGGTGAGTGATAATGAGAGATCTAGGAGAGCCATTAACTTGAAACAACTTTAAACTGATGGAAGCATACACCACGATGCTCACATGAGTCTGCAAAATGCCCTCATGGTCGGCCATTTCTAGCTCTTCTGTCTCCCAAAGATTATTCACTATTGTTTTTGATTATTTTCAAATGTTCACAATTAAAATACCTCCTAAAATCTCAGGAAGGTGACAAATGACCATTCAGTAGCACTCCATGAACTGAAGTTTGTGATTTTAGTATGTAATTGTTTTTGCTTTGTTTTGGTTCTGCCTTAGAAAATCAAATTCCCTGACACTCTCTTGGTTTGGGTGGGGAGGTGGTTGGGAGTTGTGATTCTGTTGTATGCTCTGGGTGTCAGATTGTATGGGTGGAGCATTCAGGCTCCTGAAGTGACAGGTGAGTGGGAGGCCAAGGCAGGAGTGGGATGAAGAATGGAGAACCCCAGTTAGAGTTTAGACATGGGCTGCCCTGGACTGTGGATATTTTCCCAATCACCCTTTACACTGATGTTAGGGCCAAGGGGTTCCCCACCTCCATGCAAAATCTGGGTTCATTTGCTAATGGTTTAACATAATTAGGTTGTTGACAAATTCCTTCTAAAAATTATCTCATGTTTTCCTATATTAGGAGAAAATTAATAGCATTTAGTTACAGTCACTACATAATACACACACCCTGATTCTTGGAAAGATTCAGATGGGTTCACACTGCCTTTCTGCAATTTTTATTCACTAATTGGTGAGTTCTTGATTTCTTACTCTAATTAATTGCTCTCATATTCCACTATTGTAGCAACTGAAGTAAAGAAAATCCACTGTAGTACACTTGAGCTCTTGTAAACTAAGATAGGTTTAATAGTTTTAAATCTCCTTAAAATGTGAAAACCAAGTACTTTAAATGGTGCACTTAAAAATTCCAGCACACCAAAAGAGCTCTTAAGATTTTTAAATTAATAGTCATTCTTCATGCACCAACCCCCAATCACTTCCAAAGCAAAGCTCTTTGGAAACATTTAAAACACTTCAAAAATGTTAAAATGCCATGTTCTTTGAAGAATGATTAGAGATTGTAAGTGCTTCAGAATTTTTTTTCTTTTAATCTAAGTGTCTCCATTTGAAAGCTTGTCAAAGTGCAGGCATGGGAAGGGAATAAAAACTTAAAGAAGATCAAGGTAGGATGTCAAAACAAACTTACAGTTTCCCAAGATGGATTTATGAAGCAAAGCTGTCAGTCTGGCTGTCATGGAGCTTCAGAACAGCACAAGTTTTCAGTTTTTTACCTAATTGTTCACAGTGGAATTGCAAACTTTTTTATGACCTTTCAGAAACCAAGTCTGGAGTTGTGACATTTAAGTTACTCTTCTCCTCCTCTAATTACATAGATTCTAGCTTTAAATAGATAATAATGAGACTTTTTCCACATTGGAAACACATTTTCCTACGTTTTGGAAGGAAGCATATTACTGAAGTATGAATGTACAAGCACATTCTCTTGAGGCCTGGGCTGCCTACCAGATGCCCAACACACATTTCTGGAGGCAGATGATGCGATTGTATCCTCCTTACCGAAAGCACTTGAATGACACCTGTGCGGCAACCTCAGCTGTTTCTTGTTAATAGCAATGTGGTTGAGAAATAAGAGTATGACATCTGTTTCTTACCACATTGGCCTAGCTATACTGTCACTATTGTTCCCCCATCTTGATCTTCAAAGCAGGGTTTCTGAACTTTAGCTCCATCAGAATCACCCAAAGGACTGGTTAAATCCCAGATTGCAACACCCACCCCCAGAGTTTCTGAGCCCATAGGTCTGGGATGGGGCCTGAGAATTTGCATTTCTGACAAGTTCCCAGTTGATGCCAATGCTCCTTGCCTGGGAACCACACTTCAAAAACAACTGCTCTGGAGAAATAAAATGTACTTTTGTTTTGTTATAATAATTTTAGGTGGTCTGGCTTGATGTTTTCTGGATGCAAGGCTATTCCTGCTATTGTCACATTCCTTGCCTACATCCTGGAGTGTTTTTTGATCCAATGCAAGACACCCCATGTTTCTACCACTTCCTCTTCTTTGTCTTTATTTTTATTACTGCACTAACACATCGTGGATATTCTCTTCCTTCTTGTAATTTTGGAAGCTTTAGGTTATTCTACTGAACACTGACCCCCTGAATCTGGAAATATTTTCTTGAATTATATAATTCAGAAATAAAACCTTTATGATTTGTGGTCCTTGTAAAAGAAAAATTGCACCAGATGGTACAGGCAAAAGAGAATGTATTCATTATTATTGCAACAGGGATCAAGACTATGATCTCTCTTTTTAGAGAGAGAACTGAGCTCCACTGAATCGAAAAGCAGGAGACTCTTCAAGCACTGGGGTGAGCTAGTGGCAAAATTTTGGAGGACATTATAGAGGAAATTGGGTGATGTGATTAGGCTCCATGTGCTTGCTAATTGGTGCTGTGGAAGTTAGGCTCCTATCCTCCCACAGAAATTGAGAGATAGGGGCTCTATTTTTCATGATGATTAGATTTCAAAGGGATGGCTCCCAGGTACCTAAGAAAGAGCTTCCTGGATTGTAAAAGTGGCAAGAGGCTAGGAGATTTACATCTCAAAGGAGCATAAATGTTCTAAGTATAGGGAGGTGAGGAGCCTCTAGTCTGGAAGAAACCAGTGAAAAGTTTGGTCAAGCTGAGGGGAACATTAAGGTCATCTTCCTTACCATTGCTCACCATTTAGTCTGGTACCTTATATTTTACAAAAGGGTATGTTGAGGTCTAAAGTAGTCACTTCCTGAAGAAAACACAGCTAGTAAGTGGCAGAACCAGAATTAAAACCCAGTATCCTTCCTCCTTGGGAAGTATCCTTCCTCCCTGGGAATGTTCCCTCTGCTCCAAGGGAATCTGCCTATGTCCTTCCCCTTCTGCCCTGTCCTTTCCTGGCTTTTCATTTTGTTTTGACTTGTGATCTCTTTTTCTATCTTTTGTCATGTTTCCCATTTTCTTTTTTCTGCTTTTCTCTTGAGGGTTCACCTGAGTCCCTCACCTAGCCACTTGGATGTCTTCTTTTTTCTCCTCCCTGTGGCTACCCCCTAGGGTTCAGCTTCAGTTTCTGAGCTTTCCACTGTGAGTAGCATGGAATTTTAATCTAGTATCTCCTAGAACTTGGCACAGGCTTGGTCAGGGCCCTGGCCCCCGTCTGTGCCTTGCTTAAATGATAAGAAGATGAACATGACCTACAGGCTTAGAGAGCCATCTGTGGAGTCAAGTTGCCTGGGTTTGAGCTTGGATTCTGCCACAAACTGAGCTTTGGGAAATTTAACATATCTGAAGATCAGTTCTCATCTTCAAAATGAGGCTGCTGTAAAAGTTAGATTAGACAATTCTTATAGAGAAACTAGCACAGTGATTGTCACATATGCATACTGTATAAATATTTGTCATGGTTATCATTAAACCTCTGAAGAAAGGGAATCAGAAATACTTTTAACTCTCAGCCATTCTAAATCTCAAAAGTTCTCAAATATCAATTTCATTTTTTAAAAAATCTTTGAACACTTCCAGTCCCTTGCCTTTTAGTAGCATTTGTGTTTTATCACAAACTTTAGCAACACTGGCTGTGTGTGGAATATGGCTCTCCCTGGCCTTGGTGATTGATGTTTACATGCTGGTCAAAGCCAGTCAGAAGGGCCAGTTAGTAAATCCTGGCCATATGTTGATTGCTGAGCCATCCTTTTGAAGAGGTTTGACTTTATTTTCATCTTTGCATGTGCAGAGAATTTAAGCCAAATTTAGGTTTCCTTCCTTCCTTTAACCTGTGGAATCAAATCATTTACATTGTCTTCTCATTTCTCCTATTGATGCTGCTTTTTTTTTCCCTCAGGTAAGGGAAGGGTATAATGTTGTAAATCAGTGATTAATGGCCATCCTTCTAAAACCAAAATTAAATTACTCTTTGGATTGGATTGTGACACTTCAGTCTGTCTGCATCAACCCATCCCTCCTAACACACACACTCATGCCATCACTGGCTTATAGCTCAAATCTGAGTTAGGACGTGCTCCCTTGGCCCCAACTCTTTTTCAGTGCCTAGCCCCTCAGTCTGGAGATGAGCTGAATCATGTTTGCATAACATTAAATACCTTGGTACAGGAGGTTTTGTTGTTGAATTGTTTACATTGTTGCTGTTGACTCTAGTGTCAAATGTGTAACGTAGCATCAAATTATACACAGCAGGTCCATAAACACACACTACAGTCTGCATTGGGAATATGACCACAGAGTCATAATTTCAGTGATATAGTCTCAAAACTATTATTAGCATTTTCAATATTCTTTTTACATTTTTTATTTTTTCTCCCCATGCCTTATTCGTAGCCCCATGAGCATTCTAAACCACTTAGATGGAGCATCCTGAATTGACATAAAACTATCACTATTAATAATCAAGTCATGGGGAAAGCAAGAGAAGATGCCCAACTGAGAACACTTGTGACAGGCCATGGTATATGCATACGTACAATTTCAAGTGGCAATGTGGGGTCGTGATTAAAGCTTGAGCTATAGATCAGTCTGCACAGACCAAATTCCAGCTCTGCCATTATCTAGCTATATCTAGCTGACCTGAATTACCTAACTTCCTTTTACTTCAGTTTTCCTATCTGTAGAGGCAGTATTAGTCATCATTTAAGTGTTTATTCAAGTGCTTACGCATACTAAGTTGTCAATAAATATTATCATTCTTCTAAAGATTATCATGCTCTCCAATTGCCCCTCTTCTCTGCACTTACATGTTATGTTCCTATCACTTATTTTAAAAGAACTCCAGTTTAATTTAAGGGCATATTGTAGAATCTTGAAAAGAGTGTTAGTGATGGATTATATATTTTGACTTTAATAATACATAAGAATGCATTTTTAATAACATAATCAATAGTGTAGGCTGATGATTTAATCAACCTCGTGTACTACATTCTTGCAACCTGTGATATTACACAAGTAATCTATTAGTTTGAATTTGCAGTAATATAAATTTTACTTAGTGTGTTTTCTCTTGGCTTCTCTGGTTAATACCTAGTACCCAGAAGAGCTGTGGTTAAGGGTACTGGGGTTGCTTGTCTCTTGCTGTAGTGAAATGCCAGTGAGTGCCCAATGGATATATTGGGATATGTTTCTATTTTTATCCATAAATGGTGGGACAGAAGAGATTGTTAGATTCACCTTAGGGGCTTCTGCACACTGTTCCTGTTACCTGTGTGTTTGAAAAATTCAGAATCCATAAACATCACGATTATTTTACTATTCTGTGTCATTTAAAGGATACTCAGTCATTATAAGGCCAAGCCCTCTTTGGTCCACCTCTTAGCTATATTGATAAGACTTCTTCAAATATGTAAAATTCAATGCAGTACCATAAACACTTAAATATATTACATTAATAATAATAATAATAATAATAATAATAATAATAATGCCCACCATCTATTTGATTCCTTGCCTTTTTTTTTTTTTTTTTTTTTTTGACGGAGTCTGACTCTGTCGCCCAGGCTGGAGTGCAGTGGTGCAATCTCGGCTCACTGCAACCTCCACCTCCCAGGTTCAAGCGATTCTCCTGCGTCAGCCTCCTGAGTAGATGGGACTACAGGCACGTGCCACCACGCCCAGCTAATTTTCTGTATTTTTAGTAGAGATGGGGTTTCACCATATTGGCCAGGCTGGTCTCAATCTCCTGACCTTGTGATCCACCTGCCTTGGCCTCCCAAAGTGCTGGGATTACAGGCGTGAACCACTGTGCCCAGCCCATCCTTTTTTTTTTTTTTTTAAATCCTTAATATCTAAAGTTTCAACTTTACACACAAAAATAATAACATTCAATGGTTTAAAGTTGCCTCTGGTCAGATGGTTAGAAAAAGTCAGTGTCCTGATTCATCTTTGTCTCCCTGACACTCAATCACATTCTGCTAAACCATGCCACTCCTTAAAAGGGATCCTATTTGATTTTGAAATGTGTTTGCTCATATACACTATGATCCCAGGTCTTCTACTCACACATGAAGGTAAAAGATTATTTATGACTAGGCCCCTTCAGACTTCAGCTGTATAGGTGTCGGAGAACCAGTACTTCAGAACCATGCACATGAACTTCACATCATAGGGCTCTTCCTTAAGCTGCAGTCTCTTTAACCACAATCCCTGTCATTTTATTCATATTTTTCAGCTTAGTAAGACATTTCCATGGTACTAACTACTTGGGGATATAGGAGGGATTTTTCAGGTACTGAGTTCAGAGCTTTAGGGTACCCTTTACCAGTTTATCACCCTAGTAGTTTGTGAAAAGGCTGAGAGAAAGTTCTCATTCTTAATTCCTCTTTTCCCAGAAAATTGACACACTTGAAAAATAAGTAGCAAATATTTCAATAAAATATGAGGCCAAAATATGAGAGGGGCATTAGTTAATCTCATCCTACAGCATGCGTCTCAAATTCTTTAATGATGTGTCGCAGAAAAGTGAGCATTTAGACTCAGATTGGTGCTTTCTCTCATCTCTGTGTGTTCAATGATTTGTTGATTGTATCCCTATGCCAGGTTCCGAGTCTTCCAGCAGTGCAGGCTCCTCAGGATCGCTGTCCCGCACCCATCCACCTCTCCAGAGCACACCCCTAGTCTCAGGTGTGGCAGCTGGCTCTCCAGGCTGTGTGCCTTATCCAGAGAATGGAATAGGGGGCCAGGTTGCTCCCAGCAGCACCAGCTACATCCTCCTTCCACTTGAAGCTGCAACAGGCATCCCGCCTGGAAGCATCCTTCTTAATCCACACACAGGTGAGTTACTACCTGCTTTATCAGGGACACAAGGCTTTCAGATGTTTGTTCTTATGTTTGATCTTATGAATTTGCTAGCAAGTATTCTGAAAATTCCTGAACAGGAAAGCTAGTTGCATGAACTGTTATGAAGCATTTTTGTTTAGAAAGAGCAGATTTACAGCAGTATCTATAACTCTATATTTATATCTTCATATCAATATCTATATTGATGTATAGATATAGATATTTCCAGAAGCATCCACTTTTCTGTCTTTTTTCTTTTACTATGGTGTCTCTCATGCATGCTTAAGAGCTAAGACGAGAGAAAATGGTGTGATGAGTTGGGATATACTAATTAAAACTTTGTGTTTGTCAATCTAAATCCCCAGTTAGCTTGTATTATGTCAAAAGTGTTTTTGCATCCAAGGATCTTTCTGGAATTGAAGTATCAGTTGAGACATATAGTGACCATTAACTCTAGAAGTTGCTTTTTAACCTTAGAATTTCAGCCAGCTCCTATGAAAGGAATAAGAAACAGCAGTGGCGAAGAGAATACAGAGAGAAAATTATTATGTATTTTAGAAATGTCAGGCTTAGACTGATTTTGGTGGGGTTTAGAAAATTGTTCATTTTATGATTACGGTTTCTTCTGTGATGAATGGCCATTGGTTCTTTAATTTTGCATTTTTCTAGTGGGTCAGTTGACTTCCACATTGATTTCAAAAGACTGAGGGCACTGAGATTCTAACATCAGCCAATGAACTCAGGAACATCTGCCAATTTGCAGGGGAAACTTCTCAACCCGGGGCATTTTTGTCTCTGGCCCCAAGGCCATTCCGCAATATCTGGAGACATTTTGATTATTATGACCTGGGGAGAAGAGGGCTGCTATTGACACCCAGTAGGTAGAGTACAGAAATGCTGCTAAACATCCCCCAAGGCCTAGGACAGACTTCCACAGCAGAAGATTATCCGGAACAAAATGTTGGTGGTACCATGGTTGAGAATCCCCGGCTTAGAAAGCTTGACATTGACTAGTCACTTCTTAAGATGTCTTTATTAGAGACTGGCAATAAATGGAGTTGTCTTGAAAGAGATCTGAAGTTTGGTTTCGATCCTTCCAGACTATTTCTTCAATTAGCTAAACTCAAAAATGCAAAACTGGATAAGTATCTCATAAAAATTATCTGACTCAATCTTCTCACAAATGTAATGCTACTAGTAATTAGGAAATTCAGAGAAATATGAGAACTGTAGTAAAATAGTTACTTGAATAATTGCCACATTTTCATAAAACATATGGCACATTCCCAAGTCATGGTGTTTGATTGAGACATATTGAAAATGCCATAAGCTTGAGGGAAGAAAGGCATAATCATTTTATTGAAAACCGTTTGAAAGCTTCAGATTAGATATTTCTAAGGAGGATTTTTAGATTGCTTTTATTTTATCTGGATTATTGTAAGCACTATAAAGAAAATCAAAAGAACACTAGGATCATATTCTTTACTTTGGGCACTAATCAAAGTACTGTCTGACTTTGTTGGCTTAAATTCTTTCACTTTTAATTGAGATAGAGGGCTTGCAGAAAAGAGAACATTTTAACCACTTGTTTTGAGTGGTTTGTTTTAAGCAAAATTACAGAGTGTTTTGAAAAAGCTCAACAGAGTATTTTTAGGGTACAATGCAGGAATATTATTTGTAATGACAGCATAGTTGTGCATGTGTATGTGTATATTATCATCTATAATCTTGTTTGTAGAAAAAAGAAACAGAATGTTGTTTGATGCCAAGTCCCAATTCTTTTTCATTGGACCGAGTCATTTAGAGCTGTTATCAAAATATCTCTTTTGTAAAAGGATCCCAGCTAAGGAAAAGGATTTAATAACACTGTTGAACAGCTTCTCCATACATATTTTTCTGATCTGACAAATGCTAAATTTAAAATATCCTAAACCAAAAGGAAATGTATGCATATATTGTATACTATACAATGAGATGCAGGGTGAATTATGTTTCTTCTTTTCTAGAATATATTTATTTTGTAAATTGAAAAATATGCACATGTATGTGTATGTACATATATGCATTATATATAATGCATGTTATATATATATAGGTCTATCTTTAGTATATGTATGTGTGTGATGTACGTGTATCTACCTATCAAATTTCTTATATGACTTTTACTGTTGAAGCTAAAGGTTTGCCTCCTCTGGGCTGGAACTCATCTTTTTCTGTCATTGCTGTGAATCTAGAAACTACACCTCTCACCCTTTTTAAAGTATCTTTCTGCCAAGTACACAACAGAAATACTTGGGTGTTAGGAACCAAGATTGTATGACTATTTTGCTTCTCATTTGAACTGCCCTTGGGCTCATTTCCTTTTTACAACCATACTTAGAAGCTGTTGTGCAGAGGAGCCATACTTAGTTATTTTATTTTATTTGTTGCTTCTCCAGAATGGATAAAAAAGTCTTAGGCACTGTACTGGTGCTCAATAATTACATCATTATTGAAGGAATATCTACTACCCATTATATATGTGGGATGGATAATGGAGCAGTTTTTCAGCTAATGTCATATATTTGGAATGTCGTTCATGTGCAAAATTATAATTGATAAAACATCTGTTTTAAGCAAGAATAAGACAAGTAATGATTTAAAAATACTAAGGTATCTGCCAATCATGTGCCTACTAAATGAAAAAAAAATGAAACTTCCTTTGTCAGCACAATTGACTTGGCTCTTACTAAGTACTAAATATTTGGCACACTGAAATCAACCTACTCACATATACCCTTGCAGTTTCCCCAATATAACCATAACTTTTAATTTTGTCTGGCCTCAGACTCAGCTTTCAACAGGTCCATTTCTAACTTAGGACCTCTTGCCTGTTCTTTCTTTGCTTTTCAGGCATCTGGATGAGTGAGGTGTCACGGAGGCTGTTTTTCAAAGTTGTCCCTGTATAACATTTTCATTCTTCCAAGGCAAGCCTGGAATCTTGGGTTTGATCTTCCTCTGGTTGTCTTGGACCTAGCCTCCTTTTGGAAATTTTTAGCAGAAAGCTCAGCTTTGTTGGGCTATTTTACTTCAACTCAGTGCAATCCAGAAATGTCAACAGGCATTGGCATCCCTCAAAAACTTGTTAATGTTCATATATGTTATTTTGATATTTTTCTTGGCCATTATCTGGTGCAAGTTCAAGACTGTGTTATATAAAGTCATGCCATTTGCAGTGACTTCACTTTGAGGAGCCTTTTAGAGCTGTTCTCTTTCAAATGCTTCTGATGGACTTCCATAATTCTATATTTTTATTTTTATCAGGACTTCTAGCATCTATTAATCCAAACTGCTTACACTTTTTTTTTATTAAATGAATCATGAATTTTGTGTTCTGTCTATAAATGTATCTTTGCAAGGTCTAAGTTAATCCTTGTCTATCCATAATCAGTAGCTCCCTTATAATTTAACTATCATCTTCTAAAGACTAGGAAAAGAAAATCTCTTTCTCTCACCCCTTCTCTCTCTTTTTAAATAATTACCTTTCTTGACAGAAGGGTAAATTCAGAAATGCTTTGGTGTTCAAAACCAAGAGCGCATGATTACTTCACTTCTTGTGTGAATTGCCCTTTGGTTCATTTCTTTGTGAGGAGGGTCCATGCTTATTTTTTATTTGCTTTTTTTTTTTTCCTTTCCTGAGATTGATGGCAAGGTCTTAGGCACTGTGCAGGTGCTCAATAATTACATTATTATTGAAATAATATCTACTACCCATTATGCATGTTGATGTGGATAGTAAAGCAGTTTTTCACCTAATGTCATATATTGGAGAGAAATGAGCATTCTGCATTTAATCCTTTTCTCTGCGCCTGCTCTGCATTCAAAGTGCCCCGGCTTATTTCTGTCATTGCACTCTCTTCACCTATGCCAGCACCCATGCCAAGGCCTGCTGAGCGTGCTTGTGCAGTTTCTGACGTGAAAACCTCCTCTAGGCTAACTAGGCCGAGGGCCAGCCAGTCCGTTTTTCCTCTTTAGTCTTCGGCAGCTGTCATTCAAACTAATTGCTTGTATTCAGTGTAATTGCATCTGGATTGGTAGAAATCATGGAATATAGAGAGGCTGTCATTGCCTGAATTGAAAACCAATCGTCACCTATCCCGGGTCTCTTAGGAAATTGCTTTTGTTCTGTTCTCTAGCATCCATCTTCTTTTATGTTTCTCAGTTCTTTCCATCTCCCCTTGGTGAGCATAAAAATCAATTTTTTGTACTCCCTTCTCTTTCCAGAAGAACCTGCCATCTCTCTCTACTTAAGCGAATCCTTAGTGCTTTTTCTGTGCAATTATTTAGAAACATCTCCTTCTTCTAGCCCACAGCATATTAATCATATTTCAAATGGAGGACCTAGAATTTATCAAAAGACACATGAATATTTTGGGATTATATTTTAAAATTCTAGTTATGATCAGTTTTTCATACTTCCTTAGTTTTCATTGGGGTAAATCAAAAGCCATACAGAAATATAGTAAAAATCCTTTCTTTTTCCTTTCCATTGTGCATGTACATGTGTATGTGCGTATGTGTGTGTGGCTGTGTGTGTGCACAGCATGAGACTTATTTTGAAATAATTCCAGATGGAGTCGTATGCCTGTCTCTCTGATTTTTTAACAAAAGTTAAGTACTTACAATTTTTATCTTGTCTTTTTAAAATATAGAACAAATGAAACACAAGAAAATTAAAGATTAGAACACTAAATGGACTTACACATTTTTTAATATTGAGCTTTTAAAAATCATTTTCCAAATTGCTGATTTGGGAGGAAAAATGGGTTGCAGTTTTGAAGCTAGAAGAAAGTTATTTTTCAAAAAGAATATTCATTTAAAACAATAAAATGCATCTACGTGATAGGAAAACAAGTGCCTGGAAAATGAAGAACATAGAAAAAAGAGAGAGCAAGACCAAACAGTTGATTTTGTCACTGTTTTGCAAATATAATTCTGGCACATTTGCTTCCCCATCACAGCACATTATTGTTGGTTATGAAACAGATCAGAATTTAGATATGTTTCTGAATATGCAACATTCAAAGTTTCTTGTTACTAACACACAAATATATTTGCACTCAAAATTTGTGGTAATAATGGGAAATACTAACCTCTGGTTGCCATTCGTAAGTGAGCTGAAGTTAAGGCTTTTGCTCTCTACGAGTGAGCATGTTGTTTGGCCTTACTACAATCTCAGCATTTTCCTCCCCAACCTGCTCCATTTTACTTTCCTAATTTATTGAGCTATACAATATATAGGCGAAGTGCATGACCTGCACACATCTGAAGTCCAGACCTTAATAAATTTTTGCGTATATGAAAATCAGTGTGACTTCACTCAGAATGAGACCTAGAGTATATCTAGTCTTCCTATCAGTTTCCTCAGGCTCTCCCAGAAGTACTGATTTCCTTTATTTAGAATATTCACTTAGCTAATTAGCTTAGTTCCCATGTTATAACAGTCTGTTCTTGTATGAATATCGTATGTACTTTTTTTCACTAGAATGTCTCGTTTTCTCTGGGTCAGTTTTTAAATTCTTTACCTGTCTGTCTTCCTTTTTTATTTTTCTTTTTAAGACAGGGTCTCACTCTGTCACCCAGGCTGGAGTGCAGTGGCACAATCTTAGCTCACAACAACCTCTCTCCTGGGATCCAGTGATCCTCCCACCTCAGCCTCCTGTGGAACCACAGGTGTGCACCACCATGTCCAGCTAATTTTTTGTATTTTTTTTAGAGACAGAGTTTTGCCCGGTTGCCCAGGCTGGTCTTGAACTTCTGAGCTCAAGCAATCTACCCACCTTGACCTCCCAAAGTGCTAGGATTATAGGCATGAGCCACCATGCCTGTCCCTTGCTCCCTTTTGTTGCAAATTTTTCTCATATGACTGATGATCCTTGGTTGTTCTTTATTTATATTGTTGAAGAATAAGGCTGTTGTTCTTTCCTCTGCCATCACACGCTTCTTACCCTGGATAAGAATGCTCATGCAAGCCTTATGTATCAGAACAATGTATGGACTGAGATGCTTTAGAACATGTGCTAGGGCAGAGCTCAGCATGCTGCCTCCACCATCTCCCTTATGCCAAGATAAGGAGGACTTTCCACTGAAATATCAACCCCATCCTGGGAGCCCCATTCTCTCTAAGTATTTTGCTCAGGTTCCTAGAGAATATTTCTGTGACTTCAACTTGTGAACAAATATTCCCACTGCTCCTTTTCCAATAGGGTTACAGGATTTACTGAAAAGGGAAGAAAAGACTCACAAGTAGTTCAATGAACAGTTTGCCTATCCATTCCCTCATGTTCTGATGCTTCTCATTATTTATCTGCCAATACTGGGTGTTACTTCACCTTGAAACATGTCCTTCACCTCACCTGACTTCTCATTCATTGATTAATAATTTTCAGTTACGACACATTTTTTTTCATCGTTACCCAGTTGTTCCATGTACTCATTATGTAAAATTGGATAATTCACTTCAGTTATTTGGCATAATGGAAAGTGAATAGACTTTGAAGTCTTACTGACCAGGGTCATTTTCTAGTTCTCTCACTTACTGTTTTTTTATATTTCTGAATAGGTTGCTTGGTCCCCCTGACTCCTAATTTCTTTAGAGTGGAAATGAGAATATACCTCTGCAGGTTGTTAGGAGAGCTAAGATCATACATGTAAGGTGCCTGTTACTGTGCTTGCCACATAGAAAATCGGTTTGTTCTCTCCTTTATGCCCCCACACCCGCTCCTTGACTGCACTTTGCTCTTCTCCTTTCAGCTTTTTATTCCCATAATTTTTCCAGGAATGGAGCTTCATTTTCTCTTCTGAAAAACAGAGAAATGATACCTTTCTTCCTCACAGGAATTGTGATGAGGCTCAAATGATGCTATTTTGTAAACTATAAAATACTCCTCAAAGACAAAGCAATACTATGACGAATAGCAGTATTAATAATAGTAAACCATGCCATTATTTCATAAGGCAAAAGAATATATATTAGCTTTTCCATTACAAGATGATTCTGTGATGTACTACTTTTAAAATCTAAAACCCCGGGTATCCTTGCTTATGTCTATTTCGAGAAATGAGTGAATGGATATGTTATGTTCCATTGTATATTTATTGGAAGAACTGATAATGATTCTGAATTGGTGACAAGGCTTAGTAGCAGCAAAATAAATGTATTGGTAAATAACTTGTGACTGAATGTAGCTGGAGGTGTGTAACTGGAAAGCAGCCGTTATCCTTCAGTGTATGTTATCTCACTAATGGCTGTGAGGTGCAGTGCAGCAAAACATCTAGCTTTGTGAAGATTGCTTCTCCACAGGTCTCTCTACTGGGTACCTCCGTCCACAGATACATTTAGCTTTGGCAAAGCTCCCTGAAGGGGGTCGATTTATTTGCTGCTTCTTAAATTGCTATGGGCTCCCACTGTCACCTAGCTTAAGCGATGGGTCACAAACAGTAAGGTCTTCACATTGGTGAAGGTTTTGGGGTCTTAGATTTCCACTGCCCTGCCCCTTTACTTTAGGTTACTTTTTGAGTATCTAACAGAGTGGTTCTTCATGTCAAAGGAGAGATTGAGAAGCTTACCTGGACTAAGTTCTGATTCCATTGCAGGCCAGCCCTTTGTGAATCCCGATGGAACTCCTGCAATATACAACCCACCCACCAGTCAGCAGCCCCTGCGAAGCGCCATGGTGGGGCAGTCCCAACAGCAGCCACCACAGCAGCAGCCCTCCCCGCAGCCCCAACAGCAGGTCCAGCCACCGCAGCCACAGATGGCAGGCCCTCTGGTCACTCAGGTAGGGGGCTGGTTGGAAGGCAGGGAAGGGAAGTACCCTGAGATGAAGGCTACATAGTCCTCAGAGCAGCAGAGAATCAGGGAGAAGCGTATATTTTACACTCAAGCCTCACAAA
Source organism: Homo sapiens (assembly GCF_000001405.40). Classification (NCBI taxonomy): domain Eukaryota; kingdom Metazoa; phylum Chordata; class Mammalia; order Primates; family Hominidae; genus Homo; species Homo sapiens. Next base: position 35,737,478 of record NC_000003.12, read on the forward strand.
TAAAACCTGGCAGCATAGAGTTCTTTGCAGATTGACAGGATTTTATCTGAATCCTTAAGTTTAGATAGAGGTGAGTGCCCCATGCAGTAACTTGCAAGTTGAAGGCATGAAAGTAGGGAGAATAAATGATTTTTTCTTAGGTCTAAATGCCCTTTTTTTAAATGTATGGAGGAGGCTCTCTCAGAGACTGAACTCTAGGTCTTTGCGTCACCTTCCTCCCCCATTCCCGTCACAGATCAAATGCTCATGTCTGCAAAGAGTCAATACTGAATTCTTCATCAATGGGAAGAACAGAAATCAGTCAATTCCAGGGAGGACTGGCTGTTCCTACATACTCCTCTTAGAGAGATGCGGAGCTGCCCTCCTTTGCTGGGAAGACACAGATGCGTCCATAGAAACCTGAAGTGTTTCTGGTAGGCTGCTAGAGTGAAACTCATTTTAAATTCTTGATATTACTTATTTGTTTTGGGGCAGTATTTTCAGACCCAGAGGATCTAACCAACAATATCAAACGTACATCAGTAACTTCTTAAAGAAATAATCACTAAGTGCAAATGAGCCTCTCTCAAATGTGTCTGGCTCTGGTCTTTCAGAGCCTTGACTTTCCTTTGGTGGCTAGTTCCCCTCTCTGGAGTGCACTGAACCTAGAGAGCCTATGAAGGACAGTGGTGTGCATCTTGTGAGATTTCAACCCCAGTGCTTTTCTGTCAGCTGATCAATTTTTTCTTTCCTCCAGTCTGTCCAGGGGCTGCAGGCTTCCTCCCAGTCAGTGCAATATCCAGCAGTCTCTTTTCCTCCCCAGCACCTCCTACCTGTGTCTCCAACGCAGCACTTTCCCATGGTACTGTATTATGTGTATATGACTTTTTCCCCTAGGAAAGCATATTCTCTGATTTTACTACTTTTTTGTGTGCCACTGGCTGACACTGGGGTGGGTGCCCTGGGCTGACTGTGAGGGGGTATGTGCGAATGTCTCATTTCTGAACATTACAGCCCATCTCTGCAAAACAATGGTTTCCTTTCTGTCATCTGTCTGTCCCATGCTGAGTGCTTCTGTGGTCTGTTACCCTTTTCAGAGTATACCAGCAAAGAAGGAACTGAATGCCTTCAGAGTTAGAAATCAGGAACAGAGAGATACAGGAACTTTGCATGAGGGTTCGGGAAAGATCTCAAGGATGGTGTTGGGATGGGAACCATTATCACCCTATGCTCCTGATGTAGGTGCCCCCGCAATTCCAATCTCCCAATTTTCTTTCATTTTTCCCTCAAGTCACCAGGTCATTTTGAGCAACAGCTTAAAGGATGAACATTGCTCCTAAATTTTAGATCAGGCCAGTGAATAAATACTCCCTCATATAGTAATATAATCCCACCCAGCCTGTTGGTGATACTGGTCCTGGCTCCATCTTTGCAACAGCACTGGGGATGATGAGTATAGTTGGTTCTGCCTTATGGGTGTTCTCGAGAGGCAAATTCTGTGGTTTCTGCTGGGAAGACAAGCTGACCCTTCAGGACAGAACATCAAGCCTTCCTTGTGTGCAACACCACCCTGAGGAGCCTGTGCCTTCAGTGGAAAAATAATTTGTTTCCATTGAAAGAGAAATATTTGGATCAAAATTTTTGTCATCTCTGACTCTCTTGGGATGATTAAAACCTGATTTGTCATGTTGTGTTCTCTTGTTATGTTCTGGCTGAAGAATTATTTTATTTTATTTTTTCCAAATTGTACTTCCTGTCTCTCCCACAACTCCAAGAATGTGTCCTGTGTCTGCCTCAGAGTGCCTCTCTTATTACCAAGCTGATCCTGTGAATTCCCTCATTTATTTCCATGACTTGCAGAGAGATGATGTGGCAACACAGTTTGGCCAGATGACCCTGAGCCGGCAGTCCTCGGGGGAGACTCCTGAACCCCCATCAGGTCCTGTCTACCCATCCTCCCTTATGCCACAGCCGGCCCAGCAGCCCAGCTATGTAATCGCCTCTACAGGCCAGCAGCTTCCTACAGGAGGATTCTCAGGCTCTGGCCCTCCCATCTCCCAGCAGGTCCTCCAGCCCCCTCCCTCACCACAGGGATTTGTGCAACAGCCTCCGCCTGCACAGGTAGGTGTGCTTCCTCATGCCTGTGACCTACAGCTGATTTCTGATGCATTTTGACCTTTATCTTTCTATGTAGAAAATAACCAGATTCACTCCCTCTTCCCTTTCTAGTCTATATTAATATTCCTCACCAACAGGAAGTAGTATATTTTTTCATGCATCAGTTGTTCAAAGTTATAGGGCTCAGAAAGTGAGTTGAATGAAACTGATCCAACTGCCCATGAAAACAACAGGGGAATATCCCATTTTCCAGGCTGCTGGTACAGAGACCATAAGAAAGCATTCCCTCCCATGTGATATCCAGCTCAGGGGATTGCCTAGGAAGGAAAAGCCTTGGGGAAGGGAAAGGTCTGCACCTAGGAGACTTTCAATACTCTCTTGCTGCTGCCCCAAAAATGCATTCTTTCCTTTCTTATCAATTCTCAAGCATTTTCTGGGGCTAATCTGCTGCTCCAGGCAGGAGCTCCTCTATGAATATAAAGGAGGAAGGTAAGCTGATATCCACAGTCCTTTTCTCTCCCTAAGGGGAAGCAGAGCTCACACATCTCTCACAGGTAGCCATTAATCATATTTAATTGACTTGAGCATGTAAGACACCACAGATCACTGATTTTTACTGTCTTCTCAAAGACTGATTATGTGTTACTGTTCACCACCAAACATCTCTGGTACTCTCTTGGGTATCCCTTGCAGAAGATTAGAAGTGATTACTGTCAAGATATAAAATGCACAGAGGCATTTTCTGGTCCATTTTCAAGGCACACCGATCCCAAGAAAATTCCATCCTAATTATGAAGTATTGCATTGGATGAGCTGTTTAAAGTGCAGTGTCACCTTCGTATCATTTGTTTCACTGCCTTAACATCTTGAATAAATTATTTTCTTTTCAAGCCACACAAAACCCTCTACCAAGAAATAATTGTCACTAAATTGTTCATTTTATTTTGAGTGATTAATTAATAGTTCATCTTCAGTTGCCTTCTCTGTAATATCTCTTCAGAAGTGGGATCTTAAAAGATGTGTAAAATAAGTTTAAGTTACAGGAGAAAGGGCTTCATTAAAGTATTAATACTTTTACCAATAAATTAATAACTTCAAGCTTAATTATTGGGAAAAATAATTTAGCTCTTTTGGCCTAAAAAGCGTTTAAGTGTCCTTACTAATTTCTGCTGTCAAACAAAATGTAAGCAGAATGTTTAATTAAAGATCTTTAAAATAAATAAATAAATAAATGAAAAATTAGCCAGGCTTAGTGGCTCAGACCTTTAACCCCTGCACTTTGGGGGGCTGAGGCAAAAGGACTACTTGAGCCTGGGAGTTCGAGACCAGCCTGCACAATATAGGGAGACTTCATCTCTGCAAAGAATTAAAAAAAAAAATAGCTGGGTGTGGTGGCACATTCTTGTGGTCCTACCTATTTGGGAGGCTGAGGTGGGAGAATCGCTTGAGCCTGGGATGTCAAGGCTGCAGTGAGCCATGATGATATCTCTACACTCCAGCCTAGGAAACAATGCAAGACCCTATCTCAGAAAATGAAATAAATGAGTAAATAAGTAGATAAATATTTTAATAGGAAAGTCTTTCTTCACTGAAGGAATTTCAATATTAATCCACTGCAGAAACAAAAGCAATTCATAACCCCTCTTGTGTCTGTGACAGAAATACTTTCATTCCTTCTTTAACAGATTTTTAAAAAGATAGAAAGAGAGGGAGATAAAACAGGTGTCCATGGTTCATAATCAGTCTAGACATTTATGAACTTCTTTTTGAAGAATCACAGATAAAGGTATAGGCTATAACCCATAGTAACTTTCAATTTAGTAAACATTTTAAAATCTGATTACCCAACTATGGAACAATGGAAATAACTTAGTTCAGATTCAGCCCACAAATATGTGGAAATATGTTAAATTTCTGCAGAAAATGAATCTATTTAATAAATGTAAAGGTCGATTTCATCTGACTCATCATGTATGCTTCCTAAATGCCCACTGGAAAGGTGAAGTGAAAAGCACATGGACGAGACAAAGAGGGATTTGAAGAAGGGAAATGGGAGAAGTGCATATTTTTTATAGTTTCTTCTTTCTTTTCTCTTCTAATCCACTCCTTTTTGGATTCTCCATATTTTAACATGATTGGCTGAAAATATACATTTCTGAGCTTTGGGGCTATTCTTACTCCTTTCTCCCTTCACCTCTCTCCTTTCAAACCTTTCATACTGATCTTTTAAAAGATTGCTGTTAACCTGGCTTTCTTTCCATCCTCTCTAAGAGAGGATGAGGTTAGACCAAGATCTCATTTGCTTCATCCGGTTGGGGATCATAGTTCCTAAGAGCTAACCAAAGCGCCACCTTGGAGTGGCGCTGGATTCAAGTAGCCAAATCTCTAGCACAGCTTGTGAAGGTATCACAGAAGCTATGTCTGGGGAAAAGAAAAAAAACAAAACAAACAACAACAAAAATTGAGTTCAAAATTTTTTTCCATGCAGCTGTACTTTTATTGTAACCATTAGTCCTCATCAGAACATTTTTAAGTATAAATTCCTTCATCCCTGAGGATATTTTATGTTTTATATTGAACATAAGAAGGGAGATCAAGGAATAGATATCACATTCATGAGCTTACATTTAAGCAAGACAGTCTTTTCTAAAGGAACAAAACGCTATTTCCTAAAAGACATGTAAATATAAATGCTGACAAATAAATTAGATGAAAGTTGTTCCTATTTTTAATATTGGGAGGCATCTGATGCATAATGGTAGTCATCTTTAATACCACCAAAGTTTGCCAGAGCATAGCTAAATGCTATTATTACTCCAGAATTATTTGTTTTTTATTGTTATAAACTGCCTGACAAAAAAGAGAGAAGTAGTAAGAGCGAATCACTATAAGCAAGGTATACAATGACTTAGTTGCCAGATACTGACCCAAGATTGCTTTAGACTCATTCAGCCTCTTGCCCTTGAATATCCATATGTTATGTAGCCACAGTTATAATTCATCATGATTCCATGAAATTGCAGAGCTACAGGTTCACACAGATTAAGTTATATTTTGTTCCCACTTTATCCTCAGGCAGCAAAATATGTTACATATGTTTCAACAGCAATATTGAAATAGAAAAGTGTTTCCTATTAGACCTGAGCAAATCAGAAAACAAAATAACCATGAAAATCACAGTTCTCAAATAATTGACTTGTAATTTTATCCTATGTATATAATGTTTGTAGGCGGTCTACTAGGGTACTTCAGTTGTTATTTTAGAGAATATGATAGGCGAAAACTCAGAAGCCCAGAGATAGAAAATAATTAACTAAGATCAGTAAGAAAGTGACCTTAATATAAATGAACTGAGGCAGGCAAAGAAGTCTATCAGATCAGGAAACATTTGATTTGGATCATAATCAAATAATCAGAATAATTTTATTCATTCTCAGTCATAAGAAAGTTAAGAAGGTAGCATAAACAACATTTTTATCATATTTTCCCTTTTAGATTGAACATACTTTTTTGAATAGTGGTGTGTACCAATCATTCTGCAATGTGCTTTGATAGACTACCATATTTCATGATTGCATTCTCTGCTCCTTTTAGGCTACAGATCAGCAGTTTTCATGTTTCACCCCTGTTTCCATTAGAAAAGCAATTCAAGTTAGATATAATATTTAAAATGTAGGTTTTCGTTGTTGATGATAACTGTTTCACTCTCTCTTGTTTCATCTAAAAAACACAAAAGTCTTGTTTTAAAACAACCATTGTATGATCACGACTAGGTCAGCAATTGAGCAGGATTTATCACAGATGGCTCATCTCTGCTCCATATGGCTGGGGTGGCTTGACTAGGGCTACACTTACATGCCTGGAACTGGAGGGTAACCAGTCAATTGGGGGTACCTGTGTTCCCCACATGGCCTTTTTCTGCAGCAGAATAGTCTAGACTTCTTTATCTCTTGGCTGGGTTCCCCGCCTACAGACGTGGAAGCTGCAAGTCTTCTTTAGGATCAGACTTGAAAGACTCAGACATCATTTCTGCCTCATGGCGTTGGTAAAAGAAAGTCACAGAACCAGCTCAGATTTAAGTTTGGGAAATGGATTTTGCCTCTTTACGGGAGAAGTAGCATGCACATACACATAGGCATGGGAGAAGTTTGCGGTGGCCATCTTCACAACCTACCACAATTATAAGACGAAAGCATATTTTAAGTTTAAAAATTTACATTATCTACATTTTCATTCTCTGCTTTCTTCCTCCTTTCTTCCACAGATGCCTGTATATTATTACCCATCTGGTCAGTACCCTACCTCAACCACGCAACAGTACCGGCCCATGGCCCCGGTTCAGTACAACGCTCAGAGGAGTCAACAGATGCCACAGGCAGCACAGCAAGCAGGTACTTGGAATCTGTTTCCCATTTGCTTCTCAACCCAGTTATTTTTGCTGGTGAATCTTGTACTCTTTGGATGAGTGTCCAAGCTTGGCAATTTAAACCAGCACATTTTCTCTACCCAGAGAAGATAACAAAGCATTTGATTGACTCTGTGTGGAAAAGTAGTAGGTACAAGAAGGTGAAGCATATGTCAGACTAGCATCCCTGGCATGCATGTTAAACAGTCTCCATAAATTATTTTTTGATCCTTCTTCTGTTAAAGCAGAAAGTCAACCATGTCCGTACCTTTCTAGTTCATACCTTCTTTTAATTTTTTTTTTCTTTTCAATTTGAAGAGAGTGCTTCCTCTGTTCTTAAGGCTAGGGAACCAAATTAGGTTGTTTCAATATCGTGCTAAAAGATACTGCCTTTAGAAGAAGGCTATTGACAATCCAGCGTGTCTCGGTGGAACTCTGACTCCATGGTTCACTTTCATGATGGCCACATGCCTCCTGCCCAGAGCCCGGCAGCCACTGTGCAGTGGGAAGGGGGGCCGATACACTGTACGAGAGTGAGTAGCAGGTCTCACAGTGAACCGGTCTCTTTCCCTACTGTGTCACACTCCTAATGGAATGCCGTTATCCAAAGAGCAGCACGAACCCGACAGGGCTGAGTGGCTTGTGCTAGGGAGAGGTTTGTGTCATTCCTGCTGACCAAACTGCAGGAAAAACTGCTAATTGTCATGCTGAAGACTGCCTGACGGGGAGACTCTGCCTTCTGTAAGTAGGTCATGTAAAGAGCACGTGCTCCTTGCTGCTACTCATAGATGCCTGCTCCGTGATCTGATTTCTGCACTGAATCTATGTTATGCATATGGAATGTATACAGATACATGTATGTAATATATACACAATATGTACCATTTTTATAACCTATGAGAAAAGTGCAGTTCTTGCCAAGGATTAGCACCAATCACAGACATCCTAAGAATACCAATGCTGACACTGCTAGCATCCTGTCAGATTGGAGAAAGAATTAAATTCCCCCGTATTGTGGATGGTTACATGTTCTTTGGTTTATCTCATGGCCTATTTAAAGTCTGTGGGAGAAGAATTAGAGAAACCTATATCTTCCAGCCAGATTTTGTCTTGTTTCAGCACTGTATTAGTTTGGGGAAGAATATATTTGACCTCTGAATTGACTTTAGACTTTTACAGTGTTTTGAGAACACTAAAGGGTTTCAAATAACTATTTATTTTTAAAAAATCACTTGGCAATATTTTCTCTAATTTGTGGAAAACGTTATTACCTTTATCATTTTGGTGGTAACGGTGCTATCAGTTTAGATACATGCTGTAGAAATGTGTTGCTTGCATTCTGGACTATCTTATTTTATGCTAACGTTAATTAAAGGGTTAATTTACAATCTTGAGGATCTTGGTTTAGAGGCTATGTGCAAGTTTTCTACTTGGTTACTAATGCCTTTAGAAGAAAAAAGATGCAGATATCTAATTATAATGATTTTTATTAGGTTTGGTGCCATTGTGTGGCAATTTTTAAAGAGATTATTTCAGTCTTGTGGTAGAGTGTCATCATACAAAGAAACGCAGTTACAAAACATGCTGCAATCCACTAAACCCATAAACTCTAGATCTATGTGAGGGGATGAGAAAGTTAGATGAATATGATAACTGGGCAACAGAATTAGATTTCAAAAAAGTTTAGGCCTCCCCCACTGACTTCTCCATTGCTTTTTCTCCTCTTCACTAACTTTGTTAGTGGATGTCAAAACAAGAGACAATATATGAGGCATTTTTTACTCTTTAATAAAGCACAATGGGAGAATTTAGGGATGTGGAAACACCCTCTCCCATTCAGTTAGAGACCTCACTGGCTCCACCTACATTCCATGGCAACCTGGTAGCTTTGGTTTGTCACATTCTCCCACATCACCGCAAAAATGACCCTCCCAAGGTAAGATAATGACACTGTAATGAGAAGAGTGCACTCTAGAGCAGCATCAAGCTAAATATAGAAGCAAGGCAGTGCCTAGGGTGTCAAGGAAGTGAGTGCCAGTTAATGTGGCCTGTACAGGGTGAGGAAGTGAGAAAAGTGAAATGATCATAAACAGTATTGTCCCCAGAAATGATGGCATTAGTATACACATGCACACTGAGACCTTTGGGCTCTTAGTTTTTGTGACCACCACACTGGATACCTGGCCTAAAATCCCAACACAGTTTCCACCACAGTGATGAATGTACCTAGTATTTGGGAAAGCAGATGGTGTTCCCTGACCTTACAGAGAATCACTTCTGCTAATAAAATCCAAGTAACCAGACCACACAGTGGCTCTTTGAGAGTGCACAGAGGCTCTGGGTCCTACAGCTGGGCGTCCTTTTGTTGAGCCTAGGGAGACTAACAGAAACTTTCCAAATGGTCATGGCAGTCATTTGTGAGAGCAACTCTATGTGGATGGACTATCTCATAGAGGAAAGAGCCTCTTCAGATAACTGTATAAGTTATATTTTCTGGAAGAACTAGAAAATAAGACTTCTCCATCTTTAAGTCAAACTATGGGCTACTATCAGCATGTCACCCTCCCACAGTCATGTTTTAACTTGTTCTTCCTCCTGCCTCCTGCAGCTGTGTGTCTTGGGATCTGACCCTTTTCCATCTTCATCTGATAATGACACCAGATTATGTCATAACATCCTCAGCTATCACGTGGTTAAAATTAGAGTGAGACAGAATTATGTCAGTTAAAGTCAAATGAGATTTTAATCTGAATTTGCTTCTTGGCGCTGTTCTTAATCTTTATTTAATTGCAGTAAAAAGCCTCTCTTCCTTCTCCTACATTCTTGCCAGAATTGAAATCTCTGTCAGTTACTACATCTTTCCTAAGACTTAAAACTCTACACAGTGAATTTTTGTAAAGTGAACTGGACACTATACTGTTGATTAAATAGGACACCTGAGTTCCCCTGTGGCACAGTAGGGAGACATAAGTTCTTTATCCTGGTGATTTTGTACTCTTCATCCGATCAGCACATGGTAAAAGGTCCTAAACATGTGGAAGAGGAAGCCTATGTTGGTGGTAATTATAAATAAAGAACACTAATGTTGGGGCCAGGTGTGGTGGCTCACACCTATAATCCCAGCACTTTGGGAGGTGGAGGCAGGTGGATCACCTGAGGTCAGGAGCTCGAGACCAGCCTGACCAACAGGGTGAAACCCCGTCTCTACTAAAAAATATATAAAAATTAGCTGGGCATGGTGGCGGGTGCCTGTAATCCCAGCTACTTGGGGAGGCTGAGGCAGGAGAATCGCTTGAACCTGGGAGGTGGAGGTGGCAGTGAGTCGAGATTGCACCATTGCACTCCAAATCCAGCCTGGGCAACAGAGCAAGACTCCATCTAAAAAAAAAAAAAAAAAAAGAACACTAATGTCGAGAAAGTTTAGAGAAATCAAATGGTGGAGTTGCAAAATGATATTTGGAATTTGTAGCTACATTTGTGAGAAAAATAAAAAACCTTCAATTTACAAATATCTCCAACAGAAGAATCCGTTTATTGCCAATCTGGCATTATCAGGTACCTCCAATAGTGGGGAGATGGTTTTCTTTCTGAGGGAATTATTGATAGCCCAAGTCTGTGTGGAAGAGCAGTTATCAGGATAGGTGCACGGCCTCATTAGCCAGGCATGGTGGTACTTGCCAGTAGTCCCAGCAACTTGGAGGAGTACAAAATCACGAGGATAAAGAACTTATGTCTCCCTACTCTGCCTCAGGGGAACTCAGATTTCCTATTTAATCAATAGTATAGTGTCCAGTTCACTTTATAAAAATTCATTGTGTAGAGTTTTAAGTCCTGAGGTGAGAGGATTGCTTGAGCCTGGGAGGTTGAGACTGCAGTGAGCCATGATCATGCCATTGCACTCCAGCCTAGGTGACAGAGCGAGGCCCTGTGAAAAAAGAAAAAGAAAGAAGGAGGAAAGAAAGAAAGAAAAAGAAAGAAAGAAAGAGAGAGAGAGAGAGGGAGGGAAGGAGGAAGGAAGAAAGGAAGGAAGGAAAAGAAAGAAAGACAGAAAGAGAAAGGAGAGAGAGAAAGAAAAGGAAGAAGGAAGGAAGAAAGAAAGAAAGAAAGAAAGAAAGAAAGAAAGAAAGAAAGAAGAAAGAAAGAAAGAAAAGAAAGAAAGGGAGAAAGGAGAGAGAGAAAGAACAGAACAGAAAAGAAAAGAAAGAAAGAAAGAAAGAGAGAGAGAGGGAGGGAGGAAGGAATAAAGGAAGGAAGGAAGGAAAAGAAAGAAAGAAAGAGAAAGGAGAGAGAGAAAGAAAGAAAAGGAGGAAGGAAGGAAGGAAGAAAGAAAGAAAGAAAGAAAAAGAAAGAAAGAAAGAAAAGAAAGGGAGAAAGGAGAGAGAGAAAGAAAAGGAAAGAAAGAAAGAAAAAGAAAAGAAAGGGAGAAAGGAGAGAGAAAGAAAAGAGAAAGAAAGAGAAAGAAAGAAAGAAAAGAAAGAAAAAGAAAGAGAGAGAGGGAGAGAGGGAGGGAAGGAAGGAAGAAAGGAAGGAAGGAAAGAAAGAGGAAAGAAAAGCAGTTATCAGCTTATGGCTTGTTTATAAAAAGACTGTAATTTTAAAATCATTCTATCTTTGGAAGACTTGGAAGTGAGAATATCTTAACTGGAAACAGAGTTTCTCAACCTTCAGATATTGAAATGAAGTGTTGATGAACAAACATTTCATTCCTTAATGTTTTAAGTTTATTTTAGTAGTTAGCTCTCATGCCATTTTTTTAGTTAGTACCTGTGTTGCTATGGTTTTGTTCTTGTTGAGAAACATATTTAAGGCCACAAAAATATTAGCAATTATCACATCTCCCATTGACTCGGGATCTCTAGTGGGCTAGTTTAATCACTACCACAAGTTTGCAAGGGAAATACACCGTTCCTTCTTTACAGATAGGTGAAACTATTGCTCAGGGAGGTGAAATAAATTATCCTGGGTCTCAAGGTTAACTGTGTAGGGAAAAGCACCCAGACGTGACTGGTTTTAAGCCCATGTGTTAAGCATTTTATTGGAACAACTTAAACATGGTTACTAGTTTTGCCTTTATATGCTAACATGGATGATTGCATAAAAACTGGCATGTGAGAAATAAACCAGCATGCCCATGTTATAGAGGCAGGTAATATTTAGTTAATTGTTCAAGTACACAGGTTGACCTAAAAGCAGAAAATATAAGAGCCTTGGTCTTCTGCCTCCCTACTGAGCTTGGGGTTCCATATCACTTTGTAGAGATGATCAATAACAACAAATGGCAGAAAGCAGCTGAGACATTTACATTCAAATCACACACTAGAAAGGAAAAGAAAACAAAAAAGAGTTCCTTTTAAATGGTTTCCAACTCCAAATTTCCTATGAAGTTTGACTTAAAAAGAAATATACTTAGCTTCATTCTCGGCTCTCCAAAATCTTGGTCATTCCTAAAAGCAAAAAAAAAAAAAAAAAAAGGAACTTATAAAATCCTATGTGTGTTCTATGTGTGTTCTTAAATGGGAATTGGGGGAAGAAGTTTGGTTTAGTGTCAGAGTAACACTAGCCTCATAAAATGAATGGGAAAGTGTTCCTTCCCTTTCTATTTTTGGAAAGAGATTGTATAAAATTGGTACTAAATCTTCTTTAAATGTTTGTTAGAATTCTCCAATAAATCCATTTGACCCTAGAGATTTTCAGAAACATTTTTTTAACTTTGTATTTTAAGATAATTTCTGGAGATTTTAAATTGTGAGTTAATTTTTTATGATTATAGTATTCAGATTATATATTTAATCTTTGCTTAGTTTGGGTAGTTTGTGATCATTAAGGTCTTCGCCCATTTCTTCCAAGTGGCTGAATTTAAGAGTATAAAATTGATAGTTTTATTTCTTTACTATCTTTTTGTAGCTTCAGGATATGTTGTGATATCCTGTTTCATTCCTGGTATAGATGATTTTTAACTTCTCTCTTTTTATTTTTGTCAGCCTTGCTAGATTTATCAATTTTATTGACCTTTTCCAAGAACTAGCTCTGTTTCATTGATTTTTCTATATTGTTTTAGCTTCAATTTCACTGATTACTGACTTATCTTTATTACTTTATTATTTTCTTCCTTCTGTTAATTTTAGGTTTATTTCGCTTTTTTTTTTTTTTTTGGTGGTTTCTTGAGATAAGAAGTTAGATTTTTAATTTGAGATTTTTTTCTCTTTTTTAATGTAAATATTTAATGCTATAAATTTCCCTTTCAGTCTTGCTTTAGCTGTGTCCCACAGATTTTGATATGCTGTATTTTCGTTTTCATTCATTTGTATATATTTTTAAATTTTCTCTGAGACCTTATCTTTGGCCCGTGGATTATTTAGTGGTGTGTTGCTTAATGCCCCAGTGTTTAGAGATTTTCCTTTTGTCTTCCTGTTACTGATTCTTGATTGATTCTGTGATAGTTAAATAACATATTCTGTATGATTTCAGTTCTTATAAAATTTTTGAGGTGGTTTTACGACCCAGGAAATAGCCTATTTAGTTGAATGTCCCATAAGCACTTGAAAACACTGGGTATTCTGTGGTTGTTGGGTGGGATGGTCTATATATATCAGCCAAATCAGGTTGGTTTATTTTGTTGTTCAGGTATTCCGTATTTTTTCTGTTTTTATGTTTACAGTTCCATCAGTTGCTGAGAGGTGGATATTCACAACCCCACCATAAGACTTTCTAAAGCCCTGGAATGAATTTCAAGGCAAAAGTTGCCTCCAGTGTCCCTGACATGCAAAGACAGAGGAGGGACTTGGTTTTTCAGACCATGCTATCTTTTAGTTCCTTTTGCAATTGAATAAGAAATGTTTTATCACCTAAAAAAAAGTTAACATTTCATAAAAATAGTCTGGAAGGTGAAAGTCCTGTGAACAGTGATTGGGCTTTGGGTGAGCTGTTCCTATAAGCTTCTGCCCGCATCTCTCACTTGCCAGGCTTTCAGCCCTGTTGCTTAATGCCAGTAATACTACTTTAGGTTTAGGTAGAGGAGTGATGAAGTTGACCGTTTACAAAGGACAGTTCAACAATCTGCCTTCCTAATAGACCAGGAGGGTCTATATTCTTGAATGCCGTGAAGATAGAACAATACGAAATCAAGACAGCTACATAGCAGAGTAAAGAGGGTAAAAAAGAGCATGAGGGAACCTTAAGTTAAATTAAATTATAACTGCAGCAAATCATTTGATATGGATTCTGAAACTGTAGGGATGTGTCTCACCTCTGCTTTATAAAATCCCTTTTCTCTTCTACCCTCCCCTACTCCCAACTATCTGCTGAATGATTCATTTTGGGTAAAAAGCAGTTTCATAGAGCATTTTCCATTAAAATGTTTTACTTTTGAAATTACAGTTCAGAAGGAGGCCATGAAAAAGAAATCCTAAAAATGCATAGTATTGCAAAACCCATGCAGCTTTTATGGGGCTTTCTTATGGTGATTTAATGTACCTCTGTTCTGCGTGAGTAAGTAAGCGATACTCCAATCTGCCTTGCAGTAGTAGAATTGGAATTTCTCACGGAAGACAATAGTGGAAGTCTTTGGAATTTTTTGGAATGTCTTTACTCACTCTTTTCACTTACATTTAAGATAAACCTCACTTTGGACTATCCCTTACAGTCTGCTCAACAGCCAGAATGAGATATGAGTACTATGAATATAAATGGAGTTTAAATACTTAATTTTGCTAAATGAGGAAAGTGAGGCTAGAAGGCCAGTCTCTGGTCCAATGCAGTCTCTCTTGTCAGAGCCAGAGAGGGTCTTCTGCTACTTTAGCACCTACAGAATTAATGACAGATACAGATTTCAGAAACTCAGCAAGTTTATTCAGTCTGACAAAGTCTGACTTGTCAGAGTCTACTCTGCCTATGTAAACTCAAAACCATCTAATACCTGCAAGTTGTAAAGAGAGCACACAAATAAGAGGAAACAGTATCTCAATAATTTGGAAATACGTCATTACCTATCCCCACTCATAAGAAAAGAACTGGAGATTCTCCAACTGTCAGAGTATGATCTTTTTCTTCCCAGATAGAGAAGGTGGAAATGAGCCTTTGCAACAGGCCTCTTGTTTGTTGAGCTAATTGGGGAAGCTAACGATGGATGCAGATAAATCAGGTTGCAATGAACTAAAAATACATGCAAATAAAAGATATAGGAAAGAATGGTGAGGGAAGAGGAAACCAGGTCAGGGAATGTATATCCTGTTTGTTTTATTTTGCTGACTGATACTATGATAACAGTATCAATCAGGAATCTGCAGACAGCACTCTGACCTTTTGGATCTAGATGCCATTGAATCAATCCTGTATTCTACATCTGAGGAAACGATGTATGTTTAAAGAGTTCTTTGGTGAAGAATTGTGAAGTTGGAGGGGGTCAGCCTGTCAGAAATACAAACTTTAAAATAGGCCAGTTTTTGTTTCCCTCTGGAACAAAAATTCAAAATGCCTTTCAACTCTTCAGTTATAGTTATTCAATTCCCTCTAGCTCTTCTGTACACAAATCAACTCTAAGCCTCTGAAGATTCGTAAAAACATCTTGCAAATGCTATCCCCAAGCCCTCTCATGGGAGATGAGAAGGTTACTATAACCAGGGTCCTAGAACTTTAATGTGCATGGAAACCCAGATCTTGTTAAAATGCATTTCAGTGCAGAAGCTCTGGAGTGTCTTGAGATTCTACATTTTTAGCAAACTCCCAGGTGATGCTGGCGCTACTGGTCTACTGTTTTGAAAGCAATGTAATAAATAGTACATTTTTATTCATTGCCAGCTCATATACAAGTTGTTGCAAAGGGAGAGGACCTACCCAAATTCATTATTTTATTTCACATTATTTGTATTAGGCACAATTCTAATATTTCATAGTCAACATTTCTAATCTTGTGAATTACAGCTAGTATTTAGAATTAATATGCTAATGTTTACAAATCCAAATTTTAAGAAAGCATATGAATATAATGTGATTCTATAACATAGCAGACACTCATAAATGCATGAATAACATGTGTACCTATTTTCACTTTGGTATGGCAGGAAGTGTGTGTGTGTGTGTGTGTGTGTGTGTGTGTGTAAGTGAGAGAGAGAGAAAGAGAGAATATTCATTTTAGCCAGATCTCTTGGTGGTTTATTTTTCCCTTGTGGAAAATACGGTGCTTCAGGTAAAGTTGTTGTGTGAATATTTAAAAGGCTAAAACAGAAATCTCTCAACCATCTAATTCAAATATAAATAAGAGCAAAACTGTGGTTAAATATTATGAAATAGAATAGAATGACAGCCTAACAAATCAATTCATGTCAACATATGAATATACACATTTTGTGTTTCAAAGTTCAAACACCCAAGGAATATGTCTCAGACCTTTTGGGAAATTTTCAAAGGTATAATATGTTTCAATTTTGGTACGCCTAGTGATTTGGGAATTTCAACAAATTTAAAATAAGAATACTTCCATGAAAGCTCATTTCAGTTGTTCGGATGGCAGAAAATAACCAGACTGTGAAAATGTATCCCTATCACCCTTTGCTCCTGGCAGCTCTTTCCTTCAATCATTTCAGTTTACTCTTGAATGAATAATAGTGGAATGGACTTAGTGGCATGGCTGGCAGGAAGATATGATTATCTGTGGAACATGTATATTTGAAAAGAGACCAAAGCCACAATTTCTTTTCTGATAGTTCTTCATAGAAATTCAATAAATAGTAACGTGTTTAGTTTTTTTGTTCCTTCTTTTAGAAGTAATGTTTCTGATATAATAGCGAGCTGTTAGTATTAACAGCTCCAAGTAAGAAATAAGGTTATTGCCTCTTTAATGTTGTTCTGAAACACATTTGGGATGGGGCAAAATGTACCTTAATGGAATTTACAAATTTATTTAACCAAAGCAGTTGAGTAAGGGTTGACAGTGAATTCAATATTTTTAGCTTGACTGATTAATGTAATTGTCAATGTAATTGAGAAGGTTTTTTTTTTTTTTTTTCAAATATCGCTTTTCTCATTCTTTGTGCTTCTGCTGTTCTTCACCTTGATTTTTTTGCTCCTTGGGGTTGGCTGGAGATGGGGAGAAGGAGCATCAGAGCTGAAGAAAGAATGTGGAATACTGGTATGACCAATAAGATGCATTAATTTATAAACAGTAGGATTTTTGTCTTTATACCTTAATTTGCCTTCTCTAAGAGTTGATGATTCTTTAAAAAGATGTATTTTCCTAATAAGTTACATACATTTTAATATTTAGAGTCCACTATTCTTTGTAATTTTTATTTGAGGAAATAGGTGTAACTAATAACACTAAGAGAAGCAATGCAAAAGTTGTTACACTTGACAGCTCTGAGGACATGATTTATACTTTGGGTGTCTGCATTATTATATTTCCAAAAGCAGAGGGGTGAGTTATTAAAGAGTGACACGAGGACTTAATTGTCTGATGTCTATTAACATCAGTGGGAGGAGTCACATGGATGAATCCTTGTGGAACATGCTGTTCTGAAAATATTAGTTTGAAAAAAGTTTCTATGGAAATGTTCATGTGTTTCTTTCATTAATTGGTCTAATTATTCCATTTACAAAAATGAGAATGAGAAGTATAACACTGGGATTAAGAGAAAAATTAACATTATTAAGAGAAATAATAAGAATCATGCTATTTTTAGACCTAAAAATCTTACACATTCCCAAAAACGGTATAGATGGCCAGGTTCTCTCTATCCCCTAGGAGGTTACAGTAAAAGGAATTTGTTCAGCACATTTGCAGTAATTGCTTTAGCACTTTGTATTTTATGTGATTTTTGGTGTTTAAATTTACATTTGTTATGCAGTTAAGAACTACTGGTATTATTAGAATTTTCTGTAAAGATGGAAAGTAAGACAAATTATAGCATTATCTGTTTTCTTTACTATACAAAAGAAAGTAGAAAGCAGTCGTTTGGCGAAAACAGAAAGAAAAAGGAGATTTGGATTAAAGATGGCAAGAAAAGAAAGGTGGCAAGTAAAGCATACACATATATGTTATTGAAAGCTCTAGCATTTCTTTGCAGTTTTTCTAGGAGACAAACTAAATAAAAAACAAAATAACCCTAAAAATTTCAAACTGCTTTTTCCAAGAATGTGATTTACCTGATTATTTAACTGAATGAAATCTTGACTCTCCCTTTTACTTTTCTCCTCCTTTTGTTTCTTGTTAATTTTTTGAGAGCAATTTCTGTTCTCAGTTGTCACCTACATCTATGAACTACCCTGTTTTTCAGTCCCACTTTTCTTCTGAAGCACATTTAAAACAAACAAACAAACAAAACTTTTTCATTGTCTCCACCACCTTCCCAAACCTAAGTCTGTTTTCTCATTGTATTTTCTATCTTTAACTCTTGACTGTACACAAGTTCCCTGCAACTCTCTTTATACTCTTTTTTTCTTTTTATATTAAATAAAATTTGCACTTCAAACTCAGGATGCTGCTCATGTTATGTTTTAGTTGTCTGCATTTTTCTCTTCATCAGTTCTTTTTCTTTCTATTCTGCACATGTCTCTCCATTATGAGATAGGACACTTCATTATTCCAGAGACAGTCTCAATCTAACAGCCAAATAATGAAGAAGAATTTCTGGGATTTTCTCCTTTTCTAGTAAAAGACCACAAAGAGTACCATGCTATTTCTTGTTCACCGTGGTATCCCTAGAGCCAATGTAAATTTGGCCCTCAGGATTTGTGACTTCACGTAGCAATTAGTTGTGACAAAAGAGTGAAGAGCATCTTAAGTAGTGTTATTTTTATCTTGCTTTCCAAATTCAGAGATGCAGTGGTACCCATGGGAAAACTGCAAGGCTTTTGGATGGTGTTTAAATTTTTCATTTCCAAGAACTACACATTTGGGTAAAAACTTTAGTGGTATTCCAATTTTGAATAGAAAGCAGTTTGCAAATTGCTGAACTTATAAGACACTATCTCAGAAGTAAGTACCCCTGAAAGACGCTGCTTTTTAAAACTCTTTCTTCATTCTACTGTCTTTAGACATGACTGCTTACTACAGGGACACAAACGCAAATTCAGCAAAACCAATCAGCATGGGCTCATTTTACTCATTACCTCCTAGTTTGTCTATTCCCCAGACCAACAGCATAAGATCACAGTTTTAATCACCCCCTCCAGCTCTGAAATACCAAGAGCGCTTCTGTCCAAATGAGTGGCACATAAATGTAATGGTTCCACAGCAACAATCACTGTAACCTAGGAAGGCTACAATACTGTCTGAAACTCATCGAATTAGTATAATTCTAAAAGAAACACTGTAACTTAGGCACTCTGTTTAGAGCTTATGCGAGTGACAGTCTTATGAGTGGGTTCACTAGTTGGTTCAGTAGTTATAGTATGATTCCATGGCTGAGGCATATTTGCACAAACGTTCTTTGGGAGAGTATGTTACCAACGTGCAGTAGCCTTCACATTTATGCTCCTGTCCAAAGCCACGAAACCACCACAGACCTTCCCCATGCTTTCATTTAGGTGCTATTCACAGTTGTCAGCCAATCCTTCCTGGTGGGTGATAGTTTTGATGGCTCTTCAGTGACTCCCACCAATCCCTAATCATGAGGAAGATGCTTAATCATGGGGAAGATGTCAGCCGACATCATGATTCCCACACTGTTTTTTACAGGTACCTAGAGACTTGTAATTCTCCCAGATGCTCTTACTGCTTTGGGGATTGTTTTGTTGTTGTTGTTGTTGTTGTAATAGGTCCAGCACAATTGCACCCTTTATAAGCCACTGTGTGTCATATTTGTTCTGAGAATAAAAAATAAATGGCAGAAAGAAGGTCCAGATTAAAACCAAAAGCACACCTTGCAGAATGCAGGATATTGCAGTAGAACACACATTTTGAGTATTGTAGGAATATGCAGTAAAATCTGTCAAGCTAGCTCCAAGTAGGTTTGCATTAATTTTTGTTTCCTAAGGAAAACAACTTATAAACAAATATCACTTTCATTACTCATTTATGCATGGGCAGTGTTAAGTAGCCAGTGGTGTGGTATTATGATACAGAGTTCAGAGGGTTTGAAGTGCCTTTTAGTGATTTTTTTTTTTTTTTTTGAGACAGGGTCTTTCTCTGTCACCCAGGCTAGAGTCCACTGGCATGAGAACTGCAGCCTTGAACTGCCGAGCTCAAATAAGCCTCCTACCTTAGCCTGAGTAGCTGGGATTACAAGCACCCGCCACCACATCTGGCTAATTAAAAAAAAAAAAAATTGTAAAGATACGGTCTTGTTATGTTGCCCAGGCTGGTCTCAAACTGCTGAGTTCAATTGATCCTTCCACCTTGGTCTGCCAGAATGCTGGGGTTACAGGAGTGAGCCACCACACCCAGACCCCTTCAATGAATCTTGATGAATAATTCAATTTTCCCAAGTTAAGACCTAGTAGGTCTACCTGCTAGAAAAGGCTCAGCTTTTGCTGACCTGGGCCTGTGGAATTGAGATGAGTCAAAGAGAACAATCCAATGACAAAAAAATAAATCCGAGAAAAAAGCTCCAGCCTAGCTGAAAATTGTAGCAAGAATCAGGAGAAAGAGAAGACAATCCAAGTGGTGGTTTTTGTTATGTTTGTTATGTTTTCTTTTATATGTAGAATATTTTATAAATTGTGAAAACAATGCAGTGCATAAAGAAGGCTTTTTGAAAAGACCTCAAAACTTTATGCTAACACAACAATGAATTTTTAGTTTTGACTCTTCTCTTTCTGCCTTTGAGCCTATGTATATATGCATGTTGTAGATTTAAACATGTATTGTGATCATAGAGTATCGCAATTTCTTATTTATTTGGTATTATATTTATTCAAAACTCATTATTTTACACTTGATTCTGATTTCTGTGAAAATTTTTTAAAGAAGTAAAACTGTATTTTCAGATTTCATGTGTTTTACATAAAAATTCAAAGCAATTCACAAAACAACTGGTAGAACTAATTAGTTAATTTAACATTGTTGCAGAATAGAGGGACAATATACAGGAATCAACTGTGTTTTTACATACTTGTGGAAAACAAATAGAAAATTTAAAAATTCTATTTATAATAGCAACACAATTTTAATAGTAATAATTAATCACAACATTCCTGACCTTGTGGCCCAGGGAGGATTAGATCATTGCCTCATTCATCTGAGAACCACTCCTTGAGCCCTAGACACAAAGCAGTGTCTTGTAGAGAAACAGCAATTACAACTTGAAATATTTCTCCATGCAGTCCTTGCTTTCCTGATTTCCTCATCAATAAAGAAGCATATACTTGGGGGGCGGGGGAACTAAAGCTTTCAAATCTCTCATGTATCTTCTTTAGCTTCTACATTCAACAAATATTTCACAATAAACTTTGGTTTTGCTGCTTCTCTCCCCAAACAAGGACAATGCCATAGAAGTTTCTGAGTATTTTTCCACCTTCTGTCAAGGGCTTTTGTCTTTTTAATTTCCCATTGTTAAAAATGACACAATTCAAGGAGCTCACACTCTTTGAGTTGGAGTCTACCTCAAGTGCCTCTCTGAATATGCTACACAAAGGAGACGGTTTCCTTAGCAACAGGAATGTGATGAGAAAAAAAAAAACATGGAAATATTTGCTCCCTAACTCCTTCCCCAGCACCCTTCAGCCCTGCTGTTTGCCAGGCACAGAAACTACGCTTTTGACAAGAATTCAAGCTCCTGATTAGTTTAACCATTGTCTATAAGTCCCTCTACAAACCACTTGCTCTATTTTTTTCATTAATGAAACCAGTTCAGCTGTGGAATGGTCATTTTCTCATTAGTGCCTTTAGCTGTTCTTTTCTATATATTTAAGTAAAGCAGAGAAAGGGAAATTGGGTTTTAAAAAGTGTGTGTGTGTGCATGCTTATGTGTGTGTGGGTGGTGGGTGGATATATGAATGTGATTGTCCAGATAAGTGGATTTTAAGTAACTGATAGCATTTATTTTTACATTTATTTCCAGTCTCTGAAATTTGCATGTAAGATATATTTTAAACTCTGGCAGGAGGCAATGACATGTTTAGTGACCTCTATGAAAAGTAATGTATTAATTTGGCAGTACTTATGACACACTTATTAAGTGTGCTTCTGAATAAACCCCCATGAGGTTAATGTGGTTTTCTCTGTATATTAAAAATTGGCAAGACAAACGTAGGTATATGAACTTACAGATAGAAGACTCTAACTGAGGTCTAAATCCAGGGACATCATTCAGCAATATGGAGATCAATAGATGTGATTTTCAGTCCTAAATGCTCGCTATGCCTAGGAAACCAATAAACCCACATCATTTGGGGTCCAAAGCACAACCTTTTCCCAATACAGTTTGTCCCTCTTTCCTGTATCTTTTACTTACTCAGAGCAATGACATAATATGCATATACCGTTGTTGTTCATTTCTAAATTATTTTACTGCTGAGCTTATCAGCTATTGAAGAATGTTTGGTGTGTTGTAGACTTTCTCTTTTTTTCAGGTAATTGAACAGGTAATTGAGCCACCTGTTCAGCTTGGAACTTTAGGAATCTATGAGTTTGCCAATATATTTACTGTATCTTATTCAGGAAGAAGTCTTCCGCATAAGTAGAAAAAACAAAAGAATTAGTATCTGCCATTTTTTTCTTTCATTTTTTTATTTTCATTTTTTTCCTTTCATTTTCTCTCTCTGTGTGTGTGTGTGTGTGTGTGTGTGTGTGTATGACTTAAACAACTGAAATTTATTTTCCCACAGTTGTGGAGGCTAAAAGATCATAATTAAAGCATTGGCAGATTTGATTTCTTCCGAAGCGTTTCTCATTGATTTGCCAATGTCTGCCCATTCTTTTTAAACTGAAGAATTAAAGAAAAATATTAAGTGTGGAAAACCAATGTGCTATGCCAAAGTGTTCTTATAATATGGCCAACAAACACTAACACTTTGGATTGTTTTACCACCAGCTAGCATTAACCAAAATAGAAACAGTGATCCTGTGTTCTTCCCATGTCGAGCCACTCGGTTGTTGTAAGAATTGCAGTATACCTTCAGGAACTAGAAGGCATATATTAAGCATCACATTGTATCTTCATGTGTATTTATAAATGGATCTTAAAACCCTAAAAATGACATGCCAGGGTTTATTCAAGAGGCTGTAAAAACACTAAAAAGACATCCAAAAGCTTTCCTTTCTCCCCCTTGTTGTCGTTGTTGGTTTGTAGCGACAGTATCTGACTGTAAATTATGTGACTCAGTAATGCCAGCTCTCAGGATCCCAGGGAGCTGTCTTCCTGTCTCTGCTCACACTGGTGGCCCTCAGGGTTGGTGGCATTGTCTTGAAGACTGGATACTTGAATTCTGTCCATTTGCCTGCTGGTGACAGCCAGCACTTGTACGATGACAACTGCCATCTGGCTCTTTCTGCTAGATTTGTAGCAGAAGCCTCAGTTGAGTTTGGGGGATGCGAGATTCTCCAGGGAAGGAAGAACCTCTTTGAAATCACCACAGATGGCTTTATTTGGGGAAGATAACAGGCACAGAAGTAGAAGGAGGAGGTAAAAAAAAAAAATCCGCTGGGAGTTTGATGTCTGCTCCTCTTAAAAGAACTTAAGATGAACTTCATTGATTGATCAGGACTGTAGTATGTGCATGGAAGAATTTGGAGGCATTGTGAAACCAAACTGAAACTTTAAAGATTTTGAAATTAAGCAGCCCATCATGGCACTGTGGATATTAGACTTTCCTAAGGAAATGTGTGAATGTGATGTAAATTTGCCATGGGAAAAAGTGCATTTTCATGGTTCCTAAATCATTGTTTCTTGAGAGATGTCCCACCCACATTAGGATTGGCAGGGTGGTGAATGGGCTTATAAAAAAAATGCAGATAAATGGATCTTCCTGAATTTCTGAGGGCTGGGCACCACCTTCCCCAAAAGACTACTCAGTTTTTGTGGGAAGAGTGCATTTCTCTAGTCTCTTTCAAAAGCACTTTTTTTCCCTGACTGTAACAGATTCTAATGCTCAGGCAGATCCGCTTTTCTAAAATGCATTCTCAAGCAATTAATATGCCATTAATATTTAAGAACCACTGCCCTAAAGCTAATCTACTTTGAGAATTCTTCTGAGTTTTATTTTCTTCTCTATGTTCAAAGGAATACAAGTTGGCAAGTATACCACTGAGTTCAAATCGAGGGCAAATTTTCTTCCACGTTTTCAAAGGCATCTAGGTTGTCAGGAACACTGTCTAATACAGCAAATGTTTGCTTTCTCTATATTTAGAGATGCATTTGGAGATGATTAAAACTATAAGGTGGGTGGGTAGGCAACGTTTAGATGTAGGTAAGGTACGTGAAAAATTTGACATCTGGCTAGCAGTTTTTGGCTACTTTTAACACAAATCTATTCATAAGACCTCTGTGTCTTCAAAAGAGCTTCTTCTTTATACAGTAACCCCACACACATGAAGACAGGGCTGTTTATTTGGGAACAGCCCTCCTGCACCACCTCTGCCTTGTACCTTAGTGTCTATGGAGGTGACCTGTTGCCACTGTCAGCAAAGTTTGTGCTTTACTCTGTTGCTAAAAAAACAAACAAACAAAACCAAACCTCTGGTTTTAAAGGGCATATTTCAATATTCTCAGAGGGAAAAATATCTGAGTGGAATTAAGCTCCAGTGAGATTCTTGATTATTCAATGGTGAAAAGTGGAAGCTAAGATAAGATGGATTCCCAGTATATGGAGACTAGAAGGATTAGCACCTCAGTCACCAGTCATCTGAAAGCTGTGAGCAAAAGAGCTTATGTCATAAGTTTTGTTTCTACAGGTTTAATTTCTAAGTAGAAGCAGAACACCAACTTTGTAGCCAGGCAGTTATTTATTCATTTCAGCAAGTGTTTATTGAGCCCCTACTAGGACGGCACACATTCAAGGAAATCTGAAGACACAGACTGGCATCATTCCACACTGAAACCGTTGATGCCATCCATCCATGAGTCCATTCAGACCTGCTGTGATTTTTACAACATGTTTAAATAACAAAGAATTTTTTCCAAACACATATCCCTCAACACCAAGGTCAAAAACTTTATAATAACTACACAGACTCTCTCTCTCCTCTCTCTCTCTCTCTCTCTCTCTCTCTCTCACACACACACACACACACACACACACACGCTTTTGGAATACATATCATTATTCTTACACTTAAAATTTTATTTTGTCAAGAGTCAATTGTTATTCTTCAAATATTTTCAATTAAAATTACAGAGATATTCTGTGGTAAAAATATTCTCCTTTGTGCTAGTAAACAAGATGGACTATATCTTGAACATGTTAAAATGATATTTGTGATTAATATCAGAGAAGTGCTGATATTATTTCTGAGTTTTTGCTTATTTGCTTTCTACATAGAATCAATAAAATTGACAACTAGCATTGCCTATATATGCAGGTGTGATACTATTCAGGGTACTAGTATATTGGCCACTCATTATGAAACTTTCAGGTCCTCATATATTTTCTTTTATTACAATGATCTACTTATTTCTGATAAATATTGGATTCATAGAGGCTAAAGGGCTGGGAAAGGAAAACATTCGTGACTACTTACAACCATTTGATACGAGTTGTGTCAATACAGACCTCACACAGCAGACATGCAGTCAATATTTCTTGAATAAGCAAATGACACACTTCCCTAAAATAACACTAAGTATTAGTAAAAATGGTTCAAAAAGGAGGGTTCTAAGACGATGGTTCCAATTTATTCTTAATTTGAAGGCAGGCATATATTGAGGTTTTATAAAACCCTAATTTAGCAATGTTTTAATGGCTAGAAGTTTAAAACCAGACTCAGACACTAGAGCCAAGTAAACTGTAAGACACGATCACACTCTGAGATTATTCAATGCTGGTGAGGAGGGGCCATTTCTCTGCTGTCCCTCAATGCCTTCTTTCATTAAACATTACTGATTCTGATGCCCAGACACACCAGGTCTTCTGAGTATTAGAAGAATATTTTAGACTTTTAAAATAGCATCTGGAGAATTGAGTCAGAGGCTACAATGGGGTACATAAATATAGTATCAGACAGTTAAACATGGGGAACCACTAGACAAGAGTTCTAATAATAATAGCTCTGTGTGTCTTTTTAAAAATTTAATTACACAGCTAGGGTTGAGAAAAATCCTTCAAAAGTCTCTGATCTAATTAAATGGCACTCTTCAGGTGCGTTAAAACACCATTGGTTTTGATTAATAGTTCTCTTACCTGCCTCATTTCTGCCTCTCTTGGGTATCTCCCTTACAACTGGGCTGTTGATAGAAGGTGGAATTTTTACATGGCCTTAGGGTGACACATTAGAGTTAATGTCATATTGTGAATTGAAGTCCCGTGAGGACCACCTGGAACTGCAGTTTGTGCATCTGGTAAATTTTAAAAGTCTTGATATGTGTTTAACATTCAACTGTCTCTCATTGATGTGCCTCACCAAGGTGTGGAGTTGAGTACTGGCTGACCCTCTGCCATGCTTGTCACCATGCAGTTACAATATTATGGACAAGAGCTATTATCTAATCCCATGGAACCACATGGAGCTTGGACGGTCACTAGAATGGAACAAAACCCCTGAAAATCCTTTAGCGGCTATTGTAAAATTGAATAGATATTACAGAAATGAATCTGGTGCATTGATCTTGACTTTGAAGGCATAACTGACTTTAGCGGCAGTTTAGATGTCTGGGTAGGGCCATCCTACAGTACCAGTATAGAAACCATGTGTTAAATTGTATTATTTCCGAAGTTTTCATCACCTTTGAGTATTTGTAGAACTATTCAGAAAAATCTTCATCAACAGTAAAATTTGGCGATGATTACTTTGTAACTCAAATATTATTTTCAGGCCGGGCATGGTAGCTCATGCCTGTAATCCCAGTACTTTGG
The DNA here is from genome assembly GCF_000001405.40 of Homo sapiens. Classification (NCBI taxonomy): domain Eukaryota; kingdom Metazoa; phylum Chordata; class Mammalia; order Primates; family Hominidae; genus Homo; species Homo sapiens. Next base: position 35,763,924 of record NC_000003.12, read on the forward strand.
GAGGCCAAGGTGGGAGGATCACTTGAGCCCAGGAGTTTGAGACCCGCCTGGGCAACATAGGGAAATCCCCATATCTCCAAACAAACAAACAACCATACAAAAGAAATATGATTTTCAGAGAGGATTGAATTGCTAAGGATGGCTACAATGAAAAAAAAAGTACATTTAGAAAGAATAACCTGTTTTATGAAATGAAATTAAATATTAGTGTCTGTTCCTGCCTCATAGAAGATTATGGCAAAAGTTTTCACTTTTTTGGTAACCTAAAAATATAAGGTGGATGAAAAAATAACATTTAATTTTAACCTCTAAGAAATCTCTTAGAGACACATATCTTGGTCAAGAAGAATTATAACAGTATAATATGCATGCTTTTGCATGATAAATAGCGTTTTTAGAAATGTTTACTTTTATTATCATGGCTTTGATTTCAAATGCTGACAGCTTGCACTAAAACATTTAAAAGTTGTCAACTACATAAAGTGTGTGGCAAAAGATTTTATGAGGTTTTTTTCCTCCAAGTATTTTCTTTTCTTCTCTTCAATGGCTGATGTATGCTCCTGGGCTTCTGAGTTAAATTTGGATTCTTATGTGCTTTCCTCCATGCATTCCCGAGGTGAGATACTGATTTATGACAGTGAGTGGATATTCCGGGATTGACCACAGAAAGTGACACACCTGCATCCCATACTTCAGGTGACCTTCTTAAGCATAGTTTTCTTTGGTCACAAAAGAGATTACTAAGGACTCAGAATACAGAGCCAAAAGGCAAGCCTAGATAATGTTTTGTGGGGTTTTAGTGTTCTGTTTGCATATATGTATACATTTTGTTTTTCTAACTGGTTCTGGAGAGATAAATGTAAGGACACCACTTTTACTAAAAAATTATAGTTCTGCCATTTGTATATCATAGAAATACATATGCATAGAGGAATATAGAGGAATTTTACATTCTTATTGAGTGTGGCAAGCAGTTTAACATTCATTATTTCTAAAACCTTTTCACTTCACAGGATCTGATTTAATGTTCTATATTCCATTGATTAAATGTGAAGTTATAACATCAGAACTAAAATCATAAGCAATACATTATGTTCTCATGTACCTACTATTGCTAAAGGACAAGGAAAATTCTACTTAGGTTAATTATTTTAAATCAAAATTATCCGTTTTAAGTAATTGAACTTATATGGAATTTTTGCAGAAATTATATCATTTTTCACACCTTACTAAACAATATATACACTGATAATATTATTATTTGTTGTTACCTTAAATATCCTGAGCTTACCCTTCTTTTTCAAGGTTTACATCTGTCAAAATGTCAAATTCTAAGCAGGATTGCCTTGCCCTCATCTTTTTTCTTCTTCGGTAATTTGTGTTGAGAGAGTGATAGCAAAGCTTGTTAGAAACATGTCTGAGATTGATTCTGAGAGATAGTTAAGAAGCTCAGCTAAGAACAGAAACCAAGCGAGTGGGGTAGAAGGGAAATGCTGTAATGTGTAGTTAACTGGATCCCCTCTTTCACCCTGAGTCCTTCAGTTTATTGCATAAGTGAAGCATCAGTATACTGAAATCAGCCAGCAAGCTTTCTTGTCAGTTGAGCATAGCTGGGATACAATTTTGCACACACCTTCTCGCCAAGGAACAAAACTCCACCATTCCAAACAAAGAGGTGACATGTAAATGTAAATGAAGACAGAGTGCTTTCAATGCTTCTTAAAATAAATTGAAATGTAAGGAGTTTCTTCCTAGTGAGTTATAAAATGAGAAAGATAGAAAAGACAAAAATAAGTCTTTTAAAATAGGTTAACCTCAATAATTACTACATATAAATAATTTATTCTACATAATGGAATGGTTAAGCATAAGAACTAAGGAATTTGATTTCCTGAGTTAAAATTTCTGCCATTTATATCTGTGTGACCTTAAACAAAGTAACTACTTTGTGGCTCAGTGTTCTCATATGTAAAATAAAGAAGATCTGAGGACTAGCTCATCAAGGATTAAATACAGTAATGCAAGTGAGGGGCATTTAGTGTTTGACACATAGAGAGCAATGACTGATTATTAATGTAGCTCTGGGTACCATGTAGAGCCTGTACAAGAAATGAGCACTGATTCTGAAAACTATTCTAAGTACCCCCTCTATTATTTATGTGGAGTATCCAATAACCAATGCATTCAGTGATCTTCCACGGAAATTTAACTCTCTGGATTTTAAATGCTACTCACATGCAACTAGAGTCATGTTTTTATTCTTTGAAAACAAAATGGGAATTTTGAATTCTATTCATTTGGTTAAATACAGCCACATGGCTCTCCCAAGTTCCATTCTGAAACTAATTTGTAAATCTTCACAAGTTGGAGTAGTAATGGCACACATACTTAAGGTAATGTTGAATGCAGCATGGAGGTGCCAATCTCTTTATTGATGTAAACAAGAGAGGCTTTGCTACTTAAAAAACAAAAAAGAAGAAGAAGGAGAAGAAGCACTAACACAGAATGAAATAATCAGGTGCTAATTTGTTTCTTTGCCTGCCCTAGATGCCACTGTATGTGAAGGATTATCATAGAAAATGCATTCTTTCTGGAATTTTGAGCCTTTAGGCATTTGACGTGCCAATTGCCTTCACTTGGTTGTAGTCTGTAATTTATCACTGGAGTGTCCTACCCTGCTCAAACGCACCCTTTGTGGGCAGAGGCAAAGCTAATATACTCTCCAAGTATATTTGAATTGCTTCAATAAATCACAGCTGCCACTGTAAGCAGTTTTATCATTTGCCAGAACAATAAGTTATCATTTTACCTTATAGATGCAATGCTTTCCAAGACTTTTATTTGTGTAAATTGTAATGCACCATCACCTATTTCTTAAAATACAATTAAGAAGCTCATATTATACATATGTGTGTGTGTGTGTGTGTGTACATGAATATATAAACATATTTTAAGGTGCAAGGAAGTATTCCAAGGCAATGGTGTGAGCTTACCAAGAAATGGGGCATTTTTTATCCTGCTTATTTTATAGCAGCAATTACTATAATGGTGTGAGCATTAAATGCTTGGAATTGGGGTTAAACTTCATTTAGCTCTTTACTGCTCCAGTGTCTCAGTGAAACCACTCTGTAAAGAAATAGGACTAAGCACAAATCATTCCTGTTAGGCCTGCCATGCATGAGATGGAGAAACCTGATGTTTTAACATATTGTCCACCTCTACTGATAACTCTACAGACAGTCATTTCAATAAATCAAGCTGTGGAATCAAATTTTTGGCCATAGTGATCTCTGGGACTTACTTTCAATTTCTTCTTTATTTCACGATGACCAAACCACAAGTCAGAATGCACCTGACTTAAATCCTTTAGACTTCTGAGGAAGTAAATGTACTATATGAAGATATCATGTCTTAAGTTTCTAATAAGGCAAAAATAATCTAACTTTTATACTGTTTCTGGACTCTCTTCACCATGATGGACAATAAAGTGTGCTCTTTTTTGTTGGCCTGACTGAAAAACTGCTTAATATTTATAAATTAATTTGCCATCAGTTCTTGAATGATAAGAAAATAATTTTGTTTGTAATTGCCTCAATAGTTCACTCCAAGCAGAGAAAAGAAGTCTATAAAAATGCCAAGTTTTATAATTAGAAACTAATTTATTTGTTTCAAAGCCAAGTGTTTTCCTATGTACATGGTAATATTTGAATTAGCTTTAATTCTGTCTGCATTTATTAACAAGAAGGGACTTATATGTCCTATCATGAAATTTCAGACTTTTCCATGCAGCTCTGTCAGTTTGCAATGGCTGTTTATTTTTATATTACACTCCTTGATAGCCATTACTAAGAACTTCATAAACCTCCTCTTCATGCCTGACTACAGGATCTCTAACCCAGTGTTTCTAGGTGGTGGTACCATCATAAAACCCTTGAACAAAACTCCCAGCCCACCAGTCCTTAAACATTATTATTCAAATCAGCATGGGAACTCTGCCATCATCCCCATCATTCAGGTGCACCCATGCTTTTCACCTCATCACTCACACTTACACAGTTTCTGGCTCTATCAACAACTTCCTTGCTTGTCTGAGGCCTGACCCAATAAACGCATCCAGCTCCAGGCTCATACCATGCCCAGTGCCCCATGCTTTTCCGTGTGTGTGTGTGTGTGTGTGTGTGTGTGTGTGTGTGTGTGTGTGTGTGTGTGTGTGTGTTTGCATGATGAATGAAGGATGGAGAGGATAGGCTTGAGATGAGGATTCAGATTCTCCACTGTTTTAAGTAGATAGAATTTTGCCTTTCCCCTTCCCATTTCCTCTTTTCCCCAGACCCTCACCTCATTCCCTTTTCTCTTTTAATCCATGGAAGGAAAGTGGTTTCCTGTTCTCCAGGATAGATTCAGCTGGCAAATTCTACTCCAAACAGTAAGTGGAAGGAGGCCTATCATTTGGAAGATTTGGTCATTTTCAGAAATATGGAACATTGGCTAACACGGACATATAGTCTAAATTCTTTTCTAGAAAACCAATTATGTGAGACTATCACTAGTTTATAATTACTCATTTAATAAAATAAAAATAACCGATATTTGATTTATGATAGCATCACTAATTTCAATAGTAGTGTGTCTTTGAAGAAAAGAAATATACAACAAAAGGAGCATTACTTCGTGTATGATTGCTTCTATAAGGAATCCCATTCACAAATTTGCTTTTTACTAAAAATCCCATTTTAGCATGTTGAGTTTTACATTTTTAAGGCTTAATTAAGCATGACTCACTCTGATTTGTCTTATCACTGAAAGGCCACCTGCACCCTTTTCTAAATCATTACCATAATACAGTGTTATTACTATAATCATTTTATCATTAACTGCTTGCTATTTATTGTCATGTTATCAGAGTATCCTTTAAACACTAGAATAACATTTTTAAATCCTAAATTCACTTTACAGGCATAGTTTACTAAAGAATTAGAAATGTTATATGTTACAGATATTAGAAAAGGCTAGTATATAAGAATCTCTTCTTTGAGTGTCAACCTATGTTAAGCCTAAGTGAAAGGTAATGGGAAATGATTATCAATAATCCTTGAAGAAATTTCTTTCTCTCTCTTCCTCTCTTTCTCTCTCACTCTCTGTCTATACATATGTGTATATTTATGTGTATGTGTATATACATGATTATATATGCATATGATTATATACCTATATCTTGAGAAAGTAAAAATCATCTGAGACCGAGAAAGTAGAAAGCTGCACAGCCTTTCATCAGGCTGCAGTAGCAGACACAGATTATTCCAGGAGAAAAATTAACAGGAAACAACATGCCCGCGAAGAGGCACTGCAACCATAGGGTATCATAATAACCCTTTTATTTGAGTGACTACTGCCCTCTCCACTCTTGCCTGGAACACCTATGTTACTGTAACATAAAGTAGCAGCCTCAATTTACAACCCAAGGGTGGAGCTTCAGGTAGACATTTCTGCTCACAAGATTCCACATCTATCTTAGCTTTGTGGTTCCAAAGGAAATAGGATCCTGAGTCTGCTATGCAGTCTAGGCAGGATGTTGACTCCTTGACACAGCCCCGCTTTGCTTTAAGTCTGTCAAAACACTGCTTCATTTAAAAATTATTTAATGGTCCTGAGTTCGCTATCTTTTGTTGCTGAGATACCCTGTGGCTCCTCTGCTTTACTGCCTCCCTCATTGCAAAGAATAATAATTTGTCAGACTGCAGTTTTGATCTTGGTTATCTTAGGTTCGCTAGGCTAACACTATCTCTATCTATCCTTCCAAGCCCTTTTGATGATAATTTGGAGCAGACTTTCTTTGTTCCCTGCATAGAAAAGAACACATTCCCGTAACTAAAGCCATACTATCTTGCTAAGAAACAGAAAAGGCCATTTGATATGGAAACAGTGGTAGCAGAGTCATTGCTTGGAAGGGCATATGGTGGTTTGGCTTGAAAATGTACAAACAATTTATTGCTAACTACCAAAATAAGAAGTGTACAACTCTTGTGGGAGTGTGGGAGTATGTAGCGACGAAGAAGTTTCACAATCCAGGTGACTCCCTACTTAAAGTTGCCATGTTGGTACAGTTAACAGAATACACTGCATCAGTGCAAATCTAAAAGAAGCTAGAAGCCTTCTCCATCAAAACAGTTGTTGACTACAAAATACTCATTCAAAAAAACATTTTTTATATTCCCTGGGATGAAATCCAAATCTATTTTATATGAGACTCTGCTTCCCTGCATAGCCCCAAACTATGCTTCTAAATTATCTTATAGAAAGAACATCTTAGTTCCGTAGATGTCTAAAATTCCTCCTTTTATTCATTTCTTTTTCTTCATCAACTTGTCCTAGGAAAGAGTGGGTTGGTGTTACCAAAGGTAGTTTATTTCAAGATATATATTGGCAAGATTAGTAAAATGGTTCAGCATTCTTAGCCTTGGAACAGTTTGATGCTTTCATAGCTCAGGCTGCCTCCAATCTTAGAAATGTGGCCTTTCATCTCAATTATCTGGAAACTGAGCATTCTAGAATAGCATATGGTTCTTTTCACCACAGGCAGAATTTACTGTTTGTAGTCAAACAGTTGCTGCCACATTTTTAGAAGACTCTTGAAGAATGGTCTGAAGACACACCCAGCCTTTAGAAAAGTGAATGCACTTGACTATGAGTTTTCATTGGTGGGCAGTGATTTTCCCACCTTGTGTGGATTTCACAATTGCTGAGCACTATTTTTGAGCTTGGTAGATAGCCTGCCAGAAGAATTAAACATAAAATGCTTAAATTGTAAACAGTAGCCTGCTGAATGTATCCTATGCCACAATTCTTTATGCCCTAATCAACAGTTTGTGTCATTTATGATTTATTCTACAATGAAAGGCTATGTTGAGAATCACTGCAGTAATATATCATTTTGATTAGTAGATGGCTGTTTGGTGCAACAAATAGAATGAATTACTAGTCAATAAGGAGGATCCAGGATTTTCAAAGTAAAGCAGGACAATACTCATCAATATTGGGTAAACATTAAGGTCATGAATTGAGGGAGCTGGAAGGGTCATCCAGTACTCTCATTTTTAACCTGAAGAAACTGCGGAATAGTTGGATATGCACCTTGCTCAAAGCTACAGAGCTCATCTGCGAGTGCCCTGGGGCTCCACTTAGAAATAATTTTCTTTCTCTTTTGTCGAGTGCTATCTCTCCCTAGGACCTACAGTCCCACTTGGCCAGCATGGGAAGTCAGAGTGTTGATGGTCACAGTTCTTTGCAGGCTGGCGTTTCCTGACCTCTGGGCACATTGGTGACCATTGCCTCAGAGTTACCTGCAGGTTCCACTCTCTAGAGTTAAGAAGTTTATGTGAAGTATCACATAACATCAGAAGGTAATGATTGTTTTTTTTTTTTTAAGATGCAGTCTCACTCTGTTGCCCAGGCTGGAGTGCAGTGGCATGATCTCAGCTCACTGCAACCTCCACCTCCTGGGTTCAAGCGATTCTCCTGCCTCAGCCTCCTGAGTAGCTGGGACTACAGGCGCCCATCATCATGCCTGGCTAATTTTTGTATTTTTAGTAATGACGGGGTTTCACCATGTTGGCCAGCCTCGTCTTCAATTCCTGACCTCAGGTAATCTGCCTGCCGTGGCCTCCCAAAGTGCTGGGATTACAGGCATGAGCCACCGTGCCTGGACAGGAGGTAATGATATTTTATCTATCAACATTTATTCAACAATAATACAATACATTTCTTAGGCACCTATTGTGTGCAGGCATCACACTGCATAGAATGTGCAGGGTAAGCAAAATGTGAACAGTGAGACAAAGATAAATAATATAGAAGTAGTCTCTTAAGGGAATTATAGTCAAGAAGGAAAGGAAAAGTGACTGAAAATCATGGCATAATCATATAAATTAAAGCATTTTCAAAGGCCTTTGGACTATATTATGTTCAGATCAAGAGTTTTATTTTGTTTTTGTTTTTTGTTTGTTTATTCTTAATCATGTTAATGTAGACTGACTTTAACAGACCTTAAGAAAATCTAATTCACATCAGGCAAGATTTATTTTTTTTAACAACTTAATATCAGATTTGGTTCAGGCTTAATATTATCTTTGTAACTAGCAAATGTAGCTGTTATTTGAAGCCATTAAAATACTAAATTTGGCTGCAGCTGGTTATTGCACCCAGTCAGAAATGTAAAACTGATGAATTTGACAAGTTTAATTTGAAGCATTTGTGGGCATCTGCTGAAGTATGAAGTATCCGTATCAGTTATTCTTGGAAATGAAATGAAAAGAAAGAATACTTAAATGGCAAACATCTTCCAGAGCTGAAAAAAATTGTGTCATAATAATATTTACCAAATTGTCCTAATAAAACAGTTCTGTTTGAATTTTAGAATGTTAGACTCAAAAGAAATCTTAAACAGATCCAGTTTAGCCCAGGCCCCTAGCTTTACAGTCAGATTAATGATGAGGAAACTGAGGCCAAAAAAAGTTAAGTAACCTACTCAGAGCCTTACTACTCAGTAAAATGTCATGAGCTGATATTCAGTTTGCTGAACAATTGGTTGGTGATTAGTCCAGCACTCCAGCACTCCTTGTTTTAGCAGTCAGGTATGTTTTCTGCGCTCAGAGATGAGTCAGCATCCTCCTGGGTGGACCTCAAAATCTCACATTCTCTACCACATTTCCATTATGCCTTTTTCAATCCCAACATGTTTTTCTTCTAGTCCAGTGAACTTACTCTACAAGATATAGTCCTCCTCTCTTTTTATTCCACTTTATTTTGGGCAGTCATCTGTGTGGCAATCACAGATTTATTAGTTGCAAATAAATGAAAGAGCTTTGGATGCCTGAAAACAGCTGCACAGGCTTGCCTGGGTTGATGCATTGATGTCAGCCTCCGAGCTCAGGGTGTGTGCCAGAGTCTGGATCAGCTGCTCTTACAGAATTGCACTCCTATAACACAGTCTGTCATTATTAGGTTGCAATTATTTTTGCCTACAGCTGGCTATTTTTCATAGCCATTTTACTTTTTATCAAAGTGAGATAAAAAGGATTTTGTGCTTGAAAAGCTGCTGTTTTGGCCATATCTTGAGCATAAGCATTGAATTTCTTATCATTCATAGGACTCAAGCAGGGTCTTGAAAATGAGTAGAAAGTATATCATCTTAAGGATAAAACATATTGTTACAATATAATGCATTTTTGGTGAACCCTGGGAGTGGCGTACTCTTAGCAGGAAGTGAATTTCAACTTCAAATCGTTTTTTAAATTATAATTATGGGCAACTTGAGTGCTTTCTATATACCAGACAGTTTGCTTAAGGGTATTACATGGCTTAATCTTCTCCCTGACCGTATGAGATTGATATCATTAATTGTGTCACCTTCCCTATTTTACAGATGATGGAAGTAGAAATTTGGCAGGGGAAGTAACTGCCGTAGGATATACAAGGAGTCTGTCTTAAAGACCAGGTCTTTCCATAATAAATTGCCTCTCATGACTTGACAATTTATGCCTACAAAATCAAACAATAATTGTATTTACTTCCTCCCTCAAAATGGTTTTTACCAGTGTTAGAATGTTTGCATCCCCTGAGACATCATTAGATGTCTAGTCATGGATAGTAGGTATCAAATAGCAGCTCTCTCACACCTAGGTAAAGTGGTTGTAATCATTTATTTTTAAGCTACTGAACTATGTCCTTCATCATGATCTTGTTAATAATGCCAGGCCACTAAGGAGTTATAGTTCATGAAATTTCATCATGTAAGCTTTCCAAGGGCCCTCACCTGCTGAAATGACAACTTTTTTTAATTAAAATTTTATCCTCAAAAGTAACAGCCGTATGTGTTTTTTTAGTTAGTTAATAATAAAACTAATTATTGTGCTACATCTTAGACTACATCTGTTTTAAATATGGGCACTTGTAGCTTTGTGTTCTCTGGCATCATTAACAAGGCAATATCAACTAAGCTGATGATTCTATCAGGAGGTACTGGGGACACATTTTAATCAGACACATTTGTAAGGCAGTGACTGTGTCCCGCTTTTGCTGTAAGTCATATTGATGGTGAGGTACTAAAGCTTCACTGCTCAGTTAAGTGTTCCTTACAAATGTAGCTATGGTAAGATAGAGATCATTTCCAAAAATGTGCTTACTGACTTGATAACAGTTTAAAAATGACTTCCTATCAGGTGCAGTGCTGTGCGCCTATAGTCCCAGCTACTCGGGAGGCTGAGGCAGGAGGATTGCTTGAGCCTAGAAGTTTGATGCCAGCCTGCGCAACATAGCAAGGCCCTTATAAGAAAATTTCCCATATGATAAAAAATGTTTTTAAAATATGGCTGAAAATATTACTATGTGAGACAAAATTTATACTTTGGGATGTCATATCAGGAAAATTTGCTTCTACATTAAATTTACAAAGACCTCTCCAAGCTGTGGGTTGTCCCTCTTGGATCAGTCTTAGATGCCTGAACTTATCTAAGTGACATTGAATTGCTCTTTATCAATGGATATGCATTCTTTGTGAATTCTTCAAGCTCTCCCTCCCTCTTCTACCCCCTTTTAAATACTTAGAATCCTTCTGGAGGAGTGTATTGAGAAGCAGACTCCGTTTGAATTGTGTTATACTTGGATGATAAAGAATGAGTTACTCATCTCTCCTGCTGAATTAAGGATTTTCAATTCTGGATTCTTGTGACTGGGTTTCTGGGCTTCCAGAAGAAACCAGAGAAATTTTATTCAAATTGCTTTTATATGTGCCTATGTACAATTAAGTAGAAAAGTGGTTCTAGAGAAATTTTCTCTGGAGAAAGTTTCAGAGAAATTTTATGCAAAATAACTTTTGTATGTGGCTAGGTACAGTTAACTAGAAAAGGGCCTCAATACTTTTATCAAATCTTTGATGTGATCCATATTTCTTTATAAATATTAAATGTCAGTGTCCTTGATCAATAATTTTTCTTAGTAGTGCCCTGTTCTTCCCATTTCAAAGATGAGTGAGAAAACTAAGCAGCAGTTCCTAAACTGAGGACTGAAGGTTTCTGGGAGTTTCTGCTGTTAAAGATAGTAAGTAAAATATGTCAATTTAAATAAGATTAATACAAATTAATATAACCATTCTATCCCACCCCACTCCCCAAAGAAAGAATTTTGGAAATGCTCTCTGAGTGACTGGTAGTAGAAATTCGATGAGGGAGCATGCCACAACTTAATCATTCATTTCTGTAGGCACTGTTTTGAACCTAATTAGATGCCAAGCTGTTTTAAATAGTTTTAATCCCTTGTCTTACACTGATTAACTTACATGCATAGTGAACAATTGGTTAAAGACAAAGAAAATGAGAAACAAATGCAATTTATCAGGAGCGCAGAATGAATCCCATTTCTCTAAGTTCATTTCAACAAAACTTTCACTGTGTTTATAAAAATGTATATGCATATGCATACACATGAAAACACAGTGTATGTGCATATGTGTGTAAATGTACATATGTGTGTGAATGTGAGTGTATATACATATGTGTGTGTATATATATGTAGTTACTGTACAATTTACCATCTGAGCCCATCCACATTTGACAGGGAAAAAGAGGGCTATTAATAAATAAACTAGAGCTATAGCCATTAACAGACATATCTGGTCATCCCATATAAAACTGGAAAATTTGTGTTTTATTAAAACAAAGTTAGGAGTCAGAAAGTTGGATTGGATTTTAATCTTCATTTTATGCAATATATTTTACAATATATATTAAATATAAGCTACTGATTAAAAATAAGCAAATAAATTCCAAAATATAGAGACAGAAAATAGTGACATTTATATCTCATTTCCTTTTTTTTGAAAGAATAAAGGCTATCTATAATCTGTAATATGTTTTTCTGTGGATAAGTGCTTGCAGTGAGCAGCATAAATGCTTTTGTCTTATTGATCAATTAGAAACAAAACACAAAGATCAAAACCAGCCAGCTGACTTTTTAAATGCATAAAGTGTAATATTTTCAAACATTGTTTGGATATTTTGTCTATTTTGGTACTTTAACATGTCTTTAATTTAATGTCCATTTTACTATTTCTTCAGTCCCTAAAGCCCAACATTTCAAAATATGTCTGTTTATAAATCATATTTTTACATAAATAGAAAATAAATAAAACACCATTTATCATTTATTAAATGGGGAAAAGTAAAATTGTTCCATGTGTGTTGAGAATGTTATTAAACATTGCATTTTAAAGAATATTAGAATATTATCAATAATATGTTAATTGAAATATTATGCTTTCTTTAAAAAAATCACTTGCTCAATCTTTTAGTGCACAAAAAATTTACAAAATGGTTACATTAGAAACACTGGGAAAGTGGAAGATTCTCTATACCTCTGCAAGGGACTCAGATGTGTTAGGTACTGAGAAGCCCTGTAATAGTCTAACAAGTTAGAAGACAAGCCCTTCATGACAGCAGCTGGCCAGGGAAAGCAGAGGAAGGGTGGGCAACATTTTGTGTCTTATCTTTGATGCAATGACACGGAGCTCCACTTAATAAGTCACCAGAAAAAGTTGGAAAGGTACCTGCTTGAATCCAGAGTGCACTCAGCACCCTTTTGCCCTAGGATGGCTTTGGGTGAAAGACAGTTCTCCTTTGATGGGGAGAAAATGTAGCCTGTTGTAGGAAGTGTAAGCATAGCTTTGATTAGGAGACAAAGGACACAGTGGAACTGAGTTTATTCCTTATATGAGGACAAGAAGGAGACCTCAATTTTCTCCGAATACTTGGTGACACATATGGAGTAGAGCTTCTAACTAAGGAATACAGCAGACTGGCTGTCCTAAAATTACAGCCCAGAAATCACTGCTCTCCCAGGGATGGGAGTCTGGGCCCAAGTGCCTTTCTAGGTGGTTCCTGCCTGGATATCTGCTTCCCAGTTAGGACCAGCTTGACCTTCCACTCCCTGCTGTATGGAGAGTTTTGCCTACCATCATTTTCAGAGCTGCTTCTGCCACTTTTGCTACTAGGGATTAAAATTTCTCTATAATCCAAAGGCAGAAAAGAGCATTCATTGCCTGACCCATGTTCTCTTCCATGTGACTAGCACATAATGGCTGTACCTCGGCTCTTGTGGAAATTTAGAGTGTGGAAGCCGTAGAAGGAGCAGTTCCAGGAATAGTGTGTGTGTGCCTTTGTTTTTGGCAGATCCATCTTGATACTACCAACACCCAGTTTGTTCTAAATCTATGGAATAATTCTGGAGAGAATGAAAATACCCCTATTTACTGAGCACCATTTAGTGGAAACTAATGGTAACTACTACACAGTAAATGCCATGTGCTGAGCAAGTCACGTTACCTGATAGCTACCTGACCTTCACAAAAGCCCTGGGAAAGTGGGAATTAACTTGCTCCCAGTTAATAAGCAAGAAAAGTGAAGCTCAGAGATATCAGGCAACTTCCCAGAGTCTCACAGAGTCAGTGGTTGGAAGAACTAGCATGGAGCTTGTGAATTTCCCATTAGAAAGCAAAAATTCCTTAGATTTAAACCAGAAAACTATTTAGTCTCATTTAAATATCACTTCATACTATTCACCTTGAAGATGATTGCTTTAAATATTTGAACAAATTATGGCTAAATGTACTAAACTTGAGACTAACTTCCAGTATAGCATTTCTAAACCAAATATGATGTCAGAATTGCAAGGACCAGTTAAGGTCATTGTAGAAATAAACTAGATCCTCCTTTTTTCTTTTTCATTTCCCTGAAATAGTCTTCACCCATTGTTATCTATTTGATCTCAGCCATCTGGTTCTGCAGCCAGAGAAGGAAAATGTCAAATTCAACAAAATGAGTAGTACTGCTTGAGATGAATCATAATTTAACTTTTTTTTTGCTCTACAAGATATTTAAACAGTAACATTGCTTAATAATACTTCCTAAGTTATTATCAATTCCCTACAAACGTTGCCATTTCATCCAAATGGAAAGGCAAGCATTAGGACTATGAGTCAAACACTCTACCCTAATATCTAATGACATATAAATTTGAGAGTTAACATTTACTTTAATTGCTGAAGCAGTCATGCTAAGTGCATCATCTGACATATTACCAGGTGTTAAAAAGGGTAATTTCTGAGGGGAAAAAAGTCTCTAAAACCAAGAGACAGTATTCCACTAAAAGCGTTGTTCATCTCTTTTAAAAAATCTTCAGTTAAATAGATTGCCTCAGTAGTTTGGGAAATGGTCCCTGACATGGAAACATATTTCTGTAATCTTTGAAGGGAAGGGGAGTGCTGGTTATTCTCTGTGTTTCCTCCCAACACATAGCCATTCTCTATCCATCTCTCCTGACCCCATGAGCTGCATCTGTCAGGTTCCTTTGCCCCCTGGTTTCCACCTGGGTTTTGCTAATGGAAGGCATCAGCTGCAAGAGATCAAAGGGCAGAGGGAGAGAGAGCAGGCAGAGGGAGAGCCAGCGAGCAGTCCTCACCGTTCCCTTTTCACCTTGGGATGCAGCTGGTTCTGGCAGGCAGCCCCTCCTCTCAGCTCTTGCTAACTGCTCCTAACACTGGTTTCTCCCCTAAGACCTACAGACAAGGGGAGAAAACAGTTCCCTACTGTTATTATGCTCTGGTGTCTTCCTCACTTGTTGATCCCTCAACTTACCTACTCCCTTTGTTAAAACCTCTTCAATTGAATCATTTCAGTGGAATTCCATTGCTTGACAGGACTCTGAGGAGATGGGGGAAAAGTCACTAAAATACCTGTGTCCTAATTCTGGCACTACTAAACTGTATGGTCTGAAACGATCTACACAATTCCTCGAGCTTCACTTTTATCTTCTATAAAGTGAGAATAATAATGATACCCACTTCACAAAGCACTGAGCCCCGTGAGTACAATAAGGTGCACCAGGAATTGTTACTATTAGTTTGAATAAAGAAAGGAGACTGCTTGCTTTCCTGTTTGAGTTAGTGTAAGTGTAATCCACTATATGGCCTCCTTGAAATTTTGTCTATTGGTAATTAACTACTAATATGTATTTCTAAACTTTGGGATAGAATGATAGAAATGAGCTGATAGTTTTAAAAGAGATGGTTTGATTCCATTTTTTACAACTCATACATTTCTTGAACCTCCAAAACTTATATTTTCTTTCTCCCTAATGGCTTACTCTGTGTTATCTTAGAAAAGTTTGTTGGTAGATACTGGGGGCAAATTAGGTAAGTCCACTTCACATATAAAAGATGTATTCTCCGGGTTCCTAGTAATGACACAATAGCAGCAGAAGTGGCACAATTGGGGGAAGAAAATGGCTTTTTCTCCCAATTATGAAGTACTTGTGGACTATTACCAACAAAACAGAACACAATTCCTCAGTGTGAGCATTCAGGAAGCAAAAATATTTATTGCAGTCTAGTCTGCCACATTTGGAGGAAGCACCGTGGCATGTATGTTGGGGAAGTTAGTTACCAAAAACTGGGATTTTGTCCCTGATTTATGAGAAATTCTGTGTGTGATCCTGAACAAGAAGCTGTCTTACTCCTCTAAACCTCAGCTGCAGCACCCAGAGTTTCTTGTGCCAGGATATCACCACATCCATTGTGCATACTCAAGATAAATGAATGTAGGCTTAGTGAGGGTCAAAAAAAAAAAGTGGGGGGCAGGTGGTGGTTAGAAAAGCAAGTAATACCACCTCAAGGAGGAGTAGGTGAGATCCAGTCTCTTGTTTGCTTTTCTTTTAGGTAAACTGTTAAAGCATATTCATAAAGGAGCAAACTCACATTTACAACCTAAAAAACATCAGGCTATAAGAATCTCATCTTGTTTTCCAAATGCCTTGCCAAGTTTGAGAATGCCAAACAGAATCTGTTTCAGATGCCTTTTTCCCTCCCTTTTCTCACTCCTCCTTTTAGTCCCTTTCCATATTCCCTCCTCCTTTCCCTTTCTGGACCTGTCATTGCCCCATGCCAAAATCAAGAAGTAGAATTTAAAAACTGTGCTGTTAGAAGGAACCTCTTTCACATCCCCTTGCCCAGAGGCAAAGG
This sequence comes from Homo sapiens, assembly GCF_000001405.40. Taxonomy (NCBI): domain Eukaryota; kingdom Metazoa; phylum Chordata; class Mammalia; order Primates; family Hominidae; genus Homo; species Homo sapiens. Next base: position 35,779,990 of record NC_000003.12, read on the forward strand.
GGATAAGAGAAAGTAGTTACTGTCTGTCCAGATTTTTTTACACTATTGTGATAATGATAAATCATTCCCCCTCTGCACTGGCAAGGCTTTGGACTCTGTGTTCTGTATACGTTGCCTCTTCATCATTTTCTTCAAGTTTTTATTTGCTAGCTTTTTTTCTACCTATGTGCCATTGCAAGATACTTATGGAGTGGCTGGAATAGGACAGTTTCTTTATCAGCATCATCAATGAATGTTCTTGAGGCACTGCATGTGAAATACAGGGCTAAGCAAACATGTTTAAGATATGCTTCTTTTCCTAGAGGATTGCAATCTACCTAAGAAGCAGGAGCTAAATAAGTAATAAAATGCAATTCAAAGTCATAAAAGTGGGGAGTGCAAAGAATGAGGAATGGGCAGTTGCATATATTGGTTATTGCCAGAGGCTGAACCACTGGTGTATGTCCTACAAGAGAGATATTAGCCTATCCTGACACCTTTTGATGAAAATATTGTGCCCATTTTACAGATAAGAACAATGAACTAAGAGAGTAGAGATGGCCTCCCCCGCAGTGTAATTTGCCAGATCCCACTACTTACTCTGTGAGGGAAAAAAAATAATGAGTGGGCTAAACAATAGGAATTCAAGGTAATGTGTTTGAAAGCCAAGGCCCAACAGAGATTCTCGAAGTGTGGTACCCAGACAAGAAGCATCAGCATCACCTGGGAACCTGTCAGAAATGCATATGTTTGAGCCGCAACCGAAACCTGCTCAATCAGAATCTAAGCGTCTGGGCATTAAGGCTTAGCAATTCGTATTTTAATAGGGCCCCAGAGGTTATCTGGAGGCAGGCTAAAGTTGAGAATCATTGACCCAGGAACAACGTATTTCAGCTGGATGGGGAAGCAGGCAATCAGAGACAGAGGCGAGATGGTGAGGCTGGGTTGAGTGGCAAGCAGTGATAATCCAAAGCTCTGAGATGGCAGCCTGCAGACCTGGCTGGGTGTGAATGGGCCTACTATAGCACCCCTCAGTGAGTAGCCTGGTGTCCTGCTGAGGATAAAATGTGAGGACTGTTCCCAGCTTTCTTAGACCACGTGGTCCTGCTATGTCATTACTCTGAAGACAGGGATCCCTCTGCCTGAGAATTTAGATAGCTGGTTGTCCCTTGTGAGGGAGCTCCTCTGCAGCCTCAAGGGAACTTCAAGAAAAGAGGTTTATGACCACTTAAAAATACTCATGGCTTCATTTGGATGCTTATAAAGCACTTTTAATCATGATGAAATGCAAGTATTGCCTTTGAATGCCTTGAGTTGAAGGGAAAAGTTAACGAGTGAATGATTTGAATCATTTCTCTTCTTAGCCTGGAGCAAGCCATTAAAAGAATGAAACTTCTAGTCAAGATGGAAACAGCCTGCCCCAAAGGGATGATTGAAAGAGTCTTCAGGACAGGCATTTGTCCTTTAGTTTTATTTTCACTTTAATTATTATAAAATCTGATTTAAGTGTTGACCATAGCCTCCAGTTCCAGCCAGCTGAAAAGATAAGCACATTTGTATTTGTGTGGACAAGTCTGCAGACTTCTTATTGTTGTCTCAAGCCAGACAATACAACCCTTTTAAATAACAGTTCCTCATAAGGTGAGATTAAAGATATTTCTTCTTGCTGTTACCAAGGAAAATCATGATCTAGTTGATTATGTACATGAAAAGAAAGTATCTCTTGGCTATTGCTTGGGGTTGTGACATCATCTGGTGTCCACTATCTTTACTTTGGGTAAATCATTGCTGTAATATTGATGAAATTACAAAATAATGGAGAATCAGAGGTCATGTTCCCCAACTCTAACTATAATGAAAACTTTAAAAATGTTTAGTCCCAAATTCTCCTTGGAAAACATTGGTTACAGGTAAAATACATAAATTTATATCAAACTTAGTTGTGTTGTTGTTGTTTTCAATGAGCTATACATTAGATAACCTAGAACTAATCAATTGCTGTTGAGCTGTAATGAAATGTAAACAAGTGGACCTTGTATTTTTTATGGCATTCTGAAATTTAAATCTAACTGATTGTAGCTAACTGAACCTTAAGGAAAAATCAGAGGAAACTTGATCCTGAAAACATTAGCACTTAGCATTTTGTACGTACATATGCTCAAATATGTATCCATGGTATGGCAAAAAAATATCTTACTGAAGCCTGTTTCAGTTTCTTCATGGAAATTTCAGTTGATTGTCCATTTTAGTAAATAATATAGAGCATGTTATTCCTATCAACCGATCCTGTCAATTAATTTAGTTTGCAGTGGAGAGTTTGTGGGACCATGGACTTCTCCTTGATCTTTAACCAAGTCTTCCCTGGGTTATTGCAATTCCATGTGGATCAAACAACACTAATCATGTTCATAAAATAAATAAGCACATATTTCCTTCAGGTTCTTCTCAGAAGTTATCTTGGGTAGCTTCTGTTGTCTTCCCAGAATGATGTGACAGCATTTGGTTGTAACTCCTAATAAGCTCTCTGACCTGTCTTGTATCCTCAAGAGGAAAAACCCCAGGACACTTTGCTGCTGGATCAAATAAAGTAAATAGTAGTAGTAGGTGACATGGAGAGCTACTAGATGATTCAGAGGGAAAGTTAAACTCTCTGTCACCCAAATCCCAGCCTTCTTGGTTGTATGCAACCGTTGATGTTGAATGTGCTATGAATTATGACAGGTTTATAGATTTTCTTACTCTTTCCCAGGTTTTTCATTATTTTAATCTCTCCTTTTAAAATATACTAATTCTTACATTTATACCATGTTAAAACAGCAAGAAAAACAAAACTATAAAATCCCATCAACCCTATGCCTCCCTCTGGCTCTCTGCTCCTTTCTCTGCCCAGCATGGTGCTTCACTGCCAGGCTTCTCAAGCTTCTCAAAGGAATTCTTTTTCTTCCTGTCTGGCTGATGTACCCATCACTAGCCTTGCTTTTATTGAGGTCACCGGTTTGTTTGTTTTTTTAACCTAGGGTCTGCTGTCTTTTCTTCCTTGGCAGTTCTGCAACTGTGGTCATTGTCACATTTTTCTTTCTTGAAACACTCCCCTACTTCTTACTTGATACCATTCTCTTCTGGTTCTTCTCATTTTCCTACTACTCCTCATTCCCCATCCAGGTTTTATTTTCTCAGCCCAGTATTTGAATATGATTGTGCCTTACAACTCCATTTTGATAGTCTTCTCAATTGGTACCCACTCATAAATATATTGTCTTTAGAGCAACTATGTCCTGATAACTTCCAAATTTATGCCTTTAAGACAGGCTGTTTGTCTGAGCCCCAAACCCCAGACTTTTTGCTCATGTGTTTACCGATCATCTCTATATACTTGTTCTTTCTGTATTTATAGCTAAGGCACTGCATTCCACTTCCTTACCCAAACTTGAACCTGGAATTTATTCTTGTGTTTTTTTTTTAATTTCTTTCACCCCCTCCTTGCCGCTCATAGATGCCAGTTTCTGACAGTTCACATCCTACATCTATCTCTCTCTCTGATGTGTCTCTTTTCTCTGTTGCTGCCACCCTTTTCTTAACTTCATGTCTTCATCATCTCTGCCCTGGATTATTGCTTTTGCTTTCCAGTAGACTTTCTACTTCCAGTTATACAACCCCACATTGTCTCATGGAGAAGTTTTATGAAATGGCTGTTGATCATTTCATTGCTCTGCTTATAAACCTTATATTGCACCTTAAGTCTTTCAGCATTAAATTCCAGTTTTATAGCACGCTTTTCAAGACTCTAGGATTTGAGCCTAGCTCCATTTCTATCCTCTACTTCCTCTGCCTGTTTCTAACCTATTGCTATGCCTGTATATTTACAATTCTCGAATGCATTTTTTTGTATCTTTGCCCTTTGCACATGCTGATCCTTATGTTTATGCCTCTTTTATTCTGATTATTTCCACATTGCCCTACCCCATTAGCAAATATCTGCTCATCTAATACTAGGTTCAATATGACCTCCTGGAAGCTTTCCACTGCATGCTTCTCATATCCCTACACACAATAGAAGTAAGTACTCTTTCTTCAGTGATTCTAGAGTTGGAGACAGGTGCCTATCCAAGTGTACTGCAAGATTCTGTTTATGGCCTGTCTCCACCATTTGTGTAAGCTCTGTAAATGGCTTTTATGGTCATTTTTATACCAAGTGGCAAGAAGAAATAGTCAATAACATTGTGGAAAAAAGAATCAAAGCAACAAAAATGTACATGAACTGAAAATATGATTGCTTGACATTGAATATTAGGTCATTAGCATGCCAGAGCTATCTCATGCTGGCTCACAAGAGCCAAATGTTTAAAAACCAGGAATCTTGCCAGCTAGTTGTTAAGCCCTTTGAGGCTTGAAAGTAGGCATGGTGGGAATATTTACACTAGGGAAATCAGCAAACACCACAAATCAGCGCTTTTGTTTTTCAGAGAGACAGTTTTCCAGCAGACTACTGATATTCATGATTACAGTGCAGTCAGTTAATTCATGCTATGTCCATCAACCATGTGATAGCACCAGAAATCATAGACTCATGTTCTGAAAGTTCATATCCTAAATAACTCTCTGTGCCTCTTCTTTCCATTCCTATACCACCTTGCCTTAGTTCCTGTCTTCGTTGTCTTTGCCCTAGAAAACTACTGTTGCCTCCCAGTAGATGGTACCACCAGAACAATATTATTGTTAAACCTACCACTAGAACAATCTTTGAGCAAGAGTCCTGCCAGTCTGGAATCGAAGAAGTTAGTTATCGTTGACTCCTTGGGAATAATAATGTATAATGCTTTATTATATAAAGAGGGCACTTTTAATTTATCATCAGTTGCTTATGAAATAATTTCTTTTTTTTTTTCAGTTGCAGTGACAGGTGGATTTCTACAGACTGAATCTGTGGCCATAGTACTTATTTCAAGATAATTGGCCAAGGCTAGGTTACATCCTGTAGCCATGCAACAGTGACAGTAATTTGATCACAATAATGCTGACCCCATGACTTTTGACTTCATAATTATCTTGCTGTAGTCAGCTGGCCAACAGCACTTCATCAATGAAAATATCCACCAGGAGGAATATTATCATGGGGACAGTTATTAGAGCCACCTCCATTTTGACTTTGCCCCAAGCTTGGTCTGGGGAAAAAGCTTCTTAAAGTTGCCTCAGCAGTAGTTTGCTGCCTCCCAGCCTGGTTTTAAGTATATCCATAATTAACACGACGGGTAGAGGTGCAAGAATGCCACATTTTCTTCTAAGCCATGCAACCTCATTAAGAAAGTAAAACGTTTGTGAGTCTTTCATGCGGTCTTTCTCCCTCTGGGTTGTTGAAGCTCTCTGGATGTCAGCACAGCACTATGGGCCAGGAAAGTTCAGAGAATTACTTCAATAATATGACAGCCTCTTCCATTTAAAATGGAATTCAATGCTGGCTTCCCTTGGAGGCATTCATTGAAATTCCGTGCATGATCCATTCCTCTAGTCATTTAACAATGTGTCTCATGTTTGCCCTGATTTAAAGAAAGAAAGAAAGAAAGAAAGAAAGAAAACCAGCTTTGTATTTGTGATAACATGGATCAGGATAGTATAATTGCAGTGAAGAGGCCCCTGAGCCTGCAGTAATAGGATGGTTCATCTGATGTGTACTGCCATTAGAAAATGACCCATGCATGAATGTTCTCAGGGGACAGTAAAGAGGCTTTTAAGAATTACATTCTGTGTAGTATGAAAGCTAATGAGCAAAAGAGGAAGTACGAAGAAAAACTACTGCTTCAGGAAGCATGGTTCCACTTAGGTAGGGCCTGTCACAGCTCCCCTCAAATTCATTTGGATAGACAGGCCATTACTAGGATGACTACTATATTACCCCCATGCCCATGCACACTCCCTGCAGGTCATCCTGTACCAAGTTCCTAAGGAATTAAAACCAGCGAGTAATAAATGGTGAGGAAAAGAAAGAGGATGGATACAGCAACTGCCAATAAATAAGTTAAAAAAAGACATTTACGTCAAAGATGAAAGAAGTCGTAATGAACTTCAACAGCAAAAAAGAAAGTTAAAGGGAAAAAAGCAATTTCTGGTACATCCTCTTTCCACGTTATGCTATTTTACTTCATATATAAGAACAGAACAGTACCTAATTATGATTTCAAGTATATATATTTTAACCGTATCTTAATTTGTAAACATGTTTAAAAATAATGTCTCCAGTCTAGTCTATACTGCTTTCTTGTTTTAAAGGTTTTACTTGGCCGGGCGTGGTGGTTCACGCCTGTAATCCCGGCACTTTGGGAGGCCAAGACAGGCAGATCATGAGGTCAAGAGATCGAGACCATCCTGGCCAACATGGTGAAACTCCATCTCTACTAAAAATACAAAAATTAGCTGGGTGTGGTGGTGCGTGCCTGTTTTCCCAGCTACTTAGGAGGCTGAGGCAGGAGGAGGAGAATCATTTGAACCCAGGAGGCAGGGGTTGCAGTGAACTGAGATTGCACCACTGCACTCCAGCCTGACGACGGAGTGAGATTTCATCTCAAAAAAAAAAAAAAAAGTTCTACTTAGGGTTTTAGATTACATAAATTGGGAGGTTGGCATATAGGCAAAAGAAAGAGTCACACCTTGTTTATCAAAGTTAACAAACTTTGACAAACCAAGTGGTTTGTCAAACCACGTTTACATTGTCATTCCTTGGATTTATCTCCTGGGAGTTGAATTAGAGTAAGATAGAGGCTATAAAGGCCAGTAAAATCGATGCCTTCCTTGTGCCCGAGGACCCCTGGTTCTGATAGGCTTCATTGTGAGTGAAACTGTGGAGGCTGTCTTCTGCTTTACGTGAGGGAGAAGTTGGAGGCAGGAACATCCATGACCCCAAAATTCACCTCTCTGAGGCATAAGGCAGTGACTCCTCTTTCACCAAACCATAGTGATACTAAAATATCAAGCTGTGTGTCTGTTTTCTCCACCTAAGGCTACTGTGAACACCACAGTGCTATCAATAGATGAAGCTAGAAAATATTTCTGTCTTAAAGGTGATGTGCCCCAGTAATGAAGTGAGACAGGAAAAAAATCCATAGTGTTCACAGAATTAGAAAGCAGACTGACAGTAGTCTATGAATTCCAAAATTAGAAGTGGCCTGAGAGGTCTTTATTTCTCCAGGCCTTCATCTGATGTCCCAGGTTGTTTGGCAGAGTCCCTGTGTATCTTCTTTTTTTATAACCTAATTTTATCTTTCAAATAATATAAATGCTATTCTTGTTTCTAAAGGCCAAGTTACTTTCCCAGAGGCAGCCAGTAGCCTGGAACAGTCAAATCATTGAATTGATCTTATATTTAAGCAGAATTAAGCTATTTGCACATTTCAAGATTTTAAGATTATTTCGAGAAAACAAACCAGAATAAATATAGTCTCTTCAAAGATTGTGAGGAAAGCCATTATTTGAAATGGTCCTAGTAATTAAAAGCTATAGTATCACTGATTAGAAATGAAGTAAATGAAGGGACAAGAGTCTGTTTGAATAGCCTCACCCATACCTCACCCCTCAACTGTCTTCCTGGTGTTTCGCTCTCTAAGTAACATGTCTTCAAACTGTTAATGAGTGATATGAGTTGATTCTGATAGGCAGTCATGTTTTACATTTAATTTCTCTTGTTTTTCTTTATTTGATATTAATAAAGTCTTGTTCAGCAAACTGTGGAGCATAATTCTTATCTTTTTTACTTAATTGTTTTAAATATTGAGAAAACAATTAACATAATAAGCAGTCATTGAATACTTGCCACATAAAAGGGATGATGTGAGGGCTATGAGAACTAGAAGAATGTATAAATAAATGGTACTACAATTTAGCACAGAAAAGCAAGGATGCCAAAGTCAGAAAACCACAATTTAAATTTTAGCTACAATTCCTCGTAATAGCTCTGTGACCTTGACAAGTTACTATATCCTCCTAAGTCACAGTTTTCTCTTCTGCAAATGGAGTTTAGTAATATTGACTGCCTCCTAAGATTGTCATAACAAGAGCTTAATTCACTGTTTGGCTTAGAGTAAGTGATCAACAAATATAGCTAGTTTATAATGGAAAATCCTCAAAGAAGATAAAGTACAGAAGAATTGACAGGGAGCCAAGAAAACAGAACCAGGCAGATACTGTAAAGTGGCAAAATGCAAAAATTGTAAAACTGCAGCTAAAGACAGGGCTTTTCTGGATAAGCAATTTTCTTCTTCATATTCTTCACCAGCTATACTATTAAGCTAAGCTACTGTAATTCTACCTCACACCGTGTACAAAGAGCAGAGTTTGATTCAGAATCAGGGCTCTTGCTGGTTCCTTTGAAATTTGGAGAAATATTCGTATCTTGTCTTCAAGAGAAGTAATTTTTATATGAAGCAGCTTGCTAACTCTAATCATTTGAAAAGACATTCTACCATATTAAGATTACTTCCCTTAATAGACACATGTATATCACACTGCTTGGGTGGACTGGGAGAGGCTGTGAGAATTGGCCAGCTTCTGAAGAAATGTGCTTGGTATAGAAATTTGCTGTCTTCAGTATACCGCCTTCCCTGTTTCAACCTCCATAATTAACAGCAGGCATACTAGAAATGCAGAAATAGAGATTACTATTTTGTCTGTCATTTCATTCATTTCCAAAATATTGAAACTGTAACAAACTACTCAAATAAGAGTTAAAATAATATCAGTCACAACCATGCCAATCTACAATCCCTAATCAATTTACATTCTAATTGTTCATAATTGTGCTACATGAAGATAAATGTTTTCTTGACTGAATATTAACCAAATGCCCTCAAACTACAAATAGTATGCAACTGTTGTATTTTAGTAGAAAACCTATTCCATTTTCAGATTGATACAATGCAGACATTTTAAATCTTATAAACTCCTCGATCTTTGCCAAGTGCGTTCTTTTATTTGCTAGGAGGCATTTGTCCATTCCTAACCTTTTTACCTCCAGAAAATAAATGACACATGTGACTTGAAAATTGAATCGATCTTGACTGAAAAAGAAATAATAAAAATAGCTAATGTCTTTATCATCTCTGTAGCAAGCCTACAGGGCAGATACTGTTGCTGCTTCAGTTTTGCAAGATGCATTATATCTTGCTAATCCTCAATAAATATGAAAAAGTGATAATTTCACAGCTAAGAATTGACAAACTGGAACACATTTCTCATTTGAATAGACAAGATAAGCAGTTCTCACCAGTGCTGCCATCTCTGCCTTCGGGTGTGTTGTGTCCCAGGCAGGCACTGTCGGTTCATTCATAGGTCACTGCTATTTTATTTCTGTTTGTCTATTTCTGGACCAGAACTCAGATTCACATCCAGACAGCTGCCTGTCTTAAAGACCATTCTGCTCTACCTTCTGTGACATAATTTAAAGAAATGAGTAGCCCCAATTAAACCATTGCAGGTGTAAATTTCTTGCCTGGAGAGAGAATTGAGAAATGAATGGGATTCATGAATATAAATTGGGCTCTCCTTACACTAAAGTTTTCATTTTGAAATGGTAGAGTATTCACTCCCCACATAAATCTGTATTTGCCTTAAGTGTGTTTACCATGGGAACCCCAGTGTAAAGCTCGTAGCCCATTGCTATGCATAACTGAATATTAAAGTTCACAAATCATTAGGCAGAGGAGGCCTGGAGAAGGAGATGCTGTGGCAGGGCAGCTGCATCTGGGCTGGCAGCAAAGACGAATTCTGCTCTCACAGGCTCTGCACCTTTACTAGGATGGGGCCACCCAACCTGCCCACTCTTTTTCTCTTCTTAAATATTATTTAATATTAAGGATTGCTTCTTCTTCCAACCAAGACATTCTGCTTTCTGAATGTCTTAACAGCTCTATTATTTTCCCTTCACCCAATTTTGGTTTAGAAGATGGTGTGTTAAGTGAATCTCTTATAGGCCACCTAATTTATTTTCAAACAAATGCCTCTGTGAAAGGATGGAAGGATTCAATAAGGAAATACGTAAATAATCTTCAGACGCTAAGCAACCCGCTTCTCTTTCCCCCACTTCCCTCTTTTCCTTCCCTCCTTTCCTCTCCATCTTTTTTGTTGTTGTTTGTTTACATTGTAACTGTATATATTCTGTGAAGATCCATTGAGGCCAATTGGCCTTTCAGTGTATAAACAAATATAATCCAAAGTACTAAATGGCACTCCTCTCATTTTCAACTTGTGCTTTCAATCTTCAGCCAGAAGTAAGGCCTTATTATATTCACAATTATATGGACTTGAGAATGAGTGTACATTGCCTGCTCTTTGCTGTAGAACTAAATCAGAAGGAAATCTGTTGGTTATAAGTTTTCTATGATCATCCCAAGTTATTTTCTTATGTATATAATAATTCATGCTACAAAGAGCTTGGTGTGGTTTGGAACAATGTCATAATAAAATGGTAAAATAGCCACAGAATTTTTCAGGGCAATTGGATGTATGAATCACAATGGGAGACCTAGACAATGAAAAACAATCGGAAACAATTTTCTGCAATTAATGTGAAAATAATTTTCTCTCAAGTCTCTCTGCAAATGAGAACAGAGAAGTAGAAGTAGTGAAAATGGTAATATGGGATTAATCACATTTCTTGTTCCCAGGTCTGATGGTTTTTCCTTATTGTATAAACTTCAAACACTGTAGGTATGCAGAACTCTGAGCTGATCTTGTTATTCTTAAATAGACCTGCCAAGCATATTAAAGGAAGGTTCTGACTGTCTGCTGTGGACAGAATGTAGCTCAAGGAAATGTGGTTATTACCCTTAATTATATTCGTAATATGTGGTGTCTTTACAATAATTTAAAATAATTCAGTAAATTGAAACCACTATGAAGATAATTTAGGGTAATAAGAATGTAAAACAATGGGACACATAAGGAAGGTCAAAGGGTAGCTTTTTAGATTACACACTGGTTCCACTTGCCAATTGTAGGCATAGGGCAGACCTCTCAAATTGGCCTTTTCCCAAGCTTGCTCTCCAATTCTCCAAACTGAGGACACCTTGCTTCTATCTCATTTGATGAACTGAGCCAATCTCCTAATTCAGTGACTATTTGCAAGCCAAATTTTCATAATATTTCTGAAATGAATGAAGATACATTTTGTATATCCAAGGATAGTTAAGTATTTTCTTTTATAAAGACTATAATATAATGTGGTCCTTCTTTAATATAAAGACTCTCAGAGGCACTCAATATATAGATTACTTATGAATGATGCATGTTGATTAGCTAGTTTTTAACTTTTGGTTTCAATTTTTAAAATCCGATTGTGAAAGTTAGTTCATATTTGTGTTAAGAAAATCTAGGATTTTAAAGATTCTTTTCTCTCAGAGAATTGTATTAAGATAGCAGTTCCACTTACTCTTAGGTGCTCTACATGGTTAATAATATGAGCTCTGGAAGGAGCTTATTATACAGCATAAAATGAATGTCTTTCATTTCTCTACCACTGTGTCATTTTCACCTAAATCATAACTTTCTTCCCAACATTTATAAGAACAATCGACAGGCTTCCTTTATAAGGATGCATTTTAAACCACTCATTGAAGTGAGGATTTAAATAACTAGAATAAATCAATTCTGGCCTACCTAAAAAAATAAAAAAAGACAAATGAAGGCTAACAAACTGACCCACCCAGAAAGACATGAACAGATAAATTTTTGAATATTGTATTCTTTATTATCTATTATATGTATTAATACTTGGTCACATATTGGAGTATTTTACCAAAAAATTCTCTCAGAAGCTAGTGGTGAAACAGAAGAAAAGCATCACATGCGTCCCACTTGCTGTTGCCTTTTTGTCTAAGGCAGTGGTTATCGTGAATTCCTCAGGGTAGCAAGTCATTTGGTTCACTAGGACATAAAAAAATAGAATTTATCCAAAGTTAATGGGCTGTTTGGTGGTCTCTATGTGTGAAATGAGATTGTCCAGGAGAAGAGGATAGTCAGGGAATGAGTCAATTTAATTTTAAAATAACTTGATAATCTGTGAATTCTCCAAATATCCTCAAAACCAAAGAAAAAGCCAAATATGAAAGGTGTAATTTATAGTAGTCAATTGGTATCAATAGAGTCTTCTGTTTTTGTGCCATGAATAATTTATCATTGTCACATGTATTCAATAGACCATTCTGCATAACAATAGAAATGTCAGTGAATTTTTAAAGCCATAATCTTGTTCACTCTTAGAAGTAAAAAAAAGAGAAAATGCATTCTTAGGGAATAAACATCTGATAACACATTCTGAATGTGGAGACTGAGATGTCTGAAGGCTGCCTTTTGAACCAGTAGTTTTACCCCATGAAACATCACTGTGTTCTTTCTGCACAACCAGTTCAAAAGATCTCTTTTCTTCGCAGGTTACCAGCCAGTCTTGTCTGGTCAACAGGGATTCCAAGGCCTAATAGGAGTGCAGCAGCCACCTCAGAGTCAGAACGTGATAAATAACCAACAAGGAACTCCGGTGCAAAGCGTGATGGTTTCCTACCCAACAATGTCTTCTTATCAGGTGCTCATAAGCAGCTTGGAAAATTGTGGGTTTTAAAGTAGAATTTGCCAAAGTGGAAGCTGTGGGTCTGTCCCTGGTTTGGGTGGCTGGCTGGGTAATGCGTGCTTGGTCCATAACTGTTGATAATTTACTTTGAATCAAGATTATAATAGAAAAGTAGAAAATGCAAAATACATGCTTCTGTCACTACTGTGGCTTTTGAATGCTCTCCTAAGTTTATTTCCATATAACTTCATATTCATGGAAGAAAATACATTAGTCTACAGTTTTATTCATAAAGACCTTTGGAAATTTTATTGCATTTTGCTTATTGGTAGAAAGTCCTCATGACAAATTCCCATTCATTTTTGTACACACCCAAATAAACTTCATTTTTCCATAACTTTAAGTTATAAGAGATTTTAATATGGCATCTCAGATTCATTTAAAGGGCATTTCTGGAGCCTAGCAACTACATTCTCTGGACTAAACCCAAGTTAAGTATTTTAAAAGTGTTATGTATCCTTTTGTGATGTATATTCTAAAATACCCCAGAAGTAGAAATAAAGAGTTAGTGAAATGGTATAATAATTAAATTTAACTGTACCAGGTGCTTCTGACCCTAAAGGACCTATTCTAGGGCCCCTACCCTACTATTCTGATTCACATTGCATCAACTTCTACCTCCACCTCCACAATAAGTGTTCTCTAAAGTTGCAGGTTGAGAATATAGTAGGTGCCCAGGACAAAAGCCCTTTTCACTGTGGAGGACTCCAGGCCACTTTGCATAAAATCAGAAAGGGAACATGGCTTTTCAAACTGAGAGAAACCCAGAGTGGAAGATCTAGACTATAGTTTCTAGAGGTCATTGAGAGAGAAGGGAAGGAAACTCAGAACTAACACCTTCTCAGCATCTACTGCATTCCAGGCAGTGTGCCAGGCACTGTACACCATCCCTTCAATCCTTTCAATGGTACTTTGAAGCATGTATGTCATTATCGCAATGGACTAGGGAATTAGAGAGGTTAAGTGACTTTCCTAATGTGAAACAGCCGATAAATGGCAGAGCTGGAATTGATGACCTGTTAGGTCTAACTCAAAAGTTTGAATATTTTTCATGACACCATGTTGTTTATTGTACAGACCAAAATAGTCTCTTCATACAGGGTTCTTGCTTGTGTCTTTTTACAGGTGCCAATGACCCAGGGTTCTCAAGGACTGCCCCAGCAGTCATACCAACAGCCAATCATGCTACCTAACCAGGCAGGTCAAGGGTCACTCCCAGCCACTGGAATGCCTGTTTACTGTAATGTCACACCGCCCACCCCTCAGAACAACCTTAGGCTGATTGGCCCACACTGCCCCTCCAGCACTGTCCCAGTGATGTCAGCTAGCTGCAGAACAAACTGTGCAAGTATGAGCAATGCTGGTTGGCAGGTCAAATTCTGAGAGCTCTGGCTGTGGTACATTTCTTCAGATATTTCTCATGGCCTTTGATGGAAGAGGAACAAGGTGGGAAAACTGGCTGAGGACTTAAGTATTCACTCAACACTCAAATGATTGCTGCTGGTATTCTGTAAAAAATAAACAAAGACTAATATACACGTTAGCTGGTTAATGGTGCATATTTCTGTCATGTCTGCTAGGTATGCCTTTATAGCTTAGCTAGTGACATGAATTCATCAAGGTAAGATTTTCTCCTACCACTGAATACCACTGTGTAGATTATAATATCCCTAATTTGGATTAGTTTTGTACTTTGTGTTGAGTTTGTGATGCTAAAAGTATTTAAAAATTATATACTAAATCACATTGTACCAAAGCTGTAATGGAAAAGCAAAGAAGAATTGATGAATTGAAGGAATAATTTATATACATTATAGAGTTTTCTTTTTTAATGGATATATACTGTATTGTAGTGTTTAATCAAAATAAAACTATTTGACCTTATGGAGGAAGGTCATGTTTTTACCACCAGTTTGGTTCACTATGTCTTCCAATGTGTGTTTTCTTATGTGTCACTGTATTCCCTTCAAACACTATTTCATGAATACCACATGGAAAAGGTATTTCAGGCATTTATAAGTAAACTGCCATCACATGGGAATATGCCGTAGCAAAGACTTAACGAACTGTAGTTTATTGTCATAATACTAAAGGGTCCTGAAAATAAGATGGCATCCATTTGATTCATTCATGGAGTTTGCAGTTTTAAAATATATACCTTCCTATTAATTATAGGACTATTAAAAGTATGTAGTTATACTTCACCAACTAGGAAAACCTGCATGTCATCATTAACAGCAGCCATATACCAAACCCTGTTCTACCTTCATGTGAGTTTCATTATGTACCTGAAAACAAGGTAACTTTGTTTAGAGGAAAATCAGAAGAGGCATGGTCTAATCCTGCCTGTTTTATTGGGTCATAGAATGGAAAGTGCCACTAGTATTGACAGTGAGTCAGTAATTCAAAAGTGCTAATGTTTGTCCCAGTAATTTAAAACAAAGTAAATATAGCAATGATTTAATTGCAAAGATCTAGAACATTGGCAATTCCATTTAGATGAAGCCCATGTCTACCTAATGTCTCTCTGAGAAATAACAGAGCTGTGAACTCTGAGGTTTGGCCCTCCTGGAAGATATTAATGGGGAAATAAAACCCCTGTGTTTTCACTTTAATATCACAGTACAATGACTAATAGTTTTGTATTTTATATTTTCTATCTAAAAACCATGATTACCAATGAGAGGAATATAGGGAGTATATCTGGATAATTTCTATTGTTTTTCATATTATCACATTCTATGTTAGATTTGCTGTTTTTATGTTGTTCAGCTGTGGGTAGAGTTAAGCAGCCGGTTAAAAACTCTATCTAGCAGATTACCATTACTTCATTCTATACTATTGTTTTCTTTTTCCTTTGAAAGGGAACTCTTACATATACTCTAATTGGCTTTATTCCTTATGAAGTCTGTTCCATTTTTTTCAGATTTCAGTCTACTAGTATTTCCGTGGTCTACTCTGACCATGAAAAGTGTTGTAACAAAAGGATGTTGCATTTTTTTCTTATCGAGCCATTAGCTACTCTGAAAAAAGCACTGTGTTTGCTTAATTAATACCTTCCCCTAATGGAAATATGGGATTGGCAAATATTCTCCATTTAGCTTTCTGATGTTGGCAGTTATCCTAAATTTAAGAATCCAAATATGAGCCTGAATATTTATTTTTTCCATAAAATTTTGCAAACTTTTGACATTTTCTTTCAAGATCTTTAGAATTACTGAGGCTTCTTTTCTATGGATTTGAAATATATGGTATGTTAGTGGTAAAGACAGGGCTTTACACCTAAAGAAATTTCATTTGACCACTTTTCTCCAAAGATGTAGCAGTATCTCATGTTTAGACATTTGATATTTATTGTATAAATCCATTTGGATATTGTTGCAGGCCAAACCTTCTTTCCTACTTTCACAAAATACTCCTATACATCTGTCTTAGTCCATTTTTGTAGCTATAACAGAATACCTGAAGCTGGGTAATTTACAAAGAAACAAAGTTTATTTGGCTCAAGGTGCTGATGGCTGGAAAGTCCAAGATTGGGCAGCTGCATCTGGTGAGAGCCTCAAGCTGCTTCAACTCGTGGCATAAAGCAGGAGAGCAGCTATGTGCAAAGAGATTACATGGTGAGGAAGGAAGCAAGAAAGAGAAACCAACAAGAGTGAGAACTCACTCAACCCCACAGGAGGGCATTAACCTGTTTATGAGGGATCTGCCCCAGTGACCCAGACTTCTTTCATTAGGCCCCATCTCCCAACCCTGATACATTGGGGATCAATTTTTTTTTTTTTTTTTTGAGACGGAGTTTCACTCTTGTTGGAACAAGAGTGCAGTGGCTGGAGTGCAATGGCATGATTTCAGATCACCACAACCTCTGCCTCCTGAGTTCAAGCAAATTCTCCTGCCTTAGCCTACTGCGTAGCTGGAATTACAGGCAAGCAACACCATGCCTGGCTAATTTTTTTGTATTTTTAGTAGAGACAGGGTTTCTCCATGTAGGTCAGGCTGATCTCGAACTCCCGACCTCAGGTGATCCGCCCGCCTCAGCCACCCAAAGTGCTGGGATTACAGGCGTGAGCCACCATGCCCAGCCGAGGATCAAATTTTAACATGAGTTTTTGTGGGGACAAAACACATCCAAACCATAGCATCAGCATCATGGTATTCCAAATCTTAGATTATGCTTACTGTTTTGTTGCATTAGAATTTTGGGGATGGCTGTGTAGAAAGATGGTTTTATTAGTGAAGCATTTCCAAAACTTATTATCAGGAGAACCCTTAATTTCTCATTTTAGTTACTAATCTTATCACAATCACATTTTGTAAGTACAGATTATTCAGTTTATAAACATATCAAGATATAGGAAAACATATAGATATATAAATATATTGATATATTGCTATACTTATTCCTAATAATTCTCTGTAACCCTATATGAATGTAAAAGAGAATAAGAATGACTTATGCATTCATTTTTTTCAGCAAAATTTTATTGCATACTGGATTATATTCCAATTATGTGGCACCACTCAAAACAAGAGTACATATAAATTTAAAGCACTTAAATTTATCTTGTAAATGTTATCATACATTTTGTTATTGTTTGATAGTTGTAACTAAATGTTGTAACAAGAACACCAACACATTTAAGCCATAATCATGTTATTGATTTAATATAGTTCTACAGGGTATGAGGTGAGGCAGCAAAGTGTGTTATACAACTTTATGGAAATGTGATTATGTAGTTTATAATAAAAA
Organism: Homo sapiens; assembly: GCF_000001405.40. Lineage (NCBI taxonomy): Eukaryota > Metazoa > Chordata > Mammalia > Primates > Hominidae > Homo > Homo sapiens. The sequence continues at coordinate 35,797,329 of NC_000003.12, forward strand.
TATTTGGAAGACTTAGAACAGAATTGTAAATCATCATAAAAAACAAGTGCAGTATCTATGAACCAGAGCAGTTTTTCAAGAGAGAATTGAAGAATGAAGCAAATACAATCAAGGAAAAAAATGCTGCAGCAGAAATGGATTTTGAGATTTAATAAATGCATATTTAGACTCTGCTTCCACTTTTGCTAACAGCTAAAGTGCAAGGGGACACTTTCATACTCCCATTCTCCTATTACTTGTGTTCCACATTGTATTAGTCCATTCTTACACTGCTATAAAGAACTATCAGAGATTGGGTAATTTATACAGAAAACAGGTTTAATTGACTCATAGTTCTTCATGGCTGGGTAGGCCTCAGGAAACTTACAATCATGGCAGAAGGTGAAGAGAAAGCAAGGCATGTCTCACATGGTGACAGGAGAGAGCGAGCGAGGGGGAACTGTCACACACTTTTAAACTGTCAGATTTCATGAGAACTCACTCACTATCATGAGAACAGCATGGGGAAAACCAAATCCATGATCCAATCACCTCCCACCAGTTGTTCCCCCAACACATGGGGATTACAATTAGAGGTGAGATTTGGGTGGGGACACAACCAAACCCTATCACATATATACAGGTACAAACAGTGGACAAAGCTGCAGGCCTACCTCTTACCTGTGCCTTGGCACTCACATCACAGCACCTTGATCATTTATAAATAAAAAATAAAGCATTAGAAATACTTAACCCTCAAGGTGTTATTAAAACAGATCTTTTGGGTTTTGAAGTCAAGTAATATCTTATATATAAATGTAAGCATTTTATATAAATATTAAATGAAGAAATTTTTAAAAATTCCATGGAAGACTGTTTCCTTGGAATATGTATAGTTATATGAAACAGACTGTTGCAAGGACAATCATAATTGAGAAACAAGGTAAAACAAGGTTAAACAATCTTTCCAAAAGCTACCAAATTTTTGGAAACCTTTAATTTATCACTTTATATTATAAATTTTTAAGAAGAAGGCATAATTTGCATAGTTTCTCCAACATATTTGAACACAGTATCTTTTGTTCACAGAATATATCAAAAGACTAATATTGCAAGAACCATTTGTTTTTTTTAATTGTGTTAGAGAATCCCAAAACAAGAGCACAAATAGATCTCTTTTAATTCCATAGAAACAGTGTTCTGTATCAAAATGTAATATCGCAACCCTACTTCCAACGGTGGCATATTTTGGTAACTGCTGTAGTGTGAACTATTGAACTATTTCTTCTGTGAATATGTGAATCTGGAAGGTCGTGCCATAGTGCCAGACTTTCTGGATCTTTATTTAATTCTTAATGTTGAAGGGCTTGATATCTATATTTATATCTTCAATTATGGTTATAGTCATATAGATATACTTGTCTCTACTGATCTCTTACACCTTTATGTGATTGTAAAAGAGAACGAGAGTGATTACGCATTCATTTATTCAGCAAGTTTTTATTTCACACTTACTAATTTCAAGACCTCGAGCCACAGTCTATGGAGCTCCTACCCTTAAGAAGCTTATGAATTTTTGAAATACATTATATAAGTATATAAATAAATAAAAATATAGGAAATTAACTATAGGTCTCATGTGAAAAATGTTGTAAAAATATCTTAGAGAAAGAAACGATGGCTTCTGGCTGTGGTTTTATGAAGCTTTTGTCGTGGATTCTATTGGGTAGATGAAATTTGAACACACAGAGATAGGATGGGTGGGTTATAACCCCAACCAAGATAAATGCCTGCATGGAAAAGAAAGAAACATGGGAAAGTATGCAGTATAATTTAGGTTGCTTAGAGTAGGAAGTGGACAGCTAGAACAAAAAGAGGAGGCGTACAGGGAAATTCATAATGGGCCTGATTGGCACGACCTTAAACGCCAGGCACAGAGTTAACAGGCACCCACCGACTCCTGCAGACTTTTTATTACAAGATGATATGACCTCAGCATGGTTTATAAAGAAGTATAGGTCTCAAAAAGTAGGATAGGTTACACTTGAAAGTCCTCTTCTTTCAGAAAGTGGAGACGAATGCAACAATAATTAAAATTTGCCACTGAGCTACAGCTACCATTAGCATTGTTGGGAAAATTCAAAAATGATTTCTAGCTCCAGACTCTTAACACTGAGCCACTGAGCAGTTCTGTTGGATGGTTGGATGCACAGCAATACTTTAGAGATATATGTCTCACTTTTCCCTCTTGGACACGACCTTCTGCATCAGGGCACATAAGTGCCCTGTCTTAAGCTGCATCACAAGGCATAGTCACTATAATCTGTCAGGGAAAAACAAATAGAGACTAAGCTGGAATTGGAAGCAGCATTGGAAGGGCTGCCACGTCTCCATCACAATATATTCAGTATCAATGCACAATATGCAGTGAAATCTAATATCAGCTCCCTATTCCCCCTTGTATAAAAAAATGGTGACAGTACTTTTTCATTATGGCTCAGAATCTTTTTTTCTGGACTCTTCTGGATGCCACTTCTTCCACACAAGATTAGAAATCTTTGCTTCTTCCCATGTTATTCTGTCCACCTTTTACTAAGAAAGGTTGTTCTCTTTAGAGTTTTAGCATTATTTTCTAGTTTTCTGCTTTAGTTTTTGTTTCAAGTTCAAATCTTTATCGCCTGATTTCAGCGGGGTTTTGCAACCTCCAATCTTTTCCACAGAAATATTTGCCACTGTTTTGTGTCATCAGCGGCAAGAGCTTTCACTCGTTGAGATGGGTCTTCTGCTTTTCCCAATAATGTGTACCTTGTAGGAATGAGAGGCAGCTGATACTCTTCTTCTGTAGAGGAAAATCACTACCTTATTGATATCGTAACAGAAAACTGATTCTTCTGCTGGGCTTGATGGTGCTTCCTCTACGACAATATTAAACACCTCCCTGACAACAGAAGCTCAGGGAATACTTTGACATTTGTGTTTGTTATTTGGTTTGTTTTGTTTTAATGCTTTATTCCATTTTACCCTCAGTGTTGGAATGGGAGAGAGAAGAGGTCAGATACAGCAAACAGAAGGAGATATAAATCTGAGTAGGAATGAGGCTCAATCTGAATTTGATGGATAGTCAATGAACAAATTCAGCAAGTATTCATGAAGATGTGTGGGCAGATGACCCACAGGCCCAGTCCAATTTGTCTAGATAGCATCCTACTGGGGAAGAGCTCAACTTTTTAAATACTCCAGGCTTCTCACCTTTAGCGTCTGGCGTATATAGATGAGAGGGCACGTAGGGATTAGGGATGGGGAGGAGACCAGGGAGGAAGAAGGTAAGGCATATATGTATAAAGGTTCTGGAATTAAAAGTAGGGAAGTTTATTGTGAAGCACTGAATCATGTTTCTAGCTAAAAGATCCAGAGCCTCCATCAGAATAGCCTAATAAAATAGATCTGATGGTTAAATGTAGGTGATACTTATGGCCATATCACTCACCCTGTATTCCCAAGGTTTTTATTGCACTAATAGTTTGAAACCACCAACGTTTGTGTTATCATGATGCTACCATAAGACTCTCTACCCCCTTGCAGTTCTATTTTTTAACATGATATTTGCAGTTGTTTCTCCCATGTTATTGAGAAAGTCAGTCAGTAGGCATCTCTGTGTCTGCAAATGTGTCTCTCCCCTTTGTGTAAAAGGTTAGTGAACCTCAACTAGTACAAGGTTCACATTTTTTGAAGAAATATCAGTGTGTTTGCCTTTCCATTAGAGGGTCACTTAGAGAAACTCTATGTACATAGTGCATTCTTGGTCACTTGCCTCAGTCCCATTAATTATTTCTAAGCTAGTGGTGTCATGGGATCCCTACAGTGTAGCTCCTCCAGCTGGAAGTTTCTGTGGCTGTTGCCACCTTTGCCCAAGTTTTGCTTGGGCCTGCTGGGCTTATTCTGCCCACTCAGCCTGTCAGGCTGCACTTGGCTCATGCTACCAGCCCAGATGCCACACTGCCAAGGGTGTGGAGTGGCAAGGGGTGTGTGAATGAGAGAGCATGGGATCCAGCCATTGTGCACACGGTGGCACACCAGTTGCTGTGGAAGGGTAGGCAGCTCCAGGCACCAGCATAGGCATCAGCTCTGTGCAAGGCTGTGGTTTGACCAGGTGTAACACAAGCAGCTTCCACTGCGGGCAGTGGGGAATGCAATGGTGCCTGGAAGCTTGGAGACACCAGGAACCACAGAGCCCCAAAGGGGGTGTCACACCCTGGCTCAAGGAGCCCTTAAGTCTGGCCTCCCTGAAAGGCCAGAGCTCTTCTCTCCTTGTCACTTGCAATGTGGCAAGCACAGGCAGCAGGGGTGGGGAGTGTTGGGCATGTTTCAGCCCTGTTTGCATTACATACATGTCTTTCAGTTCCACCATTCAGCAGGTGTTGAGATCTTCTCCCATGTCAGGGAAGAATGAGGTATGCAGACAACTAGAGGGTGAGCAAGGTGGAGAGGTACTTTATTGAGCACCTCAGTATAGCCCTCAGGAGACTCAGAGTGGGTAGCTCCTTTCCACAGGCAGATCATCCCAATGTCTGCAGCCCTCAGTGGAGAGGAGACCCGGAGTGGGTAGCTCCTATCTGTAGGCAGGCCGCCTGACTCTACCTGAGTCTGACTGAGTCCGGGGGTTTTTATGGGGTTCAGAAGGGAGGAAGTCTGTGTTAATTGGTCCATGGGTGGCCACAGGCAGGCCCAGTAAAAGAACCATAAGTTCTCACTTGGAGCCACGACTCCACTGGGAACATGGGGGACAGCCTGGCAGGGATGCCGGTGTTTGCAGCCGTGGCTGGGTGGCTGCAGCTGTGCCCAGGAGGATGGGGCTCCCATCCCACAAACTCAGAAGGCTTAGGTGGTGATCCCACAATCTCCGTGGAGCATGCAGCCCTGGTGGCACCTTCCCTGCTGCAGCTGCTATCTTCACAGCTACCGCTACAGACAGGCTGCTGCTGCAATCTGTGGAAATTTCAGAAACAGGAAAATCACCTGCTCTCTCAAAAAACAGGATGCTCATCTGTCATTTTCAAGTGTTTTAAATTTTTGATTCAGAAGAATAAAGCTACATTTTCAAATGAAATGTGCAAGCCAATTTCATCCTTTTGAAAGAGAAAGGAATTAGTTAAGGTGCTTAATAGTAATGTAACAGAGAGCAATGGCCTGAGACTGAAAAAAGTAGCGATTTAAATTGGACATTAAGAACATTTCACTTAAAGCAAGGCCAATTATACAGTGAAATAACTTCCTAAGGGAGAAACAGTGAGATGCCATTAAAAGAGTTGTTAAAAGGAACATAGATAAAAAACACTTGCAGCTGAATCTGCTGAAGGATCATTTTATGATTTATTGCCTTGCTATGCCTATATGTCTTTCTCACTGGAGATTTACCTGGCTTGGTTAGCTTCCTTTACATGCTGGCAAGACTCATATTGTACCAGAGGACTAGGATGTCTGTATTCCATTTTTCTTTATGCAAAATGTAAAGCTCTAAATGAATTTGGTGAAAGAGGCAAGTGGAATGTAGGGAGCTAGTGTTGTGAAAAATCTACATTGTGTTAGTGCCCTAGGGTTATTTTTGGCATACACATGCATATGCACACACAGACACATATATACACACAAACAAACATGTATGTCTATTTAATGTCTAATTCTGTTGAGTATTTATCTATATATTATTAAATTTTATTTAAACTTTCTTCAAGAAATTAATTGATGGTTTTTTTTCAAATTGGTGGCTCTTCATCAGTCTGTATTCCTGGGCTTGGGGACGCATACATAACAAGGATATGATGTGGATTCCTCCACACTGCCATATTGCTATACCTACAACACGGGATATAAAAAGCATCCTTTAACTTATGTAAGAAGTCCTGAATTTGAATACCATCCCCCACCACCACCACATACACACACTCAAACACTCGCTGTGGAATTTGTGCAAGCTCCTTAACCTTCTGCGATTTTACATTCTACATTTGTGAAAGGAAAAGAAAAATGCCATATTGGCTAAGCAGTGTTCATTTATAGAGGTTAAGCCAATTTTTATTATACTTTTGTATATTGTTCTAAATGAACCAAAAGGCTGACATATTGACCTGAAAGATTCCCTGAAATTCTTACTATTAATGTACTTCCTGGAAACCTATACATTTTTAGTGGATATTTTGAGTTTTCTCTTATGCTGTCTTAAAGTGCCTTCACAAAGGAATTCCTCTTTGGAGACTTCTGTTAAGATCAGGCTGTTTCCCAACTCATTCAGGAGAAGGGGCATGCCTGACCCTCACTCAGCCTCCGTTGGTTCTCACCACTTTCCTTTCACTACAACTGCATTCGAAACCCCATCTTCCTGACTGTGGGGTCCATCTTCTTTCTTTAGACAGGTTATTCAGTCTTTGGGTCATTATCTACTAATCTCCAAAGTAGAGATAATGACTCCTCCATCACTTGATGGCTTTAGGAACAAAGTGAGATTTCAGATAGGAAGCTCTGTCTAAGCATCCATCCCTGGAGTTTCCAGTGCAGTACCATGTCCCTAAATGCTCTGATCAATTGTGAAATTTCGGTGATTCATGTCCAGTAAATGGAGTGGGTGGTAGGGAATGAGACTTTACGATTTCATGTATTTAGGAAGATCTAAAAGTGTCTCTGATGATCAGTTAGATTAGGGTTAGATGACCTTTGAGATCCATGACAGCTCTAAGAGACACTAATGACCTATGTAGACTATTTCTAGATCATGATACACAAAATCCAATTCATCTAGGTTATTCAGGGCAATAAGGGTGTTTAGGGTAATTTTCTGAGTGTAATAAGGGATACTCAAGGCCATGGAGATTTTTTTTCTTTTAGAAGGTACAAAGCTTTCAGGGACAGATAGAATTTGGAGAGATCTGCAAAAAATTTAGTCATCCTTTACAGAATTTATTTAAAAAATTAATATTACTGTCCACCTGCAGGCCTTATACTATAAGGAATAACAACATTTGTATAGTAGTCATTGTGCTTCAGAGGGTGATGCAACAAGCATGAAGGTGAGGGTGATGTGTGTCGATGTTTTAATTAAAGGCAAACTAGGCAGAAAGCCTGCTTTGTCCAGGCTGCCAGGAATGACCAGCCCTTCTTGTCCAGTGCATGTTTTTCCTAGGCATTGTATCCTTGGAGATGAAGTCAATGACAGAAGACAAGGGGAAATAATTTTTATCTTCTATTTTTTTCTGAATTATTTTGCTATTTTGAAATTAAGGCTTCTTGATGTATTTATTAAATATATGTTCATGTTATACAAATTAATTTTGTTGTGGTCTCCAAGGAGCCTTTCTTACATTTCAGAATCTAAATCTGAATTTTTCTGTGTTTTCTGTTTCTCTGAAAAAATATAATATCTCTATATTTATTGAACGGGCAGGAAAACAATTGTGATTCAATGTTTGCCTGTGGCTGTAATTTATCATTCCTTTTTCTGAAATTAAACAAATGGTTCTCCAATTAATGCCTTTATACCTGTCTTCATAGAAAATTACTCTCAGAGCAAAACACAGGAATAATTTATTTTCACCTAGGAAATAGCATTCTTCTCTCTAATAGACAATAATGTCTTTGAAATTCATTATTTTTACCTTTTCACCCTGGCTGCTAGGAAGCTTGTAGCTAGTTTTTGCTCTTTAAAGCTTTCCTCATCAATAAAATGTTAACAGAGTTTAGCCTTTGTTCCACTATTGCTAATCAGGGTATATTTTCCTTATGGTATAAATTGTTTCTATTCTCACTAAGATGTTTTATTTAGTAAGATATACTTCATAAACTTTTTAGGTATAGGTGAAGGTATTTATTAAATCAATCAATCTTTATCTCACACCATACACAGAATTCAATGACAGATGTATTGTAAATGTACTTGTAAATGTTGAAGCTATAAAGCCTTTAGAATAAAACAGAATCATATTTTTATGGCCTCGAAGTAATCAGAGATTTCTTAAAGAGAAAAAAAAAAGCTAATGATAAAGGAAAAGATTATAACTTAAACTTTTTAAAATGAATAATTTCTTTTCATCAAAAGTCCACTAATAAAATACTGAAAAAGGAGGCACAAAATAAGTTAATCTATGTATAATCCATGTAAATTGCAAGTCACCGGTACAAGACATATAGAAAATACAAATATTTCTAAAATCCATAAGAATAAAACAGTAAAGTCAATAAAATAATGAGCAATAGAAGTTGAATATGTACTTCAAAAAAGATGAAGCTTTCCAATAAATATGGAAAAAGATGTGCAACCTAATTATCCGTTATGGAAATGCAATTTAAAACCATATGAAATATTACTATCTAGCCACCAAAATAGCTAACATGAAAAAAAAAGGAAAATATCAAGTGCTAGAAGGGGGTGGAGCACTGAAAACTCTCATGCATTGCTGGTGGGAGTAAAAATTGGTAGTCATTTTGGAAAACTGTATGGTAGTATCCATTAACATTAAATGTAGGCATAACCCTCTATTTGTATATTCAACAAAAATAATGCATACACTAAACAAAATATGTGTTCAAGAATGTTTACAGCAGCACCATGTGTAACAGCAAAAAAAAAAATTAGAAATGACTGAAAGTTCATTAACATAGAATGGATAAATATCTTGTGGTATTTATTGAAATATCACAAATTCCATAAGTTATACAATAGAAAATTATATATCAATGAGGATAAATCAATTAGTGCTACCTGCAAAAACAAGAGTGTACTTTATAAACACTGTTGAACAACAGAAGTCAGTTATAAAAGAGTACATATCATCTGATTCCACTCATGTAAAGCTCAAGTAATCTATGCTGCAAAACCAGTATAGTTTTTACCTTTAGAGAGCTATACAAGGGCGACACAAGGGTGCTGATAGTCTTATATATGTTTTTATCTATGTGTTGGTTATCCAGGTTTGCTCAGTTTATAGAAATTCATCAATCTTTCCCCCTCTTCTTTTTTTGATCACGTTTCTGTATGTCTGTTATACTTTCAAATTATTGAATGATTAATTAGTTCTCTCTGGGAAATACCTCCTACCAACCCCTTTCAATTGTAAAATATTCTCACTTTTTCATCTTCTTGACAAAATGATAAGAAGTGTTCTGGTGATAAGTATTTTAAAATAACATTTTCATCTGGTAGAATATGTTTTAATGAGAAGGGGGTTGATTTAAAGTACTTTCTATTTTTTGTACGTGTTGGTTGGTTTCTTGTTCAAGTATGGAAGGCAAACTTAAGAAATCTTACAAATTAGTAATTATCTCTGTGGATTACTCAGTGTTGTGATTTTAACTACATTGATCATGACTGTCTCTTGAAATCATTGATTATAGAAGATCCACGCCACTTTTTAGAATTCTTTAGAACTGCCTGGAGTCCTGGTTCCAACAGAGATGGGATTGTGTTAAGTCCTGTTGTGACAGAAAATATATTCAGTGTGTATGAGATGCTCCCTCTCACCCTCAATTGGATCCTTTCTCTTGAAAGGTGGAAGCGTCTCCCTCCAGCCCTGTGTGAAAATTGGAGGACCCACTGCCTTCTCTCTGACATCTTGGACTAAGAATCATATTTTCAACTTTTAAAATTTGAAAACAATGACATCCGTGTATAAAAGAGAAGAGATTTTAAAAGGATTTGCTTTTTATCATTCAGAAGCAGTTCTTCATTTCTGTATCAATCAGCTTTACACTGGATAATACTGCACCAACAAAAAGCCCAAGTACTTAGAGGCCTACAAAGCAGAATTTATTACTCACTCATGCTACAGGTGTCTCATAGGTTGGAGTTAATCCTACCCCCTGTGTTGTTGGTATTAAGACCCATATTATGGCCTGATCAGCAATTGTGCTCAGACCTTGTTTGAGCTTGGTTGAACTTGGTTCATTGAGACTCATCCATTATTTCCTTTCTGCAGGGCATACTGGAGAATAAAAGGAGCTATGGGCCAGGTACAGTGGCTCATGCTTGTAATCCCAGCACTTGGGGAGGCCAAGGTGGGTGAATCACCTGAGGTCAGGAGTTTGAGACCAGCCTGACCAACATGGTGACACCCAGTCCCTACTAAAAATACAAAAAACAAACAAACAAACAAAAAATAGCCGGGCATGGTGGCCAGCACCTGTAATCCCAGCTACATGAGAGGCTGAGTCAGGAGAATAACTTGAACCCGGGAGTCGAAGGTTGCAGTGAGCTGAGGTCATGCCATTGCACTCTAGCCTGGGCAACAATAGCAAAACTCCATCTCAAAAAAAAAAAAAAAATAGAGGACCTATGATGTTGACAATCATCCCTGCACCCTTTGGGTCTTTAATGGTGATACAACTCTCTGCCAACCACCTGGCTCACAATTAGGATACTATTTTGATTTTTTTTTTGTCCTGGCCAAGGATAAGGGACAGTTTCAGAGGTTTCCTCTTGGCCTTCCCCACTATGATGGTCTCATGTGCAGGTCAAGGATTCTATGTAGAGGCTACTCCAACTGCCAGATTCGACAATTTTCATTAGACATTTAGGAACTGGAGAAATGACTGCTACATGGGATGGTAAGCCCAGCAGGTGCACTATGAGCCCAAATTAGCCGGGTTTCTATTTATTGCCTGGACCATGTAAACCCTATTCTGACAGGACCTGTGATGACATTTTAGGTGTCCAGATGCCTATCAACATGAATGTGGACTCTGTGTCCAATAATCCTTGAAATGTCTGGATATGCCCCTGTCTCCAGCATATAGTCCAGTAAATAGCTGTGATAGTTAACTTTATGTATCAACTTGACTGGATAAGAGGATGCCCAGATATGTGGTTAAACATAATTTCAGGATGTGACTATGAAGGTGTTTTTGGAAGAGATTAGCATTTGAATCTATAGACTTAGCAAAGTGTGCTTCCCTCCCCATTGTGGGTGTACATCATCCAATCTATTGAGGGCTTGAATAGATCAAAAAGGGGAAGGAATGGAGGCTTCACTCTCTCTCTGCCTGACTGCTTGACCTAGCACATTGGTCTCTTTTTGACCTTGGTGATCAGGCTTTCAGACTCAGACTGACATCTACACCATTAGCTGTCTGGCTCTTGTGACTTTGAGCCACACCACTGGCTTTCCAGAGTCTCCAGCTCGCAGAATGCATATTGTGGAGTATTTCAGCCTCCATAATAATGTAAGCCAAGACTGTATTATATATATACATATATACAGTCATGTGCCACATAGCAATCTTTCAGTCAATAATAGACTACATAAATAATGGTGGTCCCAAAACATTATAATACCTTATTTCTAGTGTTTCTTTTCTATGTTTACATATGTTTAGACACATAAATACTTACCATTGAGTTGAAATTGCCTACAGCATTCAGCACGGTAATATGCTGCACAGGTTTGCAGCCTAGGAGCAATAAGCTGTACTATACAGCCTAGGTGTGTAGTAGGCTATACCATGTAGGTTTGTGTAAGTACATTCTATGATGTTTTCACAATGGTGAAATTGCCTAATGACACATTTCTCAGAATGTATCCTCTTCGTTAAGCAACATGTTAACTGTATTTATATCATATTCATTCTGTTTCTTCAGAAAACCATGACTAATACAATGCCTATAAGTCCCTTTGAGGAAGCCCTGAGAAAAATCATCACAGTATATGCTTGCCACAGTGCTGCAGGGTCCTTCTGTGTATTCGGTGAATAAGTTCTGGATGTGAAAACTGGCTCAAATATGGGAACTGAGCAAGAGATTGTAGCTTTTTGTTGGATCAATCACTTTTAACCTCCTTCTCCTCCGCTTTTGCTTTTTTTTTGGTGGTAGATATTGTCTGCCTATTTTGTTCCAAGGAGCATCATACTGTGTCAACCATCTCTACAACTCCCTTCAGGGCAAACATTCTGGGCTGCCTTTCCAAATTGATCTGTCATTGCAGTAACTGTGGCCCCTAGCTTCCAATGGCTAAGCATAGCCACCTTACACTATCAGTCCAGGGAACCATCATTTCTATGGATATTAACACACCTAGCTCTATAACCTCTCTCTCCTACCATCAGCCTGGCCTGCAGAGAAGGCCACCACTGATCTTAAAAATGCTAGTTTCCTTCTCACCACCACATCCCCTGCTGATCTTCATGAATTATCATAATGTCCTGATGTCCTCTGGGCCCTCCTATGAAAGATAAACCTCTGGTGGGTTCTCTGACTTTTTATAGTATATCCATTCCACCAAGCCCATTTCCTCACCGTTCTTATTCTTCCCTCTACCATCTCTCAGGGAAGCTTGGGCTTTTTTTCTTCTTCAGGGCTGACCATCAGCTTTTCCAGGACTCTAAGAGTCAGTCTGCTCAGTCACGTAGCTGCACTTCACTGAAAGTAGAGTCTGGGAAATACATTGCTGATTAGAGGGCCACTTAACAGCAAGAACCCTACAATATGGAAATAGAAACACAAACCTTTGGTGGAAAGTGAGTCTTTTCTATCACTAAGAATCAATAAAGCTAAAATTAAAAGACTAATGAGATGTTATAATTTTGATGGGACTGATAAAAAAAGAGAATACAGTGTAAATAAAAAATAAGTCAATACTCTGACCATTTATATGCCAATACATTTGAAAAAGAGAAAAAGTATTTGAAAATTATTAATTATCGAATTGCTGACAAGTAAATACAAAATCTGGAAAACATGATGAAAATTTTTAAAAATACATATTATAATTAAAGATATTCCAACATCCAAATACCAGTCCCAAAAATTTTACTAAGCAATCTTACATACATTCTTCCAGAGATGTTTTTAAAAGGCAGCCCCCACAAAAATATCTGAGTCTGCTAAAACCATGAAATCAAAACAAAACAATAAGAAAAAAGTCAAATTACAGTCCTCTTCATTTATGAAAATAGTTGCAAAAATTCAGATTAAAATATTAACAAATGGAACTCAACTATGTCTATATATGTTGCATTGACAGATCACATGCATTTATGTATATATCCTAACCAAGTTGGTTTTATCCCAGGAATGCAGGACGGTTTAAAATTGGTAAAATTAATTAATATAATTTGCCATATTAACGGATTAAAATATAAAGTTATCTCAATAGATGCTGAAAAACAACTATTTGATACAGTCTAACATGCCATTGATTAAAAACAACAAAATATCTCTATCTAGCTCACTAGGCTAAAACAGTAAGTGTTTTAATTGAAGAAAAAATGTATCTAACACAAACTTATAGAAAACATATTACAAATGACACACTAGATGCATTCTTTTTAAAATTAAGGACTCTCAAGGATGCTTGGTAATAAACATATTTATTGATTATCATACTGGTTATGTAAACCAATGCAGTTAAGTATGGAGAAGCAATAAGGGATATAAAGATTTGCAAAGAATTAACAAAGCCGTCTTTCCCACATAATAAGATTGCATACATAGAAGAACCACGTAACTATAAAGATAAAATATCATAATTTATAAAATAAAAATCTCATATAATCAAAACACAACATATAACAGATTAAAATATGTACTTTATTAATTAGAGTAAAACATAAGCAGCAAACATGAAAAAATAGAGAAGATATACATAAAAAGTGTATGTAACTTACAAGACTAAAAAAAATACATATCTGTACCGATGATATGAAAGAACTTTTCAATCAAAAACAGTAAAAATTTTGAAGCACATGTAAAAGACCTAAATAAATGAAACATACATTTTGTTCAAGATGTATATTTCACTGATAACTCAATTTCATACAGATGTTAAGACAACAATAAATTAATGTATTCATAGGGATAAAATAAAGGGCCCAGAAACAGACACATTTATATATGAAAATAATGCAATGCCAACTGCGGGAAAATAATATTTCACCTAAAACCACAAAGGAGACTGTTTTTAATCTCTATAAAAATAAAACTAGATTCTTATTTCACAAGAGACACACAAATAACCTTGAAGTAATTAAAATTCTTAAAAAAAATAGCAAAGTCATAAAATGTTAGGAGAAACTAAAGAAAAATGTCTTTATGCCCTCAGGTTATTACAGATTTGTTTAGAGAGGACAAAATATCACAATAAAGGAAAGTTATTAATACATTTTGATTATCATAACATGTAAAACTTCTCTACAAAATTTCACCATTTCAAGGTGAAAAGAAATACTATTAACTCCAAGAGATTGTGGGTCTGTATTCAAAATATAAAAAGAACATTTGTAAATCAATAAGAAAAAGACATACAATCCAATGGAAAGATACAGAACAGAATTGAACAACCAATTTATAAAGTAGTAAACTTGATAATGAATAAATATTTAAGTAAATAATCTCACAAATGATCTTGGAAACGACAATTTTAAAATTCTTATACCATTTTACTCTTAATCGCATTATATGTTGCATTATATGTTATGTTTTGGTATAACATTTTTATTGTATACATTGCGATTTTTTTTCTTTATAGTCATTTGGTTCTTCTACATAAGCAATCCTATAATGTGGGAGCCACAGCTTTGTTAATTCTTTGCAAATGCTATACCTCAGCACCTAAAATTTTACTTACAGAAGAACACCTAAGAATACCCCCTTGCACAGGTAAATAATATTCTTCTTCAAGGGAATATTTAATGGGCAGTGTTTTTACTTGCACAGGTAAATAATATTCTTGTTCATGAGAATATTTAATGGCCAGTGTTTTTAAAAGAGGAAACTTTGAGTCACCCAAAATGCCTAAGAGTAGGAGAATGGACAAATTTTTGCATTAATAACATAACATATGATACAACAGTAATATGAGTGAGCTACAGTTGTACATAGTACAGAAAAATCTCAAAAACATAAATTTGTGATAAAATATACAAATAGAGGATAAATAAAATATGATACTTATATAAATTTGAAAGCAGAAATACTACTATATATGATTTATAAATATAAGTAAATACAGTATAATTAAAAACATGTAATAAAACATATATGTGAATAATTACCACTATATTCAAGCTAGTAGTTAATTCTGGGGAGAACAGGGTAAAGAATGGAATGGGTATATTTACACAAGAAGCTTCAAATAGGTATGAAATACATGATATGACACAAATGTAAAAAAACGATGATTTCACAAAAATAGATGGCTAAACACCTGATTGTTTGCAAAATTTATTCTCTGTATTTCCTGAAACTTTGACATTTCAAAATAAACATTTTAAGATACATAGAACAAAATGTGTTGTGTTGTTTGTTTTAGTTTTATTTCTTCACCTTTGAGTCTTCACTTATGGTATTGGTGAATCTTTGTTATTGAGAAATATCCTACATTCCTTCTTATAAACATTATAACTTATTAAAGAGACAACTGTGTGGAGACTTGATAGTTGGTCCATGAGCACTGCCATCATTCCTTCCCCTGTCTTAGGAGACATGTTGCCTCACATAATCATCTGAATACTAGCCAGCTAGGCATAAAACTTTCTTAGCAGAGAAAGTAGAGGGAAAGCAATATTTATGAAAGAAGTGTGTGTGTGTGTGTGTGTGTGCACGCACGCACGCGTGTATGTGTTCACCTCAGGGCCTCATTTTTTGCTAAGATGAGTAAAATTACATTTCTCATAACTTCCTGGGGCATTTGAGTATCACTGATACTTTTAAGTTTAGTTAAATTGAAATAACACTTCATATCTGTTTTTATTATCGCTGCAAATACTATTTACTAGACATTGAATACCAACATCACAGGCTAAATGAAACAGATCATAGGAAAGGCTACAGACCAAAGACCATTAGATTAACTATATTTAGGATTTTTTGAAAATGCATATGGTCCATCAGGGCCCTGATTACTCTTTTAATAACTACCAATATCCACTAGTGAAGCTGCTCAGGAGCCCTGAGTAACTTCTGCAATTTCAGGCAAAATAGTAAACGTTTCAGGCTTGGATTTTCTCATCTAAGGATATTATTAAGCTTCAACATTATTTTTTTTTCTTGTTTACAAAAAATTTTGTACCACACCATAGCAGTAGGAAATTATTGAATTGTAAACTTTTGCAACTAACAAAACTGTAGACAGCATTTAAAGTTAGCTGAGGCCCCTAGAGTAAATTTTGAAAGATCATAGTGAGAGTGTCAGAATTAGAATTCAGATGTCCTGCTTTCTGTCTTAGTATGTATTCATTCTAAAGTGAATTTACTCCATAATTCTCCTCTCACTGGGAAAATGAAACATTATCGTTAGTCTCTGTACTTTTTATTCACAATGCCCAAGTAAAACAAAAAACATTATAAGATTCTCAAGAAAGAAAGAAAATCAAATAATAGAAGCAAACTCAAAAATAATTAAGACACAGGAGTGGCCTAGTGCAGTGGCTCACACCTCTAATCCCAGCACTTTGGGAGGCCGAGGTGGGCAGATCACTTGAGGACAGGAGTTCAATACCAGCCTGGCCAACAATGCAAAACTCAGTCTCTACTAAAAATACAAAAAATAGCTAGGCATGGTGGTATGTGCCTGTAGTCCCAGCTGCTTGGGTGGCTGAGGCACAAGAATCCCTTGAACCCGGGAGGCAGAGGTTGCAGTGAGCCAAGGTTGAGCCACTGCACTCCAGCCTGGGCAGCAGAGCAAGACTGTCTCAAAAAATAAACAAATAAATAAAATAAGATATAGGAGTTAGTGAACACATTTTACATGGCCATAATAAATAAGTTAAAGAAAATAGACATTTTAAATGGCTGAAATGATGAAGAATTTTAATTAAAATTTGGAATCTATAAAAACTAATTAAATGGGCATTCTAGAACTGAAAAAAATATATGTAATACTGTGAGACCTACTGGAGGGATAGAAAGAGACATTTAGAAGAAGGTAGGATTAATGTGAACTCAAAAACAAATGAGAAAATATAAAAACTGAAGGAGAGAGGCACAAACATGATGGAAAGGGCAGAACAGCATAGGAAATATGTAGGCTGCAGATGGTCTAACATACATGAAATTGTAGGCCCAGAAGAGGAGGACAAAGAGCAAATCGTCAAGGTGTTTTCTAAAATGCTAAAAGTTATCAACCCACAGATTCAACAAACTCAAAACAAACAAACAAACAAACAAACAAACAAAAAAACACTAAAAATTAATACAAAGAAAATTATACAATTACTTAGTCTATTTTGGTGGAGCACAGCTGGGCAGTTTATTTGATATTGGCTGGGGTCATTCATGGATCGGCATGCATGATAAGCTGCCAAGTTGACTGATGGCTGGATGGTGCAAGTATGGCCTCAGCTAGGATGTATTGTATCTGCTCTGCATGGTCGTCTGTCCTCCAGTAAGCTATCTTGCTTATTCGAATCTATGGTAGCAAGGCAGGGTTCCAAGAGAGGAAGAAGGCTGATAACTAACACAATGTAACTTCCACCACATTCTATTAGCCACAGCCAAACACAGGACCAGACTACATTCAAAATGTGGAAAAATAGTCTTAGTTCTTAATGGAATGAACTGCAAAGCTACACTCATAGGAGTGTCGATATGGGGAGGGGAATAATTGCAGATAATTTTGTGAACAATTTACTAATGTTATCCAGGAAAATCAGAACTCTTGTACACACATGCCATTTCTTCTATTTCATGATAATAGTTTGGGTTATGTTTTATGAAATGAGAAAAATTAACAAAAAAGAATGTCGTGTAAATTTAAAACTAAAAGGAGTGGTAGAGACTTCAATCTTTTATAATACACTGCCTTCCAAATGCCTGTCTCGAAACATTCATTACAAAATTCTAGATGTGTGATCACACTTCTAGCCACACGTCTTAACATACGCTTCACTTGGTTATTAGAAGATTTTCAGTTTTGCACTAGTTGCTAAAGATTTCAAGTAAAGTCCAAATTCTAGTCTTCTCTTGAGAAATAGAAGTTCCAGAGCATTAAGATCATGCTGCTTCATCAACTATTAATGCATAAGATAATGTTTTATGCGTCCTCGGCATGCCTCTTTCACGTTACTAGCTTCTCTTTTTTAGGTTACCTTCCTAACCTTTAGAAGCTTTGGAGTTTGTAACCCCTTGCTCTATACTATATACTCAAATCTCTTGTTAATTCAGTTATTAACTATCAATATTAGACAGGATAATTAATTAATGTATTTTTCTTAGTGTAGAAGAATGAAACATAATGAAAACAAGTTATCTCTTCCCCATTCTCTGCCCTCTATCTCAATAAGAATTAGCAATGCATTACATTAAAGATCTTGTAATAATGCTAATTCAGACTCAGTGGGTCTGGTTGGAACTTGAGATTCTGCATTTCCTTTTTTTTATACTTTAAGTTCTGGGATACATGTGCAGAACGTGGAGGTTTGTTACATAGGTATACATGTGCCATGGTGATTTGCTGCACCCATCAATCTGTCATCTAGATTTTAAGCCCTGCATGCATTAGGTATTTATCCTAATGCTATCCATCCCCTTACTCCCCACCCCCAATAGGCCTTGGTGTGTGATGTTCCCCTCCTTGTGTCCATGAGATCTTATTGTTCAACTCTCACTTATGGGTGAGAACATGGGGTGTTTGGTTTTCTGTTCCTGTGTTAGTTTGCTGAGAATGATGGTTTCCAGCTTCATCCATATCCCTGCAAAGGACATGAACTCATTCTTTTTCATGGCTGCATAGTACTCCATGGTGTATATGTGCCACATTTTCTTTATCCAGTCCATCACTGATGGGCATTTGGGTTCCAAATCTTTGCTATTATAAATAGTGTGAGATTCTGCATTTCTAACAAGCTCCCAGGTGATGTCTTTGCTGTATGGATCCCACAATGAGCAGCAAAATCCTGAAGAACTGCAACCTCCCTAAGTTCCAGGGCAACATTTAAGAGGCTTTTTTTCACAACCTAAAGTTCAAGAAGATAAAAAACTGGATTGTCCAGGAGGAGGGTAGATTGCTGTTTGGACAGTGCATAGGAAGAATTGTCCAGTACAAAGGGAAGATTCCTAGGCCTGGAAAAGAGCTCCTGTAATTAGTAGGGATCTGTTTCTACCAAGAGCCAGCCTCACAGGGGTAACAAGAAACTGGTAAGTCAACTAAAGATGACTCAGGTTCTGACATAAAGAATAGTGGTAGCAGAGCAGGCTTCAAGAACACAGGACCTGTGCAGTCACACAGAGCCCTATGCTCAGAAGGGCGAGCACTTGGTTTAAAGATCTGCTGTTACCATCTAGAAATCCTTAATAAATTTGAACAAAGAGCCTTGCGTTTTCATTTGGCCCTGAGCTCCACAAATTAGGTGGCTGTTCCTGAGTACCGTGAAAGTTACCTCAAAAGATCCCCATTTGAAAAGAAGCAGAAGGAAGTCACCCATCTTTGAGAGGTGATTCTTGGGTTCAGATAATAAACATGTAAAAGTTATCATTGTGAACTTATCTCTAAGCTCATCCTACCCCACACCTCCATACTCCCCATTCCTCCATCACCTTTGAGTGTCATTTAATGTCACCTAAGTCTCAATACATTTCTGCTGCCTCAGAAAAGGGAGTCCTCAAACAAGATTGAGCCTGAATTTTTCGTCACTTAGATGAGTACAGGCTTAGAATTAAATTTACTTTGATTTACATAACTAGTGTGTGTGAGTGTGTGTGTGTGAGTGTGTGTGTGTGTGTGTGTGTATGTGTGTGTGTAGATAGGGTTTCACTGTGTTGCCCAGGCTGGTCTTGAACTTCTGGTCTCAGGGATCCTCCAGCCTCAGCCTCCCAAAGTACTGGGATTACAGGCACGAGCCACAGTGCACAGCCTAATATTGCATTTTCAAAGTCTTGTGTGGTAGATAAAGGAACATAACCACTGCATAGGTTTAGAAAAACAGATCAATCTGATTAACAATTTTATAGGTGGTCAAGAACAGTTATAAGTATACAAACACCTAGCCAAAAGGACATGGTGTCAGCTAAATTGATTGACTGCTAAATGGAGGGTAGCTGGTGATTACATCTTTTCTACAGATTTTGCTGTATCCACACCGTAAAAGCAGTGTTAGTGTGGGCCATGAGCCAAGAAGGGAAGAGAGCTGCATTACAGGGACCAGGCATTCTGGTGGCATTCATTAAAATCAAATGCTGTCAGGCATCTTGAGTGATGAACTGGAGCAGAAAGCAATTGACATTTGTTCAGATCTTTCAAGAGACGCTAGATGTGTGAACAAGAAGAGTTCGAAGATCTTCATTAGTCATGAAGTGATGCATCAAAGCTTGCACGGAAGCTTTGATGCCCAGAGGCCCAAGAAAATACATGTGTCAAAATCAGAAGTGAAGTCCATGTTGATTTTTTTTCTCCTTTGACATCAATTGCCTTGTTCGTGTAACATTAATCTCACAGGGTCTATTTATCCTATATGATTAGAAATTAAGACACAATTGACAATGTCTATATAATCTAGTAAAATTGAACTCTGTTTTTTTTTCCTTTAAAATGGAGCAGGTAGTTTATCAAATACCTACCACTGAGAAATCTGCTGCTTAGCACAAAAGGCTGTAAAAGAATACAAAGATGAAAGCCTTGGGCATGGGCAATCGAGTTTATACTTTCTATAGATAGATAAGACATGGACAAACATGAGGTAAAAAGTCATGTCACGTGAAGGATACTATGAAAAATGTTTACAGTTATTGTGAATCCAGGAGCTTTATTCCTTTTTGGAAAGTTTGAAAGGGAGGATTAAGAAACAGTTGATAGAAGATGATTCACCCTTCTTGCTCAGTTTTAAGAGATTGGTCGAGTTTGACTTCTTATTGTTAATGGGAAGGCTTTTCTAGGTACAAAAAGCAACCTGGATAAAGATGTGGAGGCAAAGAAGAGTGGGCACGTATTCACTTTGAGAGAACATTAGAAGCCTAATGTGAAAGACAAGTGGAGGGCAAAAATGCAAAAGTCGGAGAAAGTCCTAATCCCTAGTTGGTTCTAATGCTTTCAATTGCCTGTATATTGGTTTATGTATTCATTTTTAGAGAACTTTTTAAAGCTTTAAATATTCTTATGCTCATATTGATTCCAAAAACGGAGACACTACAGAGTTTGCTATTTTTTACAAATGTATTTTTAGAGCAGTTTTAGATTTATAAAATTATTGTGAAAATAACACAGACAATTCTCATATATGCCACCCTCAGTTTCCACTATTGTAAATATCTCACATTAGCATGATACATTTGTCATAATTTGTAAAGTAGTATTGTTACACTTATTAATCAAAGCATGTTCATTTTTCAGATGTCATTAATTTCCTTTTTTTTCCTTTTCTTTTTTTTTCCTTTTCTTTTTTTTTTTTTAATTATACTTTAAGTTTTAGGGTACATGTGCACATTGTGCAGGTTAGTTACATATGTATACATGTGCCATGCTGGTGCACTGCACCCACTAACTCGTCATCTAGCATTAGGTATATCTCCCAGTGCTATCCCTCCCCCCTCCCCCCACCCCACAACAGTCCCCAGAGTGTGATATTCCCCTTCCTGTGTCCATGTGATCTCATTGTTCAATTCCCACCTATGAGTGATAATATGCGGTGTTTGCTTTTTGTTCTTGCGATAGTTTACTGACAATGATGATTTCCAATTTCATCCGTGTCCCTACAAAGGACATGAACTCATCATTTTTTATGGCTGCATAGTATTCCATGGTATATATGTACCACATTTTCTTAATGCAGTCTATCATTCTTGGACATTTGGGTTGGTTCCAAGTCTTTGCTATTGTGAATAATGCCGCAATAAACATACGTGTGCATGTGTCTTTATAGCAGCATGATTTATAGTCCTTTGGGTATATACCCAGTAATGGCATGGCTGGGTCAAATGGTATTTCCAGCTCTAGATCTCTGAGGAATCGCCACACTGACTTCCACAATGGTCGAACTAGTTTACAGTCCCACCGACAGTGTAAAAGTGTTCCTGTTTCTCCACATCCTCTCCAGCACCTGTTGTTTCCGGACTTTTTAATGATTGCCATTCCAACTGGTGTGAGATGGTATCTCATTGTGGTTTTGATTTGCATTTCTCTGATGGCCAGTGATGACGAGCATTTTTTCATGTGTTTTTTGGCTGCATAAATGTCTTCTTTTGAGAAGTGTCTGTTCATGTCCTTTGCCCACTTTTTGATGGGGTTGTTTGTTTTTTTCTTGTAAATTTGTTTGGGTTCATTGTAGATTCTGGATATTAGCCCTTTGTCAGATGAGTAGGTTGCGAAAATTATCTCCCATTTTGTAGGTTGCCTGTTCACTCTGATGGTAGTTTCTTTTGCTGTGCAGAAGCTCTTTAGTTTAATTAGATCCCATTTGTCAATTTTGTCTTTTGTTGCCATTGCTTTTGATGTTTTAGACATGAAGTCCTTGCCCATGCCTATGTCCTGAATGGTAATGCCTAGGTTTTCTTCTAGGGTTTTTATGGTTTTAGGTCTAAAGTTTAAGTCTTTAATCTATCTTGAGTTGATTTTTGTATAAGGTGTAAGGAAGGGATCCAGTTTCAGCTTTCTAAATATGGCTAGTCAGTTTTCCCAGCACCATTTATTAAATAGGGAATCCTTTCCCCATTGCTTGTTTTTCTCAGGTTTGTCAAAGATCAGATAGTTGTAGATATGTGGCGTTATTTCTGAGGGCTCTGTTCTGTTCCATTGATCTATATCTGTGTTTTGGTACCAGTACCATGCTGTTTTGGTTACTGTAGCCTTGTAGTATAGTTTGAAGTCAGGTAGTGTGATGCCTCCAGCTTTGTTCTTTTGGCTTAGGATTGACTTGGCGATGCGGGCTCTTTTTTGGTTCCATATGAACTTTAAAGTAGTTTTTTCCAATTCTGTGAAGAAAGTCATTGGTAGCTTGATGGGGATGGCATTGAATCTGTAAATTACCTTGGTCAGTATGGCCATTTTCATGATATTGATTCTTCCTACCCATGAGCATGGAATGTTCTTCCATTTGTTTGTATCCTCTTTTATTTCCTTGAGCAGTGGTTTGTAGTTCTCCTTGAAGAGGTCCTTCACATCCCTTGTAAGTTGGATTCCTAGGTATTTTATTCTCTTTGAAGCAATTGTGAATGGGAGTTCACTCATGATTTGGCACTCTTGTTTGTCTGTTGTTGGTGTATAAGAATGCTTGTGATTTTTGTACATTGATTTTGTATCCTGAGACTTTGCTGAAGTTGCTTATCAGCTCAGCCTTTGGGCTGAGACAATGGGGTTTTCTAGATATACACTCATGTCATCTGCAAACAGGGACAATTTGACTTCCTCTTTTCCTAATTGAATACCCTTTATTTCCTTCTCCTGCCTAATTGCCCTGGCCAGAACTTCCAACACTATGTTGAATAGGAGTGGTGAGAGAGGGCATCCCTGTCTTGTGCCAGTTTTCAAAGGGAATGCTTCCAGTTTTTGCCCATTCAGTATGATATTGGCTGTGGGTTTGCCATAGATAGCTCTTATTATTTTGAGATACATCCCATCAATACCTAATTTATTGAGAGTTTTTAGCATGAAGGGTTGTTGGATTTTGTCAAAGGCTTTTTCTGCATCTATTGAGATAATCATGTGGTTTTTGTCTTTGGCTCTGTTTATATGCTGGATTACATTTATTGATTTGCATATATTGAACCAGCCTTGCATCCCAGGGATGAAGCCCACTTGATCATGGTGGATAAGCTTTTTGATGTGCTGCTGGATTCGGTTTGCCAGTATTTTATTGAGGATTTTTGCATCAATGTTCATCCAGGATATCCTTGGTCTAAAATTCTCTTTTTTTGTTGTGTCTCTGCCTGGCTTTGGTATCAGAATGATGCTGGCCTCATAAAATGAGTTAGGGAGGATTCCCTCTTTTTCTATTGATTGGAATAGTTTCAGAAGGAATGGTACCAGTTCCTCCTTGTACCTCTGGTAGAATTCAGCTGTGAATCCATCTGGTCCTGGACTCTTTTTGGTTGGTAAGCTATTGATTATTGCCACAATTTCAGATCCTGTTATTGGTCTATTCAGAGATTCAATTTCTTCCTGGTTTAGTCTTGGGAGAGTGTATGTGTTGAGGAATTTATCCATTTCTTCTAGATTTTCTAGTTTATTTGTGTAGAGGTGTTGGTAGTATTCTCTGATGGTAGTTTGTATTTCTGTGGGATCGGTGGTTATATCCCCTTTATCATTTTTTATTGCATCTATTAGATTCTTCTCTCTTTTTTTCTTTATTAGTCTTGCTAGCAGTCTATCAATTTTGTTGATCCTTTCAAAAAATCAGCTCCTGGATTCATTCATTTTTTGAAGGGTTTTTTGTGTCTCTATTTCCTTCAGTTCTGCTCTGATTTTAGTTATTTCTTGCCTTCTGCTAGCTTTTGAATGTGTTTGCTCTTGCTTTTCAAGTTCTTTTAATTGTGATGTTAGGGTGTCAATTTTGGATCTTTCCTGCTTTCTCTTGTGGGCATTTAGTGCTATAAAATTCCCTCTACACACTGCTTTGAATGTGTCCCAGAGATTCTGATATGTTGTGTCTTTGTTCTCATTGGTTTCAAAGAACATCTTTATTTCTGCCTTCATTTCTTTATGTACCCAGTAGTCATTCAGGAGCAGGTCGTTCAGTTTCCATGTAGTTGAGTGGTTTTGAGTGAGATTCTTAATCCTGAGTTCTAGTTTGATTGCACTGTGGTCTGAGAGATAGTTTGTTATAATTTCTGTTCTTTTACATTTGCTAAGGAGAGCTTTACTTCCAACTATGTGGTCAATTTTGGAATAGGTGTGGTGTGGTGCTGAAAAAAATGTATATTCTGTTGATTTGGGGTGGAGAGTTCTGTAGATGTCTATTAGGTCCACTTGGTGCAGAGCTGACTTCAATTCCTGGGTATCCTTGTTGACTTTCTGTCTCATTGATCTGTCTAATGTTGACAGTGGGGTGTGTTAAAGTCTCCCATTATTAATGTGTGGGAGCCTAAGTCTCTTTGTAGGTCACTCAAGACTTGCTTTATGAATCTTGGTGCTCCTGTATTGGGTGCATATATATTTAGGATAGTTAGCTCTTCTTGTTGAATTGATCCCTTTACCATTATGTATGGCCTTCTTTGTCTCTTTTGATCTTTGTTGGTTTAAAGTCTGTTTTATCAGAGACTAGGATTGCAACCCCTGCCTTTTTTTGTTTTCCATTTGCTTGGTAGATCTTCCTCCATCCTTTTATTTTGAGCCTATGTGTGTCTCTGCATGTGAGATGGGTTTCCTGAATACAGCACACTGATGGGTCTTGACTCCTTATCCAATTTGCCAGTCTGTGTCTTTTAATTGGAGCATTTAGTCCATTTACATTTAAAGTTAATATTGTTATGTGTGAATTTGATCCTGTCATTATGATGTTAGCTGGTTATTTTGCTAGTTAGTTGATGCAGTTTCTTCCTAGTCTTGATGGTCTTTACATTTTGGCATGATTTTGCAGCGGCTGGTACTGGTTGTTCCTTTCCATGTTTAGCGCTTCCTTCAGGAGCTCTTTTAGGGCAGGCCTCGTGGTGACAAAATCTCTCAGGATTTGCTTTTCTGTAAAGTATTTTATTTCTCCTTTGCTTGTGAAGCTTAGTTTGGCTGGATATGAAATTCTGGGTTGAAAATTCTTTTCTTTAAGAATGTTGAATATTGGCCCCCACTCTCTTCTGGCTTTAGGGTTTCTGCCGAGAGATCCGCTGTTAGTCGGATGGGTTTCCCTTTGAGGGTAACCCGACCTTTCTCTCTGGCTGCCCTTAACATTTTTTCCTTCATTTCAACTTTGGTGAATCTGACAATTATGTGTCTTGGAGTTGCTCTTCTCGAGGAGTATCTTTGTGGCGTTCTCTGTATTTCCTGAATCTGAACATTGGCCTGCCTTGCTAGATTGGGGAAGTTCTCCTGGATAATATCCTGCAGAGTGTTTTCCAACTTGGTTCCATTCTCCCCATCACTTTCAGGTACATCAATCAGACGTAGATTTGGTCTTTTCACACAGTCCCATATTTCTTGGAGGCTTTGCTCATTTCTTTTTATTCATTTTTCTCTAAACTTCCCTTCTCGCTTCATTTCATTCATTTCATCTTCCATCGCTGATACCCTTTCTTCCAGTTGATCGCATCAGCTCCTGAGGCTTCTGCATTCTTCACGTAGTTCTCAAGCCTTGGTTTTCAGCTCCATCAGCTCCTTTAAGCACTTCTCTGTGTTGGTTATTCTAGTTATACATTCTTCTAAATTTTTTTCAAAGTTTTCAACTTCTTTGCCTTTGGTTTGAATGTCCTCCTGTAGCTCAGAGTAATTTGATCGTCTGAAGCCTTCTTCTCTCAGCTCGTCAAAGTCATTCTCCATCCAGCTTTGTTCTGTTGCTGATGAGGAACTGCGTTCCTTTGGAGGAGGAGAGGTGCTCTGCTTTTTAGAGTTTCCAGTTTTTCTGTTCTGTTTTTTCCCCATCTTTGTGGTTTTATCTACTTTTGGTCTTTGATGATGGTGATGTACAGATGGGTTTTTGGTGTGGATGTCCTTTCTGTTTGTTAGTTTTCCTTCTAACAGACAGGACCCTCAGCTGCAGGTCTGTTGGAATACCCTCTCGTGTGAGGTGTCAGTGTGCCCCTGCTGGGGGGTGCCTCCCAGTTAGGCTGCTCAGGGGTCAGGGGTCAGGGACCCACTTGAGGAGGCAGTCTGCCCATTCCCAGATCTCCAACTGCATGCTGGGAGAACCACTGCTCTCTTCAAAGCTGTCAGACAGGGACATTTAAGTCTGCAGAGGTTACTGCTGTCTTTTTGTTTGTCTGTGCCCTGCCCCCAGAGGTGGAGTCTACAGAGGCAGGGAGGCCTCCTTGAGCTGTGGTGGGCTCCGCCCAGTTCGAGCTTCCTCACTGCTTTGTTTACCTAAGCAAGCCTGGGCAATGGCGGGCGCCCCTCCCCCAGCCTCGCTGCTGCCTTGCAGTTTGATCTCAGACTGCTGTGCTGAGATCACAGCAATCAGCGAGACTCCGTGGGCGTAGGACCCTCCAAGCCAGGTGTGGGATATAATCTCCTGGTGCGCCGTTTTTTAAGCCCGTCGGAAAAGCACAGTATTCGGGTGGGAGTGACCCGATTTTCCAGGTGCCGTCTGTCACCCCTTTCTTTGACTAGGAAAGGGAACTCCCTGACCCCTTGCATTTCCCAAGTGAGGCAGTGCCTCGCCCTGCTTCTGCTCGCGCACGGTGCGTGCACCCACTGACCTGCACCCACTGTCTGGCACTCCCTAGTGAGATGAACCCGGTACCTCTGATGGAAATGCAGAAATCACCATCTTCTGCGTAGCTCACACTGGGAGCTGTAGACCGGAGCTGTTCCTATTTGGCCATCTTGGCTCCTCCCCCATTAGTTTTCACCTATCCATTTTTTTGTTGTTGTTCTAGGGTTTCATCAAGGATACCACATTAAATTTAGTAGCGTTGTCTGCTGAGGCTTCTCTCAGTTGTGACAGTCTCTCAGACTTTCCTTGCTTTTGAGGACTTAATAGCTTTAAAGGTTGATATTCAGGTATTTTGCAGAATGTCCTTCAAATAGGGTTTACCTGATGTTTTCTTTGTGATTAGGCTGGGGTTGTGGATCTTGGGAGGAGATGACAAGGTAAAGTATTATTTTCATCACATCATATCAAGGGTACATCATATCAATATGACTTATGACTGTTGATGTTAATATTAACCTTAATCACCTGGCTGATCTTTTATGTCATGCTACGCCACTGTAAAGTTATTCTTTTTTTTCCCACATTTCTGTACTCTTGGAGGAAAGTTACTGGGAACCATTCATACTTCAGGAGTCGGGAAATTCCATCTTACATGTTCCACATTAAGGGCTGAGTATCTTCAGTTGATTATATTTGTGTGAGACTATTTCTAGGCTCAGTATTCTGTTATATTGGTCTATAGGACAGATATTCTATTAAAAATGCTATGCTGTCTTCATTACTGTAAACTTATAGTAAGTCTTGGTATTGGTGGTAAGTCTTCCATCTTTGTTCCTCAGTGTTTTGATGCCTAGGTCCTTTGCCTTTCTATTTAACTTTAGAATCAGGTTGTCATTATCTACAAAACATTATTTTACTGAATTTTAATTGGAATTGCATGAAATCTGTACATCAAGTTTGAAAGAATTAACATTTTAGCATTATTGATTCTTCCAATCAGTTAACACAGATTATTTCTCCATTTATTTATTAATAGATCTTCCTTGATTTTAACAGTGCTTTGTAGTTTAAAGCATATAAATTCTGTATGAATTTTGTTTATTAATATCTAATATTTCAATTTTTGTGGTGCTATTGTAAAAGGCATTTTTTATAAATTTCAAATTTCAGTTGTTCATTCTATTATATAGGAAAGCAAATGGATTCTGATCATTAACCTTATATCCTGTAATATTGCTATGTTTGCATATTAGAAATGAGAATGCTTTTGTTGATTCTTTTGCATTTTCTACATAAGCAATCATGTTGTCTGTATATAGAAATGGTTTTTGTTTAATAATTTCCAATCTACACACCATTTATTTCCTTTTCTTATTATGTTCTAATAACTAGCATATCCCATACAATGTTGACTGGGACTGGTGAAAGGTATGTACTTGTCTTGTTCCTGATCTTAGGGGGAAAGTTTCGAGTTTCTTACCATTAAAAATAATGTTAGCTATATGTATTTTTTTTGTAGAAGTTCTTTTCAAAATTTAGGAAGGCTCTATCTAATCCTTTGTTTGTTGAGAGTTTTTATCATGAATTGGTGTTGAATATTGAGAAATATTTTTCTACATCAATTAATATGGTCATATGATTTTTCTTCTTCAGGCTGTTGATGCGATGGATTACAGTGATTGATTTTCAAAAGTTGATTCAGCCTTGCATACTTATAATAAATACTGTTCAGTTGTGGTATATAATTATTTTTATACATTGTTGTATTTGATTTGCTAATATTTTGTTGAGAATATTTGCATGTGTGTTTATGAGTATTACTGGTCTGTAGTTTTCTTTCTTGTAATGTCTTCATCTGGTTTTGGTACTGAGGTAACGCCAACCTCATAGGATCAGTTAGGAAGCATTCTCTGTGCTTCTATTTTCTAAAAGAAGTTGTGAATAATTGGCATACATTTTTCATAAATATTTGGTATAATTCAGAATTAAAATAATTGGGCTTGATTCTTTCTATTTTTGGAAAGTTATGAAGTATTGCTTTAACCTTTTGAATAGATATAGGTCTCTAGTAATTGAATAATATCCTCCAAAATTCATATCCATCCAGAATCTCAAAATGTGACCTTATTAATATTTGAAAATAGGATCTTTGTATATGTAACCAATGTAAAGAACAAGATAGTGACATATTGGATTAGTACATGACCTAAATCCTGTGAGAGTATCCTTACAAGAAAAGGACACAAGAGAAACAGAGAAAATGATATGAAGACAGAGGCAGAAATTGGAGTGATGTATCTACAAATTAAGAAACTTAATGTGTCCACAAATCAAGAAATTCCTGGGATGGGTGGTTCTGTCAACATCTTGATTTTGGACATCTGGACTAGAAATTACAGAGAATGAATTTCTATGTTGTTAGCCACCAAGTTGGTGGTAATTTGTTATGGCAGCCACTGGAAACTAACACAGGTCTATAAAAATAATCTAAAGTTCCTATGTAAGTTTTTGAACCATGTGTCTTTTGAGAAATTGGTCCATTGCATCTAAGTTATTATATTGTGGGCATATATTTATTAACAGTATTGCTAAAGGAATTATTGTTTTAATGTCAGTGGAATTTGTAGTGATGACCACTTTTATTATATTGGTAAATTGTATCTTCTCTATTTTTCTCGGTTAGTCTATCTAGAAGCTTATCAATTTTATTTATCTATGTTAAAAAAACTAGATTTTTGTTTCTCGGATTTTTCCTATTGTTTTTCTGTTTCAATTTTATTTGATAAGTAGTCTGATTTTTATTATTTCATTTCTTTGCGTGTTTTAGGTATAAACTGCTCTTGTTTTATCAAACCCAACCACATATCATTAAACTCATCAAACTTACCATTTTGCTATTCTGACCAGTTTACAGCTTTAACAGCATTTGCTCCACATAAGCAGATGTCAGCTGTGACTCTCTGGGTATGCCTGTCTTTCCAGATTTAGAGGTGACCATTTGCCCTGAAACTTCATTTATCTGATGGATCAAAAACAAATCATTGATTTCATTTTGTGCAGTTTTCATTGTTGTAAGGACAGGAAGATAGGTTCCAAGTTCTTTACATGCTGCAATTAAACTGAAAAGGTCTCAGTTCTTTTTATTTTTTAATTGAGTACTTAGTACCTGCCAAGTATTATTTAAGTATTGAGGGTTTTACAGTGAATAATGCCTCAATGAGCTTACATTACATTGAAAAAGGCACATATACGCCATGGAATACTATGCAGCCACAAAAAAGGATGAGTTCCTGTCCTTTGCAGGGACATGGATGAAACTGGAAACCATCATTCTCAGCAAACTAACACAGGAACAGAAAACCAAACACCGCATGTTCTCACTCTTAAATGGAAGTTGAACAATGAGAACACATGGACACAGGGAGGGGAACATCACACACTGGGGCCTGTTGGGGGGTGGTGGGCTAGGGGAGGGATAGCATTATGAGAAATACCTAATGTAGATGATGGGTTGATGGGTGCAGCAAACCACCATGGCACATGTATACCTATGTAACAAATCTGCACATTCTGCACATGTATCCCGGAACTTAAAGTATAATAAAAAATTAAAAATATAAGCAGTAGAATTCATTAGTTTCAAGAGTATAGTAAGTTTATGTGAAAATATTCTAATAGCTTTGCCTATAATACAGGGGAAGAGGGTAAGGGAAAAAAAAGACAGAAATAAGCGAGTAGATAAAATAAGATAAAATAATAAATAAGGCAATTTCAAATAGTGGAGGTAATGGATAGTGATAAAGAGTGATGGGGGCTAATTTCGCAAGTGTGATGATGGAAAACTTCCTTAGGAGCTTCATTTGGGAGAACTGAATGAAAAGAAATAGCTAGTGCTGTCAAGTGCAAGAAAATAGATTGCCAATAAAAACACTGAAGAGTGAAGAGCTCTGAGCAGGGTTGAGCTTGCTTTATTTTGGTAATCCCAGGAAAGCCAATGTGGTTGTTGCTGAGCAAGCTGGGGAAAAGCTGTAATAGATGAAGTTGGATGTATTTGGAGCACTAGGCAGGGATTAGAACATGTTGGTGCTGATGGGAAAGGATTGTAGGCAGAGTTTTAGAGAGAGGTAGGATCAGAGTCATCCTGGACACTTGTTTGACAGAGCCTCTGCAGGCACCCTCATAGTGGTTGAAATTCACATACAACATAATTTATTGCTATTGTGTTCACATTTTTCCCACTCTTTCTTTCTTTGCAGTAATTGTAAAAGTAGGCTAGAAAACATAGAAGAAAATAATTCAAAGATTTTCTTACTTTCCAACATAAACCAGATGATCCAATAACCATAAATACCTGCCTCACCTGTAGAGAGGACAGATTAAACTACAAAGCAACATGCATCCAAGTAATCTGAGACTTTCTTCATGCTCTTGGACTTGTTTATATGCGGTTTCTTTGTATCTCTCCCTGACTCTCTGTTGCTCTCTATTTTGTCTTCCTTCTGTCCTCTTTCTCTTTCTCTCCCCTCCTTTTTTAAACCTTGTTCTGTCTATCTATCATCATTTATCTATTTAATCGAATCTAATCTGATCTAATTCAAGGATCTGCAAAGGTAAATCTGTCAGCTTTGCAACATTAGCTTGACTAGAGAAATTTTATGCTTCAACAATATAGAATTATTTGCTTTTCTTCAAACTAATTCTGCCTCCGCTGTTCATGCTGTTTTCCTTCCCTTTGGTTATCACCACCCTGGCTCTCTCCTACAGAAATCCTGCCCTTCCTGTAGAAGTCGGTTCAAATGTTATCTTCTCTACAAATGACTTATTGAGAATCAAAATACTAGAGATGACTTTTGGCCTAGGGAGTGTTGAATATGAATTGTGCTTTGGGAAAATTACTCTGATATAAGTATGCAAAGTAGGTTTAAGATAAAGAAGTAAAAGGGAATATAGTTCAGGTTTGTAAGGCTCAGAAAGCATGACTTTTAATAGCCTGCAAGCCATTTTCCTCAACTCCCTGCAGGTTTTGTACTTTTTCCATAGTCATACGTGTCAGTGGCACAAGGGGTCAGTAATTTTATTACTTAATGTGAACAAATGAGTTCTGGATGTTTGACGGAAGAGGCTGAGTCTCTGTGATGATGACAAAATCAGTAGCTTTCTCTCTGGAGTTGAAAGAATACTATGTAAACATGGCTGTGAGTCACACGTATTCAATTTAGGCAATTGCATTTGGACATATGATGATTCTATCTGAAAATGGAATCAGTCAGGGAGAAAAATGGACTTTGTGAGGCTGAACAAATAAGTCACTCACCAAAAATTGAAATTTTCATTTTATCCCTGAGTTCTTAGATAAAGCTGTCCATGTCTCTGAATCTCAAGACACTTCTTCTCTTTTTTCTCCCTTGTGTTAAATAAGATGAAGTGTTTGAGTGTGTGTGTGTGGTGTGTGTACATGTACATGGATGTGCATTTACCAAAGGTCTACAATGACCCTGATGTGTTTAGTGCACAGCAAGATGCAAGGCAATGTAGCTATTGCTGCATTTGTACACCTGCAGCCTGCATGGCATGCTTTCTCTCTCTCTCTCTCTCTCTCTCTCTCTCTCTCTCTCTCTCTCTCTCTCCTACCACCTCCCTTGCTCCCTCCTTCCCTCTTACCACTACCTCTCCCTCTCTACTTTCTCAGTCCAAATCAAAATGAAAGTGATAATATGATGTGCCTTCACAAGCTAATTGGACTCCCAAAACCAAATAAAATAACACTAGGTTTCTTTGGGAATCTGAGTTAACTAACTTTATATCTTCATGTTTGTAAAACTATGATTTCTACTTCTCTTGTCCTTCAGTCAGAGCTAATCTGAAATGTGCATTGTCATTATTGTTTCTAGTGGCATATGGCCTTTGTTTATGAGCAAGACCATCCCCTAACATGCTTTAAGTTACTGAGGCAGCAATTGTAGGTCAAGACTCAATCTTCGGAACTATATTCCACATATTGAAGTAGTAGTAGTAGTAATAGTAGTAACACTATATATCATTTATTTGGCAATTATTATGTATCAGGCATGGTGCTAAGCATTTGATATATAGTATTTAATTTAATCCTTTCAGTCAACCTCTGCAATAGCATTACTATTTTTATTTGGCAATGAGGGACTTTAGGTGTGTACATAGAGCACACAACTTGGAAATGTCACATCCTGTGTTCAATCCCAATCCTACTGGAATTGTTATCCTAAGGACTTGCTATGCCACCACTCAGAATCTTTAAAAGGAGAAGTTCTTACTGCTAAGACTAGGAGATATATATATAGTATAAATATAGGATATATATTTATATATAGTCTTCATAGGCAATATAAGAATGAGAACGGGCTAATTTTAGGGGACCACTACAATGGCATTTTCTGTACTGAATAAAGGAGCAAGAACACATGTAAGGTGGAGAGGAAAAGACACACTGAGGTTGCTAAATGAAATTCAATCAGCGTATATTGATTTCGACTAAATGCAAGGTATGGATAGGCACTAAACAAAGGATAATGAATCTGACCCAGTCTTTGACTTCAAGCACAGTCAAAAAGAAAAGAGGCTCATATAAATAACAGTTAAGGCCAGATTATTTTAATGTGCTGTAACAAAGATATTTAATACATGAAAGTGCATAAGTTATTACAGAACTAAAAACCCCAATGTCTAGGCTAATGTTCCTATGTCCTTTATGATAAGGGGCTTTCTTAAATCTCTACCCACACAGCAGGTATCAGCCACCACAGTGACCTTCCAAGGGCAGGGGGCAAGGGGTTTGAAGGGTGGGCTTTCTCATTATCTCTTGGAGCAACTCTCAGAAGACAAGACAATCAGATGCCAACATACGAGATAGTGTTCCTTAACTGCACTACACTTCATTGGCTGCAAAGCCCCAAATACCCTCTGACTCATGGGAAAGGAAAATTCAGTTGCTGCCCTTGTTTATGCCATGGTTTTCCCTCTCAGTTCACAATTACCAGGTTGTGCTAGTCAGATTGAAATGACCATAGAGTGCAGCAGTTAAGGGTGTGGTGGAAGCCAAATCCACCTCATTCCACCACTTACCTCAACCAAATCAGTTTTCTCATTCTCCAAAACAAAGATAATAATAATAATTGATTCAAAGCTTGTGGTATGATAAAGTGAATTAATATGAGTTAAACTGGTATATTGCCCTAGCTACACAGGTCTCATTTTAGCCTAAAGAATGTGCAGACTTGAGCAATGTGCTATTTCATGTGTTGGTGCTTCTTTGCACAATGCTCCCTAATTATTCAAAACACTAGAAGTTGCTTCTCCCCATCCCCTTCTATTCCATACAAGCATATGTGGCCATTAAGGCAAATTCACACTTGTCTTTGAAAACTGAAGGCAGACATTGCTTCCTTGAAGCCTGTCTTGCAATCTCATAGGTATTTTTGTTGTGCTTTTTA
This sequence comes from Homo sapiens, assembly GCF_000001405.40. Lineage (NCBI taxonomy): Eukaryota > Metazoa > Chordata > Mammalia > Primates > Hominidae > Homo > Homo sapiens. The sequence goes on from NC_000003.12 coordinate 35,831,975, forward strand.
CATGCTTCATTCCTGCAACTTTTTAAGTGTCTATGTGTTTTCCTTATAAGTGTTGGAACACCACAATGGCAGTCTTTGTCTTTTTTATTCCTCTAAGCTCAGTATTTAACTTGGTTCCCAGCACATAAAATTGCTAAATAATGTGAATTAATAAATGAACGTATGATCTGGTATCAGAATCTGTGGCATTGCAATCTTGTATGAGTCATCTAACATCCCAATACTTGAGTACTTCTTTATCTCTAGCTAAGAGGAAGTTATCACTGCTTGCTCTTGTTTGCTCTATGCTGCTTTTCTAAAGTTTAACCAGTTAATCATCAAAAAGCACTCAGAAGATAAGGCATATGGAACATTGCCACATGGTATCAAAATGCTAAGGCGTCCCAAAGAGACCTACCAATCAGTGAAAAGTCATGGAATGCAGCCTCAAGCACCGGATATTCTAACAGCTGCTGAATCTTGTCTGCATTTCATTCTGGTGTCAGAGATCCTAGGGACCTATCTATGAGCCCTGCCGATTGAGTCTCAGCTCTGTTCACACCTGTTTGGATGTATCATTGAAGAGTGAACGTGTACCGCCACTGCACTTGGCTCTGATATTCAGTTTCACATGTGTTCTTTATGTACCTAAGGCAGTTGCAAATCTTCTATAGTTGTGAATTCTAGTGTCACAGGAACTCAAGGCTAGGATTGTCTAAAATGGGCTGGCATTAGCCCTGGAATGCAGTAGTTCATTTTTTCATCCTTTCCTGGGTTCTGTGGCATGAATCAACTTGCTCCTTCAAGGTTTTCTCATTGCACACTTTCAGCTTTGTCAGATACACTGAGTCAGTTACCACTTGCCCATATTGTTTCCAGCATCCAAAATTAATTAAATTAACATTTTAAATTGGCTGTTATCTCCTCACTAATTCTCAAATTGCCTGCTTTCTTCCTTTACCTTATCCACCTCTTTATTCCTGTACCACCATTTTAGTGGAGTTTAGACGAAGCGAGGTAAATGTATTGGTTTTCATTAACATATTTAACTGAGAATCTTTGTATATATTTGCTTCATTACCCTCAAACATTCTCTGGAGGTGGAATCAGGAGCCAAGAGTGGACCAAAAAAAAGTTGGGTTCTGGGAAGAACAGCTCTCTCCAGTCTGTATCCTGGACTGGATAATTTGAGAGAAACTTTCAAGCCTACTGGCTAATGAAGCCCTCACAATTATAGTCAAGATTGCTGGTATACCTCTCATGGAATCAGGCAGGGACAGACCTCTCATGAAACTTTACACCCAAATCAGACTGAACCAGAAAAGTGAGAGAACAGGGCTCTATTGGATTGAAGGTTAGTACCCCTTATAGGATTTAGAGATGGGCCTATTTTTCAGCCTTGCCAGTGTACTCTGACCAGGAAATTTCATTTCCCAAGAGGAAGGAAAAGTTCTTCAATAGGTTTCTGTATGCCAAAGTGCATACGTCATCTTCACATAGGTCTTGTAGAACTGACAAGGTGGAACCAAACACAGGTTCAGCCGCTTACAAAATCGAATTACTAGAATGAAGTACTGTAGAAGGAAAGTGACTTTATTTTCCAAAGTTAGCAGTGGAGAAGTGGTTCAGATTCCCACCTTAATGAAACCACTTCAAAATTCTCAGGCAAAATGCTAGGGTTAAAAAAAGCAAGTTTGGTATGGAGGGCGAAGTTATGCAGGATAGGGGACGAGGTGGTACAGATCTACACGACATGCTCTGATGACTGACCTTGAGTTGTTGCCCATCTGATGAATGGGCTGGTGTCATCTCAGGATCAACCCAGTTGTAAATTAGCTGCAGTCTTGAACAGTCTTGAAATAATCTCTTGGTGGGGGAGAAGTCCATAGTCACCTGGATTGTCTCGAGATACCGTCTCTGGAACTTCTAAGCGAACATAATTAGATAAGCTAGCAATGCAAGGAAGAAAGGTGAGTAAATATTATTTATTTCTTTCCACTCTCCTGGTGGAAAGGAGAGTAAATATTATTATTTTACCACTAAAAAGTTAATACAAAAGGCCACAGAAGGAAAAGGGGGAAAAAAAGTTAAAAATAGAGTACTTGGTTACAAAAGGACAACACTGAAGCCTCTGACTGTCACTGTTGGCTGAATCACCTCATGCTGCCCTAGCCCCATCCCTCCTCACTCGGGGCTTTCTTCCTCCTCAGGAGTGCTCTTTGTTCAATTTATAAAAGGTTAACCTGCTTCAAAATTTTAGTTTTATGTAGCAACTGATTACTTCAGAATTTCTTCCCATGTCCCCAACTCTGCTGGTTGATTGACGAGCTTGTCCCAACGTGAGATTTTTTGTTTGTTTGTTTGTTTGCTTGAGAAACAATAATGAGATACATTCTCCCTGGCTTGGTCTCCTGTTGCATGGGTTTTTTTCTGAGCTTACCGCCAAATATTGTCTTTTCACTCTGTAGTCTAGAACAAGGTTTTAGAAGTGAAGATGATATTAAAGAATGATAGAACTTGATATCATTAAAATCAATCAGTTTACTTAGAAAATGCCCACTAAATAAGGATGTGTGTGTGTATGCATATACATACATATCTCCATCTCCTTATTTCTTTCACTTTTGTGAACTGTTCCCATTAGAATGGGTGACGAAATTAAATTGGAGTTATTTTTTTTTCTTTTGGTAAGTTAGTTAGCTAACATTAAATATGCTGAGAAAACCTAAATAAACCAAGTTGCTTCTGTTAATCATTCAGAGTGCTATAAACAAGCCCTTTAGATCCTCATTTTGGATCTTTTCTTCTAAACTACAGTATATTTGTCCACTTTGAAGGAGGTATTCTTAGAATCAAACTGTAGCAGTTTTCTAAGTTACCAACAGTGAGGGCTCTTCATCCATTTTTCATGCGAAATCTCACAGACAAAAACAATGGGATTTCTAATCTGTTCACATTCTTATAGTATTATTGTATCTTCCTACTCTTTCCCTTTTGCTAAAAAGAATAACAATTACTAGATGATACAGTCTAGCAGAATAATCAACCTGGGCATCTTATAAAAACAAGTTCTTCAAGATGTCAATGGCTTCTTTCCATTATCCTCCTCCTCCTCCTCCTCTTCCTCCTTCTCCTCTTCCTCCTCCTCCTCCTCTTTCTCTATCCTTCTTCTAATACTGATGCCTGGTTTAACTAAAATAAGGTTTTCCAAAAAGGATATTAAGTCTATTTAAAACTTGAAAAATACAAACATGCAGGATACTTTTAACTGTTGTATTCTTAGTGTTAAAAATTAAATGTACTTTTAAGACTTGACTCTTCTCTCATTTCCTATCCTCCTGTGATTTAGAAATCCCAAATTGATTTGTCAAGACAGATCAAAGAGAAAAGAGTATTTTCATTGGGCTTATTGCTTCTCAGGGTGAACAAATACAGTGAGTTACAGGCAAGAAAAAAAATGCATGGTGACCCATACAGCTCCATTACATTTTACAAGGGCGACTAATGATGACATTTACTATTCTCCTATTAAATAGAAACCACAGTATTCCCATTTTACCCCAATATCTCTGAAATATATTATAGTCTAATACCATGGCTTTATTTTGAAAGTCAAGAATTCTTGCTATTTCTAATGTTTTCCTCCATATCACATAATAATGCATTGAGTGCTGTGACCCCAATACCACTCAAGTCATCATGGGCACTCTCTTTTAGCCTTATTGTTTTCTACCATAAAATGAGGTTACAATATTCTACCCAGGTATAAGTTTACCTAGACTTGGAAACAAAGAATTCCATGTCAACCTCACTCCAGTTATCTTACTTGTCTTATACATTTGACTGTGTGTATGTCTGTGTGCATATGTGTGCAAATAGGCATACCTCAGATATATTTGGTTTTAGATCACCCCAATAAAGCAAACACCATAATAACACAAGTCATACACATCTTTTTGTTTCCCAGTGCATATAGAGGTTATATTTATACTATATTGTACACTATTAAGTGTGAAATATCATTCTGTCTAAAAAAAAGCAATATACCTACTTTAATTTAAAAATACATTACTGCTAAAATGCTAATGAGCATTGGAGCATCATTTTAATCTTCTTGCTGGTGGAGCATTTTATCTTGATATTGACAGTTGCCAACTGATTAGAGTGGTGGATGCTAAAGGTTGAGATGGTTGTAGCAAATTTTAAAAATAAAACAACAATGGAGTTTGCCTCATCGATTGACTCTTTCATAAAAGATTTCTTTGTAGCATGTCATGCTGCTGCTGGAAAGCATTTTACCCACAGTAGAACTTCTTTCAAAATTGGAGTAAATCCCCTAAAACCCTGCCACTGCTTTATAAACTAAGTCTATATAATAGTCTCAATCCTTTCTTCTCATTTCAATCATGTTTCCAGCACCTTCACCAGGAATAGTTTCCATCTCAAGAAACCACTTTCTTTGTTCACCCATAAGAAACAATTCCTTGTCCATTCAACTTTATCGTAATATTGTAGCAGTTCAGTCACATCTTCAGGTTCCGCTTCTAATTTTAGTTCTCAGGCTATGTCTGCCACATCTGCACTTACTCCACTGAAATATTGAACCCCTCACAGTCATCTATGAAGGTTTGGAAACAGTTTCTTCCAAACTCTTTTCAATATTGATATTTTGTTCTCCTTCCATGAATCATGGATATTCTCAATAGCATTTAGAATGATGAATCCTTTCTAGAATATTTTCAAGTTACTTCACTCAGATTCATTAGAGTAATCATTAACTATGGCAGCTATAGCCTTGGAAAATGTACTTCTTAAATAAGAAGATTTGAAAGTCAAAATTACACTTTATCCATGGGCTTCAGAATGGATGCTGTGTTAGTAGGCATGGAAATAACATCAGTCTCCTTGTACTTCTCCATCAGAGTTCTTGAGTGACTATGAGCAGTAATATTTTGAGAGGAATCTTTTTTGAGCAGAGGGTCTCAACAGTGGGCTTAAAATATTCGGTAAACTATGCCGTAAACAGATGTGCTGTCGTCCAGCCTTTTTGTTCCATTTATAGAGCACAGGCTGAGTGGAATTAACCTAATTCATCAGAGCTCTAGATTTTCAGAATGGTAAGCGAGCATTAGCTTCAACTTAAAGTCACCCAGCTGCTTTATCCCCTAACAAGAGTCAGCCTGTCTTTTGAAGCTGTGAAGCCAGTTATTGATGTCTCTCTAGCTAGGAGAGTCCTGGATGGCATCTTCTTCCAATACAGTATAACGCTGCTTTGTCTTTACTAAAAATATGTTGTTTAGTGTAGCCACCCTCGTCAATGATTTTAGCTAAATCTTCTGCATAGCTTGCTATACAACTTGCTACTTCATCTTGCACTTTTATATTATGGCTTCTTACTTTAAAGTTTGTAAACCAGTCTCTGCTAGCTTCAAACTTTTCTTCTGCAGCTTTCCCACCCCTGACAGCCTTCATAGATTTAAAAAGAGTTGGGACCTTGCTCTGGATTAGGCTTGGGCTTAAAGCAATATTGTAGCTGGTTTGATCTTCTGTGCAGAACACTAAAACTTTCTCCATAGCAGCAATAAGGCTGTTTCACTTACTTGTATGTTCATTGGAGTAGCACTTTTAATTTTCTTCAAGAACTTTTTCTTTATATTCAAAACGTACGTAACTGGTTGGCACAAAAGACTTAGCTTTCACCCTATCTTGGCTTTAAGCATGCTTTTCTCACTAAGCTTAATCATTTCCAGCTTTGGATTTAAAGTAAGAGACATGTAACTCTTCTATTCACTTGAACACCTAGAGACCACTGTAAGATTATTTATTAGCCTGATTTCAAAATTGTGTGTCTCAGGGAATAGGGAGGCCCAAGGAGAGGAAGAGAGACAAGAGAATGGCTGGCTGGTGGAGAAGTCAGGATGCACACAACATTTATTGACTAAAGTCCCTGTCTTAAATGAGTGCAGTTTGTGGCACCCCAAGACAACTACACTAGTAACATCAAAATCACTGATGACAGATCACCACAGATACAATAATGAACACATTTGATATATTGTGAGAATTACCAAAATGTGACACAGAGATACTAAATGATCACATGCTGTAGGAAAAAATGGCACCAATAGACTTAACTCAGGGTTGCCACAAACCTTGAATTTATAAAAACTGCAATATCTGCAAAGTACAATAAAAGAAGATATGTCTGTATATATGTATATATTTATTTACATCTGTGTGTGTGTGTATGTGTCTGTGTGTGTGTGTGTGCATGGGGAGGAGAGAAAAAAAGAAACAGAGACAGAGATTAAAGAGCAAAGAAACAATATAGAAAAGAGAGGCTTAGGATCAATATTTGTGTCTATGCTTATATCTGTTTAGTTGTGTATACACATAAACATACCCACCTATAATTTCACTGTGGCAGAAAACCAAAACCAACAATGATTACACCAACATGACAGGAAAATGTTCTGAAACGAAACATTTTTTCTTTACCTTTACATGGGCACAGGGTGAAAAAACACAACACATTTAATCCAAGAATATTGCCATTTTGTTTGTTCAATGTGAGCATTGCAAAGAAGGTAGAATTATGCTCACATGAATATGTCACATGAACATTTGCCAGTTTGATCTTTGCGCAGTGCAAATGTTTCATGAATTAATGTCAACTCTTGTTCTTTTCCAGATGTTGTCAAATTCCTGTCATTTTTTTAAAAAAAATCAGCTATTTAACAAGGGGAAAAACACCGTAGCACGGGGTATAATTTTGGAAATAAAAACAGCCCTTAATGATAGCTGTGGGGTGTGTGTGTGTGTGTGTGTGTGTGTGTGTGAGAGAGAGAGAGAGAGAGAGAGAGAGAGAGAGAGAGAGAGACAGAGAGAGAGAGAGAGACAGAGAGAGAGACAGAAAGAGATGCAGGGAGGTAAAAGATGAAGACTAATCACATTAAAGAGTATTTCATATCACGAAAATACATACCGTTTTTGTAACAATAGCTGCCTGATTTTGAGGCCTCAGAAAGAGATTTATTTAAAAGGGTCTAGACTGCAACAAAACAAATGGATCAAGTTCTTGGCTGCTCCTTAATGCTCATTGAGCAAAATGAGTCAGATTTAGAGCAGTTGATCAAGAGATTTAAAGGGCATTTGTCTTATCTCAGGCAATATAAATCTGTGGACAATGTAAAATAATATTAGTAAATATTTTGTTAACTTTAATAACATTTTCCTTTGGGAATCATAACCAGAATCTATCATTTACTCTATAAACAGAAGGATAATCTATTGAGGTACTTACTTATATTTTGTTTTCATTATTATGGTAGGTGAAAAATAACAGAAAGTGTCGTCTCTCTCAAATCCCTCTGAACTTTCTGGAAGAGATTTTGACTTCTCACTATGAAAAGAAGCTCATAATGTATATTTAAGACCCAAAGCAGCCACTGCCAGACATGCCAAATACAGCAATTCATGGAGGCTTTAGTTGCAAGGGAAAGGGAAGAAAGAGATCTTCGGATATGGAACACAAAGGTGGGCCAACTATGGCAGAAGAACATTTTTGACGGTTTCTCTAAGATTGGGAAAGAAACAAGTTTGATGGGTTTTCTGTGAATGGGAGACATACGACCAGTTCCGCTGCAGTGCTTCTTCAAGATACAGGACCATTTATGGGATGACAAAGTAACCCCAAGTATACAGAGTAGAAGTGGAGTCACCAGAAATGGCCATGGCCCGGGACCTGGGGTAAAAATTCTCCATAGTTGAGATAAGCCTAAAAACAGCTGAACTTCTCTCTTGCATGAAATTATAAATACTGGAATTTTGAGTAGATCATCGGTGTCAAATATGGAATGAAGATGGATGCCCTTCCTTGTGCATTCTTGAATGCTGAGTCCATAAAATTTGAATATTCTTGAATAGGGGAAGAGATTCCATAGCTCACGACTGTGATTGAATTTTCCACTGGCTGATCCATTCAGGATATCTTACCTGTTCTATGTGAGTTAATAAAAGAAAGGACTGTGACATTTTTCACAATGGAAATGTGAAGTAAAATTTATAGCAGTTACAGCATTTATTTTGCATCCAGGCAGATTTATGAGAGTAATGCTATAAATTAGATGTTCCCTTCACTAAAGGAGTTTACATTGTAGTGGAAGATGAATCATCGATTGCCATATTGAGTTACTGGGTCACTAATAAAACAGAGGTCAGTCCAAAGAGCTATGGAGTGAGCTGGAGACAGGTGAGGAAGAAAAACTTTCTCAGGTGAGGCAAAATGAGATGAATCTTGAATGATGACTAGATGTATTGCAAAGTCATTCATGGGAATAAGACATACAAATCTTGAGTAAGCTGAAGGAAAAGATGAACTCTTTGGGCAGTGGAGTTGAAGTTGCTTTTGGGTTATACAGAGAAGGATCTTCAGCAGGCAGGTAGGTGTTTAGGTCTGTAGGTCAAGGGAAAGGTGAGAACTAGAGCTATGGGTGAGTTATCAATATATCCTGTCGATATCGAGGATATCAGTGATGCTGGAAGTCGTAAGAGTACTTGAAGTGGTCCAAGCAAAAGGGGTCCACTGAGAGAAATTTCCCTGCGGAAGACTTACACTTAAAGATTATAGTATTAGGTGCCTTGACACTCTGAGATTCTGCAGGGTGAACTGAATCTCTCCACACCTTTGTCCAATTTTGCACATACTTTAGCTTGTGTTTTTATCCTCCTTGCCAAATCTTCCACTGCTTTTATTTTTCCACATCTTATTGAGATTTCTTATTCACTGATGTTCCAATTCAGATTTGTTTAGATTTACAGGTTGATACTTTTACACTCCTTTATGTAATAAAGAGTCTTTTTTTAAATTTTTGATGACAACTTTTTATTTTATTTTATTATTATTATACTTTAAGTTTTAGGGTACATGTGCACTTTTAAGCCTCATTCCTCTTGCCCTTCTGCCCCACATCTGGGCAATATGATAAGAAAGCCTGGGTGTTCCTTCCTTTGCCACTGAGGTGAAGTTCAAACCATGTGCAGGTACCCTAACCTCACTTCCACTCTTAAACAATAAAAACTCCAAGCCAGTCTCTTTTTTCTGATCTCTCAAGCCACTTTCAGATCATTTGGGAGCCACCTTGAACTCCTCTGAAAGTCTCATTATGTAAGTAAAAAGCCTTTGCATACTCTCTTGGTGTGTGCGTGTGGTGCCATCAAAGTCAACATCTGAACCAGGTTTTGGGGAGTTGTCCATCTTGTCTCAATGAGGCAGATAAAATACTTCACTAACATTTTAATCAGATCTTTGTATAGAGAGGAAATACATTCAGATGCCCAAACCACCACTTTAATGGATGCCTTTCTGATGCCACTAACTCCAGGTCTCTGGGTTGTGAATGATAAAATAATGATGCAAGCATATTTGTTCACCACCTGACACAAAGCTTTATTGGGATTCCAGGTGGGCAGGAGTCACCATAAATGTATGTTTTTATATTATAGTTTGATCAGTGGGAAAGGCAGTTTTCTCAATTTATGGGCTATACAGATGAGAGTTCAAATGAGAATGTGAGAAGGGAACATATTCATAGATTAGGATGATCAGCTGCTGTGTGTGCAACTCTTGTTCTTCCAGATATTTTTTATTTGAAGGAGCCACAGACTAATCAGCATAGCCCTGAAATGTGTTCTTTAGGCCCTAGAAGTTACACAACATCTATTCTTTATCCCCACATTGACATTTTACCTAACAGAATCCAGTATGATCAGGAGGCAGAGAAATACGCAGAGTTAACACATTTAGAAAGGTGCTCATGAGTTGGGTGGGACTAAAGCAACTCAGAACCCAAATATATCCTTGATATTGACAGTGTCTCTGCAATTCCAGAATGATAAACTGAGGGGTCCCAGACTTGGCTTATTAAACCTGTCTAAATTTTCACATCCTCTGACAGGTATAATAAGCTACTCTTTTTGAAAAACTTTTTTTCTAGAAGTGCGAAGATATAAATATAGCAGTGGAATGTCTGAAGAGACCCAGTACAGTCTTGGGTAGGAATCCCACTCAGTTTAAGTGGTACCAGATGCACCACTTAGTTAGCAATGTTCAGATTCAATCCACATATAAAAGGGACAGTAACCTTGCTCTTATAAGCACTGTATTGCAACTAAGGTAAATTAACCAGTCTGAATTTCCAAATCATGTATTTCCTAGCTCCTTAGAACCAAGACTCTACTGTGGGTCTCCAGATTAAGACAACATCCTATAATAGTAATGAGTGTGCTTTATGCTGATCTAACTAGCTGCATTCATAGGGGAAAGCATATTGGAAAACTAAAACCTGTTGAAAGAGAATCTCAATAAAAGCGAGGTTATGTGGGCTATCACTAAGGGATTATCCCCCAAATCTCATTTAATGTGGCCTTTATTTTTTATAATGAAGTCTACAAATTTAAAGCTACATGAAAGCCTCTTGGCTTAAAACTGGTACAGGGATGAGAGAAAGGCAGAGCTTAGTCTAAAGAAATAGGAAAGATCCGATTGCTAATGGCCTTGAATGTTAGTTTTAAACGTCTATAATTAATTTGTAGCAAATGGATGGGTGGAGGGTAGCTTAGAAAATTAAAGCAAAACAGTGGCATGGTTATGATAGAATTAAGAAAAATAACTATGTTGCTCCATATAAAATATCTGCTTAGAAAGGATTGAAAGTGGAAGCCAGGAGATCAGATGGGTGCCCCTGACAACAATCAAGCCAAGAGATGTTGAAAGTTTGACCCAAAGCGGTGGCATTTGAGATGGGAAAGAAGGGGTGAACTGGATATATATTTGGCGAGGAGTTTGACTTGAGTTTGACTGTGGATCGTTGGCAAAAAGAGCAGTATGAGAATGAATTCTAGATTTCTGGCCTGTAACAATGAGTGAATAATTATACCACCAATAGAAGGAGAGAGAGAGAGAGAGAGAGAGAGAGGAATTGGTTTATTTAAAAAAACCTAAAAGTAATAGTTACGATATATCAAATGATTTTGGGTGCCAGACAATCGGTAAAGTCTTTTACATAGTTACTTTTATTTAATCCTCACAATATCCCTGTGGGGGATGGATTATTTCCCAATTTTACAGTTAAACTAAAGTTTAGCAAGATTGATTACTTCCCTGAGGTCACCAGTTAATAAATTGTGCATACAGGTTTCACATACAAATTTGTCTGATTTTTAAAGCAGTTTTGATTTCTGCAATTCCACCAGTGATAACGAGTTATTTTATGAGTATGTAGCAGAGGTACTTGTCCTGCTCTAACTGCTGCTCATTAATTAATTCATTTATTCAGCAAAATTCATTTATTCAGCAATAATTACAACAAAAATATATAGACAATATCTTTTTTCAGACTGTTTCAACTAGGGAAAACAGATTTCTATTAAGTTGTTATATTTTGCCTGCCGTATCCTTTCATTAATGTGCTTTCCACTCTGTTCTGATGAATTATTACAAATCAGTGTTAGCTATTATGGGTACTAATAACAGTAGCATGTGTACTAGTAATAGACATCCAAACCTGAGTGTGATACTCATATTTAAAATTCCCCATTTATAGTAAAAATTATAAATCCTCTGTAATATCATCTTCTAGTCCATATTGGACACTAATATGAGGTTTTGTAACAGCAAAGACTGGTGACTTCTCCAGAGCCGCATGCCAGATCAGCGATATCCACAACTCCTAAAATTTATTCAAGATTAATTTTAGGGATATCACAGACTTAGTTAACTTCACAAGAACATCTGGCAAAGAGGGCGAATTGCAGCTGAAATCTAGTCCAATTTCCCCTTGCCAAGCGTCAGTCCATAGTTCCTTTTCCACAGTTTCATTGTTCCTTTTTCACTGTCTGCTCCCTCAAGCCACACATCGATGCAGCTGTGTCCCACCAAATGGAGGGAGTGTTATTCCAAATTCCCACAAAATTGCCTTGTAGGCTAGGGGTGACCACAGCTGGTTTGGGTGCCTACTTGTGGACCCTGACTACAGTTTGTGAATGAAGAAGTGCAGTCAGTACTGCAGTTTACCCAAGATTTGCTTTTTAAAAGAAAACATTCTAAGTATGGATAAAAATACATTTGCCTTTCGACTATTTACAAGTTTTCAGGTGTAACTAAATGGATAGGGATGAAAAAAAATAGGATTAAAGAGGCAGAATGAAGCATGTTACTTTACATGCCATCACATTTCTCCTAATTATTATCAATAATAACAAGAATGTCACATCGTTATGTCTGTTCTCTGTATATCTATAATATCTTCGCTACTATTTAAAGACTACAAATGAATCATGGCTTGGAACTTCACAGTGGGAGAATTGTGAGGGCTTTATCACATCATGCCCTGAATGAAAAAAAAAAATGCTTTCATCTTATTGTTAAAAAAAAAGAGTGCCTAAGTCTGTCTGAATTCATGTTCTCATGGCAACATATTCTGAGACTAAAGGCTGCACCAAAATAGTACAAAACATCTGGAGGTGACATTATAAAGGGGTCAGTGTTTGACCACCAGCCAATGGAAAAAAGTTATATATATAGAAAATATATTCTATGTATCCCATTGGATGTATTTTCTCCTTTTACTCATGCCTCTCTGCTGGAGTTCCATATTCCTGATTTTCTCACTGTTGCCCTTCATGACCATGAAACCTTTGTTCACCCATCCATTCCCATTTCTTTCAAGTACTCTTTGAAGTTTATTAAAGCCACTTCTCTCACAGTCGTTTTAGATTTTCCCTTAAGTAGCCTCTAAATCTGCAAGTCCCTGACCTTGGTCATTCTGGTTACTCTAAAGTGGTGCCTGTAGATAACAGATATTCCAATGACTATATCTAGCTTAATGATTCTCAAATTATTCACATGGGCAGTCAGTATCATGAGGTCCTTGGGGAGTCATCATGAAGATGACTAAAAATTCAAATAAATGGTGAGAGTCACAATTCGGATGTTTTAGATGGATCGGATGTGAATGCTTTAAGCTTGAAAAGTCAAGCTCCTATGGTTAATGGGGAAATTGCTCTTTTATTAGATACCATGGAGACGGAAACTGGGGAAATTAGTGACTTTTGCTTCTGGTGATGGCAGTCTAAGAAAATTAGACCAACCATATTGCTGAGGACAATTAGAATCACTGGAAATAAAGCCTGTTTAAAGACACTGGATTGATAGCAAGGCTATGAAGAATTCCCAGAAAAAAAGACCTAGAAAAACATGAAGCCCAGAGAGGTCAGACTGCCATTTGAGGTTGCTTTTCTTCTAAAGTCCTCTGCAGAATTTAGAAGACAGAGAAACTGAGAAGGTGAGCAGTACATCTGACAACCTCATGGGTTTGGGGGGGAGGTGGGGGCAGGGATAAAAATTGGATTACCAACTTGCCAAGTATAACATTTCACATTTTGGATTAGAATAAAGGTAGGCAAACTTTTCCTATAAACAATCAGGTAGCAATGATTTTGCCTTTGCAGGCCATACCATTTCTGTTGCAACTACTTAAATTTGTTATGTAACTACTCAAATTTGTTATTGTAACATGAAATTAGCTGTAGATGATTCATAAATGTGTGTGCCTATGTCCCAATGAAACTTTATTGCAATACCAGGCACTAGGGCTTCTTCCCAACAAAGAGACATAACCTAGGAAAGGAAAACTGGAAATAGAAGTGCTTTTACATGGACTACATCTCAGCTTCAATTCACATCAATCCCTGAAATTAGACTAAAGTGACCACGATTATTGTGATTCTAGGCACTTGCCAGATATAAATTCAAATCATAACTAGAGGAAGATATAGCCTTCACAGTTCCCCCCAATAGTAACATCTTGTATAATTATAGTACAATATCATAACCATGAAATTGACAATGTTACAATCCACTCACTTATTCAGACATCACCAGTTTTACATGCACTCATTGTGCATGTATTCATTTATCATGTGTGTTCATTATAATATTATCACATGTGCAATTACATGTGACCACTGCCACAGTCAAGATACAGAAAAGTTCCATCGAAAGTATTTTTCATGTCATCCTCTTATAGGCACATCCACCTTACTCCCTCACTCCTCCCCACTCCCTGGCAACCACTAATTGTTCTCCATCTCTATAATTTTGTCATTTGTAAAAATTACGTGAGTGGGGTCATATAGTATGTAACTGTATTAGGTTTTCAGGGCTGTCATAACAAAATACCCCAGACTGGATAGCTTAAAAAAAAAGAAATATATTAGCTGACAGTTCTGGAGGCTAGAAGTCCAGGACAAAAGTCTTGGCAGGTTTGAATTCTCCTGAAGCCTATCTTCTTTGCTTGAATATTGCTACCTTCTAGCTGTGTTCTCATCTGGTCATTCCTCTGTGCAGATGCACGCCTGATGTCTCTTCCTTTTCTTGTAAAGACAGTAGTCATATTGGATTACAGTCCCACCCTAATGGTCACATTTTAACTTAATCACCTCTTTAAGACCTTGTCTCCCAACAGGGTCACATTTTGAGGAACTGGGGCTTGGGACTTTACCATACACATATGGGAGGGTCACAGTTCAGCCCATAATAGTGGCCTTTTGAGATTGGCTTTTTTACTTAGCACAATGACATTGAGATCCATCCAAGTGGGTGTGTGTATCAATAGTTTGTTCCTTTTATTGATGAGCAGTATTCTACACTATGCGTGTAGCACAATATTTTTGACCATTCACCACTTAAAGGACATTGGGTTGTTTATAGTTTTGAGCTATTACAAATAAAGCTGCTATAAACACTCAGTGCATGTTTTGGCATGAATATAAGTATTTGTTTTCCTGAGATCAATATCCAAGATCAATTTCTGAGTGTTTGTGGTAAGCACATGTTTAGGTTTAAGAAGCATATTTAGTGGGTAAGAAACTGTCATATTTTTTCCCAGAGTGTCCGTACCATTTTCCATGTCAAACAGCAATATTTGAGTGATCTAGTTTCTCCAAACACTCACCAAAATGCCATGTTATCAATGTTTAATTTTATAATTTTGCTAATATGTTGTGGTTTTAATTTTTTATTTCTCTAATGTCTAATAATATTGAACATCTTTTCATATGATTACTTGTCATCTGTATATACTTCAGTGAAATGTCTGTTAATGTATTGTGTTCATTTCTTACTGGGTTGCTTGCTTGAGTTTTTATAATTCTTTATATATTCTAGATATTAGTTATTTGTTGGATATGTGGTTTGCAACAATTTTCTCATTGTTGATAGCTTGTCATTGCAACCTCTTCATGGAGTCTCCTACAGATCAAAAGTTTTAAATTTTGATAAAGTAAAATGTATCAATTTTTCTTTTTTTCAGAACTTGTTTTTCATGTCAAATATAAGAAATCTTTCCTGGGCTCTGAAGATTTACTCCTGTGTATTTTTCCAAAAGTTTTAAAGTTGGTAAAAAGTTACATTTTACAGTTAATGGGTTCTATTTTGAGTGCATTTTTGTGTAAGATAGAGAGTTTAGTTTAAGGATCATTTTATTACTGCGGTTGAATTTATACCTGCCATTTTGGTATGTGATTTCTATATATCTCTTGTTTTTTGAGTCTCTCTCTTTCTAACTTATCTCCTGTTTTACATTAAATACATTTTTTAGTATAACACATTTATTTCTGTTGAGTTTTACCATATTTTTTAGCTATTTTCTTATTGGTTGGCCTAGAAAATAAAATATCTATCTTAATAATTGACTTCAGAATACTAGCAACAAAGCAGATAGAGAATTTTTTCTCCAATATATCTCCTTTCCTTTCCTGTACTTTGTGTTCAATATTTATATGTTATGCACCAACAATACAATGTTATAATTATTGCTTTATATCATTTTGTGTATTTTAAACACGGTGTAAATATGTAAGAAAATGTATTTATAGAGTTTTAAAAAGTTATTTATATGTTTTTTGTTTTTTATCTGTCTTCATTATTTCCCGTGGATACAAGTTATCATCTGGAGTCACTTCCTTTAAACCAATGAGCTTTTTCTTTCATGATTTTTAAAGCAAGTGTACTAGCAACAATTGTTTCCATCTTTGTTTATCTGGAAAAATCTGCAGTTTGTCTTCATTGTTGAAGTATAGTTTTGCTATTTATAGAATTTTTGGTGGATTTTTTTTAATCTTTCAGAAATTTGAGTATGTCATTCAACTGCTTTATGAACTCCATTTTTTCTGACGAAAAGTCAGGCCTCAATAGTCTTTTTCTGACTGCACTGAGTCGTTTCTCTCTTGCTGCTTTCAAGGTCATGGTTTTCGACAGTTTGACTATGATCTGTCTAGGTGTAATTACTTAATTCATTCTTCTTTGAGTTCACTGAGCTTCTTAGTATTATGGATTACTGATTTTCATAAAATTGGAAAGGTTCTTAGTAATTATTTTGCATATATTTATTTTTTGTTCCTTTTTCTCTCTCCTGTATTTCTGAAATTCATATTACATATATGTTGGTATGCTTGATTGTGTCCCACCAATCTTTGAGTTTCTATTGTTCTTCAATATTTTTCTTATGTATTTTTCATATTGGATAACTTTTGTTAATCTATTTTGTAACGTATTAATTCTCCTGATATTTCGAATCTGCTGTTAAGCCCCTATGGTAATGTTTTCTTTTCAGTTTTTACCTTTTCAAACCCTTAGTTTCCATCTTTTAATTTTAACTTCTTTTTAAGATTTTCTATTTGTTGATTCATTGTCACTATACTTTCTTTTACAAGTGGTTTCCTTTTTTCATTACCATATTTATAATATCTGATTTGAATTATTGTCTGCAAAATCCAATATCTGAAAACACTCAGAGGTGGTTTCTGTTGACTCTTGGATTTTTTTTTTTGTTTTTACTGAGTATAGATTATGCTTATTTCTTTGAGCGCCTTGCAATATTTTATTAAATAACTTGACATTTTATATTTATTTGTTGGTTTGTTTATTTTGAGATACAGTCTCACTCTTTCTCCCAGGCTAGAGTACAGTGGTGCAATCTTGGCTCACTGCAACCTCCACCTCTCGGGTTCAAGCGACTTTCATGCCTCAGCCTCCTGAGTAGGTGGGATTACAGTTGCACACCATCATACCCAGCTAATTTGTGTATTTTTAGTAGACACAGGGTTTCAGCATGTTGGTCAGGCTGGTCTTGAACTTCTGACCTCAAATGATCTGCCTGTCTCGGCCTCCCAAAGTGCTGGAATTATAGGTGTGAGCCACTGTGCCCTGCCATACTTGACATTTTAGATAATACATTATAGAGATTCTGCATTCTTTCTTCCCACCTCCCACAAGGATTGATGTTGTTTTTGCTAAAGTTGTTTTTTTTTATAACTTGTGTGAACAGAATGTGTGATGACTATCTACCTTATGATGTCTGGCTGCTAGTGTCTTTGCTGATTTTTAAAAAACACCTTGTTTTTGTCTTTAAGCCTGCTTTCTTAGTGGTTGCCCTTGTGAATGTAAAACTTAGTGTTCTGCAAAAGATTGGTCAAGAATTGCACTCAAATATCTCAAGTCACTAAGGCTTCCATTCTCTACTAATGGGTTTGTTTGTAGGTTGAGAAGTGCACTCAAAGTTCAGATTATTTCCAAGCCTTCCCTGGCTTTTACTCTGTGCTGGTCTTTTATGTTTAAGAAGCACAAGTGCAGGCTCTGTCAGTCAGGAAAATATGAGTGACCTGGGTTCTGACACTTCCTCCAGTCATTTCAGGAAATATAGTGAGTGTATTAGGTCTCCTATAGGGCTCTCTCACATTTAGGATTTCCCCCTTAAATCCCTGGCAAGTCCGCTGATCTGTGTTTTTGACCCCAACGAACAGCAATTGACCATCTTTCTCACTTGTCTCTGGGATCGTCACTTTGACTGATAATGCTTCGATTCAAATGCATTTCTATCTGGCAATGACAGCGAAGCTTATTGTTTTATAGTTCACCCCCAACAATAGAAAAGCCATATTGACCGTGCTTGGGGGAAGATGGAGGCAGCCCCAGGAAATAATAGCATGTGCCTATATTCTTTATACCCAAGTTCAATAGTTTTCATGAGTAACCACTTACCAGTTTGTTGTATGCTTTTGGTTACATTCTGGAGCATTCAAACAGTTGTTTTGGGCCATTTTGTCCAGCTTCATAGTTGTATTTTGGGGAAGTGACTCTTTAAACTTTTCGCCTCATCATGCCAGAAGTCAGAAGTACTACAGGTCAGAACCCACAAAGTACTACAGGGTTTTGAATCATTCTTTCCCTGATGGTGTGTAGAAATTACTTAGCTCATTAACACTTCCATACACATTTTTTCCTTTCTTTTACTATGGTTCCTTTTCTTTGTCCTTATGTTTTATATATGTCTCTATACACTTTGTATAGCAATAATTTTTTGGTGTCTAATCTTACAAACATGTCTTTTAATTGGCTATTTTAATGCAGTTTTATTATTGTAACAATAGCAACATTTGCATTTTTCTATCTTTTTTCTTCAGTTTTTCATATTTTTTCTTCCTTTTAATATATCATGGTTTCTTTTTTTCTATTTTCCTTCCCTCTTCACAGGTATAAACATTTTGTATTTACTGTACATTTCTTTAATAATTACTTTTGAAATTATAATGTACTTCATTTTTTAAAAATCAAATTAATATTGTTATAAACCTCTCAAACAATACAATAATCTTAGACAGTTTAGACCCCATACATTGCCTTCAACTTTTTAGCTCATAGTATTTTTGGTACCTATGATTTAGATGTTAAAAGATACGTACTTTTGGTATTTCTGTAACCCTGTAAATTAGACATTAAAAATATTCTCCTATGTTGTCAGTGCTTGCTAACATTTACCTATGGTTTTCTTTGCTCACAATTCCTGTTACATTGCAGAGCAGTTTGGGGATTATTTTTCTTTTATTTTGAAGTCCTTTAGTGAAGCTCTCTGGATAGAAAATTTATTTTTGTTTTTCTGGCATATCTTTATCCTCTTTAAACAACTTTAGGTTTATTTCAGCCACTTTCATGCTACTACTGACATTTTTTGAGTTCTTTTGTCACTGCTGAAAAATCAGCTGTCTTATTTCTATTTTTAGACAATCAATTTTTTCACTTGCTATGGAGAATTTTTTTTATTTGGTTTCATGCAGTTTTACTATTATGTGCTTTGTTAATATATTTTTCTTCATCATGGTAGAGATTTCTTGTGCTTTTTAAATTTGAGGTTTTATGGCTTAAATTCCTGAACAATCTTTATTACTCTCTTTTTATATCATGCCTTGCCCATTCTTGCCATAATTGTCTGATTAGATATATTTTGGGTCTTCTAGTTTATCTCCAATATCTCTTAGCTTATTTCTTATTTATGGTTTCTAACTATTGCAATCTGTATAATTTCCTCAGCTGCTTCTTCCCATTTTCTCTTTGTCCTTAAGCTGTGTTCAATCTGTTGTTTAACTCCTCTTTTGCGTTACTTCAAAAAATGTATTTTTAATTTCTGGAAGTACCATTTTTGGTCAAATATCCCTTGTCATAGTATACTTGACCAAAAATGGTACTTCCAGAGATTAAAAATAAATTTTTGAAGTAATGCAAAGGAAGAGTTAAACAGAGTAAAGTATTAACCTACAGAATAGAAGAAAATAATTGCAAACCACAAAACTGATATGGAGTTAATACCCTCAACATAGAAGTAACTCCTACAGCTCAACAACAATGAAGGAAATAATATGATTAATAAATGGGCAAAGTTTTAAAATAGATTTTTCTCAAAAGAAGACATACAAATGGCCAACAGCTATATATAAAAGGTGATCAATAGCCATAATCATCAGGGAAATGCCAATTAAAACCACAATAAGATATCAGCTTACACGTATTAAAATAATTACTATAAAATAAAACTGAAAAGATAACAAGTATTGACAATGACGTGGAGAAATGGAACATTTGTATACTGTATACTATTGGTGGGAGTATAAAATGGTGCATTTTATACTGTGAATAACAGTATGGAGTTTCCAAAAAAAAAAAAAATAGAATTTTCATATGATTCAGCAATCTAACTTTTGGCTATTTATCCAGAAGAATTAAAATGAAGATCTTGAAGACGTATCTGCATTCTTATGTTCAGCATTATTGCTTATGTGCAGCATTATAAGCAATAGTAAAAATTTGAAAACAACATAAATGTTCATCAGCAGAGAATGGATATAGACTACAATGAAATGTTATTTAGTTTTTAAAAAAGAAGAAAACTTTGTTATTTGCAACAACATAGTTGAACCTGAAGGATGTTATGCTAACTGAAATGACACAGTCACAGAACTAACACTGCACAATTCAATTTATCTGAGTAACTGAAAATAGTAAAACTCACAGAAACAGAGAATAAAATGATGATTAACAAGGACTGTGGGAAGAGAGAAATGGGGAATTGGTATTCAACATGTATAAAGTTTCAGTTATCCAAGAAAAATAAGCTCTAGAAATTTGCTGTATAACAGTGTACCTATTATTAACAGTAATTTATTATGAACTTAATATACATCAAGAGAGTAGATCTTATGTTGTGTTCTTACCACAATAAAAAATAACAATTTTTTATAATTATTGCATCTTATTGACTAATTGACCCTTTTATCACTTTATATTTTTTGTTTCTTGTGTCAATTTTGACTTAAAATCTATTTTTTTCTGATGTACATATAAATTGGTTACCATTTGCATAGAGTATATTTTTCTATTACTTCACCTTCAGCTTATGTGTGTGTAAAGCAAAAGTGCATCTCTTACATACAACATGTAGTAATATCTTGTTTTTTTTCAAATCTATTCATCTAGTGTATTCTTTATTGAGGAATTTAATCCATTAAATTTAAAGTAATTGCTGATGGAGAGTAACTTATTATTGTCATTTTGTTAATTGTTTTATGTTTGTCTTCTTCTTTTATCCCTCTCTTTCTCTTGTTGTCTTTCTTTGTAATTTGTTAATTTTTGTAGTGATATACTTTAAGTTTTTTTTATATTCTATAGGTATTTTCTTTGTGGTCACAATGATGTTTACATAAACCATCTTATAGTTAGAACAGTCTATTGTAAGCTGATATAAACAACTTCATTTACATACAAAAACTCCACACTTTTACTTCTTCCCTACTCCAATACTTTGCAATTGATGTCATAATTGACATGTCTTTATAGTGTGCATTCATTAACATATCGTATATTTTAAAAATATCTTCCTATTTTTACTTTTATACTATAATTCAATGTGATGTACTTACCACCATTATCATATTACAGTATTCTGTATTTGTCTATATATTTCCTTCTACCAATGAGGTTTATAATTTTGTATGCTTTCATGTTGCACTTCAGCATCCTTTCATTTCAATTTGAAAACTTCCTTTAGCATGTCTTACAAGCTAGGTCTAGTGGTGATGAACTCTCTAAGCTTTTTTTTTTCTTCAAGTTTTATTTTCAGTTCAGGGGTACCTGTGCAGAATGTGCAGGTTTTTACATAGGTAAACATATACCATGGTGGTTTGCTGCCCAGATCATCCCATTGCCTAGGTATTAAGCCCAGCATCCATTAGCTATTCTTCCTGATGCTCTTCTTCCCCCAAACCCCACTTCTGACAAGCCCCAGTGTGTTATTTCCCCCATGTGTCCATGGGTTCTCATTATTCAGCTTTCACTGGTAAGTGAGAATGTGTGGCATTTGGTTTTCTCTTCCTGCTTTAGTTTGCTAAGGATACTCCTTTCATATCCCTGCAAAGGACATGATCTTGTTCCATTTTATGGCTGCATACTATTCCACGGTGTATATGTATCACATTTTCTTCATCCCGTCTATCATTGATGGACATTTAGGTTGATGCCGTGTCTTTGCTATTGTGAATAGTGCTGCAATGAATATACATGTCCATGTATCTTTATAATAGGATGATTTATATATTTTGGGGTATATACTCAGTAATTGGATTGCTGGTTTGAATGATATTTCTGCCTCTTGGTCTTTGCAGAATTGCCACACTGTCTTTCACAATGATTGAACTAATTTACACTCCCACCAACAGTGTAAAAGTATTCCTTTCTCTGCAACCTCACCAGCAACTGTTGTTTTTTGACTTTTTAATAATAGTCATTCTGACTGACATCTCTCTAATCTTTCATTTGTTACAAATGTCTTTATCTTTTCTTCATTTGTGAAGGACAGTATGCCTTTTGCAAGGTATTACATTATTCATTGATAGCTTTTTTTCTTTCAAGACTTTAAATATACTATCTCACTCCCTTCTAGCCTATAAGGTGAATGCTAAGACATCTGCTGAAAGTTTTATGGAAACTCTCCTCTATATTACAAGTAGCTTTACTCCTGCTTTTTTAAAATTATCTCTTCTTCTTTGACTTTTGACAGTTTGATTATATTGTACTATGGTGTGTTCTATTTTAGGTTTAGCCAATTTAAAATCTGTTGGACTTTATATATGCTTTCCTCACTAAGCTTAATTATTTCTAGCTTTTTATTTAAAGAGAGAGGCATGTAACTCTTCTCTTCACTTGAACATTTAGAGACAATTGTAGGGTTATTTATGAATGAAGTAATAGTGTTGTGTCTTGGGAAATAAGGAGGCCTGAATGAAGAGAGAGAAATAGGGTAATAGACAGGTAGTGAAACATTCAGAATACACACCATTTATTGTTTAAGTTCACCATATTATGTGGGCATAGTTAGTGGCACCACAAAACAATGAAAATAGTAATATCAAAGATCAATCACTGACCACAGATGAACATGATAGACATGAAAACAATGAAAAGGCTCGAAATATTGTAAGAATTATTGAAATATGAGGAGACAAGGAGTGAGAACATACTGTTTGAAAACTGGCACCAGTAGACCCTCAATGTAGGGTTGCTACAAGCCTTCAATTTGTAAAAAAAAATGGAGTATCGGTGAAGTGCAATGAAACAAAGCACAATAAAATGAGCTAGGCCTATACAAATTAAGAAACTCATAAAGTGACAGTATATTATGTTTACCTTGAGTTTTATTCATTACATTATTCTTCTTTCCTATCTGAAGTTTCCAACCTTCTCCTGCTTTTATTTATTTTTATTTTTTGAGAGCTTTTTTTAGCCATTCCTTAATGGTCAATGTGGTAGCAACAAATTCTCTAATTTTTATCCATCTTAGGATGTCTTGAAGGATAGTATTGCTGGATATAGGCTCAACCTTGACTTTTTTTTGTCATTCAGAGTTTAAAAATCTGTGCCACTTACTTCAAGCCTCCATGATTTTAGATGAGAAATCTGTTATTCAAATTGGTGTAACTCTGTAGGTAATATCTATTTCTATAATTTTGTCTATCTAGCTATCTAGCTGTTTCTATTTTTTTCTTTGTGTTTAGTTATTTAGCGTGTAATTATGATGTGTCTTGGTTTAGATTTCTTTAGGTTTTCCCATCTGGAGTTAACCCGATTTTTGAAATTTGTAGATTTATGCCTTTCGGCAAGTTTGGGAACTTTTAAGCCATTATTTCTTCAAATATTTTTCCATCTCACACTCTCTTCTATTCTCTCCTGACTAATCAACAGTGCAAATGTTGAACTGGTTTTTATTGTCAGGTTCTTAAGGCACTGTTTTTTTTGTTTTGTTTTGTTTTCTACTTTTTCTTTGAGTAAATTTCATTGCTTTGTCTTCAAACTCACTGATGCTATACTCTGTCCTCTCCTCTCTGCTACTGAGTATCCAGATTTTTTTTAAATATTGGCTATCATATTTTGCCTTTCTTTTATTTGATTATTTTTATAATATCAATTTTTAATGAGATCTCTTTTTCATCATTTTCAATAAAATTCATAATTGCTTATTGAAGAATTTTATGATGGCTGCTTTAGAATTCTTGTCAAACAATTTCACCACTGATTTACTTTGCTATTGACATCAGTTGATTGTCTATTGTCACCGAACTTGTGATTCTCGGTCCTTTGTTCTTAGTATATCTCATATCGTTTGCTCATTATATTAGAATACTTTTGATCCTTTTTCAGTGTTGTATTTTAGCATGCAGTTGCCTTATTTAGGTTTAGTCTGGCTTTAGTTTAAGTTTTGTTCTGGCATAAATTCTGGTTTGCTTATGTGAGCTACAACCCCAGTGTGTTTAGATTTCAGACCCATTGCAATGCTATTGTAGAGGTTGAGGTGTTGGACCTGGGTCTCATTATAACACTCGCTGGAGATGCTAAGCTTCTCTGATACTACGTTTTTGGGCTGATGACCCTACCCACAAGTAGCTGGTTATGGAACAGGGGTTGGATAGTTGCACTGTGATTTTGCTGCTGCTGCTGCTCTTGTTGCTGTTGCTGCTGCTGTGGTAGAATTAGACCGCTGGCTGGAGATCTGGCTGTGGAGTGGCCAGGGTCCTCGCTGCCACTGTGGACTTTATTTGCTCCACTGGAGATTCTCCTGTGACTTTATGGGTAAATTGGAGATACTGCCAGTGTGTGGTTGTGAAGAAGGGATTGAAACACCCCACTGGCTCTCTGATGTGCTTCGGCTTCCCGTTCTTTAGCCAGGTTTTCTTATTTGTTTGATCATTTTGTCTACAACTGTTGGTGGTTTTGGATTGCAGTCCAAACCTCTCCAGTCTCCAATCCACAATACAAACAAAAAACAAAAACCCAGAGAACTCACCGTGTTCTTTCCTCAAGTCCTGATATCCCTAATAAATTCACCTTCTTCTTACCCAGAGTTATATTTTGGTTTTCTGTTGAATTATTTCTAGGGCTTTCAGTTGTATTTAGAGGAGAGGAGGAGGGAAAGTGAGTCTATGCCATCTCTTTTCAGAACCAGAAGCCCCTAGTTATTTAATTTTTAATACTGCAAAAAACTTTTCATTAGGACATATGTCTTCATATGCCCTCAATGCACAAATGGCCTCTCAAAGTGCTATCTCCCAGTAATATCACCTTCATTGATATATGATCACTGCCTACTGGATATCTCTTAAATGTGCAACAATCATCTCAGACTGAACATGTCAGAACAAAATTCTTATTTTCTTCCTCAAAAATGCACCTTCTAAAATCTGCCTGTTTTTTGTAAATGCCATCATCATAACATCGTTACCTGATTTTTAAGCCTGCTCCCCACAAAAGAATTATTCTTGGTTCCTCTTTTTTCTTTCGCTTTCATATCAAAGCCAAGATCTATCTGCACTAGATCAAGTAGATCTAGCTACACTATTTTCTAAATACATGTTCACTCTAACTGCTTGTTATCATGGTCACTTCTACCATCATCTACTCTGCCTGAATTACTAAAACAACTTCCTCATTGATTTCCTGCTTCCATTCTTGGTGCGTGTATAATGGTCTCTTCTAGACTTTGTAGCTAGAGTCATTTTTTATTAATGTAATTGACAACATTTCAGTTCTTTTTTAAAACCATTAGCTGTCTGCTTCTGCAATTAGAAGAAAATCTAAATTTTTAATCACGTATTTCCAGACTCTACAATGTAGAGTCTATATGACCAGATGCCTGGCTACTTCTCTGAACTTTTTATAAAACTTTCTCCTTTATTTACCAAATTTCAGCTACTGTAGCCTCTTTCTGTTCTGCAAACATGCCAAACTAATTTACTCTTAGCATACTAACTTCTTTGACTGCCTGAAACAGTCTCCCTAGTACTTTGTGTGAATGATCGCTTTTAATCCCTCAAGTCAAAGTTCAAACTTCTTCCCAAAGATACTTTTCTGTCCACTCAATTTTAAGTATCCTCCTGTACATCTACCCAGTCATTTTCTTTCCCTTTTTTCCCCCGCTAACATTTGTCACTATCTGTAGATATATTATGTATGTGTTTAATTGCTTGGTTACATGTTTATTGTTTCTCTTTCTTTCTCATTTGAATATAAGCTATCACAAGCAGAAAACCTATTGTTTTTGTTCCCTGCTATTTACTCATTAATAAAAACACAATCTTGTACTTAGTAGGTGTAATAAATATTTGTTAAATTAATGAATGAGTAATCTCTCTTGATTTCTACCCAGTTGTAAGCCATTAGCAATACAGGGCTTGCTTTACTTACCTACAATGCCTGGTATATCACAGTTTCTCTGTATCACATAAATTAATCATTTTGAAATGCTGATAGTTTTGCTTGATTAATTGTTTGGTATTTGTCATTCTTGACTATTGTGCAAGGACATGCCAATAATTTGAGTGGAGACAAAAATGAGCTTAAAAGAGTTCATAAAAGGCTTGCTATAAATTGATTCTGTTTAGTCTTCTCAATGAATCTATGCCAAATCAGTGTTACTCTTCCCCCAGATGTAATTTTGGCACTGTCATCTAAACCCCTCTGTTTTTGATCCTTACCTTCTGACTCTTTTGCCTTCTTCTACCTCTTTTTTTCTTTTTCAGTTAATTCATAAAGTGGGGTGTCAAGGACAGCTGGATCCATGTAGCTAACCAGGTGCTCTAATGCTACAGGTGCTCTTCGTGACTGAGCCAATTATACTTATTATCCCCAGAGAAAGGCAACTTCAGTGCCACCTTTAGCCTTCTTGGGGACTTTAAGTGATCAAAGCTTTCTTCTTTGAAGTAGAAAGTTTTATTTATTTAAATAAAATCAATAGCAATGTGATAGCAAAGGGACTCATATGTTCTCCAGTTTGCACATGATCTTCACACTTTTTAGGAAAAGTTTACTGGTTATAGGATCTCAATATCTATGAAAGGGAGACCCCAAGAAGGAAGGAAACATGAATGAGAGTTGACAGTTCATACCCACTAGAAGACAGCTACAAAATGTTATTTGAAATGAAAAATGGTTTAAAAGTGAGTTTCTCCTTCATTGGAGACAGAATGTTTGGGTACATTTCTGAGTCAAGTGCTGTTTGAAGTATTTATCAATGAAGACAAATCTATTTTTAGCAAAATGCTTACTCTAGACTTTCACTCTTCATCATTAAGTAAAATCTAGTGTAATTCCCCCTTTTCCCATAAAACGTCCACATGGAAAATCTTGTCTTTACTGAACTCACTGTATAATTTTACTAGTTCAAATGCTACCTACTCTGTGAAATCTTACTTGTCTCAATCTAAGTTGTGAGGAGCTTCCTTTAATCATATGATATTAAAATAATCTGTTTAGATAGCTATCTCTCCCAGTAGAATCTGGGACCATGACTCAATCTCAATGTGTCTTCAGAAGCTAGAGTTGTCTAGCTTGTCTTATTCACTAAAGTATATTTAAAATGAATTTAGGTGCACACTGTGTTTCGTGTCTCATTACTTCTTCTTGTTTTTCTGTATCAGGAGATGATTTCCCCCAAAGCATCACTCAAAAACCAATTCTGAATAGATAAGGGCCAAAGGTTGAATGTCTTCATCTATTAAGCTGCATCCCCTTAGGAGTAGGAAATTATGTCTGTATTTTCTCTCTAATGCTGTACCTAAAGATATGTCTGACGCAGAAGAGGCACACAGTAAATATTGGCTGAAAATGTAGATACAAATATAACTTTAAAAGGAAGATTAGTAGTACAAAGTTGAATCTGTAAATTTGACTTCTGAAAGTAACAGTCTAAGTTTATGCTGTATTTGTAAAGCAGAAAGAAAAAAATAGAATTACTCTTGTTCAATTTTTTCTGAGACAAAAATTTGCTGAGCTATGTCAATGCCACAAATAGAAGGGGGCAAAAATCCAAGTTCCAAGATGGACTGAAGCTGTTAAAAAAAGTTTTACATTTTCAACCTAGAGATAATCTGTTATTGAGAATAATGTTTCCTTTAATTCCCTAAGAGATTGAATATTTGCTGAATATTCTTGTACTACTTTCTCTCTACATTTTGGCAGCATAAATTGTTAGACTTTGTGTGTTTTGGGTGTTTGCTGTGTTGCTATTTTTAGCCCTCAGTACCAACTGAGCAACAGAAAAACCGGGACTGGAAGTAATAAATTAGGGTTCATTTTTGAGCAAGATCCATCTCAGAGAGTGGTAGGTCCCCTTAAAATTCTTAGAGGAGATTCTTAATTTAAACAGATTGTTGCATTTCCATTCCTCATCTAAAGTTTTATTTTTAAGCCCTTGCTGGGAAGGGTCTAAACATCAAATGAATTTAGATGTTTTAGCCATACACTTCAGTAATTTAAGATCAAATGTTGCTTTTTTATGGAGGGGAAAAAGAGTTATCTGAGAGTTTCTACTTGTAGACAAATAGAAACTTCTGACCCAGGTAAACTGTACCCATGAATGCCTCGATGCATGAATCAAATAATGCATGAAATAATCAATGCATGAAAGAATCAAATCATGGAGATAGGAAACGAAAATATGATAGAAAAGTAGGCAAAGACACAATATAAAGTATTTATTACATAGTTTGATTTTGTTTTATGTTTTAAAATAAGAATGAAGAAACACGTGCCCCAAAAATGATAACTTTACTTTCCCTCCTTTAAATTTCTAAATGTAGAAATTTGGAAATACTAGAGGAATAGCTAGCATAATGTCATTCTGATTCTTCATTCTAACCTAACGCCAATAGAAAAGACAGTAGATGACTGACAGAAATAGACAACTTAATCTAAAATGTATATGAGAAGACAAAGCCAAAAGATAGTCAAAATAATGAAGGAAAATAACAAGGTGGGAAGCAAGAAACAAAGATTTATTAACAAGATATAAAGATTTGTTTTAAAGGCTACCAATTAAAACAGTGTAATTTTGACTTAGTGATAAACAAATAGACCAAATTGAAGAGAGCAGAACTCTAAGAACAGACTGATGGCAAAGTAGAATTATAATCCTTGTTATATTTGTCATTGCAGATAAGTGGGTAGAGGATGGATTACTCAATGGGTAGTGTCTTCTACATTTGTTATACATATGGGGAAAAAACAAATTACAATTCTGACTTTTCACAAAAATATTTTGTGGATAAACTGCTTAAAAGTGCAGGGCAAAACTATAAAACATTAGAAAAATATGAACTATTAATACATGTATAACATAAAAGAGAAGTAGTTCTTAAACAAAATGTAGAGAAATAATAATATGACTACATTAAAAGAAATAAATGCCACCTCTGAAAACCTACCACAAACAAAATGAAAAGACATACCACAAACTTAGAAAAAATATTTGTGTCATATTTATGACACAAATAAATATGGCATCAAAATAGTATTCTTATCTAAAATTGTGAGACTCTCAATATGAAAGAGATAAGGAATATAGTAGAAAAATGGATAAAGGACTTAGGCAGGCACTTTACTAAGAGTAAACACAAATAAACTGTGGGAGTGACGTAAAAGTAATTAAATCATGTATTTAATTTAAAGTTGTTTTTAAAGTGCAGTCCCTTAGGGCATCTTATGAGAGCATTTGAAAGTTCTCTATTGAAAAACTCACATTATTCCAGACCTCAAAAAATGTGCATGCATACAGTTGCAGGAAAAATTAGCAGCTCACAGGAAGAAAACTCATGAAATACCCAGAAAAATAAGGGATATAAGCTAGTCAGCAGGAACAGCCTAAAAATTAAAGACACTGAACTTAGGAAATGACAAAATAAAATGTTTAGTCTTTTATAAATAATTCATTTGAAAGGATACAAAATATGAATAAGGAATACACACATTTTTAGGTCCCTCCCCCCCAATGCTAAATGACGAGTTAATGAGTGCAGCACACCAGCATGGCACATGTATACATATGTAACTAACCTGCACATTGTGCACATGTACCCTAAAACTTAAAGTATAATAATAATAATAATAAAAAGGAATACACACATTTTTTAAAAGAACTTTAAAAATAAAAAATAGGTAATTGAAATAAAACATTCATTGATAGTGCAGAAATAATGTGATGAGATGGAAGATTTTAGATGCAAGGAAGAGTAAAAAGCAAAGAAAGTAGTACACGTGGATGTATAAACACAAATATTTACTGGTAAAAAAATAATAATTCTACTTAGAGTATTGTTCACAAAAGAGTAAGAAACATGATTAACTTTAAAACATAAGTGTTCATTTTAAGATGTAAAGTCTACACACTAAAATATAAAAGGAATATATAATTTACAACAAATTTATCAAAAAATACAAAAACTACAATAAAATATTAATTCTAAAGGCAATAAAAAGAGAAGAGGAAACATTTTTAAGAGGTTGGTGTTGACAGAATGTAGAAGATATCTAGGAAAGCCTACAGAGTGTTGGCATTTTGCAAAGTGCAGGAGTGTTATCAACACATTAGGTGCACTGTCAAAAATAGTCCAGGGCCCATGTGACGTGAAATTACACAGGCGATCCTCCTGGTGATTCTTCCTCAGGGTGGCGTTTTAAAAATGCCAAAGGACACCCCTAAACAAGATAAAATCAATCAGGGGAAACATGTGCACTAGCCAATTCTATCTTTGAGAAAGTGTTGGAGTCGGGTTGAGAAGAGTATTTATTATTTATTTATTCATTATCTATTTATATTGGTAAAGGGTGATACACAGGGACAGATGTGGATTGAAAGTGAAACGAATTTTACTGAGCTTTCAAGTTTAGAACTCATGTCTACCATATATCTCCCACTGATAAGGATATAGTCAGCAAAAATAATCAAAATATTTTTAATCTACTTTGGTTTATGGGTATAAGCTGGGACCACCACTGCTATTAAGATGCAACCCAGAGCAACTGCTATATTGAGTTGGAAGAAAACACAACAGCTTTCTCTTCCCTGACAACACAGCGGCCTAAGGGTGCCTGAAGAAATGAGGATGAGTAGAAGGAAGGGAAAGATTCTTTCTTCATTCTCCTACTCATTGTATTTCAGTCCACTTTTCTTTTAGTGCTGCTCGTGTGATATGAAACAGTTTAATCTCCTGAGTTCAAATATTGTTGTCCACATCTTATCTGTGTGGCCTCAGGTCAGTTATTCAGTGCCTTAGTTTCATCACATGTTTGTCCATCATCATAGTTATACTACCCACCATCTAGCCCTATTGTGAGTATTACACGGTTCACAATATGGATGGTTTACTTATAATAGTGACTGGCCCATAGACAGCACACAATAAATGTTTACTCTTTTTGTGGCTTACAGACAGTCATTTACTATTTCCAACATAAAAGTGACCATTTAAGGACGTGAATGCAGTTTGACCTAAATTTCAAATGTGTGCATTTTATGTATATGTCGCCTATTTTTTCTTTTCACTTATATAAAACTTATAATCCAGCTTGTTAGTGGATGACAAGAAAACAAAATTTAGCGGTAAGTAATTTGCAAATTATTTGTTATGAAATTTAACACATTTAACTTCGTTTATGCTTTTTCCTTGATGTTATAAAGACAGTTTTAAGTTGGATACTAAAGTTAGAAGCGACCAAGTTATAATTAAGTTACTGTTTTCCAGGTAACAAGTATTATTAGTTTTTTTGCCTTAAAATATTAGATTTTTGTTTCCTTTTTTTTTTTTCCCGAGACAGAGTCTTGCTCTGTCACGCAGCTGGAGTGCAGTGGCGTGATCTCGGCTCACTGCAACCTCCACCTCCCTGGTGCAAGCCATTCTCCTGCTTCAGCCTCCTGAGTAGCTGGGATTAGAGGTGTGTGCCACCACTCCTGGCTAATTTTTGTATTTTTAGTAGAGGCAGGGTTTCACCATATTGCCCAGGCTGGTCTCGAATTCCTGGCCTTAAATGATCCACCCACCTTGGTCTCCCAAAGTGCTAGGATTACAGGTGTGAGCCGCCGCACCCAGCCTACATTTTTGTTTTCAACTTTCAGCTATGGTTTCCTGTAGAAAATCTGAACTTTGAAACATCTCAGATCATTTTAAAAGATTATTCAGAAGGCAAGTAGCTCTTTTGTGGATAAAATATTCACTGGCTTCATCTGAACTTACTATTGTCATACTTTCTTCCAAATAATCAAACTCACCACTCCAGTGCTTTGGTCATGGCTTGGTTTATGAGGATATATCTAACAGAGATCTTGAAAAAGAGATATATTAAGTTATTCCAGAAATACATTTTCACAAAACCAAAAGGAAAACAAAAACCAAATGAGAAACAAAGGACAAAAGTACATTTATTTCCATTTATTGCTTGAATTGCATTTAAGTTACGTATATTTTTTTAACAGGATGTTAAAAAGGAAATCATTGTTCTAAATAATTTATATCACACAGTATGTTAATGCCTTTGGGAAAAATGTTAGGTATTAGTAACAATTTTTAAAGCATTATTAAACAAAAGATCACTTAACCTAGCTTCTGATGATTTCATTATTGGGATTCAGTAAGGTCCATTGTTGCATGTAGTATCTTATCATTATGACCAGAGTCCAGATAAAGTGTAATTACTTGGTTCTGTGCAAACACCAGAAAGTTTTTCCTTTTTGTATGCCTTAGGAATTCTTTTAAAACATTGAATAAAGCTACAGTCAGTTCTTCTAGGGGAGATGGAAGATTCATTCACTAATCATATGT
The DNA here is from genome assembly GCF_000001405.40 of Homo sapiens. Lineage (NCBI taxonomy): Eukaryota > Metazoa > Chordata > Mammalia > Primates > Hominidae > Homo > Homo sapiens. The sequence continues at coordinate 35,864,483 of NC_000003.12, forward strand.
TCTAGACTTTCCAGAATAACTTCCTATACTACAGAAACTGAAAAGAAATGAAAGCTGCAATTGTTCTTGTAGTTAGAAGTCTGCATACAACTTACTTTCTATCAGTAACATATACTTGCTCTGACTTGAATTAGAAATAAGTTGATAGCAAGCAAGGTGTCCATTTTGCAAGTTCTGGTTAAAGTGGGAATGCCCTGGCCCAGAAGATAAACAAGTTTTGTTGCAATTTCTTGTAACCCAGTGAGGCAGGAGAACAGGCTCTGGAGGCAGTGAACCTAAGGCCGATTCATGCTGACTTCCTAGAACTAAATCAGAAGGAAAACCCCAACTTTCATGCACAAGTAACAGAAGGACCAGAGGCTACTCTGTTTTCAACCCCCACCCCACTTTTCTGCATGGCAGATAAAAAATTGAAAGTATTTCTGATTGGTCCCCTCCCCAAACCAGTCAGACTGGTGGTAGGTCAAGTCTTCATTTGCATAGGAGTATAACTTTGTAACTTCACTTCAGCCTCCGATTGGTCACTTAAGACAATGCTTGATCATGGGCCACTTCTACATTTCCCTAGGGTTTAAATCAAGTAACCAATGGGAAACCTCTAGAGGGCACTTAAACCCCAGAAAATTCTGTAACCAGTGCTCTTGAGGCACTTGCTTGGCCCACTCCCTTCCCTGTGGAGTGTACTTTCAATAAATTTCGGCTTTTGTTGCTTCATTCTCTTTGCTTTGTTTGTAAATTTTGTCCAATTCTTTGTTCAAAATGCCAAGAACCTGGACACCCTCCACAGGTAGCACCAGATCACTAATAAGGTGATATGTTTCCAAAACCAACAGTTCTTGCGATAGTTTTCTGCTACCCAAATTTAGCTAAGGTGATTTGTTTCTACAAATTGGCGCAGTTGCTTTGTGATTTTGAGCTTCCTGGCTGAGGCAGAGGAAGCAGTTTTCTTTATGAGCTAGTGTGCTGTGTTGTTCTAAGGGTCATCCATAGAGCCTCAGCCTGGAGACTGCTCCCGTGGTTCATCCAATAATTTTGTAAACCTTTAATTCCATGTATTACACTCTGTATCTGCTTAAACTGTCAAGTGTATTTTTGTTATCAACAGTTGAGTTCAAACTGATATAGTATTTGGTACCAGAATAGGTTGCAGACAAGAATAACATCCTTTAAGTGCTTATTGAATGTTAAGGACTGGTGGCAGTAGGATCTTGAAAGTGAAAGGTAGGTGAAAATTTAATCATGAATAAATTCCAATGACCACTGCTGTTTAGAAAGTTGTAGATTTTTTTGGCCAGGTGCGGTGGCTCACGCCTGTAATCCCAGCACTTTGGGATGCTGAGGCAGGCAGATCATCAGGTCAGGAGTTCGAGACCAGCCTGACCAATATGGTGAAACCCCGGCTCTACCAAAATTACAAAAACTTAGCGGGGCATGGTGGTGTGCGCCTGTAATCCCAGCTACTCAGGAGGCTGAGACAGGAGAATCACTTGAACCCGGAAGGCAGAAGTTGCAGTGAGCCGAGATTGCACCACTGTACTCCAGCCTGGGTGACAAAGCAAGACTCTCTCTCAAAAAAAAAAAAAAAAGAAAGAAAGTTGTAGATTTTTTTACACAAATCAACATGGGCCTGAGGCTGGATGTGTAACTACTGATCAGAAAGAAATAAATGTGTACTTCTCTCTTCTCTGTACAGATTTGCAAAAAAGTGCAAATTTACTGTTGCCTGGGGGGATATCAGTCTACTTTCACCATTTTATCACACAGATATCAACTCCCATATTATCATAATTTGCTAAGTGAAATGAGACAGACACAAAAGGACAAATGGTGTGTAATTCCACTTATATGAAATATCTAGAATAGGAAAATTTATAGTGACAGAAAATAGATTAGAGGTTCCCAAGGGCAGAGGGGAGGGAAAATGGTGAGTTATTGCTTAATGGGTATAAGGTTCTTCTTTAGGGTGATGGAAAAGTTTTGGAAATTGATAGTGGTGATGCTTGCACAACATCATAACTATAATTACATCATTGAATTATGTCCTCCAAATAGTTGACAATTTTATGTTATATTTTAGCATAGTAAAAACATTTCTAAAAATTAAGGCCCTTCTTAATTTTTTATTCTGGGCCTTTCTAGCTAGAAGAGCTCTTGGTTCCTGGGTAGTTCTATTTTGAATCAATAATAGAAACTCCTTCAGTAGGTGACACCTGGAATCTCTCACTGGAGCAGGTGTGCCTGTGTGTCTTAAAGGTATGGGAGTCAACTGGAAGACCTACACAGACCTTAATAACAGTATCTGTCCTTGAGGGCCATGGATGTTACATTAGTTCTGCACAATTATTTCAGGACTTTCCAATTTGAAGAGTCCAAATAGATAACACAAAACAAAGATGATCACAGTGTCAGCTGGGCTCCACATTCCAAATTCAGAAAGCAAGGTAATTCTCTGCCTATAAAGTAATTATCATATGCAATTTTATTTTTTCAAGTTTCAATACTAGAGCTCATTAAAAGTCATAGAAAACAATAAGTGGTATCTAAGACAATGAAAGCAGACAGCAGAAACCTTTTGGTTTCAGCCTATTGACATGCCTATCAATAAGACAGATCTTTTGACTCTATTGCTTGTGTATTTAGGTTTGCTTTTTAAATGTCTTTATTTATTCAACAAACACTCATTTTTTTGCCAATAATGTTCCATCTGATATTCCTCTTAAGAGCTTAATTTTGCTTCTACGGAATTAAGATATATGAGGGAGAGAAGAAACTCATGTAAACCTTCATTTCCTTTTCTAAAGTATTATCTGGAACATTGCTGACTTCTTGCAGTGTCAGGAAATTGGAACATTAGTAACCTCAGGTATGAAGTTTCCCTTGAAATTTTGTTCTTTCCCTTGCAGTTTATCTAATTGTCTCAATTCCCTTCTCTTCTTGGACCCTGTGTCACAGGTGTGCCTCTCTCTAAGGCTGTGTCTTAAAGGCATTGTAATCCACCGGAGGACCTTTACAGACCTTAATAACACAAATTGTTTTTATTCTCCAGCAACTGCAGCATCTCCTGCCTCCCTGGGATAGTCCGCATTTATCCCCCACAGTCCTTTGTGTATGCATATGTTAGAAATGCCCAAGTACTCCTCAAGCATTGATTGTTGGAGTCTGCTGAAGGTATTTTCCATTCTTAGGAAGAGGTCTTTCTGGTAATTTTTAGCTGTACACAGTATTCCTTGGAAATAATTTTCATTTATTGATGCCTGACAGTAAGCATCAGAGGAAAAGTTCCACTGGAATTCAAGAGGTTTGTCTTCACTCAATTTCCAATTATGCTGCATTTTCCTTTTATATTCTACAAATTTGATTGATTGCTTGTTTTAAGGAATGAGGTAAATTAAGCTCAGTCAACTATCTGACATGCTTGTAGCTTGAGACAGCTGAGGAACAGGTGGTCTAAAATGCATAGCCCTTTCAGTTAATTTAGTGGACTCACTTGAATCTAATTCTAAGAAAACCCATCAAGCTGTCAATCAAAGACCCTTGAGTGAAGGGAAGGCAAAGCAACAGGATTAAAGCAAAGCAATTATATTCACCAAGCAGAAGACTTTATTTCATGAAAAGAAACAGCAATGCCAACAGATGTTAAATTGGATTAGCTGAAGTTTGTGTTTGTGTTTGGATTTGGATATATATTTTTCCCTATAACTTTTCTGAAAAAGTCCATAGAAGTGTTCTATTTTACTTTTAAGACCAAATAAGCCACTGTATAATCTCTGTTCACTGGCTGGAGTTTGCATTTTTCTTTACTATGATGGGTGAAAAAGTTTTCTGCTTTAAAAACCAGGTCTTTGGCTTTCTGTCAGTACACACGATTTTTGAAACATGGTGTCTTCTATTCTCCATCTGTTATATCCCTAATATTTATTAAAACTCCTAAACACCCAAGATAGACCAGTTAGGTGTTATAACACCTAACATAAACAAGTTCTAGAATGTAAAATAATGCCTTGTGCAGTAGGAAATTGAAAAGCAGCAGCCCAGTAGAACAATGGGCAAAGGATATGAAATGAGGGGGTTTCAAATGGCTAATTATTATCAGGAGATTCAACATTGGTTAGCAGTAATCAGGGAAATGCAAAACTGTATTGATCTGGATTGGTTACTGTATGGTAGATGCACCTGACAGTGGTAATCTGCTCATACCCTAAGAATAATCCTGTATGGCAGATGCACCTGAATGTTCAGGTTTTGGCGCTAAGGAATCCAGGAGTAGCCAACCTGGAGATCCATTCCTTATCTAAGAGGAACATCTGTGTCCCTGGCCCAGCCCCTGGAAGCATGCCATACTAGAGATCGAGACCCTTTGTTACGGGTTAAACGAAGATTGCCAGGTGGAGGTTGTTAGGGGGAGAGTGTTAAGTGAAAATTTTGTGTAAACTGAATGCTTTCTGAAAGTGGTTGCAGTTTTTCTGTCCAGCCCACCACCACTGGACTCTCTCCCCTGTATAGAAGCTCCTGATAACACCCCATGTCTCATTCTCTGGTTCTGGGTCTCTTCTTTGGCCTCTTGAACCTGGTGCCATCCCCGTTGGAGTCAATAGAGTTTTGGCACGACAGCTACACACTGTGTTCTATTTGTAAAAAGGTATTGAGATGTACACATGTATACTTTTCTGTATGTTTATTACATTTCAATAAGGAGTTGAAAAAGGATCAGAAGGTAAAATACTTAAAAAAAGATGTCAATTTATACCCTTACAGACTGGCAAAGATCTGAGCAACTGAAATATCAAATATTTTAGAGTTGTAAAGAAATGTGGTACCTTCCGCACTCTTAGTGGGAACATAAACCGGTACTCTCTTCTGAGACAGAAAAAAAATCTGGCACTATTTAGTGGAACTGAGAATGCTCAAACTCTAGAACACAACAATCCCACTCCTGGATATAACAAAAAAATTATAATTTAGGATCTCAAGGAGAAATGTAAAAGATAATGAGTAGAAATAACAGTTCCTTAAATCTGATATTAAATAAGATATGCACATAAAGTGCCTGGGATCGTGCCTTTCACCTATGTGGACCACATACATACATGGTAACTAATGTGGCAGGGAAATGGAGAAGATGGAGATGGGACATACCTTGTTGGATGCAAGAAGAAATGCAAAAATAACTGAACTCACAAAGTTAAATGTGTTTAGGAGTAAATGACATATTTCTCCCTCGATTCCTAGGCTTGTGGAAGAAAGAGGAAACAAGAGAAAAAAATTATTTGCAGATGAGGAAGTTCATGACAAAAAGGTAATGAAGCCTGCCTGAAACAACTCAAGTTTCCAAAATGTCTCTGGGGCCACAGGAAGCCTCAAAAGCCATCCTTGGAGTTCAGATGATATCCTGAAAAGCCACTGAAGAAGACAAGGACTTATGAAGTGACAGAACAAAGCAAAGAAATTATATTCAGCTGACATAGGGAATGGCAGAAGGGTAATGAAAGAAGAAGGCCCAGAAGCTGGAGATAAATCAATGAGCAACAATACAGGCAAAAGTGAATTGGCTAGGGCTAATTGGGTTTAATAATTATCATCCCCTCCTCACGCACAAGTGCATCAAAGTAGTTTTGTATTCTCCATCATAAAGATAACCTCCCCAAATTTTATAAACCTAACAGAGAAACCCAAAGTGCCCTATCTCTAGACTCCACTCCAGACAAATGCCTTTTTCTTTTTCTTTTTTTTTTTGTTTTTGTTTTTGTCCTGTTTATGTTGAAAGAAAAGACATTACAGGTGCCATCTGTTCAGCTGCATCACCTCTAGAACATTGCCTGGCGAGATCATAGAGGATCGCTATATCCCAAGGATTAACTAACTCTCCCATAGTTTCATTTCTCATGCCTTACTTTTTCAGTACAAAATACATGCTGTTAGGGATTACCAGAGAAGAAATTCACAGCAGAAACAGCCAAGGAGACAATCTTGCCTTCATCCTGAGTCCCACACAGGATGAAAGAGGTAATCAGAGGTGTTACAGCCTCTTAGACATGTGTAGACTATTGAATTAATTACACAGTTCCACTTTCTCCTGTGTGTCTGGAAATCAAATCCAAAATAGCTACAAATTCTTTGGAGAGCACACCAATAGGTCACTAGCCAGATTCACATTTTATATCATAAGGATTGATTTTTTTTTTTTATCTGGGATTGCATAAGGAGACCATTGAAACCTACATAATTGTTAAATTTGGACAGATTTTCAGCATTGTAAAGACCACGAAACCCCATTTGGCCCCCTGTGGGGTCTTATTATTGCAGTCAGTTAGCTAAATAAATGTGTAATCTGTAACTGCTGGCATAAATTACCTATTTCACAGCCTTCTTCAGAGCATGAAAAAACATCAGAGAGAGACATAGAAATTCTTTTTTTGTAATGCCATTTACTGTGGGCAAATTGATGAAACAGCTTATGTATCTCCTTCACTAAGCAAGTGACCCCTGAAGGGGAATGCATAGCAGCTGGAATTGTTCAGCCAATCAAGGCAAGCAGGTGTAGATGTGACCTACTCGACTTTGCAGCTCAACTTCACAGACTTTACAGATGGGTTAAAGTCTTGCTGTTTTCTCAAAGCTTGGGCCTGTGTCAGCAGCAGCAGCAGCAGCAGCAGCATTGCCAGGGAGCTTATTAGCACACAGATCCTTGAGCCTCACCCCGGACCCACCCGAACAGAATCTGCATTTAAAGCTCCCCAGATGATTCATGTGCACAGTAAAGACTGAGAAGAAATGGTTTGAAGATATGATACTGAGCTGATAAAAAACTGCCCCCGAAGCTATCTGAGGTCTAAGCTCACCACTGAGACATGAGGAAGAAGGATATATGTACTATATTTGTTTACATGGGCTCTGGAATCAGAAAAAAAGGATACAAACACTGGATCAACCTTTACTAGTTCCGTGCCCTTGGGTAAGTTGTCAATCTCTTTACTTTCAGGTCCCTTAACTCTAAAGTGGGATAATAATATTACTTCATAGGATTGCAATATTCATGCTGAGCTCAGAGAACGTTGCCTCTGAGCCCTCAATATCAGTTCTCTTTCAATAGTAGTATGATTCGAAGGTATAGATACTGATGGCATAATTTGGGAAAGCATAACTGAGTCCTATCACCTCTGCTGCAGACCTTGATTATCCTTGATTATAAATACTGCTGCAGGGTCCTCTGCTTGCCTCCTCCTGGCTCAGTTCTCTGCAAGAAAACGTGGATCCTCCAATGTAAGATTCGAATACATTTCTCAGTTCCACTGATATTGGGTAAGAGACCACTTTTTACAACATCCTAAGGTCTTACATGGTGAATAAAGTAAGGCAAAGAAAATGTATAGGGATCCTTTCCATGCCAATAGCACTCACACAAACATGATGAATGTTTCTAAAACCCACCGGACTTTCTGTAAGAAGTGGGGCAAGCACCAACCTCGCAAAGTAACACAGTACAAGAAGGGCAAGGATTCTCTGTAGGCCCAGGGAAAGTGGCGTTCTAACAGGAAGCAGAGTGGCTATGGTAGGCAGACTAAGTAGATTTTCTGGAAAAAGGCTAAAACTACAAAGATTGTGCTAAAGCTTGAGGGTATGGAGCCCAACTGCAGATCTAAGGAAATGCTGGCTATTAAAATACGCAAGCATTTTGAACTGGGAGGAAATAAGAGAAAGTGCCAAGAGATCCAGTTCTAAGTGTCATCTTTTGTTTTATTACTGTATTAGTCCGTTTTCACACTGATGATAGAGACATATCTGAGACTGGACAATTTACAAAAATAAGAGGTTTAATTGAACTCAATTCCACGTGGCTGGGGAGGCCTCACAATCATGGTGGAAGGTAAGGGAGTTGAGGATATGTATAATGGGTATAAACATACATTTAAACAGAAAAGAATGTTACAATGTTTGATAGCAGAGTAGGATGACTAGAGTTGACAACAATGTATTGTATATTTCAAAATAGCTAAGAGGGGACTGCAAGTGTTTCTAACACATAAAAATCATAAATACTTGAAGTGATTGATATTCAAACAACTCTGACTTGATCATTATACATTCTATGCATATAACAGAATACTACACATACCCCATAAAAATGTATAAACATATGTCAATAAAAAGTGAGAGAAGGACCGGGTGCAGTGGCTCACGCCTGTAATCCCAGCACTTTGGGAGGCCGAGGCAGACGGATCACTACATCAGGCGTTGGAGACCAGCCTTGCCAACATAGTGAAATTCTGTCTCTACTAAAAAAAAATACAAAAATTAGCTGGGCATGGTGGTGGGCGCCTGTAATCCCAGCTACTCGGGAGGCTGAGGCCAGAGAATCGCTTGAACCTGGGAGGCGGAGCTTGCAGTAAGCCAAGATTGTGCCAATGCCCTCCAATGCAGCCCAGGCAACAATGAAAGACTGTCTCAAAAAAAAAAAAAAAGTGAGAGAAGACACTTATTATAGCACATATAACTGACAAATGGCTATGAATATGTAAAGAAGTCATATAAATCAATAATAAAATATAACCTATTTTTTAATTGGCAAAAAAATATTAACTTCATAAAAGAGAATACTAAAAATGCCATAAACATGCAAATGTGCTCAATCTCATTAGTCATTATGGGAATGCAAATTAAAAAGACAATGAGATACTATCATATTTTACTAGAATGGTGAAAATTTAAAAGACCGAGAAATTCAAGTGTTGCCAAATATGTGGTACATTTTGAGGGCTCATTCACAGCTGCTAGAAGTACGAATTGAAATTACTGCCTTAAAAAATTATTTAGTGTTACATACCAAAGTTTAATATGTCTATACACTACAATTCTACTTCTGGTTAAATATAAAGTTAGAAATAAAATGAAAACATGCTGTATAATGTGTATATAAAATATATCCACTTTTGCACCAAAATGCATGCATAAGAATTTTTATAGCAGTGTTTTTCATAAGAGCCAAAATTTGGAATTTGAATATGGCTCAAAGTCCATCAAGTCTAAATAATAAATCGTGATATATATTTATACAATAGAGTACTTTACATACAACAATGAAAATCAACATTTCACAGTTAGTTATACACAGAAACATGGATGAAACTCACAGAGAAACTAAGTGAGCCAAAAAAGCCAATGCAATAGACTATTTTATATACAGGGGTTACCTATAAGATAGGGATTGCCTTTTCAGAAAAAGGGAAGGATAATTATCAGGAAGACCAAAAGGTAGCTTTTAGGGTTCTGGTATTCCATGTCTTTACCTAGTGGGAATTACATAGGTGTACTCATGTTCTGATAGTAAATATGTGAGATTTTCCTGCATGTGTTATACTGTAATAAAAACTTAAAACATAGGGGTTTATTTAGTGGCTACAGAATCTTGGTTTGGGAAAATGAAAAAATTCATGAGATAGACAGTGGCAATGGTTGCACAACAATGTGAATGTACTTAATGTCCCTGAACTGTACACTAAAACACGGTTAAAATAGTAAATTTTAAATTATGCATATTTTACAATAACAAACTTTAAAAATAAAATAAATGCAAATAAAATCATGTAAGAAGAAAAGCTGTGAGATGACTCATTAACACAGCATTGGTTAAAGTACAGAGGAGAGTTGAGCAACACGCTTAGGTACCCCAGCAGACATTATGTTATGTGGAGCAGTATGGGGAATTACCAGAGAATGCTGAGCAGATGTGTGTCATATTCCAAGGTAAATTCTGTTAACTCTGTGAAACTGGTAGTGATACATGAAATTAATATGTAATATACAAAATTAATCAAAGTAAGAATCAAAAGTTTCCCAAATCCCAAAGCAGTTTTTATTTTGTGAAAACAAAAACAAGCAGACAGCAATTTGAGAATGTAGGAGCTTTTAGCTGATTGCTGTGTTTCACTCACGTCCGTGTGAAGATACCACCAAACAGGCTTTGTGTGAGCAATAACGCCGTTTATTTCACCTGGGTGCAGGTGGGCTGAGTCCAAAAAGAGAGTCAGTGAAGGGAGATAAGGGTGGGGCCGTTTTATAGAATTTGGGTAGATAAAGGAAAATTACAGTCAAAGGGGGGTTGTTCTCTGGCAGGCAGAGTAGGGGTCACAAGGTGCTCAGTAGGGGAGCTTTTGAGCCAGGATGAGCCAGGAGAAGGAATTTCACAAGACAATGTCATCAGTTAAGGCAGGAACTGGCCATCTGGATGTGTACGTGCAGGTCACAGGGGATATGATGGCTTAGCTTGGGCTCAGAGGCCTGACATTCCTGTCGTCTTATGTTAATAAGAAAAATAAAATGAAATAGTGGTAAAGTGTTGGGACAGTGAAAATTTTGGGGGGTGGTATGGAGAGATAATGGGCGATGTTTCTCAGGGCTGCTTTGAGCGGGATTAGGGGCAGCGTGGGGACCTAGAGTGGGAGATATTAAGCTGAAGGAAGATTTTGTGGTAAGGGGTGATATTGTGGGGTTGTTAGAAGAAACATTTGTCGTGTAGAATTATTGGTGATGCCCTGGATACGGTTTTGTATGAATTGAAAAACTAAATGGAATAAGAGAAGGAAAAAAACAGGTATAAAAGGTCCAAGAATTGGAAGGACCTAGGACATCTGATTAGGGAGTGCCTAAGGAGATTCAGCATAGTCCTGCCAGCAAAGATTATTTATTTACTTCAAGAGTTTAGAGTGGCAGTTTAGGGATAGCACCAGGAGATATCAGCTGTGATGGCTTGGAGAAACAGTGTAAACTGGCAATGTAAACAAGAGCAGGGCATGTATGAGTAGTTGAGAACGGTGAATAAGTATGACTAGACAGAAGATAGTAGGGATGACAAGTTTTTTGGGGGCACAGTCTAAGTTGCTCCAGTGTCTGGAATGAGACTGAGGCCTAATAAAAAGGAGCATCTATACGGGAGCTCAAATGGGCTGTACCCTGTAGCATTCTGAGGACAGGTCTGACTTCTGAGAAGGGAAAGTGGTAAAAGTATTGTCCAGTCCTTTTTAAGTTGGTGGCTGAGCTTGGTGAGGTGTGTTTTTAAAAGACATTTAGTCCATTCTACTTTTCCTGAAGACGGAGGACTGTAAGGGATATAAAGGTTTCACTGAATACTAAGAGCCTGAAAAACTGCTTGGCTGATTTGACTAATAAAGGCTGGTCTGTTATCAGACTGTATAGAGGTGGGAAGGCTAAACTGAGGAATTATGTCTGACAGAAGGGAAGAAATGACTGCGGTGGCCATCTCAGAGCCTGTAGGAAAGGCCTCTACGCATCCAGTCACAGTCTCTACCTAGACTAAGAGGTATTTTAGTTTTCTGACTTGGGGCATGTTGAGTAAAGCCAATTTGCCAGTCCTGGGTGGGGGCAAATTCCTGAGCTTGATGTGTAGGGAAGGGAGGGGGCCTGAATAATCCCTGAGGAGTAGTAGAATAGCAGATGGAACACTGAGAAGTTATTTCCTTTAGGATAGATTTCCACGATGGAAAGGAAATGAGAGGTTCTAAGAGGCGGGCTAGTGGCTTGTACTATAGCATAGCCTGCCTTTGCTGGTGTGTGGCGATTAGGCCTGGTGGAACTGCCATCAATAAATCAAGCTTGATCAGGGTGAGGAACAGGAAAGAAGGAAATATGGGGAAATGGGGTGAATGTCAGGTGGATCAGAGAGATACAGTCATAGAGGTCAGGTGTGGTATCAGGAATAATGTGGAAGGCCAGATTGAAGTCCTGGCCAGGAACAATGTTAATTGTGGGACTTAACAAAGAGTGAGTACAGCTGAAGGAGCTGGGAAGCAGAAAGTATGTGTCAGGTATGAGGAAGAAAACAGATTTTGGAAGTTATGAGAAATGTAGAGAGTGAGTTGAGCATAGTTTGTGATTTTGAGGGCCTCTATAAGTATTAGGGTGGCAGCAGCCGCTGCATGGAGACATGATGGCTAGGCTAAAACAGTAAGGTCAAGTTGTTTGGACAGAAAGCCTACAGGGTGCAGTCCTGGCTCTTGTGTAAGAATTCTGACCGCACTAACCATGCCTAGGAAGGAAAGGAGTTGTTGTTTTGTAAGGGATTGAGGTTTGGGGGATTACTCGGACACAATCAGCAGGGAGAGCACGTGTGATTTTATGAGAATTATGCCGAGATAGGTAACAGATGAGGATAAAATTTGGGCTTGATTGAAGTAATGGGACCTGTCTGTGAAGCCTTGTGGCAGTACAGCCCAGGTAATTTGCTGAGCCTAATGGGTGTCAGGGTCAGTCTAAGTGAAAGCAAAGAGAGGCTGGGATGAAGGGTGCAAAGGAATAGTAAAGAAAGCATGTTTGAGATCCAGAACAGAATAATGGGTTGTAGAGGGAGGTATTGAGGATAGGAGAGTATATGGGTTTGGCACCACGGGGCGGATAGGCAAAACAATTTGGGTGATAAGGCTCAGATTCTGAACTAACCTGTAAGCCTTGTCTGGTTTTAGGACAGGTAAAATGGGGGAATTGTAAGAAGAGTTTATAGGCTTTAAAAGGCCATGCTGTAACAGGCAAGTGATAACAGGCTTTAATCCTTTCAAAGCATGCTGTGGCATGGGATATTGGCATTGAGTGGGGTAACAGTGATTAGGTTTTAATGGGATGGTAAGGGGTGCATGATCCGTTGCTAAGAAGGGAGTAGAGGTGTCTTATACTTGTGGGTTAAGGTGGGGAGATACAAGGGGAGGATGTGAAGGAGGCTTTGAACTGGGAGAAAAGGCGGCAATGAGGTATGGCTGTAGCCCAGGAATAGTCAGGGAAGCAGATAATTTAGTTAAAGTGTCTCGGCCTAATAAGGGAACTGGGCAGGTGGGGATAACTAAAAAGGAGTGCTCGAAAGAGTATCGTCTAAGTTGGCACCAGAGTTGGGGAGTTTTAAGAGGTTTAGAAGCCTGGCTGTCAATACCCACAACAGTTATGGAAGCAAGGGAAAGAGGCCCTTGAAAAGAAAGTAATGCGGAGTGAGTAGCCTCCATATTGATTAAGAAGGGGACGGACTTACCCTCCACTGTGAGAGTTACCTAGAGTGTCTGTGATGGTCCTGTAGGCTTCTGAGATGATTGGGCAGCGTCAGTGTTCAGCTGCTAAGCTGAGAAGATCTGGGAAGGAGTCAGTCAGAGAGCCTTGGTCCAGAGTTCCAGGGGCTCGGAAGTGGCTGCCAGGTGAGTTGAACAGTCCAATTTTCAGTGGGGTCCCGCACAGATGGGACATGGCTTAGGAGGAATCCTGGGCTGTGGGCATTCCTTGGCCCAGTGGCCAGATTTCCGGCTCTTGTAGAAAGCTCCTGGGGGAGGAGGTTCTGGAGGAAACCCTGGCAGCTGTGGTTCAGGCGTTTGGAGTTCTTGTGTGCTGGAGATGTGGCTGGGGTTTGTCTCACAGTGGAAGCAAAGAATTGCAACTCAGAAATATGTTGCTACTTGGCTGCCTCTATTATTGTACACCTTGAAGGTGAGGTTAATTAAGTCCTGTTGTGGGGTTTGAGGGCCAGAATTTAATTTTTGGAGTTTTATTTAATGTCAGGAGCAGATTGGATAATAAAATGTACATTGAGAATAAGACGGCCTTTTGACCTTTTAGGGTCTAGGGCTGTCAAGCATCTCAGGGTCACTACCGAATGAGCCATGAAACTGGGCTGGGTTTTTCATATTTGATGAAAGAGCCTAAATGCTCACTGATTTGGGAGAGGTCTGATAAAGAAAAAGGAGCATTAACCTTCACTATGCCTTTAGCTTCAGCCACCTTTTTAAGAGGAAATTGCTGGGCAGGTGGGGGAGGGCTACTCACGGAATGAAACTGTAAACTGGACCGGATGTCAGGAGGGGAGGTGATAAAAAGATTATAGGGTGGAGGAGCAGAGGCTGAGGAAGAATTGGGACCTAGCTCGGCCTGGTGAGGAGCAGCCTGGGGAGGAGGGGAGAGGTCAGATGGGTCTGTAGAAAAGGAAGATTAGAAAGACTCAGCGACGCTTGGGGTTGGGACTGAGAGGACAGGTGGGAGGGAAAGAAGGAAGATTTGGACGAGTTGCACTGGGCACAGAGACTAGGGAGGGACCGATGTGTAAAAGAATGCCTGGACATCAGGCACCTCAGACAATTTGCCTATTTTTTGACAAAAATTATTTAGGTCTTGTAGGATGGAGAAATCAAAAGTGCCATTTTCTGGCCATTTAGAACAACTGTCAAGTTTGTATTGGGGTCAAGCGGCATTGCAGAAGAAAATAAGGCATTTAGGTTTTAGGTCAGGCGAGAGTTGAAGAGGTTTTATGTTCTTAAGAACACAGGCTAAGGGAGAAGAAGGAGGAATGGAGGGTAGAAGGTTGCCTATAGTGAAGGAGGCAAGTTTAAAGAAAAGGGAGAGTAGAGACACAGAGGGAAGAGGTTCAGGGGCTCTTACCTTCCAGAAAAGCGGGAAAGGGGTCGGGGCACAGAGATATGAGGTCGGGGTGTGGAAATAAGGGATCGGAGCACAGAGATATAAGAGGTCGGAGCATGGAAATAAGGGATCGGGGCACAGAGATAAGAGGTTGGGGCATGGAAATAAGGGATTGGGGATTCTTGCCCCCTAGAAAAGCAGGACTTGCCAATAAGGGTGAAGGAGAAGGGGTTGAGGGGTTCTTGCCCCTCCCCCAGAAAAGCAGAGAAGGGGTAGAGACACGGAGAGAAGGGGTTGGGGTACTTGCCCCTCCCCCAGAAAAGCAGGACTTACTGCTAAGGGTGAAGGACCAAGGCAGGCGTCCCTGCGTGGTCTGACACCTCTGAAACGTGAGTGAATAATCAGAGCAGCGTCCCTGCAATGATTAAACACCAAGGGAAGCCTGCCTTCCCAGTCCGTGACCGGCGCCAGAGTTTTGGGTCCATGGATAAAATGTGTCTCCTTTGTCTCTACCAGAAAATGAAAGGAATTGAAATTAAGAGAAGGGAGAGATTGAAGTGTGGCACCAAGATTGAAAGGAGAAAGAGGTTGAGGGATAGTGAGGGAGGTTGGAGAATAGAGTAAAAAGAGGCCTCCTACCGGATTTGAAATTGGTGAGATGTTTCTTGGGCTGGTCGGTCTGAGGACCTGAGGTCATAGGTGGACCTTTCTCACAGAGCAAAGAGCAGAAGGACAGGGGATTGATCTCCCAAGGGAGGTCCCCCGATCTGAGTCATGGCACCAAATTTCACTCACGTCCGTGTGAAGAGACCACCAAACAGGCTTTGTGTGAGCAGTAAAGCTGTTTATTTCACCTGGGTGCAGGTGGGCTGAGTCCGAAAAGAGAGTCAGTGAAGGGAGATAAGGGTGGGGCCGTTTTATAGGATTTGGGTAGATAAAGGAAAATTACAGTCAAAGGGGTGTTGTTCTCTGGTGGGCAGGAGTGGGGGTCACAAGGTGCTCAGTAGGGGAGCTTTTGAGCCAGGATGAGCCAGGAGAAGGAATTTCATAAGACAATTTCATCAGTTAAGGCAGGAACCGGCCATCTGGATGTGTACGTGCAGGTCACAAGGGATATGATGTTAGCTTGGGCTCAGAGGCCTGACACTGTGTCTCGTAAGAAAGACGTGGGAGACAGAGGGCTCTGAGATATACAGTAAAGGAGGTGTCTTTGGCTATGTCTAACCCTGAGCTCCTAGACCAGATTACAGAAACCAGGAAAAATAGGATTGGTGATTGGACATTAATTTTTGTGTACATCTCAGCTAGTGAGATAATAAGAACCTATCACAATAATTTCTAGGATTAAAACATCACCATCACACAAAATTTACCATAGATGCACAACACAGCCAACTTGATAAAGCAAAGTGTCAATTTTTATATATATACATGAATAGATAACTATAAAAATTAATTCTTAGGGATGCTTGGTGCTGATCTCGGTGGAGCAGCCTAGGTCGGGACATTGAATTTCTGAATTCAATGCACCTGACTTTGGATTTCCTTCAGAACTAAGCCCACTTCCACAATTTTTATATTTCAAGTCGAGTGTTTTATAGTACTTGTATTTTGTGTCTGTTTCATTTCTTTTGCTTGTTAATTGATTTTTCATTTATTCAGTTGTTATTTATCCAGACTCATTGAATTATGAATGGTGCTAATGGAATTTAAAGATGAAAGACATCTGAAACTACACCACAAAACACTTATATTCTAGTAAGTTACATCCAAACAAGCAATTACTATAACCATAAAAGATGAAAGAAGTCTCCCCACATCACACTTTCTTTTCAAATGTTCCCCTTGCTATCCCTACAGGATACCTCTTGCATTCCTTCTTTTCTAACATCTTTCCCTACACTTCATTCTTTATTCCTCTGCTCACCGACACTCACACTGACTTTGAATACAAGTTTAGAATTGGTCTAATGAACAGATAACAAGAATGTATTTCCTCTGCTGTTTTAAATAACATTGTTTCCAGCTGAATTATCTCTTTCAGTTTGTATGTACATCCTGAGAGATCATTGCCTAATTTTAGTTAAAGAAAAATGACAAGTGGAGTATGTTCTCATGATGTCTGTGTAGCAGCAGCTTTTCAGTGAACATGGAAACTTGATAGTTTTCATCTCAGAAGAAAATAAAAATTAGGCAGAGACAGTAATGGTGCATTAGACAATAAAAAATATTGAGAATATATGGAAGCAAATAGAGAAATTATAGATATACTTTTAAGTTTGGTTCCAAATCCAATAAACATTGCCAGGAAATAGCACAGATTACAATTGGAAGATATGGCTGATTGTAGGGCCCATTGCTGGACAGAGAGGAATGCATAGGCTGTTGGAATTTTTGTTTGTTTTTTCTGTCTTTGATCACAAGGGCTCATGATGCCAGAAGCTCCCAACAACAAATAATGATTCCTGTTGACCATGGTCCGTGTTGCAATTTCCATGCTTACCTGTCCGTAGCATAAGCCAAGTCAATTATTCATAGCATCAGCAACTTGACTTCCCCCATTTCCAGGATGCTTCTTCAACATTCTAATCCTAAAATGTGAACACCTTAATGCTGATATATGATGTATTAAATAAGAATCAACTGTCCCTAACTCTCCAAATTGACCCTTCAAGGGAAAAGAGACCCTAACTTTAAAAAAAAAAAAAACTAGTTTTCCAGGGTCACCACCTCCCAAAAGACAAAATAGAACAAAACAAAGCCAAAACAGCTTCACTGTGTATTAAAATACAAGCGGTTA
This sequence comes from Homo sapiens, assembly GCF_000001405.40. NCBI lineage: Eukaryota > Metazoa > Chordata > Mammalia > Primates > Hominidae > Homo > Homo sapiens. Next base: position 35,881,680 of record NC_000003.12, read on the forward strand.
TGAAGTTTTAACAACTGTATACATTAAACTTGCTCTCAGGTGGATTTTCACCTGTTTATCCCCACTGCCAGTGTTCCAGTACGAACCCTCATCATCACGTTCTGGATTGTGACTGCCACTGCCAGCTAACTCTTCTCCCAACTTCTAACTCAAATTAATGGAGTGGACTCTCCAAATAGATCTGATCATCCATGGCTTCCCATTGTCATGGGGATTGCATTCAAATTCTTCCATGTGGAATACAAAGTCTGTCACCATCAGGTCCCAAACAATCTTTTCTCCTCTGTCCAGAACTTCCCCCAGCTTGCCCCAGATTTCCTGTGCTCTTCATGTGCTAACTTCTGAAGATCTCCTACTGTGCTGCCTTTATTCAAGCAGTTTCCCCTTCCAGGAACTCCTTTCGTGTTACCAGCCATTTGTGTTGTGTATAATATCAAGTTTAAAACTGGATTCTGTGGTTGCCCTCTTCCAAAAAGTTATTATGTATTTTTATTTTCCCATCCTAAGGCTTCCATGATCTGATCCCTGCCTACATCTCCCCTCTAGAACTCCCTCTTTTCCTCCTCTTCCGAGGTCTCCCATTCTCTATGGGCTGATTCTTCCTTTTCTCCTGGTACATTTCTCCTATTCCTGTCTCAGGCTTCTTCCTATAAACCATTACTGTATGTGAATCTTGCCTCCATGGTCACTCCTAGAGAGGTTACGACTCACTGCCAACGTTCTGACTTATCACACATTAATTCTTTATTCACACATATTCACTTTCTAAGTAAATGGGTAATTGTTATGACTACTGGACTGAAATCTCCCTGAGGTCAGGGGTAGTGACCTGATTGTCCTTTGCCTACATCTGTAACATAGTAACTATTCATTATTTGTTGAAAGACCTCAATATAATAATGAAGTAAATATAACATTTAAATAAATATAAAATATATATTAATCATAATAAAAATAATAAAAGTGCATTATAGAATAATTACAGACTGTCAAACCACCATCATTTTCTCCACTAAATGCAGTGACTTATCCAAGAGAATATGTCTTCATAAAACATCATAATTTGAGAATATTTTTAACTAATTGGAGAAAAGGCATTAGGAAGTTTTATTTATTTCAAATTCACACAATCTCATGCGTAAGTGTTCTTTGAGGTTACTATGTTTAAAGTACACAATAATAATAACTTAATTTTCTTGTTTATGTATAAATTTTTGCTAAAGCATTTATAGTAGCATTATCTACTAAACTTATCTCCTTAAAATATGATTGGCTATCAAATAGTTTGAAACTAAATAATACAAAAAAAAAGCATAAAATCAAATACTTTTACTCAAATTCCACGGATTCCAATGAAAGGAATGTCAGTTGGGATATTTTTACTATGTTTAAGCTTCTAATACTCTCAGTTACATTTTAGCCAGTTCACATAACCCTAATGTTGATTGAAAATTGTCATGTGCTCTACATATTTCTCATGTGAAGACATTTATGACATCTCTTTCAGAGGGGAAGCTTTTTCAAGTTAGAAAAGTCTTTAGTATTATTGTTACAGCTATGATTTGGGGGTACACTGCTGTGGGCAAACAATAATGAAGGTCACTGAATCAATTCTGGACTTTGGGCAGAAGGCTAAGAGATATTATGGTGCCCATTGTGAAAATAAATTATTTGGTTTGGGCATAGCTGAATACACTGTGGGACTGCACGCCATTCAAAGAATCTATTCTATTCTTTTTCCTAAGACAGATATGACAGCAACACTGCACCTTAGACTTGGGTGCCAAGTGGTCTGAGATCAGATTGTTCAGCAAAGTGCTAAGAATTGCCAGGCTTCAAGCAGTCCATGTAGAAAATGTGGGAGTTCTGGTCCTGTAGGACTTGAGTTTGGGCACAGCTCTTCCCCCCGGGAGGAGAAGACCAAAACATTCATACAAGGCAACCTCGGGGAGCTCTGAGGTAACTCATTAGAAATTCTGGCTGCCATCTCCATGCATACCTTCCCTATTCACAGGCTCTTGTTTTCATGATGACTGAGTAGACACTGAGTCCAAAATATTTTTTTCTTTCTCTCTAAGGCACTGAATATAGAATGGCCTGGAAACTTGACTTGTTAACAACCAATCAAAGGAGAAATTAATCTTTCAGTGATAACTGGATGAATATAAGAACACAGAAAAAAAGGTAAGGCAACTGTTCTTTCTGTGAATACCCGCTCACGCCTGTTAAATCATCTATTCCTACAATGCCTCTGTGAAGTAGATGTTACTAGTCCTCTTATAAAACTAGAAAAGCTCCTTAAAACTAGAAAAAGGAGAACCAGTATGCTGAATAAGTGACCCAAGACTTCATTGCTCCTGAAAGGCAGTCTTGTCTGAATCCAGACACCATTTGTTGGGGCAGATTTTCTGTGGTTCTTTTCGGAGTTACTATACACACAAAACAGTTTGTTTTATAACTATACAAACTGCATGAGTCAGTGATTTTTGTGTTATCTGCAGGCCCAAGATACTGTGTCAGTTACTTTCTTTTTTCATTCCTACTCCATTTAATCCTCCACTTCAATAGATTTGCTCAAATTCTAATTAAATCAAAAATCAGGGGTTTTCTAACTTTCTTTAATTGATGAAATCCATTTAAAAAGTAAAGTCTAAGTCAGAAATCCACAAAATATAAATGACCACAGAGAAACTGCTTTGACTGAACTTGGGGTGGGAGATCCACAGACACACCTTTCACTCAAATATAAATAAGGTGTCCCTGAACATTTTTTGAATACTGAATACTGAAGTTTCATGGACCATGCCAATTTGAAAGCCACTGCTTTCATCAGAAGGTTTGCTATAGAAAACAAGTGTCATGTCTAGCCATGAGTTTTCTGGTTATTTTTCTCTGTCTTGGACAGAGAAGGCCATTCCCAGCAGGAGAAGTGATGGTGGCTCACAATCTGTTGAGTTGCAGCAGCAGCAGCAAATGAAGGACAGCATTTTTCTAAAGTTTTAACTCACAAAATGGGAAAAATCACCTCATTACCCCAGAGGCCTGTTACTGCAACTCAATTGTATGGTATACAAATGTTTATGTCATAAAAATTATGCTTTCTATATATCATGTTGGCAATTCAACTACCCTCACCCTTACAGTAAACTCCTATGACATTGTGTGGATTTGCAGTTCGAGTCCATTTGTCTTTCTGATCCATTAATAGTGCATTTATCATCAAATGAACTTAAAATTATTTGCTGCTCTTTGCTTTCAACAATGTGGATGACCAAGGCATTGACACTGGCTGATGAATTTCACTATAGGGCAGAGATTATGAGTACACAGGAGGCTGGTACAGATTTAATGAAAGGGGAGAATAAGAGATTCAGGAGAAGGTAGAAATCAGAACAAAATGCAATCACTGAAAAATTTACCCTTTGTAATAGTGCTTCTGCAAATATGAGGTTACAAACACAGCTCCTCTTTCTGACATTGACAAGGAGGGCCCTAGAAGTGTTTACATCATTCCTGCATCAATAGATTTTACTTACTGATTTGTTCCCAGAGCCTAAAATGGGAATGAATATTATACTTGTCTTTATTGCTGAGTGGTAAGAAAAAACAAGATTTGTGTGAAACCAGTGTTGCCTTGGCCTCAATTTGTCATTTAAAATATGTAAAGATATTCAGCTGCTTCAATTCAGTGGGTTAATCAGATAGTCATTTCAGAGACTGTAATGTCAGACATCAACTCTCTATGGGCTCCTTCAGCCATTATACCTATACAATCACTTCTACCTTTAAAACAAAATCAATAGTAACAACAATAACAAAAAGTGACTTTTCTGTTCCTTCTAGGAATTATCCAGTTTGTGCTTTCAAAGCCAAACAATAAGCCATCTCCTAACTCAATCTCTGCATCACCAGCTTCATTCTGGATTCTAAAACTTGACTTTCCTTAATGCTGTAACCTAATTCTCCCCTTTCAAAGAGCAGGGAGCACAGCATCAGGAACTCCATGGTGTGTCTGGAGTTTTCAGGCTGTTTGCGGTGGCCCTGAACTTGCCCAGAACTCATCGAGTTACCTTAGAAGTATCCAGAAAGAGAGAGGAGACTGTCTTTAAGCAGTAAGTCTAACCGAACCATGAATTCTAAGTGGAAAATAGGAAGAGCAGGAAAATTCTGGGGAGAAGCAATGAGAAGGAAAACTGGGGTCCAGATGTGGAATTTCTCCATTTTTTATAAAGAAACTAATCCACACTAATATAAGCAAGGAGTAAACATTGGCACAGAATTTCCTAATTTCAGCAGCCTTCAGCTTATGACAGTCTTAGGATTCCAAGAGGTAATCTTAGGATCTGATCTTCTAAAACTGCCTTTGTGAAAATTATAACAGTGAGAAAATTATGACAGTGAAGGAGATCTGTTGAGCTGCTGCAGTAGCAAATGAAGGACAGCATTTTAACCAACTTCATCTTGCCTTTTACCTCTAAACTGCCTTTGATCATTCCTGGACATGGGGGAGAAGTGTTTATAGTTTAAGTGAAAATAGGCCTTCCCAAAACTAAACCACGTTTTTAAAACAATGAAAGTCCATCAGGTTAGGAAGATGAGAGGGGCCTGAATTCTGCAAAGACGTAGGAATAAATGATTACCAGTCATTGTTCTGGAGGTCACAAAATTTGCAACTTCCCCAATTACTCCTATAAATAACAACACTATTATAGAACTTTGGCCTACTGGCCTTTTAAGATGTCTTTTCAGATTTTCACATTTCTGAATAATGGATAACTCCACCCAGACCAGAGACTGCTCTGTGACCCTTTCTTGGAAGTGGATGCAGAGCATGAGGACTGTTTTCTACACACCTATAATTGGATTCCTCACCAATAAGCATTCCCCATTCCTTAACTCCTAGCACACCAAACTATCCTTGAAAAACCCTAGCCTCCAAATTTTCAAAGAGGCTAATTTTAGTAATAATAAAACTGGTCTCCATTTAGATGGCTCTATGTGTATTAAACTCTTTATTGTTGTATTAGTCTGTTTACATGCTGCTGATAAAGACATACCTGAGACTGGGCAATTTACAAAAGCAAGAGGTTTAATGGACTTACAGTTCCATGTGGCTAGAGAGGCCTCACAATGATGGCGGAAGGCGAAAGTTACCTCTTACACAGTGGCAAAAGAGAGATTGTGCAGAAAAACTCCCATTTTTAAAACCATTGGATCCCATGAGACTTATTCACTATCATGAGAACAGCACAGGAAAGACCTGCTCCCATGATTCAATTACCTCCCACTGGGTCCCTCCCATAACACACAGGAATTCAAGATGAGATTTGGGTGGGGACACAGCTATACCATATCAATTACAATTCCCCTATCTTGATAAATCAACTGTATCTGGACAGCAGGACAAAAGAACCCACTAGCTAGTTATATATCTGGGGGCTCATCCAGGATAACCCTTGTGGCTACCTGCCTGTGGCTCGGCAACCCCTCACTGGCAAAGGATCTGAAGGCCAGCCCAAGCAGCCACCTAGTGGGAAGTGGATATACTTCCCAGGTCCACTGGGTTTGCTTCAGTCTGTCCTCATCTGCCACCACTGGTCGTTCAAGTCAGGGGTACTACTGGAATCATACTTCAGACTTTTTATCTACTTCCCAATAACTTAGTTTATCCATTTTTTCTTCATTAATGCATGAATAAACTCCTCACAGAAATTCCTTTCAGTTGGTGGGATGAATTTCCAATATCCCACACATTTTTCCATGAATGTATTGTGATCATGTCAATACAAACCTGATAATGTAATACAAACATGATAATGTAAATAAGCCCACAGAGGAATATTTTAGAAATTCTATTTGGGATAAATCTCTCACTGCTCAGCTTTTCTCTAACCCTTATGATGAGGAAACAACACGGTGAGGAACAATCTTACTTAAGGAAACTAAAAGCATTCAGCTGCCACAGCCAATGCCAACATTGAACTCTTTGACCCAGAAGAGAAGGCCAATGCTTTGACAGTTTCCACTTCTACTTGCTTGTATACCCACCCATCCAAGGTGCTCTCTGAAATTTAAAATTAAAATTCTGGGAAGGAAAGCATTTTCCCCCTCAACTTGTCTGAATCTACAATATCAAAAGAGGCACCCAAGCAGAGCAACTCCCAGAATTAGACAAGACCCCTCTGTCTCAGGCAAACTCAACAGTGTAACAAAAATCACGTAACTTTAGCATGATGGAGGGAGGAGTGCAACATACTCGCTCTTTCAGAAACAACAACAGAGCTGCACAAAACTGTCAAAACCACTATTTCAGTGCTCTGGAAATTGGCCAAACACATGAAACAAACTGAGGCACATGTATTCATTAAACTATTTAACTTCTCAGAAGGACAAAGCGTCTTTTCCCCACACCATCCCAGCCTCCGCTATTTCTCAGTGTGGTCTTTGAACCAGGGCAGGGATTAGTTCCTTTATACAAAAGGACCAAGAAAGATCCCTCAGCCCTTCTAAAATGTGAGGTTCTAACAAAAAGACAGCTGTCCATGAACAAGGAAACAGGCCTTCACCAGACACCAGCTGTGCTGGAGCCTTGATTTCAGTCTTCTGGCCTCCAGAACTGTGAGAAATAAATTTCCATTGTTTCTAAGCCACTCAGTCTATGATATTTTGTCATAGCAGCTCTAATAGACTAAGATACTCTTAGTGAATCTGGAGAAAAGCTATTAAGATAGACCTTATTCAAAAGACTCTAATAGACATATTAATTTTTAAAGTATTATTATAAAGCTCCATTAATTTTATAAATATTATAGAATAGGAATTCAAGATTAGCACTATCCAATATAACTTTCTTCAATTATGAAAATACATAGCTGTGCGGTTTGATACATTGGCTGCTATTCACATGTGGCTTTTGAGTACTTAAAATGTGGCAAGTATAACTAAGAAATTGAATTTTTTATTATATTTCAATTTTAATTAATTAAAATTAAAATAGCCATATTTGCCTAGTGGCTACCTTGTGAGACAGCACAAATCTAGACAGAGACCAAATATATATTATAATTTGGTTTATGGAAAATGGATATTCAAAAACAATGGAGAAGGAATGGATAATTGTCACAAACTACAGAATATCTTTTTAAGGCTTTCCACTTAAAAAATACAAATTAAGATAATGTGATACTATTTTTACTGAATTAAATTGGCAAAAGAAAAAAAATTAGCCATTATTAAGTAAATTTGTTTTCTAATGCATAGAAGAATGTGTAAACTTTATCTTTAAGACACTGCTAATTGTAGTATCAAGGAATCTAGTTTCTGGAAGAAAATTAGGTGTGCATATGAAATAATTTAAAATTGTGCTAATAGTTGACTCAGGGATTCCACTTGTAAGTAATGGCTTCAGGAAAATAAATTAAATAAGCTAAGTATTGGTATGGGTTGAATTTAACCCACACCCCAGAGATGTTTGGAAACGTAATCCTCATGGTGGTTGTATTAAGATGCGAGGCCTTTGAGGAAGTGATTAAGTCTTGAGGGCTCCACCGTCCTCAATGGATTGTGCTTTATAAAAGGGCTGGAGGGAACTAGCGTAGGCCCTTTTTGCTCTTCTGTTCTTCCACCACATGAAGACACAGCATTTGTCCCCTCTTTTGCCCTTCTGTCCCTTTTACCATGTAAGGACACCTAGACGGTACCATCTATGAGGAATGGGCCCTCGTCAGACATCAAAGCTGGCAGTGCCTTGATCTTGGTCTTCCCAACTCAAGAACTGTGAAAAAATAAATTTATACTGTTCATAAATCACCCAGTCTCAGGTATTTTGTTACAGCAGCGCAAATCAACTGAAGCAAGTGTGCTCACTACTGTTTACAATAACAAAACACTGGTAGGAAGTTACATATTGAAAAAGAGTTTTTTCATCCTTTTAACAGTGTTTTTCACTGAGCAAAAGTATTTAATTTTGATAAAGTTTCATTTACTGATTTTTTTCTTTTTAATAGATCATGTTTTTAATGTCATGATTAGGAATTTTTCCCATCCCACAGACTTTTTCCTATAATTTCTTCTCAGACTTTTATGTTTAAATATATATATATATGTGTGTGTGTGTGTGTGGGTATTTTTTTTTTTTTTTGAGACGGGTCTCGCTCTCACCCAGGCTGGAGTGCAGTGGCGTGATCTTGGCTCACTGCAAGCTCTGCCTCCCAGGTTCACACTATTCTCCTGCCTCAGCCTCCCAAGTAGCTGGGACTACAGGCTCCCACTACCTTGCTCGGCTAATTTTTTTATATTTATTTTGTATGGTGTGAGGTTTAGGTCAAGATTTTTTAAGATTCTTTATTTTTTCTTCTCTTTCTTTCTTCTTTTTTTTTTTTTTTTTTTTTTTGGCCTATGGATATCCCAACTATTTTTTTAAAAGATGGTTTTTCTCCATTGAATTTTATTTGTACCTTTGTCAAAAATCAGTTGGTAGTTGGTTTTACTTATGTGAAGCTATTCCTGGGTTCTGGGTTATACTTTAATCCTTAATAACTTTAGAGAAAATAATTATCTTGTCGTGGCCTTCAATGTATATCTAAGGCCTATCTGATTGCCCTGTCACATGTCCCTTGATTTTCTTATTTTTCTTCTTCCTTTCTTCCCCTGCCCCTATATCCTCATAGAATTATCTATGTGGGTTAACCATCAGTTTATCAGTTTATTAATCAAATCACAGTATTTCTTTGTGAAGATAGTTCTGCATGAATTTTTTTTTGATGAGGGAGAGACATAGATGATTTTAGGTAAACAGATATAGAACTTCCTTTATTGCGGTAAAGGAATATTGTCTTTAATATTTTCATTCCCAATTGTTGTAACTTTTGTTCAGATACATTTTCTATGCAAATATTCTCTTTTTCTGCCTTCTCTGTATAAGTTGTTTACTTTTATCTATCTGTGGCTTTCCATTTTAAGTGTTTTCCAACTTATTCTTCATGACCATGTATTTTTACCAGTAAATTTTTTATTTCCTTTCCAATTTTAGTGCAACTTTTATTTCTGAAATGGCTTTATTTTCAGTTTTTAACTGAATTGTACTATGTCCCCTTTTAGCTTTTTACATAAAATATCACCTTTTATTTGGTCTTATGTCTTTTTATTTTAATATATCTTTAAGAATCTATACTCTTCTCGATTTATTTAATACCATGGAAAGCTGTTTTGTGTTACCTTTGCTTCAGTTTTTAGGATTAATGATTCTGCTGACATGTATCTTAGAGGTGGTATGACATAGTAGTTAGGGGTGGTAATATCAGATTGCCTGGTCGCTAATCTCGTCTACTACCTTCTTAGATATATGATTTACTTAACCTTGTTATGTTTTTTTAATCTGTAAAATAAATGCATAATAGGAAGTTAATTGTGAGAACAGTACCCCTTGGGAAGAGATTCCTTTAGTTTAATATAGTCCTAAGAAATGCATCAGTGAGGGGAGCACCAGAATTCTTGAAAAATTCTTTAGTGAAGATCAGAGAGGACAGTGGAAGACGAATTATGGAACTGGATTTCATGATTTCAGTGTAAAATAGGATTCTGGAATGACAGATTTCATGTGACAGTGCTTAATCTTTGGAGTCAGTTATATATTTACTGTATATAACCATAGAATTATAGGAGTGGCCAGAGTGTTTTAACCCACATGAATCTGTGTCAGTGACTTTTTAATTAATGTTTCCTAGAAACAATATAGATGAGCAATATCTACTCATTGCTTCATCTATATAACCAAAAAACAAAACTCTCAGTCTGGTGTGCACAGTCTTGACCCAGGTCAGTATACAGGAAATTGAAGGTCTTTTCTGAGTTCACAGACCTAAGTCAGTCCCCTTAGAGATCCTTGATGGAGGGAGAATTGGTACTTTTGTGAGAAGACTGTGCTGCGAAGCCACGCATGTATACTATAAAACTTCCTTTAGACCTTTCCACAGAAAAACCTGCTGCTAAAAACTAGGTGAGTGTGCCCTGGGGAAAGAAATATCTAGCGTCTCTGTGGGCCATTAATATAGATTCTGAATGTAAGAGAGACTCAAAAAGCTGCTGTGGTTCACAGGTCAGAGTAGGGCTTATGAAAGGCAGGTGATAAATATAGTCTTTGCTTAAATCTATTTCACTGTGAGTCTAGCAGATCCAAAGACCCAAATTGAATTTATTTCACAGTAACCAGCATCTGGTGGATTCCTTACATAGACTCCAGTGGAATAAGGGCTTTTATAGTAGAAATAGTTATGAAAACATTTGGAAGCCCACCCTTCCCAATAAAAACAATAAATATCACATACATGGCAGGGAGTGCATAAATTTTTGTCCTCATCACAAAGTTGAAAGGTTTAAAAGTGATGATTTCTATCATATTCTTACTTGTCTGTTTGGTCCATGCAAAGCTAAATGAGTTTGGAAAACTATTGTGAATGATTAGTAAACCTAATGAGGTTAAATGCATCTCCCATTTCAAATGTGGTATATTTAAACAAATTAACAAAACTTCTGTCACCTGGTTTGCAGCTATTGACATGGTAAATGATGTTTTCTGAAATCTGATCTGAAAGTACAATTAGAAATTTATCACCTTGGCAGGGCATGGTGACTCACGCCTGTAATCCCAGCACTTTGGGAGGCCGAGGCGGGCAGATCACTTGAGGTCAGGAGTTTGAGACCAGCCTGGCCAAGATGGTGGAAACCCCATCTCTACTGAAAAAAAAAAAAAAAGATTGGCAGGGTGGTGCATGCCTGTAGTCCCAGTTACTTCGGAGGCTGAGGTGGGAGAATCATTTGAACCCGGGAGGCAGAGGTTGCAGTGAGCTGAGATCACCCCACTGCATGCCAGCCTGAGCGACAGAGAGATATACTGTCTTAAAAAAAAAAAAAATTCCCACCTTTACCTCTGGAGGATAGCATTTACACCTTCACTTTCCTAATGTCATGGTTATATTAAACTAGCTTGATCTCTGGGGAAATATAGTCCAGAGGATCATAATCACCTTGAGTCTCAGAGAATGTCCCGTTGGCCTATTACATTGATAGCATCAAACAAATTAAACCTCGGAGAGCAGAAAGCAGCAAGGAGCAGATACATACAGGTGTGGTGCCATAGCTATTGGCCACCTAAAGTTTCACTGAAAAATCACGGGCATGAGACAGATTGATTAATAGGAGAGAAGGCATACATATGTATTTAATATGTATACATTGGAGCCTTCAGAATAAAGATCCAACTTTCCAATGAGTTACAGAAACTTATATACCATTTTGAGGTTACGGAAAGAATGGAGGCGTCAGTCCTGGTAAAACAGGTTATGGTATTGAGGAGAAGAGGAATTCTATCGAGGGACAATAACTGATTGTGAGGGAAAATGACTGGCATTGAGATGAACTAATTTGTAAAGAGTTGTCTTTAGAATTTAAATGATCCTTGGAGACAGTCTTTGTACTAGTAAAAAGGTCTGCTCAGGTGAGGTCACATCTTGGTCTGCTTTAATGAAGTAAGTATTAAAGTATTATCTGCAGAGGATAATGAGATAACATGGAAGGAAAGAAAGAACAATTATTCTTGGTGGGTCTGGATCTTAAGCTGATAAAGGAACTTCAGCTTCTTTGGAAGAGATATTTGTGAGGGTAAGGTCAGAGAGACCTTGAGGCTTCCTTAATTCAGTATGTCAAAAGGACATATTTGAGAGTATCAGTTTCTGAGCCCAAACACAGGAAAATGGTTACTCTGAAGGTAAACTGGGGAAAGAATACAGTGGGCCAGACTGGCACAGAGTTTGGGGTGAGGCATTTCAATGTATGTATTTTTATGTTCTTTTGATTTTTGAACTGAAATTTATAATCAATTCAATACATAATCAGTTCTTTGTATCTACGGATTCTGCATTCAAGAATTCAACCAACCACAGATCAAGCATATTGAAGAAATAGTAAAAAAAAAAAAAAAAAAAAAATACAGCAGTTAAAAATAATACAAATTAAAAACATAGTATAGCAACTATTTTTACAGCATTTACATTGTATAGCTATTATAAATAACCTAGAAATGATTTAAATTAAATGGGAGGATATGCGTAGGTTATATGCAAATACTAAGCGATTTTATATAAAGGACTTGAGCATCCACACATTTTGGTATTCAAGGGGTCTTGAAATCTATCTCCCATAGATACTGAGGGATGATTGTAAAATATAAAGTATTAAACAAAGTAAAAATTTAACAGCAACCCTGGTTAAATCCAACTTTCTACCTGCTCCACACTTATACCTGTGCAGCAGAATGATGCTGGGGAAAACACAAAACCTGCTGACTGATCTAACTTTAAATTAATTACCATCAATCCCAAGTAGGCCTTAATGCTGCCTGGCAACCATACTCAATTCCCCCAGCTTATTCATTTTCTTACTATCTGAGGGTACTATTTCATATTTTTCTGTCTCTTACAACATCTCACCTTTTACTCTCAGTTGAAGATCTTGCTTCCTAATTCACGTAAAAATGGATCAATTACAAAGTATATCTTGCGATTCATATAGATCAATTATATATCTAACAACACCTGCATCTGTGTACTCTGCCTTTCCTCATGTCACAACAGATCAACTATTTGCCTTCATTTCTAAAAGCATTTTCTCCCATCCCCTCTTGTTTACACAAGGACAGTGAAACCACCTTTGCAAAGATCATGGCAGCAAGGGAAGTCTAGCATGGCTGACTCCATTCTGCCTCTCGCCTCATCACGCTGGCTGTCCTTGCTCATTTCTTGGCATAGGCCAAGCTAACTAAGGGAGAAATTTGGTTTAAAGTTTCACTTTGAAGCAGGGATGAAATAGTCTCTCCCTAAAACTAACCCCCTCCTTGCTCAGGGATAGAAGCCACCTCAGGGACTGAAGCCACTTAATGAAAGGCCATGAAATTAAGATTATGGGACCTGAGTTCTTCAAAAATGTAGCTATAATTTCTATAATTCCTTACTACTCAGGAGTCATATGGCTAGAGGTCAGAAGGTTTGGGACTTCCTTAATTCTCCTACAGATAACATCGTTATAACAATAGTGACGTTATCTGTAGGAGCAATTGAGGAAGAACCTGAAATGGGTCTTTTGAGGTGTTTTTAGACTTTTGCATCTGACAACCAGCTAACCCCACCTCGACCCGTGACTCATGAACACATGACTCAACTGGACATGTGGCTCCACCCAAGTGTGGACTCAGCACAAGCAGACCCTTTTCCACACCCTTATGATTTCATCCCCAATCAATCAGCAGTACCCATTCCCTAGCCGCCTACCCATCAAATATCCATAAAAATCCTAGCCTCTGAGTTGGCATGGAGGCTGATTTGAGTAATAATAAAATCCTGTCCTTCCACTTTGCCAGACTTGTACTAATTAAAACTCTTTCCATACTACAATAATGCTATCTCAGTGGGTTTATCTGTGCAACAGGCAAGAAGAACCCACTTTGGGTGATTACAACAGCACTCTGCAATATTCCCCTTTTAAAAATATTATCAGTTTCCCCCTTGTAAGACAAGTAGCTGTGCGGCAGTCAAGAGTAGGCTGAGGTAAACATCTGGTGCAGCATGACACAGTGGGATTGGAGCGCAAGCACACAATCCCGTGCATTATATAATCACAGTTGTGTAACCATGTTATGGGTAGGCTCATCACCTGGCTCTGAGCCACTATTGTCTGTGAAGTACATAAATGTATCCCTGACACTGTTAGAGTGAGTACATAATAAAGGCATATCCCACCTGCCTATGGCCCCACCGAGTGTTCTTTCAACGACCAGCCACCCATCCACCAATTCCCCTTGGGCCCCAGCTAAGAGCCTGACACCCCTTCAATGAGATTATTCATATTGGCATATGAATGTGCTACTATTTCTTTTATAATAAAAATCTATCTTGAACACATTTTCCTCTCAAACTACTCCCTTTCTCATCAAAATACTACTGCTGATTATAAGTGATTGTATCTAATTTATCTCTTTACGTTGTGTCTTTATATACACACTAATCAGTGATTTTCCCCAATAGTCCATTGAAATAATTTTAAAAACTTCATATTACTAAATCCAGTATTCAAATGTCAGTCTTTAGATATTTTACTTAAGAGAAGCACTTTACAAGGTTGATCCCTCCTATCCTCCTGCTAGCAATAAAATCATGACTTGGACTCCAATTTAGGTTTTCTTTCTACTCCATTAGCTGCTACTTCTCAGTCCTCTTTGTTATTTTTGCCCTCCTTTTCCTGATCTCTGCAGGATAGTATCCTAGGGTTTTTCAAAGCTAAATCAAAGTCACAGATACTTATGTTCCTTAAATAACCAGCAAGTGACCTCCTTCTCAGTATCACCTTCAAGACCCTTGTCATCCTCCAGAAACAAATCTACTCTTGCCCAAAGAGTTTGCTGTGTCCTACCAGAGACCCTCTGTATAGATTTGAGTTGTATGGCAGCCCAGAACACTCATCATGCTCCTCTGTCCACATCACAGAAAAGATATCCCCTTAAGATGTAGGAATGTGGGAGAGTAATCCAGAAGCAGCATCCACGCACCTGTAGCTGATGGGCTGGTGAGTAGTAACGTATCTCTCCACACCCCTTCCAGACACTTAAATAACTTGAGAGTCTTATTTTTGTAATCCCAAAAGACCAATGTCAGCCAAAGTTTAGGGCAGAGTGACAAAAGATGAATGGCTAGACTAGGGGTACACTTTAAAGTTACCCTTAGCTAGGATACCCACCTCCCATTCTCAAGCAAGAACACATCAATGTTAAGTAATATTTCTTCATAGTGAAATTATATTATTCTCACACTCAGGGGTTTCTTAGTAGGGAATCCCTAGTAAAAATTTATTATTTTTCTCATTTTTCATTTTTGCCTTCATTAGTTTCCTGTAGTGTTTCTTCTTGTACCTCTTTGTGCTTTATTAAAGCTCAGCTGTGAAAATTATCTTACACTAAAGAATATAAATAAACATTTATTTAGCAAGATGAGGAAATTAGGGAGATACAGTAAAGACAATGGAGCTCATTAAACAAGCACCAGTGTTACTAATGCTCTCTCACTCATTACTCATTCATTTCACTGATTGCTTTAACAGAATAGGAGGCATCATTTCTCACCTAGATAATCCAGTCATTCTCTGTGGATGTCAGAGAAGACAAGTCCATGAGCCCTAGTTCCTGGGAGTGAGGGTGTGAATCATTAACACTTTATGTACTTGTGTATTATTTCTCTCCCTCTCACTCTCTCTCTTTCTTCCTCTATAAAGGAAGCAGAAGGAGGTTATAAGAGAAATATGAGTTTAAGAGTTCATCTCTAATGGGAGTTTTATACTCAGCATTTGGTGGAAACAAGTTCAGGGGATCCAGAAATCAACATTTACTCTTTATATTGCACAGTAGTTTATTTCTCCTATAAACGTGTGTTTACAAACTCAGCTCAACACTGATTCTACCACTGGAACTGCAAGAGGCCTCCTTTAATCCAAATAACAGAAAGTATCTGTGACATATTTATTCACAAGTGTTGTTAAAGTTCTTGCAATAGGAGATACGTAGAAACTAATTTTTAGATTCCACATCAGTTAAGAGAATCTTCAAGCCTCTTCTCTTTACACATAGGAGCAGATTGAAAGAAATTATTATCTATATCTACATAAATGAATGGAAATGTGTCAGTTACAGCATCTCATGAAAGTTGCTGGAGGGATTTTTGGCAAACTTGGAGGGGCTGTTTGAAGTGGACCTACTTAAAAATATAGGCTATGTGGCATAAATAGAATTCACTTTGGTTTGACTTGTAAGATGAGGACTGGCACATCACAGAACTGGGCCTTCACCGTCTAGAGTACCTGGTTTGCAATGGAGCTGTTCCTCAAGAGAATGGCAAACAACAGGTGCTCTGAGGTGAGTATAATCAGTAATTATTTAAAGAAGGCTAGTGATTCCCCTGATAATAATGCTGGTTAATAGATCTAGTAATGCCGTAATCACTAACATTCTCTAAACTCTCACTATGTGTCAGGAACAATTCTAAGACTTGTGCTATGTCATCAAATCTTCAAAATAATTCCACATGTAAGGTATTTTTATTAACCCCTTCTCACCTCCCCCCATTTTACAAATGAGAAAAAAACTAGACAAAGTAAATGCTCATAAAGCCAGTAGGCAGCAGTGTTAGGAGTAAAGCACATCTGCTTATTTGAAAGCTATTGTACTTGATGGCTACCTTCTAAGACATTAAAAATCAGTAACACAAATAAATCAAACACAGAAATACAAATACTGCATTATCTCACTTATACGTGGAATCTCAAGAAGTCAAACATAAAAACAGAATAGAAGGTGTTTGTTAGGGGCTGAGGTTATGGGGGAAATGGTAGGACTTTGGTCGAAGAGTATAAACTTTCAATTATAAGAGGATTAAGCTCTGAGGATCAAATGTACAGCATGGTAACTATAGTTAATAATAACCTATTACATACTTGAAATTTGCGAAGAGGGTGGATCTTAAGAATTCTCACCCCCGCCCCCCACACACACACACACATACACATATTGCTAACTTTATGAGCTGATGGATGTGTTAATTAGCCTGATTTGTAATTACTCTATAACACATATGTACATCAAAATAACACATTATACACCTTAAACACGTACATTTTGTGTTGTATATGTTTTATTGTCAATTATAACTCAATAAAGCTGGAAAAAAATTAGTAACACAATCTTCACCAATACATCCCTGGTAAAAGGAGATGATATAAAAGTCAGCAAAGTCATCAGCGAATTGACAACAGAAGAAGCCAAGCGGTTTGTAATTTAAGTTAGAAGGTTGGAAACCAGAGATTAGAGGAAACCCACCATGGAGCAATACAAGCCATGGTATAGGTAAGGACCAGAGAGAACTCCTCAACTTTCTCTGTGCTTTAGACATACAAAAAAATGCAATGGAAAGGCAGCTTGAATCAGAACAAGAAACTGGTACCTCTTTGGTACCAGTCTTTTCTTATTGTGATAAAATTGACAATTTTATCAATTGTCAAATGTGGAGTGATAACTAGCCCTTCTCGGAAATGACTACATGGAGACGTCAAAAGAAAAATCTCAGCTAGATAGCCATATGCCCAGGTAGAACTCTGGTACTCTACTACAGAAATATGGGCAGTCAGCACCCAGAGGTTTTACAAGTCACCCCTGCTCTCATTTAACCCAAATGAAGAATTACTTTAATCAACTGATCTTAGAGGTACAAGGACTGGATTCTTCAATTGGTTGGTTAGGAAAAAGCATAAGTGGGCTTTATTTTATTTGCTAATAATAAAACAAATACACATTTATCCTGGAAATTTTTGAATGTGCCGAACTGTATAAAGAAATATAAATTACCCATACGGCCACCCTTCAGAGGTAATCAATGTCAGCTGACACAATGTTTTCAGACCCTCTATCTACTGCTAACTTCGGATCACAGATGACCTACTAAAGACTGAGATGTTCTAAAGGAAACTGATTTATAATTAACAAAGCCTGTATAACTTGTGCTGAAAGTCTATGAGGAGAAAATCCTCTTTTCCCTTCTTCTCAGGCTCTGAACAACCATTTCTTCTCCTGTGATGGACAATTTGATTAAGGCAAACTGCCTACACTCAGAAAAAGTGACATGTTATTGGGGCAGAGGATTTTGCTGTAGCCATTAGAGATAAGATTGACTGGTGATACAGAAATATGTGCTTTTCTAGGAGAGCCAGAGCCAGATCTTCAGATAGCACTTCCTTTGTTAGCTTCAGACCAAATTCAACAAAGTACCTAAGGGAAAGAAATTAGTTGGCAAATCACTTGCTTATCACATCTTTTCCTATTTTAGGGCTGTCATCCTTTAAGGGAATATGGTGGGTGAAAAATTGACACTTCTCCATCACAGAAGGTTCTTTCTCAAGATTTTGTTACTTTGTGTTGGGAAAGAGCCCTTCTCCAAGCTCTCTCCTTGGTGAAACTAGCATAAGATAAGGTCAAGGACAACTTTCAGCGACATTTCCTCTTTGCTTTTATAGAGTGCATTTGTGTTTCTGATGGGTGCTGTAAGAACTGTACATGTGTTCACATGCATACAGAAATACATCTCTTTGATGTATTCACCATTCAGCAAATATTTATTCACTCTTGTCAATCTCTATGTGCCAGGGGCTATTTTCATTGCTGATGCTGTGGTTATAAAATCACGAAGCCTCTGCCTTGATAGAGTTTACCTTTTAGTAGGTGATACAGACAATAAACAAATAAATAGTATTTAGTATTATTTGAAGTAATGCCAACCACAACTAAAGAAAACTTAAAAGCATCGAGCAGACATAATCGGTAATCAATGCTTCTATTTTACATGGGATAGTCAAGGGAAAATTCTCTAAGGAGGTGCCTTGGAGCAGACATATGAATAAAGTGAAGAAGCAAGTCCATGCATAACTGCAAGAAAAACCAAACAGACCAAGAGCAAATGCAAAGGCCTTGAGAGCGGGGGTGGGGGTTGGGGGGGTGGAATGTGCTTGGCTTCTCAAGAAACAGCAGGAGGGAAACGCTTGTGCTGGAGTGAGCAGAGCAAATAGGAGTGAGAGGAAAGACCTTAGAGATCAGCTAAGCAGAGCTTTTTTTTTTTCTTTTATTATTATACTTTAAGTTTTAGGGTACATGTGCACATTGTGCAGGTTAGTTACATTTGTATACATGTGCCAAGGGTGTGCTGCACCCACTAACTCATCATCTAGCATTAGGTATATCTCCCAATGCTATCCCTCCCACCTCCCCCCACCCCACAACAGTCCCCAGAGTGTGATGTTCCCCTTCCTGTGTCCATGTGATCTCATTGTTCAATTCCCACCTATGAGTGAGAATATGCAGTGTTTGGTTTTTTGTTCTTGTGATAGTTTACTGAGAATGATGATTTCCAATTTCATCCATGTCCCTACAAAGGACATGAACTCATCATTTTTTATGGCTGAATAGTATTCCATGGTGTATATCTACCACATTTTCTTAATGCAGTCTATCATTGTTGGACATTTGGGTTGGTTCCAAGTCTTTGCTATTGTGAATAATGCTGCAATAAACTTACGTGTGCATGTGTCTTTATAGCAGCATGATTTATAGTCCTTTGGGTATATACCCAGTAATGGGATGGCTGGGTCAAATGGTATTTCTAGTTGTAGATCCCTGAGGAATCGCCACACTGACTTCCACAACTAGTTTACAGTCCCACCAACAGTGTAAAAGTGTTCCTATTTATGCACATCCTCTCCAGCACCTGTTGTTTCCTGACTTTTTAATGATTGCCATTCTCACTGGTGTGAGATGGTATCTCATTGTGGTTTTGATTTGCATTTCTCTGATGGCCAGTGATGATGAGCATTTTTTCATGTGTTTTTTGGCTGCATAAATGTCTTCTTTTGAGAAGTGTGTGTTCATGTCCTTCGCCCACTTTTTGATGGGGTTGTTTGTTTTTTTCTTGTAAATTTGTTTGAGTTCATTGTAGATTCTGGATATTAGCCCTTTGTCAGATGAGTAGGTTGCAAAAATTTTCTCCCATGTTGTAGGTTGCCTGTTCACTCTGATGGTAGTTTCTTTTGCTGTACAGAAGCTCTTTAGTTTAATTAGATGCCATTTGTCAATTTTGTCTTTTGTTGCCATTGCTTTTGGTGTTTTAGACATGAAGTCCTTGCCCATGCCTATGTCCTGAATGGTATTGCCTAGGTTTTCTTCTAGGGTTTTTATGGTTTTAGGTCTAATGTTTAAGTCTTTAATCCATCTTGAAATGATTTTTGTATAAGGTGTAAGGAAGGGATCCAGCTTCAGCTTTCTACATATGGCTAGCCAGTTTTCCCAGCACCATTTATTAAATAGGGAATCCTTTCCCCATTGCTTGTTTTTCTCAGGTTTGTCAAAGATCAGATAGTTGTAGATATGTGGTGTTATTTCTGAGGGCTCTGTTCTGTTCCATTGATCTATATCTGTGTTTTGGTACCAGTACCATGCTGTTTTGGTTACTGTAGCCTTGTAGTATAATTTGAAGTCAGGTAGTGTGATGCCTCCAGCTTTGTTCTTTTGGCTTAGGATTGACTTGGCGATGCGGGCTCTTTTTTGGTTCCATATGAACTTTAAAGTAGAGTTTTCCAATTCTGTGAAGAAAGTCATTGGTAGCTTGATGGGGATGGCATTGAATCTGTAAATTACCTTGGGCAGTATGGCCATTTTCACGATAATGATTCTTCCTACCCATGAGCATGGAATGTTCTTCCATTTGTTTGTATCCTCTTTTATTTCATTGAGCAGTGGTTTGTAGTTCTCCTTGAAGAGGTCCTTCACATCCCTTGTAAGTTGGATTCCTAGGTATTTTATTCTCTTTGAAGCAATTGTGGATGGGAGTTCACTCATGATTTGGCACTTGTTTGTCTGTTGTTGGTGTATAAGAATGCTTGTGATTTTTGTACATTGATTTTGTATCCTGAGACTTTGCTGAAGTTGCTTATCAGCTTAAGGAGATTTTGGGCTGAGACAATGGGGTTTTCTAGATATACAATCATGTCATCTGCAAACAGGGACAATTTGACTTCCTCTTTTCCTAATTGAATACCCTTTATTTCCTTCTCCTGCCTAATTGCCCTGGCCAGAACTTCCAACACTATGTTGAATAGGAGTGGTGAGAGAGGGCATCCCTGTCTTGTGCCAGTTTTCAAATGGAATGCTTCCAGTTTTTGCCCATTCAGTATGATATTGGCTGTGGGTTTGTCATAGATAGCTCTTATTATTTTGAAATACGTCCCATCAATACCTAATTTATTGAGAGTTTTTAGCATGAAGGGTTGTTGAATTTTGTCAAAGGCCTTTTCTGCATCTATTGAGATAATCATGTGGTTTTTGTCTTTGGCTCTGTTTATATGCGGGATTACATTTATTGATTTGTGTATATTGAACCAGCCTTGCATCCCAGGGATGAAGCCCACTTGATCATGGTGGATAAGCTTTTTGATGTGCTGCTGGATTCATTTTGCCAGTATTTTATTGAGGATTTTTGCATCAATGTTCATCAAGGATATTGGTCTAAAATTCTCTTTTTTGGTTGTGTTTCTGCCAGGCTTTGGTATCAGAATGATGCTGGCCTCATAAAATGAGTTAGGGAGAATTCCCTCTTTTTCTATTGATTGGAATAGTTTCAGAAGGAATGGTACCAGTTCCTCCTTGTACCTCTGGTAGAATTCGGCTGTGAATCCATCTGGTCCTGGACTCTTTTTGGTTGGTAAGCTATTGATTATTGCCACAATTTCAGATCCTGTTACTGGTCTATTCAGAGATTCAACTTCTTCCTGGTTTAGTCTTGGGAGAGTGTATGTGTCGAGGAATTTATCCATTTCTTCTAGATTTTCTGCTTTAAACACAATGAAAAGACATCATCATGGCACAATCACTCTCTGGTTTCTCCCTGCTTCTGCAGCCCTGAAGCCTAAACTTTTTCACAGGATACCCACAGTCTTTGATAATCTGGACACCATTTAATATTCAGCTCCAAGCCTAGCCCACAGTCACTATTATTTTTTTCAGTTGTACTGAGCTAGCTTATGTGTCCAAACTTCCCAGGTATTTCCTTGCCTCTTTGCCTTTGTGTGGACAATTTTCTCAGCCTCAAATGCCTTTATCAACATTGACCTAGTGAATTATGATCCTCTGAGAGAAAACATCTTTTATGGAAGGCTTTTTCTGGCTCGTACAGATAATCACACTTGTCTTTATGCTATTTCTAGCATATTTTATAGCTGCTTTGTAGTAATTACTTGTTTGCATTGCTACTTCCCATAGAAAAAGTTGTGCTTTGTGCAGTCACAGACTAGGTCTTTTTCTTTATATGCCTGATGTAAGCACATGTAAGTACAAGGTCACATAGCACAGTACAAAATTAATAAGTGACTTCTGAATAAATGAATGAGCTTGTGCGTGCCTAAATGCATGAAAAGTTGTCTGAATGAATTTGGGATTTTGTTTTACTTCAGGTCAATGATACAAAAAGTCATCACAAAATGGACTTCTCTTTCATTCTTATTCAGCCAGGAAAACAATTTTTGCCTGAACTTTTTCTTCTTCTAATAGAAAAGTGCAAGTGAAGTGAATGTCAAGAATGTTCTATGCATGAAAAATAAAATAGCTACATAATACACCTGTCAAAATGGTGTTTAAAATAAAATGCTACCAGACCCATATGACTGAAGAGGTTTTGTGGGAGTTGCTATTATAAAGCAGTTTTTAACACTCTGCTCAGAAAATTGTCACCTACGTGAAACTTTCAGAGCAACTGTGACTTAGAGTTGCAACTGCACTTGACATTACCAGTAAGTCATTTTAAACATTTCATGCATCTATTCATTGGTTTGCAAATCTATAGAATGGGCCAACTTGTATGTTGTAAAGGCTAAGTGTGAAAAGAATGAAAGACATTTTAAAATTTTTCTTTAAATAAGTTTGTCCTTTACTTAAGGTAAATATCTAAATTTAAAATAGAATGCTAAGTATATGAAAGTAATATGTTTCTAAATATTACATAGGAATAAGAAACGATTTCCAATATGATTTAATGATATAATTAAGTTGGAAGTAAAATGTCTTCATAAAAGTTGAGATACTAAACATAAGAAGTAGGCTTAGGAATTGAACTAAAGATGGTTTTATTGCACTATTTATTCGTGTCCAACTTCTATTTTCTTTTCTCACTTTTCTAATTACCTTAAGTGCTGTTTGTCTTCTTTCTCTAGTCTGGGCAGGGCTGGGCTGGTCAGTTTCTGAGGTCCCACTTGCAAAGCCTAATAAAGGAAATGCTCAAGGTGAACCTGTGGTGGACATTGAAATCATGGATGGGCAGACCTAATGCAAATGTAGAAATCAAATTTGGCAATTTTGACTTGGGAGTCTAAATGCATTAACAAAATGGAGGAAACAAAGGAGGAATTGACAGCTGAGGTCCACAGTGTCTATGAAAAAGAATCAAATTCTGTAAATTATTTAGAGATTTATTCTGAGTCAAATATGAGTGACCAAGGCCCAAGGCACTGTCTCAAGAGGTCCTGAGAGCATATGCCTAAGGTGATTGGATTACAGCTTGGTTTTATACATTTTAGGAGAACAGAAGTTACAGGAAAGGAGGAACAACTCAAAGTGGGGGCTTCCAGGTCATAGGCAGATTCAAAGATTTTCTCACTGGCAATTGGTTGAAAGAGTTAAATTACTATCTAAAGATCTGGATCAATGGAAAAAAGCATCTGGGTTAAGATAAGGAACTGTGGAGATGAAGGTTCTTATTATGTAGATGAAGCTTCCAGGCAGCCTTCAAAGAAAATAGATGGTAAATGTCTCTTGTCAGACCCTGAAAGGTGCCACATGCTTAGATAATTTTTTCCTGGATCAGGAAAAATTTTCTCCTGGACCTAGAAAGGGAAGAAATCTATAGAATGTTGATTTTCCCCACAAGAGATAGCTTTGCAGGGCCATTTCAAAATATATCAAAGAAATATACTTTGGGGTAAAATACTTTGATTTCTTTCAGGCCATGCTGTCATGTGATGCTATACTACCATCAGGTTGGAATTTGGTCTCTTATTGCTACAAAGAATCTGTTTAGTCAGTCTTAAGATCTGTTTTAATGTTAATTCTGGTCAGTTGTGCCTGAATTCCAAAGAGAGGGGCATTCAATAAGGCATGTCTGACTTCTCCTTCCCATCAGGGCCTGAACTAGTTTTTCGAATTTACTTTGTAATCCCCTTGACCAAGGGTAGGGGCCCATTCAGTTGGTTGGGGGACTAAGAATTTTATTTTTGGTTTACAGCAGCCAGGAGAAGTAGGCAGCAAGGGAAAGAGTGGAGAAGAGAGGAAGAGGTAATACACCTAACATTTATTCAGTGCTTACCATAGTGTCAGGCGTTATTTAAAATGCCAGAAGCAGAGAGTACACAATTAGCCAACAACATTCTTGCACCTACCTGGATTAGACTTGGTTATCTGTTGCAATAATTACCTGGCACAGGTGGTTTGGTTTATAGGAGGACCTGCAGTGGTAACACGGATAGCCATTATTTTCCATGACTTCATATCCTCTTGATTCACTGCTTACCACTGGTGTTTCTCCTTCCCTTTGTTTTCAGTTCTTTAGTTTGATTGTGGATTCCTAAACCAAAATTACTAACCTTTTGATTTTCTCTAAATATGTTCCCTTTTTGACTGGAAATACTGTCAATACTTAAACAGGACATCTAATGATGATTCACAGATCTTTAACATTCTCCCTAATCAACTGCATGTCATAATCACTACTTGGATGTCCCCTTATCACTTAAACTTACCATGGTCATCCTTGTCACTTTCAAAGCAACTTCTCAAGACATTAACGTAATTAACGTAATTATACATTTTAGAGAGTTATTTTAGACATTATTAATTTGTTCATTTTTTATTTGCAAACTGATTGATTCTAGGTTTCATGTCTTTTTCTACATGGTTGTTTAGAACACCTAGCACAGTGCTTGGCACATGGAGGGACTCATCACAGAATCAGTTTATTGAAGCAAACTCAGTAATAAGTAAATATGAAGCAACTGAGTGTCTACAAAAACATAATTTAGTTAAAATATTTGAAGCTGTTCATAAAACATCTCTAGCAATAGTTTCAACCCTGGAATCTGTGTGTTCATAAATTATTTTCAAAATTTCAAGGAACATAAAATGTACCATATATTTTGTTGAGAAAAATTATATACTTACTTTACAGGAAGGGAGTCTTGATCCAGACCCCAAGAGAGGGTTCTTGGATCTCACACAAGAAAGAATTCAGGCCAAGTCCATACAGTAAAGTGAAAGCAAGTTTATTAGGAGAGTGAAGGAATAAAAGAACAGCTATTCCATAGACAGAGCAGCCCCAAGGGCTGCTGGTTGTTCATTTCTATGATTATTTCTTTATGACCCCAATGGCTGCTGGTTGTCCATTTTTATGGTTATTTCTTGAGCAAATGCTAAACGAGGGGTGGTTTATTCATGCCTCCCCCTTTTAGACCATAAGTGGTAACTTCCTGATGTTGCCATGGCATCTGTAAACTGTCATGGCACTGGTGGGTGTATAGCTGTGAGGATAAACTGAGGTCACTCTTGTGGCCATCTTGGTTTTGGTGGGTTTGGGCCGTCTTTGTTACTGTGACTTGTTTTATCAGCAAGGTTTTTATGACCTGCATTTTGTGCTGACCTACTATCTCATCCCATGACTTGGAATGCCTTAACCATCTGGGAATGCAGCCCAGTAGGTTTCAGCCTCATTTTACCTAACTACTATTTAAGATGGAGTTGCTCAGGTTCACACACGTCTGACACCTACACATATATGGAATAACACAGAGATTTCAATAGTAGTGCCATTTAAAGCACCAAACAGAAACCACAAAATTTTTATTAATTAGGGCTAGTAAAAGAAAATGTGATACATCAATAAAACAGCATACCACATTAAATACTACGTGTATGTCTTTGTTCAAGAGAAAATCATAAGGTACAGAACATTGTGTGAATATTATTGTTCCGCTTGGATTTACTGGAAGAATGTATACTGTACATGAAACTGGGAGATTAGGATTATAGCTAGTGTTAGGGTTAGTGTTTGGGGCAGAAGCTCGAAAGTCAAGCTTACAAGGAAGACTAAGTTTTCACTGTATATTCTTTATAATATTTAAATTTTTACCAGATGCTTACATTAGCTTTTTTTTAAAGAAAAGATAACATCTCCAGATGATTTAGACAAAAGACAAGACATGTAAAAATTGCAGAGAAATCTGAGACAAGGCTTAATATTCAAATAAAACCAGAATGAATTTCAGAATATTCCTTCCAAAGCATTCTTCTTTTAAGATATGACATTATAGCTCAAGGGATCAGAGTCAATATTCTTGGATAGCTAGAACTTTTTGTAATGACTTTCCTGTTCTTTTTGTTCCAAGAGTATCACCTTCATTTAGTATATACCTGAAAGAGTCAGGAAAACTTACTTGGTGCTAGTTAGTTGCAGGTTTTGGCAGCCAAGGCTGTAGATAAGCAAAGGGGAATCTTTCAAATTTCTCATTTATGATATTTAAAAACACATTTAATCTGTGTGAGCAGGTTTAGAAGTACTGTAAATCATTTTGTGTGAATTGTAATGATAAATTATAGACTGAAGAACGCCCTGAGAGTAGGTATGATGTTTCGTATGCCTGAATGGTCTTGGACTGGGACATTGCCCAAGTCCCAAAGTACATTGGCTTCCTTATAAAAGTATTTCCAACTGTTTTAGCTAACTCTTCTTTCTGTCCTCAAAGTTACCAAAGAACACAGAAATTATGCAAAAGTGGGTTCTAATACAGTTTTACTTTTATATAGATAAGGCATATAATCCCACTAAAATTTGTTATATACAAATGAGTCAAAGATGACTTTTGTGAATTGGCCCCTAGGTTGCTTACTTCTTCAGTATAACTGAAATTTTTATATAGCAGATGGTTTTAAACATAGCCCAAACAAGCACATTTTAGCCATTTAGAACCTGACTGCTTTGCATACGATGGTAAAAATCTGGTAGCCATAGATGAGAATAATTTCTGGTGCTGTTGAGCAGACATCACTCAGATAGGTAAGCCTCCTTTCTGATCTTCCTCTCCCCAGGAATTCCCTTTCCCTCTTCCTCTTCTGAGTAGAAACCCCCACTGCCTCTAGCCTCTGGCCAGATGCCTGCTATGAAGGACTTGCCTGCATGCAAACCTGTCAAAGCAACACTCAATAAAGCTTGTGTGCGCTACTGCCACCTCGTGGTCGATTATTTTCCTTACTTAGCCCCCAAATCCCTTGAATTGTAGCTCCTCCAAATTGAAATGATTTTTTTTTGAATTATAGTAATATAACTTCGAGATAATTACCTAGTTCTGATTAGAAGATGCAATTTGTAGGGTGAAAATAAATTGTTGTTAACTTGCCTTGGAGAAAAAAACTGAATTGCATGGGTTATCACTACAAAGAGGTTGAACTTTCTCATTTCTAATTTACAGTCTGAAGATAATGAGCTATTGTTAGGTTATGTAGTCGACTTAAGGTCACATAATTAATGACCTCTTAGGTTTTGAACTTAGGATATTGTTTAAAGAAAAAGCTTAGACTAATAAAATTTAACAGAATTTAACTGAGCAAAGACTGATTCGTAGAATCGGGCAGCACCCAGAACCAGAATACGTTTAGAGTGGCCCCAGGGCTGTCACGTGGTCAGACAACTTTTAGGGACAGATAAAGAACAGTGATTTACAGAAAATGGAAATGAGCTACAGAAACAGCTGGATGGGTTACAGTTGAGCCTTCAGTTAATTTGAATCTGCCTTCAACAGTTGATTGCTGGTGATGGGCTGAGACTGTTTCTTTTTAATAGAGTAGGTTACTGTCTGTTTACACATCAGATGAGGTTACAGTTAAATATGTTGGATGAAACCTTTAAGTTTGATATTTCCTTTTTCCAAATTGTCTGTCTTTTCTTCTTTTACAAAGTAATAAGGTTTATCTTCTTTTTCTATCTTCTCTTAATTTTTTAAATTGATGGAATTTGAGTTTTTACTTCAAATTTCAGCTATTATAAACAAATAATTTTGTGTTTTGTGCTGTATTGGCCCGTTCTCACACTGCTATAAAGAAATACCTGAGACTGGATAATTTATAAAGGAAAGAAGTTTAATTGACTCACAGCTCCACATGGCTGCAGAGGCCTCAGGAAACTTACAGTCATGGCGGGGAGGCAAAGGAGAAGCAAGTACTTTTTTAACAAGGTGGCAGGAGAGGGTGAAGAGGGAAGAGGCCATTATAAAACCATCAGGTCTCATGAGAACTCACTCACTATCAGGAGAACAGCATGAGGGAAACTGCCCCCCATGAGCCAATCACCTCCCACCAGGTCCCTCCCGCAACACGTGGGGATTACAATTCCTATTGCAATTTGAGATGAGATTCTGATGAGGACACAGCCAAACCATATTTTGTGCATTAAACAATCTTACGCATTTAACCTTACACTTATGTGATTATTTATGTATCTTTCAAAAGTCTTGGTTGCAAGTAACAGAAACCAAACCTGGTTACCTTAAAAAGTAAAAAAGAGTGCATCGAGGGGCCGTATTTTCCTCATGGAGATGAATGGAACCTGGGAGAGAACTTTGAAGATAAGTAGGAATCAATTAAACTCCAGAGGGCTGGGCAGCAGGAATGCTAGGGAAGGGTTTCAGCACAACAATTCATTCATTAAAGTCATTACAATGAAACAAAACATCTCTAAACTGCCTTACCACCCTGTGACATCAACTTGAGGAGATAAAGTTATGGGAGCCAGCTCCTGATTGGCAGAAGTCACTTGTTTTCTGAGTGAGGAGAGGATGCATGCGACCACTTCAGCTTCCATAGAGGACAGTTGCTTCTACCTGACAGGTATCTCCAAATCACATAGGTGAAAAGAGTGCACTCATTATGGGTTTAAATTGCATTTTAGGAAATTTGAAAATTTTGAGTTAAGATAAGAATGTTTTAAAAATAAAATCCATTTGACTTCCCATTTTCTATTAGGGTATGAGTCATTTTCTTACTAATTAGTAAGAGTTATTTCTATAATAAGACAATTAGTTCTCTGTTACAGGTAATTAAAATATTAAAAATTGATTTGACTTTTTATTATATATTTTAATATGCATATGTATCATTTTCTTTTCCTTCTATGCACTATTTTGCTAGTCTTACAAAGTCATCTCCAACTGCAAGATTATTGTCATAAAAACAAAGCAAAAGCCTCTTGTTCTTATTTTAAAAACTTCCATGGTTTTGTTTTCAGTATCTAAAAATTCTACCCATTACCTGGAATTTATTTTAATACTAGAAATAAAGCAGCATTCAAGCTTTATTAATTTTAAAAAATTGATTTGTTGGTTGCCTCTTGTCTCAAATGACTAAAATGCTATCTGCATCATAAAATTAATTCTTACATATATTTAGCTTTACTTTTGGACAATGCATTATTTTCTGTATATTTTAATTATTGTATACTTATATATGTTTTAAAATCTGATTGGACTAGTTCCTCTTCCTTATTCTTACTTTTCAGAACTTTCCGAGAACTGTTTCTACTTATTTTTACATATTAATTCTAAATGTAGCTCTACTGATTTCTTAAAAAATATTTTGGTTTGGGGACATTTTACATTTATGTATTATGGAGAATGGATATCTATAAAATATTGAAACTTTCAAGGAAAGAAGCATTTTATTTTTTTTACATGCTTTTGTTTATTTTTTAACCAACCAAAATTCTGATAACCTCATATCCATTGTATGGACATAGCACACTTTGATTATCCCTTCATCAGTTGATGGACATTTGGGTTGTTTCCATATTCTGGCTATTAATAAAAATGCTGCCATGGACATTCATGTACAGGTTTTTGTGTAGACATATGTCATTTCTTGGGTATAGATCTAGAAGTGAAATTGCTGGGTCATATGATAACTTTATGTTTAATATTTTGAGGATCGTCAAACAGTTTTCCAAAGTGGCTCTACCATTTGACAGGCTAATCAGCAATATATGAGACTTCCAGTTTATCTACATCCTTGCCAAGATGTTTTATTATAGTCATACTAAATAGTAAATGTGAAGTGGTATCTCAAGCTGGTTTTGATTTGCATTTTCCTAATGACTAATAATGTTGAGAATCTTCTCATGTGTTTGTTGTGCATGTGTATATTTTCTTTGAAAAAAACATTCAGATTATTTGCTTATTTTTAAAACAGATTATGTTTTCCTTCTTTTATTGAATTATAAAAGTTCTTTACATATTCTTGATAGAAGTCTCTTATCAGATATGTAATGTGCAAATACTTTCTCCTTGTGTATATATGTCCATGGATTGTCTCTTCACTTTTGCATGGTGTCCTTTACAACATTATCTGATTTTGAGAAACTCAAATATTCCCATTTTTCTTTTGACACTTGTACTTTTGTGCCAAGAGCCAAGGCCCTAATCCAAGATGATGAAGTTTTACCACAATTTTTAAAATAGTTTTACTGTTTTAGCCTTTCATTTGTGACAATGATGCACTTTGAGATAATTAACTTTTCTGTATTGTATAAAGGAAGGATTCAACTTCATTCTTTGCATGTGAATATCCAGTGATCTCAGGACCACTTGTTTATATTATTATTTTGATGTAATAGTGAATTCTCTTTTAAAATAAATTGTTTTCCTCAATATTCAAAAATTAGATTGTTCTATGTTTTAGATATTATTATTAATGCTATGTAGAATTTATACAAGATGTTTGTAAACTTTTATCTCTGGCAAAGTTTAAATTTCATTAGATATATATTATATTAAAAATTGGAAGAAATTGTCTGGGACTAGTGTTTAATTGGTCTAATAGATTATTGCTACATTTTTGAACATCCTCTGTATAATGATTTGCAAGGATTTTTCATTTATTCTTAGGTAAGTTTGGGTAACTTTCATTTTTCTAGTAAAGAATAATTAATTTGTATGCTTAAATTTCCAAGTGGTAAAATTTTTTCTTCCATGTTTGATTTAATGTTTAGCTTTCCAGCATTGTGATCTAAATAATATTTTCTGCATTGTTATGTCAGATTTCATTTTTGCATAATAGTCAAATTTTGTACATTTTTCATAATATTTGAAAAGGAAGTAGATTCCCTTCTTTTACATTATAACAGCTAGTAAAAACACCCACTGTACTTATTTTATTGAATTTGTGATTTATACTTTTATAGCCTAACTTATTTTCATTCTGCCTGATCTATCATGAACCAGGAGATATAAATGGGGTTGCCTACTACTATGTCTTGCTTAATTTCTCTCCTTGGATTTTGCTGGAGATTTTGCTTTATGCATTTTCATTTTTAAAAATTTCGATGCGGCCTGACACGGTGGCTCACGCCTGTAATCCTAGCACTTTGGGAGGCCGAGGCAGGCAGATCACAAGGTCAGTAGATCAAGACCATCTTGGCTAACACAGTGAAACCTCGTTTCTACTAAAAATACAAAAAAAATTAGCCAGGCCTAGTGGCATATGCCTGTAGTGGTGGCACACACCTGTAGTCCCAGCTACTCGGGAGGCTGAGGCAGGAGAATCGCTTGAACCCAGGAGGCAGAGGTTGCAGTGAGTTGAGATCACGCCACTGCACTGCAGCCTGGGCAACAGAGTGAGACTCCATCTCAAAAAAGAAAAATTGGATGCACAGAAATTTATGAAAGTTTAGATATTCTTTGTAATCATGACTTCATTGTTTCATGTTCTTGCTGTTGCTGTTCCACAGTTTGAAGCTTGATTTTAACCATGTCAAATATTAGTATCTCAATATTTTCTTTCTCTTAATTTGCATTTGCCTATTTTTTACCAATCATTTTATTTTTTACTTTTCTTGGTCATTTTATATTAGATACGTCAAGTATAAAATATATGGGTGAATTGTGACCTAGTGGAATAATCTTTTTTTTTTGCCATCATAAGCTACTTTATTCTCTTTATTTTACTTGTGCCTGTGCTGTATAATTTCTATCACTCTATTCATTGCTTTCCTTCCTTTCTTTTAATACTTCTTCCCATTGTTACACCGTTATTTTTGTGTTTATGTTTACACCTCAGTATCACATGGACACTTTTCTCACTTCAAAAATTCCCCCTGTATATGCCGCCACAGTCGTTCTCCTCCAATCCTTACACGTTCACCTTTTTCAGAATATCATATCAATGGACTCATACAATATATAGCCTTTGGTATCTTGTTTATTTCATTTAGCAAAATGTATTTAAAATTTATACAGATTGGAGGGTGAATCAGTGGCTCGCTCCTTTTTATTGCTGAATAGAAGTTCATTGTATCTAGGTACCAAAATTGGCTTACCTATTCTTCTGCTGAAAGACCTCAAATATGTTTCCAGTGTTTGGCAAATATGAGAAAAGAGTTGGTAAAAACATCCACATACATGATTTGTATGAAGATAACTTTTCATTACTCTTTAGTAAATAATTACGAGTTGGATTGTTGGGTCATATGGTAAGTGCATTCTGAAAAAAACTGCCAAAAATGTTTTCCAGTGTCTGTGCCATTTTGCATTCTCACCAGAAATGAATGAGCATTCCTCTTGCTTGCCAACATTTGGTATTGTCAGATTTTGGATTATTATTATTTTATTCATTATAATGTGTATAATACTGTATTATGGTTTTATTTGCATTTATCAAGACTAGTGATGTTGAGCATCTTTTCATTAATATAATTGGCATCTTCTTTAATAAAGTGTTTTTTTCAGATCTTTTGTGCATTTTCCTAATTAGGCAGTTTGTTTCTGTACTATTGAGTTGTTAAGAGTTCTCTACATATTCTTGATATAAGTACTTTATCACATATATGACTTGCAAATACATTTGTCCATCTATATATCATCTTTTCATTCTTTTGAGAATCATTTTAAGAGCAAAAGTTAATTTTGAAAAAATATAATTTATCGTTTTTTAACAGAACATGCCTTTGATGTTGCATCTAAAAATTTATTGAGAAATCCAAGATTACACAGATTTTATCCTATGTTTTTTCTAGAAATTTAAAAATTTTATGTTTTATTTTGAAATCTGTGACTCATTTTTGGTTCATCTTTGTGTGAAATGTGAGGTAAATGTTGAGTTTCATTTTTGCATATAAATATCCAATTATATTAGTAATATTTTCTTAAAAGACTGTATTTTATTACCTTTGATCCTTTATAAAAACAATCAGTTTATTCCATTTTTTAAGCATATATTCCTGGGCTGCCCCTTCTGTTCCACTGCCCTATGTGTCTACTGTTTACCAACATCACACTGTCTTGATAGCTATAGTTGATACTAAGTCTTTAAATCATGTAATTTGAGTCCACAAACATTGCTTTCCTTTTTCAGAATTGTTTTAACTATTCTAGTTACTCTTTCTTTTCATATAACTTTTAGGATCAGCTTGTCAGTATCTACAAAAAAAATTGACATGATTTTCATTGGAATCTTCTATAATCTATTGATCAAATTAGACAGAAGTGGCATCTTAATATTGGATCTTTCAATTTATGAGTATGGGATATCTCTACCTGTTTAGAACTCTGATCTTTGTCTTAAGTGTGTAAGAGTGCGGATGATATATCTGCACATGTTCTGATATATTTATACTTAAGTACTTCGTGATTTTGGTACTATTATAATTGATTTTGCTCTTTTTCTAGCTTCAAGTTCAAACTGCATATTGACAGCATAAAGAAACACAATTGACTTTTAAAGATTGAGTTGGTGTCCTACACCCATATTAATCTCACTTATTAGTCCCAGGAGCATTTTTGTACATTCTTTGGAATTTTCTACACTTATATTCAAGCTGTCTCTAAATACAAATAGTATTATTTTTTCCTTTCCATTCTGTATGTCTTTTATTTCATTTTCTTTCCTCGTTGCACTGATTGGGACTTCTGCTATGATGTTAAATAAGAACAGTCTAACAAGAGATCTTGAGCTTATTTCTGATCTTTGGGGCAAAGACAATATGTGATTATCAATAACCATGATAATTTCAATTAATTGAAATAATATATAAATTATTTGTATATGCTTTCTATTAGGATAAGGATGTTCCTTCTATTATTTCTAATTTTCTGAGAGTTTTTTTAATCATAAATGGATGTTTAATTTGATTGAATGCTTTTTTCTGGTACTATTGGAATGATGATATTATTTTCTTATTTATCCTGTTAATGCTGTGAATTACAATGATAGATTTTTGTATGCTGAACAAGCCTTATATTCTTAGATGAACCACAATGGTTGTGACAATTATCCTTTTTATTTATTACTGAATTTGATTTGCTGACATGTTGTCAAGGATTTTTATGTCTATGTTCATGAAGGATATTGAGCTGTTGTATTTGTATAGTGTCTTTGTATAATGTCTTTGTTTTTTGTATTAAGGTATTGCTGAACTCGTAGAATGAATTGGGAATGATTCCTTTTATTCTATTTATGAAAGAAATTTTGTAGAAATTTTATTATTTATTCCTTAAATATTTGCCATAATTCACGAGTAAAACCATCTGGGC
Source organism: Homo sapiens (assembly GCF_000001405.40). Lineage (NCBI taxonomy): Eukaryota > Metazoa > Chordata > Mammalia > Primates > Hominidae > Homo > Homo sapiens. The sequence goes on from NC_000003.12 coordinate 35,915,922, forward strand.
TGGCAGTCTTTTCTCATTTTTTTTTTTCCCTTTTGAAATGTTTTTTATTTTTTAAAAAAGTTAAATTTTTAATAGACACAGGACTATTCAGTTTATCTCTTTATTCTTTTTATTTTTTCAAATTTTCATTTGATATTTAGGGGGTACATCCACAGGTGTGTTACCTGGGCATATTGTGTGATGCTGAGGTTTACGATATGAATAATCCTATTACCCACGTACTGAGCATAGTACCCACAGTTTTTCAACTCTGTCCTCCCTCCTGCCTACCTGCTCTTGTAGTCCCCAATTTCTATTGTTGCCATCTTTATGTCCATGAATACCCAACGTTTGACTCCCACTTATAAATGAGAACATGCAGTATTTGGTTTTCTGTTCCTGCATTAATTCACTTAGGATAGTGGCCTCCAGCTGTGTCCATGTTGCTTCCAAGGGTATCATTTCATTCATTTTTATGGCCAGGTAGTATTCCATGGTGTATATGTACCACATTTTCTTAATCCAATCCACTGTTGGTGGACACTTAGGTTGATTCCTTGTCTTTGCTATTGTGAATAGTGCTGCAATGAACACACGAGTGTGTGTGTCTTTTTGGTAGAATGATTTTTCTTTTGGATATATACCCAGAAACAGACTGCTGGGTCAAATGGTAATTCTGTGTTATTTCTTGGAAATTTCCTGGAAATTTCTTGAGAAATTTCCAAACTGCTTTCCACCAGGGTTTAATTAATTTACATTCCCACCAAGAGTGCATAAGTGTTTCCATTTCTCCTCAGCCTCACCAGCATGGGTTGTTTTTAGCCTTTTTGAAAATAGCCATTCTGAGTGGTGTAAGATGGTATTTCATTGTACTTTTGATTTGCATTTCTCTAATGATTAGTGATATGAAGCATTTTTTCAAGTCCGTTGGCTTCTTGTATGTCTTCTTTTGAGATGTATCTGTTCATGTGTTTTGCCCATTTTCATTTTTTTAATGGGGTTATTTGGTTTTTGCTTGTTCAAATGCTTAAGTGCCTTATAGATTCTGGATATTAGACCTTTGTTGGATGTGTAGTTTGTGAATATTTTCTCCCATTCTGTAAGTTTCATGTTTACTCTGTTGATAGTTTCTTCTGCTGTGCAGAAGCTCCTTAGTTAAATTGGGTTCCACCTGTCAATCTTATCTTTGTTGTAATTGCTTTTGAGGACTAACTCATAAATTTTTTCCTAAGGCCGATGTCCACAATAGTGTTCTATAGGTTTTCTTCTAGAATTTTTATACTTTGAGGTCTTACTTTTAAACCTTTAATTCACCTTAGTTAATTTTTTATATGGTGAAAGGTAGGGATCCAGTTTTATTCTTCTGCATATGGCTAGCCAGCTATCCATTACCATTTATTGAATACAGACTCCTCCCATTGCTTATTTTTGTTGATTTTATCAAAGATCTGATGATTGTACATGTGTGTCCTTATTTCTGCATTCTCTATTCTGTTTTATTAGTCTATGTGTCTATTTTTGTACCAGTACCATGATGTTTTGTTACCCTTATAATATAGTTTGAAGTCAGACAATGTAATGCTCCTGGTTTTGTTCTTTTGCTTAGGATTTCTTTGGCTATTTAGGCTCTTTTTTCGTTCCACATAAATTGTAGAAGTTTCTTCAGGTTCTGTGAAAAATTTTATTGGTAGTTTGATAGGAATAACATTGAATTTCTAGATTGGGAGCAATATGGCCATTTTTAATATTTTGACTCTTCCAATTCATGATAATGGAATGTTCCTTTATTTCTTTGTGTCATCCATGATTTCTTTTAGCAGTGTTTTGTAGTTCTCCTTTTAGAGATCTTTCACCTCCTTGGTTAGACATATTCCTAGGTATTTTAATTTTTTGTGCTATTGTAGATGGGATTGCATTTTTAAATTATTTTTATTTTTAACTTTTATGGGTATATAGTAGTTATATATATATATGAAATAAATGATACATTTGGGTACAGGCATGCAATGCATAATTATCACATCATGGAAAATTGGTTATCCCTCCCCTCAAGCATATATCATTTGTGTTACAAACAATCTATCTATACACTTTTAGTTATTTTTAAAAGTACACTTAATCTATTATTGACTATAGTCCCCTTGTTGTGCTATCAAATGCTATGTCTTATTCATTTTTTCAACCCATGGAGGGATTGCATTCTTGATATGGCCGTCTGCTGGAACGTTATTGTTGTATAGAAATGCGACCAGTTTTTGTACATGGATTTTGTTTCCTGAAACTTGACTAAAATTATTTATCAGTTCCAGGAGCCTCTCGGCAGAGTCTTTAGAGTTTTCTAAGTATAGAATCATATTGTCTCTGAAGAGAGACACTTTGACTTCTTTTCCTATTTGGATGCCTTTTATGTGTTTCTCTTGCCTAACTGCTGTGGATAGCACTTCCAATACTATGTTGAATAGGAGTGGTGAAAGTGGGCATCTTGTCTTATTCCAGTTTTCAAGGGAAATGTTTTCAGTTTCTGCCAATTCAGTATGATGTTGGCTATGGGTTTATCATAGATGGCTCTTATTAATTTGAGGTATGTTCCTTCACTGCCTAGTTTATTGAGAGTTTTTATCATGAAGGGATGTTAGATTTTACTGATGGCTTTTTCCATATCTATTAAGATGGCCATATGGTTTTTGGTTTTTAATTCTATTTATGTGATAAATCACCCTTATTGATTTGCCTATGTTGAGCCAACCTTGCATCCCAGAAATGAAGGCTACTTGATCGTGGTAAATTAACTCTTTGATATGTTGCTGGATTTCGTTTGCTAGTATTTTGTTGAAGATTTTTGCATCAATGTTAATTAGGGATATTGGCCTGAACTTTTCTTTTTTGAATGTGTCTTTGCCTAGTTTTGGTATCAGGTGATGCTGGCTTCTTAGCAAGAGTTAGAGAGGAGTTCTTCCTCAATTTTTTGAAATGGTTTCAGTAGAATTGGTATCAGCTTTTTTTTTTTTTTTTGTACATCTGGTTAAAATTTGGCTATGAATTCATATGGTGTAGGGTATTTTTGGCTGGTAGATGTTTATCACTGATTCAATTTCTGAATTCAATATTGGTCTGTTCAGGGTTTCACTTTCTCCTGGTTCAATCTTGGGAGATTGTGTTTTCAGGAATTTATTTATTCCCTCTAGATTTTCTAATGTGTGAGTTGTTCATAAAAGTCTGAGGATCTTTTATTTCTGTGTAACTGCATGCAAACAACACTGATATGATTTTGCTCTGTGTCCCTACCCAAATCTCACCTTTAATCATAATACCCATAATGCCCACGTGTCAAAGGTTGGGACCAAGTGGCGGTAATTTGATCATGGGGGTGGTTTCCCCCAAGCTGTTCTCTTGATAATATAAGTGAGTCTCATGAGATCTGATGGTTTTATAAGTGTCTGGTATTTCCCCTACTTGCACTCACATTGTCAGGCCGCCCTGTAAAGAAGGTGCCTGCTTCTCCTTTTCCTTCTATCATGATTGTAAGTTTCTTGAGACTTCCCCAGCAATGCGGAACTGTGAGTCAAGTAAACCTCTTTTCTTTATAAATTACTCAGTCTCGGGTGTTTCTTCATAGCAGTGTGAGAACGGGGACTAATACAATCACCTTTGTTTTTTTCTGCTTGCATTTATTCTTTCTTTATTCGTTCTTAATCTAGATAGTGGTCTATCAACTTGTTTATCCTTTTAAAACATCAACTTTTGGTTTCATTGATTGTCTGTGTGGATTTTCATGTCTCAATTTCACTCAGTTTTGCTTTAGTTTTTTCTTTTCTTCTATCTTTGAGACTAGTTTTTCTTTTTTTCTAGTTCCACTCGGTGTGACGTTAGATCATTTGAGATCTAATTTTTGAGACAGGCTTTTAGCATTACCAGCTTTCCTCTTAACACTGCTTTTGCTGCATCTCAAAGATTTTTGTGTGTTGTGTCTCTGTTTTCATTTATTTCAAGGAATGTTTTGATTTCTGCCTTAATTTTACTGTTTACCCAAAAGTCAGTCATAAGCATTTGTTTAATTTTCATTTACTTGTGTGGTTTTGTGTGATTTTATTGGTATTGAGTTCTATTTTTATTCTACTGTGGTCGAAGAATATGGTTGGTATAATTTTGATTTTTAAAAAAAATTTATTTAGGCTTGCTTTACAGCCAATAATGTGGTCCATTGTAGAGTATATTCCTTGTGCAGATGAGAAGAAAGTATATTCTGTGGTTGATGGGTGAAGTATTCTATAGTTGTCTATTAGGTCCAATTGGTCAAGTGTGAAATTTAAGCCCAGAATTTCTTTGTTAGTCTTTTGCCTTGATGATATGTTTGATGCTGTCAATGGGGTGTTGATGTCACCCACTATTATTATGTATCATAGTCTTTTTGTAGGTCTAGAAGTACTTGTTTTATAAATCTGGGTGCTTCAATGTTGGTTGTGTATATATATTAAGGATAGTTAAGTCTTCTTGTTGCACTGATCCCTTTCTCATTATATCACGCCCTTCTTTGACCTTTTATTACTATTGTTGGTTTAAGGTCTGTTTTATCTGATATAAAAATAGTGATCCCTGCTGTTTTGTTTTCCATTTGTATTGTAACTCTCTCTCTTATACTTTGCTTTGAAGCTATGTGTGTCAGTATGTGAGGGATGGGTATCTTGAAAACAGCAGATGCATTTTTTTTTTATTTGTCCATTTACATTCAAGGTTAATATTGGTATGTGAGGTTTTGATCCTATTGTGAAGTTGTTAGATGGCTGCTTTGTAGTTACTATTGTACGGTTGCTTTTAGGGTCTGTGGGCTATGTACTTAAGTGTGCCTTTGTGGTAGCAGGTATTGTTCTTTCATTTCCATATGTAGAATTCCCTTATGATCTTTTATAAGGCTGGTCTAGTGGTGTTAAATTCCCTTACTGCTTGCTTGTCTTGCTTATCTGAAAAAATAACTGGGTTAATGCAAATGATTGGTCTTTAAGCTCTGAAATTTCTTCTGCATGGTCCAGCCTATTGATAAATCTTTCAATTATATTTTGAAATTCCTTAAGTGAGTTTTTCAATTCCAGAAGCTTTGATTGATTTATATTTTTAGATTTTTATCTCTTTCTTAATTTCCTGGATTGCTCTATAAGTTTCTTTGTGTGGATTTTCAACGTTGTCTTGGATCTCATTGAGCTTTCTTGCAATCCATGCTTTGAGCTCTTTTCTGTCATTTCTGAGTTTCACTTTTAGTTATGGGCTATAGATGGAGAGCTAGCACATGCCTTTGGTGTTGTCACTATATTCAGGTTTTTCATGGTGCCAGAATTGTTGTGCTGGTTTATTCTCATCTGGAGATGCTGGCACTTCTAACCTTTGTAATTATTTTCATGTGGGTAGTATGTTTATCTTTTTCTTTCTTTCCCTACATCATTGTGAGTTTTTTTTTCTATCCCTTTTATTTCCCTCCTTTTCTAGGGAGTGTTACTATAGAAAATGTGGTGTAGGGTCTTTTGGCTTTGCTTCTATAGCTCTATGGACTTCTGTCAGCAGATTCAGATTTATTTATTTATTTATATTTTTTTCAGGGGGAGTCTCACTGTGTCGCCTAGGCTGGAGTGCAATGGCACGATCTTGGCTCACTGCAACCTTCACCTCCTGGTTTCAAGGGATTCTTCTGCCTCAGCCTCCTGAGTAGCTGGGATTACAGGCACCCGTCACCACACCCAGCTAATTTTTGTATTTTTAGTAGAGATGGGGTTTCACCATGTTGGTTAGGCTGGTCTCGAACACTTGACCTCAGCTGATCCATCTGCCTCAGCCTCCCAAATTGCTTGGATTACAGGAAGGAGCCATTGCACCTGGCCCTGTCAGCAGATTTTATATTGGGGTGTACAGTTCAACCTAGAGGCCAGTAGATGGCATTTATAGGAAAGAGCCAGCTGCGGCCAACGTGGCTGGGTGTATATTTTGTTTACTAAAGAAAGCTCTGTGTTGCCTTAGGCAATGGGCTGATTTGTATAATGCACAGCGATCTGAGCTCCCTGCTCAGCTACGGAGGAGAGGAGGGCAGAGGCCACAATGGGCAGGGCTGGACTGAGTAGGTTTGCCTACAAGGTCTCCTGATGGCAGGCACAAGCACCAGTGCCAAGGGAAAATCCAGTGAGTGGCTGCCAAGTACCCAGAGGTGTGGGCAACCCTCTCAGCTCAAAGTTATTTGCACAGAGATGGGACCAGCCTAAACTCCTAATCCAGGAGAGTGGGTACTCCAGATTCCTGTAGATCTGCCTGGGCATGAGGCAGAGAGGGGCCCCCCTGCATGAAGATATCTGCATAGGACAGGTGGGGGCAACTCATGTTGCTGATCCAGGCAAACAGATGCTCTGAATGCCTGGAGATATGCCTGGGGGTGAAGCATAGAGGGCCTCACTGTACCACAATCTATGTCCAGGAAGGATTAGGTGGCTCAGGCTGCTGAGCCAGGAAAGCATGTGCTCTAGATATCTGGAGTTCTGTCTGGGAATGAAGCAGAGTCTCCCTGCACCTGGGTTTCTGCATAGAAAGGGTGGAGTGGGTCAGATTGCTGATTCAGGTAAGTGAGTATTCCAAATGCCTAGAGATCTGCCCAAGCATGGAGCAGAGAGAGCCCTGCTGCACCACGACTTATGCCCAGGAGTGGTGGAGTGGCTTAGGATACTGAACCAGGCAAATGGGTGCTCTGTATGGCTGTCAATCTGCCTGGGAACAGATAGGGCCTTGCTACTTTATGATCTATGTCCATGAAGAGTAGGGTGTCTCAGGCTTCTGGTCCTGATAAGTGAGAGTTCCAAAATCCTGAATTTCTGCCTGGGGATGGCACAGAGAGGGCCCTGCTGCACCATGATATCAGGGGAGCAGGTTGGGGTACCCACCAATGAGACATGCAGACCAGTTCCAGGTCACCAAGATGGCCCTGACTGCAAGTCTTGCCACCCAGGAGAAACTGCAGGTGTAGCATCTCTCCTTCTGCCCCAGGCTTGTGACAAGAAGAGCACAATTCTGGCACCTATTGCTGGGACACTTTCCACGGTTTTGGCTATGGAGGCCCCTATCCAACTCCAGAGTAGGCACTCCAATCTCTGGTCTGAGACTAAGATGCTTGCACGGCCATGCGGCTGGGTCACTAAAAAATGGCACCCAGATTATATGCACCCAGATTAAAAATGTCATCTTGCTCTCTGTCCCAGGTCTGGGAAAATATCTGCAACTTTTCCCAGTATCTTTCCCTCATAGTATCTCCAAATCTTTTCCCAAGTTATCTCCAGGGCTTGAGATAAACGAAGTACACTTCTTCAGCCTGGGTTTCTCAGATCACCAGTGGAGAGGTGAATCACAGAAGGAGATTCTCTGCCTCCCTTATGTACTGGAGCTTCACTCACTTTTACCAGCTAAATGCTGTCACAGGGAATAGTCATCGGTGTTCTCTTCCCTGCAATCTGGAGGATCCTTCATAGTTCCAGTGGATTCCCATTTTTCTTCTTTAATTAAAGCTCACAGAGTTGATCTTTATGCACAGTCTTGCTATTTTCAAGTGGTGGAGGCATGCTAAAAGCCTCTAATCTGTCATCTTGGAATTTAAAGGGTTATTCTTCTTGCATGAGAATTAGTAGTATGTATTTTTCAAGAATTGATATATGTAATCTAAGTTGTGTAATTTATAGGCATATAATTTTTGTAGTATTCTTTTTATTGTTTTTTAACATATTTGAGATAGTGATGTTTCCCCTTTGATTTCTTGTGTTAATTATTTCATCAATTTTTTTTCTCTTCATCCGCTGTGCTAGAAATTTGTCAATATTATTGATAGAGCCAGCTTTTGGTTTAATTAATATTCTCCATGGCTTTTCTATTTTTAGTTTCATTAATTATTTTTTCTTCATTTTCTTTGTGGTAAATGTGCTCATCTTTTTCTAGTTTCTGAAGTTGGAAATAGGTTACTGGAGCTAGATCTTTCTTATTTTTTAATATAAACATTCAATGCTATAAATTTCCCCTTAAGCACTGTTTCAGCTACCTCTCACAAATTTTTATATGCTGTACTTTCATTTTTATTAGATCAATATTTTAAAAAATGTTATTGTGATAGCTTTTCAAGTTATTTGAAAGTATGTATTTAATTTCCAAATATTTGGTGATATGGTTTGGCTCTGTGTTCCCACTCAAATCTCATTTCAAATTGTAATCCCCACATGTCAAGGGAGGGACCTGGTGGGAGGTGATTGGATCATAGGGGCAGTTTTCCCCATGCTGTTCTGTGATAATGAGGTAGTTCTCATGAGATCTGGTTGTTTGATAAGTGTCTGGCATTTCCCCTGCACTCTTTCTCTCTCTCTGCTGCCACCTTGTGCAGACAGTGCCTGCTTGCCCTTTGCCTTCCACCATGATTGAAAGTTTCCTGAGGCCTCCCCAGCTAGGCAGAACCATGAGTCAATTAAGCCTCTTTTCTTTACTATTTACCCAGTCTCAGGTAGTATCTTTATAGCAGTGTGAAAACAGACTAATGCATTTGGCTTCTAAGTGTCTCTTGTTATTGATTTTAGCTTTAATTTTGTGATAGTCTAAGACCTAGAACATATTCTGAGTCATAAAATAAACTGTAACAATAAGTTCTAGCTTGGTGCATGTTCCATGTATGCTTGAGAAGAATGTATATTTTGCTATTTTTTGGTGGAGTGCCCGATAAATATAAATTAGGTTAAGGTACTTGATAGTTGAGGGTATCTATATCCTAACTGACTTCTGCTTACATATTCATATCAATTACTGAAAGAGAAAAGTTGATGTCTCCAACTATAGCTGTGAGTTTTTATATTTTTCCTTTTAGACCTGTCCATTTTTGTCTCACATATTTTGAAGCTCTGTTGATAAGTGCATAGAAGAAATATGTATTCTCAAAAAGATAATGTCAGAAGTTTATAATGATATTTTCAGTTCAACTGTAAAATTAGTTTTTATGCTAGTTATTTGATTTTATATTAATTAACCTTTTTTTCATGTTTCTGAAACACTTTAGGAGCATTAAAATTTACACTTTTCTATCAGTAAGAGAATTAGTTCATATATTTAAGGGCCATCTTAAATTATTTTTCTGCAAAATGTCTATTCATAAATTTGGTCCATTTTTCTCTTGGTCTTCCCCTTCTTAATTCTCATTCTTTATGTGTTGGAACTTTTAAGCCTAATTTCCTGTTATATACTTCTGTATACCTTTTCTCAAATTTTTACATTTTTCTTTGGCTTTGTCAATGCTTTTTAAGCTATAAATGTTTTGTAATGTAATCAAAGTCAATGTGTTATTTCTTCTGGATTTTGAATCATAGTTACAGAAATGTTTCCTCTTTCATTTTATGATGAAATTAATCTATTGTTTTCTAGAAAGTTTACAGCCTTTTCAAAAAAATTACCTCCTTTAACTATTAGTGATTTGTTTACACATGGGTGATAATAAATGTGTTTTTTCCAAATGCTTATCCAGTTTTTAAATAACATTTATTAAAAAGCCTGTCCATTCTCTATTGAGATGCCATTTATGCCATGTATTAAGATTCCATATGCCCTTGTACATTTTTCAGAGCTTTTGCTTTTGTTCCATTAATCTGAATGGCCATTCCTAAGCCAATAACAACACTGATTTAATTATAGAAATTGTAATTTGGTAGGCCTGTTCCCCAGATTGCTCTTCTTTTTGGGGATTTCCCAGCTATACGTGGTCTTCAAGAATAGCACTGTCTTCACTTCGTGTAATTATAAAAAATAACATATGCATTGTATTGGGAATCCACTGAATTTATATATTTATTTAGGGAGCATTGGCATCTCTCCAATACTCCTTGGTCTCCCTGACCATACACATTTTTCTCTTCTATTTGTTCAAGTCAAGTTTTTATAATAGATAATTATTTCAAAATTTTTCTCATATAGATTTTGATTTTTTTAACTTTTATTTTAGGTTTAGGGGTACATGTGCAGGTTTGTTATACAAGTAAATTGTGTGTTGCAGGGGTTTGGTGGAAAGATTATTTTATCACCCAAGTAATAAGCATAGTACCTGATAGGTAGTTTCTTGATCTCCCTACTCCCACCCTCTACCCTCAAGTAGTCCCCAGTGTTTGTTGTTCCCTTCTTTGTGTATACATGTACTCAAAGTTTAGCTACCACTTAGAAGTGACAGCATGTGTCATTTGATTTTCTGTTTCTGTGTTAGTTTGCTTATGATAATGGCCCCAAGCTCCACTCAAGATGCTGCAAAGTACACACGATCTCATTCTTTTTATGCCTGCATAGTATTCCATGGTGTATACATACCACATTTTCTTTATTCAGTCTATCATTAATGGGCATTTAGGTTGATTCCATGTCTTTGCTATTGTGAATAGTGCTGTGATGAACATATATGTGCATGTGTTTTTAGGGTAGAACAATTTATATTCCTTTGGGTATATAACCAATAATGGAATTTCTGGTGGAATGGTACTTCTATTTTACATTCTTTGATAAATTGCCAAACTGCTTTCCATGATGGCTGAATTAATTTACATTCTCACCAGCAGTATATAAGCACTCCCTTTGTTCCACAAATTTACCAGAATCTGTTATTTTTTGATTTTTTAATAATAGCCATTCTGACTGGTGTGAGATGTTATCTCATTGTGATTTTGATTTGCGTTTCTCTAATGATTCATGATGTTGAGCATTTTTTATATGCTTGTTGGCCATGTGTATGCCTTCTTTTGAATAGTGTCTGTTCATGTCATTTGCCCTTTTTTAGTGGCGTTGTTTTTTGCTTACAAATTTGCTTAAGTTCCTTATAGATTCTGGGTATTAGACCTTTGTCAGATGCATAGTTTGCAAATATTTTCTCCCATTCTGTAGGTTGTTTGTTTACTCTGCTGATAGTGTCTTTTGCTGTGGAGAGGTCTTTAGTTTCATTAGGTCTCATTTGTCAGTTTTTGTTTTTGTTGCAATTGCTTTTGGTGTCTTCATTATAAAATCTTTGCCAGGTCCTATGTCCAGAATGGTATTTCCTAGGTTATCTTCCAAGGTTTTTATAGTTTTTCATTTTACATTTAAGTGTTTAATCCATCTTGATTTGATTTTTGTATATGGTGCAAGGAAGGGGTCCATCTTCAGTCTCCTGCACATGGCTAGACAGCTAGCTATCTCGGCATCATTTATTACATAGGAAGTTCTTTCCCATTGCTTGTTTTTGTCAATTTTGTTGAATATCAGATGGTTGTACGTGTTTAATTTCTGTCTAGAGTTGTTTGTTTTTGTTTTTGATTGGGGGACATTAAAGATAACTCTAGCCTTACTAAATTAGTGTCCAATGGTAATTTTGCTCCTTCAAAATTGAGGCCTTCCCTCTTTAAAGGTTCTCAAAAGACCATACTATTACTCTGAGACCACTGTTTTATCCCCTGGAATCTTGAAGCCTCATTCAAACATTCTAATGACAAACTGCAATGCAGATTGTTTCCGGAGTAGTTTGGAACATACGGGAATCTTTCTTGAGCACATATGTTGGGAGTTGGGAGCTGGCTGAACTAATACATTCAGGAGAAAAAAGATTGACATATAAACTTAACGAGGTGAGTTCAAGAAGTTGTAATTTGGCTTACAAAGCTCTGAGAATGTCAGCAGCCTGCTCTTCATTTAACTTCATGCACTCCTTTCCCACCTTGCAGTTTGCATCTCTCCTGGGCGTATATTATGTCATCAGAACATCCTGACATAAATCTTCCTTCATTTAAGTTCATAAGCAGTATTCAGGAAGACTGCCATTAGGAACCCTAACAGTGAAAGTTGAATCAAGTGGGGTGCAGAAGGGTGTGGAAGACAATCACGAACTGAAGTGGAGGCATTGTTCTGATGCTGTGAAAGGGGCTTTTAAGTATATTAATGATATTCCTGTGAAAGCTACCTTATCAATTCATTCAAAATAAAACAGCCATTATGCAAAAACTGTGACACAGAAGGAAAGAACATAATGATCCTTTTGTTACAAACAGCTGGGCAAATAAGTCAACATTCAATCAGGGTTCCCTAAAAGAAATGTTAACTATTTTAATTAATGCATCTTTTAAAAATATTTCCGAATATTACAAAACTACTAAAATAATCTGAAAACACTTATTCTTCCTTTTTTTCCCTCTTCCTTATACTAATAAGCCTCCCTAGAGGTTAAATAACTGTCTCAGTTTAACTTCTAATTGATACTGAGACCCCAGTTGCTAAATAGTGGGACAGAAATAAATGGCCACTGAAAATTAATAACATGTGTGATTGATTTCTATTCTCTGTGTTGGACAGTAACTGAAAATGATCTCTCCAAGTATTTTTGCATAATTTTTATGCAGGTGAAGATTAATATCTCTATACTTTTAAATTATTACAATATTTGATCATGGCTTGGCTGTATTAATAATGTGTCGGGTCAAGTGAAAATAATACAGATTTGGGAGTCAGACCTGGGTTTGAATTCCAGATTTAATCTATTTTGGTTTTGATATCAGGCAAGCTATTTAACCATTCTGGGAAATAGAAAAAAATTGCATCTATCTTAAATACTACAGTTAAGATTAAATAAGATAATACATGTTGCAAATGGATAGTTTTATGCCCCAAAAATATTTAATAATAGATATGCAGATGAGTTAATTGTTTACCACTCCATATTCATCCTACTTTTTCTTCTCTTCAATCCCTTTCTATTTAGAGAAGAATAGGTCTGTATAAGTCCATAAATACTTCAATGAATAGAGGGAGACTGGTGTCATCTCTGGCCTAATTGAGGTTTAAATACCCCCAAAATATGAATACCATTGCTCATTAGTTACTTTCCATGAAGACAAAAACTCAGATCATGTTTTTAGGTTCAAGTTTCACAAGGATGGAATACAGCTGGTAACCTCCAAATTGGATGGATGTTGATGCTGGAACAAATACTGAGAAGATCATTCATTCATTGAGTTGTCTTCATTCCATGCTCACACAGAAACTACCTGAATTTTCCATTGTTCAGCCCATCACCTAACCTCAAGCTCCTACATATGGGCTCGCTTTCTCTATATTGTGCATTTGACGGTGGGAGCGAAGAACCAATAATTGAAAACATGCTAGTCATAGGCATTATAAAAAGCATTTTCCATGCATTTTATTACTGATTTCACAAACTTGCTCTATGAAATTGGTGCTAGTATTATCCTTCATATTATACATAACAAAACTGAGACATCTTACGACTATTTTTAAAAATCATATGAAAGATAAGCAGTACATTTGGGCGCTGGATTTTTGAATTCCAATGCATGAAATCACTTCATCATACTGTATGCTGTTGTTTTTAGGGGCTTATTCTGAAGCCCTTGGCACTGACCTAAGAACCACAAATGGGTATCTTAGGATGAAAAACAATGCCTCACTTCCTCCTTTAGCTTGGAATGTTGTGATACGGCCTTAAGATAGAAAGCAAGTAGTCATTAGCCTCCCTTTTAACAACCTTTAAGAGCTCTGAAGATGACTATTATGATAACCCCTTAGTTTTGTCCTTCACCTTCTCCTTCCTATTATTGGAAGGATTCTAAATACCATACTCCTACATCTAGCTGTATTTATACCTTATATATCCAGAGCAAGCCATTTGACCTGTTAGGACCTTGGTTTCCTTGGCTTAAAATGACATTAAACAATATAATCACCCAGATACATTTCGGTTCTAAACAGATTTTTATTCTACAATGCAAAATAAAAGTCATTTTTATCTGTTCTCTTGGCCTCATTTTGAAACCTTTTCTTCACGATTAAGACACTCTAAAACCTTCAACAAGTCCATATATGATAACTAATAAATATTAGTATATAGACACTTACGTGTATATACACACGTGTATATACATGTTTGTGAATATATTTAATAAACATATATTAATATATATCATTAATTATGTAATATAATTAGTAATTATGTAATAAATAACATTTAATGTGATATGTACCCAGGAATAAATACCAGTGCAAACACACTACAAATGAATATGTGAAAGAAATGCAACCTGTGTTTTGTTGACCCAATCAAAACTCACATACCAAGAAAGGAAGATACATACTGTGATAGTGGGAAAGTCTACATAGGATGGTGAAAATGATATATGAGATTACTTAAGGCATAGAGAGAGAAAAGGAAGTGTTTGAAAGTCTATTTAATTTCCATCTTTATATTCAAAATCTTGCAGGCTACCAAGTAAATCCTTCTGAGCCCAGTAATTCATATCTTTTTCTTTCTTTAATTTTTCAGGCAGAGGAGGATTTAAAATTGGGAGATAGTAAAATTTTGTGAGTTAGCATTCATTGAAAAATTGTCACATTCCTGGCTCTGTATTGTCCATCTTGCACAATTGTTTGATTTAAAACTCACAGTACTACCTGTTGAGGAGACTATTAAGTATCTGTAATATAGGAATGAGATTGTTGGGATTCCAAAGGTTAAAGACTTAGCTATTCCTTCTATAACTACTAAGCAGCAGACTTAGAATTAGAAATTAATTGTATCTGGATCCAGAGACCAAGCTCTTTCTGTCTATCTGTAACAAAACAATAATCGTGATTTTGTGTTAGAAAAAATAGGTTATCAAAGCTTTCTTTTCCAAAGTGGCACTGTACGAACCCTGTGACCCAATGCTTCCTAGTTCTTGATCTACAGAATCACATGTAATTATATAGTATTTGGTAAATAAAAGAGAAAATTGAATACTGCTTTGAAATTGGTTGATACAATTTACCACTAGTGGATTTAATATAGAGAAAATATTAAAGAGCTGTATGTTGGTAAAAGTTGGTAATTCTTTTGAGTGGTGGTAGAAAGTCTTAGTAACCGGAATAATAAATCTGATGTCCCTGGGACTTGCTAAGGTGGGCTTTTTGTTTGTTATTTTGTTTGGTTTGTTTTGGCCCTAAGACTTCTGGTCTTCCCTTCTGAATCTCCTAGGGAGGGCTTCTGAATAAAGAAAAGAGAATCATAGTTATTTATACTTTGGAAGCTACAGGAATACAGCACAATCAAAATGAGAAGGAAATGGAAACAGGAGCTTCCTAAAGAGCCTTATGTCCTCCAGGGATTACTTTGAAAAGAAAATGGATAAATTCTGATTATATGGGATTTCAGGCCATGAAAGCTGGGTTTAGTGAGAATAAAGAAAGATAAACATTTAGTCATGTCTTCTTGTGCGCCAGGCACTGTGCCGATATCTTTAATCAATGTCCCAACTTTTTGAGGTGTCTTCATTATAGAAGTGAAGAAAACTGACGTGCTAAGTGGTACAGTCACTTTCTTAAGGTGAAGTAAAACTGAATGTTGTTATGTATGTCTTGATGATCTTTACAACCTTTGAAGATTAACTTTACAATGACCCCCCTGTTTTTTGCTTCTTCCTCATTCTCATTTTTTTCTTTCTTCTTTTCTCTAATTTATGATCACCATGTTTTCAAAATACTTTTTAAAGAGCTCTAATAATTTTGATCAGGAGAGCAGCATACAATTTCAATCACTACCTGTTTATTTTTCACGACCTATGCCCTTGCCCAGAACCTCTTCTAACTCTACCTTCATAACTCTGACTTTTTGTCTCATAAACGTGCTTGTTAGAGTGCAGAAGGTTGCCTTGACAAGGAACATGAACCAAATCACTAGACCGTCAAGTTTCTTTTCATATCATAATTACAGGTGCTTTCTGGAGAGTAATTAGCAAGATGGGTGCCATGTAATTTTCAGAACCATCTTCCAATCCTGATCTCTTTCCCATAACAGCATTCTCTGACAGGTATGCCTATTTTTCAAGTTTAGAAATTGCAGCATCAGGTGACTTAAACTAGATTTAAGAATGAGGAGAATGCTACAGAAGGGAGCACGAGAACTGAAACGATGATTGTTATCACCCCACCTCTAAAATAATAGGCCCCTACTAGTTTCTTCAGTGCCATTTGTATTGTGGATTAGAAACTCCCTTGTAACAAAATGACATGCTTGCTTCCTAGTTATTTAGAGAGGGCTGGAATTGGTGGCATTGCTGCCCCCCACCCCCTGCCCCATGCATAGCCAACACTCTTAGTTACAGCAAATGTTCTAGAATCTGTCATTGTTTTAAAATACCAACCAGGAGATATGGTCATTTCCTCATAGCAATGAATAATGCATTGAATCTTTCAGATAGTGAAATCACTAAAAATAGCAGGAAAGTTGAACGCCATGAGCCATAAAACAAAATCCTTACTATTTCTGAATACTGTTATTATTTAAAGATGACACCAGACAAACTAATTTCCTAAAGATTTTGCTTGTTTTATTTTACTTATTTCACAGCAAATTTCCAAGTAACTTCTGAAAGATTGAACAAATACCAAAGTGGTTTTTATGTTATTGCTCTAGTTCTTAAAATTTGAGCACAGATGAGACCTCACTTACCTCTCATACCCTTACCTTGATGCCTGACACTCACATATTAAACCGGAGTATGAGGGATTGAAAAATAAATTTTAAAACCTTGGGAAGAAACCCACCTTTAAAATGAAAAAACCTTGGGTAATAGCTCTGATTTTCCATTTTAAAGGTGGGTACTCTCTTCTGTTAAATAGAACACTCCTAATGTGTTAATGATAGTCTAGGTTTTAACCTTAACTAACTAGATATACTTGGGAAAATCAGTCGGCTTTTCTGATCTTTTGTTTTCCCATATGTAAAATAGAGATATTATCACCTGCTTATAAGAGTGTTGTACAGATAAGAAGAGATGAGTGAAAAACTTTATAAACCATAAAACTTACAATTTAAGTAATAATGTCATTGATTCAAAGAAGACATGAAATCACCATAAAGGGACTTTGGACAAACCCCCCTTGGACACACACACCTCATTTTGAGTTAAGGTTTTTTTTTTTTCCATGTTGTTTGATTCACACAATATATGAATAACTTACTTTAAAAGATTCAGAAGCATGTGGAGAGAAATGAGAAAGTTTTCTTAGTGAACCTGTTTAAGATTTTTATTTTCCCAATGTAGTCACTGTTAATAGTTGGAAGTATCCTTTCCTCCTTCCTCTTTAACAGTGCAGTCAACCCGCACTTCTTACGCTTGAGGCAGATCTGGGGAAGTGTTGCGGTTTGACCTCTGTGTGACCCCGTGTTTGTCATTTTTCCTGCTTGGAACATATCCACCTTTCAGATATGGAGAAACAGAAATCTCTTTCTGGATGAAAGTGATGTCAAACAGTGAGTCATCAATATCCCCTAAAAAAAGCTTGTTGTTTGAGCATTGTTTTTTTTTTTAACCTAGTGAAAAGACAATTATTCCGTTATCCATGAATCATCACTTTTTAGGCTGTCATTAGTACACGTTTGAGAATGAAGCTGACAGAAGAATGGTGCCAAATCATTCATGTGGAGCTTGAAAATGCTGGATAATTTGATTGCTCTCCTGTTTTCAGTCAGATGTGAAGCTAAAGTGATTGCTTGAAATCTGTTGAATATATAAATTTTTTATCAAGCTTTGTTGAGATAGTGTTTTTGAGTCTTTACATTTCTGATGTTGCCTTTGACGTTTGAGGCACTGTGACCAAATATAGACACTAGTTTATTTGTGATTTCATATCAATTTGTGTCAGAACTCAATAGAAAACTGCCATTTATAAATGCTAAAAATTATTTATATTATTAATAAAGACAATGTAATTTTATGTATTTTATGTCATCACAATGGTGGCTATACAACAAAACTAATTTTCAGTTTCCACTTCAGTTAGGAAGTGGGAAATTTGCATCCATGATCTTCAAGTTTCATACTTTTTTACCCCTTAAAAAATAACTTTGAAAAACTTTGGATATTTCAAGTTGACCTACAAAATTTTTAATACAAAACTTAAATTGTTATAAAAGATGTAATTTGTAGTATTATAAATACTAAAATTTTAAAATAAAGCTCATATCACTGCTTAAAATGTCTTCAATAAATAGAGAAATTTGATATCCACATTTATTTATTTTAAGAAATAGCCAAGCTATTAATAGTCAAATATTTTACATAGTTTTTTAATCTTTTAAAACTCACATATATATTCCATATAACCCTGAAAAGATGAGGCACAAGGAGGTTAAATGATTTGCCTAAGGTCACATAGCACATATATGGCAACTCACATGAATCCAGACTGCTTGCCTCAGAGTCTGATATTTATATTATTAATAACCGTTTGTTATTTACATTCTGAGCTTAAATGAAATTTTAAAAATGTGTACACCACCTATTAATAATTTGTTCCTTGTGTTGATACTGCTTCTTTTATCTATGAACATATATATTTTAAACTGTTAATAGAAGAGCATGATATAGGGCCCAGTTGGTTCCATGCCTGGAAGATACATTATGAGTTTTTAGAAAGGAAAGAGAATATATTTTTCAATTGTTCAAAAAAATTGACAGACTTTGTGTTTAGTACCGTGTAATATTTTCTGATGCAGAATAAAAGGAATAAAATCCACTTTCAGTGATGCAAATAAGGGAGAAAATGATTTTTTTTGAATGCCATTCCTGTCAATCATTTTTATGTTAAAAAAAAGGGAGATTCACTGACTTGAGAAGGAGACCCAGCATGAAGCTCATGTTCCTGTGGATGGACCCTTTCGTTTGGGGTCTATTCTTCCTATGGGGGTATGGGGTTTCAAGGGTTTTTTGCTCTCACTTTTGAAAAACTTTAAAGATTATGACCTCACCAGGAAAGGGCTCAAAAACTTGCAGGAGAATATCTGATTTTTATTTCATGTTATCCCGTGTAGAGAAATAAATTATGTTGAAAATACTTTGTGAATGAATTCTGCCTCTTGAATTTCTGAACCTATCATACTCTCCCTTATGAAACCAATATATTTATTGGGGACCTGGCAGGAAGGGAAAAAAAAAACTTCCCTGAACTTTTACTAATAATGTCCACTAATTGATAGTGCCCATTAATAATAACCAATGTCCATTAATTACCAAAGGTGAGATGAAAAGAACACCGGCTACTGAAGTCTGACAGAGGACAGGAAACCTCTGGTGGGCATTCTGCTGTGTGTGTCACAGAAAGTTACAATCCCACTTCTGGTAATGCCGGTTTCCTTGGCTTGTCCTGGCTGGTTTACCATATTCCTTCCTTCTTTCTCACCCCATCTCCTTCCCTGTCTCCTATTTTATTATCTCATCTGTTTGTGATCCCCTTACCACATTATGTCCCTTCCTTTTTCCTTTTTTTCCCATTATTTATAACCCTAATAAGGGCGCCTCCATCCCATGATTAAGTCCTGCTGTGCCTTGAGAGTAATCCAGATTATATAGGATGCCGAGCTTTCCTCTGGAAGAACTGACAACCCAGCTGTCAGCTATTCCCTACATCGCCCTCACAACCCATCCCCACAGCGTGGAGAGTTAGAGGCATTTATGAGGCACCAGAAGCACTATCATTTACTGTAGAACAAACACTGTGCCACTCACTTCAGACATACAATCATATTAGACCTAGATTACATAAATCCTACACCATGCAGATGAAGAAACAGAAGCTTTGAGAGCTGTTCAAATCCATGGAACAGGGGCGGCCTGGGTCTACCTGCTCCAAGTCTGTGCAAAACTCTCCCTCTCCCCCTCACTGCCTCTGAGAATATGGTTAACCTTAAATTCTAACGGAATTGGATTACATAACTCAAGTTGGGATTTTGTGAAGAGAATATTTGCAGAAAACTACTTAAGTCAGGTTTTCTCACATCTGAATTGCGGGAGGACTGCAGTCTTCAGTAGAGTAGTTTCCATTGTACCATCGCTTTCTTCTGGTTTCAGATAAATTCCTTTCACTAAGAGGTTGAAGGCACCAACTGCGGCTTTCTCTTTGTAGCCATGCAACTGTTCAAAACAACTGTTTAAAAGACTTAAACCTTCCTTTAAATGGGAGATTTTTTTTTTTCAATTTGCCATGCTACTATGCTAAACTACAACAAGTCACAGATTAAGGACATGCACACCTGTAAAGTGAGATGTCATAGAAATAACAACCATTCAGAGCTGGAAGGGTAAAACCACCTTTCATTTCTCCCATATATGACCAGGTGTCTTTTACTATGGCATAAGAGCTATTATTCATATATTTAGATTTTACTTTCATTTATTCATTTCATCCTGGCAACAAACATCGAGAAAAGAGCTATAGGAAAATGTTTAAATGACTGATATTGCATTTCCTATCCAAAGCACAAATCACATTATCTCCAAAGGTATTTAAATCATTTTCTGCCTCAAAACAGATAGTAAATTAAAATGTCAAAAATACTTTTTAGCTTAAACATTTGTTTTGAAGATTAAAGTTATAACCTGGCATTAATGTTAATGAAAGTCACAAATTTTGTTCTTTTGTAGATTTCAGCAGTCTAGGTTCGCAGAAACAGGAAAAAAAAAAAGCAGTTTTGGAATCTTCATCTAGAATATTTTTTAATGATAATGATATTAGTGGATCTTGAATAGAATAATATCATCAGAAGCAAGATCTGGTACTGTACAAAATCACAGTTTCTGAATTCAAGGTCTGCATTTGTTACTTGCTATGTGGGTCCTGGCAAAGTCAATAACCTCAGTTTTCTCATCTATATGATGGGGGTCATAGTGATACCTAATATAATGATTTCAGGTATTAAATGTGACTATGCCTATAAAAATCCTTAGCATTATATCTGACATGAAATGTAGTAAGGGCTCAAACCAAGGGTGACTTTGGTTTGTATTATAATTATTACATACCAGAAGGTTGACTAGGGTGAGAAAGACTTGAAAAGGTGCCAGAGTGGTCATAGTCAAATAAGTTTGCAAAATACACATGAGTACATTGAATGCTTTGAAAAGTACTGCACTAAAGATTGTTCCTAAGCTTTATGTAACTCAGTATTTTTCAATGTTATATGCCCAAGGATGGCTTCCCCTACACCACTCTCAAAACTTTGATGTGAATGTCCCACAGAAATTAGAACTGTGATAGGTACTCCAATAACAAGCCCTCCCTTCCGTGGTGGTGATTTATATTTAGGCATTTGTTGGTTTTGGGTAATGATGTTATATTTTTAAATAAGTCCTTTTTTATAATAAAGTAATTCATGCTTACTACTGAAGTTTTGGAAAATTGAGAGGTGTAAAATATAACAATTAATTGTACTTAGGCTTATCTTCTAAAGAAAACCATTGTTAACATAAGATGGGTCACTTTCCATATTTCTTTCACCATTTAATATTTTTTGACTCAATTTTTTTTTTGAGACACAGTGTCACTCTGTCACCCAGGCTGGAGTGCAGTGGTGCAATCTCCGCCTCCGGGGCTCAAGTGATTCTCCCACCTCAGCCTCCTGAGCTGGGATTACAGGCACAGGCCACCATGCCTGGCTAATTTTTTGTATTTTTGGTAGAGATGGGGTTTTGCCATGTTGCCCGGGCTGGTCTTGAACTCCTGAGCCCAAGGGTCTACTCACCTCAGCCTCCCAAGTGCTGGGATTACAGGCATGAGCCACCGCGCCTGGCCTTAAAAACTTTTATCTTTAATTTTTATGCATACATATTAGTTGTACATATTTATGGGGTACATGAGATATTTTGATACAAGCATACAATGTGTGATGATCAAATCAAGTAATTGAGATTTTCATCACCTCAAACATTTACTTATCTTTTTTTGTGGTAGGGACATTCCAATTCCACTTCTCTAGTTATTTTGAAATATACAATAAATGATTGTTAGTTATAGTCACTCAATTGTGCTAACAAACACTAGATCATATTCCTTCTAGCTAACTGTATTTTTGTACCCACGATGTAACCCTTCTTTATTCACCCCTCTCCACTACCCTTCACAGACTCTGATAACCATCATTATACTATCTCCTTGAGTTAATTTTTTTTTTAGGTCCCACATGCGAGTGAGAACATGCAATAGTTATCTTTCTGTGCCTGGCCTATTTCACTTAATATAATGAACAGTTCCATGTATGTTGCTGCAAATGAAAGTTCCTCAAAAAATTAAGAGAAGAACTACCATATGATCCAGCAATTTCACTACTGGGTATATATCCAAAAAAAAAGAAAATCAATATATCAAAAAGGCATCTGCACTCTTATGTTTACTGCTGCACTATTCACAATAGTTAAAATATGTAATCAATCTAAATACCCATCAATGGATGAATGGATTTTAAAAAGTACTATATATACACAATGGGACTTTTTTTTTTTGGTGAGACAGAGTCTCACTATGTCGCCCAGGCTGGAGTGCAATGGCAAGATCTAGGCTCACTGCAACCTCTGTCTCCTGGGTTCATATGATTCTCCTGCCTCAGCCTCCCCAGTAGCTGGGATTACAGGCGTCCACCACCACGCCCAGCTAATTTTTGTATTTTTAGTAGAGACAGGGTTTCACCATTGTGGCCAGGCAGGTCTCAAACTCCTGACCTCAAGTGATCTGCCTTCTTCGGCCTCCCAAAGTGCTGGGATTACAGGCATGAGCCATCGCACCCGGCCTCACAATGGGATATTATTAAGCCATGCACAAGAATAAAACACCAGTTACTTTTCTTTTAGTTTGTTTCACTTATACTCATTCTGAATATAAAATTTTGTACATTCCTTTTTTCTTAACATTTTAACATTTGTTAGTACACACTCTTTATAGATATTATTTATAGATGTTACATTATTTTCAATTGAGTGAACATGCCGTTATTTTCCTAACCATTAATTTATGGTAATGTTTATAAGCTTTTTACCAAGTTATAATTCTTATAAATTAGTATTAAAGTCTTGTAAAGTTTTAAAATTCTAAGGTTTTCTTCCCTATATTTTAGATTACTCATTTATAATAATTTCTTATAATTGGGATTAAAGGATCAAAATTTTATTTACTACTTGATTTATTTGTTCAACAGATACGTATTCACTTATTTAACTGAGCATATGTGCCGGGTGTGGTGCTATGGTTAAAATCGAATGGTATTTCAGCTATGGGTCCCATCTTAGAGAATGTATCATCAGATTTTTAAGAATCTAATATATGCAGACAAATATAAAAGCATTTTCCAAAAGCACTGTCAAATTTGTGCTATAGACCGTAATAATTAAACTCTAAGAACAATTGTAAAAATATATAGGAAAAGAGAGATAAAATACATATAGAAACAGTAATACATTTACAGATATATGGACATTTAAATAGAAATCTATATGAAGGAGATAGGTAGCATTATGTGGATACATGCATACATAGATATCTCGCATTCTTTTTTACTTACCCCAATTGCTGCTTTCATCAGGAAGAATGCTCTATTTATCTAAAATATATGAAAATATCTGAATATCACCACTAGTTGTCTAATACACATATCATACATCTTTTTTTTTTTTTTTTTTTTTGAGTTTCACTCTTTTCACTCAGGCTGGAGTGCAATGGTGCATCTCGGCTCACTGTAACCTCCACTGACTGGGTTCTAGTGATTCTCCCACCACAGCCTCCTGAGTAGCTGAGATTACAGGCACCCATCATCATGCCTGGCTAATTTTTGTATTTTTTAGTAGAGACGGGGTTCACCATGTTGGCTAGGCTGGTCTCGAACTCCTGACCTCAGGTGATCCGCCCACCTCGGCCTCCCAAAGTGCTGGGATTATAGGCGTGAGCCACCGCACCTGGCCTATGCACATCATTTTTGCATATCTTTCAGAAAATAGAGTCATCAAAAAATTGCCCTTAAGTTTTTAATGTATTTTAATTAAGTTTATCAAATCATTGCAGTATATTTTAGCTCTGGGGATGGGCCCAGCTTGCCTTTAGGCTCTCAGGTCTGTTTAGTTTTTTAAAAATTGCACAGTAAATTGTATTCCAGCAAACTCTTTCCAAATGCCCTCTCTTCTCTGAATTCCCACACATTAGTGCCACTAGGAGTCTTTCCTCCACTACTGCCATAGCAACTTGAAGCAGTTTCTCCCTGCTTTAAGCTCACTCCTAGCAGAGCTTCCAAATCAACACTCCTGAAACCTTACTCTGATCATTTCATTCTCCCAATCAGTAGCCTGAATACAGTTTTTTCAAAGCATACTTCTTTCTCCTTCCTTTTGGCCAACTCCAGTTCCATTCAAATCCAAATCCTCAGCTCCCCTTTCATGCCCTTCACTTTGCCACCTTATTCCTAGATTTAGTCTGTCTAGTTGGTCTAGAAAGCCCTATAATATCTACATAATAATAGCTATCATATATTGTGTATTGACTACCTGCTTTGTTCCAGGAATTGAATAAGGTTTCCAAATGTTATCACATTGACTTTATCACATATGATAGCCTCTATTTCACATACGAAACAACTGTGGCTCATTTAAATGACTTGTCTAATTCTTAAAACTTACTTAAATTTATAGCTATTAGGCTCCAGAGTTCTTGTTCTATCAGTTTGAGTACATTTCACGGTCCAGATATTCCTTGTGCTTCTACCTCGGTTCTCACCAAATTCATGAAATCTTTTCCAATTTAAGTTTAGGCCTACCAAATGACAAGGACTTTGCTGAACACCTGGTATATAAAAAAAATAAACATGATCTTTGCTCTCAAAAAACATACAATTTAGTTATGAAAACTCAAAATAAATATGTAAACATTTTAACTAGCGCTATGAAGACAAGCACATAATACGATGAGACAATAAAGAAAGGTCATAATGAGTGAGGGGATTGGTTCTGATGTGGCTTTGCCAAAGAAGGCAAATGTCAGCTAAGACATCAGGATGAACAGAAATTAGCCAAGTAAAGAATGGGAGTGTGGAAGAACAATGTCCTAAGCATAAGGAAAAGCGTATGCATCGATTTTGAAATGTAGAAAGACTGTGTTTTCCAAGAACCAAAACAAGATCATTCAAGGACGTGGTATAAAACTGTGCAGTTGTCTATGGGAATGGTATCCAGTAGGGTTTTGCAGTGGAGCCCTCAGGTCAAAATACCTTGAGTGAACCAATAGACAGGCATCAATGTAGAAAGGAAGGCAGGGTCAGATCACTCAGCACTCATGAGTTCATATCTCCTTGTGCAAATGAAAGTATCCCATAGGATTTAAATCAGTAATTCCCATGCTTCAATTTTGAATGTTTATTTATTCTTCCAGAAAATTAACAGTGTGTGTTGACATATCTATGCCTATTTTATCTTTAATATATTTTTAACTCTGCAGTGCCTTATATAATTCTTTGAAAACATCAGTTGTTTAATGTGTATTTTCTGAGACATAGAATAAATTATTTTCTTTATTTTCTGAATCATGAATGTAGTGTCATCATAATCAGACTACTTTCTTGTATAATGACACCAACTTCAGCATAGTATGCATAAAATTCTATACCTTTTTTTCAAATGGTATTTTTAAAAAAATTGTCTCTAATCGAACAGAATAACTGGTTAAACTATCAAAAAAATTGCCTTTAATCAACTTTGGACCTTCCCAAATGGTTGAGCTCTTAACATTGCTGCCAGCTAAAAATGACTGTTTGTGAACTACAGACATTTGGTGCAGTGACTGCTTTGACAGTTTAGGTATAAAAGAACTGTCAAGCTTTTCATTCTAAGGCTATAGGTTACAGATATTTCAGAAGTGAAGTATGGTATTCCCTTTGAATAAATTTGTCACAACCTCTGGTAATCCCATGTGCAAAAGGACTTACCTCTAAGAGGTTGCATATTAGAGCCCTTGACCTTTCTAAGAAGAATCAACAAAGTTGAGTTTGTAGCAAGTTAGTGTTTGTAGAGAATGTTGGGAGATTGCCCTTCCCCAGGTGGAAATCTACTGGGTGGGTTGCTGCAAAGTTCCTAGACTGGGGAGAAATATTCATTTATATTTCATAAGTCAGTGTTAATCAGTCAGCAGTAGTTCTATTGAGAAAGATTTGTAGACAACATCTGGACTAGGGAAGAGATGCCACAACTTATTAATGGTATCTATTATATGTTCAGAAAGAGGAGTTGCCCAATAGCTATTGGGCATATAGTTATTATTTATTTCAAAGTCCATTTAAAATAGCCAGGGTCTTGAGGAGGTCTTTTAGCATGGGACAATCTAATCAAACACAAAACAAAAAGGGATATAAACCAAGATTCTTAAAGATTGGCAAAAGATACCATAAAAAGACCTATAAAACTAAAATTAATATTCAAAGAGTGCTATAAAATTGATGATAAAATGACCTCAATATAAATTTGGATAATGAGCACAGGCAGATATAGAATTCTTTTAATAGTTCTTTTTATTCATCCCACTTAGTGAATTGTTCTTTAAATTTTTGATCATTGTTACCTTGGTTCTCTTGGATTTTTCACATGGAGGATCTGTGGGTAATTATAACAAATTCCACTGCAACTTTCAAATACCTAAATATCTTTTTAAAAATTTTATTGCATTGACAGGAATTTCTAAAACAATATAAATAATGCTTGAGAGAGTGTACATTCTTTTCTGTTCTGACCTTTAATGAAAATTCCTTTAATATTAGGATTATTTTTAAATCAGAATAAAAGTTAAATTATATAAATAACTTTTTCTGGCCGGGCGCGGTGGCTCACGCCTGTAATCCCAGCACTTTGGGAGGCCGAGGCGGGGGGATCACGAGGTCAACAGATAGAGACCATCCTGGCTAACACGGTGAAACCCCGTCTCTACTAAAAATACAAAGAAATAAAATAAATTAGCCAGGCGTGGTGGCAGGCGCCTGTAGTCCCAGCTACTCCGGAGGCTGAGGCAGGAGAATGGCGTGAACCCGGGAGGTGGAGCTTGCAGTGAGCCGAGATCGCGCCACTGCACTCCAGCCTGGGTGAGGGAGCGAGACTCCCTCTCAAAAAGAAAAAAATAAATAAAATAAAATAAATAACTTTTTCTGACACTGATTAGTAGAATTTATATATATTTTTTCTCCTTTTACTTATTAAGGTAATATATATCCTGCTATTGATAACATAAACATACTGGTCATGGCATATTTTTCATGCTGCTATAATTGATATACTAATATTTTATTTAAGACATTTGTTGTTTCAACATTTAAAAATGAGAATGGTCTAAATATTTTTTCTTTAGGGATGCATATTGGTAAAGTACTATTGCATCAATACTTCACTTATTTTAAAAAATTTTGTACTCTGTTACAATTTGAGTTCAGGAAGTAACTTAAGGTAATGGTTAAGAATCTAGGCTCTTACATATGACAGATGTGGGTTAGAAATTCAGTTACACTATTTACTGTCTCATCTTGGTTGTGTAACTTAACAAACTTATTTCCCATCTGTAGGAAAAAAAATAACAACAGTACCTCCCTCATAAAATCGTATTAAATATGATAGCACGCACTATCATATTTAATGTGAGCACACACTATCATGTCACTACTTGTGGCAAGTAATAGGCATTCAATAGGTGTGTAAACACACACACACAGACACTCAAAGAAACAAAAAAATTAAGAATGTTTTATATTTTAAAGGCTTAATAAAATTTGCCAGTAAAGCAGTAGAGCCTAATGCCTCTTGAATCCTTAATTCTTTGAAAACTTTTTCCTCTTTCTTCCACGTGTGTTTGCTTTCAAGGCTCTCTATCTCTTTTGACTTTCTTTATATTTAATTTGTATTAGCCCAGATATCAACTATTTCAACAAAACTGTTTAAATGTATCAGTTTACTATACATAGCTTTTAAAGAATAATTAGCTTCTTAATCTCCTCTGAACAAATGTCTCTATCTCATTTCTCTCATAATAATTTGTATTTCTTCAACATTGTCAGAAATTTGTTTATTAGTGTTTCCCAAAAGTAGCTCTTAATCACTTTTTAAAAAATTATTTTTAGTTTTCTAATTTAATGATTTCAATCTGTATTGACTTATTTCCCATCCTTTGGTTTTTATTTTCTGGAACACGTAGTGTCTGCCTGGCTGAGGATGTGTGGTGGCAGGGAGGCACTGGAGAGCGGACCATGGAAACCTCATCTCTAGCAGATGTTTGCAAAAGGCTGGCTTCCACTTCCATCACTAGTACTGACTCTGGGTCTCTGGGTAAGGGATCATCTGGAAGAGCACAGAGCCTCCTCCTGACTCTGACATGTGGTCTCTTGTCAAATATATTCACCTAAAGAGTGTGAGGTTTAAAATCAGACACTTAGATTTGAGTCCAGGTTCTGCCACTTATTATCGTAGTGATAAATCCCTTAACTTTTCCAAATCTCATTTTCTTCATCTTTGAAAAGGCTATTATAATAGAGTCTTTCTCATGGGATTATGGTAAAGATTAAATGAGATAATTCAGGGCCTGTGTTTATCTCATTGTCATATCCCTAGGATATACACTGATGCATGCATGTGTGTGTGTGTGTGTGTGCTTGCATATGTGTATGTATTTACATATAAAATATTTCTTAAATTAATAATTCAAGAATATTTCTTGAATAAGTCTTGGGAATTTCCTCCCAGCCTTAAAACTCTACAAGTTACTGGGACCCAATCTTGTGAAGAGATTGAAGAGCTCACTGAACCTCTGCAGCTATTACGTGATAAAAATGATTGAAGCCACTTGCCAACATAAAAGTGCCTTGTGCATGGTTATTAATAATACTGAGCAGTGCCCATTATAGAAAACCTGCAGCTTTTATGCTTCCATAATTTTAGTCATGCTATCATCCTCTCAAAAAGAAGAATCGCCCCCAACACAAATTCTACCAGCTCTCTATTTTCCAATAAAGAGAACCTTGCAAATGGTGAAAACAATGGCAGGTCCTTTTCACCTAGACCCACTCAGAAGTTAGGAAGGGATGTGGATGAGAAACATTTACCTTGCCCGACACAAATCACCACATGCTTGGCTGTTTCCAAGCTGATGGCAAAATCTTCCATTAACAGAAAGGGGAAGGGATGCTCCTCGTTCAGCAAAGAGCCACTTCTGAAAAGGCACTCTTTTATAAAACAAAATAGCATGAAAAATATTTAGAGAAAATAACCAAAATGGACTTCCAAAAGCAAGCTGAATATTCTTTTACATGACATTTACAACCATCACTTGTTTCAGAGATTACTCACACAAAATCTTTAACATTCCAGAAGCCTATCCTTTCCATTTAGATGAGACTTTTTATAATGACTCTACTTCCTGTTCAAAGGGCAGAAAATTATTGTTTAACATTCTGGATTGCTGTGTGTAAACATTTGAAATTAGAATGTAATTTGTTGGGTTCATAGCAAATATATAACATTTATAGTGTACATAAAGCACAAGTCATCCTCTATAAACTGCCTAAAATGGTGATAGAAAAGTTACTGTAATAAACATTTTAGTGATGTTTAGTGCGCTGAGAGATTGCCTGTGAGAAAATGATATGTAATATTAAGAAAAAACACTTGAATACAATGATCCAGAAAGTAGAAAAAAATGCATGGGGAAAGCCGGGTCAAGAGTTGGTGGTGACAGCTGATTTTTTCCACTGTGGGATTCATAGGTCAGAGAACCCAAACCTGAGGGAATGAAGTCACTCCAAAGAGAAGACTTTGACTCATCACTTCATCACTCATCCCAGGAGGTGAATGTTCAGACTGCTTTGCTCACCTACCTAGGTGTGCCAGAAAGCAGTGTGGCCTTGTCATTCCACCTCTGAGGTCTCTGTCCTGCCAGATAAAAACTACAGGAAAAAATAATTGGAGTTTGATTTTGAAAAGGAGGGTGGGGAGGGAAAAATAACTAACTTTTAAGAAGAACAGCTTCTGTTTTTCCTCGTGGTCACTAAATTGTCTTTGGGCTTAACTGTTTTGGCCAAAGACTTTAATTGAATTTTTTGAAATAGGACTCCAGTAAACTAATGCTTCCTCCTTTGATGGGGCCAGTATTATAGTTTGATTCCACTGTATTAAAGTTTTCATTCTTTAAAGAAGTATCAGCCATTTACATAATAGTGTAAAAATGGGCAGACAGTGAGGTTTTACATGTTATGCATCTTTACCCAAGATTATATTTCAAATAGGCTGCTAACATGTTAAATATGGAACTTTCTTCTAGATGGGCCTCTTATCCCTTCTTGCATGTTTTCTGAGAATTTTCTGAGTTCAATATTCAAGTATCAGTCAAAAGGCTCCAGGACTTAATAGTGAAAGCATGTTCCATTCCACATTTCATATCCAGCAATAACATGCTTCCACTGCCTCGAATTATTTCTCTCTCAGTCAATGTACAAGTAAGATTAATATAATTTAAATATTTGGCGCTATAGATGTTGCATTTGGAAGATGAGAAACAGGAAGCTCCTGCAGGCAAATATCTTTGAGATGAAAAGCCGCAATAGAAAGTTGGGTTGCATCAACTTTCAGATAAAATTCCCTTCTCCCAATGTAATGCAGACTATGAAGGATTTTCTTATTTTCAGAAATAAATAATAAAATTGAGGTGGGAAGAGCATTTCCTTTTCTTGTTATAAGCTTGTTCAGAATTATTATTAAAAGATAAACCGGGATCCTTCATGTGCTTGCTCTTACAGTGTTGAGGAAACTATACTATACATGAAATCTCCTGTGGTTTTGTCAGCCAGATTTGTCTTTATTTACCTTACTCAAGGACAATAAAAGGTATTGGTAACAGCACCCATGTGCAAATTTCACTTGTGGAACTACGTGATGAAGCCAGAAAGGAATCAGGGTTTTAAGAAGCACAATAAATACCACAGACAACATAGAGACCTGACGCCCCCTATTGTTAAAAATGTGTAAATCTAGAAATATATTCAATTAGACGTTGGACATCAAGTACTATCATTTTACTTTTGACTGGTGCCGTTACCTATTCAGAGACCTTCTTGGTCTTATTTTTACTAACATACCAGATGGACTGGTCCATTGCATCCCTTCATTATTATTGTAGCCAAGTGCATATTGTCATGTCAGGCATGAGGAAGGGACTGATGAGGAGGGCTGTGGCATACACAAAGCTACTGTGGAGAGCCCTGCTAATTGCCTTGTGGTCCAATCTCAGCAACAATGTGATTACCTGGCAGCAGTCCAGATGGCATCAGCCTCTACTCTAGGCATGTCAGCCCACAAAGGAGGGCACTGCCACCTGCTCGAGAAAGAGAGGTGAGCCCATTAATTCTGATTTACAAAGATGACACTGATTGAAGAGAGTTGGGCATGTGGTACCCCATAGCCCATTTCTAGAAACAGGCCACTGAGACCTCTTCATTCTTTCCATTCTCTGTCCTCTGGCCTTGCCTGCAATGAAATTACTTGCAGCCTTTAAACTCTGTTTGCTCTCTGGTTTTATTGCTGGCAGAAAGCTGTACAGTTTATCAACATTATCTCATATTGGAAGATTCCAGACAGTGGAATGGTAGTTGTTGGGGCCATTAAGAGATGGCTCCACAGTCTGCCTGATGCAGAATTTATAGAGTCTTACTGTGTAAAGTCCTAGAAAATACAGATTGTCTCATTAGATGAAATGACAGCCTAGCACCTTAGAGATAGAGCAATTCCAAGTACTCGCAGGCCTCAGGTACAACTGGGCTTCCGAGGCTTGTTAAAAATGATGCTGATAAACTTTTAAGATTTTTACAGGATACATCTTTCTGTGCTCATGACTTCAAGGGAAAATAGGCTTTCTTCATTCTAGAAAGCTCCTTCAAATCCTCCTTTGAGGAAATTCATATTCCTGTCTGTCTAGGGAAAGTTGATAACTTTGCTCTTTGTTCTTTCCTGTATTTCCACTGTGTGTGTGTGTGTGTGTGTGTGTGTGTGTGTGTGTGTGTCTTTGGCTGAGTTACTCTGAAGTGAAGGCTGAGACATGGTTTATTGAAGATGGTTCTCCTTGGAGAAGGGCAGCGAGGGAAACAGGAGGGGCTGAGCAAGCCTGTGGTCTCAGGTGGGGTCTAACCTCAGCCAGACACCATGGGGAGCTCTGAAGCATGCATTGCTCCACAGAGTTGATCTCACTCTTAGTAAGGGAATTATCCTTTTGCCCTCTGTCAGTCAGGTATAATCCTCCATGGAGAGGAGGGATGGAAAGGGGTTGCTGTGACCTCTAGGTCAGGAGGATTTAGCTTGGTCTAGGAGAGTGGTTCTCAAGAAGTGACCCATAGACTAGCAGAATCAATAGCACCTAGGAATTTGTTATAAATGCTAGTTCTCAGAAATCTCCCCAGACGTACTGAATGAGAAACTCTGAGAATGGGGTCCAGATCTATGAGGGTTAACAAGCCCCCCAGGTGATTCTGATTCATTATAAAATTTGAGAACCACTAGTTGAGGTCAATTCCTTGGAGAAGGGGGTGTCTCTGAGCATGTAGCAGTCATCACTCACAGCAGCTGCAGGATGGTTGCACAACCCTGATGAAAGGGGTCATTTGTATTTATTTATTTTTTATTCTTTAACTTTTATTTTACATTCAGGGGGTACATGTGCAGGTTTGTCACATGGGTAAATTGCATGTTGCTGGGGTTTGGTGTACAAAAGATTTTGTCAACCAGATTGTGAGCATAATATTTGATAGGTAGTTTTACTATCGTCACCCTCCTCCCACTCTCTGCCCGCAGATAGGCTCCAGTGTCTATTTTTTCCCTTCTTTGAGTACATGTGTATTCAACATTTAGCTCTCACTTATAAATAAGAACATGCAGTGTTGAATAGGGACATCTCTTTGTTGAACAGGGAGTCCTTTCCCCATTGTTAGTTATGGTTGACTTTGTTGAAGATTAGATGGTTGAAGGTGTGTGACTTTATTTTGGGGTTCTCTATTATGCTCCATTGGTCTATGTGTCTGTTTTTGTACCAGTACCATGCTGTTTCGGTTACCTTACAGCATAGTTTGAAGTCAGGTAGTATGATGTCTCCAGATTTGTTCTATTTGCTTAGGATTGCTTGGGCTATTCAGGTTTTTGTTTTTGTTTTTGTTTTTGTTTTTGGTTCCATATGAATTTTAGATTAGTTTTTTTCCTGGTTCTGTGAAGAATGACATTTGTAATTTGATAGGAATAGCATCGAATCTGTAGATTGCTTTGGGCAGTATTGCCATTTTAATTATATTATTTCTTCCCATCTATGAGCTTGGAACTTTTTTTCATTTGTTTGTTTCATCTCTGATTTCTTTAAGTAGTGTTTTGGAATTCTTGTAGCAGTCATTCATATCCCTGGTTAGCTGTATTTCTAGATATTTTATTCTCTTAGTGACTATTGTGAATGGAATTGCATTCTTGATTTGGTTCTCAGGTTGGACATTATTGACATATAGAGATACAATTCATTTTTATACATTGATTTTTGTGTCCTGAAACTTTACTGAAGTTGCTTATCAGTTCAAGGAGCCTTTGGGCAGAGACTATAGGATTTTCTATGTATAGAATCATATAATCTGCAAAGAGAGGTAGTTTGAGTTACTTTCTTCCTATTTAGATGTCTTTTATTTCTTTCTCTTACCTGATTGCTCTGGCTAGGACTTTCAGTACTATGTTAAATAGGAGTGGTGAGAGTGGGCATTCTTACCTTGTTCCAGATTTCAGGAAGAATGCTTCCAGCTTTTGCCCACTCAGTATGTTGCTGGCTGGGGGTGTGCCATAGATGACCCTTATTATTTTAAGGTGTGTTTTTTTGATGGCTAGTTTTTTCAGGGTTTTAACATAAAAGTGATATAGTTTGGATGTTTTTTTCCCCT
This sequence comes from Homo sapiens, assembly GCF_000001405.40. Lineage (NCBI taxonomy): Eukaryota > Metazoa > Chordata > Mammalia > Primates > Hominidae > Homo > Homo sapiens. The sequence goes on from NC_000003.12 coordinate 35,949,676, forward strand.
TCAAATCTCATTTTAAAATGCAATCCCCAATGTTGGAGGGGATTGGATCACGGGGGTGGATTGCTCATGGTTTAGCACCGTCCCCCTTGGTACTGTCCTGGTGATAGTGAGTGAGTTCTTATAAGATATGGTTATTTAAAAGTGTGTAGCACCTCCCCATTTGCTCTATTGCTCCTGCTCTGACCATGTGTTATACCTGCTCCAACTTCGCAGTCTGCCATGATTGTTAAGTTTCCTGAGGCTTCCCCACAGGCCAAGTAGAAGCCAGCATCATGTTTTCTATACAGCATGCAGAACTGTGAGCCAATTAAACCTCCTTTTTTTTTTTACAAGTTACCCAGTCTCAGATATTTGCTATAGCAAAGCAAGAATGAACTAATATAGAAGGGATATTGGATTTTATTAAAAAGCTTTTCTGCATCTATCGAGGTGATCATGTAGCTTTTGTTTTTAGTTCTGTTTATGTGATGAGTCACATTTAATGATTTGCATATGGAGAACCAAACTTGCACTCCAGGAATAAAGCCTACTTGATCATAGTTGATTAGCTCTTTGATGGGCTGCTGGTTTTGATTCACTAGTACTTATTGAGGATATTTGTGTCTATGTTCATTAGGGATATGGGCCTGAAGTTTCCCTGTTTTGTTGTCTGTCTGCCAGGTTTTGGTATCAGAATGATGTTGGCCATAAAGAATGAGTTAGGGAGAAGCCCCTTCTCCTTGATTTTTTGGAATAGTTTTAGGAGGATTGGTACCAGCTCTTCTTCATACATGTGGTAAAATTCAGCTGTGAATCCAGCTGGTCCAGGACATTGTTTGGTCAGTAGGTTTTTTCTTTTTATTACTGATTCAATTTTGGAACTCATCATTAGTCTATTCAGGATTTAAATTTCCTACTAGATCAATCTTGGGAGGTTGTATGTGTCCACGAATTTAGCCATTTCACCTAGGTTTTCTACTTTTCTAGTTTGCGTGCATAGAGATGTTCATAATAGTCTCTGGGGGTTTTTTGTATTTCTGTGGGGTTATTAGTAATGTCACCTTTGTCATTTCTGATTGTGTTTATTTGGATCTTCTTTCTTTTTTTCTTTATTAATCTAGCTAGTAATCTCTCAATGTTATTTATTCTTTCAAAAAAAACTTTTGGTTTCGTTGATCTTTTGCATGGATTTTCATGCTCAGTTTTGTTCAGTATAGCTCTGATTTTGGTTATTTTTTTCTTCTGCTAGCTTTGGAGCTGGCTGGCTCTTGTTTTACTAGTTCCTCTATATATAATGTTAGATTATTAATTTAAAAATCATTCAATCTTCTTGATGTAGGCATTTAGCACTATAAACTTTCCTCTTAACACGGCTTTAGCTATGTCTCAGAGATTCTGGTATGTTGTACCTTCGTTTTCATCAGTTTCAAAGAATTTTTTTTACTTCTGCCTTAATTTCATTCTTTACCCTAAAGTCATTCAGGAGCACATTGTTTAATTTCCTTGTAATTGTATGGTTTTGAGAGCTCTTCTCGGTGTTGATTTCTATTTTTATTGCATTGTCATTCAAGAATGTGGTAGGTATGATTGTGTGTTTTTTAAAAATTCATTCATAATTGCTTTATGGCCTCGTGTGTGGTCAATCCTAAGAGTATGTGCCATGTGCAGATGAGAAGAATGTATATTATCTTGTTAGGCATGGTATTCTATAGATATCTGTTAGTCTGTTTCGTCAAGTGTCAAGTTAAGTTCTAGAATATCTTTGTTGGTTTTCTGCCTATATTCTGCTAATATGTCTGTTATTAGACTAATATTATTAAACTAATTATTATTATTATTAGACTAATAATGTCTAAGATGGTCAATAGGATGCCAAAGTCTCCCACTATTATTCTGTGGCTGTCTAAGCCTCTTCTTAGGTCTCTAAGAACCTGTTTTATGAATCTGAGTGCTTCAGTTTGGGTGCATATATGTTTAGAATAGTGAAGTGTTCTTGTTGAATTGAACCTTTTATCATTATGTAATGCCATTTTTTGTCCTTTTTCATTGTTGTTAAAGTCTGTTTTGTCTGAAGTAAAAATAGCAATCTCTGCTCTGTTTTGTTTTTCATTAGACCTTTCTCCATCCCTTTACTTTGAGCTTATGGATACCATTTCAGGTGAGATGGGTTTCTTGAAGACAGCATACAGTTGAATCTTGCTTCTATATCCAACTTGTCACTCTATGTCTTCTAATTGGGATACTTAGCCAGTTTACATTCAAGGTTAATATTGATATGTGAGGATTTGATCCTGTTATTGTTTTTTTAGCTAGTTCTTATACAGACTTGATTGTATAGTTGCTTTATAGTGTCAGTGGGCTATGTGCTTAAGTGTGTTTTTGTTGTGGCCACTAATGATCTCTCATTTCTATGTTTAGCACTCTCTTGATGACCTCTTATGAGGCAGGTCTAGTGGTAATAAATTCAATTAGCATTTACTTGTCTGAAAATGATTTTATTTCTGTTTTTCTTATGAAGCTTATTTTGGCTGAATATAAAATTCTTCATTCACATTTTTTTCTTTAAGGATGCCGAATATAGGCTCCGAATCTCTTCTGGCTTGTAAAGTTTCTACTTAAAGGTCTGCTGTTAGCCTGATGGGGTTTCCTTTGTATGTGACCTGCCCCTTCTTTCTAGCTGCCTTTAAGATTTTTTCTTTTGTGTTGACCTTGAATAAACTGATGAGTATGTGTCTTGGGGCTAGTCATCTTGAATAGTATCTCACAGGGGTTCTCTGAATTTCCTGAATTTGCATGTTGACCTGTCTAGTGAAGTTGTGGAAATTTTCATGGACAATATTCTCAAATATGCCTTCCACGTTGCTTGTTCTCTCTCTGTCTCTTTCAGAAATGACAGTCATTGGTTTGTTCTCTTTACATAATCCTTTATTTCTCAGCAATTTTGTTCATTTTTAAAAAATTCTTTTTTCTTTATTTTTGTCTGCCTGCATTGACTTGAAGGAATTATCTTTGAGCTCTGAGATTCTTTGCTCAGTTTGGTCTATTCTGTTACTAATGCTTCCAATTGTATTCTAAAATTCCTGTAGTTAATTTTTTATTTCCAGAAGTTCAGTTTGGTTCTTTCTTAAAATGCCTTTGTCATATTTCAACTCTTTGACCATTTTACTCTTTTCCTTGGATTGGGTTTCAACCCTCTCCTGTATCTGGATGAGCTACCTTGCCATCCATATTCTGAATTCTATGTCTGTCGTTTCAATCATTTCAGTCTGGTTAAGAAACTTTCCTGGGGAGCAAGTGTGGTCATTTGGAGGCAAGAGGACACTCTGGCTTTTACAGCATTCCCATGTTCTTGGGCTGGTTCTTTCTCATCTCTGTGGGCTGATGTTCCTTTAATCTTTGAGGTTGCTGTCTTCTGGATGGAACTTTTTGCTTTTATATATATTTTTTATGCACATGAGAGTTTGACTGTGTTATAAATTGGGTTTAGTCAATTGGCTTTATTTCTGATCCTTTCAGGTGGCCAAGGCTTAGCTCAGCACTCCTCGGCTGTATGCTCTAATCTTGGCAGCTGGGATCAGGCCTGTGACTTTGTTTTCTGGGCCCTTGAGTTTAGTATGTGCTGCACTGGAGGGGCCAAGGTGTTCCCAGCACACTAGCAACAACACTCCAACAGGGGCTGCCAGCAAAATCTCTAGTGAGGTGGCGGTGGGACCCTGTGCATGTGTGTGCCAGCAGTGTGCTGGAGATGGGTCTGTGAATGGATGCATGCTAGCAGGGTGGCAGAGAGAACCCACATGTATGCATTCCAGTGGGGCAGTGTGGGGAGACTGTGAGGGAGTGCACACTGGTGGAGGTCCATCTGCAAAGTGCTCTGATGGGTAGGTGGGGTCTGCTGGCAAAAGAGCTCTGGTGGCGGCCACTGGCAAGCTGAGGCTGTACTGCATGGGTGCAGCCAAGCAGGGACTCTGCGAGAGGCTGGCAGACAGGCAAGTGCTCAGATAAGACTATTCCTGTCTCACAGGTAAGACAGCTCTGCTCTGTCCAAGCCTGGTAGCTAACAAAGTCTAAAGCCCCTTAGAGTATGGTGAGCTTTGGGGGTTGAACACACATGGCTGTGCTCCACTGCAGCTGTTCCCACACCAAACCTTCTGGGCTCTGCACAGGCTGAAGTTATTTATCTGTCAATTCTCCAGGCAGTTCTCCTTGCTAGCTCAGGTGTCTGTGGGGGTCATGGGATCTCCTGTTGCTAGGATTCTGGAGGTTCATGGTGAGAGTGCACCATTACATGCCTGTTTTACTCAGCCCTTCCCTAGAAGCTGCTATGGGCCAGGAATGAGTCCTGGTGTTCAGTGACCCTATGCAGGGTCCCAAGCTTCCTTCCCCTTCAGTCTGGGGACTGCATCTTCTCTCTGTCCATTCTAAATATCTTTTTTTTTCTTTTTTTGTCTCAGGAAAGCTTGTGCAAAGAAATAAAAATGTGGGATAAAATCTTAAGTATGAGAAAATGTTAGTTGAGTAAAGAAAGCAGATTTCTGGGTAGGGAAAGAATCATGAAAGAAGGTTCTAAAGTTGAAAAATGTTATAGTTTATTGGAAGAACTGATTGAAGAGTAATGTGGACAGCGCACTGAGAGTAAGAGAAATAATGGTGCAAAGGGAAGGCTGAGAGGCAGATTAGGGTCTAAAACACATTTAAAATGGCCAATAACAATGATGGTGAACATTTACAGAGTATTTGATGGTGCACACTATTCCAGTTCCTGCATTAAACACAAAAGTTTAAATAGTATATCACAGATTTAGCCTGTCCACCTGTTAAGATCTGGGTATTAAATTTCATTGCTAGTAAGACCCAGTGTCTGCTTTTCCAGAACTAAGATCCCTGCAGCTTTCAAATGTCAGCACTTCTTTCCCTTGCAACTGTGTTAAACCAGAGCACAAGGAGGGACCTCCTGCCTTAATCTTGCTTTTCTATTTTTAAACACATGTCTTCTTTCAAAGCTTATCTATTTTATATTCTGAATACATGCATTAGCCAAGAAGAATTCAAAACATTTTAATTACTATTTAAAGAAGTAGAGATGTTGATACAGATTTTAAATTATACATGCAAGTATAATTTTTTTTTATTTTATTCTGTCATGTTCTCTATCCTGAGGAAATTTTTTCCTGATTGCAAGTCACTGTTTGTTCTGGTTTCCCTGCTTAGCTCAGGAGTGATGGCCCGTCTTCACTCTTACACAGAAATTTTCTCAGTTGCTTTTTCCAAGGGGTGGGAACCTATGTTGTATATAGTCTTAGGAACTTTCACACATATGTGTATATAAATGTACAGTAGGCAATACTAGTGACAACAGTAGCTCTCCTGGGAAAAACCCTACAGAAGAAAATGGCCCTCATTTTTCCTATAATATCACTACCAGTAAGTTATTGTGATAAACTTTATCTTATTTAAAAGCATACCTCCCCAAGTGTTAAAACACAAAATATATCAATCATTCTCATTTAAATCTAAGGATCTTTAAGTAATTTTGTGTGTGCTGAGAGGCATGAGATAAAGATTTCTGAGAATAAGGCTCAGCCTCCAGAGGGTGAATTTGTGCTGCACAAAACCATAAAACACCCTGGAGAAAGGAAAATCAGGATGTGGAGAAATGGGTCCAGCACTTGGCAGAGGGCCATTCCTGAACACCACCACCAATGGCATCGTTCAGCGTGTACTTCCACATGCATTCTCACATCTAAAGCCTCCTCAGTTCTACCAGGGAGGTACTACCACTGCTACAGCAAGGAAATCAAGAATCAGAGATTAAACTGCTTTTCAAAGCCACTTTAACTTTGGTGGTTTGGTGAGACCGCAGAAATTTTCACTTCCAAACCTGTGTTTTTTGTAATACCCCAAAATTTAAGGAATCTAGGTCCTGGCTAAGGGTTGCCATAAGGACTAGAACTTGAGTACTGGTTCACCTGTGCTTCCTTGGTCCCCAGAGGTGATCTGCAGCATGTGCTGCGGAATCAGTATAGTCATGGGGCTAACAGCACACTTTTAGTGAGTTGTCAAGATCGCTAGAAAGTATCAAGAGAAAATTGGGTGTAAAATTTAACTGGCAAATAATATAAATTATTTTAAAGTTAAACCAAAAATGGCTACTACATATTATATAATTGACTATCATTTTAAAAGACAAAACTCAAATTCAAGGACACTTTCTGTTTTAGAAACTAATGTCAGGCTAGACTCAAAGTTTCCTCATGACCACGTTATGTCTCTGCTGTTGGTGGTATTAATATTGAATAGTTCGAGAAGCACTGATGGCTTAAAAAGTCTTGTTGTTATAACAGAATGGAATTACTTTCCTTTTGCCAATGATTGTTTCTTTTGAGGTAGGAGTTGAGGGAGAGGTGAAGAGCTAAGTGTTCTCTTTTGTACAGAAGCATCCAAACATGAAGATGGCTATACAGATTTTATGCTTTATGGCACTAGCCTACCCCCATAACTCTATAGGTTACACGTAACATAGATATTAGCTCATTACCTTCTGAACTACTTAACCTGTTGTCAGTCACAAAGTAAGGCCACAGCATAATAACGAGTTAAGGATAGCCTATCCCTTGAGTGAGGAGAATATTTGAAGGATATGCCATGCATAAGAGAAGAAAGATCTTCATGGAGAAAAATAAATAAAGGCTGGCTTTAGTGTTTAGATCTTAGAAAAATAAGAGAGGGAGCTTTTATTTCTGTTATATCTCTGAACTTTCTCATGACTCCCTAAGAGGGTTGGAGTACATTCAAAAGAGGCAGAGAATTTTTGAAGTTGATGTCCAACATTCTAAGATGATGCTGATTTGTTGGTGATCAAAGTCAACTCTTCAGCCTGGCATTTAAAACCCTCTGCCTCACTTTATTCATGTTATATTATCAATGTTATTTTTCATTACTCCCACTGATTTTCATTCTGCACTTGCTGCCCGGTCTCTCAGGACATTAATATTTATGTTTTTTCAGTGCCCATATCATTGCTCCCAGCATGAATTAGAAACTTAAGCTCATCAAAAATAGATCCATTCTTCCTCTAATGAGTATTATTGCCTTTGCACTTGAAATTATAAACGGCAGCTATATTTTAAGTGCTAAAATATTTCAGTTATTTCTGACAAAATCTCGGTTCAAAAGTGAAACTAGTTCTTCAAGTGACTGTGGTTTAAAGAAAGATACCTAAACCTCCTAAATAACAAAAGTATGGATTTTGTATTTTTTACTTCCATTTTATTAAAAGAAAAACTCATGTGCTTAAAAAATTAAATTGTTCTAAATGACTGAAAGGGAAAAGATACAAATCTAATTGTTCTACCTTTTTTTACACTTGAGTGTAAGAAGCATAAATGTCCAATTCTGTTAGCCATGTGTGAATATATTTATATTGATATTTCTAAGTAATATGTTTGTGAACTTCTCATTTAGATATTATCTATTGACTTCTTATTCTAGTGGATTAGGATTTAGACAGAAAACATTCTCCTCCCCACCATTTCTCCTCTACATTTCAATATAGTTATTTTATACACACTGGTTAAGTCAATATTCACCATTTATGTGTATGACTGTCAATAACTGACCTCACTGAAATACACTCCAAATAGTCAGTTCCACTTAGTGAAACATGATTATGTTTTGTGTACTGCAAAACAATTTGTTTTCTTTTCTATGTACTTACTACAAATTCTTCTAAAATGCTTCCATTTTATCTCTCACTAAACACATTAGACAAATAATTCAGTGCATTTTATTTTTCCTAGGGAATTCTCTTTTGAAACCAATTTTCCTCGTTCTCTAATCTAGAATTGTTGTTCTCTAGGCTACTGAGTACATATTGTCCCAGAACTGTCCTACATTATCTAGTGTTGATCCCTGTTTCTTGAGCTCTGTTTTCTTAATTCTTAGTTTATTCCTACATCTTAGTGGAATATATCTTCCAAAGTTTCCTGTGAAGAAAGGTACTTAGAAAGTCAATTGAATACTGCTGTCTAACACTGTATTAGTTTTAGCCTTAAATTTGAGAGTAGTTTGGTTGGGTATAGAATTCTAGAATTAGAATTTTTTTTTTCTTTTCAGAATCTTTGATGCATTGTCTTTTACTTTCTAGCATTGCTGCCAAGAAGCCTGAAACCTTTCTGTCCTCATATTTAGTATTTTACCTATTTTTTGTCCATAAAAGCTTGTAAGTTTTTTTTGCCTAGATCTTGACGTTCTGAATTGTCATATTGATATGCCTTGGGGCGAGGCTCCTTTCTGTTCATTGTAGTAGACAGACACAGAATGGCCCTTTCACCCTTGAAATATCTTTTTAAAATTTTTTTATTTTTTTATTTTTTTTATTATACTTTAAGTTTTAGGGTACATGTGCACAATGTGCAGGTTAGTTCCATATGTATACATGTGCCATGTTGGTGTGCTGTACCCATTAACTCGTCATTTAACATTAGGTATATCTCCTAATGCTATCCCTCCCCCCTCCCCCACCCCCACCCCACAACAGGCCCCAGTGTGTGATGTTCCCCTTCCTTGTCCATGTGTTCTCATTGTTCAATTCCCACCTATGAGTGAGAACATGCGGAGTTTGGTTTTTTGTCCTTGCAATAGTTTGCTGAGAATGATGGTTTCCAGCTTCATCCATGTACCTACAAAGGACATGAACTCATCATTTTTTATGGCTGCATAGTATTCTATGGTATATATGTGCCACATTTTCTTAATCCAGTCTATCATTGTTGGACATTTGGGTTGGTTCCAAGTCTTTGTCTTTATTTCCTCCCCATATTTACCTGTTCAGTTCTTCTAATATTTCTGCTATATTTTTTGATCTCCTAGATTGTTTCTATAATAGTCTCATAATTTATTAGCTATTTTACATCTTTGGCCTCTTATTCCTGTTTCTGGAACTGCCTCAGTTTTAGTTTGGTATTTTCTACTATTTTTCTGCTCAAATTCAGTAATGAAATAGCTAATTTTTCTCTAAGGCTTTTTAAAAAACATATATTTTTGTTTCATGGATGCAATATTTTCTCATCTCTTTGAGGGTATAACAGATAGTTTTCTTCTTGTCAGTCATCTTTCTTTTCCTCTGTTTCTTTCATGGTCTCTGTTTCCTCTCTGGTTTTCTTTTTTTTTGTTTTTTTGTTTGTTTAGATTCTGTTTGTCACATTGGAAGCTCCCCTCATACATTATGTAACCCATGGTTGTTCTTGGTTGTCCATTTATATTGAAGAATGAGATGTTACATTAGTGAGTTTTAAACTCTACATGTCTGGAAGGGATTTTTGTACTAGTACAATTCACTGTAGAGAAACTTGGGCTTCAAAAGAAAATGTTAGTTTTGTTGATATGCTGGTCATTTTGGCTTTGGGCTGATCATCACTCTAAGAGCATCCTCTAATACATTACCTGAAGTTACCTGAAGTATGTACCTGGTTGCTAACGGTCTGGAAAGAGAGTGAGAGGGAGGTTAGACTTTCATTTAATGTTATTTCCAGCCTTGCAGCTCATCCCATTCTCCACAGTTCTTGTTTGTCAGTCAGTGGATTCTCTTCATTTACCTTCTTGTTCTCTTGCTTTGGGTGCAAGGTGAGAAAGGTGGTAATCAGTTGACCGTATGGAGTGTGAAGTCACTTGGAGGTATAAGAACCCCACACGTATACTTTGGCGCAGTGTTCCTGTTTTTAGCCCCGTAAACCACTTCCAACTTCTGTGTTACCAGTTGACTTTTAATTCAGAGATTCTGTAGTGCTTCTGAGGTCAAATTCCCACCAAAAAGTTCTTCCTCTGTGAGCACTTAGCTTTTCTGCTTTAATTCTCCAGGAGACTCGAAGGTAGAGCTGCTCCTGTGTTCCGTCTGCATTTCATCTCCCCAAAAGTTTTGAAATTTTTAATCTACTGCTGTCACATTGCCTGTAGTCTTTGTCCTTGCTATTTATATACTTTATTATTAAAGTTTATGTGGGCTTTTGGAGAGCTGTGATATAAGTCTGCTATTTTATGTTTAAAATTCCATTTAGAGGAAGACAAGAACCAAGGTCTGATTGGGAAGAATCTTCTTTCCTGGTAATTAATGGAAGTTAAGAGACATTATATATACCCTGGGTCTTTAAATTTTTATTACTATGAAACCTGAGTAAATCTAACTGAGTAAAATTATTTTTGCTTAAATCCTCAATCCTTACATCCACTGAAAAATGAAAAGATTGAGGAAAACTCTAAATAGAGAAATAAAAAAACTGCCACAATGCAGCCCACAAGCTCTGACCCATACCTTAAAAAGTCTGTGAAATATTCACTGAGGTGATAACACTAACATGTATGATTCAAGGCTATAGAATTCACAGCTCACTCTAGCTCTCAAACTCTGGCCATTGACTAGCCTATCCTAGCCTGAATAATGTAGTAGTAGATATATAGGTGCATATTATAACAACATAAAATATATGGCATGGGATATATGGCTTGGAAGATAGCTGTCCATGAAACTGATATTAGAGGCCAGAAATGGAAGCTCATGTTACAGCAGAAAATATTTTATAATATTTTTTAAATAGTAATCTACAACATCTTGATAGGTAGACCATAGGGATACTAAAGTGAAAGCAATTGGGTGCATTTGGCAAGGAATTAAAATAAAGGTTTGAGCTAATTAAATAACTGGCTAGCTTGAAAGCAGAAATAAAAGGGAGTAAACAGAGTTTAGAAATTTTGTAATAATGTAGAATTAGAATAGCTGATTGTCTTTATGTTCAAAATGTAAAGATAAAATTAAGGAAGTCTTAAGACACATTAAAATTTAATTTGTTGGAATAAACCAAATTAAGGGTATGACTTTACCTCTAGTATTAAAAAACTTAAATGAATTAAGATACCTGAAAGCAAATATAAGAATAAAGGCATAGCATTTCCAGAATAGATAGCGCAATAGGAAGACGAAATAGAAAAAAAGCACAAGTTACATGAAAACTCCGCTCTCTAAAAGATTTCTGGCACAGAAAACTTTTTGGAAGGAAATGGATTAAAAGCCTATTAAGATTTGAGAGAATTAGTCAAAGAAATCATGAAGCTGTATGTGAAAGTTTTCTGACTGGATCTTAGACACGTACCTATCATGAGCAGAATGCAGGCTGAGAAAGCTGTGCACCCTGTAAGAAGGTTGTGTTTCCCTAATACCTGTATTAGAGAAAGCCACGGAGGAAAACAGTAAAGGAAGAACCCCTCCCAGAGTGGAGTCAGGGACCACATAGAACAATGGACAAGGAAGCTATTCCCAAGAGAAAAATTAGGGCCTAAACAAGGAACATTCCCCACCCAGGGTTGGGCTTTCACAATGTTATCCAAGCTAGCTACTTACAGGTTATCTTTCATGTTTTAAATAAGCTCCTATAAAAATAAATCAGAAAACTGATAGCACAGAAACTTTCTACTATTGATGGTTATCTTCACAGCTTTCTTATATAACATTCCCATAAGCCTTGAGCGATGCTTATTTTGAACTTCAGTGTGATTCAATATAGTGATTATATGTGGTACTGTTTTCTGAATGATGGGTTCCATCACCAATTCCTCCAGTGATAGAGAGTCTACTATACTGAGCTAGGACAAAGTTAGTCTTTGTCTATGAGACTGATGATAATGAAGGTAACACAGACAAGTTAAAAATTTGAAACCCATCACTACAAATATTCTTTGGATATTTGTTTAGTGTTTATGTGAAGGTGTTATTAATAATCAATTATATATTAACAAAAATTAGATATCTCTTCTTTATCAAAAATAAAGAATTTTTACATGTGCTAAATATAAAATAATTTTTAACATATTTGTATTTATCTTTCATTTCACCCTTTTCTCCACTAGTTATATTTAAATGGTGTTACTCATTGGCACTCAGAATAAAGTTAATTTACATGAATATACTTCCAAAAATCATGTTCAAGCTGTTTTAAAGTTTCTTTCTGGCTTTTGTACTGGAAAGCACCGTTCTGAAGGTCTTGTTGTTCCTTCCTTTCCTCAGTGATTTTCCAAACCAGTCATCATTTCAGCAATTGCGTTATTCTGTTTTGCATTGCTATAAAGGAATACCTGAGAATGGGTAATTTGTATAGAAAAGTGGTTTATTTGGCTCATAGTTCTGCAGGCTGTACAAGCATGGCAGCAGCATCTTCTTTGGGTGATGCCTCAGGAAACTTTTGCTTATGGTGGGAGGTGAAGAGATAGCAGACATGTCACATGGTGAGGGAGGGTGCAAGAGAGAAAGGCGAAGGTGCCAGACTCCTTTAAACAACCAGCCCTGGCAAGAACTAAGAGAGTGAGCACTCACTCACTACCACAGGACAGTATGAAACCATTCATGAGGGATCTGTCTCCATAACCCAAACACTCCCATCAGGTTCCACCTCCAACATTGGGGATCCCATTTCAATGTGAGATTTGGAGGGGACAAAACCTTCAAGCTACATCAGCAATCAAATGAAAAATTTTGAAATGTATATATTGACATAAATTGCTTTTTTTCCCCTGAAGACATCACTGTAGCATGCAGGAAGCCATGCAGTTTTATGATATCCATGGTTCATGAGTACTGACTTTACGAAAGGCTGGTTGCAATAGTGGCAACATGCTAAGATAAAACTCCTCCCAGGAACCAGATATTGCTAGCCAAGAATTGTTTTTTCAATTGTTAAATTCACACTCTAGGATTCTGTTGACTTCAGCTGGACTGAATCCAGATTACATTTCACTAGGTACATGAGAATTCTGCACGGAAATCTAAGTTTATGCTTGTGGTGCTTTTATGCTCCTATGGAGTGGCCACCTGAAAATTGCTGCTCTGGTTTATCCTTCAACCAGCTCTTGGTTTCCATTACGCTCACTGAGCTAAAGCTTATGTTTGGAAGTTCTCAGACATTTTCTCTGTTTAATTGATTTGATGAGAATTTTTACTTAGACTGCTCATGTACTGATGAATGCCTGATGAAGATAGCCACAGTCAAAAGCCAACAAGGCAGCAGTGATTCCCACACTAGATACTAAGTACCTAAGTGCATTTAGTAGCCTTTGTGGAAGGAGAGTGATGAAAAAAAATTGAGTCCTATTTTAAAAGATTTGTCTTGCTCTACTGACATCACGGAGCTGCCTTGAATGTTGAATATGTTTGTATATATAAAAGTACCTTTGCAAACAGAGGTGCTAGTTCATCATTAGTGTCTGGAACAATAACTTCCAATGGTTATCCTCTCTACTTTCCATTGGTAGGAATGAAAATACCAATACTTAGGTAAGTATCAGGTATCACATGAAAATCAATATCTGCTTTGACTTTTTCCAATCCTTTTTCTTTTCCACTTATTCCTCCCTAAGAGAATACTCAAGAAAGTAAGTTGTAAAGTGGAAGTTTTACTTAGTCTCTACCCAGATGGCATAAATATTTCTAAGTAATTTTTCTTTATAGATAGTAGTCAAACAACTGAAACATTATCAGAGTTATTTTAAAAGCTACCCTTCTACCCTACCCCCCAAAATATGTTCTTGAGGCTTTGATAAATAGAAGATGGATTTTGTTTTTATTTAAAATATAAAACTTCAAATTTGCCCAGGACTTCTCATATTGAGCTGGGTGGGGGGGGCACTTGAAACTTAGGAAGTTAATAAGAAAAAAGTTAGACACAACTGAATAGTCTCAGTTACTTATCCTTAGAAATTTAAATCAAATCCTATAACCTTTTTAAGGTACAACCAATTAAAAAAGACCTTAGTGTGATACAGAACATTTTGAGGGATGATTTGCAAAAGCTTATAACAGTAGATAGAAAGACAGCATGCTATTTCTAAACAAAGCAATGTAAAAGATTCTGATGTAGAAATGTTTGCAAAGGAGTAAAGCAAAATTGAAGGTGAGAAATTGCTATCCAAAGTGTTCTATTGTGTTTTGTGTGATTATAATCACTTTGGGGAGAATGAGAAAAAGAAGCAGAGGGACATACTGGAATAAGCAGGAGGAAGAAGGCAAAATCATTTCCTTGAATGTGAGCTCTATTGTTGAATACAGAAAGTCCAACAGAAGGTAAGAAATCATATGTAGAGCTAAGACAAGGGCATAAATGAGTAGATAAGTGGCAGAGAATGGGGCTGAGTTTCTAATATTTTTATATGCACTGTGTGGATAGCTTAACATTGAGAATAATGTAGGGAAGCATTGTTAACTGTTTAGACACCATAACTTCAGACTCATGATTCAGTTTGGGCAGAAAATAGCACCAAGCAGGAAGAGATAAGGGAAGAAAGGAAAAACAAAATTAAAAAAAATATATTGATTAGTACATCCTGACACATCGTTAAGTACTTTACATGACTTATCTCATATTGATGTCATTCACTATTTTTCTCCAGTTATGAGTAATACTATTCTTAATGAAACTTAATATAGAAAAAATAAAAAGTATTTATAATCTCACTACCTTACATGTCTGTAAACCACATAGATTTCATAGAATTTATGCCATAAAATACAGCGTTATACATAATGGTTGGTTTTTGTCTTTTTTTTCTGCTTGCCATGGTCCTTGTCACATTATTACCTACTCATGGAAAAACTAGTATTTAATGACATCCCTTGATTATTACCTTGTAAGTTCCTTGGAAGATGATATCAGAATTGGTCTCAACCCTATATCAAATATCTATATTTATTTTTCGAAACTTTTTCTTCAAAATGCACTATAACAATAAAAAAAAAAAGCAGAGATAATGCTAGCTTCTCCTAACACTTTCCTGTAGAGAAATTTGTGGATCAACTAAGAATGAGCCCTCACTGATTACATGGCAAAATGTATCCATGTGGATACAAACCTGTCTTTGTGGCTAATGATGACAATTTTAAAAATAATTATAATTTGGATATCTGTATTTTCTCTGTTTACTATTTCATACCAATTGCCTTCTGGATATAAAATATTTAATCATACACTCAATCATAATTAAGCATTTCAGGATATTGGGTATGATTATATACAGTAATAAAGGGGTGATGTTAATATGATAGTTTTTCGTGCTGCCTCAGTTATCTGGAAATTATGACAGCCAAGTCACATTAGCATGTTATTGCTCTCTGAGGTTAATAGCATGCTATTTAATGTGAAAAACCAATAAGATAAGCTGGGCCTCTTTTTCCTAAGGTTAAAATGACAAAGGGCATGGACTTCTATGTAAATTTTTTTTATATAGAATCTAATTAACTGTATTGATTAAAAATATAGTTATATTTTGAAATAGGTAAATATACACACACACACACACACACACAGATAGTATTTTCTGCTCCTTTAAGCTTCTATTGTAGTAAAAGGCAGAACATTGAGAGAGAATAAAGCCAGGCTAGAATCAACCCTAACCCTAACCCTAATATGTGTGCGTGCGTGTGTGTGTGTGCGCGTGTGTGTGTATTTATCTATCTATCTCATAAATATAATAGGCAATGTGTTTCTAAGTTTCAATATGTTACTGGGGGATGACACAATAATAATGCATTCAGATATGAAAGGAAAGGATTTAATCCTTCCTTACAAAGGGAATAATCTGGAATTCATAGAGGCTGTTCAAACAGTCAGTGTCAGTTGGTTTAGTTGCTCTAAATTACAAAGCCTCCTAGTATAATTGTACATATAAAGTTGGTTGGTTTTACTGAGCCTTTTCCTTGGTTTCCAATAAAAACAAAGAATATCAAGCAAACAAAAACTAACAATGGGTTGTTGCCAAAAAAGTTGTTCTTAACACTGAACAAAAAAAGAAAAATGTAATTTTGTATAATAGCATCTCTTCTGCTAAATCATTATCTCACATTTATTAGATCCTTAGCATTTTTATCTTATAATAAACACTTTCCCTTTCATTTTCCTATCCTTTAAGCTCCTTTTGTAGTAAAAGGCAGAACGCTGAGGGAGAATAAGGGTAGAATCAATAGAATAAGTTTTACAGTGTCAAATAGACCAAACTTGGTTCAATTTATAAGACAGGGTAGATGTTTCATTGCCAACTTGAACTAGATCTACACTGAGGCCCATTTATTTCACAGAGCTGATAGAAAGTTTTCTTGTTGCTGTTCCTAAGGCACAAAATTGATTTCTCTAAATGAAAGTGTAAAATTATTTCAATAAAATTGCTGGCACCCTTTTTTCTTTACTGTAAGCTCAACATGTAAAACCATATTTAATTCAGCATTTCCCTCTCTCAGTTGTCAGTACTCCCACAATAGAAATGGCATTCATTTTTAGGCACAGTGAGTGAACAAAAGAATCGAGAATCTACATTGCAAAAAAGCTATGAACTGGCTTACTTTTTCTGATTACTCTGGTGTGCATAGCAATCCCGTGCTGGTGGAAACTGTTTTGAGAACATACCCACATAGAACAGGAGATGGAGCTCTTGACTAACATGAATTCAAGTTGCCTACCATCTTTTTAGATTAACATCATTTACTTTATCCTACACAATTCAGAGACTCCCAGAAATCAAGGCTAAGTAATTTCCCCTGATTATCAGTTATTTGTGTTAGGAAGTATTCAATTTGGGGAATTAAAGTCCTTCCAGACTCAGGGTCATTACTTTAAAACAATGAGAACTTGAAGCAGAAGCTCTGAGTCCCAGAATTGTGAGATTCAAGGAAATCACTGCACTGGGACAATGCTCCACAAAGAATGTGTGTGTGTGTGTGTGTGTGTGTGTGTGTACCTATGACAAAGGTAAGCCTTGGCTCTCTTTGACACTAATAATTGATCTTAACAGTCTCATGTAAAGTATCTGCAAATGCAGATTTAAGACCCTTCTTTTAGCCAATTGTTCCATCCAAAGTCCTTTTATATAAATAGTGGAACTGCTTCTGGGGTCTGTTGATTGACTGACTTTTGAAGATGGCCACACATGGCTTCTGTTTCTTTTCTGAATATGATCTTTTCTTCTCAATATTCCCATTTTGTTTTCCAGCTTTATTCTAGGTACATTTTCTTTCATTGTTTTTCTCTTTATATTCTATTCTAATGGTATGAAATAATTTTGGAAGTAAAAACCCCTCACAGTTCAAAAGAAGGAAGTGAAAGGGCAGAGTTTTAGGCATTATTCTTTGTGGCAAAATACTAAAGAGACAATTATTTCTTAGACTTGTGAATAATTGTATTTGCTGGACTTTTCTTCCTGTATTTGGCCCATTAGGAATTTTCTAAATTACTCATCCATGTGTTGAAGTATAACCCTCTTTAGAAAAAGCTTCTGTGACACCTTAACTGAAACCACTACAGTTCAAGGTGAATATATGAGAGGTCCCCATTGGACAAAACACTCTGCATAAAGCGCCTTGGAAATGGCTCTTATTAGCTCATCCTCTTTGTTTCATTCCTAGTGAAGTCACTCACTGAAGAGGGAGTCAGCAAAATGCTAGTTAAGTAATAAACAAGGGTGAGAAAGACAGGTTAGACCCCCACTCACAGCATCTCATCTCAGCTTTTGCAAACTTGAGTGAACTTCATATAGAAATTACCTGTGTTTCTAAGCCAGGCAACTATGGACAGCGCTCACACTTACCACTAGGTTTCTGAGCCCATGAAGCAGTCTTCTCTTTGCAGCCTCTAAAAAACAGTGCTTCCTTCAATTTAAGTTTTGGGTTAGGAGAGGATCCAAAAGGGTTTTCTTTGCGTCCTCCTGAAACAGTAACACTAGAGGTAAAAAATGGCTTGATATTTATTTATAATCACTAAAAGGCAATAAGGTAAGGCTATTATCTTCAATGAAGATGTATTCCATGCAACCCACTGTGCCAGATATATTGGCATATATTTTCAGAAGAATACCTAGGAGATTGTGTTATCCTATAAATTGTATAATAAAAAATCCTGTGGCTAAAACCTTGCTGTGGAGCAGAGGTGACACATATGCAGACATGATACAATGTCTGTGCAAAGTGTGACAAGTCACAGAGCATCAGTGGCAAGGAGGGAGTGCAGCAATGGTTGGTGTCAGCAATGGTCAGGAAGGACTTCTGAAAAAGGGAAGTTTAACCTGAATTTTGAAGGATGGATAGGATACCCTTGGACTGACAGGACAGGAAGGAGAAACTGAAGACAGAGAAGAATAGGGTCATGCTGCTGGCAGATGAAAGCACAGGGGCATGGAAGAAAGTTATGAGGAGTCCTGTTTTTGCAGAGTGTGAAAGACTGAAGTTGGGGGCATAGAGAAGTATGCTTTTGAAGTGCTTGCTTGTGCTACCTGTTGCTCACTCTTAATCACATAAGTGATAGGGGCATGGTAAATGGTTTGCAGACTTACTCCGAAATTTCTCTTACTATGTGGAAAGGAAAGAGGATACTGTTGTCTCAGTGCCTCTTAAGTCTCCAAGATTCCTAGTGTGGTGAGGATAACATTTGAATTGGAGTTTTTAAGAACTTGAGGCTGTTAGGCATATATTTTTAGAAAAATGTTTCACATGTTTTCTAATTGTAGTGAATTTGTTATGTAAAGAAGTTCTACGTTGTTAGATACTGTGAATCATGTGACATATTTGATTTGTAACAAGCCAAAATCAGAGTTTCTTACATTGAATAACATGGTGCTTTTTTGGAAATGGATAATGCAGAGTGCTCATTATAAATGTGCACAACATATCATTTGCCTGTGAATAAGCCTATCAGTAACAATTTATATGTGATACTCTGTCAGGCCTGGTGATAAGCAAGCTCCTTTAATGGAGATATAGCCTGTGTAGTTTCAGTTGGTGGCATTTGTGGGCACTATTTGACAGGAACAAGGAAACAAGATTATTTTTGGTTGCAATTTACTTAATTTATGGGAAAGAAATATAGCAACAAGAAACTGTGAACCTAGACTTAGGAGGACTTCAATGGAGTACATTTTAGCATTATACTTTTGAATTCTATATGAGGTATTCTCTGTTTAATCTCTGGTGAAAACAATGCTTACATTGTGTGGTTAATTTAGGACTTAATAGAAAAAAATAAGTATTTTCCTGAAAACATAGCATGTTCCTTTTTTATAAGATAATCTATAATTGTCTCCTTTATATTAGCTGTAAAAATCACTTATAATTAATCACAATGTCCATATTAGCCTGGCATTTCTTATGTTTATATTCTGTTATTGCTCCTTTAGTGATCCTATTTAAATTTTAGCAATAGTACTATAAAAGAGTCTGTTATATATTAGAGATACTATTTTTCTTCTTTCTCTTTTCTTTTATAGGGAATGATATTATCATTTGCTCCTAGTGTAAGTATGATCTGAAAGTTACAATGAAACTTATATTCATTTGCTGATGAAGACTGGTCCCAGTGGTTTTCCATAATTATATAGATGTAATATTACTAAGCATCTATTGCTGGGGGGAAGATTTGAGAAAGGCAATAAAAGGATGTTAGGAAACTTTTTAGATTTCTATCATGGATGCCCTTATAGCCAAATCTAGTCACAAGTAAAAAAGTAGGTTAATTTGGAGGGCTTTTTTGAGAGAGAAAATAACAGTACGCATACTTTAAATGTGTAATAAGAGTAATAGCTTTTTAAAAAGAGTTTGAGGGGTCTTGAAATTTATCAAGTCTAATAATTTCTTCTTACATATGAGAAAATTGAAATACCAAGGGATTAATGACTTTCTGAGTATCATGCATTAGAACACAGATTTTTTGTTTGTTTGTGTGTTTGCTCACTTTTGTTTTTGTTTTGCAAATATCACAAAATACTAATCAAGCTTTTGGAATTCTGATATAATACAACAAAAGATTAACATAGCTTTTGTTAACTTTAGTCAAAGTCACGTCCTGATTTACACTGAAGTAGTGATCTGCATCAGAACTAGAATAATAAAAGTGAAAGTAAGTTTCTTCCATCATGAAAATATGCTATTCTGCAACTACATAATATTCAGTCCTACTTTTTTGTTTACGTCATCAAGCCTTGTTAAAAAAGACTATATCTCCTAAGTCCGATCTACACTGCTATGTGTTCAAGAGAATTTAATGATCTTTAGAGGCACTCTGTTCTTAGGGAGGTATGCTAGTTTTCTATTTTTAAAAAAGATATTTTTAGAAATAGTTTGGCAACATAAACCCAGAGACAAAAACCCCATGAGTTTTCAAATATTTACACATGCCTACCTAAATTGACATTTTTCTTAAGGAATAATGGGAAACAACTTTATGTCAAATTTCACAATGCTATTATTTATGAGATTGAAACATAACAGAAATAGAAATATAAAAATAGATCAAATACCTCTAAAATCTGAAAACAGATATTTGGTGAAACATTAGGCAAACATTAAAATTTGTATAATTACTTGAGAACATGCAAATGTTAATTGTTATAATGCAGAGAACAAACTAAGACTAAGTGTTAGATGTAGTATCCCTGAATAATGACAACTAAGAAATTAAATTTGCTTCAAATAATTTTTCTGTATGTTTCTGTTTTTCTGCATGGAAAATACTTCATATTATAATCAGGAAATGGCTTACTGAAATATAGATGAAAGAAAATGATAAGAGGACAGGCTTTTAAAAGCAACAACGTAGAATGATGTGAAACAGGAAAAATGTATACAATTATAAAAAATGCTGTCCTTTTAATTTTCAGGAGCTAGGGGACCTAGCTTAAAGCCATTTAATTTCTCAGTATTACTAAAAAATTCACACTTGTGGATTCTGCTCTCGTTTTTAATTCATGGGAAAAATACATTTTTATTACTCACTGTCAACTTCTCATTTTCTGCCCTGTCACCTTGACCCTTCTAACATCTTCCTATTTTCCTTCCAATATATTTCTCTGTGAATTTGGGAACAAACTGTAACTGAAGTTTGTTTAAAAACTCAAGGCATTTGGGCCTTCCATTTTGAAAACACTAAATATTGCTGTAGGAACCCATTCATTCTGCACAAAATAATAAAAATGAAATAAAGCATTTCCTGCTGTGTATTTTGAATTACATGATAAATCTGTTAGTTCTCCCATTTTGATACCTAAAGAAAACCTTGGGGTACAATTTTTCTTACTAAGATTATTATTAGATAATTAATGGTATTAGGATATAAATGTTTCAGAGGATGATTCTTAAACACTTTTTTTGTATTAACCATTGTTTCTCACCATCTTTGGTGATTTTTGTTTTTTCCCTGTGGCTTTGTATGGATGACACACCCATCTCCAAATACTTGACAGATATTATAAATCAGATGTTGGCAAGCTTACTCCGGAAGGAGTAATTGGTAGTAAACATTACAGACTTTGTGAGCCCCACACAGTCTCTTCTGCAACTACTCAAATCTGGCAATTGCAGCCTGAATGCAGCCATAGATGATACGTAAATACATGGGAGAGGTTGTTTTCTAATAAAACTTGATTTATGCACACTGAAATTTGTATTTCATCTGATTTTCACACATCACAAAATGTTATTCTTCTTTTGATATTTTTAAACCATTTACAAGTGTAAAAACTCTTCTTAGCTTGCAGACAGCAAAAAATAAAAATAAAAAAAAGTGAATGACACGCAGGTATTGGCTAGCAAACCATATTTTCTTGATCTCTGCCACGAATCAAGTGGGAACACACTAATCAGAGCCTCTGATGAAGGTAACAACCTTGTCCCCTTGTCCTGGTCCTCAACTTCATGTTCTTTAGATCTTTCATTGCAGTGTTACTTGGACACATCCTCAAGAACTTGACATCTAAACCTTTGTTCTGTGTCATAGATACAGAAACGGCCACAATTCTTTACAGCTCCTACCAGGAGATGGAAGAGGGAGTGTATACTTAGGCAAGCAGGCTCTTCTTCTGACTTCTACCAATAGAAGGTAGCAAAAGCAATAATGTGCAGATTTACTTTGGTCTTTTGCTCACTTCTGCCTCACTCATAGAATGTGACATCATGTTTATGGAAATATCACTGTATGGCTTGTGGGAGGGTGAGAAACCTCTTGAAAAGTAAATTACCCATTCCAGCAGAGGCATCTAAGTCTCAACTGACTAAAAGGAAGGTCAGCAAATCCAACTGATCTGATAAGGGTGGCCCAGATTAACAGAAATGATCCATTGAGTTCAGCCCAATTTGCCAATTCACAGATTTCTGAGCT
Source organism: Homo sapiens (assembly GCF_000001405.40). Classification (NCBI taxonomy): domain Eukaryota; kingdom Metazoa; phylum Chordata; class Mammalia; order Primates; family Hominidae; genus Homo; species Homo sapiens. The sequence goes on from NC_000003.12 coordinate 35,971,821, forward strand.
AAATAAATACTTACTATTTAATCCACTGCATGTGGGGAAATATGTTGCTCAAGATAAGAAATAGATACGTCATGGCTACTATTTGAAAAGATATCCATGACAGCACATGAGCAGAAGGTGAAGGACTACATGTAGTACTCCAGTATGAATAGAGTCATGAGAAGAACTGCATATTTAGGAGAAAGAAAAATGAAACATTATGAGATTAAGGAAAGGAACTAGCACTTTTGGGGTCCTACTGTGTTCCAGGGATAGTTTCAGGTGATTTGTTCCCTTATCTCCTCCAAGTAGCCTTAGAAGGCAGTGTAATTCAGAAACACATTTCCTTAAGTTTAAAAAGGTGACTAGCAAAGTAGGATACAAACATCATCCTGTTTGACTTCCAAGTCCTTTCTAAGGCATTGTGTTCCCAGAGTCTTATAACAAAGTATGATTTGAACTTACTATCTGGACTTATGGAGACCTTGAGTACTAACTGTGTTTATGGCCTTACTACTTTTTTTTGTTCATTTTTGAAGGTACCTTAAACATTTATTTATTAAAGATATGGGATAGACAGCCACACAGTTAAGAACTCACACAGGTAAGATCTTGATAAAATGATATATAAATTTTAAATTCCTATTTCAGGAAGACTAGACATTAGCAGACAGGAAAGTTCAGCAAACTTATAAAGGCAGAACAAGCGGACTACAGCAGGAGAAAACAGAGAGGCAGGCAAGTTCATGGAGAGGAGAGAGACAGAGAGGAGCCTATACAACTCTAGATTCCAAAAAAGCCTTAAAACTTGGAAACACTTGTTTTGTTCACGGGCAGAAGTGAAAAATGTATCTAAACTAAGGGTGCTTCTGTGAAAAACTAAAGATGAAATAACTGACACCCTAGCTGTCTCCATAGGTGCAAAACTCTCAGCAACTGGGTATCCACATCACACCCTATCATAGGAGAAAACATCAAACTGTGTATTTATAGAGAAAATGAATGTCCTTGGAGAAAAGACTTCAGAATTCAGGCAGTGAGGAGCTTCAACATAATTGGCCATTTCCATGGTGAAATAGAGCAATCATATATTTCCCCTTTGTGTTACACAGAGCCCTAAAGTCAGGTTTTTTTCTTCTTAAAACCCAACCAACAGTCAAGATCACCAACTATTTGACTAGCAGCAGATAAACAAATGAAAGCAAAATCCTGAATGAGAAGGCAATAATTTAGGAAACTGAAAACAACATTTAAGAAAACTAACTAGGGGGCCGGGCGCAGTGGCTCACGCCTGTAATCCCAGCACTTTGGGAGGCCGAGGCGGGCGGATCACAAGGTCAGGATATCAAGACCATCCTGGCTAACACAGTGAAACCCCGTCTCTACTAAAAATACAAAAAATCAGCCGGGCGTGGTGGCGAGCGCCTGTAGTCCCAGCTACTTGGGAGGCTGAGGCAGGAGAATGGCGTGAACCCGGGAGGCGGAGCTTGCAGTGAGCCGAGATTGCGCCACTGCACTGTGCAGCCTGGGCAACAGAGCGAGACTCCGTCTCAAAAAAAAAAAAAAAAAAAAAAAAAAAAAATAACTAGGATAAAAATGTATTTGTTTGAAACCACAAAAAAATACATAATAAAAAAGGAAAAAGAGGTAATATTTGAAAAGTAAAAGCATGAATGAATGTTAAAATGAAAAATCAATAGAAATTTTGGAAGTCTAAGTCAAATAAATCTATCAAAGATAAGAACCAATCCAGGTTCTATAATGACAGTATAGGAGAACCCAGAAGGCTTATTACCCAATAAGTAGAAATTCTAAGAAAAGATAGAAAACATTAAAGAAAAATTACAAGAGAATTTCCTGTATCAGAAAGGCACATATTTCCTGGTTAAGAGGTCTACTTAGTGAACAATACCATAATTGAAAATTATGCCCACATATGCATCATTCCAGTGTTTAAGAACTGTATTAGTCCATTCTCATGCTACTATGAAGAAACACCTGAGACTCGGCAATTTATAAAGGAAAGAAGGGTAATTGACTCATGGTTCTGCACTGCTTAGGTGGCCTCAGGAAACTTACAATCATGGCAGAAGGCAAAGGAGAAGCAGGCACCTTCTTCACAGGGTGGCAAGATGGAGTGAGTGCAAGCAAGGGAAATGCCAGATGCTTATAAAACCATCAGATCTCATGAGACTCATTCACTGTCATGAGAACAACATGGGGAACCGCCCTCATGATCCAATTACCTCCACTTGGTCTCACCCTTGACATGTGAAGATTATGGGGATTACAATTCAAGGTGAAATTTAGGTGGGGACACAGAGCCAAACCATATCATTCTGACCTGGCCCCTCCCAAATCTCATGTCCTCACATTTCAAAACACAAGCATGCCCTTCCCACAGTCCCCCAAAATCTTAACTCATTCCAGTGTTAACCCAAAAGTCCAAGTCTAAAGTCTCATCCAAAATAAGCAAGTCACTTCTGCCTATGAGCTTGTAAAATCAAAAGCAAGTTAGTTACTTCGTAGATTAAATGGGGTACAGGCATTGGGTAAATATATCCATTCCAAATGGGATAAATTGGTCAAAACAAAAGGGCTATTGGCCCCATGGAAGTTCAAAATCCAAAAGGGCAGCCATTAAACCTTAAAGTTCCAAAATGATCTCCTTTGACTCCTTGTCTTACATCCAGGTCATGCTGATGCAAGAGGTAGGCTCCCATGGCCTTGGATAGCTTTGTCCCTGTGGCTTTGCAGGGTACAGCCCCCCTCCCAGCTGCTTTCATGAGCTGGTGTTGAGTGTCTGTGGGTTTTCCACATGCATGGTGCAAGTTGGTGGATCTACCATTCTGGGGTCTGGAGGACAGTGGTACTCTTTGCACAGCTCCACTAGGCAGTGCCCCAGTGGGGACTCTGTGTCGGGGTTCACACCCCACATTTCCCTTCTGCACTGTCCTAGCAGAGGTTCTCCATGAGGGCTTTGCCCCTGCAGCTAACTTCTGCGTGGACATCCAGGCATTTCCATACAACCTCTGAAATCTAGGGAGAGGTTCCCAAAACTCAATTCTTGTCTTCTATGCACCTGCAGGACCAACACCACATGGAAGCTGCCAAAGATTGGGGCTTGCACCCTCTGAAGCAGTGGCCTGAGCTGTAACTTTGCCCTTTTTGCCACAGGTGGAGCAGCTGGGACACAGAGCATCAAGTCTGGAGGCTGCACACAACAGAGGGGGCCCTGGCCCTGGCCCTGGCCCATAAAACTATTTTTCCCTCCTAGGCCTCAGGGTCTATGATGGGAGGGGCTTCTGTGAAGGCCTCTGACATGCCCTGGAGACATTTTCTCCATTGTCTTGGCTATTAACATTCAGCTCCTCATTTCTTATGCAAATTTATGCAGCCAGCTTAAATTTTTTCCCAGAAAATGGGTTTTTGTTTCTACTGCATCATCAGGCTGCAAATTTTCCAAACTTTTATGCTCTGTCACCTCTTGAATGCTTTGCTGCCTTAGAAATTTTTTCCACCAGATACCCTAAATTGTCTCTCTCAGGTTCAAAGTTCCACAGATCTCTAAGGCAGGGGCAAAAAGCCACCAGTCTTTTTGCTAAAGCACAGTAAGGGTGACCTTACTCCAGTTCCCACAAGTTTCTCATCTCCACCTAAGACCACCTCAGCCTGGATTTCATTGTCCATATCACTATCAGAATTTTGGTCAAAGCCATGAAACAAGTCTCTAGGAGGTTCCAATCTTTCCCACATCTTTCTGTCTGCTTCGGAGTCCTCCAAACTGTTCCAACCTCTGCCCATTACCCAGTTTCAGAGTCGCTTCCACATTCTCAGGTATCTTATAGCAATGCCCCACTCTCAGTACAAATTTACTGTATTAGTCTGTTCTCATGCTGCTGTGAAGTAACACCTGAGACAGGGTGATTTGTAAAGGAAAGAGGTTTAATTGATTCACAGTTCTGCATTGCTGGGGAGGCCTCTGGAAACTTACAATCATGGCAGAAAGCAAAGGAGAAGCAGGAACTTTCTTCATAGGGCAGCAGGATGGATTGAGCACTAGCAGGGGAAATGCCAGATGCTTGTAAAACCATCCAATCTCATGAGACTCACTTACCATCACAAGAATGGCATGGAGGAAACTGCCCTATGATCCAGTTACCTCCACCTGGTCCCATCCTTGACATGTTAACATTATGGGAATTACAATTCAGGTGCAGTTTGGGTGGGGACACAGAGCTGAACCATATCAAGAACTATAAGGATAATAAAAAATATTAAAAGTATTTGGATAGGAGAAAATAGTTATTGACAAAGGAACAAAAGGCACTATGGTCTCAGACTTACGAGTAACATTACAGAAAGCTAGACAATGCCATTTAAAGTTCTAGTAGAGCATATTTTTTTCCTAAAACACATTCTCAATGACATATGAGGATGGATTAAAGATATTTTATTTGGACATTGCTTGAGGATATGCACAAGTAAAATATAAAATAAAAACCAGAAAGAGATGGGATTTAGGATTGGGACTAATCAGAAAAGAAATTAAATCCAGAATTCAACAATGCAAGAAGCAAAAAAAAAAAAAAAAAAAAAGAAAACTAATATTCAAATAGCAGTCCAGGAGGTCCTGGGGAAGTGATTTCCTAGGACATTAACGAAATCTTCATTTACTGGGTGGAATTTTAAGTAGTTATGTATAAATTGTAGGATAATACAAGAAGCCCCACATACCCATGGCCTGGTTTCAACAATTAACACATAACACATGACCAATCTTTGCTACATTTTAATATCTGTCATGTCAGAAATTTAATATTTAGAATTATGTAAAATAGTATACTATTATATATATATATAGAGAGAGAGAGAGAGAGATAGCTGAATGATAAGCTACAATTTTTAAAAAATGGCTGTCCATTAAAGGGAAGAGGAAAGGCATTGTTTTCATTAAATGCCTTTGCATATCATTTGTTTTTTAAGAAACAATTATTCGTGTACACGATAAAAATGTATATAACAATTAAGATAGAATTAAAGATAAATACAATATAGTTAATGAAAACCAATAAATGTTATTAAATTTCTTTCAATCAGCAATAAGGAATTTGAGGCCCTAAAATGTTAAGTGAATTTTTATAGTAGCAATTTACAAATTTAGAGGTAGTGACATGCCTGAAACACAGTTTTCAAACTACTGGTCACTAAACACTAAATCATCTCATCATTAGAGATGAATGGTGTGGAAAATATTACTGTTAAAGATTTATTATTGTCTTATTATTCATGAGACAGTATAAAAAGAAGATAACCCATGTTTCAAAAGTCTGGCAAATAACTACATATAAACTTCATTATAAAATTGCAGTACAAAATATCTATTAGATTCACCTTTGGTGAAGAAATGGTGCTCAACATATTATTTAAGGTAATTTTCAGGTTCCTAGAAGAGATATCATCCATAAAAAAGGCAGTTATTTATCTCTTGATAAGCAGCTTTGTAACAGTTTTTGTTCAGTTATATGAAACTTTTAATTTAGTACAATACTTACTCAGCAAATAGCTATTAATTTTTAATGAATATTTGCCTCAATGTTATAAGATTTTGCAAATTATATTGAAACCAGAGAACCTTAAACTTGGTTATAGTGAAGTTCTGGAGGCTAAATAGCACATGGTTATCCTTGACGTGTCATCTTAGGTTAGATTCCTTAGAAACCAGACCTGCAACAAGGATTCTTGTTTAAGTGATAGACTGAGAAGTGTGCTCAGAAGCAAGGACGTGGGGGAAGCAGGATACAGCAGGACAAGCTAAGAAACAACGTGATGTCAGCAAGAGTCTAGCTGCAGTCTGATCTCATGGGGAGTTCTGGAACATGAACTATATCACAGTTTGTCCCACCAGAGTCAAGGTGCCAGTCCTTTTTTGTAGTCCCATTTAAGTAAGTCATTGACCAAGGCAGGGCACAACTTTTTGGGCAAGGGAGTTCAATTCAGTAGAAGGCAAGTTTGAGACCAGAAAAAGGAACATCTGTGAGCCTTTAGTAGCCAAAATTCAATGCAGCTGGAGGATGAGTACAATAACCCAGGAAATGAGATCTGAGTGGGTTACTGAAGTCAGATTCAAGGAATGAAAGATTTTTAATCAAAAAAACTATTTGAACACTAAGTTTATAGTTACACTTGAGCAGTGCTATCTCCCCTTATTTTTTCTGAAGAGTTTCTTTAGAGGCATATTTGCTTTTAGAAAATCATTAATAAAACTACATTCTCCAAATAGATCATTTGGAGATATAAAAAAAAAGATCATCAACTTTTGGAAATGGTTCCCTATAGCGAACGTGGTACCCTTGATTAATTAAGTTTACTCCCATGAGTTTACATTTTAATTTTAAAACGAATGTAATATTAGTCTATTTACATAGATGAGGATTCTCTGAGGTAACACACATGCTTAGCACTGTGTCTGGCTCAAAGTAAACATAATCCCAAAAGTTAAGTCTAAAAATAGTAAGTTTAATAATTGTATTATCCCAAATCATCACCTAAAAGGGAGTTTCACGGATAAGAGAAAACACTTTTGGGGCTTAACTTCCCGTATGACATTCAGAAATTTGGGAGAAGGGTATCTTATTTTGGACATTGTGTCACTAAAATTCATTCTTTAGGACATGACAAGGAGATGGGAGCTCATGTTATTTTCTTCTTTGTAACAGCTTTATTGAAATATAATTGACATATAACAAACTCCACATATTTAAATTGCATTATTTTGAGTCAAAAATGAATACAAAACCAAGACATATAAGGTCAGGACCACAATCAATTTAATGAATGTATCCATTACTCCCAAAAGTATCCTTATGTCCATCTGTGATCCCTCCCTTCTGCTTCTCCTCACATTCTCCCAGAAACAACTGCTGATCTGCTTTCTGTCCATATATACTAATTTCCATTAATTTCTATTTTCTAGAATTTTATATAAATGAAATTATACAGTATGAATAATTTTTGTCTGCCTTCTTTCTCTCAGTGTATTTATTTTAAGATTTATCTATGTTATGTGTATCAATAGTTCATTTCTCTTGCTAAATAATATTCCATTGTATACCAAAATTTACTTCTCTGTTCATCTATTGATGCAACTTTCATGTCATTTCCAGATTCTGGCTCTTAGAAATAAAGTTGCTATAAAAATTCATGCTCACGTCTTGTGTAGACATATTATTTTATTTCTCTTAGGCAATTCCTAGAAATAGAATGGCTTGGACATATGACACACATGCATATAACTTTTAAAGAAACTGCCAAACTACTTTCCAAAATGGTTGTACCATTTTACATCTCCACAAGCACTATATGGGAGTTCTTTTTTCTGCAAACCTTTGCCAACACTTTTTATAATCAGTCTTTTTAATTTTAGCTTTTTTAGTAAGTACTAGTGTCTCATTTCTTCAATTTCCATTTTTCTAATCATAAATGCTATTGATGATTTATTTATATATTAATTTGTCATTAAGTACCTCCTTAGGCATGGTGTCTGTTTAAATTCTTTCCTCATTTTTCATATGTATTTGCTTGTTTGCTTATTATTGAACTTTGAGAGTTCTTTATATATTCTATACACATTCTAATTTAGATATGAAATTTACAAATATTTCCTCCCATCTGTGAGTTGTCTTTTTATTCTCTTAAAATGATACTGTAAAGAGCAGAAAAGATATATACCAAACTGTTAATAGTGGTTACCTCTGGCAAGGAAATTAGGAGGCACTTTCACTACTCTATCTGGTTTTAACATTTTCCACAGTAATAACAGAAGAAATTAAACGATTTAATGAAATGTGATCAGGAAGTGAAGTAGTTAAAAAAACATCAAAATCACCAGTGGCATAAGATAAGAGGATATGGTAAAAATGAATATGTGGAAACAGTTATAAATAAATATTATTTGTGAGAAGCAAACTCTAAGTCTATTCAAGTGATACATATAGTCAACTTCTTCTATTTCATTCAGTGTAAGACTGTCTTTCTCTAATGCAGGTCTGGCCTCTTGCTAGTAAATTTTACTGTGCCACTTCTATATATTTGAAATCATACATGTTTCCTCCCTCATTTTTTTGTCATCTATTAGCAAAAAAATTGTTGCAGAACCTCTTTTGTTGTTCAGTGAGTTAACTCTAAAACGTTCTCTATTCTCTTGACGTGCTTCATACATCATTTCCATGTGAATGGAAATACACTTAGGCTTGAGCACCTTCTCATCACCTCCCAAAGGCCCCATTTTCAAACATGAATTCTCACCTTGGGGCTTAGGTTTCAACACATGAATTTGGGGGAAACATATACACTCAGTCTATAATAAAGTGTTATTCCAATTCCAAATTTAGGGTAATTAACTTTCCAAAATGGTTTCTATTTCCATTAAAAATACAGCTAAGCTTTAAATCCATTTAATACGGTCATACTTACATGCCAGTTTATGACTTTTTAAAAAATGCAGTTGCAAAATAATCCAATGAGAAGCAAAGTAGATATTAATATCTCTATTTTCCAATGAAGAAGGCAAAATACAGAGAAATAAAATATTGTCATGTTACTTTAGCAGGAAGTTGATACATAATCTTTGAAGAATATTTTTTTTTCCTCTATCCCAGAATTCTTTCCACCTTATTGCTTTGCTCTGACTTTTGTGGGTTAAATTTAAATTACATTCAATATTCTCAGCAATGTTTATTGCATATATAATGCTATAAACTTTTTTTTTTTTTTTTTGAGAAAGGGTCTTGCTCTGTCACCCAATCTAGGGGGGCAGTGGCAGGATCACAGGACACTGCAGCCTCGATCACCTAGGCTCAAGAGATCCTCCCACCTCAGCCTTCCACGAAGTTGAGACTGCAGGCATGCACCGCCACGCCTGGCCAATTTTTTCTTCCTTTCTTTCTTTCTTTCTTTCTTTCTTTCTTTCTTTCTTTCTTTCCTTCTTTCCTTCTTTCCTTCTTTCCTTCTTTCTTTCTTTCTTTCTTTCTTTCTTTCTTTCTTTCTTTCTTTTTTTTTTTTTTTGGAGAGATAAGATCTCACTCTGTTGCCCAGGCATATCTCAGACTGGTGGACTCAAGTGACCCTCCTACCTCTCAGCCTCCCAAAGTGCTAGGATTGTAGTCATCAGCCACTGAGCCTGGCCAGTAAACATATTCTTTCTTTAAGAAATACTTATGCTTTAATAATTCAATAATCCAGGAGACTCTATCTTGTGATTGAAGTAAAGGCTTTTAAAACGTACCATTACTTGAAGCTCTGGGATTTTTGTGCTTAAAGTGAGTTTTAAAAGACAAGACTTGGCCGGGCGCAGTGGCTCACGCCTGTAATCCCAGCACTTTGGGAGGCCGAGACAAGCGGATCACGAGATCAGGAGATTGATCCTGGCTAACATGGTGAAACTCTGTCTCTACTGAAAATACAAAAAAAAAAAAAAAAAAATTAGCCGGGCGTGATGGCAAGTGCCTGTAGTCCCAGCTGGTTGGGAGGCTGAGGCAGCAGAATGGGTGTGAACCTGGGAGGTGGAGCTTGCAGTAAGCCGAGATCGCACCACTGCACTCCAGCCTGGGCGACAGACAAAGACTCGGTCTCAAAAAAAAAAAAGGCAAGACTTTTTGTTTTGCCTGTATTATGGAAAGATTTCATTGGTAAATATCAGGAAATACAACACAAATAAAAATGCCTAATTAAAGCCATTTTAAAAGGAAGGCAAGGGAAATCATAATTAATATGGATCTCAACTCTATAGCTAGCATAGTGAGAAGAAATAATATTGGGGGAAAGTCTGTGGCAAATAAGTACTGAGATTTTTTTAAACTGGATATTACATTTTGAATATTTCAACGAGTTTAAATGGACATTTTCAAGACCATATTGCTTTCACTTGTGGAACATTAGAAGATGGTTATGACAGAATTATCAATGGACTTATGGCACTTTTTGTTGTGCATATGCAAACAATATCAGTTGAGCAAAAACAAAAATCAAGAATATTTTATTTTTCTATTATTTGAGTCAGTGGAAGCAGAGAAATGCTGAGTGACTTAGCCATTGTGATACAGCTATTTGGTGACAGAATTGAGGCTGGACAAAGACTTTTGCTTCTCACTGACTAGGCTGTGCTCATTAAGTGTGAATGCTGGTACCATTTCCAACTTTCTAGTACACAAGGATGTGTATGTTTATTTGGGTATCTCCAGGCATCCTTAAGTGGATATGCTTTATGTAAATAATATATGTTTTGTGTTTTCTTTTAAGATCTTACACTAGAGCTACATTTTCCCCTAGAAAAAAATGATTTTATGTAAAATAACTTTTTGGAGGAGGTCTCAAATTTAGTGTAACTTTTTTTTAATAATTGCAAAATATCTTAGAAGACCATATACAAAGGGAATAATTTAAAAGTTAATAACCTCCCAAGTAACTATACTGCATAATTGGGTTTTTACAAATCCACTTTGATATGTATATTAGATGGACATTTGGGGATACTTCTTACATAAATGTACATATCTTCATGTCATAAATCTATAGAGAATAAGGAAAAAAGAAATTATATGCTCAAAAGAAATGAAGTTCCTGTGTGTATTCCCTCAATCTTTTTTATGTTGTATAAAGAGAATCCACCCAACTGTGACTGACTAGCTATGCAATGCAGCCTGCCACCAGGAGATACTATTCAATATATCTTGTATGTTTTTCATTGCTAAGAGAAGCTATGAGCAGTTCATAAGAAAAAGAAGAGTTGGGAATGGTATATACCTGAGTTGAGGGGCTTTTTGAAATCTTTTTCTCATTAGTTGTAATAGTATCTCCACAAAATGAAGTATGAAGATGTGAAACTGAAAGTTCCCTTTTTTACCTGAATGCATTTTTTTTTATTTTGCATGGTGTCATGTTCATAGAACACGTTGGACTTTTAAGAGCATGTATTTTATTTGGTGATTCCCAATAATTTTTAACAAAATATATATCAAATTGAATCATATGAAATTGTCAATATTAGATTTTGTTGAAAAACAAAAATAGCAATTTCCTATGGTTCAAGCTGATACATATCGTGTGATTATAATATGTACTTAATCCTCTACCAAATCACTCTTTGACCCTCATTGAAAGCAAACAAATCAATAAAAACTCTTGATTACTTAATAATTAAGTTTTCCTAATTTTAGAACAAGGTATTTTTATTGGTATTACAGTAAACAACAACTTAAAATCACACACACACACAAATCCTATTAGGATTTTAATTGGAATAGCATCAAATGTATAGATTTAATTTGAGGATAATTGGCATGTTTATGAGTTTTTTAATCCATTGGCATGATTTATCTCTCTATTTAAACACTTCTTTTAGCAAATTTTCATGACCTCTTGCACTTTATTTGTTAAATGTATTCTTCAATACCTTATTTCTTGGATCTATTGGTAAAAGGTATCACTTAAAACATTACATTTTCAAATTATTTATTGCTGGATTATATAAACGCAGTCAGTATTTGAGTTGTCATCTTGTATGCATGAATTTTACTAAGCTTTAAATTAATTCTGTTTGTCTGTAAATTAACAAATCTTTTGATGTGGAAAGTTATAACAACTGGGATGACAACAATTTAGGTTTTACTTTTCATTCTTATATATTTTATTCCTTTATTTATTTACTACTTCTTTTGTTTGTTAGTTTTGAGACAGGGCCTGCCTCTGTCACCCAGAGTGGAGTGTAGTGGCAGTATCACGGCTCACTGCATCCTCTGTCTCCCAGGTTCAGGTGATCCTCCCACCTCAGCCTCCAAAGTAGCTGGAACCACAGGTGTATGCCACCATGCCTGGCTAGTTTATTATTATTTTTTTAATTTTATTTTTGCAGAGACAGGATCTCCCTACGTTTTCCAGATTGGTATCGAACTCCTGGACTCAAGTGATCCTTCTTCCCTAGATTCTCAAAGTTCTGGGATTACAGATGTGAGCTACCATGCCCAGCTCTTTACTACTTTTTAAGTAATCTATGTGTTTATTTCTGTAGAATCTCCTCTACTATATTTATTATTTATTTCTGTATAGGAGCTCTGCCACCAAGTCAATTAGAAGTGGTTAATTAGATATTCTCAGCCTGCTCATATGTAGATATTCTCAGCCTGCTCATATTTAGATATATGTGCATGTATGGCTTGATAGACAGATATGGATGGATAGATAGACAGATAGACAGACAGACAGATAATATTCAGTTCTGTCACACCTAGCAACCAGATATTAGTATCTAAATATCATTTTGCACTAAAGGAACCAAGGCTCCTTGAAGACATAGCCAATCAATTCTGTATCTGGGGCAGGAAAAATACAATATGGGCTTGGGATATCTCAGTGCAATTTATCAAGTCAGTTCATCTGAGAGTTAGTAGCGACTATTACTGAAAACTTCCTATTTGCTGGAAATAATATGAAGTTATTTATGTGTATTATCTTATTTCTTCTGCACTATGTCATATATATCTTTAATTCCCATGTTTTGGCTCTGGGACTATAGCTCACATAAATAAAGAAACTTTCCAAGATTACACAGCAAACAAACTGAGGAGCACAAGATTCAAATAGGCCACTGTTTTTGGTCAACAGATTGGTTTAGAAACTGTTTATTGTTGATTTCTCTTAGACATAGTTTTCACTCACAATAACTCTGTGGTATTCATGGTCTTTGATTTTCCTTTTATTCATTTATGTGGAAATTCTGGCCTCTATTTCTGTCCATCTAAAACAACAGTATATGTTCTGACTAAAAGTATGTAGGGGAGAAAATATTTCCTTCCTCACTCATCACAATGTTCATGGCTCACACCGCTGTACTGGTTCAGAAATCTTTTCCTCTCTTTTCTCTTTACTAAGTTTATCTTTATTTCCACAGTCCTCCCAAAGATCGTTGTTTATATTTCTATTCTAAAATGGCATTCCTCCTTGCTTCATAATTGACAGTACCCATGTCCCCAACTAAACAGTTGGATATTTCATGGCAATGTTTTCTTCCTCTTGGTGTCTCTTGCACAACAGAGGATGATGCCCTCTTTAAGTCTTAGATCCCAGAACACAGTGGAGGTCTAATTTTGCTTTCCTAAGAAAAAACCATCACCTCCCAGAGGTTTTAAACAAGTGTCTTACTTATTCTCTGCTCATTTGTTTTTTTTTTTTTCCTAATTGTCTTCTCTAACACCATCTGAATATCTTTTTTGTTGTTATTCTCTAAATCTTTCTAAAATATCCAATTACCTACATCCTTTTTAAACACTCCCTCATGCTTTCCCTGAACTTCTTGGATAAATGGTGTTGGTTTAGCTGTTTTAATCTGTCCTTCAGATCTGAGTTCTTTAAACTGGTCCAGGAATTCCTTTTTCACCTTTTTCTTCATTAAATATATATGTCTTTGTATATTCCAAAATTTCAACTCAATTTTTACAGGAGATGTGTAAAGGAGTTTATCTTCCATATTTCAAACAGTTATGCTTGCACCTGCCAGTAAAACTTCTACAGCAGATACACATCTCTCTATAGAATAATCTCTTCTCACTTTCTAAATGAAAATTACAGAGCATTTGGTTAAGTCTGCCTTCTATCTGCCGGGTTTCCGGATTTCATTTCATGCTTACATTCACTCATTCAAACTCAGAATCAGGTAGACAATTTTACTGGGATTGTTTACACACCTCAATTTTTTTCAGGTTATTTTTTTTCTTATATTGACAACCTAATGCTAAAAGTGAATGATTGAAGATTTGAGCATTATCTAGCTTCTTGAATCCCACGACATAATTCTAGTTGTCTTTTTTTCTCTTGGCATATTCTTTAAAGTTAACACAAATTCTCCGAAGAACTGAAGTTGCCTTGCATGGGATGCTACAGTGGAAGCTGTCTTCTCAGCATCCAAGAAATAGACCCCTGCTTTAGGTCTACTCTTTTCCTTTTAAACAGGTCACTTTTCCTGTCACCACCTAACCATGGCATTACCCTAAATCTTTTTTTTCTGATCTTTTTCCTCAATCTATCTTGTAAACTGGATCTCCTGACACATACTCTTAGCTACAGAAATCTTGATCCAAAGACACTGGTCTTCCCTGAACTGCACACATGACTGCTTCCCTTGCCTTCACCACTTTTCATGACCTTTATGCAGTTGATAGTATTCTGGTGGCCAAGGCCAGGGGATAAATGGATAGTCTGATTTCTCTAAACTTTGATAGTTCCTGGACATGTACTGCTTCTCTTTCCTTCTCTAGCTTAATCACTCCCCACCTTTGCTCCATTCTCCTCTGGTCTTGTGAATTGTGAGTTACTGCAGTGTGTGTAGAGGTCATCTTGATTCTTCTACATCATTCCTTATCCTTTGTTCTTCATTTCATCAAGTGAGCCAAGTCTATTGGATATTTATAACAGCCCCAGGAAGTAGAGAGCAGAAAGATTTTTATCCTCATTTCTCAACTGAGCAAACTGAAGTTTCAGCATGGAATCTAAGATTCCAAATTGTAATACTTTGGCCCAAGAAATGCTAGAGCAAGACAAATAACTAGGAAAATGGAAAAAGTGCCAAAGTGAGAATTCATTTCCCTCTATTTTCTTCCCAGTATTACAGTAGAAACCTGGATTTACATTAAAACACTTTATTCCCTGTGCCTTTGTTTTTTCATCTATACAATGGGGCTTATACAAAAATCTATATCATTGTGTTGGAAGAATTATATAGGTTTGTACATGTGAAATATTTAGAACAGTGGCTGGTGTACCCAGTAAGTGTTGTCTACTTTTATTATGTCTAAATAAAATAAAATCACATCTTCCTTCTCAAAATGTATTTACCTTCTTGTATGTTTTATTCCTTAAGCTATGTCACTATTTAAGTCTCCTAGGTTACTAAACTTACTCACCCATGACTTCCTCATTCACATTCATCTGCTAATATTTTTTGGCTTTATCTTTGAAACAACTTTTATATTCATTTGTTCCTCTGCAACCTCACTAATGGTGTACCAAATTACAATATATAGTATATAATATATTAATATTATATAATGATTATATTAATTAATATGTACAGTGTGTAATATATTATGTATAATAGTTAATGCTAATCTATATTAATATATTCTATATGTTTTAATATTATAGAGAGAGTCATATACAGTGTCAATGATGGGATATGTTCTGAAAATGAATTGTTAGGTGATTTTATGATTGTGTGAACATTACAGAATGTACTTACACAAACCTATATGGTATAGCCTATTAGACACCTAGGCTATATGATATAGCCTATTGCTCCTGGGATACAAACCAGTACAGCATGTTACTATACTGAATAATGCAGGCAGTTGTAACATATTGATAAGTATTTGGGTATCCAAACATAACCTACACATAGAAAAGATAGTTAAAATATGGTACTATAATCTTATGGGACCACCATAGTATATGCAGTCTGTCTTTGATAGAAACGTTGTTATACAGGGCATGACTGTACTACTATTATGTTTACAAATGTGGACCTTATTGAAGAGACTTTATGAACCAAAGGATAATTAATTGACAGTTTCATCCAAAGACACACTATATGGACAATTCACATTTACAGTGACACAGAGTAATTTTCCCTTGTGAAGTGAGAGAAAACCTCAGTTTGTCTCTGGAGTGATCCAATAATTTCCATTCTCATGAAATGTTCATTTTTACAAGTTAAGGAACCTTGATGTGACTCATGAATCAGTTTCACCACATCTTGCACCATCAGTGTCAGAAAAAAATTGATATTAATATATGCTATGTCAATCAGGGAAAGCTGGATTATGCAGTGATAACACAAACTGCAAAATCTTTGTGCCTTCCAAAGCAGGGTTTTATTTCATGTCTCTGCTAGAAATTCATCATGAGTTGGCCAGAAGCTCAGCCCCAAGATAGGGACTCAAGCTAAAGGCGATGCCATTATCAAGGATGTTGCTGATTACCGTGTAAGAGGGAAAAAGTTATTAGAGCATCTTCTCACTGGCAGTTAAATAATCCAGTCCACAAGTAATACTTTTTATGTTGACCATAACCTATTGGCCAGAACCTCTTACAGCATTCTACAGAAATACAAGGAAGATAGGAAAGCCAAATCCTACCATTGATCAAAAGGACAATAGAACAGACATACATAAACATTAGAAATCTCTACCACATTATTTAAATTCCAAAATCTTAATCTTGGGATGAGACTTCTTCCATCAGTACATGTCCCAAAAGGAGGTTTGTGTATAACCCCTTTCCATGATTGATGCTTCAGAAATTCAAGAAGGAAGATGTTCCCATCAAACTTGCTACAGAAGAGGTGAAAATTCCTAAAATTAAAAGATCAATTTGATTTCTATGTGATATTCTTTATCTATTTATAGTGTCTTCAAGTGGAACCTTCAGGAACCAATAGTATTATTTCAGTTATTCCTTTCATTTACCTTTTTTTTTTTTTTTTGACAGAGTCTCATTCTGTCGCCAGGCTGGAGTTCAGTGGCACAATCTCAGCCCACCACAACCCCCACCTCCCGGGTTCAAGCAATTCTCCTGCCTCAGCCTCCCAAGTAGCTGGGACTACAGGTGCATGCCACCATGCCCAGCTAATTTTTGTATTTTCAGTAGAGACAGTGTTTTACCATGTTGGCCAGGATGGTCTCAATCTTCTGACCTCGTGATTCGCCCGCCTTGGCTCCCAAAGTGCTGGGATTACAGGCGTGAGCCCCTGCGCCCAGCCTCATTTGCATTTTAATTTGGAATTCACATTGCTTACCTAATGGTGTGATATCACTTTTATGTTTGGATTAAAAAACATTTACATTATTTTTCCTGAAGTCTGTACTTATACATTGTTATCAACAGTTACTATGACAAAAATATCTGTCACATTTTTATCCCCACACTTTTCCTTTAGTGTAGGCAACAACCCCTGTATGCTGTGCTTCCTACTGGTCTTCCAGTCTTCCCTCAGTATTGCCTCTGCTGTTATTTTTCTAAGGCACAGATGCCATCTTATAACCTCCATGTTTAATAGTTTTCTGTGATTTCCTATAACCTTGTAGAAATCTTGACAGATTTTCCACAGACTCACCTGTCTCTTCACCTTTGTAATCTATTCTAACACCTACACACAAATTCTACAGGTAAAGGAGACCTATTATTCCTCTTCTTTGATCTGTGGTCATGCTGTGCTCTTCTTCAGGGAAGCAGTATTAAATGAAGTCACAGGTTTTGGGAGTAAATCTGAGCTGATTTCAAATCTACATCACTACTTAGTAAATGAGCATTAGTGTACTGTAAAATGGGAATGCTGTTTTTTTCTGAGGTATTGCAAATCTAGTGAGCATTCATAGATAGGTAGATGGATGGATAGATGATAGATAGATAGATAGATAGATAGATAGATAGATAGATAGATAGATAGATAGATACACATTGCCTGAAACAAACTAAATTATTCTACAAATGACATCTATTACTTCAGACCTCCAGGGATTGCAAGTATCTATTTCTCTTGAATGTATCTTGTGACCTAGCAAACTTCCACCTCATCTTCAAGAAATGGCCCAGATGTCTTTCACTTCATTGATAGTCTTTTCCAATGTTCTCATTATTCATTTTCTCTTTGTTCTCTTATGGCATTTCAAATTATATTCAGTATAGAAATTTGTATTTTAAGGTGTGAATGTTGTTTATCTTTTGAAATTACAGGGTAAATATAAGTTTATCTTTTTTAAAAATAGAGATAGAACTTCTTCATGTTGCCCAGGCTGATCTTGAAATCCTGGGCTCAAGTGATCCTCCCGTCTCAGCCTCCCAAAGACCTGGGATTACAGGTATGAGCCACCATGCCTGGCCAATCTTTAAAAAATTTAAAAAATCAACAAATCTAACTCATTTTAAAACAATTTTGATGTAATTCATTCAATCATTTATATCTATCCATTTATCATGTTGTTAGTTACATATTTTATGAAGATATTTACATAGACATACAATTACAGAGAATATATAATAAAGCTCATGTTCCCAGCACCCACATTTAACAAGTGTTAAAATCTTGCCATATTTACCTCAGAAATATTTATGGACATAGATGCAGTTAAATCTCCCTCCTATCTCTTTACCACTCCTATCTGAGATGTATGTGGTGGGACTATTATGAATGATGCTACTGTGAATGTTCTTTTGTGTGTCCTGTAGTGAACATCTGAACATTTATGTTGGCTATCTAATATGTGAAATATGTTGCTTATCTAATATGTGAAATTGCTGGAAATGCACCTTATTAGCACCAAAGTGGTTTTGAAAATGATTGTACTAATTTACACTCCCACTAACAGCGTGTGAGAGTTCTAGTTGTTTGGCATTCTTCTAAGTACTTTTGCATCTATCTTCTAATAATAAGATCATAAAAATAATTATCACACTTCAGGAATTTAACATTAGTATTTTCTAATACACATTCTATACTAAATTTTTCTCAGTGCTCCCAAAGATGTTCTTTATAGTTATTTTTGCTTTAACATAAAGATCAATTCTATTTTTATTTATTTTTTATCATGTATTTTTAATTAAAAAAAATCTGTGATGATATGTAGCCTTTATTTTCATGATGTTTGTATTTTATTTTATTTTATTTTATTTTATTTATTTTATTTTATTTTTTTGATATGGAGTTTCGCTCTGTTGCCCAGGTTGGAGTGCAATGTTGCAACCTCGGCTCACTGCAACCTCCACCTCCCAGGTTCAAACAATTCTCCTGCCTCAGCTTCCCAAGTAGCTGGGATGACAGGCATGCGCCACCACGCCAGGCTAATTCTGTTGTTTTTTTTGTTTTGTTTTGTTTTTAGTAGAGATGGGGTTTCACCATGTTTGTCAGGTTGGTCTCTAACTCCTAACCTCAGATGATCTGCCAGCCTCGGCCTCCCAGAGTGTTGGGATTACAGGCGTTAACCACCACGCCCAGCCAATATTGGTATTTTTGAAGAGTTCAGTCCAATTGTCGATTATAATGTCTCATCACTTCAATATTATCTGATTTCATTTCCTTTTGCTTAGATTCAACTTAATCATTTCCCCCAAGAGTACAATTTAGTTAATTTTCTGTACCTTTAATCCCATCATAACAGGAGACACATGATGTCAGTTTGTTACTTTATCAGTGATGTTACATTTGATCACTTAGTTAACAATGTAAAATGGATACAGGGGTTTCCTACGAAGAAAATCCTGTTTGAATATCTATGCCAATCCCCTAGCTCCAGTGAGTCTTGGATGTTCACTGTTCATAGTTGTCCCATAGGGAATTGCTTTAAGCCAGCAGAATGCTCTGTGTGTACTTGACAAGAAGGTATATCCCCAATTCAGAGTCTCAAATTCACAACTCAGACATTGTTAATTGTGCTATAGAACTCTTCTGGTGCCTTATTTCTTTTTGTCCAATTATTTTGTTTGAACTGATAGTAATGTATTAATATTTATTTCTTACTACATTTTTGTGTCTAATTTAATCTCCTGTAGTTTCTATTTTAATAGAAGTTTGTTATATTTGGTACATACATATTCATAACTGTCATATGTTCATTATGATTTATGGCTTTTAGAGAATAATATCTTATGTCATATTTAAGTGCCTTTTTCTTGAATTATACTTTGTCAATATCAAGATCTCAATGCAAATTTTATTTTCTTATATTAACAAATTTATTGAAGTATAATTGATGCACATAAAATTGCACATATTTAAAGTAGAAAATTAAATGTGTTAAGGCATATGTAGACACATGTAAAACCATCATCGCAATCAAGATAATAAATACGTCCATCACCCCTAAATGTTACATTTCTTTGTAATCAATTCCTCTTTATCTCTAGACACTCAATGATTTGCTTGCTGCCACTATAGATTAGTTTGGATTTTCTAGAATTTTACAAAAATGGAAACATACAGTATATAACTCCTTATTGTCTATGTTATTTACTCAGCATAATTATTTTGACATTTATTGTTTATGTTGGATATACCAATCATTTCATCATTTTTATTGTTCATTACAAGTTCATTGTTTGTCTATTTCACAGTTTGTTTACCTATTTATCTGTTGATTCACATTTGAGTTGTTTCCAATTGTTGGCTATTACAAATATTATTGTTATGGGTATTCATGTGTAAATGTTTGTGAAAACATAGATGTCTTAGTATTTTGTGTAAGTATCTCAGAAATATGTAATATATGCTTTGTAGAAACTTTAGTAATTATTTGGCTATTGCTCCCTGGTGTCTCTTGGCCATGGTCTCCGGCATTTCATCCCATGTTAAGTGAAAAGCAGTATTCAGTCCAAAATTCTTAGAGACTATCTGCAGATTTCCGGAATTGTCTGTACAGAGTCCTCCTCTTTGGCATCTTTCTCCAAAATATCTAGCAACATCAGCCTCTGTAAACCCTGTTCTCATTATATTTACTTTTTTATAATAGTCTGTTAATGTAGTGAACTATGCTGATTGATTTTTGAAAGTTAAACCAAACTGACATTCTTGGGATAAACCTTATTCAATCATGGTGTGTGTGTGTGTGTGTGTGTGTGTGTGTGTGTTTTCAGCAGCTGGATAGATCAGTCATGGTTTTTAAAAATTATTTTACTATATGTTTGCATTTGATTGGCTATTTAACACAAAACTCCTTTTTTTTTTTTTTTTTGGAGATGTTGTCTCGCACTGTAGCCCAGGCTGGAGTGCAGTGGTGTGATCTCGGCTCATTGCAACCTCTGACTCCTGGGTTCAAGCAATTCACCTGCCTCAGCCTCCCAAGTAGCTGGGACTACAGCTGCAGGCCGCCACGCCCAGCTAATTGTTTGTATTTTTAGTAGAGACGGGGTTTCACTGTGTTGCCCAGGCTCCTCTCAAACTCCTGAGCTCGGCAGTCTGCCTGCCTCAGCCTCCCAAAGTGCTAGGATTACAGGTGTTGAGGAAAGTTAAGGAAAAGTAAACAGGGCTTTGTGCCCAGCCTGCTTTAAAAATTTCTATCTAAAGGTACAGAACAAGATGGCAGAATAAAAGCCTTCAGCATTGGTACCTCCTGAAGAAACACCAAATTTTACTATCTGCACACAGAAAAGCATTGTCACAAGAACCAAAAACCAAGTGAGCAATCACAGTACCTGGTTTTAACTTCAACTCATTGAAAGAGGCTTTGAGGAGAGCAGGAGAGACAGTGTTGAATTGCCAATGCCACTCCTCCATTCCCTACTGCAGCCATGCAGTTCTGAGAATCTGTTCACTTGAGGGAGGGAAAGTACGGTAATAAGGGAACATTACATTGAACTCAGTGCTACCCTGTCACAGCAGAGAATAAAGCTGTGCTGAGCTCAACTAGCACCCATGCACAGAGGGAGAATTTGGACCAGACTCAGCTAGAGGAGAATCACCCATCCCATCAGTCAAAACTCAAATTTCTCAGCAAGCCTCACTACCACAGGCCAAAGTGCTCTAGGGTGCTAAGTAAACTTGAAAGGCAGTCTAGGACACAAGCACTGCAATTCCTAGAACGGCAATTCCTAGGCAACTCCTAGTGCTGGGCTGAGGTCAGAACCAGTGGACTAGCGTGGCATATGATCTAGGGAGATACCAGTCAGGGCCGCTAAAGGAGTGCTTGCACCACTCCTCCCATTACCCAAGGCAGTGCAGCTCACAGCAGTGAAAGTCTCCTTCCTTCTGCTCAAGGGGAGGAGAGCTAAGAGTAAAAAGCACTTAGTTTTTCTTCTTGGATACAAGCTCAGCCACAGTAGGATAAAGCACCAAGCAGAGTCTTAATGCTCCCATTCTGGGCCCTAGCTCCAGGATTACATTTCTAAACACATCCTAGGTCTAAAGGGAACCTACTGCCTTGAAGGGACTAACCCAGTCCTGTCAATATTTATCACCTGCTACCTAAAGAGCCCTTGTGCCCTGAATAACCTGTAGCAATATTCAGGTAATACACCATGGGCCTTGAGCTCTGAGACATGCTGACTACAGGTGTAATCCAGCGCATTCCAAGCTATGGTGGCTATGTTGAAAGACTCCTTTTGGATAAAAGTTAAGGAAAAGTAAAGGGGGCTTTGTCTCACACCTTAGATGCCAGCTTGACCACAGTGGAGTAGGACAACAAGTAGGCTCTTAGGAGTCCCTGAGTGTAGGCTCAGGCTCTTGGTAAGCATTTGTGGACTTTCCCTGAGACAGAGGAGAGCCCAATTCCCAGAAGGCTGAGTCCCAGGCCTGGCAGCATTTATCACAAGCTGACTGAAGAGCACTTGGGCTTTAAGTGAACAGGAGCAGTGGCCTCACAAAAGCTCCTTGTGGACCAGCAGTGGTGCTGCCACAGGGAGAGGCTTCACTGCCCTTGGAAAGGTGGGTAAAAAGCAGGAAGGACTTTATATTGTAGTTTGAGTGCCAGTTTAGCAGCAGTAGAATAAACATCAGGCAAATTTCTAAGGTTTTTGACTTCGATTCCTGGCTCCCTGACAGCATCTCTGAACCCACCCAGGGCCTAGGGGAACTTGGTTCCCTGAAGGAAAATACACAAACCTGAATAGCTTCACCACCTTCTAATTGTAAAGACTCAGGGCCTTGAGTGAACATGGGTGGTAGACAAGTAGTGGTTCCAGCAGGCCACACCCCCAGTTCCAGACAGCTAAGCACAGGGAGAGAGACTCTATTTTCAGAGTAGTTTTCGTAGGTTTTTGGTTTTCTGTTCTTGTGTTAGTTTGCTGAGGAATGGCATCGAGCTCCATCCATGTCCCTGCAAAGGACATAAAATTGTTCCTTTTTATGGCTGCATGGTATTCCATAGTGTAGATGCTGGAACCACATTTTCTTTATTCAGTGTATCACCAGAGGGCATTTAGGTTGATTCCATGTCTTTTCTATTGTGAATAGTGCTGCAGTGAACATATTCATGCATGTGTCTTCATAATAGAATGATTTATATTCCTTTGGGTATATACCCAGTAATGGGATCGCTGCATCAAGTGGTATTTCTGCCTGTAGGTCTTTGAGAAATTGCCACATTTTCTTCCACAATTGTTGAACTCATGTATACTCCCACCAACAGTGTAAAAGCATTCCTTTTTCTCCACAACCCCACCACTGACTTTTTAATAATAGCCGTTCTGCTGGTGTGAGATAGTATCTCATTGTGGTTTTTATTTGCATTTGTCTAATAGTCAGTGATGTTGAGGTTTTTTTCTTTTTTTTTTTTTTTTCGAGACAGAGTTTTGCTCTGTCGCCCAGGCTGCTAGAGTCCAGTGGTGCGATCTCCACTTACTGCAAGCTCCGCCTCCCAGGTTCATGCCATTCTCCTGCCTCAGCCTCCCGAGTACCTGGGACTATAGATGCCCGCCACTGCGCCCGGCTAATTTTTTGTGTTTTTAGCAGAGATGGGGTTTCACCATGTTAGCCAGGATGGTCTCGATCTCCTGACCTTGTGATCCACCCGCTTCGGCCTCCCAAAGTGCTGGGATTACAGGCATGAGCCACTGCACCCTGTCGATGTTGAGCTTTTATTCATATGTTTGTTGGCCACATGTATGTCTTCTTTTGAGAAGTGTCTGTTCATGTCCTTTGCCCACTTTTTAATACTTTAATATGGTTGTTTATTTCTTTGTAAATTTGTTTAAGTTCTTTGTAGATGCTGGATATTAGACCTTTGTCAGATAGATTACAGAAATTTTCTCCCAGATCTGTAGCTTGTCTGTTTGCTCTGTTCATACTTTCTTTTGTTGTGCAGAAGCTCTTTAGTTTAATTAGTTTCCATTTGCCAATTTTTGCTTATGTTGCAATTGCTTTTGACAGCTTTGTCATGAAATCTTTGCCCATGCCTATGTCTCAAATTGTATTGCCTAGGTTTTCTTCTAGGGTTTTTATAGTTTTGGATTTTACATTTAACTCTTTAATCCATCTTGAGTTGATTTTTGTATATGATGTAAGGAAATGGTCCAGTTACAATTTTCTGCATACGGCTAACCAGTTCTCCCAGCTCCATTTATTGAATAAAGAATCTTTTTCCATTGCTTGTTTTTGACAGGTTTGTCAAAGATCAAGTAGTTGTAGATGTGTGGTCTTATTTCTGGGTTCTCTGTTCTGTTCCATTGGTGTTTGTGTCTGTTCTTGTACCAGTAGCATGCTGTTTTGGTTACTGTAGCTTTGTAGTGTAGTTTGAAGTCAGGTAGCATGATACTTCCAGTTTTGTTCTTTTTGCTTAGAATTGTCTTGGCTATTCAGGCTCTTTTTTTAGTTCCATATGAATTTTAAAATAGTCTTTTTTAAATTCCATGAAGAATGACTGATAATTTCATAAAAATAGCATCGAATCTATAAATTGCTTTGGGCAGTATGGCCATTTTTATAACATTGATTCTTCCTATCCATGAGCATGGAATGTTTTTTCATTTGGTTGTGTCATCTCTGATATCTTTGCAGTGGTTTGCAGTTCTCCTTGAAGAGATCCCTCACTTCTCTTTTTATTTGTATAAAATAAAATTCCTAGGTATTTTATTCTTTTTGTGGCAATTATGAATGGAAGTTCATTCATGATTTGGCTGTCTGCTTACCAATTGTTGGGTTGTAGAAATGACAGAATTTTTGCACATTGATTTTGTATCCTGAGACTTTGCTGAAGTTGCTTATCAGATTAAGAAGGTTTTGGGCTGAGATGATGGGGTTTTCTTGATATAGGATCATGTCATCTGCAAACAAAAGTTAGTTTGACTTTCTCTTCCTATTTGAATATGCTTTATTTCTTTCTCTTGTCTGGTTGTCCTGGCCAGAACTTCCAATACTATGTTAAATAGGAGGGGTGAGAGATGGCATCCTTGTGTTGTGCTGGTTTTCAAGGAGAATGCTTCCAGCTTTTGCCCATTCATTATGATACTAGCTGTGGGTTTGTCATATATGGCTCTTATTATTTTGAGTTATGTTCCTTCAATACCTAGTTTATTGAGAGTTTTTATCATGAAAGAATGTTGAATTTTATCAAAGGCCTTTTCTGCATCTATTGAGATAATCATGTGGTTTTTGTCTTTAGTTCTGCTTGTGGAATGAATCACATTTAATGATTTGCGTATGTTGAACCAATCTTGCATCCCAGGGATGAAGCCTACTTGATCATAGTGGATAAGCTTTTTGATGTGGTGCTGGATTTGATTTGCCAGTATTTTACTGAGAATTTTTGCATCAGTGTTCATCAAGGATATTGGTCTGAAGTTTTCTTTTATTGTGTCTCAGCCAAGTTTTGGTATCAGGCTGATGCTGGCCTCATAGAATTAGTTAAGGAGAAGTGCCTCCATTTCCATTTTTTGAAATAGTTTCAGTAGGAATGGTACCAGCTCTTCTTTGAATATCTCGTAGAATTCAGCCGTAAATTCATCTGTTCTTGAGCTTTTTTTTTGTTAGTAGGCTATTTATCACTGCCTCAATTTTAGAACTAATTATTGGTCTATTTAAGGAATCAATTTCTTCCTGGTTCAGTCTTGGGAGGGTGTATGCATCCAGGAATTATTCCATTTCTTCTAGATTTTCTAGTTAATGGGCATAGAAATGTTTATAGTATTTTCTGATGGTTCTTTGTATTTCTGTAGGGTCAGTGGTAATATCCCCCTTATCATTTCTTATTGTGTCTGTTTGCATCTTCTCTCTTTTCTTCTTTATCAATCTAGCTAGCACTGTATTAATTTTTTCACAAACTAGATCCTGGATTCATTGATTTTTTGAAAGGTTTTTTTTTAATCTCTAACTCCTTCAGTTCAGCTCTGATCTTCGTTATTTCTTGTGTATTGCTAGCTTTAGGGTTTGTTTGTAGTTGATTCTCAGTTTTTATAGTTGTGATGTTAGGATATTAAATTGAGATCTCTCTAGCTTTTTGATGTGGGCATTAAGGGCTATAAATTTTCCTCTAACACTGCTTTAGCTGTGTCCCAGAGATTTGTGTACATCATATCTTTTTTCTCATTAGTTTCAAAAACATCTTATTTTCTGCCTTAATTCCATGATTTACTCAAGAATCATTCAGGAGCAGATTGTTCAGTTTGCTCGTAGTTGTATGCTTTAGAGTGAACTTCTTAATCTCAAATTCTAATTTGATTGAGCTGTGGTCTAAGAGACTGTTATACTTTCAGTTCTTTTGCATTTGCTGAGTGTTTTACTTCCAATTATGTGATCAATTTTAGACTGTCATGTGGCAATGAGAAGAATGTATATTCTGTTGTTTTGGAGTGGAGAGTTCTGTAGGTATATAACAGGTCCTCTTGATCCAGAGTTGAGTTCAGGTTCTGAAAATCTTTGTTAGTTTTCTGTCTCAATGATCTGTCTAATCTTTTCAGTGAGGTGTTAAAGTATCCCACCATTATTTTTGTGGGACTCTAAATCTCTTTGAAGGTCTCTAAGAACTTGCTTTATGAATCTGAATGCTCTTGTTTTGGGTGAATATATATATTTAGGATAGCTACGTCTTCTTGTTGAATTGAACCCTGTACCATTATGTAATGCCCTTCTTTGTCTTTTTTGATCTTTGCTGGTTAAAAGTCTGTTTTGTCAGAAACTAGGATTGCAGCCCCTGATTTTTTCTGTTTTTTATTTTCTTGGTAAATTTTCTTCCATCCCTTTATTCTGAGCCTACGTGTGTCTTTGCATGTGAGATGGGCCTCTTGAAGATAGCATACTGATGGGTCTTGGCTTTTTATACAGCTTACCATATTGTGTCTTTTAATTGAGGCATTTAGCCCATTTACATTTAAGGTTAGTATTGTTATGTGTGGATTTGATCTCATCATTATACTACTAGTTGGTTATTTTGCAGACTTGTTAATGTGGTTGCTTTATAGTGTCACTGGTCTGCATACTTCAGTGTCCTTTTGTAGTGGCTGGTAATGGTTTCTTCTTTCGGTATTTAGTGCTTCCTTCAAGAGCTCTTGCAAGGCAGCCCTGGTGGTGATATATTCCCTTGAGATTTGCTTCTCTGAAAAGAATCTGATTTCTCCTGCACTTTTGAAGGTTAGTTTGGACTGATATGAAATTTCGTGTTATAAATTCTAAGAATATTGAATATTGGCTTCCAATCCCTTTTGGCTTGTAGGGTTTCTGCTGGGAGGTTTGCTATTAGTCTGATTTGTAGGTGACGTGGTCTTTCCCTTTGGCTGCACTTAACATTTTTTCTTTTACTTCTACCTTGGAGAATCTGATAATTATGTGTCTTGGGGATAATCTTTTGGCGGAATATCTTACTGGGGTTCTCTTCATTTCCTGAATTTCAATGTTGACCTTTCTGGCCAGGTTGAGAATGTTATCCTGGATGATACCCTGAAGTATGTTATCAAACTTGGTTCATTCTCCCCATCTCTTTCATGTACCCCAGTCAGTCATAGATCCAGTCTCTTTACATAATCCCATATTTCTCAGTGGTTTTGTTCATTCCTTTTTATTATTTTTTCTCTCTTCTTGTCTGCCTGTCTTATTTCAGAGAGATAGTCTTCAAGCTCTGAGACTCTTCTTCACTTGGTCTATTCTGCTATTAGTACTCATGATTGCATTGTGAAATTCTTGTAGTTTGTTTATTAGCTCTAACAGGTTGGTTATGTTCCTCTCTAGACGGGTTATTTTGGCTGTAAGCTCCTGGTTTGTTTTATCATGCTTCTTAGCTTCTTTGCATTACATTACAATGTGCTCTTTTAGCTCAAAGAAGTTCATTATCATCCACATTCTGAAGCCTACTTCTGTCATTTTAGCCATCTCAGCCACAGCCCAGTTCTTGCTGGAAAGGTGCTGTGGTCATTTGGGGGAAAAGCAGCACTCTGAATTTTTGAGTTTTCAGTGTTTTTGCATTGATTCTTTCTCATTTTTGTGGACTTATCTGTACCTTTGATCTTTGAGGTTGCTGACATTTGGATGGAGTTTTTGTTGGGGGGTTTGTTGTTGCTGTTTTCTGTTTGTTTGCTTTTCTTTTAACAGTCTGGCCACTCTTCAGTCAGAGATGCTGTGATTTGCTGAGGGTCTGTTCCAGACCATAGTTGCCTCAGTTTTTCCCAGACATGGAAGTATCACCAGTTAAGGCTGTGAAACAGCAAAGATGGTAGCCTGCCCTTTCCTCTGGAAGCTCCATCCCAGGCGGGTACTGACCTATTGCCAACCTCTATGCATCTGTAAGAGGTGGCTGGAGACCCCAGTTTGGAGGTCTCACCCAGTGAGGAAGAATGGGATCAGGGACCTGTTAAAGCAGCAGTCTGACTGCTTTTTGGTAGAGGAGGTGTACTGTGTTAGCAGTCCCTTCAGTCCTTGATGTTTGGGCTCTCCAAGGCCCACAGACTGGACGAGCTGAGAAGCCTGAAGAGCCAAGGCAACAGCCTGCCCTGTCCCTCAGGCACTCTGTCCTAGGGAAAAATTATACCTTTGTTGGCCATAGAACACGGACAGGGGTGGCCAGAGGCCCCAGCTGGGAGGACCTTCCCCATGAGGAGAAGTGGATTGCAGTCCCACTTAAAGAAGCAGTCTGGTCGGGCGTGGTGGCTCATGCCTGTAATCCCAGCACTTTAGGAGGCCAAGGCGGGCAGATCACCTGAGGTCAGGGGTTCAAGACCAGCCTGACTAACATGGTGAAACCCCGTCTCTACTAAAAATACAAAAATTAGCCGGCATAGTGGTGGACGCCAGTAATCCCAGCTACTCAGGAGGCTGAGGTAGGAGAATAGCTTGAATCCAGGAGGCGGAGGTTGCAGTGAGCCGAGATTGTGCCATTGCACTCTAGCTTGGGTGACAGAGCAAGACTCTGTCTCAAAAAAAAACAAAGCACACAAAACAGTGTGTTGTGGTGGGGAACCACCTTTGCCCCTGTCAGCTTGGACTTTCAAAAGCCCACAGGTTGGAACAGCTGAGTCATCCAACCAACCCAGGTGGTGGCCCTCCTTCCCCTGGGCACTCTGTCTCAGGGAGAGATCAGAGCTCAGTCTCTAAGATGTGCAGGTGGGCATGGCTGGAGGGCCTGGTTGTAGGTCTCGCTTAGTGAGGAGGAATAGATTGGGGTCTTGCTTAAGGAAGCATAATTTGGCCATGATCTGGCCATGATCTGGCAAAGCCTCTGTGCTTCACTGGCATGACGCTTTCTTGTCTGTTTGGACTCTCCAAAGCCCACAGGCTAGAACAGCTTGGTTGAACAAACAGCAGAGATGGTGACCACCCATTTTGCTGGGGGCTCCATCCCATCTCACAAAGGCTCCACCCTGTTGCAAGTGGCTGGCTGGAATTCCAAGCCAGTTTGTCTTATCTATTGAGGTGCTGTGGAAGTGGGACCGATGGAATGATGCTGTTTGGCTCCTAGGAAGGTATGTGCAGGCCTTCCGACTTGCCTGAGTTGCAGACACATGTGTTGGGGATCCCAGGGCTGGACTATATAAAGCTCCTGGGTCTCTGTGTGTGCTTGAACAGCTGCTCCACCAAGATTCCCCACAGTTCTGTGTGTCGGACCCGAGGCCCTGATGGTGTGGGCTCACTAGGGGATCTCCTGATCTGCAGTTTGCAAAGATCCGTGGAAGAAGTGTGATTTCCCAGGGTCACACAATCACTCACTGCTTCCCTTGACTGGAGGTGAGGGCTCCCTTGGCTTTGTGTGGCTTCCAGGTAGGCCGTCACCCTGCCCTGTTTTTCTTCATTCTCCATCGGTCAATTTGTTTCCATGATCAGTCCCAGTATGAGTACCTGGATATTTTGGTTGAAGGTGCTGTATTCACTCATCCTTTTCGTTCTTCTCCATGAGCGCTGAGGACTGCAGCTGCTTCTAACTGACCATCTTGGCACTAAATCCTTAAGATTTGTTATAATGGATACAGGGATTTAGGTATAGTATAAATATATATAGGCATAATTATTAAGGTAATAGACCTCTCAGGACTCTTTCCTATACCATATTTAATGAGGTTTCTCTACTAGGCCTGGTGTGAATGAACTCTTCCTTCCCTTTTAAAAACCAGTAATTATTTGGCAATTGCTCCCTTGTGTCTCTTGGCATAGTCTTGAAAAGTAGTATTCAGTCCAAATTTCTTTGAGACAATCTGCAGATTTCTGCAGTTGTCCTTGCAGAGTCCTTCTCTTTGGCATTCTTCTCTAAAATTTCAGCCACCTCAGCCTCTGTGAACTCTGCTATCTTTTTCTTCAACTCAGCAAGATTGTTGGGCTCCATTTGGGTTCCCATACCTGCTCTGTAGCCCGAAGCTACCTCTCAGCAGTATTTTCAAGACAATCTACTGTTATGATCACAATCTTGTTTTCCATGATCCACTGTTTCAAAATAATTATTTCATATATTTTTTCTAGTTTTCTAATTGTCTACAATAGAAAGGTAATTGCAAAACAGTTCATTCATAATAGTTCAGGTGTAAAAGCAGAAGTTGCAAATATCCAAAATTTATACTTGTTAATCCACATAGCTTACTGAATTTTCTAACCAAATAACGTGTCCTTATCTATATCTGCTTTCACCATGCTCTAACGAGGATTTCAGATCTAGATGGTAATTTGGGGATGTGAGTTTGCTGAGCAACACTAAATATACTATACTCACCTTTTCCAAGTGATAGCTCTTTTATTAACATGGCCACCACTTACTAACAACTTCTGCTATTTTAATGGTAATGTAGATTCCTTGCCTTCTTTAGTTACTATTTCAATTTCATTCTTACACAAACATATGTACCTATTCTGCTGTTTTTTGAAACTCGATAAATCATACCTGTTACTTAATTTATCTTCATTCTGCCCTTTTCTTCTTATTATTCTAATCCCTTTTTGATATTTCCATTTCATCTTTAACACCAGATATCTAGTCGATCCATCTCTTTGTTCATTTCTATCTTTCCTTAACCCTGGAGTGAAACACCTTGATAGACCAGCTATTTCATTGTTGTTGTACTTAATAAAACTCTTGCTAGCATATATGATGGTCAGAGATGCTTGACAGTGAGTGATTACAATTTTATTGTAAGGCTATGTTGTTTGTAGAAAGAGTGTGAGTTTTATAACTAGAAAATGTGTTTCAAGTTTTATATTGTTATTACATAGGTATAACACTTAACCACAGAGTCTGTTTTCCTGGCCGTAAATGGAGATGAGTCTTTCCAAATTCCCAAACTACAGAATCTCTGAAATTTATATATTAAAAAAATCGTTGTTTTAAGTGTATAAGTTAAAGTATTTTATAGGTAGCAATAATAACTGGAAAAATAATGTGGAATCAATTCCTCAGATGCACTATTAGGTTCCCTTACTTGTAAATTGGGCATAATGGTAATGTCTATTTCAGGGGGCTTTGTAAAAATTAAATGTTATTTACAGAAAATAATTTATTAATAGTTGAATGCCTAGCATATAAAAGGTGCTTTGCAAATGTTAAATAACTTTTCTTCTTTTTTAGTTACTGTTGTTTGAAATAAGACTTATCTTTACAGGACATATGTGTAAGAAGAAAGATTCCTTGAACATCTGAGAAAATATGGACCAAAACTTTAAAGAATCCTTTCTTTAGTTTGGCTATTTGCTAAGGCTTAATATTATCAATAGTATGTTATTAACAAAAATTTTGTTAAAAACAAAGACTAAACAAGGAGGCATATAAAAGTTCACCAACAGCAAATGCTAAGGGAAGGTAAATTCACTTAACTCAAGGTTTTGACTTACATTTACCTGTAATGTTTTTGCCATAACCAATAATAAGCTACTGTTGAGAGAAAGTATACTTTCAGAGTTCAGATAAAGAATGCAAGGTAGTGAAATTGCTTATATTTAATAATTTCAAATAATGCTAACAGAAAACAGCTGTAATAGACTGATTTATAAGATAATATATTAATATGTTTTTATAAGACTTTTCTTTCAGTGTATCATGATTTTTATGCAGCCATTTTACTTTAGCACTTAGATTATTCCTTTGCTCAAACAAATCTATTCCATTATTGTACTTTTTGAATTATACATATATCTTTTTGTTCTCTTTATATAATACACAAATTGTCATGAGGATTGAAAATTTTAATTTGTTTTTCCACGGCATTGTTTGGCAATAAGTTAAAATAGGAAAATAAAAAAAGCATGAGTAAATTAGACTCTGATGACTGATTGAATGTGAGGATGGGTTTTGGAATGAAAGAAATTGTTATGATCACTCCAAGCTTATCACATTGACTAATTCTATGTATTTGTTTTCTGGTGACAGGAGCTGATGATCAGTTATGCCGAGAAAAAGCTATGTCTGTGGTGACAAGTGGGAGTATTTCAGAAGCTTCATGGGCTCATATGGAAGTTAATCTTAGGTGGGTAGCAGAGAAGGTGGTATGTGAGATAATGAAGAAAATTGAGAATACGTCAGTAAGAAAAAAATCTAGCAGAGAGAATGAGTTGAAGATGTTGGAAATAAATCTTTATGTCCTTAGAGATTATCCAAAGAAGAAACTGTGGTCTGTCACATGACCTCTCCCTTTGTTAATTCTGTGATGGCTTTTACAATATGTCAATTTGGCTAGGTTATTTTCTCTAGTTATTCAATCAAACACTAACTTGGGTGTTACTGTAAAGGTATTTTGCAAATCTAATTCAGCTCCCTAATCAGGTAACTTTAAGTAAGGTATATTATCCTGGATAATATGAGTAGGCCTGACTGAAGCAACTGGAAGGCCATAAAAGCCTTACTGAGACTTCTCCAAGGTACAAAGGAATTCCACCTGTGGATAATAGCTTTGGACCTTGTTCATAGACTTACATCTAGTTTAAAATCTTACTTTCTTGACTGTCTGTGGACAACAGCTTCAGCTTGTGCCCATAAATTCCAGCCTGCCCATAATCTTGCCTCCCAGACTGCCTGCCCTATGGAATTTTACTTTCTTAGCCAGGTTCCACAATTGCATAAGCCGATTCCTTATATTTAAATGTATTGTTTCACATGTATGTTAATAATATCATATAGTACTGCTTCTCTGGTAGAACCTGACTTATTTATCTTCAAGTTCTTTGATCTCCTATCCTACTACCTTATGCTCATGATGAAACCAAAACTCTAATTGAATCCAACATTCAATCAACTTTATGACACATATATTTAGAGTCATAAAAGATATCCCATTATAAGGCTGCATAACATGTTAGAGATAATAAATAAGAAAGAGATATAGATATTTGATACCTGCATGTTCTTCACAAACTGAACCCAACCATTAGACTTCTCTTTATCATGAAGAACTTAACGTCATCTAAAATCAGAAATGTGGAATATTTCTATAGGTGATTATATGGATTTTAAAAGTTAAGAATAAAAACCAAGACAAAATAAAAACACTTAGGATACACTAAATTATCTTTCTAACAAACTACTCAGTCTTCCTAGACAGTGGAACCTCTACTTTGTTTACTGTTTCCTTTCACTTTCTTATCAGACAATATTTTGGACTCTGAGAAACACCTTATTTAATAGTTAGAATTCTGTAACTACTATTTAGAAGGTAACATAAAATACAAATAATATATGTAGTGCATCTACATTTTTTCCTGATGAATGGAAAGCTTAATCAGTCTTAATCAAAATACTACAATTATTCATGCTAGTGTATGAATAATAATGGGATTTGCATTTTAAAGCCAAATGAATGAATCTTTAAAGTGAAAATTTCAGAAATCAGCAATTAAGTCAATTCAAGAGTGGTTAAAAAATGTGCCAAAATTCTGGGGACAGTACAATGGCTCTGCATCCAGGATATAATTATAAATGTGGTGACAGTGAAGGCACATACACAATATTCAAAGCTCCTGGCAGCTTCTCTGTTGACAACCCTACTCCCTCTTTTTCTATCCTTATTCGTGGTAAATGGTCCTTTTTTATCAGAACCAGGTAGGCTTAACAATGAGATGCAGCTCTCCCAGGATCCTAACGAAAGTGCATTCAAGTGATCCTACCTTGCTCCTCAATTTTCTACTTTAGTTTCTGAAATTGACTCAGTCTTTCATTGTGGTGCTTTATCCTTAATGCCATTGGCCATACCCTTTTTCCTAAAACTCCAAATAACTTGGAAACCCAGAAATTAAAAAAATATTATCCTGAATTACTTATCATGACATAATGCACTTAAAGTAAAATCTAGGTTTATTTAAAAAAACAAAGAAGAAGAAGAAGAAGAAAACTGAAGGTATCACACGACCAGACTTCAAAATATGCTACAAAGCTACATAACCAAAATAAGTTGGTAATGGCACAAAACCAAACACATAGATCAATGGAACAGAATGGAGAACCCAGAATAAATCCAAGCATTTACAGCCAACTCATTTTCAACAAAGATGCCAAGAACAGATATTAGGGAAGACAGTCTCTTCAATAAATTATGCTGGAAAGTTGGATATTCATATGTACAAGATTAAAACTATACCCCTATATTTTGTAATACACAAAAATAAAAATGGATTAAAGACTTACATGTAAAACTGAAAATTATACAAGTACTAGAAGAAAATATAGGGGAAATACTTCAGGACATTGATTTGGGCAAAGATTTAATGGGCCAAAGATTTTATGGGCAAAAAAACAAAGGCAACAAAAGCAAAAAAATAGTACTATATAAAATTAAAAAGCATCTTCACAGCAAAGAAAACAATCAGCAGAATAAAGAGATAACCTGCAAAACGGGGAAATATTTGCAAACTATTCATCTGAGCAGAGATTAATAACCAGAAGTCACCAGGAACTCAAACAATTCAATAGCTAAAAACAAATCATCTGATTTAAAAAATGGGCAAAACTTCTAAATATACATTTCTCAAAGAAGTTGTAAAAATTGTCAATAAACATAAAAAAATGCTCTACATCCCTAATGATCAGTGAAATGCCAATGAAAACCATACTGAGATATTATCTCACCCCAGATAGAATGGGTATTAAAAAATATTTTAAAAAACACAAATATTGGCAAGGAGAATGGGAATGGAGATGTGAAGAAAAGATAATTCTTATACATTGCTGATGGGAATGTAAATTAGTATAGCCATTATGAAAAACAGTATAAAGTTTTCTCAGAAAACACTAAAAATAGATCTACAATATGATCCAGCAATCCCACTACTGGGTATTTATCCAAAGGAAAGAAAATCAGTTTATCAAAGAGGTATCTGTACTTCCAATGTTTATTGCAGCACTATTCACAATAGCCATGATACATAATCAACCTAAGTGTCTATCAAAAGATGACTAGATAAAGAAAATGTGGTATGTATGTATACACACACACAAACACACACCTCCCCTCACACACACACACCCCTAAGGGAATACTACTGAGCCATAAAAAAACTTAAATTCTGTCATTTGAGGCAACATGGATGATCATGGAAAACAATATGATAATTGAAATAAAAGTCAGACACAGAAAGAAAAATACTGTGGGTTCTCACTCATATTTGGAAGCTAAAAAGTTGATCCCATAGAACTATAAAGAATAGTGACTACTAGAGGCTGGGAAGGGGAGAAGAGGGCTTAGAGAATGGTTGGTTAATAAATACAAAATTACAGCTAGATAAAAGGAATAAGTTCTATTGTTCTATAGCACTGTAGGATGACCACAGTTATTAATAATTTATTGTGTATGTTCAAATAGCTAGAAAAGATTTTGAATGTTCCCAAAACAAAGAAATAATACATGTTTGAGGTGATGAATATAATAATTATCCTGATTTGATCATTACACATTGTATACATGTATCAAAATATCACTCTAGGAGAAGGCAGAGAAGGATGACCAACTGGAAGCCTCCAGTGATTGTCCTTCTATATTAGTCTGTTTCCTTATTGCTGTAAATAAATACCTGAGACCAATTAATTAATAAAGAAAATAGGTTTAATTGACTCATGATTCCACAGGCTGTATAGCAAGCATAATGCTGGCATCTGCTTAGCTTCTGGGGAGGCATCAGGGAGCTTACAATCATAGCAGAAGTTGAAGTGGGGGACCAGCACAACTTACATGGCAGAATCAGGAGCAACAGAGAGAGAGGAGGGAGGTGCTATGCACTTTTAAACAACCAGCTCTCATGAGAACTCACTATTATGAGAAGAGCACCAAGGGTATGGTGCTAACTCATTCATCAGAAACCATCCCCATGATCCAATCACTTCCTACTAGGCCCCATCTTCAACACTGGGGATTACAATTAGACATAAGATTTGGGTGGGAACACAGATCCAAACCATATCATTCTGCCCCTAGCTACCTCACCACCACAAATTTCATGTCTTTTTCCATTGCAAAATGCAATAATTTATTCTCAACAGTCTCCCAAAATCTTAAGTTACTTCCACATTAACTCAAAAGTCCAAAGCCTCATCTAAGAAAAGGCAAGTCCTTTCCACCAATAAGCCTGTAAAATCAAAAACAAGTTAGTAACTTCCAAGATAAAATGGAGATGTAGGCATTGGGTAAATTCTCAATTCCCAAAGGGAGAAATCAGCTAAAAGAAAGGGGATACAATTCCCATACAAGTCCAAAACCAAGGAGAAACACTATGTAGAAGCTGTCAAAGCTTATGGCTTTTACCCTCTGAAGCAGTGGCCTAAGCTGTACCTGGACCCCTTTAAGCCATGGCTGAAGCTGGAGTGGCTGGGATTCAGGGAGCAACATCCAGAAGCTCCCCAGGACAGCAGAGCACTGGATGTGGCCCACAAAACCATTTAGTCTTCCTAGGCCTCTGGGTCTGTGATAGGAGGGGCTGCTGCAATGGTCTCTGAAATACCTTTGAGACCCTTTTCCCATTGTCATGGCTATCAGCACTTGGCTTTTTTTTTTACTTATGCAAATTCATACAGCCTACTTGAATTCCTCCCCTGAAAACGGGCTTTTCTTTTCTACCACATGGTCACATTACAAATTTTCCAAACTTTTTTGCTCTACTTACCCTTTAAATATAAGTTCCAACTTTACATAATTTCTTTGCTCACACATATGAGCTTAGGTTATTAGAAGCAGCCAGGTCACATCTAGATTCTCACTTTTCCCATTGTTATTCAATATTGTACTGAAAGTCTTAGCTAGAGCATTCTGGCAAGAGAAAGAAATAAAGCACACCCAAATTGGAAAAAAGAAGTCCAATTATCATTGTTTGCAGATCATATGAGCTTATGTTTAGAAAAAAAATCTAAGAATCCACCAAAAAAATTTGAAACCATAAACAAATTCTATAAAATCAAGATCATAAAAAATCAGTGGCATTTCTATACAACAGCAGTGAATAGTCTGAAAAAGAAATAAAAAAGCAACCCCATTTATAATAACCATGAATAAAATTAAATACCTAGGAATTAACCAAAGAAGTGAAAGATCTCTAAAATAAAAACTATAAAACATTCATGAAAGATACTGAAGAGGACACAACACAATGGAAAGATATTCTATTTTCATAAATTAGAAGAGTCAATATTGTTAAAATATCCATACTATCTAAAGCAATCTATAGATTCAGTGCAATTCCTATCAAAATACCAATGACATTTTTTCACAGAAATAGAAAAAATAATTCTCAAATGTGTATTGAACCACAAGACACTCAGAGTAGCTACAGCCATCCTGAGCAAAAGGAACAAAACTCAATGAATGACTTTACCTAACTTAAAATTATACTATAGAGCTATAGTAACCAAAATAGCCTGGTACTGGCATAAAAACAGATACATAGACCTATGTTAACAAAACAGAAAACCCAGAAACAAATTCACATACCTATAGTGAATTCATTTTTCACAGAGGTACCAAGGACATGCATTTGGGAAGGTCTCTGCAATAAATGGTGCTGGGAAAACTGGATATCCATATGCAGAAGAATGAAACTAGACTCCTATCTCTCACCCTAAACAAAAATCAAATCAAAATGGATTAAAGGCTTAAATATAAGAACTGACCAGGTATGGTGGCTCACGCCTGTCATCTCAGCACCCTGAGAGGCTGAGGCGGGTGGCTTGAGCCCAGGAGTTAGAGACCAGCCTTGACAACATGGTGAAACCCCATCTCTACTAAAAAAATTTAAAAAAGCAGAAGCCTACCTCTAGTCCCAGCTATCTGGGATGCTGAGGTGGGAGAATCACCTGAGCAAGGGGAAGTCAAGGCTGCAGTGAGCTGTGATTGTGCCACTGCATTCTAGCCTGGATGATGGAAATGACACTCTGTCTCAAAAGTAATAAAAATTTTAAAAATAAATATAATAACTGCAACTATAAAACAATTACAAGAAAACAGTGGAAAGATTTCTAGGACATTTGTCTGGGCAAGGATTTCTTAATACCAACAAGCACAATCACCTCAAAGCACAGATGAACAAATGAGATCACATCTTCTACACAGCAAAAGAAACAATCAACAAAGCGAAGAGATAACCCACAGAATAGAAGAAAATATTTGCAAACTACTCATCTGACAAGGGATTAATAACCTGAATATATAAGGAGCTCAAAAAAGAATATATAGAGAGCTCAACTCTATAGGAAAAAATAGTCTTACTTAAAATGTTCAAAAGATCTGATTAGACACTTTTCAAAAGAAGACTTATAAATGGCAAACAGGCATAAGAAAAGGTGCTCAGCCTCACTGATCATCAGAGAAATGCAAACCAAAACTACAATGAGATATTATATCACCCAGTCAATAGCTTTTATCCAAAAGACGGGCAACAACAAATTCTGGAGAGGATGTGGAGAAAATGGAATCTTCATACACTCTTGGTGGGAATATACATTAGTACAACCACTATAGAGAACAGTAGGGAGGTTCCTCAATAAACTAAAAACAGAGCTATCGTATGATCCAGCCATCTCACCACTGGGTATATACACAAAAGAAAGGAAATAAGTATGTCTAATAGATACCTGCATTCTCATGTTTATTGTTGCATTGCTCAAAATAGCCAAGACTTAGAAGTAACCTAAGTTTCCATCAACTGATGAATGGATGAAGAAAATGTAGTACATATCCATGATGGAGTCCTATTCAGACATGAAAAGAATGGGATCCTGTTCATTTGCAACAACATGGATAGAACTGGAGGATATTAAAAATAAGCCAGGCAAATAAAGACAAACTGCATGTTCTCACTTATTTGTGGGAGCTAAAAATTAAAGCAATTGAACTCGTGGAGATAGAGTGTTGAATGATAGTTACCAGAGGCAGGAAAGGCTAGTAGGAGTGTAGGGTGGAAGTGAGAATGATAATGGGTAGAAAATATAGTAATTGTACAGTTTAAATAACAGTACAGTTATTTAATATAACTATATTATATGTATATTAATATATACTATATTATATAATATATGTATGTTAATAAAAATATTAACATAAAATAAGTTATTAATATAACTGTAATATAAATGTACAGTTTAAAATATCTAAAAGAGTATGATTGAATTGTTTGTAACACAAGGATAAATGCTTAAGGTGATGGATACCCTATTTACCCTGATGTCATTATTATGCATTTTATTCTTGTATCGAAATTTCTCATGTACCCTATAAATATACACATCTACTATGTACCCAAAAAATTAAAAATTAAAAAATCACTCTGTCACTCTGTACTTCTGTACAATTATTAAATGTCAATTTAAAATAAAATGTAAATATTTAGCTGTATTTTAATTATGAACAAGATTTGCCCATTATGAATTAATTCTCTATTATTTAAACTTTATAAATCTTTAGGCTAGCCCATAAGTAGACCAGTTGTGAAACTGTGTAAATGTAGTTAAAGTAACTTTAGCCATTCAATCAATCACTGATGGGCTTCATTTAAGTGAGTTTTTCCTTCATCCTTTTAGTAAACAATTCTTTGTTTAGAATAGTGATTTTATGTTGAGTCTGCTTGAATAAACCAAAGTTGTTTCCCAGAATCCTTTCATTTGCCATAGTCCTGGCTTAGAGTTGGCCGAAAGAAAACTTTGCACAAGATTTAAAAGTCAAATATGAAACAGTCAACTTGTTTCCTGATGTGGTTTTGGTTAGATGTGGTGGCATATGCCAAGGGGCCAACTATTGAAATTTTCTTCACCCTCCTCTACCCAAAATACAGCTTATCTCAAATGTCAGCCCTGCTGACCAGTGATAATGCCAGCCCACTACACAGCGCAGAGCTAAATAGCCTTCTGTAGACTTGTCCACACACTACCATACCTCAAACTCTCAACCAGGTGTGCCTGGCTCCTCAGATCTTCCTGTAAGCTCCAACTTGTTCATTCATGTTAAAGCTTTACAATGGCTGGTAGTCATTTTTCTTTGAACCTCCAAGTATTTTTTTCCATACTTTAACTCTTTCATGTCTTCCCACAGTTGTTTAAGGTCTATAATGTTCTATAAGTCCCTGATTTCATAATAATTACAGTGGTTCTGCTTTCTTGTTTGAAGCCTGTCAGAAACACTTGTCTGCATAATTGGTTCCTGGAAACAGAAATTTAAAGATGAGAATCTGAAATATGTTTTCTTAGCTGATTATCCTGTTGGATTAATAACCCTGTTGCCAGTAGTAAAGGAAACACTAGTAATCTATGGCACATGGTGAAAAAAAGGTATTAAAATTATTATCTGTCGGTAGCTGCAATCAAGTGACTATGGAAGGAAAAGCTTTGCGTGATTAAATGGTTAATATCATGGAATGTATTAATGAAAAGAGTTTATTTTGGTTGGCTTATTGCTTCTAAGTGCACTGAAGAACGTAGAGAAATGAAATTTTGAGTTCTGGGATTTAAAATTCCAACTTAAAATCTGCTGGGACAGAAAGTCTTTACGACTGCTCTGAAAGAAAAGTCCTTTGTCTTCTGACTGCAGGAATGCAATTGCTGAAAAACAGGTCCAAAAACTGACCTTTCAGGTAGCTTAATTAAACTCAAATTGGATCAGACTCTTTCAGCCTCTCTTACATTAAACCTGGGTATTGATTGAGAAAGAATGGATGGGATCCTTAAAATCAGAGTGGGGAAATATGAGATGATTTAATTGTTTCAGTAAGTCGTTTGCCAGCAGAAATATCACTTCCTCCTCATTGAGGAGTTTAGTCTTCCTTTGCCTAAGGAAACTTTATTAGTCCCCCCTGAGATAATTGCCTTCAATGGAATTTTGGTCCTCCAGAATTATCCCTGCCCCTTCTGCATTTTTTCTACTCAGTACCTAGTAGGCACTAGGGGGCAAGGTAAAAAGTGGGACCTGTGAGGAGATACAAAACACACCAAAACAACTGAAAAATTTTGCTAGCACATATCCACAGAAATCTCAAGAATATGTATAAATTTGCATCATAAGGATGTTGCATTGCGGGGGAAGGAATATAATACTGGAGCAGGCAGAATTTGTTGATATTGGTACATGAAACAAAAATTCTGAAATCAATGTGCTATCTTGAGCAGCAGGAAGAGGCTCCAATATTTTCCCTAAGAACAAAATATTAGGAGGAAGGTGGAGGAACCTAGGAGAGCCATCAGATCTTGATGCAAGTCTTATCTCTATGGAAGAGAGAAGAAAGGGAAGAAGGTTGAGCAGGCAAGGAAATAAATTTAAGTAGAAAAAGTCTCAGAATGTGGTGTGGTTCTTAGAAAAGCTTGGTAAATCTGATCACAAGTCCTTTTACTAACATAATCTATTACAGGAGTCCCATGTCTTCCAGGAATACACCTGCCCTTGTATCTCTGCCACACTCAGTCTTTGGCTGTGAGCAGTCCATGAAAAGTGTGGTTTCCATGTGAACACAGTGATAAATTT
This sequence comes from Homo sapiens, assembly GCF_000001405.40. Classification (NCBI taxonomy): domain Eukaryota; kingdom Metazoa; phylum Chordata; class Mammalia; order Primates; family Hominidae; genus Homo; species Homo sapiens. Next base: position 36,013,650 of record NC_000003.12, read on the forward strand.
CAGAACACAGCAGTGGGAGTTATAGGTCAATTATGTTCCCTGCAGCTGCAGACCTGAGAGGCCCAGTTTCATGGCTGCCATACGATGAAGTGATTAAAATGTTTAATTCACTAAGAAAACATAATAATTCTTAAAATGTATGTTTTATTCTCACAATATATAAAGAAGAAAATATCATTGAACTAGAGAAAGACATTTCTACCACAGTAGATTATACCACACTTCTACTAGTTATGGCTAGATAAAGTAGACAAAAAAGAATCCAATAATGGACCCAACTATTAGCCCTAAATATTCTTCTCAATCACACTTGTCATATTTATAAAAATTGGTCATATACTAGTTTAAAAATCAATCCACAATAAATTTTAAAGAATACATATCATACAGGTGACACTTTCTGGCAACAATGCAATTAAATTGGATGTTAATGACTAAAAATTGAAATAAAAAATCACAAGCAAGTATTTGGAATTTTAAAACAATTTTAAATAACTCATGGGCCAAAGAATAAACTATAAAGGAAATATTAAGGTAGACATGGAGAAGACAAGCATGTCTATCACCAGGGAGTAGACAGGTTTCTCCTCAGCATCAGATAACTAAGAATCTTTATCTTTTTCTTTCATCTTACAGATCCCAAGTCCTTGTTCTGCAGGGTCCTCATCAACACTGAGCAGCTGAGCAAGTATGGAGACAGGTACTCCTTTCCTGAGATGATCATGTTTGTCCCTGGTGTAGTAGGTAAATAACTGACCCTAGAATTCAAATTCTTACACCTGGGTTCAAATTCCAATCACATCACCCAAATTTTGTGAACAAGGACAGATGACTCCATGTCATTGAATCTCAAGTTTCTCATTTGTAAAATGGATTAATAAAAGTGATATCATTGAGTTGCTGTAAGGCAAATGTAAGTTAGAGCCTTTAACTTGCTGTAAGTTAGAGTCTTTATACAATAGGAGATATTTAGAAAATGCTAAGTATGCATGATTTTCTTTTCCCGGGTTTGAATTCTTAGTATTTGGCTATACAAGCTAGATAGATCCTTATTCATGTATTCAGTTCAGCCTTGTACCGAACTGAGGTTCATCTTAAGTTTAAAAAGCTTTTGAGATTAATTTAGTAACCTGACCAATATCTGTGTACTTATTTCCAAGTTCTCACTTAGTTGAGGGACAAGATCTCAGCTTAATCATCTCTGTCATCAAAAGATGTGGCTGGGCACAAAGTAGAAATTTGAAGCCTAAATACTGAATAGATGAACGAACAAATGGTTTCTAAAAGTGTACTTGTATGTGGGAACTGCTAGTAGATATTATTAGACTTTCCTCTCCACCTGACTGAAATTCAATTTTGAGGGTTCATACTCTTTGATCAAAACCCTCTCAAGTTCCTTCACACTTGGATAGAATATATTGAGTAGTTTCAAAGAGGAAATTTATTTTTCATGAACAGATTTTTTGATATCCACTCTCAAAAGTGTCTGAAGTTAGTGAAAATACAGTGAGACCCTCTCTCTAAGCACCACTACCTTATACAAAATCCTTTATATTTGATTTAGATTCAGTTTGTGCTAGGACTTTAAAGTATATTGGTTTAGATCAGTATTTCTCAACCTTAACACTGTTGACATTTGGGGCCAGATCATTCTTTGTCGGGGGGAGGTGGCTGTCCTGTGCATAGTAGGATGATTAGCACCTTCCCTGACCTCTACCCATTAGATGCCAGTAGCAAGCCCACCCACCCACACTGCTATGACAGCCAGAAATGCCCAAACATTGCCAAATATTCCTCTGGATGACAAAAGCGTTCCCTGCTTAGAAACACTTCTTTAGAATGATTTTTGCTATAGTATAGATATAAGCTTTCTCAAAAGTTGAAGTGAGTGGTATATCATCAACCCTGGAATCTATTGTTGAAATTTATGATTGTTTAAGTTAATGTCTCAATCCAATCAGAAAACTCTCACCCTAAACTGGCAAGTGCTATTTTTTGCCAAATTATCATATTGAGGGTACTAAGTCTTTAACAAAAAGTCACTTACTGAATGTAGATTATGATAGCTTCTACACTCTGTGTGTGTGTGTGTGTGTACACATCATACATAAATGAAGGCATATATCACAATTAATGTATATTCTTGAATACGTTGCTAAGTTTTAGTTATGTCATCTGTTAATCCTTTAGAAGGATTGGTCTAACATTTTCCACTTCAGTTATGTTTCTGTAAACAATTTCATGCAAAGTTACTCAACACATCTATAGTCTAAAAGGTTACAATGTTTTGCGTCTTATTCCACCTAATCTGATAGAAATATTACAATATAATGTTATTTTTACACATTTGATGACACACCTCTGCATATACTTTTAATTTTTACCTTACTATTCCACTCTGTTTTTGTCCTTATTATACTAGGGTATAATATAGTCCAAATTATACTAGGGTATAATTTGATTTTGTTTTTGACCCATTAAGAGTATCTGTCATTTAATAAGAAAACTGAATCTATTTATTCATGTTATAACAGGTATGTTTTGCTTTACTTTCACCATGTTGTTCCATTCAAGTTTCCTCTGAATTCATACTCTTTCAATGGGGAATTTATTTACTTTGCTCTTACCAACTCTACTGCTTTAGAACTTATATTTTTTATTCTTAATTCTACTAATAGTCACCAAAGTTTTTCCATCAGTTTCTAAGAGTGTTTTATAATTCTTTTAATTTTTACATTATATATTTTGGTTTATAATATCAGGTGCATATGAATTCAAATAATGTATTTCTGGTGAATTACTCCTTTTGTTATTAAAAATGTCTCTCTTGTATCCATTAAAAATATTTCTACCTTCTAAGACTTTTTCTCTCAACAACTTCCTTTGATTAGTAAGTTTTGCACTGCTTCTCATTTCCCATTACTATTTTTCCGTGAAAATTTTTTATTTTATTTAATTTTGTTTTTATTGCATATTTTAAGATATAAGGCACTATGTTTTTATATACATACTTGCAGTGAAGTAATTACTACAGACTAATAAATTAACATACCCACCATCTCACATAGTTGTCTTTCTTTTCTTTTCTTTTTTTGTGGTCAGAGTACCTAAAATCCACTCTGAGCACATTTTCAGTACACAATAAAATATTAACTATTGTCCTCATGTTGTACATTAGATCTCTGCACTTATTCATCCTACATAACTGAGACTTTGTACCCTTTAACCTACGTCTTCCCATTTCCCCCATCTCAACCCCTGTTAAATACCATCCTACTCTCTTTCTATGCATTCAATGTATTTATTTATTTATTTTAGATCCCACATATAAGCGAGATCATGTAGTATTTTTCTTTTTGTGTCTGGCTTACTTCACTTCACAGAATGTCCTCTAAGTTCATCATCCATGTTGTCTTAAATGCTAGGATATTCTATTTTGAAGCTGAATAGTATTTCATTAAGTATATGTGTAGAGATATATATATATCCCAAATTATTTATATCTGTTCATGGATACTCATATTGTTTGCATGTCTTCACTATTGTGAATAATGCTGCAATAAACATAGAAATGCAGGTATCTTTACAGGGTGGTGATTTCGTTTCTTTTGAATATACACCCAGAAAAGGGATTGCTGGATCATATAGTAGTTCTATTTTTAATTTCATTAGGAATCTCTATACTGTTTTCCACAGTGGCTGCACCAATATACATTCTCGCCAACAGTGTAGAAAGGTTTCCCTTTCTCCAAACTCTCGCTAACACTTATGTCTTGTCTTTTTGATAAAAGCCATCCTAACAGTTGTGAGCTGATATCTCATTATGGTCTTGATTTGCATTTCCCTGATGATTAGTAGTGTTGAGCATTTTTCATATACCTGTTAGCCATTTTTATGCCTTCTTTGAAGAAATGTTTATTTAGGTCCTTTGCCCATTTAAAAAAACAGGTTATTCTGTTTTTCTGCTATTTAGTTGAGCAGATTCCTTCTATATTGTATTTTGAATTAACTCCTTATCAGATATATAATTCACCAATGTTTTCTTCCAATCTGTAGGCTGCCTTTTTATTTTGTTGATTATGTCCTTTGCTGCACAGAAGCTTTTTAGTTTGATGTAATCTCACTTATTTATTTGTGCTATTGTTGTTTGTTCTTTGGTATCATATCCAAAAAATAATTGCCAAGACTGACGCCTAAGAGCTTTGCCCCTATGTATTCTTATAGAAGTTTTATGGTTTCAGGTCTTATGTTTTGGTCTTTACTCCATTTTCAGTTGATTTTTGTATATTGTGTACAATACAGGTCCAATTTCATTCTTTTGCATGTAAATATCTAGTTCCCCAGCATCATTTGTTGAAGATACAATCCTTTCCCCATGGTATCTTCTTGGTGCCTTTGTCAAAGATTAGTTGACTGGATATGTGTGAGCTTATTTCTGGGCTCTCTATTCTGTTCCACTGGTCAATGTGTCTGTTTTTGGGTTAGCACCACACCATTTTGATTATTATAGATTTGTACTCAATTTTGAGATTAGATTAGCTTGATGTCTCTAACTTTGTTCATTTTCTCGAGATTGCTTTGGCTATTCAGGGTCTTTTGCGGTTCCAGATAAACTTTAGGATAGATTTATTGTTGTTGCTGTGAAAAATATCATTGAAATTTTGATAGGGATTGCATGGAATCTGAATAATATTTTGGTTAGTATGGGCATTTTTAACAATATTAATTTTTCCAACCCATGAATACAGGATAACCTCCTTGGTTAAATTTATTCCTAGTTTTTGTACATATTGTGAAAGAGATTGTTTTCTTAATTTTGTTTTCAATGGCATGTTCTTAATGTACAGAAACACTAGTAATCTTTGTACGTTGATTTTGCATTGTGCAACTTTATCGAATTCATGTGTTCTAATAAATTTTTGATGAAGTCTATAAGGTTTCCTATAGATAAGATTGTGTTATCTGCAAACAGGAACAATTTAACTGCTTTTTTTTTTCCAATTTAGATGCCTTTTATTTCTTTATTTTGTCTAATTTCTCTGGCTAGGACTTCTGGTACTGTGTTGAATAGAAATGGTGAGAGTGGGCATCCTTGTCTTATTCCTGATCTTAGGCAAAAAACTTTCAACTTTTTTCCATTCAGTATGTTTAGCTGTGGGTTTGTCATATACGGCCTTTATTATGCTGAGATATATTCCTTCTATATCTAATTTGTTGACATTTTCCCTCTTATTTTTAATTAACATGTAATAATCGTACACATTTATGAGATACAGAGTATTCTGATACATGCACATAATATATAATGATTAAATCAGGATAATTAGCATATCTACCACTTAAAACATTTATCATTTCTATTTGTTGTAAACATTCTGAATCTTGTCTTATAGCTTTTTTCAAAATATACACTAAATTATTGTTAACCATATCCACTCTACAGTGCTAAAGAACCCTAAAACTTATTCCTCCCATCTAGCTGTAATTTTGCATCCCTTAACCAACCTCTTTCTATTTTTCCCTTTCCCTACCCTTTCCAGTCTCTAGTAACCATAATTCTACTCTCTAATCCTATGAAATTGATGTTTTAATTCCTATATGACTGAGAACATGCAATATTGATCTTTCTGTGCCTAACTTATTTCACCTAACGTAACATCCCCCAAGCTCATCCATGTTGCTGTGAATAATAGGATTTCATTTGTTTTATGGCTAAATAATATTCCACCCTGTTTATATACCCCTTTTCTTTATCCATTTGTCTGTCGATAGACACTTAAGTTGATTCCATATTTGGCTATTGTGAATACAGCTGCAATGAATATAGGGTTACAGATATCTCTTCAATATACCGATTTATCCTTTAGATAAATATCTAGTAGTGAGATTGATGGATGGTATAACAGTTGTTGAATTTTATTTTTCAACTTTCTAATTTTTAAATAACTTTAGACACTTATCAAAACCAGAAATATATCATTGATGTAATTCTATTAATGAAACATTCAACTTTATTTGAATTGTGCCAGATTTTCTATTAATCTCCCCTTTAGAATTCTACTTAGGTTCAACATTGCATTCAGTTATTTCTCCTTTAGTCTCTTTCAATTTGTTTTTTTTTTATTCAAGAAGATAGTTTTTAAATGTATATTTATTAGCATAATTTCTAAGTTTTGTTTTCAATTACTCTAGTTTTTTATTCTTGCATTTATATTTCTGCAGTATTTGTTTTCTGTTATTTTAATATGGCCTTTTAATATTTACAGTTGTCCTCTAGATATTTGAAAGAAATTTATCTTATTTGCAGTTCTATTAGGGGTTAAATTTGGTTAAAATTATCTCCCTGATAGTTCTCTAATTAGCCATATTACATAAAAACTTTTCTTACTGTTCATCCATTTATTAAGGTATTTCATCACCCTGCTCCAAGTTTTTATGGGTATGATCTGGGGGTTTTAATACAAGTTATTTTATTCATTTATTATTTTATGATGTAATTTATGCTTTGTATTTACTTTGTTTTCAGTTTTGCTCCCTGTTGCTTATGTGTTTTAAAACCTAGAGACTGTCAAACAGAAAGTTTTCAATAATTAATTGTTGATTTAAATTATCATATTTTCACCAGTTTTCTGGACCTGAATCTTTCAAAATTTGTTTTGAAACTTATCCATTAATCTTTCCCTGTCATAGTTTCTCCAATTTGATTTTTTTCCTTCCAGCTCATTGGCATTAAGACTTTTAAAGATATGTTGAAATAATCAAATATTTCAGGCAATATTACATATTTATAAGTACTTTCTATTGTGCTACCATCTGAAATATAATTTGGCTAAGTTTAAAATTATTCCATCATCAATACCTACCCCTCCCAAAAATATTCTTTACATTGTTTCTATATCTCTCACAACTTGTGTTGCAGAGCAGAAGTCAAATGTTTTTAATCCTTTTCTAATGTTCTAGATGAATGTAGAATGATTTCCTTTTAATTTTATAATTCAAGCATTTTACCTGACTAATTTTAGATGTGAGTTTTCTTTTCAGTAATTTTTCTATTGCTTGGTTGCTCCTTTCACACTTCACACATCTTTCCTCAACTGAGAAATTTTTTCAATTCTATTTTTGAATAATTTTGTGATCTTGCCATACAAATCTCTTGTTCATAACTCCGAGTTTCTACAGGTTAGATTTCTGTTCTCTGTTTATCAGACCTGTTATTTTCTGTCATTGGTTCTTTTTGTCATTTTTCTTGTATATTCTGCAAGAATCTACCAGTTTGACCTGCATGTCATTCATTCACTTTTTTATTTGTTTGTTTCTGTATATTCTAACTCATATGTGAGGGCTAAAAAAGTTTATCTCAAGGTGGTAGAGAATAGAATGGTGGTTACCAGAGGCTAAGAAGGGTAGGGGAGAAAATGGCATGAAGAGAGGTTGGTTAATGGGTACAAAGATACAGTTAGGTAGGTACAGTTCTAGTGTTCGATAGCACAGTAAGGTGACTACTATTAATAAGATGCTGTTGTATATTTTAAAAATAGCTAGAAGAGAAGATTTTGAATGTTTCTAACACAAACAAATGTTAAATGTTTGAGGTGATGAATATCTCAATTACCCTGATTTGATCATTAGACATTGTAGGCATGTATCATTCACTTTTAATTGAATCAATTTGATTCTCTATTAAATCAAAATCAAGTATAGAAGAAAGTTTCTGTGTTTTTAGTTTTGAATATCTTTCTTGATATTATTTAGCTCCTTTTGTATTTCATACTGATATTTCCCTTTGGAACATGGTCTGCTTACCACGTGTTGGCAATAGCAGTAATAGTTTACAGCATGCTAAATATACACTGAGGATGCTGACTATCCATTGAGGACATTATATCCATTACCTTATGCAATTGTCATTATAAGTGTAAAATGTAGGTTTTGTAATTGTCCACATTTTACACATTAGGTATCTGAGTCACTGTGTAACTTAACTTGTTCAGAGAAACCCAACTCGGAAATGGAGAATCAAGAGAGACATTGATTCAGGCCAATGTCAGTATCTGATTTCAGCATAACAATACTGAGTTTTCAAAGTATCTATTAATTTACCTGACATTTATAGTTAATCCTTAGACTGAAATGTCTGTGTCTTCTGAATCATGAATCACATTCATTTTCCTGTAGTATTATATAAATACCTGTGTAGTGTTTTAAAAGTTAATACTTCAATCGGGTCAATTTTTTTAGACTTAATATTTGCAACACAAAGGAGACAGACTCTACCATTAGCTAAATTCCCTGTCTGGTGGTTCACAATGCACACACCATGTGTCTAGAACTAGAGAACAAACTGACATACACAGCACCTAACATGTGACCATTTCTGCTTCATGGAATTGAGTGACCACCTTCTTCCCTCCTGTTTGCTTCTCGGACACTCTGATCCAATGAAAAATATGACAAACTATGCTCTTCCATATACACTACTTCCAGAGTTCTTTTCTCTGTCTTTACCTACAGTATTTACTTTATAGGAGCCCCACATCTCAGGATAAATGTCACCATGCCAAAATTCCTCCTACTTTATATCTTGTTTTGTTTGTTTGTTTGTTTGTTTGTTTAGATTTGCTGTTGCACAATGAATATAGAAAAGAGGAGCAAGGCACAAATGAGAGAAGGAAAAGAAGGAATAATATTGTTGCTAACTAGAAAAATCCATTCCTTTGTAATGGAATGAAAGTTTTTTGTTTGCTTGCTTTTTGGGTTTTTTTATTATACTTTAAGTTTTAGGGTACATGTGCACAACGTGCAGGTTTGTTACATATGTATACATGTGCTATTTTGGTGTGCTGCACCCATTAACTCATCATTTAACATCAGGTATATCTCCTAATGCTATCCCTCCCCTCTCCCCCCACCCCACAACAGGCCCTGGTGTGTGATGTTCCCCTTCCTGTGTCCATGTGTTCTCATTGCTCAATTCCCACCTATGAGTGAGAACATGCGGTGTTTGGTTTTTTTGTCCTTGAGATAGTTTGCTGAGAATGATGGTTTCCAGCTTCATTCATGTCCCTACAAAGGACATGAACTCATCATTTTTTATGGCTGCATAGTATTCCATGGTGTATATGTGCCACATTTTCTTAATCCAGTCTATCATTGTTGGACATTTGGCTTGGTTCCAAGTCTTTGCTATTGTGAATAGTGCTGCAATAAACATACGTGTGCATGTGTCTTTATAGCAGCATGTTTTATAATCCTTTGGGTATATACCCAGTAATGGGGTGGCTGGGTCAAATGGTATTTCTAGTTCTAGATCCCTGAGGAATCGCCACACTGACTTCCACAATGGTTGAACTAGTTTACAATCCCACCAACAGTGTAAAAGTGTTCCTATTTCTCCACATCCTCTCCAGCATAAAATTCAGCATCTGACTTTTTAATGATCGCCATTCTAACTGGTGCGAGATGGAATGAAAGTTTTTTAGTTTTCTGATTCATAACAACTGATGAAGACTCTCTCCTTTAACAAAACTTGAGTCAGGCTCCTGTGAGTTCTTTATGACTAGACCCAACCTTGGGTTACCCTCTCTATCCTTGTAGAATCAAGTATGAGCAAGAATCCTGCTAAGGTAGTTTGGTGAAAATCCCCCATCCTCGATATCTGACCACCCTCAATAGCTGATCACCCTGGCCTACCTTCGGCAATAATTCTGTCAAGTTGGTGTAGCCAGGAACTCCCTTATCCTTGATATTTCCTGTTATTCATTTTCCATCCACTGATTCTGACCCGGCTTGTTGGCTATAAATCCCCATTTGCCTTTGTTGGAATCAGAGTTGAGCCCATTCTCTCTCCCCCATTGAAAAATTCCATCGCAGTTTTCCTATCGCTACGGTCCCCTTTAATAAAGTCTGTTTTACTGTATTTAACAAGTGTTGTAAATGTTTTTTTCTTAAACACAACCTTAAACTCTAAACAAAGAGGAGTCTTGCAGTATATTTACTATATTTCATGAGTTGATAATTTCATATCAAGTGATTTTTTTTTTCCTTCGGCGTTTTCGACTTAGGTTGATGATCAGACTGTGTTTTTATTGTATAGTCATACACCCCATAATGGACTGCATATACAATGGTGGTCCCATAAGATTATAATGGAGCTGAAAAATTCCTATTGCCTCGTGATGTCTTGATGATCCTGTCCCTGTGTAGGCATAACAAAAAGTTGAAAGAGGAAAAAAATTAAAATTAGATAAAAGCTTATAGAATAAAAATATAAAGAGAAAAATAGTTTTGTACACCTGTGCAATGTTTGTGTCTTAAGCTAAATATTATTACAAAAGAGGCAAAAGTTAAAAAAAATTAAAGTTTAAACAATAACAAAGTAACAATAAGCTAAGGTTAATCTATTATTGAAGAAAGAAAAGTATGTTTTATAAATTTAGTGTAGCATAAGTGACAAAGTTTATAAAGTCTACCGTAGCATACAGTAATGTCCTAGGCCTTCATATTCAGCCACCGCTCACTCACTGGCTCTTCCAGAGCAACTTCCAGTCCTGCAAGCTCCATTCATGCTATGTACCCTATATAGGTATACTACTCTATCTTTTATGCTGTGTCTTTTAATGTACCTTTTCTATATTTAGATATACAAGTACTTACCATTGTATTACAATTGCCTACAGTATTTAGTTCACTAACATGCTGTACAGTTTTATATAGGAGCAATAGGCTGTACCATACAGCCTAGTTGTGTAGTAAGCTATACCATCTAGAGTTTGTGTAAGTACACTCTTATGATGTTCACACAAGGAAGAAATTGCCTGAGGAGGCAGGTATTTTTCAGAACATACTTTCGTCATAAAGCAATGCATGGCTGTATTACTTTTTTTAAATCAGTTCTATGCCTTCAGACTATCAGAAATGCTGCAGCAGACAGTATAAGCCAGCCAATAGCTAAAAATAAAGTTTTATTCATTTTTTCTCTTACAAAACATGAATTTAAAAAAATAAAGAAAATGATGGTAACCAGATAACAGTAACTACCATTTACATGTGAGTATATATTTTGAGTACCTTTACATAACTATAAATATATGAAAAACTGGATATGTGAGCGATAATATATATTTAATAAAAATGGGAATATGTACCTTTCTATTTTCAATAAATTGTATTTTTCTACTGCCAACATCATGTTCAAATATGCTTCCTTACATGGATACTTTAAAAATACACTACATAGAAGTCTTCAAACTTTGAGTGATGAGAGGGACATGATTGAACTATTCTAGCTCTGAAGTTAGATAGTAAAAGGAAAATTCATGTCAATTTTATGCTACAAGTTTAAATTAAAGCATTAAAACTATTGTGTGTTGCAGAAACTGAAAAAGAAGCAAGGATGTACCAAATACATAAAATAAAACATATTTTATAAAGATCTCTATATATTTCAAAATGTTGCACCAAGAAATTATATACATTTGAACTTTAATTGATAAAGATCAATGATAATGAATTAGGTACTACAGCAATAATTCCAAGATACAAAATGGACCACACTTCCCCTTAAAGATACAGACCTCAATCACACAGGAAGTTTTTCCAAAGTATGAATTCATCAACACCTCCCACGCCGTTTTACTCCATATGCACAAAGTTCTGGTATTTCTTGGTATGGGGTGCTGACAGTGACTTTTCCCCATACTATCCTAAGCCTCTCCCGTCACCATCACCTAGCCTGCCCTGACATAGCATTCATTACTGGGAATGCTAGTAAGGGAAGATATCTATCATCCTCAGGAGTGATGTCACTCAGACAGGTAAGATTTTCTGGATGCTAAGAAGTGATGATGATTCATTTGGACCTTGAGGAAGTCACAGATCACAAGTGAGGCATATACTTGAAAAGGTAATTACAGTGCATTATGCTCAAGGGTTCCATTTGGAATGATGGAGGAAGTGCTCCTCATCCTGCTTTGGAGACAGCAAAAGAGTTCACAGAGAAGTTATCGTTTCAATGTAGTCTTCAGTAAAGTTTGAGAATTTTCCAGCTATACCCAGGGAAAGGAAGAGCACTGTAATATCATAATTGTTGCCCTTTCTCCTTCTGTGAAATGACATGAAATAATGAGGCAAACAGTAAATGTCACCATTCAGTCATAGCTACTGTTTATTATAGAGTATTTATTATGTGACAAGCATTGTGCTCAGGACATCACTGTGCTGGTAATCTTATGATTTCCTCTCCTACCACTCTCTACTCTTCATTTTCACCCTATTCTGTGTCCCTGAAGATTCCTTGCCCTTGCACTTCTATTTGAATCTTGTCAATGAGGAGCACAGGTAGGATATTAAAGGAAGAGAGGAGAATGAAGCCAGGGTATTTATCACTCTGTTCCCTCCCTGTGGGGTAACTGTGGTCTAACTGGATCTGTCATTCAGAGGTCACAATTCTACCAGCCAGCCCTCTCCATATATCCCTCATCTCGGTTCCAGAAACCACTACCTCACTGCCCAGCACTTTTCTAGCCCCAAGCTTCTGAAATTTTTCTCCTGATTTCCCTTCACCCTACTTACACTTTTGAAAATAGTTCCTTTGTTATATTCTTCTTAAATTACCCAATTTGATGTCATCTAGTATCAGGAACCTGCTCACATTATCTCATGTAACCCTTCCTATAATGCAGCAGTGTAGGTCCTATCATCCCATTTTTTTCCCCCATTTGAGTTAGAATTTCTTTGGAAAGTGTTTCTAAGAACAACTGCTCTTTTTGTCAACTTATGATACATGTCACCAACCAGAAAAAGAAATATTACTATAGCTATCATTATTCAGATTCCAACCATGAGCAATCTCTTTAAATAAAAACTTAATCCTCAAAATGTGCATTTGAGATAAATTATCTTATCCTAGTTTTTGAAAAGACAAAATTGTAACTAGACCCAGGTTCTTCTGCTCACTGCTCAAAAGCCAAACATAAGCAGCAAGGGTTGATGGGAGGAAGTGCAGGTTTAATCAGAGAGCCAGCAAGTGGAAGATGGTAAACTAGCATTCTAAAGGACCACCTTAAATTTTAAATTGTACCATAGCATTTCTAAAGGGAAACTTGGTATGGGAGACACGCAGGAGTGGTGCAAGGTGCAGGGTCTGTGTGTCTATTCTGATGGCTATCCTGAGTAATCACCCATCTCGAGGCCTGGTTGTCATGTTATCTTGACTTTGGCCCATGGTGGTGGACTTAATTGTTTGCCACTCTCCCTAAGTGGGAGGATTCCACAGGGGCTCTATGCCTGATTTGTTTCTAGATTACCCTCTGGAATTTCTTAAACAAGAACATAATTGGATAAACATGCATTGCTGAAGGGAGTGCCTAGAGGAGGAAGAATGAAAGAGTGAGAGGGGAGGGAAGGAAGAAAATGAAAGTGAGTGATTAAAATATATTATTAAAACTGAGGTTCCTGGTTACAAAACTGGCTTCAAGAGGTTAAGTAACTTCTTTATAGTTACATACCAACTATGCAGAGGGATTCAAACCCTCTCTCTCAGGATTCAAAATCAGTGTTGTCATCTCCTCCACTAACCAATGAAAATTCCATTATGAAAAAAATTGTGAATGGCATTAGGTAAATAAAATTCACTAATAATTTATATTCAATTTATTCACAAAGGATAAGAGAAATTTCATATTTTTTGTATGTTCTTCTCAGCAAATTTTTTACATTTAATATATAGCAACCCTAAACCTCTCTCAGAATTTTTTTTCATGGTGTTACCAAAAATTCATGGATCATTTTATTGTATCTAATTTCAGACTGTTGAAAATTTTTATCTCATTTTATCTTAAAAGAAAATATACAAAAAAGTATATAAAATAAATATATAAGTTGAATAAATGATAGCAAAGCCAAAAAAAATTCATGTTACTACCACTCAAGTCAAGAAAAAAATGTTTGTTATCAAAGTTTCTCTAGTCCTTACCAATTGCAATTCATCCCCCAGAGGTAACCATAATTGTTCATTTATACCCATTATTTAATTGCTTTTAAAAAATATTTTTGGCCGGGCGTGGTGGCTCACGCCTGTAATCCCAGCACTTTGGGAGGCCAAGGCGGGTGGATCACAAGGTCAGGAGATCAAGACCATCCTGGCTAACATGGTGAAACCCTGTCTCTACTAAAAATACAAAAAATTAGCCAGGTGTGGTGGCGGGCACCTGTAGTCCCAGCTACTTGGGAGGCTGAGGCAGGAGAATGGCGTGAACCCAGGAGGTGGAGGTTGCAGTGAGCCGTGACCACACCACTGCACTCCAGCCTGGGTGACAGAGAGAGACTCCATCTCAAAAATAAATAAATAAATAAATAAATATTTTTATTGCCTGTGTATCCATCTCTACATGATCTACTTACTTCTGCTTCACTTTGCCTGTTTTTGAAATTTACATAAATGGAATCAAATTGCTTGTACGCTTTCACAACTTTTCTTTGTTTTCTTGATTAATATTATGAATACAAGATGCATTCATATCGTTTAATAGAACAAAATTTTTATTTTCATTGTACAGAATTTCATTTTATAAACATACCACAATATATTAATTTTCCTGTTTATAGATATTTGGGTTTTTTCCTGTTTTTGCCGATTTCAAATGAAACTGCTGTGAACATTCTTGACATGTTTCTTGATGACACATGTACGCATTTCTGGTAGTACATATCTAACAATGGAAATATTAGGTAATCAAGTGTACATATATAAACATTGACAAGCAAATTTCCAAAGTAGAGGTATGAATTTATGCTATATGCCCAGTTCTAGTTGTTCCACATTTTTACCAATCCTGGGAATCTTCAGTTTTTGCTAATATTAGATGTTCTGGTAGGGGTAGGTGTATAATGGTATTCTACTGTGATTTCAATTTGTATTTCACTGCCTATAAATTCAGTTGGACACCCTTTGTTTCTTAAAATTTAGATTTCCTCTTTGTTGAAGTGCCTCTTCAAGTTTTTTTTAACATTTTTAAAATTTTTATGGGCTGGCTTTTCATCACTTATCTATAGCAGTTTTATAGATATTCCAGATATTTGTCCTTCGTCAGTAATAATATGTGTAGCAAATATGTGTAATAATATGTGTGACAAATGCTTTTTCTCACTTTGTGGCTTTATCTTTGCAAAAATATATCAAATGTTGTATCGTTAAATTTATCACTCTCTATTCATGGTTGGTGGTTTCAATGTGTCGTTTTTTAAAAAATCCTACCACATCCCAATGCTACTAAGGCTT
Organism: Homo sapiens; assembly: GCF_000001405.40. Classification (NCBI taxonomy): domain Eukaryota; kingdom Metazoa; phylum Chordata; class Mammalia; order Primates; family Hominidae; genus Homo; species Homo sapiens. Next base: position 36,028,927 of record NC_000003.12, read on the forward strand.
GTAAAAGCCTTTAATGTCTGTGTCTTTCATTGACCTGGAATTACTTTCCATGTATGAAGTGAAATAGGGAATCCAAAATCTAAATATAATTAAAACTTATCCTGTCAGTAAAATAAAATAAAATTTAAAATGTAAACACCATTTAATCACCTTCTAACTCATTTTTTTCCCATGGGATTTAGTCTAACATTTTTTTTACTTATTGTTACTGCCAGTGAAACCCGCAAGGGTCTGCGGCAACCTCAATTCTTGCCTCCTCAGAAGATAGAATTTGACTGAAGGGCATAAGGCAGAAGGAGAGACTGAGGCATGTTTTTGAGCAGGAGTGAAAGTTTATTAAAAAGCTTTAGAGCAGGAATGAAAAAAGTATACTTGGAAGAGGGCCAAGTGGCTAACTTGAGAGATCAAGTGCATGTGGGGTTTTATACGTTGGCATGCTTCTGGGGTCTTGTGTTACTTTTCCTATGATTCTTCCCTTGGGGTGGGCTGTCCACATGCTTAGTGGCCTGCTGGCATTTGGGAGGGGAGCACGCACGATATGTTTACTGGAGCTGTACACATGCTCACTTGAGGTGTTTTTCCCTCACCAGTTCAGTGTTCCTAAAGGAAGGTCATCCACTATTTTGCCTCTTTGTGTGCATGCTTGGGGCCCACTCACTGAACTGAGATCTTATTGGGAAGCTGCTGATAACCAGTTTCCAATTTTTCTATCTACTGAGAGACTGCCTTTCCCTGATCCCAGCTATAACTAATTACTATTTTAGAAACAACTGCCTGACCATCACCTGATGGTTGCCTGACATTTCTGAGTTGGAAGGAAGCCCTCTCCTGCCTTGCTCATTCCTGACTAGCTACCTACTATAACATTCTGATCCCCACTAGACATTAGTTTTACAATTTTGTACAATTTTGGTTCATTTACATTAGCCCCATATTTGTCATTTTCTAATTCCTTTGGCTTTTCAGGCCTCACATTTGTGTTCATTTTTTTTCTACTTGAAATGAATTCTTCAAAATTATCTTTTGTAAGAATCTTTCCTTAGTCTTTGTTTATTGTAGATGTTTGTATTTGACTTTCATTCGGTATATTTTCTCTGGATATAAAATTCTAGGTTGCAGTTATTTTATTTCAGGATTTTAAAGACAGCCTTTCTGTTTTCTGATTTTTGTAGTGACTGTTGAGAAATCAGTCACTAAATATGAAATGGGGGTGTCACCAAACTGTGGCAGGGGCAGAGAGGGTGTTCCACACGTAGCAATTCTCCAATAGCTACGTGTACTATAATTCAATTCAGTTCTAACATTAACCAAAGTTAGCACAGACCCAGACCCCACAGGTTAAGGGCTTAGTCCCACAGGACTGCCCCACAACAGATGACAATCTCAGGTAATAGGTTTCCAGGCTACCCACACTTTGTCTGACTTGGCTACAAATTAGAGATTCCTTCACTTCCCTCTCAGGTTCCATGTTTTGCTAGAATGACACACAGAACTCAGGGAAACACTTTACTTACATTCACCCAATTATTATAAAAGGATACAACTCAGGAACAGCCAGATGGAAGAGATGCATACAACAAGTTATGTGGAGAGGAGCTTGGAATTTCCATGCCCTCTCCAGGCACACCACCCTCCCAGAAGTTCCACATGTTCAGGAATCCAAAAACTCTTCAAGTCCATCCTTCTGGGTTTGGTTTTGTTGTTTTGTTTTGCTGAGATAGGGTCTTGCTCTATTGTCCAGGCTGCAGTGCAGTGGCACAATGATAGCTCACTGCAGGCTCAATCTTCTGGGCTCAAGAAATTCTCCCAAGTAGCTGGGACCACAGGTGCATACCACCACACCTGGATAATTTTTGTATTTTTTGTAGAGACGGGTTTTTGCCCAGGCTTGTCTCAAACTCTGGGCTCAATCATTAGCACATGTCAGCCTCCCAAATTGCTGAAATTACAGGCATGAGCTACTGTGCCTGAACCCTTTTGGTGTTTTTGGAAGCTTCATTCTATACAAGCACGGTTGATTAAATCATTGGCTATTAGTAAGTAGCTCAATCTCCAGCCCATTTTCCCTCCCTGGAGGTTGGAAAATGGTAGAGAAAATGGTAGAGGAGGTTGGAAAATGGCTGAGGGTTTGAAAGTTCCATCCCTGCTAATCATATGTTTGATCCCCTGGTAATCATTATCAATTCTGAGCTTATCCCAGGGCCCTCAACCATCTGGTCATTTCATTAGCATACAAAAGACACATCATTTCAGAGATTCCAAAGGTTTTAGGAGTTGTATGCCAGGAAATGGGTTAGGGGGGACCTAAATATATAGTTGTTATTAAAGCAAAATATTATAACCTCTAATCTATATGTTTACCTTTGCTTTTTTCTATGATTTACTCTGCATAATTTGTTATGATCTGCCCTCCAATTTTCGAAACCTTCTATCTGTTGTTGCTATTTATATATTTTTTTTTAAATTTGGAATATTATGTTTTTTACTATTTCTTAAGTTTTATTCACGTGAAAACTCTACAAATTGTATTGTATAAAAGCTAATGTCCAGGATTTGCAAGTTTTATTCTAGTTATGCAAGATGTTAACATTAGGGGAAGCTGAATAAGAGATATATGGGAACTCTCTGTACTGTTCTTACAACTTTTCTGTAAGTCTAAAATTGGTTCAAATTACCTTTTGTTTTTTTTAAAGCAATGTATCATACTAGATAGTAATCCAGCATGTGTGATTAATGTAACTTTAAAAATGATAAAAATATACTGACCCAAAGAAGACAGCAGGTGCTCATTAGAAGTATGAAATTCTCATTAATAATTCAACTCCATATACAGAAACCATTCCCACAGTAGAAAGAAGGGACCCAAATCAGTTATAGATTTCAAAAACTTCTCTAAATCTAAAGCAAATGTCTCAGACCAGAAACTTCTTTTGTGTTTTCCTAGAAAATGTAGAACCCAGAAGCTATAGCCCCTGCACTTCCTTCTTTTTATTGTTTTCCTCTACTTCTCTTTCTATTCTTCCTTTTATTAACATTAAGTATAGTTAGATAGAAATTACCATAGCAGATTTTTTTCCTCAAGTAAGTAATACTCAAAACTTCCAGTATAAAAATATTATCTTGCAAATGTGCTAAATGAAGCATAATTAAATTTGCCATGGAATCATTCCAAAGCAGTGAGGGTGGGCTCTCCCGTCTGTAATGTACCCCCTTCCATCCTCTCTCTTACTTCATTTCCTGTGCTTTTATTTCTTTGAATTGTTGGCTCTGCCTAAATGCAGAACAGAGTAGACTGTAGAAATAGTTCTTGGCCCACTTCAGAAACCAGCATCAATTTAGTTGAAGCATTCTTAATCTGTTTTCTGGATAATGTAGTCCATGAATCTGGTAATCTGTTTCCATCTCCCTACTCTGATTAGAAGCTTTTAGTTAACCCTATCTTTCACCTTCCCTTGCCTGGTTCAGGTCGCTTCAGTCTGCACATTTTCAAGTGCACTAGAGGGATGTGGGAAGTTAAGCAAAAGCCTGGTGTATGACATCATTATCTGATTTTGGAGCTTGAGCAAGCATCACCTACTCATATACAGAACATGCCCAGGTAGGCACACATACAAACACACACATATACACACAGGGACCAGAGAATGGCTTCTAAGGGGCTAACTTCCTTCCCAGAAGCCTCCATTTCACACTTCAAGTAGCAGCTGTGTCTCCATTGCAAACCAGGGATTCCGGGTCTCTGTTCATCTCATAAGGAGCACCCACCTGCTCCCGCAGACACCCAGGAGCCAGGGAGAAGTCGGCTTCTCCCGCCTTATTGCCAGTTCAATGAGCCTTCTGAGAGAGAAACAGCTCATTTCTCTTAATCAGTAGCAATGACTTTCAAGAGTCTGATGGCACCAATTGATGAAGTAAGTCAAGAGGGAGAAGCTAATCATGAAGGATGTGCCTTGTGCCGGGTGTGTGTTATTTATAGAAACCTCAGCAGACAAGAATACATTAACATTATTAAGCTAAATCTACCCTGTGATTCTGAGTTCTTGTTACTGACAAATTCTCCCTTCACTGCTTACTATATTATTCTATAACAATCAATGCTATATTTATTTTAATTAAAATTGTGTGCTGAAATAGAGTGTTTCTCTTCTTTTTTTCTCCTCTAAAAAACTGTTGATCTGGATGTCCCTAGCAAGTCATAGAAAGATGAAAAATGTTTTAAAAAAAATAACGTGGATAGAAACGTCACCTTTTCCTAAGTAAAATGATTATTTCTACATTTAAAATGATATTACTTTGCAAAGGGCTATCATAACAATACAATCTATTTAACAGCAAAGATACGTATGAAAAGAAGGATACAGACAATTAAGTAGAAACTTAAAGACATTAAGACCCAGAGAGGAAATTTAATAACTCTAACAATGGGACGCAGAGCCAATCCTATTTCCAGTCTAGGGTGCTGTTCTTGTCATGAAAATTTGCAAATTAGTTTTGTCATTTTGGTTCTCATTTCTCAAAATACAAAACCTGCAACACAAAAAGTTCTCAGTACAATCAAATATCCAGTCAGTGTTTAAATTTCCATAATTGCCTAATTAATTAATTAGAACAGTTTGCTTTTGCTTGTCTGAATCATGGCATGCATTGCGATTGGTTATTTCCAAAGTATTTTAAATCTGTAGTTTCTTTCTCCATCTTTTTCTCTTTCTTTTCTATCAATGCATTTATTGAGGAAGCCAGCTTGATGCCCTTTGGAATACACCACAGTAGGGACTTTGCTAGTTGCGCCCCTGTAGTGTCATGTAATATTTTATTTGAAAATTAGTGTTTAGATTTAGAATTTTCATCAGAAATGAGTTTGATTTGTTTTGGCAAAACTTCTTTATTGGTCATGTGTATTTTCATTAGGAAATGTTAGCACTTTTGTTCTAGGAATCCTTGTTCATTATGGATTGCTAAATGTTGATATTCTCATTCTATTATTCTCTCTTCATGCATTAGCTGGATCCCATCTTTAAGAACTTTCCTTTATAAACTCTTTGACTACCCAGATGCATAGTTTAAAAAGAAGAGGCAAAACTAATGTTGATTCTTTCTCTTTATTTATGAATTTTTCACATAATGTTTCCTAGCATCTTCTAAAATTAGCTAATGATATTTTACTTTTGAAATATCATTATGAATTCAGGGATTTAAAAGTGTTTGGTGAGTTTCAAACAATTGCATTCGTGGTTCTTATTCCTCACCTTTGATCAGTGATTCTCATCATTGTGATTTCTTTTTATAGATTTATATGAAATTATTTATAAAGTTTATATATAATTTTAATTAAAAGTAATAATTGCACATATTTATGGAGTACTGTGTGATGTTTCCAGTGTGTAATATTTACATTGTGTAATGATCTAATCAAGGTAATTAACATATTTACCATCTAAAACATTTATTTCTTTGTGGTCAGAACATTCAAAATCTTCTCTTCTAGCTATGTTGAAATATACATTATCGTTAACTATATCACAATTCTGTGCAAAGAAGACTAGAACTTATTCCTCTGATCTAACTGACAGAGTACTCATTTACAAACCCCTTCTCATCTTCTCTACTTTCCCTAGTCTCTGGTAACCATGATTCTACTCGACTTCTATGAGATCCACCTTTTTTAGATCCCATATGTGAGTGAGATCATGTAGTATTTGACCTTCTGTGCCTGGCTTCTTTCACTTAAAATAATGTCCTCTTAGTTCATCCATGTTGTTGCAAATGACAGGATTTCATTCTTTGTTATGGCTGAATAGTATTCCATTGTGTATATGTACCACATTTTTATTTCATTTGTTCATTGATGGATACTTAGATTGATTCCACATTTTGAAAGTTGAAATAGACATGGGAGGACAGACATCTTTTCAACATATTCATTTCATTTCTTTTGGGTATATACCCAATAATAGGATTGCTGGATAATATGGCAGTTCTATTTTTAATTTTTTGAGGAACCCTCATATTGTTCACCCTAATGGTTGTACTAATTTACATTCTCATCAACAGTGTACAAGAGTTCCCCTTTCTCCACATCCTGGCCAGCATTTGTTATTTTTTGTCTTTTTGGCAATAGCCATTCTAATTGGGATGTGATCATATCTCATTGTGGTTTTGACATTCCAGCGTCATTAATTGAAGAAAGTATCCTTTCCCCAATGTGTGTTCTTGGTGTCTTTGTTGAAAATCAGTTAACTGTAGATGTATGGTTTATTTCTAAGTTCATTATTTAGTTTCATTAATCTGTGTCTGTTTTCATGACAACACCATGCTGTTTTAGTTATTATAACTTAGTAGTATATTTTGAAGTCAAATAATGTGATGCCTCCAGCATTGTTCTGTGTACCCCAGATTGCTTTGGCTATTTAGGAATTTTTTGTGTTTCCACAGACATTTTAGAATTGTCTTTTTTTCTATTTTTGTGAAGAACGTCATTGATATACTGAAAAAAAATTGCATTGAATCTATAGATTGCATTGGGGAGTATGGATATTTTATTAATATTAAATCTTTCCATTCATGCCCATGGGATATCTTTCCATTTATTTGTGTCCTCTTCAGTTTCTTCCATTAGTGTTTTATAGTTTTTATTGTAGAGATCTTTCACCTCCTTGGTAAAATTTATCTCTTTTCTTTTAGCTGGTATAAATGGAATTGTCTTCTTGATTTCTTTTTCAGATCATTCACTATTAGAATATAAAACACTACTGACTTTTTTATGTTGATTTGTATGCTACATCTTTATTGAATTTGTTTATCAAATTCAAACTTGATAAAAACAACTTTTTGGTGGCATCTTTAGGGTTTTTTTATATATAAGATTATGTTATTTGCAAACAGGGACAATTCAACCTCCTCCTTTTCAATTTAGATACTCCTTATTTCTTTCTCTTGCCCAATTTCTCTAGCTAGAACTTCCAGTACTATGTTTAATGCAAGTGGTAAATGTGGGCATCCTTGTCCTGACCCAGGTCTTAAATGAAAAGTTTTCAATTTTTCTCTGTTCATTATGATGTTAGCTGTGGGTTTATCTTGTATGACATTTAATACATAAACTAAAAATAAAATGTCAGGCCCCTCAGCCAACTGAATGGACCTTCTTTTGGCCACGGGGACCCCAGAGAAGCTTTAAAAACTGAGTTTTTGGTCATGATGAGATAGGAGGTTGGACAGGCCTTGTTATACTCATACCCTTTTATGGTTTAGACAAAAACTGGTCAGTATTAATGTTAAAATAGAGATTATAAGACTGACTGGAATGGACTATTTATGGTAAGAAGATAACAAACTGCAAAAACACTTAATGCCATGCCAGGCAAGGGTTAATTCATGCAGCCTTACACTTGAAGAACAAACTACGTTCTAACTGCCACAAGGATTTTCTTTTTCTCTAGCAGCTAAATAAGCACTGGCCTCAAGATAAGCAATATTAAACAATTTCCAGCTCAATTTCAGTTGCTAACTGACCCTCGGATTCCACAGGCCACAACTACAGCTTTGACTGGATAAGAGACTGATTTCAGTAATTTTCTGTTGATAAGAAGACCACTGACCATGGACTAGTTCTGTCTGGTTTACAGAGGCTGTGCATTTGAATATCTTCATGTCCCTGCTTCACCTTTTGAGGTATAGGGCCTAAATTTAGTACATCTAAATGTTAAGTCTCCACTCCTAGGTGAAAATGGGTCATATGTTGTAACATGCACATTTGTCTAGTACATGTTTTAGAACTACCTTATGAATAATCATAGCTTATCCTGTTACCTATTGAATATGTATACATAACCAACCATTCGAGCATAAATTTCTGTCTCAGCTTTCCTCCTTTGAAGTGCTTATCTCATGTATTTGCCTAAGGCTATGCTTCCCATCCTACAGGATGGCCACCTTGCAAGCTGTAACCTTTGATATGAAATAAAGTCTCCTCTCCATATAAGACCTTGTTATTTTTCAGTTAACATTATGTTGAGGTGTGTTTCATCTATACCTAATTTGCTAAGAGTTTTATTATGAAGGCATGTTGAATTCTATCAAATATTTTTCCATTTCTATTGAAATGATCATGTTGTTTTGACCTTAATTCTTTCAATGTGATGTATCATGTTTATTGATTTGTGTATAGTGAACCATCCTTGAATTCCTGGGATGAATCCCATGTGATCATGGTGATTTTTTTTAAATGTGTTGTTGAATTTTATTTGATAGTATTTTGTTGAGGATCTTTGCATCTGTGTTCATCAAGGATATTGATTGGCATGTGGTTTTCCTTTCTTGTCATGTCCTTGTCTGCTTTCACCGTCAGGGTAATGCTGGCCTAAAAGAATGAGTTTGGAAGAAATTTCTTGCTAGAAGTTGTGTATTTGTTCCCTCCAAATCTCATGTTAAAACTTAATTCCCAATGTGGCAACACCAAGAGGTGGGCCTTTAAGAGTAGACTGGGTAATGAGGGCTCTCCCCTCATGAAGGGATTAATCCAATAATGGATTAATGGATTAATGAGTTAATGGATAAGTGGGTTACTCTGGGAGTAAGACTTTATGAGAAGAAAAAGAGAATCCTGAGCCAGCAATTCAGTCCCCTCACCATGTGATACTCTGCACCTCCTCTGGACTTTACAGAGGGTCTCCACCAGCAAAAAGGCCCTCACCAGATGAAGCCTTTGACCTTGTACTTCTCAGCCTCCAAAAATGTAAGAAATAAATTTATTGGGCAGGGCACAGTGGCTCACCCCTGTAATCCCAGCACTTTGGGAGGCTGAGGTGGGCAGATCACCTGATGTCAGGAGTTTGAGACCAGCCCGGCCAACATGGGGAAACCCCATCTCTACTAAAAATACAAAAATTAGCCAGGCATGGTTGCATGTGCCTGTAATCCCAGCTACTCAGAAGGCTGAGGCAGGACAATCACTTGAACCTGGGAGGTGGATATTGCAATGAGCTGAGATCACACCACAGAACACCACCCTGGGTGACAGTGAGAGTCCATCTCAAAAAAAAAAAAAAAAAAGAGAAAAGAAAAAAAAATATCTTTATAAATTACCCAGTTTCAGGCATTTTGTTGAAAGTAACAGAAAATGGACTAAGACAGCCTTCCTCTTTATTTTTCTGGAAGAGGTTGGAAAAATTGGTATTAGTTCTTTAAGTGTTTGGTGGAATTCAGCAATGAAGCCATCGGTCTCTGGGATTTTTGCCTTTTTTTTTTTGATGGGAGTTTTTATTACTGATTCAAACTTGTTTCTCATTATTGGTCTGTTTAGGTTTTCTATTTCTTCATGATGCAATTTTGGTAGGCTGTAGGTGTTCAGGAATTTTTTCATTTACTCTAAGTTTTTCCAGTTTTTTGGCATATAATTGTTCAGAGCTGTCCCTTATGATCTTTTGAAGTTGTTTGGTATCATTTGTAACGTTTTTCTTTTTATTTCTGATTCTATTAATTTGCATCTTTTCTCTCGCTTTTTTTACTTAGGTCTTGCAAAAAGGTTTGTTCTTTTTATCTTCTCAAAAAAAGCCCAAATGTTTATTTCATTATTAATACTGATCTTTTGGAGTTTTGTAAGTCTCTTTTGTTTATTCCTGCTTTGATATTTACTTCTTTTCCTCTACTAATTTTGGTTTAGTTCATTCTCGCTTTTCTAGGTTTTTCTGAGGTGTAACATTAGGTTGTTTATTTAAGATTTTTCTGCTTTATTGATGTAGGAATTTACTAATACGAAATTTCCTTATAGAGCTCTGCTGAATCACATAGGTTTTGGTATGTTGTGTTTCCATTTTTATTTGTCTCAAGAATTTTTTTAAACCTTTTTGATTTCTTCATTTATCCTTCAGTTATTCAGGAGTATGTTGTTTAATATCCATGTATTTGTGTACTTTCCAAAGTTTCTTTTGTTACTGATTTATAGTTTTATTCCATTATGATCAGAAAAGACACTTGACATGATTTTGATTTTTAAAATTTGATGAGTTTTTTAAATTTCTAAAATATGATCTATCCTGGAGAATGTTCTATGTGCTGTTGAGAAATATGTGCTTTCTTCAACTATCATATGAAACATTCTGTAAATGTTTTTTAGGTCCATTTGATCTAGAGTACAGTTTAACTTCCCTGTTTGTTGATTTTCCATCTGCATGATGCGTTCATTGCTGAGAGTAAGGTGTTGAAGTCTTCTACTATTATTGTATTGCAGTCTATTTCTCCCTTTAGGTTTATCAATATTTGCTTTATACATTTTGGTGCTCCAATGTTGAGTGCATAAATATATTTACAACTATTATATCCTTTAGTTGTATTGACCCCTTTATTATTATATAATGTATTTTTTGTCTCTTTTTATGGGTTTTGCTTTAAAGTCTATTTTATCTGATATGGATATAGATATTCCTCAATTTCCACTTGCATGGAATATCATTTTCAATCCTTTTACTTTCAGTGTATGTGTGTCCTTATAGGGAAAATGGGTCTATTGTAGGCAGCATATAACTAATTCTTGTTTTCTTATCCATCCAGACACTCCATGTATTTTACTTGAAGGATTTAGTCCATTTACATTCAGGGTAATTATTAATAAGTAGAGACATATTACTGCTCTTTTGTTCATTGTTTTCTATTTGCTTGTAGATTCATTCCTCCTTTTCTCCACTTTTACTATCTTCCTTCATGGTTGTATGATTTTCTGTAGTAGTATGTTTTCATTCCTTGCTTTTTATTTTTAGTGCATCTATTACAAGTTTCTGTTTTGTGGTTACAATTAGACTTACAAAAAATCTTATAGTTCTAACAGGTTATATTAAACTGATAACAACTAAGTTTGTTTGCTGAAATAACCAAAACAAAAAAAAATTTACATTTTTATTCTATATTTTGTCCCATTTTTCATCCCCATGTTTTGAATTTTTGATGTCAGAATTTATGTCTTTTTACATTATGTATTCCTTAACAAGTTATTATTGTTGTTTTTAATAGTTTTGTTTTTAAATTTTCATACTATATATAAGTGATTTACATGCCATGATTTTTGAGACCTTTTGAGAGTCTTTGAAAGCTTCCTTTTTATCTACTATGAAAAGATGTTCTGAATGTATCTGTGTATGTCATGCCCCAGAACTGCTTTCAGCTAAGGTTGTCATTGTTTCAGTGCCTAAATCTAAGACATATGTATATGTAAGAAAAAGAAAAGGGATTCATAGTGATATCTTTATTTACTAATTAGAACTCAATAATTTTCCATTATGTCTTTTTTTCATAATGGCAAACCTCATTTGCAACAAAATAACCTTAATTATTCATTTGTTTTATTCAACAATATGTACATAGCAGTATCAGAGAAGAAATATCAAGTTTACTATTTTTAAATAAGATTTTTAATCTTTGTGTGTACATAGTAGGTATATATATTATAAGACACACGAGATATTTTGGGACAGGTATGCAACACATAATAATCACATCATGGACAACTGGGTATTCATCCCCTCAAGTACTTTTTCTTTGTATTACAAACAGTCCAGTAATACTCTTTTAGTTATTTTAAAATGTACAATTAAATTATAATTGACTATAGTCTCGATGTTGTGCTCTCAGATAATAGGTCTTATTCATTCTCTCTAACTGTTCTTTTTTCTGTACCCAGTAACCATCCTTACCATGACCTCACTTCCCCACAAGCTTCCCCCAGCCTCTGGTAACCATCCTTCTATTCTCTTACCTCCATGAGTTCAATTGTTTTGATTTTTAGGTCCCACAAATAAGTGAGAACATGCAATGTTTGCCCTTCTGTGCCTGACTTATTTCAGTTAACATAACGACTGCAAGTTCCTTCCATATTGTTGCAAATGACAGAATTTCATTCTTTTTTTATGACTGAATAGTACTTCATTGTGTATAAATACCACATTTTCTTTATCCATTCATCTGGTAATGTACACTTAGGTTGCTTCCAATTCTTGGCTATTGTGAACAGTGCTGCAACAAACATGGGTGTGCAGAAACCCTCTTCGATATACTATTTTCCTTCTTTTGGGGCATATACCCAGCAGTGAGATTACTGGATCATATGGTAGCTCTATTTTCAGTTTTTTGAGGAACCTCCAAACTGTCTTCCATAGTGGTTACACTAATTTACATTCCCACTAACAAATTTGTTGAAAATGAGTTCACTGTAGGTGTATGGATTTGTTACTTGGGTCTCTATTCTGTTCCATTGGTCTATGTGTCTGTTTTTATATGAATAATATGCTGTTTTGGTTATTTTACTTCTGTAATAGAATTTGAAGTCAGGTAATATGATTCCTTCAGTTTTGTTCTTTTTTCTCAGGATGGCTTTGGCTATTCTGAGTCTTTTGTGGTTCCATATAAATTTTAGTATAGGATGTTTCTGTTTCTGTGAAGAATGTCACTGGTATTTTGATAGGGATTGAATTGCATGTAGTGATTGCTTGGGTGGTAAGGACATTTTAACAATATTGATTCTTTCAATCCATCAACATGAAATATATTTCCTTTTTTTGTGTTCTCTTCAATTTTTTTCAACAGTATTTGATAGTTTTCATTGTAGAGCTCTTTCACTTCTTTGGTTAATTCCTAGGTATTTAATTTTATTTGTGTCTATTGTAAATGGTAATACATTTTTATTTCTTTTTTCAGATTATTCACTGTTGGCATATAGAAATGCTACTGATTTTTGTATATTGATATTGTGTCCTGAAACTTTACTGAATTTGTTTATGAGTTCTAATAGTTTTCTGGTGGAGTCTTTAGGTTTTTACAAACATGAGCTCATATCATCTGAAAACAAGGACAATTTGACTTCTTTCTTTTCAATTTGAATGCCCTTTATTTCCTTCTCTTATCTGATTGCTCTAGCTAGGACTTCCAGTACTGTGTTGAATAACAGTGGTGAAAGTGGGCATCCTTGTCGTGTTACAGATCAAAGAGGAAAGGCTTTCAGTTTTGCTCCATTTTATATGACACTAGCTGTGAAACTGTCATATGTGGTTTTTATTATGTTGAGGTATGTTCCTTCTATACCCAGTTTTTTGAGGATTTTTATCAAGAAGGGATGTCGGACTTTACAAATGCATTTTTAGCATCAATTGAAATGTTCATATGCTTTTTGTACTTCATTCTGTTGATATGATGTATCACAGTGATTGGTTTCCATATGTTGCACCATAACTATACTTGCCTCACTGGAATAAATCCCACTTGGTCATGATTAATAATCTTTAATGTATTCTTGAATTTTGTTTCCCAGTATTTTGTTGAGGGCTTTTCCATGAATACTCATCAGAGATACCGGTCTGTAGTTTTCTTTATTTTCTGTATCTCTGTCTGGTTTTGGTATCAGGGTAATAGTGGTCTTTAGAGTGAGTTCAGAAGTGTTCCATCCTCTATTTTTTGGAACAGTTTGAGTGGGATTGGTATTAGTTCTTTAAATGTTTGGTAGAATTCAGCAGTGAAGCCATGGGTCTTGGACTTTTCTTCACTGGGAGACTTTTTATTATGGCTTCGATCTCATTATGTGCTATTGGTCTGTTCATTGGGTCTTGTTTTTTCATCCATTCAGCCACTCTCTGTCTTTTGACCAGAGAATTTAATCTATTTGCCTTCAATGTTACTATACATAACCATTTTGTTGTTTTCTGATTGTTTTTGTGGTCTTTTATTTCTTTCTTCCTTTCTTCTTTTTAGTGAAGGTGATTTCTCTGGTGGTATGCTTTAATTTCTTCATTTTCATTTTTTGTGTACCCACTGTGTGTTTTATTTTAAACTGATGACAACTTAACACTGATGGCATAAACACACATGCAAAATGAAAACTAATGAAAACTCTACAATTTGACTTTGTTCTCCTGTTGTTTAACTTCCTGTTGTTTCTCATTATGTCTTCTTTTACTGTCTATGTCTTTAAAAGTTGTTATAGTTATAACTTTTCTTTGGTTTATAATTTATTATTCCTCTTAAGTCAAGAGTTCTTGACACACCGTAATTGCAGTGCTGTAATATTCTGTGTTTTTCGTGTGCTTACTATTAGCAGTGAATTGTATACCTTTATATGACTTCTTCCTGCTCATTAACACTTTTTCTCTCAGATTGAGGAACTCCCTTTAGCATTTCTTGTAGGACAAGTCTAGTGTTGATTAAATCTCCCAACTTTGCTTTATCTGGGAAGATCTTTATTTCTCCTTCATGCTTAAAGTGTATTTTCATCAGATATACTATTCTTGGGTAAAAGATTTTTTCCTTCATAAGTTAAACATGTCATGCCACTCTCTCCTGACTTGTAAAGTTTCCACTGAAAAGTGTGCTGCCAGATTAGAGTTCCATTGTATGTTATGTGTTTCTTTTGTGCTTGCTGCTTTTAGGATCCTTTCTTTATCCTTGACATTTGGGAGTTTAATTATTAAATGCCTTGAAGTAGTCTTCTTTGGATTTAATCTGTTTGGTGTTCTATAACCTCTTGTACTTGAACGTTGATATCTTTCTCTAGGTTTAGGAAGTTCTCTGATATTATCCCTTTGAATAAACTTTCTACCCCTATCTCTTGCTCTACCCTCCTTTTCAAGGCCAATAACTCTTAGATTTGCCCTTTTGAGGCTAACAACTTTCACACTAATAATTGATTACCAAAAACAATGCATTTTAGTTGCGGTTTTATTTTCAGTTGGGTTGAACAAGTCCAGACTATGTCACTGTAGCATAAAAGTCGTTTGGAGGTGAAGATATTTGAGAATGGGCTCCTCTCTTTAACTCCTTTATCTCCCTAAAATCACAGCCTCAGAAAAAAAATGCTCAAAAGATCTCTATCATCATAAATCCCTTTCCAGGAGCAACTAGAGAATACTGATTCTTTCATTGGAGATTAGAAGTCATAGGCTAGAAGTAAACATCACACTTAAAACTTAGACTGTAACAAAACTATCATATTGCCCATCTATTCTTCTAAGGACCCATTTATCTTTTCTACTAAGGACCTATTTATCTGTCCTAAAGTCATTTTTTCATAAGTACCCTCTCTCCTCAACCCCCTCCTTTTTTTTCAGATGGAGTCTCACTCTGTCACCCCAGGCTGGAGTGCAGATGTATACGTACACATATACATGTACATATATACATGTATATATGTACGTATATACAAGTACATATATACATGTATATATGTACGTATATACATGTACATATATACATGTATATATGTACGTATATACATGTACATATATATGTACATATATACATATATACGTATATATATGTGTGTATATATACACACACACATATGTATATACATATATATACTTTAAGTTCTGGGTTACATGTGCAGAATATGCAGGTTTGTTACATAGGTATACACATGCCATGGTAGTTTGCTGCACCCACCAACTCATCATCTACATTAGGTATTTATCCTAATGCTCTCCCTCCCCTAGCCCCCAACACCCCCAACAGCCCCCGGTGTGTGATGTTCCTCTCCCTGTGTCCATGTGTTCTCATTGTTCAACTCCCACTTATGAGTGAGAACATCTTAGAATAATTTATATAATTGAAGTGTGTGATGCTGATTTTTAAACCAAATCTAAAGAAAATTCAGATAGTATTTAATCAAACACAACCTTGCAAATTAAAAGGAAAAGGTCAACACTAACCAATGGAGAACATCCGGTGTTTGGTTTTCTGTTCCTGTGTTAGTTTGCTAATAATGATGGTTTCCAGCTTCATCTATGTCCCTGCAAAGGACATGAACACATCCTTTCCTATGGCTGCATGATATTCCATGGTGTATATGTGCCACATTTTCTTTATCCAATCTGTCGTTGATGGACATTTGGGTTGGTTCCAAGTCTTTGCTATTGTGAATAGTGCCGCAATAAACATACGTGTGCATGTGTCTTTATAGTAGAGAGATTTATAATCCTTTGGGTATATACCCAGTAATGGGATTGCTGGGCCAAACGGTATTTCTGGTTCTAGATCCTTGAGGAATTGCCACAGTGTCTTCCACAATGGTTGAACTAATTAACACTCCCACCAATGGTGTAAAAGCATTCCTATTTCTCCACATCCTCTCCAGCATCTGTAGTTTCCTGACTTTTTAATGATCATCATTGTAACTGGTGTGAAATGGTATCTCATTGTGGTTTTGGTTTGCATTTCTCTAATGACCAGTGATGACGAGCTTTTTTTTGTTTCTTGGCTGCATAAATGTCTTCTTTTGAGAAGTGTCTCTTCATATCCTTCACCAGCTTTTTGACAGGCTTACTTTTTCTTGTAAATTTGTTTAAGTTCCTTGTACATTCTGGATATTAGCCCTTTGTCAGATGGATATATTGCAAAAATTTTCTCCCATTATGTAGGTTGCCTGTTAACTCTGATGATAGTTTATTTTGCTGTGCAGAAGCCTTTAGTTTAACTAGATCCCATTTGTCAATTTTGGCTTTTGTTGCCATTGCTTTTGGTGTTTTAGTCATGAAGTCTTTGCCCATGCCTATGTCCTGAATGGTATTGCCTAGGTTTTCTTCTAGAGTTTTTATGGTTTTAGGTCTTACATTTAAGTCTTTAATCCATCTTGAGCTCAATTTTTGTGTAAGATGTAAGGAAGGGGTCCAGTTTCAGTGTTCTGCATATGGCTAGTCAGTTTTCCCAACACCATTTATTCAGTAGGGAATCCTTTCCCCATTGCTTGTTTTTGTCAGGTTTGTCAAAGATCAGATGGTTGTAGACGTGTGGCATTATTTCTGAGGCCTCTGTTCTTTTCCATTGGTCTATATATCTGTTTTGGTACATGTACCATACTGTGTTGTTTACTGTAGCCCTGTAGTATAGTTTGAAGTCAGGTAGCATGAGGCCTCCAGCTTTGTTCTTTTTGCTTAGGATTGTCTTGCCTATATGGACACTTTTTTGGTTCCATATGACATTTAAAGTAGTTTTTTTCTAATTCTGTGAAGAAAGTCAATGGTAGCTTGATGGGAATAGCATGGAATCTATAAATTACTTTGGACAGTATTGCCAGTTTCATGATATTGATTCTCCCTATCTATGAGCATGGAATATTTTTCCATTTGTTTGTGTCCTCTCTTATTTCCTTGAGCAGTGATTTGTAAAGATGTCCTTCACATCTCTTGTAAGTTGTATTCCTAGTATTTTATTCTCTTTGTAGCAATTGTGAGTGGGAGTTCACTCATGATTTTGCTCTCTGTTTGTCTATTATTGGTGTATAGGAATGCTTGTCATTTTTGCACATTGATTTTGTATCCTGAGACTTTGCTGAAGTTGTTTATTAGCTTAAGGAGATTTTGGGCTGAGATGATGGAGTTTTCTAAGTATGCAATCATGTCATCTGCAAACACAGAAAATTTGACTTCCTCTCTTCCTATTTGAATACTCTTTATTTTTTTATCTTGCTCCATGAGATCTTCCTTTTTTAAGCTCCCACATGAGTGAGAACATGTGGCATCTGTCTCTCTGTGCCTAGTTCATTTCCCTTAATAACTTCTAGTTCCATCTATATTGCTGCAAATGACATGAGTTTATTCTTTTTCATGGCTGAATAGTATCCCGCTGTGTATATATACCACGTTTTCTTTATCCTTTTGTCCATTGATTAACACTTAGGTTAGTTCTAAATTTTTGCTATTGTGAACAGTGTTGCAATAAACATGTGGGTGCACTATTCCCTTGACATACAGATTTATTTCCCTTTAGATAAAGACAAAATACAGGGATTGTGGGATCATATAGTAGTTATATTTTTAGTTTTTTGAGAAGTCTCCATGCCATTTTCCACAGTGGTTGTACCAATTTACATTGCCACCAATAATGCATGATTTCCCTTTTCCCCACATCCTTGCCAGAATCTAGTACTTTTTCTCTTTTTAATAATATAATTCTAACTGGAGTAAGATGATTGATATCTCACTGTGCTTTTGATTTGCATTTTTCTGATGCTTCATAATGTTGAACATTTTTTCATGTATCTGTTAGCCATTTGTATGTCTTCTTTTGAGAAATGTCTATTCATGTCCTAAGTACAGTTTTTCAGGAAATGTTTAAAAATTGTTGAGTTGTTTGAATTCCTTGTATATTCTAAAGATTAGTTCCTAGTCAGATGAATAGTTTGTAAATATTTTCTCCCATTAAACTGTTTTTCTCTTCAGTCTCTTGATTGTTTCCTTTGCTGCACAGAAGGTTTTTGTTTAATATAGCTCCATTTTGTTATGGTTGTCTGTGCTTTTGAGTTCTCAGGTGTGAAATTTTTGCTACACTGCTATCTTGAAGTGTTTTCCTTATTTTTTTCTAGTAGTTTATAGCTTCAGGTCTTATTTTTAAGTCTTTAGTCCATCTTGAGTTGATTTTTGAATATGTGGAAAGACACGGGTCTAGTTTCATTACTCTGTGTATGGATATCCAACTTGCCCAACACCATTAGTTGAAGAGGGTGTCCTTTTCCCTGTGTATGTTCTCTGTGCCTTTATTGAAAACCCATTGGTAGTAAGTGGTTGGATTTATTTCTTGGTTCTCTGTTCCTGTTCTATTCATCTATGTGTCTGTTTTTATACCAATGCCATGCTCTTTTGGTTACAATGGCCTTGTAATATATTTTGAAGTCAGGTACTTTGATGCCTCCTCCAGGTTTGTTCTTTTTGCTCAGGATTGCTTTGGCTATTTGGGCTCTTTATTCATTCCACACAAATGTTAGAATTTTTTCTCTAATTTGGTGAAAAATGGCATTGCTATTTTAAGAGAGATTGCATTGAATCTGTAGCTTGCTTTGGGCAGAATGGTCATTTTAATAATATTAATTCTGATCCATGAGAATGAGGTCTTTCTCCATTTATTTGTGTCCTTGTAAATTTCTTTCATCAATGTTTTGTAGTTTCTCTCATAGAGATATTTCTTCTGAGTTAAATTTATTCATTGGTATTGTTGTTAGCTACTGTAAATGAAACTGCATTCTTGATTTCTTTCTCAGTCATCTCATTATTGATGTATAGAAAAACTGCTGATTTTTATGTGTGGATTTCATATCCCACAAATTTACTGAATTTATCAGATCTAGGAGATTTTTATGGAGTTTTTAGGTTTTTCTAGATATAAGATCATATCATCTGCAGACAGAGATAATCTTACACACTCTTTTCCAATGTGGATGCCTTTTGTATCTTCTTCTTGCCTGATTGTTCTGGCTAGGACTTCCAGATATTTTTGAATAGGCATGGTAAAAGCAGGCATTATTGTCTTGTTCCAGATCTTAGAGAAAGAGCTTTCAGCTTTTCTCTATTCAGTTGATGCTATCTGTGGATTTAACATGTATGGTGCTTATTATTTTGAGGTAAGTTTCTTCTGTTCCTAGTTTGGAGAGTGCTTTTATTATTATACTTTAAGTTCTGGGGTACATAAGCAGAATGTGCAGGTTTGTTACGTAGGTACACACGTACCATGGTGGTTTGCTGCACCTATCAACCCATCATCTACGTTAGATGTTTCTCCTAATGTTATCCCTCCCCCAGTATGCCACCCCGTTAGGCCCCAGTGTGTGATATTCCCCTCCCTATGTCCATGTGTTCTTCTTGTTTAACTCCCACTTATGAGTGAGAACATGCAGCAATTGGTTTTCTGTTCTTGCGATAGTTTGCTGAGAATGATGGTTTCCAGCATCATCCATGTCCCTGCAAACGACATAAACTCATCCTTTTTATTTTTTTATTTTTTTGTACTTGT
The DNA here is from genome assembly GCF_000001405.40 of Homo sapiens. NCBI lineage: Eukaryota > Metazoa > Chordata > Mammalia > Primates > Hominidae > Homo > Homo sapiens. The sequence continues at coordinate 36,048,679 of NC_000003.12, forward strand.
TTTTATTTTTTTTTATTATTATTATTGTACTTTAAGTTTTAGGGTACATGTGCACAATGTGCAGGTTAGTTACATATGTATACATGTGCCATGCTTGTGTGCTGCACCCATTAACTCGTCATTTAGCATTAGGTATATCTCCTAATGCTATCCCTCCCCCCTCCCCCCACCCCACAACAGGCCCCAGTGTGTGATGTTCCCCTTCCTGTGTCCAGGTGTTCTCATTGTTCAATTCCCACCTATGAGTGAGAATATGCGGTGTGTGGTTTTTTGTCCTTGCGATAGTTTACTGAGAATGATGATTTCCAGTTTCATCCATGTCCCTACAAAGGACATGAACTCATCATTTTTTATGGCTGAATAGTATTCCATGGTGTATATGTGCCACATTTTCTTAATCCAGTCTATCATTGTTGGACATTTGTGTTGGTTCCAAGTCTTTGCTATTGTGAATAGTGCCGCAATAAACATACGTGTTCATGTGTCTTTATAGCAGCACAATTTATCGTCCTTTGGGTATATACCCAGTAATAGGATGGCTGGGTCAAATGGTATTTCAAGTTCTAGATCCCTGAGGAATCGCCACACTGACTTCCACAATGGTTGAACTAGTTTACAGTCCCACCAACAGTGTAAAAGTGTTCCTATTTCTCCACATCCTCTCCAGCACCTGTTGTTTCCTGACTTTTTAATGATTGCCATTCTAACTGGTATGAGATGGTATCTCATTGTGGTTTTGATTTGCATTTCTCTGATGGCCAGTGATGGTGAGCATTTTTTCACGTGTTTTTTGGCTGCATAAATGTCTTCTTTTGAGAAGTGTCTGTTCATGTCCTTCGCCCACTTTTTGATGGGGTTGTTTTTTCCTTGTAAATTTGTTTGAGTTCATTGTAGAGTCTGGATATTAGCCCTTTGTCAGATGAGTAGGTTGTGAAAATTTTCTCCCATTTTGTAGGTTGCCTGCTCACTCTAATGGTAGTTTCTTTTGCTGTGCAGAAGCTCTTTAGTTTAATTAGATCCCATTTGTCAATTTTGGCTTTTGTTGCCATTGCTTTTGGTGTTTTGGACATGAAGTCCTTGCCCATGCCTATGTCCTGAATGGTATTGCCTAGGTTTTCTTCTAGGGTTTTTATGGTTTTAGGTCTAATGTTTAAGTCTTTCATCCATCTTGAATTGATTTTTGTATAAGGTGTAAGGAAGGGATCCAGTTTCAGCTTTCTACATATGGCTAGCCAGTTTTCCCAGCACCATTTATTAAATAGGGAATCCTTTCCCCATTGCTTGTTTTTCTCATGTTTGTCAAAGATCAGATAGTTGTAGATAAGCGGTGTTATTTCTGAGGGCTCTGTTCTGTTCCATTGGTCTATATATCTATTTTGGTACCAGTACCACACTGTTTTGGTTACTGTAGCCTTGTAGTACAGTTTGAAGTCAGGTAGCGTGATGCCTCCAGCTTTGTTCTTTTGGCTTAGGATTGACTTGGCGATGCGGGCTCTTTTTTGGTTCCATATGAACTTTAAAGTAGTATTTTCCAATTCTGTGAAGAAAGTCATTGGTAGCTTGATGGGGATGGTATTCAATCTATAAATTACCTTGGGCAGTATGGCCATTTTCACGATATTGATTCTTCCTATCCATGAGCATGGAATGTTCTTCCATTTCTTTGTACCCTCTTTTATTTCATTGAGCAGTGGTTTGTAGTTCTCCTTGTAGAGGTCCTTCACGTCCCTTGTAAGTTGGATTCCTAGGTATTTTATTCTCTTTGAAGCAATTGTGAATGGCAGTTCACTCATGATTTGGCTCTCTGCTTGTCTGTTATTGGTGTATAAGAATGCTTGTGATTTTTGTACATTGATTTTGTATCCTGAGACTTTGCTGAAGATGCTTATCAGCTTGAGGAGATTTTGGGCTGAGACAATGGGGTTTTCTAGATATACAATCATGTCATCTGCAAACAGGGACAATTTGGCTTCCTCTTTTCCTAATTGAATACCCTTTATTTCCTCCTCCTGCCTAATTGCCCTGGGCAGAACTTCCAACACTATGTTGGATAGGAGTGGTGAGAGAGGGCATCCCTGTCTTGTGCCAGTTTTCAAAGGAAATGCTTCCAGTTTTTGCCCATTCAGTATGATATTGGCTGTGGGTTTGTCATAGTTAGCTCTTATTATTTTGAGATACCTCCCATCAATACCTAATTTATTGAGAGTTTTTAGCATGCAGGGTTGTTGAATTTTGTCAAAGGCCTTTTCTGCATCTATTGAGATAGTCATGTGGTTTTTGTCTTGGGTTCTGTTTATATGCTGGATTACATTTATTGATTTTCATATATTGAACCAGCCTTGCATCCCAGGGATGAAGCCCACTTGATCATGGTGGATAAGCTTTTTGATGTGCTGCTGGATTCGGTTTGCCAGTATTTTATTGAGGATTTTTGCATCAATGTTCATCAAGGATATTGGTCTACAATTCTGTTTTTTAGTTGTGTCTCTGCCCGGCTTTGGTATCAGGATGATGCTGGCCTCATAAAATGAGTTAGGGAGGATTCCCTCTTTTTCTATTAATTGGAATAGTTTCAGAAGAACTGGTACCAGCTCCCCCTTGTACCTCTGGTAGAATTCGGCTGTGAATCCATCTGGTCCAGGACTTTTTTTGGTTGGTAAGCTATTGATTATTGCCACAATTTCAGATCCTGTTATTGGTCTATTCAGAGATTCAACTTCTTCCTGGTTTAGTCATGGGAGGGTGTGTGTGGCGAGGAATTTATCCATTTCTTCTGGATTTTCTAGTTTATTTGCACAGAGGTGTTTGTAGTATTCTCTGATGGTAGTTTGTATTTCTGTGGGATCAGTGATGATATCCCCTTTATCATTTTTTATTGCATCTATTTGATTCTTCTCTCTTTTCTTCTTTATTAGTCTTGCTAGCGGTCTATCAATTTTGTTGATCCTTTCAAAAAACCGGCTCCTGGATTCATTAATTTTTTGAAGGGTTTTGTGTCTCTATTTCCTTCAATTCTGCTCTGATTTTAGTTATTTCTTGCCTTCTGCTAGCTTTTGAATGTGTTTGCTCTTGCTTTTCTAGTTCTTTTAATTGTGATGTTAGGGTGTCAATTTTGGATCTTTCCTGCTTTCTCTTGTGGGCATTTAGTGCTATAAATTTCCCTCTACACACTGCTTTGAATGTGTCCCAGAGATTCTGGTATGTTGTGTCTTTGTTCTCGTTGGTTTCAAAGAACATCTTTATTTCTGCCTTCATATCCTTACGTACCCAGTAGTCATTCAGGAGCAGGTTGTTCAGTTTCCATGTAGTTGAGCAGTTTTGAGTGAGTTTCTTAATCCTGAGTTCTAGTTTGATTGCACTGTGGTCTGAGAGACAGTTTGTTGTAATTTCTGTTCTTTTACATCTGCTGAGGAGTGCTTTACTTCCAACTATGTGGTCAGTTTTGGAGTAGGTGTGGTGTGCTGCTGAAAAGAATGTACATTCTGTTGATTTGGGGTGGAGAGTTCTGTAAATGTCTATTAGGTCCGCTTGGTGCAGAACTGAGTTCAATGCCTGGTTATCCTTGTTAACTTTCTGTCTCGTTGATCTGTCTAATGTTGACAGTGGGGTATTAAAGTCTCCCATTATTATTGTGTGGGAGTCTAAGTCTCTTTGTAGGTCACTCAGGACTTGCTTTATGAATCTGGGTGCTCCTGTATTGGGTGCATATATATTTAGGATAGTTAGCTCTTCTTGTTGAATTGATCCCTTTACCATTATGTAATGGCCTTCTTTGTCTCTTTTGATCTTTGTTGGTTTAAAGTCTGTTCTATCAGAGATGAGGATTGCAACCCCTGCCTTTTTTTGTTTTCCATTTGCTTGGTAGGTCTTCCTCCATCCTTTTATTTTGAGCCTATGTGTGTCTCTGCACGTGAGATGAGTTTCCTGAATATAGCACACTGATGGGTCTTGACTCTTTATCCAATTTGCCAGTCTGTGTCTTTTAATTGGAGCATTTAGTCCTTTTACATTTAAAGTTAATATTCTTATGTGTGAATTTGATCCTGTCATTATGATGTTAGCTGGTTATTTTGCTCGTTAGTTGATGCAGTTTCTTCCTAGCCTTGATGGTCTTTAGAATTTGGCATGATTTTGCAGTGGCTGGTACAGGTTGTTCCTTTCCATGTTTAGTGCTTCCTTCAGGAGCTCTTTTAGGGCAGGCCTGGTGGTGACGAAATCTCTCAGCATTTGCTTGTCTGTAAAGTATTTTATTTCTCCTTCACTTATGAAGCTTAGTTTGGCTGGATATGAAATTCTGGGTTGAAGATTCTTTTCTTTAAGAATGTTGAATATTGGTCCCCACTCTCTTCTGGCTTGTAGAGTTTCTGCCGAGAGATCTGCTGCTGGTCTGATGGGCTTCCCTTTGTGGGTAACCCGACCTTTCTCTCTGGCTGCCCTTCACATTTTTTCCTTCATTTCAACTTTGGTGAATCTGACAATTATGTGTCTTGGAGTTGCTCTTCTAGAGGAGTTATCTTTGTGGTGTTCTCTGTATTTCCTGAATCTGAATGTTGGCCTGCCTTGCTAGATTGGGGAAGTTCTCCTGGATAATATCCTGCAGAGTGTTTTCCAACTTGGTTCCATTCTCCCCATCACTTTCAGGTACATTAATCAGACGTAGATTTGGTCTTTTCACATAGTCCCATATTTCTTGGAGGCTTTGTTCATTTCTTTTTATTCTTTTTTCTCTAAACTTCCCTTCTCACTTCATTTCATTCATTTCATCTTCCATCACTGATACCCTTTCTTCCAGTTGATCGCATCGGCTCCTGAGGTTTCTGCATTCTTCACGTAGTTCTCGAGCCTTGGCTTTCAGCTCCATCAGCTCCTTTAAGCACTTATCTGTATTGGTTATTCTAGTTATACATTTGTCTAAATTTTTTTCAAAGTTTTTAACTTCTTTGCCTTTGGTTTGAATTTCCTCCTGTAGCTCGGAGTAGTTTGATCACCTGAAGCCTTCTTCTCTCAACTCATCAAAGTCATTCTCCATCCAGCTTTGTTCCATTGCTGGTGAGGAACTGCGTTCCTTTGGAGGAGGAGAGGTGCTCTGATTTTTAGAGTTTCCAGTTTTTCTGCTCTGTTTTTTCCCCATCTTTGTGATTTTATCTACTTTTGGTCTTTGGTGATAGTGATGTACAGATGGGTTTTTGGTGTGGATGTCCTTTCTGTTTGTTTGTTAGTTTTCCTTCTAACAGACAGGACCCTCAGCTGCAGGTCTGTTGGAGTTTGCTAGAGGTCCACTCCAGACCTTGTTTGCCTGTGTATCAGCAGCGGTGGCTGCAGAACAGCGGATTTTCGTGAACCGCGAATGCTGCTGTCTGATCATTCCTCTGGAAGTTTTGTCTCAGAGGAGTACCTGGCCGTGTGAGGTGTCAGTTTTGTGGTGGGAATGTGGAGCCCTGGAGTCTCTCACTAACCTCTTTCCTAAGTCCAGGAACTTATCTTGACTCCCAGCCCTGCCTGGCCAAGCTGGCTACCTAAATTCCTTCTTTTTTGCTTTTGGTGCTTTCTGTTGCTTTTCTGTTCAACCCAGTGCTGTTAGATGTTCTGTTCAAAGTGTGAATATCTGCTTGTTATTTATTTTGATTCCTCCCTGTGACAGAGGCACGTACTAGCTGTATCCACTAAGCTATCTTGAACCCCCCTTTATTATAATCTTATGGGACCACCATCATATATGTGGTCTGTCATTGACCTAAACATTATTATGCACTGCATGACAATACTGATGTATGCTACTACATAAATGAAGCTTGAAAATATTATGCTAAATGAAAGAAAACAGTCACAAAATACATATTATATAACTCCATTCATATAATGTGTCCAGAACAGGGAAAACAGTGGAAACAAAAAGTAGATTAGTACTGTGATTAGGTAGATTAGTACTGTGATTAGTACTGTGATTAGATAAGGGCTGTGCAGGATGGGGAAAGAAAAGAGGGCTGGGAAGTAGTAGCAATTTTGATTTGATAAAAAATGTACTAAATCTAACTGGTGAGATTACAAACAAACACCTACAAATATACTGAAATCCACTGAGTTGTGTATTTTAAATGGGTGAATTCTATGGTATTTGATTTATATCTCAATAAAGTTGTTACCCCTAAAACAGCATTTTACTGTATTTATAGCTCAGACATTTCAATTAGGTATGTTCCTCAAATTCCAGCTGGCTATTTTAATTGAAACTTTTTACATGGTCAGAAAACTCTCACAATATCTTGCCAGGTGATTAAAACACCTTGATTTCTTTGCTCATAACAAGCTTCATAGGAGTTTTGTTTAATTAAAAATTAATTACTTTTGGTTAATGGAGTTTTCTCTATTTGTGTTCTTTAGCCACTTATTGAAAGTACTAAATCAGAGAAACTCAGACAACTTTTCACCTTTATCTGATAAGCTCTACATTTGATCATTTTCTCAAGTGGACAAGCAACCACTTTGCTTTTTAACTGAATCTTTAATAATTCCTTCAAAAAGTTGAGAAAATGCTTCTTTTATTCAAATATATCATTTATCTCGGGCAGATATGGTTTAGCTGTGTCCCCACCCAAATCTCATCTTGAATTGTAGTTCCCATAATCCCCACATATCATGGGTGGGACCTGGTGGGAGGTAATTGAATCATAGGGGCAGTTACCCCCATGCTGTTCTTCTCATGATAGTGAGTGAGCTCTCACAAGATCTGATGGTTTCGTAATGGGCTTTTCCCCCTTTTGCTCGGCACTTCTCCTTGCTGCCACCATGTGAAGAAGGATGCGTTTGCCTCCTCTTCTGCCATGATTGTAAGTTTCCTGAGGCCTTTCCAAGCCTGTGGAACTGTGAGTCAATTAAACCTCTTTTCTTTATAAATTACCCAGTCTCGGGAATGTCTTTATTAGCAGTGTGAGAACTGACTAATACACAGACAGATAAAAAACTGTAACCGTTCATTTCAGTATGCTTTTGAACTAGCTACCAAATATATCTTTAGCAACATTCCATGGAATATATTTACCCTGATTATGTCTCAGGAAAACAAGGAAATTTTGTCTTTGCTGAGAATACAGTAACAAGTCAATGGGGAAAGAAAGAACTTCATGGTGTTGCAGGCATGAGTAGAAATAGGCAGGCTGGTGATGGGTCAGAAAGAAACACCTAGAAAACTAATCACAGTGGGCTCACAGCCCACTTCTGCAATCTTACCCCCTTACCTTAATATTTCCATTACCCTTACTAGAAAGCATATGCCCCATAACCAAAAGTAGCTATGGTATCTTAGAAAAGCATTTCTCTCCAGATGTCACCAAGATTTTTACCTCTCTCTTAACTCTATTTTTAATCTATTAATATGCCTAGAATGGCTATGGACAGGAATGGATAGCAAGAGATATCCTATGATTATTAATATTTCAGAGAAAGTACTAGAGACAAGGACATTGAGTATTATGAGAGGGATAAGATGATGCCTCCATTCCACCTCATAATTTCTAGCCACTGCCTTAATTTCTAGTATAGGGAAGTGTGACATTTGAGATAAAATTCAACTTGTTCTGAACACATGCCAACTGTTTATGGAGCAATTTGTGGACAGATATATTAACCATCCTTCCACAAGTCAGGACAAGAAAGCTAAATTGTAGAACTGCAGAGTTACATTAGGACAAATGTCTAATTTCTGTTAAGGGTATATAGTATTTAAGTCACTACGCTCCTATCAAGACCAGTTCAAGAAACGTAATGTTTATTAGTAGACCAAAGTATTATATTCCTATTCATCACCTCTCAAATAATTCACAAAAATAAAATAATATTACATAACACTAAATGACAATAAAAATTTTATTCTGAAATAATTTGAATTGCAAATATGCTGCAACCTTGGGAATGGATAGGTGAGTAATCTGGTGACACAGAAGCATCTGGTTTTTCTTGATTTATAAATCTTCCCCTGGAGTTTTTATACTACTCCATGGAGACACATTATGGAGAACCATGGATGTAGCCTACTTGAAATTTAACACTTGTAAACAGGGTCTTATTCAGAAGGTCACCATCTGCAATTAAACATCATTCTAAAATCCCAGAGGAAATGAAATTTTAAGTGTGACATTCTTTGGATCATTTCTACAGTTTATTAAATTGCAAGAAATAAACATTCTAATTTTTATTCATTTTTAGTTATTCTGCTTTTTAAAGCTGTGAGTAATGTATTAGTAGTACTTGGTATTTTCTGGACCACAGTTTTCCTTTCTTAACATTTATATTTGGAAATCCTGAATCTGTCTCGTTCTTGCTACACGCACAGTGACTGTGAGGGATGGGTCAAAGATAGATACTAAATTCATGGTGCAGACATAATTAATTATCCATATGGTAAAAGATGAAAGTATGTCTTAGCTCACACCATACATAAAAATAAATTATCTAAATGGCAATACTAAAATCTCTAACTTTTTAAACAAAAATATGTTTAAGAAATCAGGTTAGGATTAAATTCATACAAAAAAGTTTCTTCGGAAAGCAAATATCAACTTGTTCTGATTCTGATCATGATGAATTATTGGATGTATCTGTCCTCCCTCACACTGTAAACAATTATAAAATACACAAAGTGTACAATGCAATTGTTTGAAGACACTGGAGGGCAAAAAGGATAGTACTCTGATCCCTGGAGTACCATAGGAGATGAGTTCCACGTCAGCCTAATTTTCTCTCTGGGGGAATTTTTAAATATCACCACAGGGAAATGAGTTCTAAATAGAGAGCAGTAGTTTCACTAGTGGAGGAAACAAAGATCAGAGTTAGAAGGTAAAATGATGGCTAGAATTTCTGGGACAATATACTAGATAGGAAGGAGATGTACAGAGAGGGAGCCTCATAGTCTGATAGAAGTTTCCTGGCACTGTTGAGCAAATATTTAACTACACAGTAATCTCCCCTTACCTACAAGGGGTACATTCCATGATCCCCAGTGGATGCCTGAAACTCAGATAGTAATAAACCCTACATATGCTATGCTTTTTCTATGCAAAGATACCTATGGTGAAGTTTCATGTATATATTAGGCACAGTAAGAGATTAACAATAACTAATAATAAAATAAAACAATTATAACAATATTCTGTAATAAAGTATGTGAATGGTCTCTCTACACACACACACACACACACACACACACACATACTCCCTCTCTCTCTCTCAAAATATTTTATTGTACTGCTCTCACCTATTTTCAGACTCCAGTAGACCTCAGGTAATTGAAACACAGAAAGTGTTTCAAGGGGTGTCTAGGGGGACTACTGTACATGTGCAAAGCAGTATTCTGTGACGCCTATCAAAGAAGGTGGTGTATGAGTGAAGCAAATATGTTAAAAGACATACAGGACCATAAACTTTGGAGTTACAACCAGATATAGTTTAAAAAAACTAATTGAACACCCTAGGCATTCAGTTAAAGACTCCGAAAGCCCACACATTAGAAGTAGAGGTACCTTGGCCCAAGAATAAAGATAAGGATAAGGAATACTGTAGACTTACTTTATAAAAGCTAAAACCAGACTTTGTCAAGATCATGCTAAGCTACCAGTAAAGTAACCATCTTCCAGAATGAAAGTCAATATTTTTTAAAATGAAAAAACAAAGTTATATGCTCAACAATATAGCATTGACAATGACAAGCATGCAATCAATAACTATTACACATATGAAAAACTGGATAATGTGGCCCATAGGTAGGGGAGGAAATAGTAAATAGAGAACCTAGAGATGACAAAAAAACTGACAATAGCAAATCATGAGGCTATGGGGCAATAGGAACTCTAATTCATTTGATGGTGCAAATGCAAAATGGTACTGCCACTCTGAAAGACAGTTTGGCAGCTCTTACAAAGCTAAGTAGAGTCTTATTATATGATCCAGCAGTCCCACTCTTAGATATTTACACAATTGATTTGAAAACTCATGTCAAAACAAAAATCTTTCACATGAATGCTTACAACAGCATTATTTATAATCAAACATTGAAAGCAACCAAGATGTTCTTCAGTGGCTTAACAGCTAAATAAACTAGTACATCTACCAATTGGGTATGAGTAGGCTATTATTCTGCAATAAAAAGAAATGAGCCATGAAACCATGAAAAGACATGGAGGAATCTTAAATAGATATTGCTAACTGAAAGAAGACAATTGAAAAGGCTCCAACTTGTGTGACTCCAATTACATGGCATACTAGCAAATGGTAAAATTATAGAGACAGTAAAATTATAAGTGGTTGCCAGGAATTCAGGAGGAGGTAGGGATTAAAAAATGAAGCACAGGGAATTATCAGGGCAATAAAATTATTCTATATGATTTTTAAAGTTGCATACAAGACATTATGCATTTGACAAAACCCATAAATCTTTACAATACAAGGAGCAATCCTCAGTGTTTGCAAATTTAAAAAATAATTTAGGAGGTTGGAACATCTCAGGAAAACGTGCAGACTGAAAAAAGAATCTAACTGTATTACAAATATATGTGCCAAACTCTCTGAAGGAGATTGGGATAAAATGTACTGACCTAAGTAACTTTGGAAATGAGTGGAGTCTATAAGACTGAAGGCAAAAGGAACTGTACTTAAGCACTATATTTTAGTTGATATGGTTATTTCCCAGGGGTGTACAGGTTAGCAATTCTGATCCTGCTACACATGTATTCCAGAACAGAACAATCAAGTAGATGGATGGCAGAAGGTGGGAGCCAATCATCTTACTGTTGGAGTTAGAGTTCATGGAAAAGCAAGAATTCACTTGATAATGGATTAGTTTAACACACAAGTATGAATTCATGTTTAACTTAATATATTGATGTGGATAGTTATTAATTATTTATAGGTATGTGCATAAACACAAGTTAGTATAAACACATTTAGTTTTAGGTTTGTCACTCTATCAGTAACTAGCACTTTGAGTACCCAGAGCTTGGGTTCTAATATTATTCCCTGATAATAGGGACTAGTGCTCCTTGGAGAAACGGCTGATTCCAGGACTGGGGCAGAAAATATACAAGATAAGCCTGGAGCACAATTTTCCTATCTGTGTCCTTCTTCAGCTCTTTGTGCATCTTTTAAGACAGTTATTTTAAAGTATTTATTAAATCAAATTCTGGGATTCCTCAGACATGACATTTTTTGTTCCTTCAGGTGGGCTATACTTTTCTGAGGTTTTTTAATGCCTTGTGATTTTTTAAAATTGAAAACTGTCTATTTCAATCTTACATTGTGTTAACTCTGGAAATTGTATTCTTCGTCTGCTTCCAGAACATGTTGTCTTTTTTATTGTTGAAGGGTATCTCTGTGCTGAGGATTTGCCTGAGGTGAAAGCTTAAAGTCATCTCAGGACTTAGTTCTGGGTCTACGTCCTTCCATGGGCTTGCATGGCGGCTTTCTAAATGCCCTGATATGTGTGGTTGTTTTTGAATATTCTAATCTTTAAATGCCTGACTTCTAAAAGGGGAAAAGGGGGTAAAAAACAGTGGGAGTTAAGACAGTGATATCCGAGATAGTGGTAGCTAGCCTCTGTGCCTGAACCTGAGTGATCAGAAACAACAGTCAGCAATCAGAACTCGGAAACTGAATACACGGAGGACAAACTCTTGCTTGTCCATCTTGGCTCCAGCAAGACACACCAAAAACAGGCATGACTGCCTAACACAGGGCTAGGGGGTGGGTAGCCGCTACTACCCTAAAGGTTGAAGTTGGCTAAATTAAACAGTTTACTAACCATGTTTTCCCCTGGAAGCTGCAGGCTTTCAAATAGACTCCAGATTTCCAAAATAGTTACATCAAACAGTTTCTGCCAGTACAACTGTTTTCTGTGTGGAGAATCCGATTCTTGGTGCTTCCTACTTCACCATCCTCCTGATGTCACCCCAGATAAGATTTTAAGCAGTGCTAAGTTGTATGATTCTGAGAGAAACAAAAGATACAAAATGAATAGGACATCTTAAACTACAGGTTATACAGAAGGATTAAGAAGAGAGAGCCAAATATAAAATCTCTTTTCTATTCTCCTCTGTATTATTAATAAAAAACAATTAGAACCCAAGACAGTGATCTTTTCTCCCATCCAATGACTTTCCTCATAATTTGAGTTGGTGTTAGCATCAAGCGCCATTGCCTAGTCGTTATCCAATACTGGTTTCAATTTGAAATTAATTGTCCGTATGCCTTGGTTTGTTGTAATGTACTTCCCTTTTTACTGATGCATATATATTCTAGAGACCAGATCTGAGGCAAAGAGACACAAGGGAGCTATGTAACACACTGAATGAAACCATTAAGATAACTGCTTTTACCCGGTCCTGAGTAGGTACGACAATCCGTCATCACACTGTTTAGTCAGTCTCTCATACCTCATCATCCTCAACTGGTGAACATGAATCAGAATGATAAATCCTTAAGATTAAATATCACTTCCTCAAAGAACAGCCAAATGTATTCTCCTAGCCAGATGGGGAGATAATGAGCGTTCACATTTACTACAGAGAGGAATGTATTACTGTCTGATCATCACAGTCCAAAGGGCAATCTAAAATCTACTGGAGTGTTAAAAGGAAACATTCAGCTCACCAACACAATTATAAGCTCAGGGACGTTATTATTTGCCAAGCTGGAGTTTTTATGTTCTGCGTTAACATGATCTCCTTTTTCTCATCCACTTAGTAGAGCTTAATGTGTAGAGAAGTCAGAGCCATACTAGGAGGAGAAAAAGGTCACTGATATTCATACTGCAAGTCATTACCTAACTTCATGATTTTTCAAACAACAATTATTAAAATAAAATAATAGAATAGAATGAAAGGAAATGAAATGAATGGAGCTGAGTAGAAAACAGGACAGAATAAAACACTCAGATATCAAATACATAAGGACACTGCTTCTTAAAACTTCCTGATTAGATATTTGTAAGAATATCTTTTCATGAATCATGATATTAAAAATTTGAAAAACTTGTTTCCTATAGAACTAGATTTTGAGATTGGGTTCAATCAATTTGGGGAAGGAGAATTTGAGATGATTACCAGGAAAAGGTGAGAGTATAAGGAAACCAGTTTATTTTTAGTAACAATAGAAATGATAAAAATAATTATTATTTGTAACAATTGTACATGAGACATATATGAAAGGCCTTCATAACATATTTAGCACTGACGGGCATATCAATCTTTCCTTTATCTAAGAAGGATTTTTGTTGTTGTCACTTTTAAAAATATTAATAATAATACTTGGGTCTTTCCCTTTAGGCCTGCCTATGACTGTGTGTGTTTGATAGACCACACAGGTGTATGCACAGTTAGTGCAGAAAACACTGTCATTATGCAAATGTGACAAGTGAAACACCTAGTCAGAATAAATCTCCTTGATGCAAACATATCTAACAGGAGGTTTACATGGTTTTGCCTCCTGAGAGCATAGAATGCTTAATTTTAATTGTCAAGGAAGAACCATCTATTTCGGAAGTCTACGTAGAATTCTTCTTAGAAATCTACATAGAATACTAAAGGTATGTAATCATTAATTTGTGGTATAAGTTAATGAAAGATTTATTAAGAATATCTGAGATGCTTTGCAATAAATGCATAGAATTTACCATGCACAGTTACATTACAGTACAAGAAACATAGTTTCTGCAAAGAAACTCTGGTTTTCTTACCCAAGAACTGCTTATAGTCCTAAATGGAGAGGCTAGGAGAACAGTCTTTCTTCTGTATGGTCTCTGTCTACTTAAGAGTGCTTGCTCCATGCTCTTTTTGGTTAGGGTGGCTGTATCTTCCTCTGGCTCAATGCTCTAATGTGTTAGCATAGAGATTTCTTAGACATTGCTGGATTACAGCATGTCAGGATTACACATGTTGACTCTTTGTAACCTAACTGCACCTGACTTCAGACTCTTTAGGGCTGCCATTCTTCTGGCCTAGAATCAGCCAGTGTTCTTACACTCATTGACTACTGGGAAAACATTTTAAAGTGAATTTGATGGGAAGTGTCTTTTCCTACTTAGAGCCCAAACAACAACAACAAAAAACAGATCTTAGCAAGTACAAATATGTGGATTCCGTTACCCTTTTTGTTAAGTGAACTTTAGATAACTGTAATGAAATAATAACACTTGGATCACTCCACACTCAATATTTTATGTGGTCACACAATTTACATCGCTTTTTATTATTTATTCAAACACTGGGAGAAGTCTGAGAAATGACAGACATCATCATGGACAATGGGAAAGGATTTGGGCAGACAGGGAAAGAGAGAAAACTGCAAATGACAACAACTTCAGGCTTCACTCTAAACCACTCACTTAACACAAGCACATCTTCTATACTGACAAGATCAATGTAGGTACTAACTATGCCCGAGGCATGGGGCAATATAAAAATGAATAATATTTGGGCTCTCCATTCATAGAATGTACATTCTATAAGGAAAGATGGGCCAAATGCATAATTATCTGAAGTGCTAGGTTGAAAATGATACACCAGTGAGCAGGGCTGCAAGTTGAGTGTTGGGTTCTTGCACATCACACTTCTAATAGCTGCCAGCAATCCCAATCTGATAGCAAAAACCATTTCAGCACATGAGCATAGAAAATATTTCAACTTATTAATTTTTTTGAGTAATTTTTGCTTTCTCATTAAGCCAACCTATTGGGAAATTCATTGAAGGAAGGCAATATAAGTTAATGCACATATCTTTGTAGGTCAATTTATTACTAGAGAGTGGGATTATCAATCCTCAGGCCTACATTAGCAGGGACTTGATCATACCTTCTGAGTCTTAATTCCTTAGAGAACAAGAACTTCCTCTAAAATAGTACTGTTTAAAGCTCACAAAACAATCAAACTTGTATTTTTCACACAGCTAGTATCCTTTCACCTACTTTTGAGAACAATCAGTGTGACTGACAGGTGGAGAAGCAAATATTGGGCAAGAAAATTGGAATTCTCACTGAAATTGAGAAAGAGACAGATATGCTAAAAGGCCCCCACTGGGACAAGCTCATTGTAGTAAGAGGGACACAGATGAAATACAATTAGTGATATAAAATGAATGTCTGAAATGTAATGTACAAGTGATTATATGATTTTAGAGCCAGCAACTGAGTCTCCTTTTTGTGAAATCCCGAGTGGTACTTAGCTTGCACTTTAGAAGTTCCCAAAGTGCATCTGAGAGACTACATATATCCTCCTTGACTTGGAAAAAAAATAATCTTTAGCACTGATAGGGTATCCAGTAATATCTTAGCTAGCTGGGAGAAATAAGGGCTGGAGTCAAGGAATATATCCAGTAAACAAAGTCTGTATACAAGTTAATGACTTAAAATTGAAGCCTCCCCTTACATTCCTTGTGTAGCAGATTGGAAAACCCACATGTGATGAATCAGGAAGAGAAATCCTATAAAATGTAACCCTTATCTTTTAAAAAATGAAAAAGGGAAGAATGAAAGGAGTCAGATATTTATTTTCCTCCTCTTTAAGCGTCTCTGTATAACTGACCTCATTATGAATCATTTTGATTTGATCACAATATGCTTTGGTTAAAATACTTTTATATTAACCTAAAGTCTATACCAAAAGTACAGACTTCTTCCCAATTTTCGCTACATATTTCATGGAGTGTTATTGGATATGGTGGTAGGTATAAGATCAAATACATGCATGAACAAACATTTTAGGCAATTCCAGAAGTTTCACAGATTCTAAACAGGAACTGCAACTTTTCTTTTTAGCTTTTCTCACTGTATAGGCAGAAATCCAAGTCCACTGGCACCTACTCTGCAATAACCTTAGTATCTGCTAATTTTGTACTTAATAAAGGGTTTCTTGTTCCTCTGTAACAGTTTCTTGGAGTTACTCATTTACAAATTAATTCCACATCCAAGGTGAAGATATATCTCCCTTATTGTCCTAAACAGGATTACTTGAAATTTTTTGCAAGTTTAGAAATAT
Organism: Homo sapiens; assembly: GCF_000001405.40. Classification (NCBI taxonomy): domain Eukaryota; kingdom Metazoa; phylum Chordata; class Mammalia; order Primates; family Hominidae; genus Homo; species Homo sapiens. The sequence goes on from NC_000003.12 coordinate 36,064,695, forward strand.
TGTTATACTTTACAGTTCTTTTAAATTTTTCTTCACATATATGAAGAAAACACACACACACACACACACATATATATGTGTGAGGGAGAGTAACAGAAGTCAGCTATAACTCATAAGTAGCAAAAAGTGCCTTTATCTCATTCAATGACAGTGAAATTAAATTGCTCTTATGGGCTTTTATGACACATTTTTCTATTATTTTCATAACAATCTCTCTCTGCAAACTTCTACTATCACCAGGCACTTCTAATCAGGGTATTCTCTTTCCTTCAAATGTGTAACCCTAACTATGTCCTACATCCCATTGCATTGTCAGCTGTGAGACCTCCATATCTGCAGAGAAATTCTCCCCAACACAGGAGCGCACTAAAGTCTGGGCCCATTCTAAATTCTCTGCACGTAAAATGGCCAAATGATTGCAGTGGCAGTGACCGTAAATCTTGCTTGTCATGGTTATCAGTAAGTGTTCCTGTTTTATTAGTAGGGACAGAATCTAAAGTGCATCCTAAGATCAGGTTCAATGCTAGACCTGCACATTCATTCTGGATAAGATAACAAAGAGAAAAAAGCTTTTTGTTTTGCCATAGTTTGTGGTTCAGTTAGCATCTGTTTCTTTCAAGCCCATAGAATCAAAATCAGAGATGACTTCTCTGAATAAATGTGTTTTTCAGAAAACAATAATTCTGGTCAGATTGCTTATTAAGGTAACACCTGGCACAAACATGAGACTACAGTGTTAACTAACCACATAGCCCACCTGAAATCTGTCCAGAAAAATGTGAAATGGCCCCTGCTAAGAAACCATGAAGCAATGAGTCACAAACACACAGCTAACACCTAGGGAGACATAAACACAGATGTCATCTCCTCTTCCTTCCTTCCTTACTGCTTTTAACTCACACCCACCAAGGAAAGACGGTGATGAGATTTTTCACAGATGTTATGTGGGTAGGATGGGATTAGGTTATTTGTTGGAATATTTTTTCTTTTTTCTTTTTTTTGTATGCGTATGTTTGTGTTTGTTTTATTTAATGTAACACCACAATTTCTCTAGAAATAACATTTATCTTCAATCTCCATTTGATTATTATTCCTTAAAATAATTTAAAGTGAAGGACTAAGTATGCTTAAGTTGATATTGGCTACATTGTTATAAAGATTTTAGATAAGGAGACACAGACAAATAATGAGAAAGATGAAAGAAGAGAGAAAAGAAAATAGAAGAAAAAAAAGAAGGAAAAAGTGAAAAAAAAAGTAAAGGAATGTCAAAAACAAGAGTAAACAAAGGATAGCATATCATTTTGGTGCCTAAATTATGAGCATTTTCCTGGCACTGTTGAGGCGATATTTATTATTACTATTATTCAATAAATAGCATGCCTTCTTCCTGAAATCTCAATCTGAATTTTAAAATTCTGGGATTATAATTGCTTAGTGAGCTCTTCTATCCATATTCCCATGACACTCAGACAAGAAGTCCATTTGCCCTTTCGTGCTACATTACAATTATGAATATGCTTTAAAAATCTGAACTACAGTGACTTATTGTCGTGGGTTGAATTTTGTTGCCCTAAAATTCATATTTCTAACCCTTAGTCCCTTAGAATGTGGCCTTATTTGCACACAGTGTCTTTTACAGAGGTAATCAGGTTAAAATGAAGTAATTAGGCTATGTCATCATCCAATATGACCAGTGTCCTTATAGAAGGGGGAAATTTGAAGACAGACATGCACATAGAGAGAATGTCATATGAAGATGAAGAGAGAGATTGAGGGGACATTTCTACAAGCCAAGAAAAGCCAAAGATTGCCAGCAAACCATCAGAAGCTAGGCTAGAGGCATGAAATGGATTTTCTCTGAAAATTTTCAGAAGAAACCAACCCTGACGACACATTTACTTTGGATTTCTATCTTTCAGAACTGTGAGACAATGCGTTTCTTTTGTTTTTTTTTTTTTTTTTTTTTTTTTTTGAGACGGAGTCTCGCTCTGTCGCCCAGGCTGGAGTGCAGTGGCGCAATCTCGGCTCACTGCAAGCTCCGCCTCTCGGGTTCACGCCATTCTCCTGCCTCAGCCTCCCGAGTAGCTGGGACTACAGGCGCCCGCCACTACGCCCGGCTAATTTTTTGTATTTTTAGTAGAGACGGGGTTTCACCGTGTTAGCCAGGATGGTCTCGATCTCCTGACCTCGTGATCCGCCCGCCTCGGCCTCCCAAAGTGCTGGGATTACAGGCGTGAGCCACCGCGCCCGGCCGTTTCTTTTGTTTAAACCACCCAGTTTGCGATATTTTGTTATGGCAGTCCTAGCAAACTAAGACACTGGTTTTACTCTCTTTATGTTCTTTAGGACTTACCTACCACCAACAAAGGATTAAATGCTCTATGCAGTTAGAAATAGAGTAGAAATCAAGATAAATGTCTTCAGTGAGATATAGAAGGGCCTCCACTTAACAACATCCCACTTTAAAATCTTGATATTCCAGAGAGAAAACATGCAACCATTGAAATGGTAACAATCGGGCAAAAATTGAAAAAAAGAAACAAACATGACACCAACCATATAAATTATGGAATAAAACTCACAGCTTTACTTGTTCTGAACCAGTGTACACATCTTAAATGTCATCAAGATACAAAATACAACAAATGAAAGTGTGTAAGTCCCTCCTCGTGTTGAGACCTTTCCCTGTCATAATCAAAGCGTGCTAAGGCATTATGTCCCCAGACCCACACAACAACATTTTTGTAGTGAGATGTTTCATACTATACCTTCCCTAAGAGGTAGAATGAATATGTAACAAAAAAAGCATGATTTGCATGGATAGGCAGGTAAGTATTTACCTCTTGAATGCTAAGAAGGGTACTAATCTAAAGCTCCTTATCCCCATAATTCTATCACAGTGCATTCTGGAAAATTATGCTTTTTGCTTCCTTTTATATGAAAATACTAGTCCCAGAGTTGCAGTCAATTTCAATACACATTTTAGATGCAATCTCTATTTAAGAAGCAGCAACACTTAACTCATAGCTATCATAAAATAAAGGGCTCCTACCACTAAAGAGACTTGATTGGTCCTCATGATAGGTGGACTGGGATTAAAAACAATTTAACCAGATTTTTCAAATAAAGGCTACATTAGCAGACATGAGAATTTCAGTAATTAGAAATTTAGTAATTATATGTGATTATTCCTAAGGATACAATAGATATCGCTTATTGAGTACTTACTATGTACCAATTATTGGGCTTTGCATATATAATCTCATTTAAATCCTCACAAAACCAGAACATATTTTTCCTCTACTAAACTAATTTTGTCATAACAATTATGTTTGAAATACATAAGTGGATTAATTAGTTTTATTTTCAGGATTTTAAAATAATAGTTAAGTAATATTGTCATTCTTTTATGCAAACCCAACTATCCACCTGCTGCTCTTTGGAAGTCAAAGCTAGACAATGCACATGATTTTCAGATATCTGTGTATACTTATCAACCACCTGATTAATAGTCCCAGACTATAGTCTTAGCCTAATCACAGAATATTTTCTGCCACTTTTTATCAGAGGAAAATTAGTATTTTCCAATAGTACCCTTAGCCAGCAGACATCACCTGCAGAGCATTGTGGTAAACTCCATAATGAATAATTTGTAAGATTAGCTGTAAGAGAATATTCTATTCCCCTAAAATCTCATCACAAATTTAGGATTTTAATTTTTAAAAACATTTAGTACTATACAAGCCAGTGGGAGGTATATTCAAAAGCAAATATGTTTCACCAGGATTTAAGAAGAATATAACAGGACTGTAACAACCAAAATATTCAGCTCTATTCTTACCTAGGATAAATTAAAATGATTGATACAATAAAGAATGTATACATTCAAAATAGAGTAAAATAATAGGAATGTTAATTTACATTTTATAAGGATTTGCTGCTTATTCTATGCTTGATAACTACTTTGTCAGATAGTTAAAACTATAATGATTCTCCTATTATTTTACTTGAGAAAATGAAGACCCATAGTTTTCAAATAACTTGCCCAAAACAACACAACCTCTAAGTTACTGACATGCCAGCCTACTTCTAATAAGGGTTGTGGTAATTCCCAAGTACCTCAAAGATGTATGAGACCTAAATATGACCAGATGGAGACTTCACTGTACAGAAGAACTCAAATGGCACCACTTCCAATGCTTTTGAACTAAAAGTATTATTCTAAAACACCCCATGAGGTTGCCAGGTCTGTTTACACAGAGCAGCTGAAGAAAATGTATCTAAAGACTGTTTAGTTAGTTTTTATAAATTTTTATATATTATGTTTTTTAATATATTATTTATTTTAAGTTCTGTGGTACATGTGCAGGATGTGCAAATTTATTACATAGGTAAACGTGTGTCATGGTGGTTTGCTGTACCTATCAACCCATCACCTAAGTATTAAGCCCCACATACATTAGCTATTTTTCCTGATGTTCTCCCATCCCCTCAAACTCTCTCTCCCACAACAGGCCCCAGTGTGTGTTGTTCCCCTCCCCATGTCCACATATTCTCATTTTTCACTTCCCACTTATAAATGAGAACGTGCAGGGTTTGGTTTTCTGTTCCTGCATTACTTTGCTGAGAATAATGGCTTCCAGCACCATCCATGTCCCTGCAAAGGACATGATCTTGCTCCTATTTATGGCTGTGTAGTATTCCATGGTGGTAAATGTACCACATATTCTTTAACCAATCTATCTTTGATGGGCATTTGGGTTTATTCCATGTCTTTACTGTGGTGAATAGTGCTGCAATGAACATACACGTGCATGTATCTTTATAATACAATGATTTCTATTCCTTTGGGTATATACCCAGTTATGGGATTGCTGGGTTAAATGGTATTTCTGATTTTAGGTCTTTGAGGAATTGCCACACTATCTTTCACAATGGTTGAATTAATTTACATTCCCACCAACAGTGTAAAAACATTCCTATTTCTCCACAGCCTCACCAGTTGTTTCTTGATTTCATAATAATTGCCATTCTGACTGGTGTGAGATAGTATCTCTTTGTGGTTTTGATTTGCATTTCTCTAATGATCAGAGATGCTGAGCTTTTTCTAATATTTGTTGACTGCAAAAATATGTTCTTTTCAGAAGTGTTAGTTCATGTCTTTTGCCCACTTATTAATGGGGTTATTGTTTTTTTTTTTTGTAAATTTGTTTAAGTTCCTTGTAAACTCTGGATATTAGACCTTTGTCAGATGGCTAAATCGCAAAAATTTTCTCCCATTCTGTATGTTGTCTGTGTGATCCGATGATAGTTTCTTTGGCTGTGCATGGCTGTGCAGAAGCTCTTTAATTTGATCTCATTTGTCAATTTTTGCTTTTGTTGCAATTGCTTTTAGCATCTTCATCATGAAATATTTGCCCTTACCTCTGTCCTGAGTGATATTGCCTAGATTTTCTTCTAGGATTTTTAAAGTTTTGGGTTTTACATTTAAGTCTTTAATCCGTCTGGAGTTAATTTTTGTATAAGGTGTAAGGAACAGGTCCAGTTTCAACTTTCTGCATATGGCTAGCCAGTTCTCCCTGAACCACTTATTAAATAGGAAATCCTTTCCCCATTGCTTTTGTCAGGTTTGTCAAAGACCAGATGGTTGTACACGTGTGGTCTTATTTTTGAGTTCTCTATTCCATTGGTCTATGTGTCTGTTTTTGTACCAGTATCATGCTGTTTTGCTTACTGTAGCCTTGTAGTATAATTTGAAGTCAGGTAGCATGAAGCCTCCAGCTTTGTTCTTTTTGCTTAGGATTCTCTTGGCTATATGGGCGCCTTTGGTTCATATGAATTTTTAAATAGTTTTTTTCTAATTCTGTGAAGAATGTCAATGGCAGTTTGATGGGAATAACACTGAATCTATTACTTTGGGCAGTATGGCCGTTTTTGCAGTATTGATTGTTTCTATCCATGAGCATGGAATGTTTTTCCATTTTGTGTCCTCTCTTATTTCCTTCAGCAGTGGTTTGTAGTTCTTGAACAGGTCCTTCACTTCCCTTGTTAGCTGTTTTCCTAGGTATTTTATTCTCTTTGTAACAATTGTGAATGGGAGGTCACTTATTATTTGCTTCTCTACTTGTCTGTTGTCGGGGCACAGGAATGCTTGGGATTTTTGCACATTGATTTTGTATCCAAAGACTTTGCTGAAGTTGATTATCATCTTAAGAAGGCTTTGGGCTGAAACAATGGGGTTTTCTAAATATAGGATCATGTTATCTGCAAAGACAATTTGACTTCCTCTCTTTCTACTTGAATACCCTTTATTTCTTTCTCTTGCCTGATTGCCCTGGCCAGAACTTCCAATACTATGTTGAATAGGTATGATGAGAGAGGGCATCCTTTTCCTGTGCCAGTTTTCAAGGGGAATGCTTCCAGCTTTTCCTCATTCAGTATAATATTGGTTGTGCATTTGTCATAAATGGTTCTTATTATTTTACTGTATGCTCCTTCAGTACGTAGTTTGTTGAAAGTTTTTAACACAAATAAATATTGAATTTTATCAAAGGCCTTTTCTGCATCTATTGAGATAATCATGTAGATTGGGCTTTAGTTCTGTTTATGTGATGAGTTACATTTATTGATTTGTGTATGTTGAACCAACCTTGTATCCTGGGGATGAAGCTTACTTGATCGTCATGTATAAGCTTTTTGATGTGCTGCTGGATTTGGTTTGTCAGTAATTTATTGAGGATTTTTGCATCAATGTTCATCAGGAATATTGGCCTGAAGTTTTCTTTTTTGTTGTATCTCTGCCAGGTTTTCATGTCAGGGTGTTGTTGGCCTCATAAAATGCGTTAAGGAAGAGTCCCCTCCTTTTCAATTGTTTGGAATAATTTCAGAGGAAATGGTACCAGCTCCTCTTTGTAACTCTGGTAGAATTCACCTGTAAATCCACCTGATCCTGGGCTTTTTTTTTTTTTTTTTTTGTTGGTAGGCTATTTATTACTGCCTCAATTTCAGAACTTACTGTTGGTCTATTCAGGGATTCAACCTCTTCCTGTTTCAGTTTTGGGAGGGTGTATGCATCCAAGAATTCATCCATTTCTTCTAGATTTTCTAGTTTATGGGTAGATAGGTATTTATAGTATTCTCTTACAGTTGTTTGTATTTCTGTGTGGTCAGTGGTGGTATCCTCTTTATCATCTCTGATTGTATCTATTTGATTCTTCTTTCTTTTCTTCTTACTAGTCTAGCTAGCAGTCTATTTTATTATTTTTTTCAAAAAAAAAAGCACCTGGATTTGTTGATTTTTGAAAAGATTTCATGTCTCCATCTCCTTCATTTCTGCTCTGATCTTTGTTATTTCTTGTCTTCTGCCAGATTTGGGATTTGTCTGCTCTTGATACTCTAGTTCCTTTAGTTGTGTTGTTAGGATGTCACTTTGAGATCTTTCTAGCTTTCTGATGTGGACATTTAGTGCTATAAATTTCCCTGTTAACACGCTTTAACTGCATCCCAGAGATTCTCATACATTGTCTCTTTGTTCTCATTAGCTTCAAAGTACTTCTTGATTTCTGCCTTGATTTCATTAATTACCCAGAGATCATTTAGGAGCAGGTTGTTCAATTTCCATGTAGTTGTTTGGTTTTTATTGAGTTTCTTAATCTTGAGTCCTGATTTAATTATTCTGTGATCTGAGAGACTGTTATGATTTCACTTCTTTTACATTTTCTGAGAAATGTTTTACTTTCAAGTATATGATCAATTTTAGAGTAAGTGCCATGTAGCACCAAGAAGAATGTATATTCTATTGTTTTTAGGTAGAGAGTTCTGTAGATACTTATCAAGTGCACTCAATTTAGAGCTGAGTTCAGGTCCTGAATATGTTTGTTAATTTTCTGTTTTGATGATCTGTCTAATTTGGACGGTGTGGTGTCAAAGTCTCCCACTATTATTGTGTGGGAGCCTAAGTCTCTTTGCAGGTCTCTAAGAACTTGTTATAAATCTGGCTGCTCCTGTATTGGGTGCATATATATTTAGGTTAGTTAGCTCTTCTTGAATTGAACCCTTTACCATTACGTAATTCCTTCCTTTTCTTTTCTGATCTTTGTCTGTTTGAAGTCTTACTGGAGTTCCCTGGATTTCCTGAATTTGAATATTGGCCTGTCTTGCTAGATTGGGGACATTCTCCTGGACATTTTCCAACTTGGTTCCATTCTCCCCGTCTCTTTCAGGTACCCCAATCAGTTGTAGGTTCCGTCTTTTTACATAATCGCATATTTCTCAGAAATTTTGTTCACTTCTTTTCATTCTTTTTTCTCTAATCTTGTCTGTCTTATTTTAGCAAGATAGTCTTCAAGCTCTGAGAGTCTTTCCACCACTTGGTATATGTAGCTATTGACACTTGTGATTGCATTGTTAAGTTCTTGTGTTGTGTTTTTCAGTTCCATCAGGTTATTTATCTTCCTCTCTAAACTGGTTATTCTGGTTATCAGCTCCTGTAATGTTTTATCATATTACTTAGCTTCTTGCATTGGGTTAGAACATACTCCTTTAGCTCAGTTAAGTTCTGAAGTTCTGAAGCCTACTTCTGTTAATTCATCCATCTCAGCCTCGGCTCAGTTCTGTGCTCTTGCTGGAGAGGTGTTGCAATCATTTGGAGAAGAGGCACTCTGGCTTTTTGAGTTTTCAGCATTTTTGCATTGATTCTTTCTCATTTTTGTGGGTTTATCTACCTTCAATCTTTTAGGCTGCTGACCTTTGGATGGGATTTTTTGTGGAGTCTTTTTTGTTAATGTTCTTGTAGTTGTTGCTTTCTGTTGGTTTGTTTGTTTTCTTTTAACAATCAGTCCCTTCTTCCATAGGACTGATTTGGTTTGCTGGGGGTCCACTCCAGACACTATTTTCCTGGGTCCCTCCTACACTTGGAGGTATAACCAGTGGAGGCTGCAAAACAGCAAAGATGGCAGCCTGCTCCTTCCTGTGGGCACTCTGTCCCAGAGGGGCACCCACCTAATGCTGGCCGGAACGCTCCTGTATGAGGTGTCTGGAAACCCCTATTGGGAGGTCTCACCCAGACAGGAAGAATGGGATCAGGGACCTGCTTAAAGAAGCAATCTGGCTGTCCCTTGGCAGAGAAGGTGTGCTACAATGGGGCAAATCCCCCTTATCTGGACTGTCCAGACTCTCCAGAGCCAACTGGAAGGAAAGACTAAGTAAGCTGAACCATGCAGGTCGCAGCCACCCCTCCACTCAGGGGCTCCCCCAAAAGGAGGTCAGAGTTCCATCTGTAAACCCATGACTGGAGTTGTTCAAATTCCTGTGGGAAGGCTTCACCCAGTGATGAGGGATGAATAATGGTCCCACTTAGAGAAGCAGTCTGGCCACCATCTGCCACAGCCACTGTGCTGCACTGTGGGGAATGCCTCCCGGTCCAAACCTCCCAGTCTCCCCAGCACCGACAGGGGAAAACAGCCAACTGGAGCTACAGAGATGGTGGCCACCATTCCCCCCAAGAACTCAATTATCTTAGGCGGTCTCCAGCCTGCTGCCACTAAGCTGGCAGGGATTCCAAGCCAGTGGGTCTAAGCTCGTGAGGTTCCGTGGGAGTGGGGCCAGCTAAACATTGTCACTTTGCTCTCTGGTTTAAGCCCCCTTCCTTCAGGAGTGGATGATTTCCTGCCTCATCAGAATTCCTGGGGCTGGAGTATGCAAAACAATTCCTGCAGGCCAGGTGCAGTGGCTCATGCCTATAATCCCAGCACTTTGGGAGGCTGAAGTGGGCAGATCACTTGAGGTCAGGAGTTCTAGACCAGCCTGGCCAACATGGTGAAGCCCTGTCTTTACTAAAAATGCAAAAATTAGCCGGGTGTGGTGGCTACTTGGGAGGCTGAGGCAAGAGAATCGCTTGAACCTGGGAGAAGGAGGTTCCTGTGAGCTGAGATCGCACCACTGCACTCCAGTCTGGGTGACAGGGCAAGACTCTGTCCCAAAAAAACAAACAAACAAAACAATTCCTGTGTCTCAATGCCTGCTCCTGCGGCCACTGACCTGAGCATCTGCCAAGAGTCTGCATAGCTCTGTTTGGCACCCAAGGCCCTGGTATCATGGGCTCATGAGGGGATCTCCTGATCCATGGGAAAAATGTGATTTTCTGGACAGGGTAGCAAAATCACTCACTGCCTCCCTTGGCAGGGAGGGAGCTTCCCTTGTCCTGCCACTCCTGGGTGGGCCATCACCCCACTCTGCTTTTCCTCTCTCTTTGTGGGTTGTGCCAGTCACCTAGTCAGTCCCAGTGAAAGAACCCAGATACCTCAGTTAAAGATGCAGAATTAACTCACTGTTATGGTTCTTCTCAGTGAGAGCTACAGACTGCAGTTGCTACTAATCAGCCATCTTCACTCCTCTTCTAGTTTTTATAAATTCTGATCCCAACTGAACCATAGCTACCATTTCTCCACATTCTCATTAAATTCAAATAATGTGAAAATTCTGGACTGTGAATAGAAATAGATTGAAGAAACAAGAACTAGAAAGCAGGTATATCCAAGGACCAAGAAGCAAGAATACACTAAGATGATAATTTTTTGAGACAGAGTCTTGTTCTGTTGCCCAGGCTGGAGTGCATTAGTGTGATCTCAGCTCACTGCAACCTCCGCCTCCCGGGTTCAAGAGATTCTCTTGCCTCAGCCACCTGAGTAGCTGGGATTACAGGTGTGCACCACCATGCCTGGCTAATTTTTGTATTTTTAATAGAGACAGGGTTTCACCACGTTGGCCAGGCTTGTCTTAAACTCCTGACCTCAAGTGACCTTGGGCTCCCAAAGTGCTGGGATTACAGGTGTGAGCCGCTGCTCCCAGCCTAAAGATGACATTTTAAACCCAAGAAATACACAGAAGCTAGAGCTGAGGATGGGGAATGAGACTAGCTAGGGAAACGCTCATGACTAAGGGTTGTGGGCCATGGTTGGATGGAGAATAGAAAGTTAGTCACACAGATACTTTCTCTGTGTGAGTAAGGGAAAATAAATACTGAGAAGTCCTAAACCTAGGCAGCTTCCCTTGTGAGCAATGTTCTAAACATATTGTTAGTACTGTCTGCTACTATGAAGCCAAACTTCGAACCAGAGTGTAAGAAAGAAACATTTTATAGAAGCTATGTCAGATGGTTTGGGATCTCTCCAGAGACTGTTGTGATTACATTGTTTTCTTGCTTTATTCTTTTTATAGTTGGTAAAGTTTGCTGTTGGATAAGATATTTGAATCATGTGAGTCTGTTTTGCTAATTCAACCCTTGTGCTGACATACCAATTGTGAGTAATTACTAGGTTTTACTTTGCACCAGGCACTGTGCTAACTAAGTCTTTCTGATGACCTATTGGTATAGTAAGGAAAACAAGCAATTTCAACCCTGTGATGAGACAGAAATCAATATAGGTTATCAAAGAAAAATGAAATTCCCCCAAATCTGAAATTTTAAATTCCTTTAAATTATTAGTTCCTCTCACAGACCCAGGTGATTAATTATTGCTTGGTTAATTAACACTTATTTGATTGCATTGCTTTTCTTAGTTTATAATCTCTCAGAAGGAAGGCATTTTGGCTGTATACTTCTTTTTGTGTACTGCCAAGTTCTCTAATATAGCCATCCATTTCAATTAAGAGTTTAATAAAATATTTTATAAATAAAAGAAAGATGTGACATCTATATAGAAGTAATAAAAATATCCAGTTTATAAGGATATAAATAATTTTGGTCACATGCATTCTTTCAAATGTAGTGCCTTTGGCACAAAGCAGACAAATAATATTTATTTTTATACATTTTTTAGTATGCTATATGACACTATTTATTTCAACATAACGCTTCCTTATGTTCTTTTGTTGGACTTGTCTTAAAATATGTAATTACCTCCATGGATAGGCACCTTTGCTAAATGACAGATTGTAGTTTATGACTACTGAGAAGAAAAAGTACTTAAATATGAGTAGACATCGTATTTTTTCCATTAGAGAAATGGTACACTGTGTCTACCTAATATTGCGAATATGCCATCTTCAAAAGTCTAGCAATACAATTTAATATATTAAAAGAGCAGAAGTGGATCACAATACTCATACATATCTAACACTAAAAGATTTAGTAATGGATTTAAATACATTTCTGGTAAGTACTTTTTAGACTCTAAATGTGAGTACCTCTCCTGCAAAATGTTGGCAACTGAGATTTCCATTTAGGTGGGAAACAGAGCAAGATCTACTTTTGCAAAAAGTCTAAATGTAATCATCCTTCTTTTTCTGTCCATGATTATGGCACCTGCTCATAAACTATGTCAGAAAAGTAAGGTTTTCTTAAGTAGCCTACAATCAGGGTAATGTAGAGTAGCTTTCTGGGAAGTAGTGATATGACATTTACCATCACTATAGGTTTCCATTAGCCCAGCCATTGTATTTCTTCTGAGGCTCTACAACTCAGTTTTTTCTTATCAGGTGTAGAGTGTGTCCTCTAGTTAAGTTTACATGTGCCAAATCTAAGATTTCTGCAGGTAAGAGTGAATGCGATACAGATGTTAACGAAGAGTCTTAGTGGTATACCCATACAATTCAGTGCTGATATATGTTACAACACTGATGAATTTCAAAAACGTCATGCTGAGTGAAAGAGGTCAGTCACAAAAGATCACATATTGTATGATTTCATTTATATGAAATCACAAGGATGGATAAATCTATAGAGACAGAAAGTAGATTAATAGTTGTCTGAGGTGGGAAGTAGTGGGAGGGAGATGATAAATGACAGCTAATAGGTACGAGGTTTCTGTTTGAAATCATCAAAATGTTCTAAAATTGATGGTTGCGTAACGCCATGCATATACCCCACAACACTGAATCGTACACTTCAAACAGGTGAATTTCATCAAAATATGTTTTAAAAAAGCTTTTTAAAAATACTCTAGATACTTTCTGCAGAGTGTAAATGAATACTCTAGTCAATAATTATTTTTAAAGTATTTTTAAATTTATAAAATTCAATAATGAATTTTAAGTCTAAATGACTTGAATATTAATGTTAAGTATATCTGGATTAGAATTTAACCAATCACTAATAATATATGTTTTAAAATATTTAAAGAACTCTACTATCACCTAACCACAAAATGTCCTTCTATTTAACTGTTAGTTAAATGCCAAATTTAATACTGGCTGAGATGACTGGTTTGACTCACTGGCCTGCTTCTTCCCAGTGCACAATCTTTCTTTGTATTGAACAGTCTAGAGTGTCACTTTGAGCCATTTCCAAGTTGAAATTTCCCTGGAAGTATCCTTAAAGACAAAGGTAAGTAAGGAAAATTACAGAATAATAATTTTCCCAACCCATTTCTGCTTTTTCAATCAGATATGAAATATAAATATATTTACATAAATGTCATAATGCAAACCCAAAATATGGATTTAACCTAGTAATTTATTTTATTATATTAGCATTATGGCAGGAAAATGACAGATGTGGTAGTTTTAAGAGAATGAAATCCTTAGTTTTCCAAGAAATAAACAGCTATATATAAAATTTTAATATCAAAAAATGGAGGAAAACCATGTTTTCTAGAAACATGAATTTCTGAAATAAGCAAATTTGGGGCATCTGGAAACAAAAGTGGGAAGGAATTCTATAAGAGATAATTAGAATTATTTCAATTTCAAAATTCTGTGCATGTAAAACCTGGATAAAATTAAAAGTGATCAAATGAAAAAGTTACTACAATTTGTTTTGTAAACTATGTCATGCTTCTCTACTCATTTCAGAATCTTGGTTACTTAAAATTACTTCAGTAAACTGTCAACTGGCTGGATTTATGGCAACACAGTTTATAGGGATATTACGCCATATACACATAGGTACTGCAAAAATAATAAAGATGGCTTTGTACTAGCTAGTAGAATATTTTTTGTTTGCTTTATTTTATTAATTAACTTTTATATGGAAATACTGTCAGCTTTGGTGGGAGGAAGACACATTTCTATTTTATCTATTACATAGTGGAAGTTATATGTGGAGTGAGGTAACAGGACCCTGAATTCAAGGGTATTCTGCTGCAAGACCTCATCATAGCCTGGTGCCTTGAATGACTTTTTGGCTAACCTGTTGCAGTTTTTGGCTAACCTGTTCCATGATTCCTTTGTGCTTATTCTCAAAGATGCCTTCTTGGAGACTTTGTAATTCAGCAGCTTTGGGGAATGTAATGATTTTGAATCAAAATCCCTTACCTTCTTGCTGGTGACTTGCTAGAAAGAAAATACTGAGTGCCTCGCATATACCCTCTTTTGCCTCCCCTCATTTTTCTCTCCCTCTTACCATTTTGGTTGTCTAAATATTTGAAGTGGTGTCTTAGGCAGCTGGGACTTCTGTAACAAAATACCATAAATTGAGTAGCTTAAACAACATAAATTCATTTCTCACAGTGATGAAGGCTGCAAGTCCATGATCAGAGCCAGCATGGTCAAGTTCTCGCAAATGGCCATTTTATCCCTGTGTCCTCACATGACAGAGAGAGAGCTCTGGTGTTTCCTCTTCTTATTAGGGTATGAATCTCATCGTGGGGGCTCTACCCTCATTATCTCATCTAAACCTAATTATCCCCAAAGACCCCATCTCCAAATACTATCACCTTGGGAGTTAGGGCTTCAACATTTGAATTTGGGGGGACAAAATTCAGTCCATAGCAAATAAAAGCTTATTTTCTTCTGCAGGGAAAACAAACATGCCCTGTCTTCGTTGTACTTGCATGATGTCTGAATCTCCTCATCCTAATTTTAAAATTGGCCTGATTCCAATCAGGATACAGAATACGACCGATTAAACTGATTCATAGTTCCATCACCATTCATAGCTCTATGACTGCATTTGAAACTGAGATTGCTATAAGTTATTTTCCAAATCCTGTTATATTACAACAAAATATAAACTATAATTATCTCTGAATGATAGAAATCTCTACTTTATTTTCTTATTTTTATTTGTCAGTACTTTTCAAGTTTCTATAACAAATGTATCATTTGATAACTAGCAAAATATTAAGTTATATTAAAATTGATCTTCATGTAATTTGTGAATATTATTCTTCTTACGGTAATGGCTTATCTTTCTTTTTCTTTTTTTTGGACTAAAGTCTGTCTTCATTTATTTATTTATTTTGCTTTATGTTCCAGGATACATGTGCAGAATGTACAGGTTTGTTACATAGGTATACATGTGCCACGGTGGTTTGCTGCACCTATTGACCCATCCTCTAAGTTCTCTGCCCTCGCCTCCCACCCCCTAACAGCCTTAGTGTGTGTTGTTAACTTCCCTGTGTCTATGTGTTCTCACTGTTCAACTCCCACTTATGAGTGAGAACATTCAGCGTTTGGTTTTCTGTTCCTGTGTTAGTTTGCTGAAGATGATGGCTTCCAGCTTCATCCATGTCCCTTCAAAGGACATGATCTCATTTGTTTTAATGGCTGCATAGTATTCCATGGTGTATATGTGCCACATTTTCTTTATTTAGTCTATCATTGCTGGACATTTAGGTTGTTTCCATTACTTTGCTATTGTGAATAGTGCCACAATAAACATACGTGTGCATGTGTCTTTATAGTAGAATGATTTATATTCCTTTGGGTATACACTCAGCAATGGGATTGCTGGGTCAAATGGTATTTCTGGTTCTAGATCCTTGAGGAATCCCCGTACTGTCTTCCACAGTGGTTGAACTAATTTACATTCCCACCAACAGTGTAAAAGCATTCGTATTTCTCCACAGCCTCACCAGCATCTATTGTTTCTTGACTTTATAATAATCGCCATTCTTACTGGCATGAGATGGTATTTCATTGTGGTTTTGATTTGCATTTCTCTAATGATTACTGATGTTGAGGTTTTTTTTTATCTGTTTGTTGATTGCGCATCTTCTTTTGAGAAGTGATTGTTCATATCCTTTGTCCACTTTTTGATGGAGATTTTTTCTTGTAAATTTATTTAATTTCCTTGTGAATTCTGGATATTAGACCTTTGTCAGGTGGGTACATTGCACAAACCTCCCATTCTGTAGGTTGCCTGTTCACTCTGATGATAGTTTCTTTTGCTGTGCAGAAGCTTTTTAGTTTAATTAGATCTTATTTGTCAATTTTTGCTCTTGTTGCCATTGCTTTTGGCGTTTTAGTCATGAAGTCTTTGCCCATGCTTGTGCCCTAAATGGCATTGCCTAGGTTTTCTTCTAGGGATTTTATGGTTTTGGGTTTTACATTTAAAAGTCTTTAATCCATCTTGAGTTAATTTTTGTATAAGGTGTAAGGAAGGGGTCCAGTTTCAGCTTTCTATATATGGCTAGCCAGTTTTCCCAGCACCATTTATTAAATAGGAGATCCCTTCCCTATTGCTTGTTTTTGTCAGGTTTGTCAAAGATCAGATGGTTGTAGATTTTTCTAAATAGACTTGTTAAAGACACCATTTGTTTTTTACTCCAAGAGTTATCAAGCCCACTTAAACTTTTGTTAACAAACATGACACATATTAAATTACTCCTTCATAAAGGATACTCAATTTCTTGAAAAATAACCTATTACTTACTCACACCTATTACCTTAAAATACCAAATTTGATGTGTTTTATATGATTCTCATTTAAAATGGAATACCCTGTTCTTATAGTGTGTTTTCATATTCATTCCAGTTTTTCCCATATTATATGAAAGTATTGTGTTCTGATTTATCTAGTGCTGAATTGCCTTTATTACCTTGCATATTTTTTCTTTATCTTTAATTGGTTAGTGAGCAAATAATTTTAACAGTATTTTTATACATAAAATATCATTTACAGGAAAATATAATTTGTACCTTTAGGTCAGTTTCTTAAATGTGGCCCCTGGAACTCTAGTACCTAAGGACTTAACTATCATTACATTTACTTTTTCTACAATATTCTAGGCCACTTTTCTGTATTTTCTTGTCAGCTATTAAATGATGAAACAATCCCCTTCTTCCTTTATAGTCTTTATCTGAGCAAGCTCATCCATGTCTCCAGCATTAGTTGCCACCTACATGTAGAGGACTCATGCATTTGAACCTCCATACCAAACTTCCTCAGAACACAAAATCCTCAGAGATCTGCATTTTTCCGTAGCTACTGCACAGATCCTCCTGGACATTTCAAAGTCCTCTCAAACTCATGTTCAAAACCAATTCATATCCTGACCAACTTTCACACATTTCTAACTATTCTGTTGCTATTTCAATGCCCCCCATCTCAATGAGTGGCTTAATTAATTAGCTAGTTTTGTAAAAGGGGAAAGACTGTTCCAGGCAGAGAACATATGCTGGTAGATGTGAGGCGAGTATAAAAGGATTTTTCACAGGATATGTTTTATTCTCTATGAAGTAAATGGGAAGACTATCTGCTCAAAACCAGACAGGAAGCAGGTGTGTGAGGAGTATGTTGAATCTGAAGAGATGGGGCTGTGTTCCAAATAGCATACCAAGAAAACAGACAAGAATGTACAGATAATTAAGGGTCAGTTAAATTAGGAGTTACGTATCATGAAACCAGTCTGCAGGGTATGAGGTTCTAATCTGCAGGGTATGAGGTTCTAATGCAGATGAACAGGGATTAAAGAACAGCCACTAATGATCCCAAGAAGCATGTTCATCGATGTGAAAGGAATACTGGCACAAAGAAAAGGAGGGAATTTTGAAACATACCAATAACTGGCAATTTCAAATACTTGAGAAACACATGAGACATATTGAAAAATGACAAGGTTTTCAGAAATAATTGTCAGCAACATCAAGTGTTTTAGAGACGTCAGACAAGATGAGTGACTGATTTTGGTCATAATATGATTGTTAGATGAATAGAGGGATGAAATGAAAAATAGAAATCTGATAAAGTACAGTAAAATATTAATGGTAGGATTGACATGTCAGGTAAACAGGTACTCTGTACAAATTTTTTCAACTTTGCCATGTATTTGAAAAGTTTCATAAGATATTGTGATAGGATCAACTAAGTAGTAATCTTAGAAATAACAGGAGGAGCCAAGATGGCCGAATAGGAACAGCTCCAGTCTACAGCTCCCAGTGTGAGTGACGCAGAAGACGGGTGATTTCTGCATTTCCAACTGAGGTACCGGGTTCATCTCACTGGGGAGTGCCAGACAGCAGGTGCAGGACAGTGGGTGCAGCGCACTGTGCACTAGCCAAAGCAGGGTGAGGCGATAGTGCAAGGGGTCAAGGAATTCCCTTTCCTGTCAAAGAAAGCGGTGACAGACAGCACCTGGAAAATCGGGTCACTCCCACCCTAATACTGCGCTTTTCCAACGGGCTTAAAAAACAGCACACCAGGAGATTATATCCCACACATGGCTCAGAGGGCCCTACGCCCACGAAGTCTCGCTCATTTCTAGCACAGCAGTCCGAGATCGAACTGCAAGGCAGCAGCGAGGCTGGGGGAGGGACGTCCGCCATTACTGAGTTAGTTGTTTGACTAGGTAAACAAAGCAGCTGGGAAGCTTGAACTGGGTGGAGCCCACCACAGTTCAAGGAGGCCTGCCTGCCTCTGTAGGCTCCACCTCTGGGGGCAGGGCACAGACAAACAAAAAGACAGCAGTAACCTCTGCAGAATTAAATGTCCCTCTCTGACAGCTTTGAAGAGAGTAGTGGTTCTCCCAGCATGCAGCTTGAGATCTGAGAACGGGAAGACTGCCTCCTCAAGTGGGTCCCTGACCCCCGAGTAGCCTAACTGGGAGGCACCCCTAGTAGGGGCGGACTGACACGTCACATGGCCGGGTACTCCTCTCAGACAAAACTTCCAGAGGAACGATCAGGCAGCAGCATCTGCGGTTCACCAATATCCGCTGTTCTGCAGCCACTGCTGCTGAAACCCAGGCAAACAGGGTATGGGGTGGACCTCTAGCAAACTCCAACAGACCTGCAGCTGAGGGTCCTGTCTGTTAGAAGGAAAACTAACAAACAGAAAGGACATCCACACCAAAAACCCATCTGTACGTCACCATCATCAAAGACCAAAGGCAGATAAAACCACAAAGATGGGAAAAAAACAGAGCAGAAAAACTGGAAACTCTAAAAATCAGAGCACCTCTCCTCCTCCAAAGGAACGCAGCTCCTCACCAGCAACAGAACAAAGCTGGACAGAGAATGACTTTGACAAGTTGAGAGAAGAAGGCTTCAGACGATCAAACTACTCCAAGCTACAGGAGGAAATTCGAACCAATGGCCAAGAAGTTAAAAGCTTTGAAAAAAAAATTAGACGAATGTATAACTAGAATAATCAATGCAGAGGAGTCCTTAAAGGACCTGATGGAGCTGAAAACCAAGGCACGAGAGCTACGTGAGGAATGCAGAAGCCTCAGGAGCCGATGCGATCAACTGGAAGAAAGGGTATCAGTGATGGAAGACGAAATGAATGAAATGAAGCGAGAAGAGAAGATTAGAGAAAAAAGAATAAAAACAAATGAACAAAGCCTCCAAGAAATATGGGACTATGTGAAAAGACCAAATCTACATCTGATTGGTGTACCTGAAAGTGACAGGGAGAATGGAACCAAGTTGGAAAACACTCTGCAGGATATTATCCAGGAGAACTTCCCCAATCTAGCATGGCAGGCCAACATTCAGATTCAGGAAATACAGAGAACGCCACAAAGATACTCCTCTAGAAGAGCAACTCCAAGACACATAATTGTCAGATTCACCAAAGTTGAAATGAAGGAAAAAATGTGAAGGGCAGCCAGAGAGAAAGGTCAGGTTACCCACAAAGGGAAGCCCATCAGAATAACAGCAGATCTCTCAGCAGAAACTCTACAAGCCAGAAGAGAGTGGGGACCAATATTCAACATTCTTAAAGAAAAAAATTTTCAACCCAGAATCTCATATCCAGCCAAACTAAGCTTCATAAGTGAAGGAGAAATAAAATACTTTACAGACAAGCAAATGCTGAGAGATTTTGTCACCACCAGGCCTGCCCTAAAAGAGCTCCTGAAGGAAGCACTAAACATGGAAAGGAACAACCATTACCAGCCACTGCAAGAACATGTCAAATTGTAAAGACCATCAAGGCTAGGAAGAAACTGCATCAACTAACAAGCAAAATAACCAGGTAACATCATAATGACAGGATCAAATTCACACATAACAATATTAACTTTAAATGTAATTGGGCTAAATGCTCCAATTAAAAGACACAGACTGGCAAATTGGATAAAGAGTCAAGACCCATCAGTGTGCTGTATTCAGGAAACCCATCGCACGTGCAGAGACACACATAGGCTCAAAATAAAGGGATGGAGGAAGATCTACCAAGCAAATGGAAAACAAAAAAAGGCAGGGGTTGCAATCCTAGTCTCTGATAAAACAGACTTTAAGCCAACAAAGATCAAAAGAGACAAAGAAGGCCATTACATAATGGTAAAGGGATCAATTCAACAAGAAGAGCTAACTATCCTAAATATATATGCACCCAATACAGGAGCACCAAGATTCATAAAGCAAGTCCTGAGTGACCAACAAAGAGACTTAGACTCCCACACATTAATAATGGGAGATTTTAACACCCCACTGTCAACATTAGACAGATCAACGAGACAGAAAGTTAACAAGGATACCCAGGAATTGAACTCAGCTCTGCACCAAGTGGACCTAATAGACATCTACAGAACTCTCCACCCCAAATCAACAGAATATACATTCTTTTCAGCACCACACCACACCTACTCCAAAATTGACCACATAGTTGGAAGTAAAGCACTCCTCAGCAAATGTAAAAGAACACAAATTATAACAAACAGTTTCTCAGACCACAGTGCAATCAAACTAGAACTTAGGATTAAGAAACTAACTCAAAACCACTCAACTACATGGAAACTGAACAACCTGCTCCTGAATGACTACTGGGTAAATAATGAAATGAAGGCAAAAATAAAGATGTTCTTTGAAACCAATGAGAACAAAGACACAACATACCAGAATCTATGGGACACATTCAAAGCAGTGTGTAGAGGGAAATTTATAGCACTAAATGCCCACAAGAGAAAGCAGGAAAGAACTAAAATTGACACCCTAACATCACAATTAAAAGAACTAGAAAAGCAAGAGCAAACATATGCAAAAGCTAGGAGAAGGCAAGAAATAACTAAGATCAGGGCAGAACTGAAGGAAATAGAGACACAAAAAACCCTTGAAAGAATTAATGAATCCAGGAGCTGGTTTTTTGAAAAGATCAACAAAATTGATAGACCATTAACAAGACTAATAAAGAAGAAAAGAGAGAATAATCAAATAGACGCAATAAAAAATGATAAAGGGGATATCACCACTGATCCCACAGAAACACAAACTACCATCAGAGAATACTATAAACACCTCTATGAAAATAAACTAGAAAATCTAGAAGAAATGGATAAATTCCTCGACACATACATCCTCCCAAGAATAAACCAGGAAGAAGTTGAATCTCTGAATAGACCAATAACAGGCTCTGAAATTGAGACAATAATCAACAGCTTACCAACCAAAAAAAGTCCAGGACCAGATGGATTCACAGCCGAATTCTACCAGAGGTACAAAGAGGAGCTGGTACCATTCCTTCTGAAACTAATCCAATCAACAGAAAAAGAGGGAATCCTCCCTAACTCATTTTATGAGGGCAGCCTCATCCTGATACCAAAGCCTGGTAGAGACACAACCAAAAAAGAGAATTTTAGACCAATATCCTTGATGAACACCAATGCAAAAATCCTCAATAAAATACTGGCAAACCAAATCCAGCAGCACATCAAAAAGCTTATCCACCGTGATCAAGTGGGCTTCATCCATGGGATGCAAGGCTGGTTCAACATATGCAAATCAATAAATGTAATCCAACATATAAACAGAACTGAAGACAAAAACCACATGATTATCTCAATAGATGCAGAAAAGGCCTTTGACAAAATTCAACAACCCTTCATGCTAAAAACTCTCAATAAATTAGGTATTGATGGGACGTATCTCAAAATAATAAGAGCTATCTATGACAAACCCACAGCCAATATCATACTGAATGGGCAAAAACTGGAAGCATTCCCTTTGAAAACTGGCACAAGACAGGGATGCCCTCTCTCATCACTCCTATTCAACATAGTGTTGGAAGTTCTGGCCAGGGCAATCAGGCAGGAGAAGGAAATAAAGGGTATTCAATTAGGAAAAGAGGAAGTCAAATTGTCCCTGTTTGCAGATGACATGATTGTATATCTAGAAAACCCCATTGTCTCAGCCCAAAATCTCCTCTAGCTGATAAGCAACTTCAGCAAAGTCTCAGGATACAAAAGCAATGTACAAAAATCACAAGCATTTTTATACACCAATAACAGACAAACAGAGAGCCAAATCATGAGTGAACTGCCATTCACAATTGCTTCAAAGAGAATAAAATACCTAGGAATCCAACTTACAAGGGATGTGAAGGACCTCTTCAAGGAGAACTACAAACCACTGCTCAATGAAATAAAAGAGGATACAAACAAATGGAAGAACATTCCATGCTCAGGGGTAGGAAGAATAAATATCTTGAAAATGGCCATACTGCCCAAGGTAATTTATAGATTCAATGCCATCCCCATCAAGCTACCAATGACTTTCTTCACAGAATTGGAAAATACTACTTTAAAGTTCATATGGAACCAAAAAAGAGCCCGCATCGCCAAGTCAAGTCAATCCTAAGCCAAAAGAACAAAGCTGGAGGCATCACGCTACCTGACTTCAAACTATACTACAAGGCTACAGTAACCAGAAAAGCGTGGTACTGGTACCAAAATAGATATACAGACCAATGGAACAGAACAGAGCCCTCAGAAGTAATGCCGCATATCTACAACTATCTGATCTTTGACAAACCTGAGAAAAACAAGCAATGGGGAAAGGATTCCCTATTTAATAAATGGTGCTGGGAAAACTGGCTAACCATATGTAGAAAGCTGAAATTGGATCCCTTCCTTACATCTTATACAAAAATTAATTCAAGATGGATTAAAGACTTAAACGTTAGACCTAAAACCATAAAAACCCTAGAAGAAAACCTAGGCAATACCATTCAGGACATAGGCATGGGCAAGGACTTCATGTCTAAAACACCAAAAGCAATGGCAACAAAAGCCAAAATTGACAAATGGGATCTAATTAAACTAAAGAGCTTCTGCACAGCAAAAGAAACTACCTTCAGAGTGAACAGGCAACCTACAAAATGGGAGAAAATTTTCGCAACCTACTCATCTGACAAAGGGCTAATATCCAGAATCTACGATGAACTCAAACAAATTTACAAGAAAAAAACAACCCCATCAAAAAGTGGGCAAAGGATATGAACAGACACTTCTTAAAAGAGGACATTTATGCAGCCAAAAAACACATGAAAAAATGCTCATCATCACTGGCCATCAGAGAAATGTAAATCAAAACCACAATGTGATACCATCTCACACCAGTTAGAATGGCAATCATTAAAAAGTCAGGAAACAACAGGTGCTGGAGAGGATGTGGAGAAATAGGAGCACTTTTACACTGTTGGTGGAACTGTAAACTAGTTCAACCATTGTGGAAGTCAGTGTGGTGATTCCTCAGGGATCTAGAACTAGAAATACCATTTGACCCATCCATCCCATTACTGGGTATATACCCAAAGGATTATAAATCATGCTGCTATAAAGACACATGCACATGTATGTTTATTGCAGCACTATTCACAATAGCAAAGACTTGGAACCAACCTAAATGTCCAACAACGATAGACTGGATTAAGAAAATGTGGCACATATACACCATGGAATACTATGCAGCCATAAAAAATGACGAGTTCATGTCCTTTGTAGGTACATAGATGAAACTAGAAACCATCTTTCTCAGCAAACTATCGCAAGGACAAAAAACCAAACACCGCATATTCTCACTCATAGGTGGGAATTGAACAATGAGAACACATGAACAGAGGAAGGGGAACATCACACACCGGGGACTGTTGTGGGGTGGGGGCAGTGGGGAGGCATAGCATTAGGAGATATACCTAACGTAAATGACGAGTTAATGGGTGCAGCACACCAACATGGCACATGTATACATATGTAACACACCTGCACATTGTGCACGTGTACCCTAAAACTTAAAGTATAATCATAATAAAATTTAAAAATAAATAAATGAAAATAAATAAACTCATGGACTCTGAAGCCAAAAAATACATAAATAAAAATTTAAAAAGCCAGATTAATACAGAAAGAGAATTGAGAAATCGGTCACTTAGGTTATAGTAAGTAGGTACTCTAAGGTTGAACAAAATAAGATCATTGTTGCAGAACAGTTTGTAAAGGAATAAAATGAAGCTTTTTGCAGTGTGAGAGGGTTGGTATTTTGGTAAACAAGGGCAGGTGACTTGTGGAGAGTGAGGGAGAGAATTTTCAAGAAAGGAGTTAACTGTTCAGTAGCCTTTTTTCATTTTTCCCTATATTTTATATCTGAATGCCTCAAATTTAAAAATGTCGCTTTGGCTTTTATTGAGATAAAATTCGTATAATGTAAAATTCATCATTTTAAAGTATCACACTCAGTGGTTTTCAGTATATTCACCATGCCATGCAAACATCTCCATGATCTAATTCCAGAACATTTTCATCACTTCAAGAAGAAATCAGCTCATACCCATTAAGCAGTCACTCCCCATTCCTCACTCCCCACAGACCCTGGTACTCACTAATCTACCTTCTGTCTCTATAGATTTACCTATTCTAAACATTTTATATAAGTGGAATCATGTAATAGGAGGCCTTTACCTGCCTGAATTAGCCCAATTTTGTTGCTAATAAAAAATTCTGTCTAGAAAGATCTCTATATTAATAAGTTCTAAAAGTCAAATGTGCATTGTGCTGGTAATAAAACTAGGAGGAGCTAGTATGCTGGGCAGGTTTACAAGGTTTGTTTTATTCCATCCACACAACATCTTCTGCAATAACATGACACATATTTTCAAATAAGAATCAGAAACTATGAAAGGTTATACAATTAGCAGAAAAAAAACTTTTAACCTAACAACACTAATATTTTAGCCTAGGCAACACAGTGAGACCCTGTCTCTACAAAAAATACTAACAATTAACTGGACATGGTGGTACGCACCTGTGGTCCCAGCTACAAGGAAGGCTGAGGTGGGACGATCGCTTGAGCCCAGGGGTGGAGGCTGCAGTGAACTATGATGGCACCACTGCATTCCAGCTTGGGTAACAGAGTGAGATCCTGTGTCAAAAAAAGAAAACTAATATTTAAATATTATATGTTTCAATATTTCGAACACTTTGGATTGAAAAATACAGTTCTTTCATTGTCTCCAAATTTTTTCATATGAATACTAATAGAAGCATAATTTGATTGCATCTATTTTCCATATTATTCTAAGACAAAAGTATATTTGCTTTACTATCAAATTTAGAGATGTCTACTGACACAGCTTTTTTTCCTTTAAAGTTAGCAACAACTGTTATCTAATCAAAGTTACTACTGTACCATAAATGTGTTTTATATTTTAAAGATTTATAAATTAGTAGAAGATAAATGTGATCCCTAAGAACACTACCTTTTTGTTTGCTTGTTCTTCAGGCTTCATGGTAGGAAAATTATCCCCTGGCTGCCTACTGATCTGTCAATATCATTGATTCATTTGAGGATTAAGGAAAGCTGAAGATGTTTATTTCAGGAAACCCTACATTCCTAGCAACTTGTTTTCTGTGACCATTAGCAATTTTAGAGAATATATGTTTACTTAAATTTATTTTAATAGCTATTAAACTGCTAAAAATAGTAAGAGCACTATAAATCACTGTTAAAATGTTTATTTATTTCCACTTTTTATACTTGCATTCAATAGTGATTTAGCATGAGATCTTTTCTTACAACAATAAAAGGTTCTCTTTTTGCAGATCTATCTTTTGCGTATCATATGGGTTTTCAACCATAACAGGCAACTGAATTAAGTAAAGTAAATAACTTAGAGAACTTTATATCAGACATTCTAGATGTATATATAGATCTCATGCATTGTTTTCTATCTGACAAAGAGTGAACAAGATAATAAATACACTAGCTTTTTCAAAGTCTATGCAAATGTGAATCAGAAAAGAAACAACCATTGAGAAGGCCCAAATCTTTACTCTCAAAATATAAAGTGTTTTGTTGCATTTCCTCAATGACTGGGTTCTCATCTTGCAATGTGCATATTTTAAATTCAAATCAACCAACTAAACTTGTAAGAAAATAGAAAAATAGATAGGGGTGCTTTATAAACCTCTTAGAAGTTATGAGGACATCGAAATATTTTGCAAACAGTAATTCAAGCACTGCATAAAATCCACTTCTTAGACGTGAGATATTTCTTTTTTATATTTCAATCTCTCCATCAGTAAAATGTAATCATTAAAATCCACTTCTTAGAAGTGAGATATTTCTTTTTTATATTTCAATCTCTCCATCAGTAAAATGTAATCATAACAACTCTGTCTTAACTCATCTTTCAGGTGCCATTGAAAAGAAAAAGTTTCAGTAAAACGAAGCTTTGTCATCATCATGGTAGTTATAATTATTATAAATCATAGATATTTTGTTATCTTTGCCCCCTCATTTTTTACTATATTTTGTTTCCCCAAAAAAAAGAAGAAAAAAATGAACCTATTTTTATGAGAAAAATGTTTATTATAAATACTTATATTTATTTTGAATAATGGCAGGTCTGATCTAGACTTGGCTGGTTGTTTCCTTGCTTTTAATATTCCTGCTTACAATTTAAGTTCTCTACTTTTGTTGATTACATGAAACATGTAAATTTATGTTGATTTTTCCATTCACATTAAATGGAAATCTGCCAATTACCATCCTAACTCAGGTAAAATTCTTAGTTTTATTCTCTTTTTTATCAACAAAATCTATATTAGTTATAAATTTGCCCTCCTCGCTTTCATCTCCTCAATAAACTTTCTGCTAGTAGGATTGATTTGGAGCTTTTACTTTTTAATTCAACAAAAACCCTGTAGTTGGGTTACCTGGAGGTAATGGAATATAAATTCTTTAGAAATGTAATTAATTTTATTGATTTCAATAAGTTAGTGAGATGAATCAAAGGTTAGCAAAATATTTTCGGGTACATGCCTAGTGACTGTTTTATCAGCCAAAAAAGAACCTTATTTTCCTTTTTATGTCACCTTTTTTGAAACATTATGTGACTACTTTAAAAGTACAATTTAAAAAATCAGAAAGCCAAATTTCAGAGCTTATTTTAGGAAAAACATGTGGTGATATGATGCACATGAGCAGATAATTACTTCCCACATTCTGCTTGACAACAAAACTTGGAGTCGTGATCATCAGCAAACGTCATTGAAAATTTGATATTCAGGTCATAAATATAAGAATGATGAAATATATAGAGGGGAAAGAATATTAGATTAGAATATTTCTAAGGTTTAAAGGCATTTGGATACATTTTGATCTTAAATTGCCATCTTTATTCATAATAGCAAAATAACAGAATTTCAGTTTGTGAGAAGATGGAACCATAATAGAAGTAAAAATTGCTAAGTCAATTTTCAGCAGCCAATCTCATTCAGTTATGTTATTATTCTCCTTCAGAGAGAAAAGAATAACTTTCCATAACTGCTTCACTTGCACAGTTTCAATCTACAAACTCTCCTTAAATTATTGCCATTGCATCTTATTATTAAATTTCATTTTTAACAATAGGATGTTAAACTTGTATAGAACTTAATAAATTTAAGTGCAATTTGACATCTAGTTATTTCAGAGAATCACTATCATGAAGATGAACTTAGTTGCAACATTGGTAATCACATTTTCAAATGATAATTATACAATTATGGACTTTGTTGAATCTAGCAAACCATGGCCCAGAACTCAACTGAATAGAAGGGGCCAGGGTCTCAACTGTAGTTGGAGATGGGATCAATGCAAAAGACACAGGCAAGTTGTGTAAGCAGAATAAGAAAATCAGAGCATGAAGTGAAGGCTAGCAGAAGAGTGGCCAGGCAATCAATGGAGTATCATGGGAATCCAGTTGTAACAGTAGGGTGTTCCTACAACAGAAAATCTACCACAATATGAAGAAGCTATCTGAAAAGACTTAGGCAGACAGCACCCACCTAGAGATGTATTTGAGTACAGTGACACAATCATGGTACCAAGATTTTGGGAAACCAAATTACTCCATCCCAAGCGACAGAAACTGCAAGAGGAACTATGATGCCCTGAAAACAGAAAATTTACACATGATGACTGAGTTTCTAGAGATGGAATGTAAGGTCTTTCGGTGCATTTGCTATAATAGTTTTTAATGGTCTTTCTGTCTGCAGTGTTCTTTTCTTCAAATACAACCTCTTTGTTGCAGAGAGGGATCATTCTCAAATGCAAATTTGATTATCTGAAAGTCCTCAATGGTTCCTCAGGAACTTGTACCCTCTGGATAAAGCTCATACTCTTTAAAATGGTATTTAATAACCTTTAAAAACTAGATTCTGCCTACTTTTCTCATTTTCTATCTTCTGTCCTAAAGCAACATGCTTTTTATTTAACTAACAAATATTTATTAAACACTCACTGTAAACACTGATAGAATCTGAGAATATAAAGATAAATATGGTGTCAGAGTTCTAGAAGCTTACAGCGAGGTGAGCAGAGGGATGCTTTAAATATAACTAAACCACTAGAATTCAATATGATGATTGGTATTGTTGTCAATAGATAATGCTCTAAAGAAAGCATAATTATGGCTCACACAAATAAAAAATGAACACGTGTGAAAGATTCAAACGTTGTATTTATCTCATTAATTAATGAGAGAACCAATAAGATGATACAGCTGATTCAACAGAGAATTCAGAGAGCAGAAACAGATTTTTGAAATGGATTTGCAAATAAATGAAAATAACTCTATCCAATGGTCAATAATTGCATTCCACCAGATGCAATTAGTTTGCATTTCTATGGACACAAATCATTTGCGTGATTATGTTTTGTGCATTTTCTAGAGTTGTAAAATAGTTCAGAGATAATACAAAAGGGCGATAACCTTGATGGATGACCTAGACAGGACACAAAATAATGTGCTCTTGCCCATTTCAAAGCCTTCCACAATTTTCCTGATAAAGCTGAAGCACATAAAAGGATGGTGGTCATAGAGATTATGCGCCTAGAGTTGGAAGATTAATGAGGAAAGCTTCATTTGATGCCTAGATTGTGGTCATGAATGGAATTTTTCCAGGTCATTTTGAGAATAATGAACATGCATTCTGCTGGTGAGAATAAAAAAGAGGTAAGGATGGCTTCAAAGCGGTACAATTAATGGGTCTCAAAGATCTTTCCTTACAAGAACTGTGGGAATAAAGTTCACAAGCTTCCTCAGTCTTTTCAGGATTCTAAATAAACCATTGATGAAGGGATTCCTCCAGAATGGTTGGAGGAAAGAGCAGTCAATGACCCTTTCTTCTTAGGTGGCTCTCAAGTGTGGTCCAGAAACAGCAGTACAGCATCACCTGAGAAACTGCTAAAGGTGCAAATCTGGGGGCCTGAACCCAGAACTACTGAATCAGAAATTCTGAGGGTATGCCCAGAAATCTGTGTTCTAACAAGCCTGCCAGGTGATTCTGATGCTCCTTTGAGTTTGATAACAACTGTCTTAGAGGAGCAGGTACCTGAAAACCTGCAGAAAGATACTACCTTGCAGACCCAAACCTCGGTTACAGGAAGAAAATCTTTCCACATTTATATAACAAGAATAATATATATTCCTGTTTTTATATTATTATATTCTTGTTATATAATTGTGGGAGAAAATGTGTGTACACACGCCAACACACAAAAGAATAAGTTAAAGCTCATTCTTCTGATTTTAGTAAATTATTTATCTGCATATCTATTCTTTCACTGCTTCCTAAACTGTCTGGCCACAGGTACAGTATCTTTTCTGAATTTCCAGGAAGGGTTTATGGTAGAAATAATATGACAAGTATTTGCTGAGTGACTGACCAGATAACTTCACAAGGCAAAAAATCTGGTGGCAAAATGCAGGTTGAAGACCATTGTCAGACGAGTAGGAAGACTAATATAAATACCAGTATAGAATGCCTCGAGTTCTCCAAGTCAAAAGATCAGTTTAGTTTCAAGTAAGAGAATTCCACTTATGTGGGTAGGAGCAAGGATACTGGAGACTGGTTCCCCCTGCAAAGGACAGTGTGAAACAATAACATGTATGTTTTCAGTGTATAACACAATATTAGTTAATAATACCAACTAAGTATTAACTAATTATTAGTTATTAACTAATATTGTATTGTACACTGAAAATTTGCTAGGAAGGTAGGATTTAGGTGATCTTACCACATACACAAATAGAAAAGGTAACTATGTAAGGTGATGGGTATGTTAATTTGCTTCACTATAAGTAATCATTTCACTATATATATCAAAATAGTAAGTTGTAAAGCTTAAATATACACAATAAAATTTTTAATTGAAATTGCATTAAAATTAAATGTTATTACAAAGTAGAGCCTGTATCAGAATAAAATTGTAATAAAAAAGAGGCACGATCCAAAAAAAATTGCTGAAGGTAATCTACGTCAGAAAGCAATCTTAAGGAAGTGAAATGGGAAGTGAAAGACAGAGGAAAGTGAAAGAGAGAAGAAGAAAAACTCTTGAGCTGACTTTGCCTCTTGAGTGGACAACTGAAGTTGAATCCTGCCAGTGCCCTTGAGGAACCCATAGAATATATTTCTGAATTGTCCACCATAGGGCTGGATGAGGAAGCTATTATCCATGTGCTCTCATTCCTTTTTGTCAAGTGTTACTTCATGGGATATAAGCTTCCTAAAAATATCGGGGTGTGTTTGTGCATGCAGTAGTTACCTTCATTGCCTAAAAAAAACCACCTTCGGACAGAAAGCCAGAAGTACTGAGGCAAGGGGCTGTCAGGTTACACCACAGGTAGCTGGTTGCAGAAGGAATGGCTGGAATAAAAGAAGTGGCATAAGAAGTGTTTTAGATATAGGTATTTCATTCTAGATTAGAAATTTCCAAAGTTAGGAAGGCCATCCCACTTTCTCTACTCCCAGGAAGAAAACATTTGTTCCATCCCAGAAAGAACACTTTGACATAACAGGAGACCCCATATATACCTTCAAGAGTTGCAGAGCGGTAGAGGGTAAAAAGGTGGTATTAGGGCTAATGGTCTCAGTGAATGAACATGAATTCTAGAATCCATGGCCTAAGCATCCCATCTTTGCCACTCATCAGTTCTATATACTTCAGAAAGTTTTATTTCCTCAGTCCTTAGATTGTTTATATTAAGTTGCAGTAATAATCTATTTATCTGTCTCAAAAACCTGCTGGGAAATGGAGACACTATAATGTTTTTAAAAATGTAAAATATTAACAGCCAGACTAACATAATAGCTAATATTATTAAGAATATATTATATGCCAATTACTGTCAGTGTTTTATAATCTTCAAAACCGCACTTTGAGAAGGTTCTTTTAATTCCATTTTATATATGAGGAAACTGAGGCACAATAAAGTCAGGTAAAATACACACACACACACACACACACACACGCACCCCTCTAGTAAGTGATCAAGCAGATATTTAAACAAAGCTGTCAAGCTCCAAAGCAGAGTGTTTTGTAGCAATTTCTTTCCTTTTTCTTTTCTTTAACACTATCAGTTTGTGTGACAAATGATTAACATAAAACAAGGCTGCAAGAGGAGGCAGAATGGTGATGATCACCTGCTTCAAAGGAGTTCATCGCTACTGCAAGTCTCTCTGTACACGCTTTTTATAGGAAACTAGCTTGAGATGACAAGAAGAGATGCTGTGGTAAAAATCGTTGCTCTGTAGGGTCTACTATTTAGGGAGAAATCATATGATTATAGTATGTCTGGATCTGCCCAATTTCTTTAAGCCCAAGTGTCACAGCACCACCGCCATCCACAGCAGGCTGCCCCACTCTGTTCCTGTCTGTAGTCCTTTGCTACTTGCTTTTCTATGCCTCCTGAGCATCCTGATATTCCTCAGTTGTCCTTATGGCTGAATTCATTTTTTTCTCTCCCCATTTTTGGTCTTCACCTTTCAAACCAAAACCTTGATAGTACTTTCTAACCTTCTTTATATAATTTTGAAAATATTTTTGTGCTTCAGATTCCCCTTTGGCCTCATAACTTTATACTGAATAAATACCTCACCGATTCTAGGACCGTCAGTCTCCTTGTTGGGAAAGAGGTGTGTCTTACTGGGTTGGTCCCTTGGATGAGATCTGAATTTGATGGAGAAAATAGATTCTGACATCACACATTTCTTCTTGAGATATAGCCTGCTGCTTTAGATAATTTTCATCAAAATGTAGAGCAATAGACTCTGTTAACCAGTTAACAGAATCAGATGAACCCCCATCAAATGTCCTTAGAATTTATACCATTGCATCTAAGAATGAGGTTTCTTTTTCCCATCCTCAAAAGGATCATTTAAGAAACTCTGGCCTGGAAATGTGATAAACACTGTCTCTACTTGTGGTGCCTAGTGGTGACAATGGTAACATGGACTGTCAAACTGGGAGTCACAACATTTCACACCACCCATAATCTCTCTTTGAAAAGAAGGAACAGGCTAAGCGACATGGAGGTAGTGTTTCCTCTCAGCCATCAGTGTGGTTTTCTAGAGTGGCAGCCATGACCAACAGATGTTAAAGACCTTGCTTTTCTGCCCTTCCTCCTGCCTTCACTGTATTACAGGCTTGATCAAATGAGTCAATGTATTTAGGATAATGAAAGCCAGGTTTCTCAATGTTAGTGAAGCGTGTTACAGATAAGAAAAGAGACTACAATATACCCGGGGTGGTGCTGGCTTGGGATTGAATTAACACAAAGTTTATAATTAATAAAGATATTTACTAGCTCTGTTGCTGAGTGGATCTAGAAGCAATGATACACTGTTAGCAACGAGTATACCTAGTGCCAGGACTCCTTGGATAAAAGGCTGCTTCCCAGGGTAAGGCAGCATATGTAAAAGATGAACCTGGAGACATTCTGTCAAGCCAGTGCATGCTAAAAACAAATGAGCACATGGCAAAAACACATCAGAGCTATAGTGAAGTGTTTCCCACTAGCCAAATCTAAAATAATTTGAAAATCAAAATAAATGAAATTACTAATGGATTATAACCCACCAAATAAGATAAAAATCCATGAGCCCATACTGATATAAATAATTAATAAGGGACAACTCTTCCTTTCAGAAGACTGCTGACTAATAAATATGGATGAAATGATGGAGTTAGGAAATCATAAGTGAGTGCCAAAACTAGTGGGTGAACATTTGATGTTAAGGGAAAGTGCTTGTCCTTCCTTAGGGAATGCACACTGAAGTATTCAGAAGTAAAGAGGTTACAAGTATCCTAGTCAATTTCAAATGTTTCAGAGACCAAATGAGAGCCAGAGAGAGGGAAAATATAAGAAATTTCTGAAGCAATGTCAAGGGTATACATGATTTTTTATACTATCTTAAAATTTTTTATAATTTTAAATTTTATCAACTTAATAGTCATAAACAATAAAAATTCCACCCATTAAAAAAATAACTCCCTGTGAAAGAAGAAAAATTACGCGACTTTGAAATGGAAAGAACTTGGTAATGCTAAAGCAGACAAACTAGAAACTAACATTTCCTTATTACAAATGTAACATAACCCATTGCAGCATAGCTATGACCAAAAGGACTATTTTAAACTAAAAGTAGGGAGCAGATCCTGAACTTCAAAACTCTGTCTTCAAGTCCGGGTGTGGTGGTGCACACCTGTAGTCCCAGCTACTCGGTAGACTGAGGCAGGAGGATCCTTTGAGCCTGGGAGGTCAAGGCGGTAGTAAGCTATGATTTCACCACTGCATTCCAGCCTGGAACCTTGTCTCAAAAACAAACAAAAATTCTGCCTTCAAATTTGCAACTGCCCAGGAAAACAGAAGTCCTTTAAAAGCAGTTGTTTTTCTCAGTTTGGAAAAGTCCCTAGTACTCAATATTTCCATTGAGATAAACACTAGGTAAAACCAAAGCAGTATGTAGCAGTAATTTTGGGGAAGGCCTTATATCTGCCTTGAGTGAGTAGGTCACTCACTTGAACGTAGCTGAAGGACTTGAGTCAGTCCTGAAGGTAGGTCAGATGTGTGATGAGGGACATGGCCAGCAGGCCCCTTCCACAAGTAAAAGCTTTGGTGCCAGAATTCTTCTCTTCATATCTTAGGGTCTTTAAAATTTTGTAATAATTGGCATCCTTTTTTGTTTAAAGTGAAAGAGGGCTAAGAGTACTGAGCGTTACCTACTATAGGCACACACAAATGCATTGATTCATTTAATCCTCACAAGATAAAGAAATTGGGATTCTGGGGTATTGTGTGACTTTCTTTTTTTTATTATTTTTATTATACTTTAAGTTTTAGGGTACATGTGCACATTGTGCAGGTTAGTTACATACGTATACATGTGCCATGCTGGTGTGCTGCACCCACTAACTCGTCATCTAGCATTAGGTATATCTCCCAATGCTATCCCTCCCTCCTCCCCCCACCCCACAACAGTCCCAAAAGAAGACATTTATGCAGCCAAAAAACACATGAAAAAATGCTCACCATCACTGGCCATCAGAGAAATGCAAATCAAAACCACAATGAGATACCATCTCACACCAGTTAGAATGG
Organism: Homo sapiens; assembly: GCF_000001405.40. Classification (NCBI taxonomy): domain Eukaryota; kingdom Metazoa; phylum Chordata; class Mammalia; order Primates; family Hominidae; genus Homo; species Homo sapiens. Next base: position 36,099,496 of record NC_000003.12, read on the forward strand.
CAATCATCAAAAAATCAGGAAACAACAGGTGCTGGAGAGGATGTGGAGAAACAGGAACACTTTTACACTGTTGGTGGGACTGTCAACTAGTTCAACCATTGTGGAAGTCAGTGTGGCAATTCCTCAGGGATCTAGAACTAGAAATACCATTTGACCCAGTCACCCCATTACTGGGTATATACCCAAAGGACTATAAATAATGCTGCTATAAAGACACATGCACACGTATGTTTATTGCGGCATTATTCACAATAGCAAAGACTTGGAACCAACCCAAATGTCCAACAATGATAGACTGGATTAAGAAAATGTGGCACATATACACCATGGAATACTATGCAGCCATAAAAAATGATGAGTTCATGTCCTTTGTAGCGACATGGATGAAATTGGAAATCATCATTCTCAGTAAACTATCGCAAGAACAAAAAACCAAACACCGCATATTCTCACTCATAGGTGGGAATTGAACAATGAGATCACATGGACACAGGAAGGGGAACATCACACTCTGTGTGACTTTCTAATAATCACCCATAAAATAAATGGCAATCTACCTGACCCCAGAATGCCTACTCCTACCACATTGCCCTGCCTCTGCCTTAAGATTTGCTACTTGTAGAGGATGAATCAGGTTAAATCAGCCTCAAAAGTGCCTTCCTTATTAGGAAGAGTTAACTGTAGGGTGATGAGAAGGTCTTGGCATGCACACTAGAAGGGATAAAAGTGTTAATTGGAGAGAACCAAAGACATAAATGCAAGTTCCTTTCCATTTTCATTTCATCAGCTATCTCGGTTTACTTCCCACTCAATTCAAATTTCTTAATCACCCAGTTGTGCATTCCTTTTGTTTTCAGGCTTTGAAATACTATTAGGGATCTGAAAAGCAGGATGAAAATCTTTGTTCCTAGTAAATATACTTTTGGAAACTACCCAGCTGGGAAATAATCCTGTGAAAGCAGCTATTAGGGCGGCCCACAGAGAATGGGCTGGAGAGGCTGTTTGTTAGTTCCGAATTCTCTGGGTTTGGCTTTGAAAACAAGAAACAGAGAATGTCTCTCAACTCATACACACACACATACACACACACACACACACACACACACACACACAGTGAAAATAATATATAAAAGCTGACAGAACACAAATTCCAGACATAGACAAAAAGAAATCAAAGTTTTGGCTTCTTCTCATAAGTGTGTAGCCCTGAGGAAATCACTCTCACTCCTAGAACATCCATGAGGAGTCTAGAAACAAGAGATTGGAGATGTCACTGCTAGCTCAGAAGGGTAACGCTGCAGGCTCCTCTTTGGTCAAGTGAGAATGTAATGTCATCCTTGCTAGGTCACAGATTGTTGTGATACTCAAACCAAACAATAAATATTAATGTGCTTGGGATACTATTAAATGCCACACAAGTATAAAAAGCTGCTTTCTAAGCAATATTGTCTCCAATGTTAAAGAGCACTTGAAGCCAAGCAAGGGGCTTAATCTCTTTAAGATATACAACAATTCCCAGTGGCTTTCTAGGATATGATAATTCCCCCATTAGACTAATCCCCACAGGCAGCAACTATGTTTGGCACATTCTAAGTATTCAACACGTAATCAATATGCCTGGACACATGATTGGAAGTAGAAGCCAAAAGATTTCGCTGTACTGGGTTGGTTATGCAAGGTCATCTTTTAAAAACCAGCCCCTAGAACAGTGCCTGGCCCAATATACTGTGATGGTCAATTTTATGTTCAACTTGGCTGGGCCACAGTGCCCAGATATTTGAAGAAACATTATTCTGGATGTTTCTGTGAAGATTTTTTTTTTTGGAAGAGATTAACATTTAAATCAGTGGATATTGAGTAGAGTGGATTACCCTCCATCCTGTGAGTAGACCTCATTCCATCAGTTGAAGGTCTTAATAGAACAAAATACTAACCTCTTCTCAGCAAGAAGAAATTCTGCCAGCAGACCACCTTTGGACTCAAACTATAACCCTTCCTGGGTCTCCAGCTTGCCAGCCTATTCTACAAATGTTGGACTTACAAAGCCTTCACAACTGTGTGAGCCAATTCACTAAATTCAACCAAGCTCGCTCGCTCTCTACACACACACACACACACACACACAAACACACACCTGATGGTTTGGTTCTCTGGAAAATCCTGATTAATACAACTACAAATGTTCAATAAATATCCAGTCTTTTTTCATCCCCAAAATAAATTATTTTTAACCATCAAATATTTCACTCTAAAAGAATCTTTCTGTTTTCTAAATTTTAAAAATTACTTCAAAAATAATTGTTTATTCAATTCTCAATTCCTTCCCAAGTATTTATTGATTCCTTCCTCATTTAATTATTTATTAGCAGATGGAATAAAAGAGAAACCCTATGTAGAGCAAATAGAGAACTACATCCGAATTTAGCAGTGAGTGTCTAAAATACTGAGCACTTACAAATTTGAAAGTTACAAAAAATGAATATAATTTTGTGGAACATTCCTATTATAATGAATATTGCTTGTTGAATAGAGCAACCTTAAGAAAACTTTTTGTCTATATAAAAATACTGGATTCAGAATAAGGAATTGAAGTTGAAATCATTTAATCTGCATCTAACGTAGAAAATGGCACTGAAATTCTGAAAGGAATGTGAAATTGCTGTACCTTCTAAGTACCTATGAATAAAATAGGTGAGGAAAAGGAGAAAATTCAATTTAACACTGAGAGTAATTTTCACCTTTCTTTGAAAAACATACCTAAAATGCCATGTGTTGTCATGGAAACAGTAAAATAAGAAGTCTGTGAATGCTTAAAGTTAGGTGCAAGATTGACAAATACAGACTGTTTTTATTGCCTCTTACAGGGTAGAAAAAGACTGATGGTGATTTGGTACATAACCATCCTGTGTTTATTCTAAATCTTCCTATAGTTTGTAGTTTTTCTTGAGTGTGACCTCCCAAAATAATTACCCTTTTTTTCCTTCCTAGAGCTTACAGGAGGCACCTTGTCTAGACCTCATTTATAATGACAATGAGTTAAATTAAAATTATGGATTATAAGGCTTAAAAGTGTTTAAAAGAACTGAATACAGAACAAGGTCCTGCTCAAATCCATGTGCTCAGGCTCACAACACAGAATACTTGACGCAATAATTGTAATGTAAAGACCATGAGGTTTAGGATAAGATGCACCCCTAAGTTTGAGTCCTGGTTCCTCTATGTAGTTACTGTGTGACCTTGACCAGCATATTTACATCCTCTCTAATATATATTTTTAATCTAATCTATGAAGTGAAACTAGCTGAATCACATTTGGGGGATTGTTTAAGATTATTGAGTGAATATTAAATAGTATATACCCCAAAGCACAAATGTTATTGTTATGCCTTTTTTTCCATTACTCTCATTAGTGGTTAGGGCCAGACCCTGGATAACTGAAAATGTCTTATAATCCTCAAATCCTTTCTATTGCTTTTGAGCCCTGTGGTTGTATGTATTCTTGCCATTCAATTACTGATCATTAACAATGATTCCCATCAGAAGCCCAATAAAATGTCAAATATTAGAAGCCTAGTGTTCTTTACCTGACCTTCAAGGATCTCCATAACCTACCTAGATGCCAATTCCCCATATTGAATTGCATGCTACCATTCAAACTAGAGCCACTGAAAATTAAAGCTGTAAGAGACTTGACTACCTTTATATCATAGATGGGAATGTAGACTCAAGAACCAGAGTGTTTGTTTGAAGATCCCACTGCTAGCGAAGTCAGAGACCAATTTCCCAACTTCTAATGAAAGGCTCTAGGCCTCACATTTCACAAATTCTGGCCCAAGAAGAGCAACAATGTACTGCCTCTTCCATATAATATGTTAATTTCCATTGCTCTATCTCTGTCTTGCAGAGAGTAGTGTTCCTTCAAACGTGGATACCAACGTGAGTACATGAAATTATCCCAAGGATTATAGGAGCAAGGGCAATTTAAAATAATCAATTTCTAGCTCCTCAACATCCATATCTTCTTTTTCCTAAGACTTCTGCCTGAGTACCTATCTTTATTCCACTTTACAAAAGAAACATGCATCCTTCATTTATATTATTAATTTCTATGGTGCATTATCCCAGGGTTCTGTTGTTTAAGCTACCTAGTCTATGGCATTTTTTGTTATAGCAGCAGAAAAAAACACAGACTGTTTTTTAATTGCAATTATAGTATCCAGTATCCATTCCCAGAATTGGTCTCTGACTTCTGGTTCTGGCCACTATGAAATAGTAAGGTGCAGATTTGTCTTCTTGCCTGAAGGAACAAAAAAAAATGACAAAATATATAAAACTACAGTTTTTAAGACATTAGACATCAAGCAAGGAATGACAGTAACTTGTAAGAAATGGAAAGCAATTGAGATGACCCTATAATTGCCCACTTTACTATTTTCAGAGGATTTTTAGGCCATAGAGATGAGTGGGGAATCAAGCCTGGGCCAGGTGGACTCCTGGAGCTGACAGTCTGCGTTAACAAGGCAGCTACAGCTCACAAGACAGAGCACTGACGAGGAGAGAGCCACACAATAGAAAAGGAACTCCAAAGATCTGCAGTGGGAATGAAAAGATGAGCCAAAGATTGAAAGAAAGAATGGCAACTCACATATCTCATAAAATATTTTTATCCAACATATATGAAGAACTCTCAAAACAGCATGGTACTGGTACCAAAACAGAGATATAGATCAATGGAACAGAACAGAGCCCTCAGAAATAACGCTGCATATCTACAACTATCTGATCCTTGACAAACCTGAGAAAAACAAGCAATGGGGAAAGGATTCCCTATTTAATAAATGGTGCTGGGAAAACTGGCTAGCCATATGTAGAAAGCTGAAATTGGATCCCTTCCTTACACCTTATACAAAAATCAATTCACGATGGATTAAATACTTAAACGTTAGACCTAAAACCATAAAAACCCTAGAAGAAAACCTAGGCATTACCATTCAGGACATAGGCATGGGCAAGGACTTCATGTCCAAAACACCAAAAGCAATGGCAACAAAAGCCAAAATTGACAAATGGGATCTAATTAAACTAAAGAGCTTCTGCACAGCACAAGAAACTACCATCAGAGGGAACAGGCAACCTACAAAATGGGAGAAACTTTTTGCAACCTACTCATCTGACAAAGGGCTAATATCCAGAATCTACAATGAACTCAAACAAATTTACAAGAAAAAAACAAACAACCCCATCAAAAAGTGGGCAAAGGACATGAACAGACACTTCTCAAAAGAAGACATTTATGCAGCCAAAAAAACACATGAAAAAATGCTCATCATCACTGGCCATCAGAGAAATGCAAATCAAAACCACAATGAGATACCATCTCACACCAGTTAGAATGGCAATCATTAAAAAGTCAGGAAACAACAGGTGCTGGAGAGGATGTGGAGAAATAGGAACACTTTTACACTGTTGGTGGGACTGTAAACTAGTTCAACCATTGTGGAAGTCAGTGTGGTGATTCCTCAGGGATCTAGAACTGGAAATACCATTTGACCCAGCCATCCCATTACTGGGTATATACCCAAAGGACTATAAATCATGCTGCTATAAAGACACATGCACACGTATGTTTATTGCGGCATTATTCACAATAGCAAAGACTTGGAACCAACCCAAATGTCCAACAATGATAGACTGGATTAAGAAAATGTGGCACATATACAACATGGAATACTATGCAGCCATAAAAAATGATGAGTTCATGTCTTTGTAGGGACATGGATGAAATTGGAATTCATCATTCTCAGTAAACTATCACAAGAACAAAAAACCAAACACCGCATATTCTCACTCATAGGTGGGAATTGAACAGTGAGATCACATGGACACAGGAAGGGGAATATCACACTCTGGGGACTGTTGTGGTGTGGCGGGAGGGGGGAGGGATAGCATCGGGAGATATACCTAATGCTAGATGACGAGTTAGTGGGTGCAGCACACCAGCATGGCACATGTATACATATGTAACTAACCTGCACAATGTGCACATGTACCCTAAAACTTAAAGTATAATAAAAAAAAAGAACTCTCAAAACTTAAGAGGAATACAAAAAAATAATTAAAACTAAAATTAAACACCAGTTAAAAATGGCCAAAGTGTTTAAATGGAAACTTCACCATAGAAGGTACACAAGTGGCCTGGCACAGTGGCTCATACCTGTAATCCCAGAACTTTGGGAGGCCAAGGTGAGATGATCACTTGAGCCCGGTAGTTCCAGACTAGCCTGGGAAAGATGGCAAGAACCCTTCTCTACAAAAAAATTAAAAATTAGCCAGTCATAGTGGCACACACCTCTAGTCCCAGCTACTTGGGAGGCTGAGGTGGGAGAATTGCTTGAACCTAGGAATTTGAGGTGGCAGTGAGCTATGATTGTGCCACTGCACCCCAGCCTGGGTAACAAAGTGAGATCCCGTCTCTTTAAAAAAATTTTAAAAGCAAATAAAAAAAAATTAAAGAAGATGCACAGGTTTCAGATAAGCACTTGAAAAGATAGTCAATATCCATCATTAGAGAAATGAAAATTAAAACTACAAAACTAAAAATACTAAAAATACAGTAACAAAATACTAGACACCAATTAGAATGGCTAAAATTTAAAAGATCATATCAAGTGTTCGTGAGGAGATGGAGGAACTAAAACTCTTATATAACTACTTTGGAAAGCAGTTTGGGAGTTTCTTAAAAAATTAAGCCTATATATTTGTATGATGTATATACTGTCCTCTCCTGGGTATTTATTGAAGAGAAATGAAAGCATATTTCCATACAAAGACATGTACACAAATGTTCATAGGAATTGTATTTGTAATAGCCAAAAACTGAAAATAACCCAAATATCCATCAACCAGTGAATAGATAAACAAATTGTAATATCATTATACAGTGGTATACTATACATCAATAAAAAATGAACTATTGATACATGCAAAAACGTGTATGAATCTCAAAATAATTTTGTTGAGTGAAAAAAGTCAACTCAAAGGGTGAACATATCGTGTTACTTCATTTATATGGAATTCTAGAAAATTCAAACTAATCTGTAATGGCAGAAAATAGATCAGTGTTTGCCTGGGGACAGAGTTGGGGTGGCAGTGAGGGTCAGGAGAAAGAGGTTACAAAGGGGCATGAAGACACTTTTGGGGAGTGATGATTTCACAGATGTATACATATTTCAAAACTTATCAAATTCTACACCTTAAGTATATGCAGGTTATTGTGTGTCAATTACTCCTCAATAAAGCTGTATTTTTTAAAAGGGAATAGGATGGAAGCCATACTAAACATCTACACTCAACAGTCATTAATCTTTTCTGGGCAAAGGATAAGACTTTCCTCTAGCCCTTTCCCCACTCTAAGAGCCTTCTCCTCTTTCATCTTGGGTTCACATTTTTCAGCTCTCTCAGATCACACCTTCTCCAATTATTTTCAGCCTACCAGCAAACACTTCTATAACACACACTCCAGGCTTAACTTCTTCCTCTACATCTTGTTGCATAGGTTCCCAACACATAACATGTATTTCTTTTCATTCCTTGTAGCTCTCCAACCCTGGAATCCTGCTTGCATCTGCATTTGGGCTGGAGCCAGAACTTGAACTGGAGGAGTGGCTGGGAAAGAAAAATCAAATGTGTTTGAGGGGAATCATTGGAAAAATGATTCAATCATTTTGGTCCTTGGGGAGAATGTAGAGCTCATTCTTCTCACAGAAAGCCATTTAGACTTTCTTGAAGATCCTTTTCCTTTGAGAGCTAGTTTATGGTCAACATCTGAAACATGGCTATTCTATCCATATCACCAACAGTACTATTTCTCGAAGCCCCGCCATGTTCTAGCTCAGTCTTCACCAACCCCTAACAATTCAGAAAAAAAGGAGCCATATGGAAAACCTGTACATTTAATAAGCCTAATGCCCTTCATGACAACATTTAATAGTTATAACCTATGCATAAATGATTGGTAACAGGCAAGTAATCCAATGTAAAGCCCTTATAGTTTATTTTCTATGTACAGATGGCAAACCCTATTAGTGTATTACTAAAGGAAACTTAATCATTTTTAACAAGTCCTATTGCCATCTTCCATAAATTCTTGTGTTAAAATTACTGTTTTTGGCAACCATGTTATTGGGTCCCTGAACGGATACTAATGTCAAGAGTCTGGTGCCCAGAGTGAGCAAGCAAATAGGGAAGCATCTCTAAAAAGCAAAAACAAAAACAAAACAACAACAGCAAAAAACAAGTGTGTTTTGTTGAACTTCAAGTGACATCACTAAAAACTTGTTCTTTTTTATACTATTTGATTATCTTCCATCATTCAGATCCTAAAGTTGCATTTCATTCCAATAGCATTGCTTTCCTGAAGCTTCTAGACCAATGATGGCTTCAGCGATACTCTGCATTCTTTTTAAAGTTGGCAGAAAATTCCCTTTATGAAGTTTCCTAATTTATTAACCATTTGCCTCTTTTACCTTCCTGTCCTTCCCATGTCTAGGCATGATTCTTCCTCATCATTTGGTGCATGTGCCCTGTATCTCATATCAATCCATGTTTCAATCTCACTTTTTAATATCAGAGCTGATATCACAATCAACTTTAAGTTTTTATGTCTAAGTTTGTTAAAATTTGATCCTGAGAGTATTTTCTTCCAAAATATTATTGTTCTATTTCTGTTCCTATTTGTTGTTCCATAGGTTTAGGCAATGTGGACACCTTGGAAGAATTACTCTCTGTTGAAGGTGTGCATGCTCCCAATGGTTAGAACAAAATGTTATCCTTGTAATGTGGTAGTAAAAACCACTGTTTTCACTTTAAAACTTTTTAAATTTTGAAAATATAATAATTATCAGATTGAATATTGTTGGACATTCCTAATTTATTGAAATGTGTTTTTATGTTCTGACTTTCTAAAAATTATTTCTCTAAACTTGACGTCATTGAGCTATTTTGTAAAATCACTTTAAACAGTGGCAGCATATTTTACTCCATAATAAAAAGGAAAAGCATCTCCAGGGAAGCATTACTCTTTAGAATTCATGTAATTCAAGGATAATCAATATGTCACCAGAAACAAATAACTAAGATCAGACTCGTTTTAGGGGAGGTGATAGATAAATATGAATATAGGGCATCTCAAAGAGGGTACAAGGGTAAGTCCTAAAAATATAGAAAAGAGAGGATGCATATGCTAAAATTTGTTTTATTGAATTATAATTTGCTTTGTATTGAATTTTCATGAAAATAATATGGCTTGATGCACTTAACGTTTTTCGTACCATAGAACAATTCTTCAGTCTATTTAAGCCTATGAACTCTTTTCTCAGAATAAAGTTTCTAAAGACATAAAATAAAATACATACCACTACCAAGAAAATAGTTACATTATAGTTATCAAAGAACTGAAGAAAAAATCTATGATGTAGTAACATAGTTGCCTCTTATTATTGTATTAAATATGAAGGCCTGTCATTAAGTTATAATAAATAACATAATTACAAATGGCATTAAGCATAAATAATATTTTGATACCTCTTTAACAACTGTAATAAAATATGAAAATGTCTGTCATTTGTATTAGTGACAAGGTTATGGGTACTGCTAATACTACTATGATTTGTTACTTACATTCGTAACTGAATGAAGTGGCAAATTTCAATTAGATGTTCGTGAGAATAAATATGTATTTTTCCCATCTAAATAACAGATCTCTTGAATTCTCTTTCATGCAAGAAGTTCCTTTGCCTGGGATGGTTTAGCAGAAACATTTCTATATATTTATAGATTTGAGTTTCATTTATTCAATTGAGCATTATTGAGGACATACTAATCATCTTAAAGTAAGTAGGGGCTCAGAACCAGAACTGTGAGGTATATATTATGGTACTATCTGAAGGATATTTGTAGCTCAGTAGAGTAAGAAAATCTTATAAATTACTGCAATGAAACATTAGAGATATTATAAAGAGAAAAATCTCCGATGTAGAGGAAGCACAAAGAAGAGAAAGTCAAATAAACCAAGTTTCATAAACAAAAAGGGAGTCACCATGCAGATTTATGAGCGATGGATAGGAAAGAACTCCCCAGGGAGACAGAACTTTATGTCCCGAAATTCTGAAATATAAAACAGTTCTAAAAGTGTTGGTCATTTAATATGGCTTGCAATTTAATGTAAGAATCTCTTGCCAAAATTACATTTCACTCACAGACTCTGAGATGCTTAAACAAATAGCCTCACTTATTATGGAAACTTTATTCCCAAATAATTATTTAAGCATCTGTCTATTCCCCTGGAATGTTAACTTATTGCATATTTGATGAATGAATGAATGAGTGAATGAATGAAGTATATTTGAACCCTACAGTCCTATAGTGGCCCTGGTAATCTTATAAAAACCATCAGGTAGCAGATATTCCATCCAAGAATGGCTGTTAGCCATGAACAAAACTCAGATGATGAAATGCATAATGCTTTTGTATTCTTGATTCTTTCTGTCTGAATTCATTAAAATCAAAAAGATTTTGTGAGGAGATGGACTGGAGAATAGTTTTATCCCTGTTGGCTTAGAAAAATATGGCTTACTGAACTGGTTTATGAAATTGAATTTGAAAAAGACAGTAAAAAATACTCTTCTTTCAGCAAAGAAAAAATAATAATAATCAAATGGAGATTCTTCAGGCTAAGTCATCTCTATAAAGATTTCTACCCTCACTCTTCAAAATCAGTAAAATAAGGATTATAACCATGATGGTCATTATATGTTTACATATTATTTAAAGAATAATAAATGAGGCATAGCAAGATGATGCCTATTTCTGTCACATGTAAATTTAACTTCAAGTCACCATAAAACAAGTCTCACAGTCATAGATAGCAGAAAGGAGGTGTCTGAAACACAGCATACCCAACTGCATATAGGACTAATCCACAAGCCCTCAGTACTCCTGGTTATATTTAATTCTGAATATGATGCCATAAATGGGACATTGAGAGAAAAAATGAGAGGTTACCCAAAGGAGATTATCCAGAATAGAAACCAGGTTATATGGAGAACAGCTGGATAAATTGAGGTATTCAACCAGGAAATGTGACATGGAAGCCACTGGGGGCTCACCTGGTGACCTCAGATAAGCTACAGTTGCTCAGAATTAGGACAATTGAGTTACAAAGAAGCAGAATTCTGCTTTCTAAAGGGTAGGATGTTTTAATAGTTGGAGCAGACCACCTAGCGAGACTCTGAGGTTTTCCTCAATAGACTGTTCAGGCATAGGCCCTAGTGTAATTATTTGCTTCTTAAATAATTAACCACCCACTCACTATATGCCTCTTGGTAGTGGGCATGGAGCAGTAAACAATATATCAGAAGCATGGTGGGGGTGGATGCCCTTACTGGCAAATAAAGGCCCTGTAACTTAAGTGGGCACTTAAGTGAGAAGCCATTAAGGAGAGTGTGAGGACCTGGATTCTTCTCTGAATTGCTTAGCTCAGAATCAGCCACAGGATTTCAAAATGCACAGTAGATTACCTCTAGAGAAGAGAGCATACTCTTTAATGTGAGGTGTAGTGTGGCTTGAAGTAAACCACTATAGGACTTCTGTATTCAGCTCTGTCATGTAAAGAGTGTAGGAGTCATCACTCATATCCTTATAATAGCAATATTTTAAAAACTGAACAAACTGAAAAGCAATGACTTTTCTTGACCCATTGGAGAACTGAGGTTGTAGGGTAAATTGCCACCCTGAAGTCAGGAGAGACAGATGAATCCAGAGAATCATAGCTGAAATCTTCTTACCTGGACAAGAATTTGCTAGAGCTATAAACTAGTAGAAACGCTGAAATGGTAATTGTGATGAATTCCTGGAGGCTGAATATAGACCAGGGTGTGTGAGTAAGTTCTGGTGACAGCAGTTGTAGAGGAACCCCCACATTTGCATGGGCTTTACCTCCAGGAAGCTTTCCAGATTCTCAAGGTGAAGATCTGAGAAAGATACCTTCATGGCTCTTGCAGAGAAAGTGAAAGAGCAAACCTTAGGAGAAGACAAGGATGTTTTCTTTCACCATTTCTATTGAATGTAATACTAGTTTTCTTAGCTAGCACAGTAAGACAAGAAAAAGAAGTCAGGCATTCAGATTGAAAAGGAACAAATAAAGCTGTCTATTCAAAAATAACATAATTATCTATGTATAAAATCCCAGAAACATCAACAAAAATTTCTTAGAATTAATAAATGAGCATAGCAAAAGCATATAATACAAAAATAATGTACAAAAACCAATTGCTTTCTTATATAACAGCAAAGAACAATTGGAATTTGGCATCAAAAAAACCAATACCACTTAACAATAGAACCAAAAAATTGAAAACCTGGGCATAATTCTAACAAAATATGTACAGGATGTATATTCGGAAAACTAAAGAAATATAAAAAGAGCTAAATAAACTGACAGGTGCTCTGTGTTCATGGACTGTAGCATACTATTGCTAGATAGTAATAATAGGGGAAACCGTGTGTGAGGCATATGGGGAGTCTCTGTCCTATGTTTCTAATATTTCTGTGAATTTAAAACCCTTATAAAAATTTTTCAAAAATATTTTAAAAATTTAAAACACCCTCCCACCCATTGGCATGCATTCATGGAACCCAGTGTCACTTCAGTGTTCACCTCTTGGGTGAGTCACAGGAATGAAGAGTATAGCATGATACTTATCATATGTCCCTTCTGCTTTTCAGGGCTGAAAAGTCTGCACAAGAATAAAACACAAAGATAATGAACATTCATTGTGTTGACCAAAAAAAACCCTAAAATCACCTCATAAATTTTCATGATTATCATATATAACCAAATAATGTCTAAACAAGAGCTCATAATTCAACAAACTCATGAGTTCACCGTAAACTGAGAAACTCCCAAGGCAACCTTTAACACTTCCTTGTCTGTGTGAACTACTTCCCTCTACTCTACAACATGGCATGGATATGGCAATGGGATAGCTGATGTTGCTGCATTTACCAGTGACTCTGGATCTAACCAGCAATGCAGCTTGACCCGCTCAAACACTATCATGACTTTCTCTTTTCCTCCCCTTTTTTTATGCTTTTTATTTCCTCTCTTCATTCAATTTTCTCTCTTTTTTGTCTTTCTCTGTGTGCTCACTTCTTTTTCATCTACTAGAAGTGGCTTCCTCCATGCAGAAGGAAGCATAACTGTAGGCAGCAATGGGGCTAAGAAGAAAGCCCTATAACCTACACACATACATGCAGGGTAATTTTGCAATTACAGACCACAATCTATTCCCTAAACCATTTGGACTCATCTCAAGGGATCTTCCCGAGGCCCCACTGTTGTCAGAGGAGATTGATTGCAATACTGCTGATTATGCTTTATATGGTTTCAAAAAATTAAATGTTTATGGTTCTGAAAAAGCTAATGACGTTCACCTCAACTACTATATATATATGGGTTTCAACTCACATGCAAACCCTGACCAATGTGTGACAAAGCTTCAAAGACAAATTCTGAGTTCAGTGTGTGACTGGTTGTCAACATCTCCTGCAGGCTTGGAAGAGAATGCAGCAATAGAAGAGCTATTCCTGTTTAGCATGATGCTTTATCAGAAATTAGAATGCCTTGCCATTGAAGTATTAGTCTTACCTTAATAGTACAAAATTAATAATCAATATCAAGAGGAAAACCTTTTTAAATACTGTTAAAATATAAACTCTAGTGGTGTTATTTTAATTAACATCAAATGAAAGTCTCCAGAATGAACGAGGAGATTTCTGAGGAAAATACATTCTATTTGCTTTGTATTGTGCACAAGAAATTGCAGTAATTTAGCAGCTTAAACACCGCTTATTTATTAGTTCACAGTTATGTAAGTTAAAAGGCTGAGATAGTGTGGCTGACTTCTCTGCTCAGTATATCACAAGGTTAAAATTAAGGTATTAGCTAGGGCTTCGTTTCTCATGTGGGGCTAAGAGCTCTCTTCTGAGTTTAGTGGTTGTTGAATTTAATTATATGTGGTTGTTGGACTAAGGTCCCCAATTCCTTGCTGTCAGAGAAGCCTCGTGGAGCTCCCTAAAGCCTCCCACATGCCTTCTCATGTGACCTCCTCCACCTTTAAATCAGCAATGGCTCATCAAGTCCTTCTCATGCTGCAAATCTGTCTGGTTTCTTCTTTTGCTACTAGCTGGAGAAAACTCCCTGATTTTAAAGGCTCATGTCATTAGATTCGACCCACCTGCCTAATCTCCCCATGTTATCATAACAGTGCCATATAACCATATGTCATCATGAGAGTAATATCTCATCATATTTATAGGTTCCAGGGGTGAAGGCAGGACATCTTTCAGGGGCCATTTAAGAAATTCTGCCTACCACACAAAACAGATGCACACACCACACAAACACATGAAATAAATCCTTTTTTGAATACAGAATAGTTCTTTTAAATAATAAAATAACTTTAGCTAATATTTATTTGCCTGTTGTTGTGTATAGATGAGATTTCTCCAAGTGCCTTAAATATACCAGCTCATTTATCTCCATGAGGCAGATACTGTTACGAACCCATTTTACAGATGAACAAACAGGCAGGAAGATGTTCAATAACTTGCCCAGAGGATTAGTTAAAAAGAGAGACAGAATTAAACCCAGAAACCCAGGTGATCTGCCTTCAAAGACAACATTCTTAACAATAAGACATAATGTGAAAATACTTTGCACAATGCCTGGATTATAGCAAATGTTCACTAATAGTACTTTTTTGTGTATACTTTTCATTTCTGTTATTACCTGATGTTTAATCATGTAACCTCATTTTTGTTTTAGAAAATAAATCTGATAATTTATTTAACAATTTATGCTATTTATTTATAACTACTTATACATGCTTATAAAAAAGATTATGATACTTAATATCTACCTATTACTTTTCAGTCCATTAAACACACTTGTATATATTTACATTATTTATTCAATACTCACAATGACTCAGCATAATCCTTGACATATAGTAAGTATTTAACAAGACTTTGTGAATCATGAATAATTATGCCTATTTTATCAAAAACTCAGTATATAACTTTCCATGGATAATAAATGCAGAATTAGAAGTTTATGTGTTCTGAATTCATTTTTCTGTATTTCTTTTCACAATGCTATATTAGAAAACTGAACAACACATATACAAAAAACTCAACACTATATATACTGATACACACATATATGTATATACATACACATATGTACATCTGTTTGTAATTCCCCCCAAAAAAATCAAGAACATTGAGAAGAATTCCTGATTTAAAGCACATCACACTCATCTGGTGGAGATAATGTATATATCCTTTGAATTTGGACTCAGAAATGTCCCAGTGATGTTTTGCCACTCATCAGAGACCACTTTATTTTCAGAGAGGAGTGTCCTAATGCTTGTGCCATATCTTTCAAACTACACATACGTCCACTTAAAGGATGATTCACAAAACATGTGCACGTACATATGTGAGCCTCTTTGTCCCCCAGTAAGTAGGCTGTTGAGCAATGGCAAACTTTCTCAGCATTGGCTAGGACTAATATACTACCTAGCAGAAGCACTACAGAGAATTTGCAGGGCAGCATTAAAGTTACTGACTAGGGTAAGGTTAATTAACACTTTTCTTAGAAATGTCAAGTGATTAGTAAGAACAGCAATAAATTGGGGTCACTGGGAGTTCTTTCTGCAATCAGCATACTGAGTAGCCCATAATATTGTTTATAATAATCTGTGTCAGCCTGCAATTGTCTATATATTTATAGAATATTCCAGTGAAGTTTACAGATTCAAATTTTAATTCAAACACTGACCTTTCTTTGGTTGGTTAATTTACTTGAAGCATTTGTTAGACATTACACAGAGGGCTTTACATGTATGTTTTCATGTAATAACTCAATAAATATTTAAATATAAGGTCCATTTCACAGATTTGCAAACTGACTCTCAAAGAGAACAAGTAACTAGTGTTAGAACACAGGAAAGCCAGGTTTTGAACCCAGGCATCTTGACTCCTGAATCGTGTAACCTCACACACCTGAAATAGCACCCTAGAGAGGTAATAACACTGACAAACAAATTTAGTTAAGTTGTGGGATGCAAAATCAACATAGAAAGATCAGTAGCACCTCTATATGCCAACAACAAACAATCTGAAAAAGAAATCAAGAAAGTAATGCCATTTACAATAGCTACAAATAAAATAAAATATCTAGGAATAAACTTAACGAAAGAAGTAAAAGATCTCTATAATGCAAACTATAAAACATTAATGGAGGAAACTGAAAATGACAGAAAAAACAGAAAAATGTTCCATGTTCATTATAGATTGGAAGAATCAATATTTTTTAAATGTCCATACTACCCAAAGCAATCTACAGAGTCAATGCAATCCTTATCAAAACACAATGATATTCTTCTACACAGCAAAGGAAACAATCAATGAAGTGAAGAGACCACCCACAGAATGGAAGATAAAATTTGCAAACTACCCGTCTGACAAGGAATTAATAATCAGAATATATAAGGAGCTCAAACAACTCTATAGGAAAGGATAATAGTCTGATTTTAAAATGTTCAAAGGATCTGAGTAGACACTTCAAAAGAAGACATGCAAATGTCAAACGGGCACATGAAAAGGCACTCAACATCACTGATTATCAGAGAAATGCAAACCAAAACTACAATGAGATATCATCTCATCCCAGTTAAAATGTCTTTATCCAAAAGACAGGCAATAATAAATGCTGGTGAAGATGTGGAGAAAAGGGAACCCTTATACACTGTTGGTGGGAATGTAAATTAGTACAGTCACTATGGAGAACGATATGGAGGCTCCTCAAAAAACTGAAAATAGAACTACCATATGATCCAGCAATTTCACTGATAAGCATATACCCCCCACCCCAACAAAAGGAAATCAGTATGTTGGACAGATTGCACTCCCATGTTTATTGTAGAACCAGTCACAGTAGGCAAGCTTTGGAGGCAAAGTAAGTGCCTATCAACAGATGAATGGATAAAGAAAATGTGGTACACATAAACAATGGAGTACTAGTCAACTGTAAAAACAATGAAATCCTGTCATTTGCAACAATATGAATAGAACTGGAGGTCATTATCTTAAGTAAAATAAGCCAGGCACATTCATTTGTGGGAGCTAAAAATTAAAGCAATTTAATTCATTGAGATAGAGAGTGGAATGACGGTTACCAGAACCTGGAAAGGGTAATGGGAGGTGGAGATAGTGGGGATAGTTAATAGGGAAAAAAATAGTTAGAATGAATGAGATCTAGTATATGATAGAACAAAGGGGAACTACAGTCGGCAATAATTTGTTGTACATTTTTAAATAATTAAAAGGGTATAATTGGAATGTTTATAACACAAAGAATTGATAAATGCTTGAGGGGGTGGATACCCCACTTACCCCATTGTGATTATTATATATTATATGCCTGTATCAAAATATCTCATGTACCCCATAAATATATAGACCTACTATGTACCCACAAGAATTAAAAATTAAAAAATAATAGTAAGTACCACTCATGAGAGACACAAGTTTTGGGGATCTGAGTCAGACAGATGGGTCTGAGCTGAACCCTAAGAGAACAAAATGAGTTCCATACATAGGATGACAGTGTGGAAGAATTTTAGTTTGGGAGTAGCACGATTAAAGCCCAGCAGAATGCTAGGAATCAGGGTTTGTTTCTGAGCCAATGTGATCAGAGGGAAAGAGGTATGGGCAGACATCCAGAACCACAGACTGGAACAAGATAGGGCCCCCAAGGTGGGGCCAACCCCCAGAAAAGAATGATTAAGGTACACCAAAGCCTGATCCTCACTTCTCCAGGAAGGCTCTCCTGCCCTTGCCCCTGGCACACAGTTCTCTTCCACTAGTCTACATCCCTAAAGGTCTGGTTTGTCTATAATCAAAGCTAAGTAAACAGCAAAGGTTACAATATAGCATGTAAAACTTCAGGGAAATCATCAATGGGCAAGTAGATTTTATTATCAATCAAGTAATTGTATTCACATTTTTACTCTCTCTCTCTCACACACACACACACACACAACACACACGCCACTCCCTAACACACACATTCATACAATGCTGTCATGTAAGACTGAACAACCCTCTTCAGGCACACATGGGATGGATGCCCATGACAGTGAGGTAGGCTGCTGAAAGAATGCCACTGATACCAGACTAAAATTGAAATGTTGGTTCAGTGAGAAATGCTCTATGGTAGCATACAATATAGTTGACTTCCACCTGTGAATTTTAAGCAATATACTGGAATATGCTCAGAACTTCACTATTATCTTAGTGTGCCATCAGATGTACTTGTATAGGTCTACTGCGAACTTATTTACAGGAATCTTAAATGCCTGACAAACATACAGCCACCTTCTGGAGAAAGAAGCCCCCAGTGACTATGAAGCAACTTCCCTTTGGAGAAAAAAAAATGCATTATTTTATTTTATTTTATTATTTTATTTTATTTTTTTGAGATGGAGTTTCTCTCTTGCCACCCAGGCTGGAGTGCAGTGGCACAATCTCGGCTCACTGCAACTGCTGCCTTCCAGGTTCAAGTGATTCTCTAGCCTCAGCCTCCCAAGTAGCTGGGATTACAGGCATGTACCATCACACCCAGCTACTTTTTGCATTTTTAGTAGAGATAAGGTTTCACCATGTCAGGCAGGCTGGTCTTGAACTCTTGACCTCCCACCTCGGCCTCCCAAAGTGGTGGGATTACAGGCGTGAGCCACTTCACCCAACCTATTTTATTTTTAAATTAAATTTTTTGCCAGGGACTTTAAAAGAGTGAAGGAAGCTAAATATGAACTGCAGATAAGGGGGTATAGTTATTTTTCACATCACTGATAAAAACTCTTGCCATAGCAATACTCCATATCTCATGGAGCTCAGATACTCCAGTCAAATATCTTCTTTTGGAAAATACAAATTAAGGGTGAGCAAAAACAAAGCAAAGCACTCTGCTCAAGGTTGCATATGCCAAGTAGTGCAGTGCAATTTTCCCTACACACAACTAGTTGGCTACCTGGGACCCAGGAGAACTCTATTGCTAATGAGTCCATTCTTTCTCTCTGACATTCACTCAGCATATATGATTGAGTCACTCCTGTATGTCAGTCATTTATTAAGGGGCTGAAGATATAGCAGAAGAAAATGAACAGGACCCTTGTTTTGGTGTATTTTACATTCTAGTAGACAGAAAGACAATACACATTAAACAAAGAAATACTTTAATTGTAGGTGGTAGTAAGTTCTGTTTTGAAAATACAGGAAGGTATTTGGATAAGAGGAACAGCTGTTTTAGATATTATGATTGGTAGAGATTCTTTTAAGAAAGCTGTATTTGGGTTAAGTACAAAAGGATATGAAAGATTTAAGCATGTAAATATCTGGTGTAGACATATGCTTAGCATCGTTTAGAAGCAGCAAGGTCAGTGTGTGCAGAATACAGTGAGAAAGGAGTGTAGCAGAAGATTAAAAAATTCAATGGGAGCAGATCAGGTAGAGCCTTCTGATAAGAAGCCTTCTGATAAGAGCCTCTGGTAAGAAGTTTTGGATCAACTTCTCAGCATTCTAAAAAGTAATTGGAAGATTTTAAGCCGAGAAGTGACATTTGATTTCTCCTGTGAACAGTTTACTTTAGTGCCATGTGGAGAATGGGTTGTGGAGTGAAGCAGAGAGAGCAATTAGGAGGTTGCTTTCGGAAATATCAAGTGATCCTCACAATCTATTTTAAATTGAGGTCACGGGAGCTTCTGTATTTAGCCCACTGAATTGTCCATTATGTATTTTTTTCTATAAACTAGATATATAAAGATTAGTATATTGCAAGGCATTCTAATAAGGTATACTGAGGCTAATCCTAAATTGAACATTGTTTTTGTTTTTGCTGTTATTGTTGCAAGACCTTTGGCCTAATTTTCCTTTTGTTGACAGATAAATTTCTTTGTGGTAGAAAACAAATATACAAATGTTGAATTTTTAGCTCAATCACCTTTGCCAGGGATCTTGGACATATCTCTTAGCCACCTTGGGTCACAGTCTCTTTACCCAAGAATGAGTGTGGTCAGTATAGGTTTACCTGGTTCTGAAATTATATCAATGTTTAGATCATAGAAGTAATTACAGCATGGCCTCAATTAGCTTTGTCATTTATGATTCAGAAAGAAAAATGAGTTGACTATGAGACCAGTGAACTAAATATTGGTTGTGCATTTGTAATGGCTTCAAATAATAGTTTCATTTCTCTTATTGCACTTACCACTCTCTAAAATTATCCAGTTCATTTTTATTGTCCCATTATAATGAATGTTTCATAAGAGCAAGTGCCTTGCCCATTTTTTCACATCTGTAGGTTTAGCCTGTAAAAGAGTACTCATAATATATTAGATGTTCAATTAATACATGTTGAATGGATGAATGAATGATTTGCTACATTGGTGGGAATTCCTATGCATTGAGGAAGTAACAAATATTTCAAAAATCTCAAAAAGTCCTTGGAGGAGCTATATCTGGACTACCGTCAAGTATAGATAACCCACCTTACTTAGAATATCTCTTAGTCTCCTTATCTATATAAATGCTCTGGGTAGGTATTGGGGGAAGCTGGAGTATAACTTTCAAAAGACCATACGCTGTGAAAGAACATAAAAGGGGGTTTAATATTGGCTCTATCACAAAATCAGCTATGGTGCTGACAAGTAGCAGCATTATTAGAGTTATAATTTCCTCATTTGAAAATTGAAAGTATCCTGTCATATGGTCTTTGTAGAGAATGACTTTCAAAATGATCTAGCATAAATTAAACAAAGGTATGTCTCTTTTTTTCCTTAATCTTTTTCTGGGGATAACCTACATCAATCTAGTCCAAGGATAAACAATTTTTTCATGGGAATGTACAGAAAAAACCTAATATGTGGGTAGTGGTACCATAGAAGTCAAAATGGACAAAGAGACTGCTTAGTGAATTATCCCTTGACCAATGGCAAAGTATTTCTCAATTAAATATCTCAGGATTCATTACCAAGTATTTGCTTTTCCACCACCTAGGGTTGCTGTGCTCAGAGTCCTTGTTACTCCAGAACCTGCCAAGACAACAGCAAATTGTTATGGGAATTTGATCAAAGACTTGGATATTTTGGGAAAAAATTTGTTTTCATTTACTCTACATGTAAAAAAGGTGAGAGCAGCAAGAGTGGCCAAAAGTCATGCTGACTACTTCTCCTCAATTCTTAACGTATTAATATTACCTGTTTCCTAGTATAGATGACTATAACTCCAAAACTGCCTCACTTCTATGAAGTGAGGAATATTATTGGGGATCAAATATTATATGGCTAATAATAAACATTGGGGGAAAAAAATCAGTTGTATATATTGAAAGAAAGAGCAGTGATAAAAAATAAAGTAAAATATATACCAGAAAGGATACTCAGATGCACATTTGAAAAGAAACTTACTCAGAAGAACTAAGGTTAGTGTGATATTGAAGACTTCTTATTGTAGTTGCTGAGATTTAAACTTCCAGAAAAAGTGACATAATCCACGTTGTTTCTGTAAAGCTGAATTCATCATTCTTTGTCGTAACTCTCCCCTATTCTCATGGCCTAAGATCGCTCTCTTCATCTGGCAAACTAACTCATATTTCCAAAATGAGCTCAATGGCCATAGTGCTATGGTCTGAATGGTTGTGTACCCCCACAAAATTCATATGTTGAAACCTAATATTCAATGTATTGGGAGATGGGGCCTTTAGGAGGTGATTAAATCATGAGGATGATGCCCTCATGAACAGGATCAGTCCCTTTATAAAAAAGACTTGAGGGTTGGAAAAATAGTAAACAAAGCAAGATGACTAAATAGAACCCTCTAGCAATCTTCCCCCAGCAGAAACATCAAATGGAATAACTATGCAAGCAAGAAAGCACCGTCACAAGAACTGAAAAATCAGGCGAGAGATCACAGTATTTGGTTTTAGCATAATAACAAGAACAGATGAATTAAAGAGTGTGTAAAGAATAGTCTTACATTGCCTACACCACTCCTACTCCATTCCCAAGCAGTGCAGCATGGATAAAGAATTTGTGTGCTTGAGGGAAGGAGAGCAAAGTGAGTGTGGGACTTTGCTTTGAAACTCAGTGATGTTCCATGACAGTGGAACACAGCACTGGGTAGAATTCCACCAGTGCCCGTGGTGAGAGTACTTAGACCAGCCCTTAACCAGACGGGAAATACACTACCCTGTCAAGAGAAACCTAAGTCTTGGCCTGCTTCACCATCAGCTAACTAAAGTGGCCTCGGACCCTGAATAAATTTCAGTGGCAACCAGGTTGTTGCAAGTGCAGTCCTTGGGTGAGCACTGGTGCTGTGCTAGTCTTGGGGGCTGTGGACTTGGGAAGTAACCCTTCCTGAGCTTCAGCTACAGCAGCCACAGGAGTGCCTACATCACCCCTCCCCCAATTCCAGGCAGTGTAAAATAGAGAGAAACTCATTTTTGCTTGGGGGAAGTAGAGGGAAGATTACAGGGGATATTGTCTTACAATTCAGTGCCAACCACACCACGGGAAACAGAGCACCCAGAATACCATAGCCCATTATATCAGGCCACTACAAGACAGATTGCCTGGGAACCCAGGCAAATTTTCTGCATCTTACCAAAGTCCACCAGGGGTGGGTATCTAGGAGTCTGCAAGTCCCAGTGTTCCTGGGCTTAGGATACCGTCTAGGGCTGAAACGGATTCAGTAACCACAGGCTTAGGGACCTCAACAGTCAATCTCCTTTGAATTATTAGAAAGCCTTCTAAAGAATAATGGGTATAAACATGGTGAGACTACAAAGAATAGAATAAATAAAAATTCTCCAATGTCTAGCCATTGATGAACATCTACAAGCATCAAGAACATTCCAAAAAAATATAACCTTACGAAATGTAATAAATAAAACACCAGTGACCAACCTGGATTGCCAGAGATCTGTGACCTCTCACACAGGTAATTCAAAATAGCTGTTTTTACCAAAACAGATATGTAGATCAATGAAACAGAACAGGGGCCTCAGAAATAATGCCACATATCTACAACCATCTGATCTTTGACAAACCTGACAAAAACAAGCAATGTGGAAAGGATTCCCTATTTAATAAACAGTGCTAGGAAAACTGGCTAGCCATATGCAGAACACTGAAACTGGACCCCTTCCTTACACCTTACACAAAAATTAGCTCAAGATGGATTAAAGACTTAAATGTGAGACCTAAAACCATAAAAACCCTAGAAGAAAACCTAGGCAATACCATTCAGGACATAGGCATACGCAAAGACTTCATGACTAAAACACCAAAGGTAATGGCAACAAAAGCAAAACTTGACAAATGGGATCTAATTAAACTAAAGAGCTTCTGCACAGCAAAAGAAACTACCATCAGAGAGAACAGGCAACCTACATAATGGGAGAAAATTTTTGCCATCTATCCATCTGACAAAGGGCTAATATCCAGAATCTAAAAAGAACTTAAACAATTTTACAAGAAAAAAACAAACAACCCCCTCAAAAAATGTGCAAAGGATATGAGGAGACACTTCTCAAAAGAAGACATTTATGTGGCCAACAAACATGAAAAAAGCTCATCATCACTGGTCATTAGAGAAATGCGAATCAAAACCACAATGAGATACCATCTCACGCCAGTTAGAATGATCATTAAAAAGTCAGGAAACACAGGATGCTGGAGAGGATGTGCAGAAATAGGAACACTTTTACACTGTTGGTGGGAGTGTAAATTAGTTCAACCATTGTAGAAGACAGTGTGGCGATTCCTCAAGGATCCCTTTCAGAAATAGCATTTGCCCCAGCAATCCCATTACTGGGTATATACCCAAAGGATTATAAATCATTCTACTATAAAGACACATGCACATGTATGTTTATTGCAGCACTCTTCACAATAGCAAAGACTTGGAACCAACCCAAATGTGCGTCAATGATAGAATGGATAAAGAAAATGTGGCACATATACACCATGGAATACCATGCAGCCATAAAAAAGGATGAGTTCATGTCCTTTGCAGGGACATGGATGAAGCTGGAAACCATCATTCTCAGCGAACTAACACAAGAACAGAAAACCAAACACCACATGTTCTCACACATAAGTGGGAGCTGAACAATGAGAACACATGGACACAGGGAGGGGAACATCACACACTGGGACCTGTCAGGGGGAGGGGGGCCAGGGGAGGGATAGCATTAGGAGAAATACCTAATGGAGATGACAAGTTGATGGGTGCAGCAAAACACCATGGCACATGTATACCTATGTAACAAACCTGCACATTCTGTACATGTATCCCAGAAATTAAAGTGTAATTTTTTTTAAAAAATTGCCATTTTGAGGAAACCCAGCAAACTTCAAGAAAACACAGAGAATAAATTTCAAAGTTGATTAGATAAATTTAACAGAGTTTAAATAATTTTTAAAATTCCAACAGAAATCCTGGAGCTGAAAAATATAAGTGACAAATGAAAATTGCATCAGAATGTCTCAACAGCATAATTGATCAAAAAAGAAAAAAGAATTAGTGAGCTCAGAGACTGACCCATTCTTCTTCAGAAGGCTTTCTAATCATCAAAGGGAATTGACCACTGAATTCCCTAAGTCTGTGGTCACTGCAGCCATTTCAGCACTAGAGGGTGTCCTAAGCCCAGGTACACTGTGTGACTCGCAGACTCCAGGATACTCAGCCCTGATGGACTTTGGGAAGATACAGAAAAATTGCCTGGGTTCCCAGGCAATTTGTCTTGTATTGGCCTGATATAATGGGCTTTGGTATTCTCCATGGTGCTCTGTTTTCCTGTGGTGGGGTTGGCACCAAGTTGCAAGACAATGCCCCCTGTAATTGTCCCTGTATTTCCCCTAAGTAAAAATGAGTCTCTCTCTACTATACTGCCTGAAGTTGGGGGAGGGGTAATGTAGGCACTCCTGTGGCTGCTGTAGCTGAAGCTCAGAGTGAGTCACATCCCAAGCCCACAGCCTCCAAGACTAGCACAGCACCAGTGCTCACCCAAGGACTGCACTTGCAACAACCTGGTTGCCACTGAAATTTATTCAGGGTCCGAGGCCACTTTAGTTAGCTGATGGTGAAGCAGGCCAAGACTTAGATTTCTCTTGACAAGGCAGTGTATTTCCGTCTGGTTCATGACTGGTCTAAGCACTCTCACCATGGGCACTCATAGAATTCTACCCAGTGCTGTGTTCCACTGTCATAGAACATCAATGAGTTTCAAAGACTTGAAAATACACATTCAGAGAGAAGAGAGAGAGAGAGGGAGAGAAGTACACTTACAAGATCTAGAAAATAGGCTTAAAAGGAAAATCTATGTATCATTGGCATTAAAGAGGGAGCAAACAGGATGGGGATAGAAAGTTTATTCAAAGAATAATAACCTAAAGAAAGATAGGAATATCCCAGTACAAGAAGGTGAAAGAACACCAAGCAGATTCAATCCAAATAAAATTACTCCAAGGCATATGATAATCATACTCTCAAAGTTCAAGAACAAAGAGAGGATCCTGAAAGAAGCAAGTAACATATAAAGGAGCTCTGATATGGCTAACAGCAGACTTCTCTGCAGAAACTTTACAGGGCAGGAGGGAGTGGGGTGATATATTCAAAATACTGAATAAGATAGAAAACCTTTCAACTGAGAATACTGTCCCTAGAAAGCTATCCTTTAAATATAAAAAGGAAATACTTTCCTAGACAAACAAACGTTAAGGGAATTCATTACCACAGACCTGTGTTACAAGAAATTTTAAAAGGACTTTGTCAACCTGAAACAAAAGAATGTCAAGCCATAAAAAGAGGTTATGAAAGGTATAAAAGTAAGCACATAGACATATTCAGAATACTCAGTGTAATGGTGGTGTATAAACCACTGGTATCTTTATTAGGAAGACTAAAAGATAAATCTATAAAAACAATAACAATTTGTTAAGAAATAGTTAATACAAAAAGATATAAATTGAGACAACAAAAAGTAAAGAGGTGCAGTTAAAATTGAGTTTTCTCGTAGATTTTTCTTCTTTTATTGTGATCAAAGTTAAGGTGCAAATAACTTAAAATAAATTGTTATAACTGTAAGATGTTCTTCGTAAGTCTCAGGGTAACTACTATGCAAAAAGAAAAAAAGAAAAGAGAATAGCTACACTAAAAATAAAGAACAATAAATTAAAACATATTACCAGCGAAAATTAGGAAGACAGTAAGAAAGAAAGAGAGGACTTACCAAACAACTAGAAAACAGGATGCAAAATGACAGTAGTAAGTCTTTACATATCAATAATAACGTTGAATATAAATGGATTAATTTATCCAACTAAAAGATATAGAGGAGCTGGATGCATTTTTTCAAAAAGACACAATTACATGCTACCTAAAAGAAACTCGCTTCACCTGTAAACACACATGACTGAAAAGATGGAAAAAGGTATTCCATGAAAACAGAAATCATTAAAGAGAAGGAGTAGCTATACTTATTATATCAGATAAAATAAACTAAAAGCCAAAAATTCCAAAAAAAAAGAGACAAAGATGGTCATTATATAGTGATAAAAGGAGTCATTTTAATGAGAGGATATAACAATTGCAAATCTCTACGTACCCAACACATGAGCACTCAAACATATTATACAAAGCAAATATTAATAGATCTAAAGGAAGAGATAGACTGCAATACAATAATAATAGAGGACTTCAAAACACCACTCTCAGCAATGGACAGATCATCCAAACAGGAAATCCACAAAAATAACATCAGAATTAAACTATATTGCAGACAAAATGGACATAATTGACATTTGTAGAACATTTTATTCATCTGCTGTAGAATACACATTCTATTCATCAGCACATGGAGCAATTTCCAGGAGAGACTACGTGTA
Organism: Homo sapiens; assembly: GCF_000001405.40. Lineage (NCBI taxonomy): Eukaryota > Metazoa > Chordata > Mammalia > Primates > Hominidae > Homo > Homo sapiens. The sequence continues at coordinate 36,126,567 of NC_000003.12, forward strand.
ATGCCACAGAACAAGTCTCAATAAATTAAAAATAATCAAAATCATATTCAAATATCTTTTCTGACCACAGTGGAATAAAATTAGAATCAATAACAAAAGGAACTTTGGAAAATGTAAAAATACATGGAAATTAAACAACATGCCCCTGAGTGACAAATGGGTCAATGAATACATTTAAAAGATAATTAGTTTTAAAAAACAAATAACAATGGAAACACAAAATTTGAAAACCTAAAGAATACAGCAAAAGCAGTATTATGAGGGAAGTTTATAGCAATAAATGCCTATATCAAAAAAGCATAAAAACCTCAAACAAACAATGTAACAATGCACCTCAAAGAACTAGAAAAGCAAGGACAAACCAAAGGCAAAATTCATAGAGAAAAGAAATAATAAAGACTACAGCAGAAATAATTAAAATTGAGATTAAAAATAGTACAAAAGTTTAGCAGCACAAAAAGTTGGTGTTTTGAAAAGATAAAATTTATAAACCTTTATCTAGAATTAGAAAAAAAACAAATTAAATGATGGAAAGGAAACACTACAACAGATACTACAGAAATACGAAGGATCATTAGAGACTGTTGTGAGCAACTATACATCAGCAAATTTGAAAACCAAGAAGAAATAGATACATTCCTGCACAGAAAACCTACCAGTTAAACTATGAAGTTATAGAAAATCTGAACAGACCAGTGATAAGTAACAAGATAGAAGCAATAATAAAAAGTCTTCCATCAGAGAAAAGCCCAGTTCCTGATGGCTTTACTGCTAAATTCTACCAAACATTTAAAGAACTAATGCCCATTCTACTCAAACTATTCCAAAAAAATTAAAGAGTAAGGAATACTACTAAACTCATTGTATGAGGTCAGCATTACCCTGATACCAAAACAAGACAAAGACACAGTAAAAACAGAAAACTACAGGCCAATATCACTAATGAATATATTAATAGATGCAAAAATCTCTAATGAAATATTAGCAAACTGAACTCAATACTTTAAAAAGATTACCCACTTTTATCAAGTGGGATTCATCCCAGGGATGCAATAATGTTTTAACACATGAAAACCAATAAACATAGCACATTTCATCAGCAGAGTCAAGAACAAAAACCATATGATTATTTAAATAAATGCTTAGAAAGCATTTGACAAATTCAATATACTTTCATAATAAGAAAACTCTCAACAAACTGGCTATAGAAGAAACATACCTCAAAACTTTGTTTTTATAAAACAATATCAAAACCTATGTAATATATGAACTCATAAAAATTTTTCTTCATTCAACATGATGCTAGCTGTGGTTTTGCCATATATGACAAACCCACAGCTAGCATCATACTGAATGAAGAAAAATTTTGTGAAAAGCATTTTCACTAAAATCTGGAACAAGACAAGAATGCTCACTTTCACCACTTTTATTCAATATAGTACTTCAAATGTTAACTTCCAGAGTGCTTAGACAAGAGAAAAAAGTAAAGAGCATCCAAATGGAAACAAAGAAGTAAAATTGGTGTGTGTGTGTGTGTGTGTGTGTGTGTGTGTGTGTGTGTGTGTGTACTACATGATCTTATATTTAGAAAAACCTAAAGAATCTGCCAAAAATGTTTAACACTCATAAACAAATTTGGTAAAGTTACAGAGTACAAAATAAACACACAAAAATCAGTAGCGATTCTATATGCCAAAAGCAAACAATCTAAAAATAAATTAAGAAAGGAAGGCCATTTACACTAGCTCCAAAAAAGATAAAATACCTAGGAATATATTTAAACAAAATATGAAAGATCTCTACAATGAAAAGTATAAAACACTGGTAATAGAAATTGAGTAGAAAAGAATCCTAAAATTTGTCTGAAATTACAAAAGACCCCAAGTAGTCTAAGCAACCTAAGTAAGAAGAACAAAGCTGGAGGCATCACACTCCCTGACTTCAAAATATACTACAAAGCTATAGTAACCAAAACATCCTAATACTGGTATAAAAATGACACATAGACTAATGGAACAGAATAAAGACTCAGAAATAAATCTACATATTTACTGCCACCTTATTTTTAATTAAGGTGCCAAGAACATACACTGGGAAAGGGAAACCCTATTCAACAAATGGTGCTGGAAAACTGGATATCCATATGTAGAAGAATGAAACTAGACCCATATCTCTCAACATATACAAAAATAAACTGATGTGGATTAAAAATGCAAAAGCAATACCTAAAACTGATAGTGAAAGGAAACAGACTCCTAGGAAGACAGAGACAAGCGCCCAGTGGGGCTCAACCTTCAGGCCAAGAACAGTCTGAAGCCTGAAAATCAAGCTGTTCATTCTAGATAGAGTCCAAAACCGGAGTAAGAACTTCTATTCCTATCTTACCCACTCTCTCTTTATTGATTCCTTCTGGATGTTGCCTTTTAACCAATCTTATGATGTCTTTTCAAGCCCACCCATGGACCAATCAGCATGCATTCTCCCATTTTAAGCCCATAAAAACCCCAGACACAGCCTCACAAATGGCAACCCACTTTCAGGTCTCCTCTCGCTGCTGAGAATTTTCTTCCTGTCACAGAATAAAATTCTATTCTGCCTTACTCACTCTCCAATGTCCATGTACCTTATTCGTCTTGGTCACAAGACAAGAACTCAGAACTCACCAAACTCTGGGAGCAAAAGAACTGGAACACTTCTGCTTGCCAAGCTGCAGGTGGTGGGAGTAAAAAGAGCTGTAACACTCCCTCCCATTCGCCAAGCTGTGGGTGTGAAGAGGCTGCTGGGTGCCACTCCCTCCCGCTTGCCAAACTACAGGAGTGAAAAAGTTACAACATTTTGGGGGGCTCATTCAGGATCTTCAGAAGGTTGAGTAAGAGAGGACCTATGACTCTTTAGTTTCATTCCAAGGTTATTGTCCTCAGATTATTTTCCAAAAACAGATAAAACACCAGGACTCTGTCAGCCAGTTAAGAGTGGATAGCACAGCTGATGGTCTACAAGACTCAGAAGACAGGCTTCCTGGGAAGGACTTTGTCAATACCCCTTCACCTTCAGATGTTGGTAATGTTGGCTTTGTTCCCATTTAGTTTCCCTTTACAGATGTCTAGCCATTGCATGGTATCAGAATAAGGTCCCGGGGCAGTTGAAGGTATCTGGCTAAGGCTACACCTTGGCATTACCCAAGAGCTCCTGGACTAGCTCCAATCCCGGACAGCCCATTCAGGTGCTGGACCAAGATTTCCAGTCTTTCTTGTCACATTTTCTTTCTTTTGAGACTCTTTTGGCTGCTATCCCTTCTTTATACACAATATTACAGGTGTTTTTGCAACCCAAAGAGATAATTTTATGGGGTGGAATGAATACTTGGCTTAGTCACCAGGAAAGTAAACCAGAACAATGTTTCTGTCTATCCTTAGAAACAGGGGTATGTAATGGCTAAGAGAGTTTTCTTTCCCCTGTCAAAAAAAAACCTGTTAGCACAGGGAAAGAGGCTTTTTCCCCCCAGACACCTTCCCTCCTTTGCATTTAATTTGTTGTTGTTTTTTTTTCCCCACCATGTCAGATGTCAACATAATCCTGCGAATACAGGGAGCTTTTAGTTGTAAGGGGTTATTGTTTGTCTTCTGGGGAGGCATTTTATTAGGCCTGGTCCCCAATTCCAGGGATTCCCTTTCTTTGTTTGAGGAAGATCTGTTCCCATAGCTTTACATTAGCATTACTCCAGCATATTTTCCAAGCTTCGGTTTGAAGCCCTAAAAGGAAAACTAGATCTGAGGGACCCAGAGGCAGTTGACAGTGGAAGACTACAGCACAGTGGAGGTAAGCATGACTACCCCTGCTGAGTAGGCCTTCCCACTTCATGGGTGGAGCTCATCCTCATATTTATGGTATGAGCCCCATGAGTTCACCCATGGTGCCAGTACCAGGTACTAAGATTTGGAGGATGCCTCAAATTCAAAATGAGAAAGGGAGAGACCAAGGGATATGTTTTATCCCCTCTCACTTTTCAAATGGGTAGCAAACTATTCTCAGCCTGCACTCCTCTTGAGTGCATTCTGAATCACTGGGACTCCTTTGACCTTCAGACTCTGAAGAAATAATGCCTTATATTCCTTTGTACAATGGCTTGGCCAGGTTATAATTTGCAGATGGAAAAGCCTGGCCTCTGGAGGGAGTAACAATTTTAATACTATCCTGCAGCTCAATCTTTTCTGTAAACACAAGGGCAAATGGTCCAATGTCCCATATGCAGGATTTTTTTTTCCCTTGTAGGATAATCAGGAACTCTGCTGACATTGTAGGATGGATCCAGCCCTCCTAGTGGTCGTCTCAGGAGGGTCTGCAAAGGACTATCCTAAGGGACTAGGACATTAAACCTCAGAGGTACCTCCAGCAGGGGAGTAAGCTCCCTCTGATCCTGCTCCTCCTGATCCATCCTGTGCTCTCTACCCAGGTTCTCTCTCTCAAGCTTATCCCATCCTAGAAATTCTCATTTTAGGAAGGTTCCAGCCTCACTCATGCCCCTACAAAAGATGCCTTGTGAATATGACCTCATTAAGGTACAAGTCCCCCTTTTGCTACAGGACTTAAGACAAATTAAGGGGGATTTTGTAAGTTTTCAGATAACTCTGACAGGTATATAGAGGTCTTCCAGAATTTAACCCAAGTATTTGAACCCCTTTGCAAAGATATTATGGTACTTTTAAATCAAACCCTGACTATGGCTGAGAAGCAGGCAGCCCTGAAAGTGGCAGAGAAGTTTTGGGATGAGCTTTGTATCACATATAGTGCCAAGGAAGGGTGACAGCATTATCCAATTGGAAAAACAGCAGTACCATTGGAGGACCCTAAATGGGACCCCAGTGATGACACGGGAGAATAGAAGAGGAAACACTTTTAGACGTGCATATTGGAAGGCTTATGAAGGACTAGAACTAAGCCTCTAAATTACTCCAAACTATCCATGATAGACCAGGGCTCATATAAGAAGCCCTCTGCCTTTCTGGAAAGGCCTAGAGACCTTGGTAAAGCATATACCTTTATCTCCTGATTCAGTTGAGGGACAGATAACCCTAAAGGATAAGTTTATTACCAGGTGGGCCCTGATATCAGGAGGAAGCTGCAGAAACAGGCCATGGGACCAGATGTACTTTAGAGAACCTCCAGAAAGTGCCCACCTCGATCTTTCACAATAGGGATCTAGAGGAGGCTCAAAAGAGGGAGAGGGGACACAAGATAAAGGCAGAGGCTCTAATGGCTGCCTTGCAAGCTTCAACCCAGAATCCCCAAAGGCACCTATTAACTGCTACAAATGTGGCAAGCCAGAACACTTTAAGAAAGACTGCCCAGACAACATGAGGAAGCCACCTCAACCCTGTACAATCTTCAGAGGGCATCATTGGAAGGCAGACTGTCCCTAGAGACACAGGTCACCAGGTCCAGAGCCAGTCTTCCAAATGGTCCAGCAGGACTGATGAGTCCCAGGGCTCCTCTCCCAGCTCTGATGGTTCAGACTGCCATTACCATCCAGGAGCCCAGGTGATTCTGGAGGTCACACTGAGGAAGGTGTACTTCCTCCTGGATACCAGAGCCGCTATTTCTGTTCTTTCCAATCCAGGCCTCCCCTCCTTTCTTTGCATGACCATGAGGGGCATTTCAGGAAAGCTTTTAATCCGATATTTTTCCCAACCCCTTAGTTGTAGTTGTGAAGACCTCTTGTTTACTCATGGCTTTTAAATCATGCCTGAAAGCCCAACTCCTCTGCTAGGCAGGGATATTTTACCTCATGTAGGAACCACTGTCCTTATGGACCCAGGACAGACTATTTATCTCCCCCTGGTGGAGACTGATAATCCAGAAATTTGGGCAACTCAAGGGAAAATTGGCCAAACCACAACCGCTACACCAGTCTGGATCCACCTTAAGAATCCCACTTCTTTCCCTAATGAGAGACAATTTCCCCTAAAACCAGAAGCTAAGAAAGGGCTAGAAGCCATCATTATAACTTGAGGATGCAGGGCCTGCAACAACCCTTGTACTACCCTTATAACGGGGATAGAGAAACCCAACAGGGAATGGTGACTGGTCCAGGACCTCCATCTCATTAATGAGGCTGTGGTTCCAACTCATCTAGTGGTTCCCAATTCTTATATCTTGCTAACTCAAATGCCTGAGGGAACTATATGTTTCACAGTCCTGGACCTAAAGGATGCATTTTTCTGCATGTTACTATACCCTGACTACAATATTTGTTTGCATTCAAGGAACCCTCCAACCAGACCACCCAGCTGGCCTGGATGGTATTACCTCCAGGATTCTGAGACAGCCCCCACCTGTTTGGACAGGTGCTGTCAAGGGATCTCTCTGAGTTCCTTTATCCTCAGGTTAAAGTTTTACAATATGTAGATGACATTCTCCTGTGTGCCCCAACTGAAGGAATCTCTCAGGAAGGCAGTAAGGCTCTTGATTTGCTGGCTAACAGTGGATATAAGGTCTCAAAACCTAAGGCTCAGATCTGTCAGATTTCAGTGAAGTACTAGGTCTAGTCTTGTCAGAGGAAATCAGGGTGCTGAGTGAAGAAAGGATTAAGCCCATCGTCTCCTTTCTCCTCGCTCAAACCCTCAAACAACTGAGGGGATTATTGGGCATTCCAGTATTCTGCAGATTATGGATATCTGGGTACAGTGAGATAGCTTGTCCTTTTTATCATCTAATAAAGGAAATTCAGGCTGCTAAGACTCATTCTCTAATTTTGGAACCAGAGGCTAAAAGGGCCTTTGACCAATTGAAACAAGCCCTGCTTGAGGCACCAGCACTTAGTCTTCCCATAGGAAATACATTTGATCTTTATGTATCAGAAAAAAAGGAAATGGCCCTGGGAGTTCTAACCCAGTCTTGAGGTGAAACCCAGCAACCCTGTATTAGTCAATGTTCTCTAGAGGGACAGAACTAATATAACAGATGTGTATATGAAAGGGAGTTTATTGAGGAGAATTGAATCACATGATCACAAGGTAAAGTCACATGATAGGTCATCTGTAAGTTGAGAAGCAAGGATGCCAGTGGTGGATCAGTCTGAGTCCCAAATCCTCAAAAGTAGGGAAGCCTACAGTGCAGCCTTCATTCTGTAGCCAAAGGCCCAAGAGCCCCTGGAAAAGCACTTGTTTAAGTCCAAGGGTGCAAAAGCTGAAGAACTTGGAGTCTAATATTTGAGGGCAGAAAGCATCTGGCACAGGAGAAAGATGAAGGCTAGAAGATTCAGCAAGTCAGCTCTCCATCTTCTGCTACCTGCTTTATTCTAGCCACACTGGAAGCTGATTAGATGGTGCCCACCCAAACTCATGGTGGGTCTGCCTCTCCCAGTCCACTGACTCAAATGTTAATCTCCTTTGGCAACACCCTTACAGTCACACCCAGGAACAATATTTTGCATCCTTCAATCCAATCAAGTTGACATTCAATATTAACCATCACAAGTCCATAGGCTACCTAAGCAAGGAGCTTGATTTGGTGGCTAAAGGATGGCTGGCTTGCCTACAGGCAGTTGCAGTGGTAGCTTTACTGGTGCCAGAGGCTAATAAGTTAACCATGGGGAATAACTTAACCATGGTTACCCCACATAATGTGGCAGGACTGCTGTATTCTAAGGATGGTATCTGGCTAACAGACAACTGCCTGCTCAAATATCAAGTTCTGCTATGGGAGGGATCTACAGTCCACTTAAGAAGCTGTCTCTCCCTAAACCCAGCCACCTTTCTCCCAGAGGAAGCTGATGAGCCTGAACATGACGGAAAACAGATAGTACTGGAAGCCTATGTGTCTGGAGATGACCTCAAAGAAACCCTCTTAGAAGACCCAGACTGAACTCTCTTTATGAACAAAGTTTTTTTTTTGTTTTTTTTTTTTTTTTTTTTTTTTTTTTTTGTAGAACAAGGGATCCATAAAGCAGGGTATGCAGTAGTCACCCTAAATGACACAACTGAGAGCACAACTCTCTCCTTAGACACAGTGCTCAGCTAGCTGAGCTAATTGTCCTCACAAGGGTGCTTGAATTAAAACAAAGGGAGAGAAGTTAACATTTATTCTAAGTGTGCTTTCCTAGTCCTCCATGCCCATGCCACTATCTAGAAAGAGAGAGACTTCCTCACAGCTAATGTGTCTCCCATTAAACACTATCATGAAATTAACAGACTATTATCCTCATCTTTCCTTCCAGAGGAAGTGGCAGTAATACATTGTAAAGGCCACCAAAAGTGGATGGATGAAATAACCAAGGGAAATAAATTGGAAGACCAAGCAGCTAAATTGGCAGCAAGAAAGCCCCAGATTTTTGATCCACTTGAGGCCCCTCTGGTCTGGGGGATGCTCCATAAGAGAAATAAAACCTCAATATTCTCCTGCAGAAATATAATGGGCCACTTCTCAGGGATACACCTTCAGCCCTTAGGATGGCCTCAATTGGAGGATGGCAAACTTCATCTACCAGCTTCCAGCCAATGGAAAGTTCTTAAAATTCTTCATCAAGCCTCCCACCTAGGAAAAGATAAAACCTATCAATTGGCTCAAAGGTTGTTCTCAGGTAAAAATCTGCTAAAAAATCATCAAACAGGTCGTTAATGCTTGTTACCCTTGCCTTAAAAATAATTCCCTCAACTGATGGCTTCTCTTCCCTTCTCCAGGACCCAAAGAATGGGCATCTACCTGGGAAAAGAATGGCAAATGGATTTCAACCATATGCCATCAGATAAGGGGCATCCAATACTGCTTAGTATTGGTAGATACCTTCACTAACTGGGTAGAAGCATTTGCATGTCAGAGAAAGCCTCTGAGGTGATAAAAGTACTAACTCATGAGATAATTCCTCACTTTGGATTCCCTAAGTACCTCAAGAATGATAATGGCCCCTCATTCCAGGCAGCTGTCACCCAGGGTGTCAAAGGCACTAGGCATACAATACCATCTTAATTGTGCTGGGACACTACAATCCTTGGGAATGGTACAAAAGACAACTGATATTATCAAAAGGCACCTTAGAAAACTGTCTCAAGAGACTCATCTCCCCTGGATTACTCTTCTTCCCATGGCCCTACTACCTGTTAGAAACACTCCTTCAAAGCTGGGTTTAAGTCCCTTTGAAATAATATTTTCTCACCAATGATTTCCTGCTAGACCAAGAAATCTCTGATTTGATTAAATATGCAACTTATTTGATTCATATCCAGCAGGAACTGAAACACCTCTCAGAGGTCCAAACCCATGAACTAGGGCCTCCTCTATTCAACTCAGTGGACTTAGTACTGGTAGAGGCTCTTCCTTCTCTTTCTCCATCTCTAGGCCCAGATTGGGAGGAACCTTACACTGAACTTCTTTCTACTCCTTCAGCAGTGAAGGTCACTGGAATAGATTCTTGAATTTTTTATACTCAAGTAAAGGCCTGAGGAACTGATGGAATTACCTCTGTTGACCCAGGAGAGTGCACAAAATACCAGTGTGAAGAAATCACAGACCTCAAGTTAAATATCATGAAAGATAAGTGTTAATAATTAACCCTCTATGGATAACCTCTTTACAGTCTTGTTTATACTTGCTGTTCTCACATCTGTTCTGTTCCTCACCATAAGGTGTCTTTGCCAAGGACCCCTTAATCCTGAATACTCATGGGATTATCTACTCCCCTAAACACCTGTTTCTCTTCTAAAATTTAACTGCCCTCCCCCACAAAAGATTTAATTTCTTTCACAATGGTGAAACAGCTCTGGCCACAACATGGTTTTCAGAATGATTAGTCTATTTTATTTCTTATCTCTGGCACTGGCCTGGATTATTCCCTTCTTAGCTCCTGTTTGTATTATACTCATATTTGGTCCATGCATATTTAACCTCCTTGTAAAACCTGTTTCTTCTCACCTAGAGCCCATCAAACTCCAAATGGCCATGCAAATGAAGACGCAAATGAAGACTCAAATGATGGCTCCCTTTTACCGGGGACTCTTAAAAAGGCCTCTGAGAGACAGAGAAAGAGAGAGAGAGAGAGATCGAGGTCTGACTGCCATTTTCCAAAACAATACCCCCTGTTAGCATGAAGCAGCTAGACCAGTCACCATCCCTATCCTAATGGCAGTTAGATGTACCACTTCAAGGTGGGGATTGATAGTGAAAGAAAACAGATAGATTCCTGGGCAGACAGGGATGGGGTCACCAGTGGGGCTTGACCTTCAGGCCAAGAACAGCCTGTATCAATTTTAAAAAGCAAAACAAAAAAGAAGAAAAAAACAATGTGATCCTCTCCCTGAAAAAAAATAGGCCTGAGGGAGCTTGTTCACCCCTTCTGCCATGGGAGGACACAGCAAGAAGGTGTGCCATCTATCCATCAGAGAGCAAGCTCTCACCAGATACAGAATCTACTGGTGTCTTGATCTTGGACTCCCCAATCTGCAGAACTGTGAGAAATAAATTTATGTTATTTACAAATTACACAGTTTAAGAGATTTGTTCTAGCAGCCTGAATGAACTAAGACACACATTTTCTGTGTGTGCTTATGATTAATTCCTATTAATAACAAAGTTATTAGTAAAATGAGAGGTATTCACTCTCTTCTCTAAAATCTCACATACTCAGTTAAGACCTCTACTATGTCATTTTCCTGTTATATTTAAAATCTGTAATTCTCTATCTCTGTACTCACTAGGATATGATATCTTCAAAGGTCATGATCATGTTTCATTATTCTTCATTCCTCCAGTTTCTACCACTGCCCTTGGAAGATAGTAAATATTCAGTAACTCTTTATTGGGTTACTTTTCTTGGGTGGAAAAGTAAACATGTTTCTGTCTGAATTTCTTAGTGTATGAATTCAACCAGAGTTGATTTATAATTTCAGTTTTCTTCACAGTGTTCAAAAAATACAGGCAATTTTATCAAGAACTTCTTGTGTCCTTTCAATTTTCATATTTCTTGTTACCTATCTACTTTTTGGGATATTATTTCTTTCCAGGCATCCAAGTTCCAGGTATACTTAGCATTACCTAAACTCAGTTATAACAAGTGAGTAGCAAATTTCTAGTAAATTTCTAAAGCCTATGCAATGGTTTTCCCTTTCTAGAATTCTCATAAACATGTTCTTAAATATTTCTTTGTGTGGCATACCTACATATATATGTCTATATGTGTATGTTTGTGTGTGTGTATATGTATATATGTGTGTGTGTGTGTGTGTGTGTGTGTGTATATATATATATATATATATGCCTATAGTCACCAAGAGGGCACTCTATAAGCATGCTTTCTTGGCTGAGATTTATTGAACTCTAATTTGCCAGCATTCCCTTATGTCAAACTATGACAATATGAAGTGAAGAAACTTTGTCTATATGCCCTTCCTATGCCAGTTTTGCTCAGTTCCAAACAGCAGTTTGCACCTGGTAGACCTTCAAGATATATAATGTGCATGACTGAATCAGCAAATTCCACTTGGCTCGTACCTTATTTGGCCATCTTCAAAAAAAAATCTTCTAAAATAAACGTCCTACTCCTATCACTGACTCAAATCTTCCAGTGTGATGATTTGTAATTTTGAACCAGCCTGCTAAAACTCTAGCCAGAATTGGTTCCATAAATCCTTTTACATAAGTTTGACTCATCTATAATTAATCATCTTAATAAGATTATTAAATTCCATTTATTTCTAATACCATTAATCTTTCATATCAGATAATTTGTGATATGCCATGATTAGCAGAATAGTTTAATTAGCACATTCTATAAATCTAGAACATGATCTTGGATTGAATTCTGTTAGTCCTCCTTACCTCATATCAGTAACTGCAGTAGAGAATTAGAAAAGTTGTTGCTCACCCATACGTTTTCTCTCTTATAGCTCTTTTCCTGGGAGCCATATTGCACTAGAAATTGTCTCTCCTAACATGTCTTCTACCTTTCCCTAACATTTTTTTAACTGTCATTTTTAAGTCTGCTTAAGTAAAATTTTAAATATTTTAAATACACAGCAATTTTCACCAAAAGTTTTCATATATACTCACTGCATATAATAACCCTGTAGATTATTATGCTTATTGTACAATTAAGGCAAGCTGCCTAGAACAAATATAGTGTAACTTTCACTGCACTCCACTTGTCAAGCCAAGGCCAGCTTCATGGACATGTGATCTGTATAGTTGCACAAAATCTGGTGCATAGAAAGACCCTATGTTTGTTGCTCTGTTGCTGTCATCTTGAAATTCTTAATAGTTTTTGAACAAGGGGCCTCACATTTTTATTTTCCACTGGGCCCCACATACTATATGGTTGCTCCTGATCAAAGCAAGTCACAAGCCAGCCCAGATTCTAAGAAAAGGAAAATAGAAGGTAGATTTTACCTCCTGATGGGTGGAACAGCACATATGTTTAGGGGAGAAAGGAATTGATGGTGACCACCTTTGCAGAATATTTACCATATTCTTATTTTACTAATGAGGAAACTGAGGTGGAGAGAGATTAACTGCCTAGCCCAAAATCACATCACTGACCAGTAATGTAACAGATATAGCCCTGGTATTCACTAGAAAAAAATTACTGTGCATAGTCCAGAGCACAGTGGAGACAGAATGGTAAAACTGATCGATTTCCATCTGTTGTACAATCACTAGAGGACAATATTGCTAAAAATAAGAGTTAATTTAACCATAGTTATCTTCTTTCCGTATGTTAGCACCCTGTTTAGTGCCTTGGGTTGGAATCTCCTTGCCAGCTCTGATTCTTCAAACTCCAGTGCCTAAAACCAACCATTCATCCTTTATTACACCTGGGCTAGTTCATGAGCTTTCTCCACTTCAGTTAGGAACATTGAATATAGAAAGGGAAAATGGCTGAGCACCACAGCCAGGCAAGAAAAAAGGTCTAACACAAATCTGAAAAGGTCCATAGGATAGGAAAGTAAGGAGAGTCAAGAATGTAAGGACCTCTAGTTGTGAGATTGAATATGAGATTCAGCAAGAGGAAGGAATGAGAGGGATTGGAGCAGGAGGTTGAGCTTCTAAGTTTTAAGTCTTGGAAATACAGCAGTGTTAAAGTGTTTCTTTCTAGGTGACTGGTTGATACTCCGAGGAGTCATGGAGACAAGTATTGGGAAAAGTAAAGCTACCATTGTGATAGCTGACTAAATGATATGCGTTTTTTTTTAATAACTGTAAGATATTATTTTCAACATTTGCTATATGAGTGTGAGTTGCATTACTAATAAAACCATGTCTTCTTTAACTTTGTATTTCAGTGCTTGATATTTATAGGTTTCCCATTAAATATTAATGATTCAAATGAGAAAGTAGTATTTTCCAATCTGTAAGAACCATCATTTAATATTTGACAAAAACTGTTCCTCTTGCTCTTCTAGTGTTACTTGGAAAATGGCATTTAATGGAAAGATGCTATGTTAGACATAATGTAATGTATAACATAAAACTACAGTTGGTTTTTTGTCTAAAGTCAGCGATGTTCTTTAATGTTTCCTATATTGCAGACATTGTAAACTTTAGATATATGTTCTCATTTAATTCTCACAAATACACTTCATAGTAGATGGTATTGTTATCAAAATTATACAGAAAAGAAATTTTTTTAATTTTAGATTCAGGGGGTACATGTGCGGGTTTATTACATGAGTATATTGTGTGATGTTGAGTCTTGGGCTTCTACTGATCCCATCACCCAAATAGTGACCACAGTACTCAATAGGTAGTTTTTCAGCCTTTGACCATCTTTCTTCCTTCCACTTTTTGGAGTCCGCAGTGTCTATTGCACCCATCTTTACATCTGTGTACCCAATGATTAGCTCCCACTTATAAGTGAGATTAGGTAGTGCTTGGTTGTCTATTTCTGTATTAATTCGCTTAGGAAAATGGCCTCCAGCTGCATTCGTGTTGCTGCAAAGAACATGCGCTCATTCTTTTTTATGGTTGTGTAGCATTCCATGGTGTAAGCATAACACATTTTCTTTAACCAATCCACCATTGATGAGCACCTAGGTTGATTTTACCTCTTTGCTATTGTAAATAGTGTTGTGATAAACATACAAATGTAGGTATCTTTTTGGTAGAATGATTTATTGTCCTTTGAGTATACACCCAATAATGGAATTGCTGGCATGAATGGTGATTCTATTTTTGCTTATTTGAGAAATGTCCAAACTGCTTTTTACAGGGGCTGAACTAATTAACATTCCCACCAGGAGGGTGTAAGTATTCCTTTTCTTTGCATCCTTGTCAACGTCGATTATTTTTTGTCTTTTTAATAATAGCCATTGCAATTGATGTGAGATGATATCTCCTTGTGGTTTTGATGTGCATCTCCCTGATGATTAGTGACGTTGACCATTTTTTCAAATGTTTGTTGGCCATTTGTATGTCTTCTTTTGAGAGGTGTGTGTTCGTGTTCTTTGCCTACTTTTGAAAGAGGTTATTTTTTTTCTTGTCTGTTTAAGTTCCTTGTAAATTCTGAATATTTGTCCTTTGTCAGACGTGAAGGGGTGGCCTGCACCTCCACACCTGTGGGATATCTCGTCAGGTGAGACGAGAGACTGAGAAAAGAAAGAAGACACAGAGACAAAGTATAGAGAAACAACAGTGGGCCCAGGAGACCAGCACTCAGCATACCAAGGACCTGCACCAGCAACGGTCTCTGAGTTCCCTCAGTTTTTATTGATTATTATTTTCGTTATCTCAGCAAAAGGAATGCGGTAGGAGAGCAGGGTGATAATAAGGAGTAGGTCAGCAAAAAAACATGTGAGCAAAAGAATCTGTGTCATAATTAAGTTCAAGGGGAGGTACTAAGCCTGGATGTGCACATAGGCCAGATTTATGTTTCTCTCCGCCCAAACATCTCAGTGGAGTGAAGAATAACAAGGCAGCATTGCTGCCAACATGTCTCGTCTCCCACCATACGGTGGTTTTTCTCCTATCTCAGAATTGAACAAATATACAATCGGGTTTTATACCAAGACATTCAGTTCCCAGGGGCAGGCAGGAGACAGTGGCCTTCCTGTATCTCAACTGCAAGAGGCTTTCCTCTTTTACTAATCCACCTCAGCACAGACCCTTTACGGGTGTCTGTAAAGTCAGGTCTCTCTCATCCCACGAGGCCATATTTCAGACTATCACATGGGGAGAAACCTTGGACAATACCCAGCTTTTCAGGGCAGAGGTCCCTGTGGCTTTTCACAGTGCATTGTGCCCCTGGTTTATTGAGACTAGAGAATGGCGATGACTTTTACCAAGCATACTGTTTGTAAACATTTTGTTAACAAGGCACGTCCTGCACAGCCCTAGATCCCTTAAACCTTGATTCCATACAACACATGTTTTTGTGAGCTCAAAATTGGGGCAAAATGGCTGGGGCAAAGTGGCTGGGGCAAAGTTACAAATTAACAACATCTCAGCAAAGCAATTGTTTAAGGTACAGGTCGAAATGGAATCTCTTATGTCTTCCCTTTATACATAGACACAGTAACAGTCTGATCTCTCTTTCTTTTCCCTACAAGATGCATAATTTGCTAATATTTTCTCCCATTCTATAGGTTGTCTGTTTACTCTGCTGATAGTTTCTTTTGCTGATAGTTTCTTCTTCTTTTGCAGAAGCCCCTTAGTTTAATTAGGTCTCACTTATCAATTTTTATTTTCATTGCATTTGCTTTTGAGGACTTAGTCATAAACTTTTTGCCTAGACCAATGTTGAGAAGAGGATTTCCTCATTTTTCTTATAGGATACTTATAGTTTCAGATCTTATATTTAATTCTTTAATTCATTTTGAGTTAACTTTTGTATATCGTGATAGGTAGGGGTCCAATTTTATTTTTCAGTATATGATTAATGATTTTTCTCAGTATCATTTATTGAATAAGGAGTCCTTTCCCCATTGCTTATTTTTGCTGACTTTGTTGAAGATCAGTTGGTTGTGGGTGTGCAGCTTTATTTCTGGGTTCTCTATTTTGTTCCACTAGTCTGTGTTTCTATTTTTGTACCAGTAACATGCTGTTTTGATTCCTACAGGCTTATAGTATAGTTTGAAGTTGGGTAATGTGATGCCTCCAGCTTTATTCTTTTTGCTCAGGACTGCTTTGGATATTTGGGCTCTTTTTTGGTTCCATATAAATTTTAGAATAGTTTTTTCTAATTCTGTGAAAAAAATGATGCATATAATTTGATAGAAATTGCATCAAATCTATAGATTGCTTGGGGCAGTATTGCCATTTTAACAATGTTTATTCTTACAATCTATGAGCATGAAATGTCTTTTCCATTTGTTTACATTGTCTATGATTTTTTTCAGCAGTGTTTTATAGCTTTCCTTGTAAAGATCTTTCACCTCCTTGGTTAGATGTATTCCTAGGTATTTTAATTTTTTGTGGCTATTGTAAATGGGATTTCATTATTGATTTCTTTTTCAGATTAAACATTACTAATGTATAGAAATGCTAGTGACTTTTACACATCAGTTTTATATCTGAAACTTTACTGAAGTTCTTTATCAGGCCTAAAGGTCTTTTGGCAGAATCTTTAGGGTTTTCTATGTAATGAATCATATTGTCAATGAAGAAAGATAATTTGACTTATTTTTTTCCCCTTTGGATGCCTTTTATTTCTTTCTCTTGCCTGGCAGAAAAGAAAACTAAGATTAACAACTTGCTGAAGTTATCAGAGTTAGGAAGTAGGAGAATTATAATCTATAAACCCTAATTGATTAATTGTACATTATATATCTGTTTCAGGTGGGGGCTTTTTCATTAGTAGGAGGCAAACTACCCCCAAAACTTAGTGTCTTAAAGCAGCAACCACTTATTTGCTCACAATTCAGTCAGTTACTTGGGCTGGACTCATCTGGACAGTTCTACTAGTCTTGCCTAGATTACCATGGTGATTGCAGCTATCTTGTGGTCCAACTGTGTCAGGATTAGCTAAGATGGTTTCAACTAACATGCCTGAAGATAGGTGCTGGCTTGCTACTAGGCTATCCTCTGTGCATATTGTTTTACATAGCATCTGTATTCCAAGAGGGAGAGATAAGATGTTCCAAGACTCTTGAGGTTTATTCTGGTAACTCCCCTAATATGACTTCTCCCACATGTTATTGATCAAAACAAATCACAAGGCCAGCCTAGATTTTAAATCTGGGAAGTAGATTTAAACTCTAGAGAGGATGAGCTGCAAAGCATTTGTGGCCTTTTATCATTTATCACAATTTCCGCACTTGCCAGAGAATGAAGTTAGATGCCAAGTAATTTTCCCAGTTACTGCATTGGGTTCCTGGGCCACTTCTGGACTAATGCCCTTCTGCACCCTTGCACACATTTGAAAAGCAGAGAGTAGGCTAAATTACAGATTCCAGTTGCCCATTCCCCTCCAGCTGGCTGGAAGCCTATTGATATGGCACAAACTACACAAGCACATGCAATACTCCTAAATCTACTGATTTTGTCTGTTGGTTGGTTAATTTGGAAAATATTTATGTTTTATTTCAAAATAAATTACTTGTAAACGTTGTATAAGAAAACACTTGCCAGAGCCTGGCATAGCAGGCACTCTAAATGTTGCTATATATTTCTTTTTCTAAGCGTAGCTTCCCTTGAATGAAAATTCAGTCACTAAACCAGCAACAGATAGATGCTGTCTGCTCATGTGTGCACAGACACACTTATCCTGCTGTAATCATGCCTCAATTTATCAATCTACCTGGGAAAGCTGGAGCCATGCCTACTCTAATTTTATCATGGAATGAAAAACTCTACTGAGGGTAATTTATACACCAAATATGGTACATAACAAGCATCTGAATAGGTAAAAATATTACCATTTTAGAGCAGAATATTTTGGTTAAAACCAGTGTCTTGTTTGTGTCAATCACAGAATCTGGGCCTATAAAATGCCACAAAAAAATGATCACTATTAAAGCTAGTTCCTATTTTCCAAAAGAAGACACAACATAGGCTATGTATGTGTTCTCCCGCTGCTCTGTGCAGGGAGGCTGCACCAACAGTACCCAAGGTCCTAAAATGAATTCCCCTTTTCTTTCCCCATACTCCAACTGTGAATTCCTACTAGCTAAGAGTAAGTCACAGGTGCGCACAGAAGTGGATCTCCTCTAGCTTCCAATCTACTGGGGAACTCTGAGGAGCCAGAGACCCAGGTCCAACAGGTCTCCAGCAACTCCATCTCAATGGGCCTTAAATATTATTTTTATATGCATTTCATGAAATGTGAGAGCAGAAGGGAATCACTGATTTAGTGTTTTCTCACTGACATAGAAGTATAGTTTCCTGGTTCTATTTTAAGCAATATTACTATTTTAAGCAATACAATCTGCTCATGGACATATTAGGGGAAAAAAATCCTCAATGTACTGAAAAGTATAAATTGAGACATTGAAATTCATCTTTTCTTTCCAACAGTCCAGACTTGTCTCTGAATAAGCACGTTTCTGTGTACATGTGTATATGTGTGTATATATATACATGTGTATACATATACATACACACATATAAGCATAAATATACTATATCATCACATGTATATATCTATCTACATAAAATGAAAGTTTATACTAAACATACTCATTTTGATTATTTTTCATCTTAATATGTCTTCAATGCTGTCCTAATCAGTTTAGGCTGCTATAACAAAATACCATAGGCTGGGTGGCTCATAAAAAACAGAAATTTGTTTCTCACAATTCTGGAGGGTGAGAAGTCCAAGGTCAAAGGGCAAGCAGATTCTGTGTCTGGTAGGGCCAGCTTCCTAATGAAGAGCATCTTGTCATCTCATTTTAACCTCACATGGAGAAAGGGCAAGGTATTCCTCATGGGCTTCTTTTATAAGGGCACTAACCCCTTCATGACCTAATCATGCCCCCAAAGGCCCTACCTTCCAATACCATCAATGTGGAGTGAGGATTTCAACATATGAATTTTTGAGAGACATAGCATTCAGATCACAGCAGATGTCTCTCCATATCGGCATATATAAATATTCTCCATTCCTTTTAGATACTATGAAGTAGTGTTTTGTTTATATAACCATAAAAATTAGTTTACATGACCATAAAAATCAGTGTCTTGTAAATAAACACTGTGATTGTTTAAAGTTGTGTGCCATTACAATGCTACCAGGAGGCTAGGCAGTTTAGGGTAAAAGCTGGGTCCAGGCCCTGTATCCATCCAGATGCCCTCATTCTAATTCTGCCTGTGTTAGTGACTAGCAGGGGGGCTGGGGCAAGATAGGCCACCTCTGCTGCCTGATTTTTTCCATGTGCAAAATTGTGAAAGCAGTAGTGCCTAGCTAGCTGAATTAAAATTGGATGTTTAGTGCTCAAAGCATAATCTGGAACATTGCACGTAGTCAGTAAAAGCTAACTGTTGGCTAGTTGTTATGTACCTATTTTAACATATTTGTAGGATAAAATGATTCTACTTTTGAAATTACTTTGTCAAGTTCTGAAGGATATTTCAAATTGCTCTTGAAAATTTTCATTGCTACTGTTTCTTCAATCCATTTCAATTTATGTAACTAAATTTTTGCTGACTTTCATTAGTGAATTTAATTTTAATTAATTTATGTTAACGTGGATATCTGTTTTATTTTTAATATGCTTAAGTATGTCATATCTTTATTCCTGGTTTGTCTTTCTTGTTCTGTAAATTGCTTTTTCATGACTTGCGCTTCTTTTTCTATTGGGTGGTTTATTGCTATCTTATTAATTTGAAAATTTTTTGTATGCAAAAAAATTACATTATCCAAATAAATCTCTTTGAAATACTCAGAAAAATTTGTATTTTGCCTGTATTTATTTACACTTTTTAAAATCATACATATTTGCTTTATTTTTTGTTTCTAGAGTTAGTAGTAGGTTACGATATTCCTGTCTTTTCTGTTGATACTGTTTATAAGTACTTCGTTGACTTTAGGTTTTAAGCACTCTAGAGCTTATAAAATGATGTAAGTGGTGGGGTAGAGGATGCATGTGGGTGTGGCTACTTCCAGTAGAACATGCACAGAAGGCATCTCTGATGATGTGACATTTGAGCTATGAACTACAGATTGAGAATGAGCTGGCCATATGCAGAGAGAGAGGGGACAGGGAATGCAAAGACCTCAAAGGTCTTTTCTGTCTGAGCAACAGAAAAACCCCAGCATAGCTGAGCAATCTGTGTCTATGTGGAGAAATTGGCAGAGATCTGCTCTAAAGGAAGCCTCAATCACCACAGTTCTTGTACCTGGACTATTAGAGTGGCCTCTATCACAAGTGACCCACTGTCATGAACCCAGGGACCTACTAGCACAGAGTGCAGTCTGTGGTATGAAAAAAAATTTGACTTCAAAATCAGAGCCAAAGGAAGTACAAAGCAAGATTTGTTGATTCTTTATGAGATCACATGGACACAGGAAGGGGAACATCACACTCTGGGGACTGTTGTGGGGTGGGGGGAGGGGGGAGGGATAGCATTGGGAGATATACCTAATGCTAGATGACGAGTTAGTGGGTGTAGCGCACCAGCATGGCACATGTATACGTATGTAACTAACCTGCACAATGTGCACATGTACCCTAAAACTTAAAGTATAATAATAAAAAAAAAAACATACACACCCACAAAAAAATGAGAGAATATTTTTCCCAGTTAATGCAATAAGATGCATGCCATATCACATCACTCCATGAGAAATAATTTAGAATGAGAAACAAAAAGGGTACCCACACTGGCATTTACAGGAAAATTCTCCATAACAACTTTTGTTAACAAGTGCATTATAGAAACTTACTATGAAATATAGCGTAATTGAATACTTCTAAGAAATACAAAAACTATAATCTTTCTTGGTGGAAAGGTAAATAGGATTGTATAGCAAAGCACTCTGATGCTTGTAGCTATGCATAATTGACATGTGTGAAAAGGTGTCAGTGTGTGTGGTGTGTGTGTTATGAGAGTGTGTGTAGGTATAGGTGTGTTTCATAGACATCTCAGAAGAAACTTCCACAAGGTCTCACTAATCTGTTCCCTAGCTTTTGAATTCTATCAGCCAGAGACTCTTTGCAGTGTGCAGCTGATATCACTCATCAAGCTAGAACCCAGCAATGAATTTGTTTAATTAAGGTGAGAACATTGTGTGCAATGGTCATGCTTAATCTCATAAATCAAAGGACTACTCATGATACTCTTTAGATTTTAAAGCAGAGTGTTTTCTCCAAGAACAGTGGCTAAACATAGACTAAATACCGATGGGAGAGTGACGAAACCCTGTCCGGAGTGCATTAGGAGTGGTAAATTGTACTGTTCCAAAGCAAGTTTTCTTGGGAACACAACAGGGACCCTGAAACTGGATTTCCAGGCCTCTCAGGCAGGGTCAACCCTTTTGATTGAATCACTTTTGAGCGGGATCTTCAGAGTGAGTAATGCTGAACATAAACCTGGAGCTCAGGGAGATGTACAGTCAGTTAAGGCAGGAATCAAGTTAGGTGTGAGGAACAAGCCCACATGTTGAGTTTAAGATGGACTAGCAAGACACGTTGACAGAAGCTATGACTAACAGCCCATATGAGGACTGTTTTCTTATCTGTTTGTTTATTTTGGCTGTGATGGTTAGTATTAGGTGTCAACTTGATTGGATTGAAAGATGCCTAAATAGCTGGTAAAGTATTGTTTCTGGGTGTGTCTGTGAGAGCGTTGCCAGAGAAGATTAACGTTTGAGCCAGTGGATGGGGGGAGGATCCACCTTCAATGTGAGCGGGCACCATCCAATCAGCTGTCAGTGAAGCTAGAACAAAGCAAGCAGAAGACGGTGGGATAAACGGGCTCGCTGAGTCTTCTGGCTTTCATCTTTCTCCTGTGTTGGATGCTTCCATCTGTTCCTCCTGCCCTTGGATGTCAGACTCCAGGTTCTTCGGCCTTCGGACTCTTGGACTTACACGAGTTGTCTGCCAGGTGTTCTCAGACCTTCAGCCACAGACAGAGGCTACACTGTCAGTTTCCCTATTTTTGAGGTTTTTGGATTTGGACTGAACCACTACTGGCTTCTTTCTTCCTCAACTTGCATACTGCCTGTAGTGGGACTTCGCCTTGTGGTCATGTGAGCCAATTCTCCTTAATAAACTCCCTTTCATATATACGTGTATCCTATTAGTTCTGTCCCCCTGGAGAACCCTGACTAACACATTGGCATATTGTATGTTTAGGGTATAGGTCTGCCAAGTTATGAGGGCCATGTAGTAACACATAGCAGATGTTGCCCTAAAAATTTAGGATATCAAAAGCCTGATAATTTCTCAATATCTGCTAATATAAAACATAATACTCATATACAGTTTTTAAAATTATAGTCATAGTCAACTTCTGAAAATAGTACCCACTACCTCCAGGTCCCATACTAGGCTATGGAGGTGCTCAGTTTTCTCAGCCTCTGTGATTACGATAGGACACCTGGCCCTACTCACACCAGTGAAAGTCCTTGAGCTGGATCTCTGGGAAAGGGGGAGAGGGACCTTTGAAATACAAAGCCAAGACTATCAGAAGCTCCTGTTATTCTTGGGAGACATTTCTACTGGAGAAGCAAACGAGACCTTCACAGAGCAAAGAAGAGAAATGAAAGATAGAAAAGGAGAATGAGAATTACTGGAGCATTTCAGCCCTGGAACAGGCCATTCCTGAGATCATTTGCAACATGCCAACATTAGTTACACAAACCAATAATTGTGCTATTTTACTTGTTTCTTTGCTTGAGTTTTCCTGAAATCAGAGCCTGAGATAAGGGCTCCCAGGTATTTTAATTGGAAAGTAATCCCAGGGAACAGGAGTGCAGGATAAGAGGTGGAGTGGGGAAGGAGAGGAAGGGGTAAAATTAGGATGCAGAATGAACCTGGCCTCCTCTATAGGAAACAGCCCATGCTCAATCCAGCCAAGAGCTTCTGAGTCACCTTATTAAGTGTTTTGCCAGACTGCCCACCTCTGAGCAGAAAGCAGGAAGCATTTATCCATTGGCTTCCTTCTCCATTGGTCAAGGGGTAGCCCCACCAGGCATTAATTTCCCTGGACTCCAAGTTGCACATGCAAGAGTATAGACATGGGCATCCCACACCATAGAGTTAAAGGAGCTTCAGGGCTAGAAGAGAGCATGCAGGTCACCAGAGGTGAGGCACCTTCTGAATGCACCTGGGTGAAATTGTCAGGCTCATGAAAACTGAAATAAGGGTAAATAACTTTGCAGTGACTCATGAGAGGTATCTGACAACCTTTGCAAACATAGGCCTCCTGGCCAATACAGTATGTGAACTTCTAGTTATTGTCAAAAAATTTATAACTAAAATAATTTAGTTTTCTTCAAATGCTGATCACAGAAAGAATCAATAGATTTCTGGCCTGGTGTATTACCATGTGTTAACATCCTTAAAACATTT
The DNA here is from genome assembly GCF_000001405.40 of Homo sapiens. Taxonomy (NCBI): domain Eukaryota; kingdom Metazoa; phylum Chordata; class Mammalia; order Primates; family Hominidae; genus Homo; species Homo sapiens. The sequence continues at coordinate 36,149,999 of NC_000003.12, forward strand.
ATCTCCTGTCAACAGTTTCTTAAAGTAAAGAGAAAACAGACATTTGCACTCATTCTTGTAGGAGAAACATAATCTAGCTATTTTCTGTGCTGGACTGCAGTCTCTGCCCGCTAAGAATCAGACCTTGAGGATAGAAAAGAAATTACAAAAAAAAAAAAAAAAAACTGATATTGAACCCTGTACTTTTCCTAAGAAAACTCCTGCTTATATTGGCATTTTTCAAATTTTCAATTGGGAAATTTAGAGTTAGGAAATTATATTTCTGCTATTCTTTTAATATTAATGGACTACTTTATAAGCATGGAAAAAATTCGGACACAATGACATTTTAATAACTCATTTATATTTGATATTAGCTTACATTAAATTAGTGTAACAGCCATCATTACAAGTCAATCAGACCCTATCCAGTTATGAAAAATCTCAGTAATCTTCATAAATAATATGTACATAGGCATTATATATGTATGTATATATGTATATAGACATTTATGTAAAACATATTTATATGCATACATGTAGGTTTGTTTGTTTGTGTAAAATGTATGCAATATAAACCAAATGTCTTATCAGCCTTTGACAATAAATGCATATGTGAATTTCAATAGGCATCATTTTGATTTTATCTGCCAACCATAGCTGAGAGTCTCATTCCCCCAGAGACTACTGCACAGTTTTTAAACATGTTTTGCTTTTCAGTATATTTTCACTTTTTAACCTAATTCTTACTGGGCTCAATTGTCTACACATTGGGGATATAATGCCAGCTGCTCTCATGCTCTTAAGAAGGACCTTACTACTTTGTCCCAAGAACCTCCATGTGTTGGTCAGGCTTTTTCCTCAGTTCTCCATAGGACAGGATTTTTATTTTGAAGTTATGGAAAGGTCAAGGATGTAGAAAGGCAAATTCTATCCAGAGAATAATTTCTTCCATTTTCACCTAATAATACATCCCTTGGAGACCTTCTGCAATTAACATATTAAAATTTACTTGATTACTTTCCAGTTACTATATATGCACAGGGCATAGTTGCACATATGGAGCTGCTTCATTCATTTAAAAAGTACTGCCTTGCTACTAAATTGTATAGCATCATCATAATTGATTTAGTTTGTCACGTAATGATTGACATTAGATTACTTTAAGCTATTGCAAATAGCACTGCAATAAATGCCCTCTGTATACACAACTCTGTGTGTAAGATAAAGTTCTAGAAAGGCTATTGCCATGGCAGGATATGATTCGTGTGTGTGTGTGTGTATGACAGTTATATCAAAATCCCATCCAGAAATATTGTACCAGGTTATCCCCCACAAAGTTATTGTTACACATGGAGTAATACCTTAATACCTTTTGACATTTTCACAGTGTGATTAAAACTTAAATAGTAAAACTACAAAATAATAAAATGAAAATTCAACAGTTTGAGTGACTGGTAGAAGTGCTGAGATCTAACTGACAGCTATTGTCAGTTCAGATAAGATTTGGCTGACAAATTTGATGCCAAGTTTATGAAAACAACTTTTTCATGATATTCTGGGTCCTTTTAGATGGCTCTAATGGAGCTGAAGTCCACACAAGGGCTGTTCCTCTTTAAGTTCACCTGTACTCCTAGGGTACTGTTCATAGGACTCACATCCCAAAGTGGCAAGTGCTTTACCATGTTTCACCCTTTGGTAGGTCCTTGTCTTAGTCTGTTTGTGTTGCTATAACAAAATAACCAAGATGGGGCAATTTATAAAGAACAGAAATTTATTCTCTCTGGAGGCTGAGAAGTCCAAGAATAAGGCACCAGCAACTGGTGAGGGTGTTCTTACTGCATCCTCATATGGTGGAAGGCAAAAGGGAATGAACTTTGTGGGCTCACATTGCAGGAGAGTGGAAGAAAGAGAACCCGCTCTCAAAGCCCTTTTTATAGTGGTATTCATCCATTCATGAGGGTGGTGCACTCATGATCTAGACACCTCCCATTAGGCCCCACTTTCTAACACTGTTGCACTGGGGATTAAGTGTTCAACACATGAATGCTAGGGACACATTCAACCACAGCAGCCCTGGACTCTGACTTCTATTCTCTAAGTCACATGAAGTCACTAAATGCACACCATAGCCTCTCACTCACTTGGATCAGCAAACTCCCTTTGTTTAGAAGCAGCACTGAATTCTCTGTTTCCATCTTTCTTGAGTATCAGGTTAGAATTTTTCGCTGTCTCTTAGCACATTACATATAAATGTTTTTTAAAGTTTTGCCCAGCTTTCATTTTTTTTCCATGGGATATGGTTGAATTAACTAGTTTTTCATTACCATGTCCCCAAACTTTTCTTTAAAAAAGCATTTTCTAAATACTTGGTGTCTCTGGTACATAGAAAATAATTGGGATTTGCTTTGTAATCCAAATGTAAAATATTTTTCTGGTAATTAGTGACTAAAGCTCATTGATATGTGCTAATATGCATATCATGTCAACAAATATCTTAATTTTTACTTTTTTCTATATATGACATATATTAAAGTACTTTTATTATGTGTTCTGTTTTCTTTTTCAGTTTTATTACTTCTGATATTTAGAAGTTTGTACTTTTTGTTATTTATGTAGATATATTTAAAATTTTATTATTATTGTCCTCTTTATTAATTTAATAGCTACTAATTTCTGAGTATTAGCAACAATAAAGTCAACTTACATATATTATGCCTCCTCTTGTCCCTCTCCTCTACCAATCAATATTCAGATAGTGGGATGCTCATAATTCTAGTTGTTGATTCATTATTTACCACTATTTTAAGATTTGTTTTTTGATCACTGTACATCCTACATAGGTTTTAAAGTAAGTTACCATTGGAAGTTTTAGTAAATACATTTGATAATTCTTTGAAAAGAATTATAAAAACTACTGAAAGAAATGGTAGAAAAATCTAAGTAATTGTATATCTGTTGAAAACATTGAATTTTATTATTTACCACATGTAAGTAGTACATTTAGATTCCCATCTAATAGAGGGAGGAAATCAGAACACTTATTTGGCTCTCTCACTTATAAACCTGGTTATTTGTGGGAAGTCAGCTCTAGTCCAATTGTCACTGTTTTAAACTTTTATATTTTCTTTACCTTTGATATTCTATAGTTTCGATGTGATGTGTTTAGGTGTGGGCATTTTTATGTTTATCCTGTTGCTTGGAATTTATGCTTCTAGGATTTGTGGTTTTATCACTTTTGTCTGGAAAAGTTTCAGCCCATAGCTCTTCAAATATTGGCTCTTCCTTATTCTCTTTCTGTTCCCCTTTTGGAACTTGAGTTTCTTGTACACTTATTGTGTCCTTGATACCTTTGATTTTCTAATCTAAATTTAATTTTATTTTTTCTGTCTTTTATTATTTATTTCTTAAATTCAATTATATATATTAGTTCTCTTTGGTTCTTTTCAAACATGCTATTTAAAAAAAATTTATTTTTCACATTAATATTTTAACTTGGCTTTTACTATTTGAACTTGGCAAATATAAATATCCAACAAACAAATAGGAATCAACAGATAAATGAGGAGACAAGATACTATGTATGAAAAACAGCAAAAAGAAGGCTGTGAAACATTGTCCTGGAACTCATAGCCAGTTCCATAAGGCAAGAAAAATAAATAAAAGGCATAAATATTAAAAAGAAAGAAGCAAATGTTTTCAGGGAAGATATGATTTTAAACATAGAAAACACTATGGAATCATTGTAGGTTTGTTTATTAATCTCTATACATTCTACAGAGATTCAACAGTATAATAAAAAGTTAGTACTAGGTGTTTTGTGAATATATTTGACAATTCCTTGAAAAGCACCCTTATTAAAATGACTAAAAGAAATGATAACAAAATCTAAATAACCTTATATCTATTGAAAACATTGAATTTGTAATAATATAAAATTTTCCTATGATGCTTCATAGGGGAGTTCTATCAATAGTTAAGGCAGAAATAAAACCAATCTTATAGCAAACTCTTTCAAGAAATGAAGGGAGGCCAGGTGCCGTGGCTCACACTTGTAATCCCAGCACTTTGGGAGGCTGAGGCGGGAGGATCATGAGGTCAGGAGATTGAGACCATCCTGGCTAACATGGTGAAACCCCGTCTCTACTAAAAATACAAAAAAATTAGCCAGGTGTGTTGGCGGGTGCCTGTAGTCCCAGCTACTCTGGAGGCTGAGGCAGGAGAATGGCCTGCGGAGCTTGCAGTAAGCCTAGATAGCGCCACTGCAGTCCAGCCTGGGTGAAAGATCGAGATTCCGTCTCAAAAAAAAAAAAAAAAGAAATGAAGGGGAACATTTCCCAAACTCATTTTATGAAGACTGAACAGCCTTAATACTAAAATCTGACCCCAAAATTCCAAAAATAATAAGAATAATATTAAGGCCAGTGAATAGAAACACAAAATTCCTTAAGAAAGCACTACCAAATTTACCCAGCAATATAAAGCATAAAACTTCTAAAGGAAGAAAAGAGAACCAAAAGAACCTAGAAAAGGCAAGAGCAATAAAAATCCATAATAAAATGGTAGATTTAAGTACAAACATATTGGTAATTATATTAAATATGAGTAGATAAATACTCCAGATTATTATAAGTAACTATATGATGTTTAGAAAAGAAACTCCTTAAACATAAGTTAGAGAAATATTGATATTAAAAGAATTCAAAATACCTACCTACTCCTATCTCTGCAACAACAAAAAAGCTGATCTAAAACTTAATGACTATTCTTGGATCCATTGGAGAGATGGAGTCACAGGGCTAACTGACACTGGGTAATCTAGAGAGATAGGTTAATCCAGAAAGTCACAGCTGAGATTGGCTCCAGACACTGCTAGAACCATAAATGGGTAGAAACATTTAAATGGTAGTTTTGACACAATTTTGGAGGCTGAGTGTGGACCAGAATGAGACTGAGAAACTTGTGGACCTGCAGTCTTATACACCTTTATACAGAGTATTAAACACACTTTCATGGGTTTTACCTGCAGAAACCACATCAGGCTCTAATGATGAAGAGCTGAGAAGATACCCTGTGGTTCTGGCAGGAGGAAGGGAAGAATAACCATTGTAAAATATACCCAGATCATTCTCCACAACAGACTTACTTTTAAGGTGAAAAGACTTTACCAGAGATGAAGACCATATGTCACATGGGGAAAAGTATTTCTCTCACTTCAGTGCCCTCTAGCTTTCCTGTCTCACCCAAGAAAAAGAAGGGAGGGAAGCTAAAAACACTTGTGAAGATCACAGCCTAACGCAGCAGGACTACTAAAGGGCTGAAATTTAACTACAAGATTTAAGAATACTTTCCCTCCCTTGCCACCACACCCACAGAGTTCCAGTGTGATAACAGTGGATTATGGCTAGAATAGCTGCAAGTCATAGACTCTAAGAAGGAGTTCTCAGGGAAATCCAAAGACAATTGAGGAAGAAGGGAGACAAGGACACTAGAGGAATTTGAAGCACCTACAGATACTGTAAATAGTAAGCTCAACTGACTCCTAGATAGATTAACATAAGCTATCAAACTAAAGTCCTACTTACCTACTTCCTGTTACCAAGTACATCATGTTCAGCATTCAACAAAAAAAAATCACAAGGTATGCTAAAAGACAGAAACAAACTGCATGAAGAGACAGAGTAAACATCAGAACTATACTCAGAGATGATGCACATGTTGAAATTGTCAAAGAGACCATTTAAAATAAATATGATTAATATTTTAGGCATCTAAAGAAAAGTAGACATAAAAGAACAGAGAGCTAAGGTAAACAGAGAGATTTGAAACTCTAAGAAATAATCAAAACAAAATACTAGAAATCAAAAATGTTGTAAAATAAGTGAATGCCTCTGATGAGCTCATCAGTAGACTGGAGAAAGCAGAGGAAACAATCAGTGGGCTTACAGATATGTCAGTAAATCCTCCCAAACTGAAATTCAGTGACAGAAAACAATGGAAAAAAAATAACAGAACATCCAAGAACTTTGGCATGATTTCCAAAGATTTAACATATGAATAATTGGAACACCAGAAGGATAGAAAATAATGGGGCAGAAAAAAAAAATTGAAGTAATTTATGGCTGAAAACTTTTCAAAATAAATGGCAGACACCAAACCACAGATCCAGAAATCTCAGAGAACATCAAGCAGGATAAATAGCAAAAAGTCTACACTTAGGCATAACACCTTCCAACTGCAAAGGACAGAAAACAAAAATATCTTGAAAGATGCCAGAGAAAAAAGCCTTATCTATACAGTCAAGAAAATAAGAATCACTGGAAACTTCTCATCAGAAACCATGCAAGGAAAAGGAAGAAGAGAGTAGAGTGAAATACTTAACGTTTTTAGAAAAAATTTTATCAACCTAAATTCTATATTCAGTGATAATTTTCAAAAGTGAACGAGAAATAAATTAAGGAAATGTATTAACAATAAATTTGCCCTAAAAGGAATTCTTCAGGAAGAAGGAAAATGATATAGATCAGAAATTTTCTTACATGAAGAAAAGTGATGAAAAAATGGTAAAATAAAATCTTTGTATTCTTAATTTACTAATAGATAATTGTGTAAGATAGTCATAGTAGCAATGTATTAGATAATTATGACACATAGATAAGTGAAATGAATGACAATAATGTCATAAGAGATGTGAGGTGGTATAATGTTATTTGAAGGTATATTTAGATTAGTCAAAATGTATATGGCAAACTCTAGGACAACCATAACTTTTAAAATGAACTATAATTGTTAATAGCTATCAAGCCACAAAAACAAATGAATAAACCTTAAATGTACATAACTAAACGAAAAAAAAACCAGTTGTAAGGTTATATACTGTATGATTATAATTATATAACATTCTGGACAAAGAAAACTATAATGGTCAAAAGGTCAGTGGTTATCAGAGGTTCAGGGGGAGGTCAATAAGGCTGAAGAGTTGAAGCATGGGGAATTTTTTTTTAGAGTAGTGTAACTATTCTGTCATGTAATGGTGGATACATGACACTATGCATTGACCAAAACCCACAGAACTTTACAGCACAAAGAGAAAATATTAATGTATACAAATTTTCAAAATAACTTAGTAGATTAGGAAATCCCAGGATGAAATGTGGTATGTGACAAAATAATCTAACTGTTGTGCAAATGTATAAAACAACCACAGTGAAGGGGGTGGAGGAAAAGGTGCTTACCTAAGTAACTTTGGAAATTAGTAGAGTCTATAAAACTAAAGGAAAAAAAAACTGCACATAAAGGTCCTCCCCACCATGGGAGTATGAGTTAATAATTCTGATGCTACTATGTAATTATACTGGAATAGGACAGTTAAATGGTTGGTAGATGGTGGGATCCTGGTTTCCTACTGTTGGCAAGGGAGTTTACAGATAAACTAGAGGAAGAGGCTAGAATGGTGTGTATAGTAATATATTAGAGTTGGAGACATCGGTATAAACTCATGCTTAGCTTAATATACATATATATGGCCACATATAAATATTTATAGATATAAGCAATACACAGGCTGATATACACACATGTATTTCCTTGCTCTGTCTGCTGAGAGGACCTATAGGCAACAAATACTCTAGTTGCAACAAGCACACCTAGTACCCAGATCTTGGTTTCTAATAGTACCCTCCAATAAAAGAAAGTGATGCTTGGAGAAATGAGTTCCTCTTAAAGTGGGGCAGAAAATACACAGAATGAGGCTGGAGTATCTTAAAGTGACAGAAAGTAATGAAGTTCTTTTAAAAACGTAAGCACAAAGACAGTATTATGTCAAAAGAACAATTTGAGCAACAAAATCAAGTAGGTTGGATCAGAATCCAAAGTATAAAATAAATATCCATGAGTCCATACTGATGTAAATAATAATTGAATAAATAAATTAATGACATATTCTGTGTTTAAGGAGGCAAATATAACTTCCCACTCCTGAAGGGTAGGCTGTGAAGAATATCCCTTTAGGGAGTACAGTATGGAAAAGGCAGGAGATAGGGAGACACAGGGCAACTTCACAGTGGAGAAGTGAAGGCTGATGAACAGAACCTAGCCAAGTGATCAAGGTCAACATCAACAGTGATAAGTCATTTTGATAGTATATACACTTGAAATGATGTGATGATATGATATGACTTCATCTGTGTGGTCTTCTAGAAAATATCTAACACCAATCCAATCATAAGGAAAGCATCACACAAATCCCAACTGAGGGATATTCTACAAAATACCTGACAAGTACTGCTCAAACTGCCAAGGTCATTTAAAAAACAAAAACAAAAACGAACAAACGAACAAACCAGGAAAGTCTGGGAAGCTCTCATGTTGTCACAGTCAAGAGAAGCCTAAGGAGACATGACAACAAAATGTATTGTGTTACCCTGTACAGTGTCCTGGAACCGAAAAAGGACATTAGGTAAAAACTAAGGAAATATAGACTGTAGATATTAACTATATGATATCAAAATTGATTCGTTAATCGTAACAAATATGCCACACTAACATGGCATGTGAATCACAGAGGAAATTGGATGTGGGGTCTATAGGGACTGTTTGTATTATCTTTGAAATAATTTTGTAAATCTAAAACTATCCTAAAATTAAAAGTTTATTTAAAAAAACTTGTGTGCACATCCCACAAAAGACTCATACTTCGCAAACACTAACCAAGAACAAAAAGCTTTTGTGCCTATATTAAAATGAGCAGAACAGACTTTAAGGAAAAGCATTACTAGTGATCAAAAGGAACATGTCGTTATATAATGACTCAATTCACCAGAAAGAAGGAACTATTCTAAATTTGTATTCATCTAATAGCATGTCTCAACATAAAGAGAAAGGAAAAATTACCAGAAGTACAAAAAGAAATGAGCAAATCCACCGTCATTCCAGGAGGTTAAAACACACTTCCCTCAGTCATTCAGAGAAAAGAGAACAAATCAAAAACTTGCTATTTACACAACATGGCATTTTGGATAAGATGATTTATTGTAACACCCTGCTCTAGTTGTGTGAGAATGTAGCATCTTTGGTTCTATAAACCAAATGAGAGTATTTCCCTCAAATTATTATGAAAGCCAAACTGCCCCATACTTTTACAAATAAGGGAGGACAGCTTCTCGCAATTTCCTCCCCCAGGCCCCACACACTGTCTGAACCACAGAGTCATCAGACCTTCTTCCATGATATAATCACACTATATATTATCTTGACCCATTCAGGCTGCTATAACAAAATACCATAGACTGAGTAGCTTATAAACAGTAGGAAATTATTTTTCACAGTTCTGGAGATTGGGAAGCACAGGATACAGATTTGATGTCTGGTGAAGACCTATTTCCTGGTTCACAGATAGCACTGTCTCGATGGGTCCCCTCACTTGGTGGGCAGGGTGAACAAGTTCCCTTGGGCCTTTTTTATAAGGGCACTATTTTTATGCATGAGACTTCTTCCCTCATGATCAAATCATCTCCCAAATATACTACCTCTTAATACCATCACCTTGAGGATTAGAATTTCAACATATGAATTTGGGGAGACACAAACATTTAGACCTTAGCAGCTGTGAATATTTTCATTACAGCCCTTTCAAAGAGTTTTTAAATCTATACAGTGATGTGCCTGTCTTCCACATTGGAATGCTGATTTCACACATATATTGGACCAAATGGCATCAGAACATTATAAAATCATTCTTTATAATTATAACAGTGGTTTTAAAAGGTGTATTAACCCTTTACTCATTTAGCACTGTGCTTACATTTTCTCATCTATAAAATAGAAATAATAATAGTTATTTTATTCTGAGACTTAAATAATGTAATGTATATAAAGCTGTTAGCAACATGCCTGAGAGTATAAGGCTTTGATCAAGTAGTAGTATTATTACATTATTCACAGTACAAGCTGGCTCCCTATGGTAAAGCAAAGGCAATGTTGTAAAAGTCCAACCCAAGAGTGGTATTAGTGTTAGACCAGTCAAAGGGGTTTCATCTAGGAGAAAGATGTTTCTCAGGACAGTCTGAGATTGCAGTCAGAAGGCGAAACACCATGACTGAGACATCCTCAAATTTTTATCTGGGTGGTGTTCAATATCATTCTGAGGATATGATAAGATGGAAATAAATTTTAGAGAATAGTTTGTAAGTTGGCAGAATGGAGTGAGGGCAAGGCCACTGTGTGGTTCTGAACTGTTGCTGTGGTGGGGGAGAGGGATGGCCTCCCGTTTGTACCATGCATTGCTTGTACTCATAGGGAGAATAAATACTTCTCCCCCGATGAAATAAAAAGGAAATCAGCCTCTCTGAGGCAACACAGACTGAGGACCTCTAAAACATTCTGCCTGACTAAAGCCCTCCTCATGCTTCTTAACGGAAAGGCTGTAAGGGCCAGATAGTCTGAGATGCTAAGGAAGGAAAAGAACTGTGGGAGTAGAATGCCGGAGAAAAAACCCAAGCTCTTTGATTTCCCTTAACGTCAGTGACACAGAAACAAGGGACAGATTGAGAAGAGCCTCCCTATTTCTCTCTAGGTTATAAGAGTAGTGGCATGCTAACAGTGGCAGCAACCCCTATTAGCCACCCTTTTTTATTCAAATAGCCAGCCATTTGACATTAACACTAAATGTGTCTCCTCAATAGCAAGCATTGCCTTCAAAGCTTCTTGTGTGTCAGTCAGCCAGAGAACCACTTAGTGTCATTGGGAAGTCCAGCTATGGCATTTTCTTCCAAGTGACAGACAATATTTTCTTTACTGCCCCATCCAAAAAATGTGGGAATCTGTATATTTGTGTGAGTGAGTGTGTGTGTGTGTGTGTGTGTGTGTGTGTGTGTGTGTGTTTTCCAAAAGTCATTGGGCCATGTTCATGTTCATACTGTTCAACAGCAGTCTCAACTTCCCATTTATTTAAAGGCTGACCACTGCTTAATGGCAAAATAAGCATTGCACCCACTGTCTAACCAGTCCCAATGAGATGAGCCAAGTATCTCAGTTAGAAATGCAGAAATCACCTGCCTTCTGTGTTGGTCTTGCTAGGAGCTACAAACCAGAGCTGTTCCTATTTGGCTCTCTTGCCTGGGAATCCCAAGAACTTCTTTTAGTGTGTAACAAGGCTGAAACTTGAACTTTGGTCTGTCAGTCTAAAATCTTAACCATTATTTGATGTAATCTTTAGTAAATGCCATTGCTTACCAACTGTAGCACAGTATAACAGTTATGGCATTTGTGTTAAGATGGGGGCTTAAGCCCTAACTTTGCCACATATTATTGCTAATAGAGGAAACTCTATTTGCAGGAGCTTCCATGTGCTCAAGGATTCATGAAGAGGTATTTTGATTGTTGTGGAGTAATGACTGTCATATTTCTGGTTTATATGGGGAAAAGGCAATGGAGAACAAACCAGATAGACTAATGAAGGAGGTGTCAGTTCCCTGCTTCCTTTCATTCTCTTCAAAAGTATAAATGCTTTTGCCATTAAAGGTTGGGAAATTACCTTTTCTGAAGTACACAAAGGAGCAAATAATTGCTTTTAGGATATTTTTCTTAAGAAAAAATATATTTTAATGTACTGTTTACTAAAACTTAAACTTACACTTCTTACATATTTTACAGTCTTACTTTTTTCAGATTTTTAAAAATGTTACTGAGCTCCATAGGTTTAAATCATGTTTCCTTTTCATTAAGAACACTTTAAAAAAAAAAAAAAAAAAGAAGCTTGCTATTTTTACCATATTTCCTGAAGTTGGCTCTTCAAGGAGGAAGAACAAAGAAATTACTCAACGTTTCCTAATTTAATGGTCAGAATGAATCCAGCACCCCAACATACAAGAGCATCAAGAGCGACTGGCAAAGAATATATTTCTCTCTCACTTAGAGTGCAATGGCTTAGTGAAACTGCTTGTGTTAGTACAGGGAGTGGGCTTGGGGTTAGGGACTGGTTGGGAGATGGGGCAGGAAGGAATTCTTAGAGTAGGATCACTTGTCTGATAAAAAAAGAATTACATTTTATTTTAAAGCTGGATGTGACCATAAAAATCATGCAGGTCTATCTTTTTCATTTCTCCAATGAAGGAAAGGAGGCCAAGACAGTTTTCATAGGGTAAAACATGACTCTTAACACCACCTGCTAAGCTGGCTCAAAGGTGAATTTGAACAATAGCCAGGACAGTTCCTTCTAGGGTTGTACGAGAATCTGAGAATCCTCCATGAAGTCCCTCCAATGGGATAAGGATGTCTTATCTTCACTCCATTGTTGCTGATACTCTGTTCAAGGACCTGGGGTCTCTGAAAACTAACAAATCTGCTGCAACAGAGTTAAGCTCAGCTGTGGAAATCTCTGATTCTGGAGCCTCCAGATCAAGGTAAAGCTTTTGGTGGCACCACAGACTTTCCTGGGTGCAACCAGGAATGGGGCCTAAGTCTTCCCTATACACAGGCTCCCAAACTCTATCCTTCTCACAGATTGAGGGGAAATACGCCATCTCTCTCATGGCCCATGCTGTTTTTCCATTGCATTATCCAATTCTACATATACAATAGGCTTCTGCATGATTTCAGACTTGCACAGATAGGCAGAATGAATAACATTCATCAGCTTCTCACTCACACCATGAAAAAAAAAACATGAAATAGAAAAAAACACAGATCTGACAACCTCCATGAAACAGAAGAGAAAAAATACAGGAAGCACAACACTTATAGCTCTAACTTGGCATGGTTCTCTACAGCAGAAAAGTAAAACCTAATTAATATGTCAGGAAATGATCACATTGCAAGGGCTAATATTATTTCCCATTTAACTTCACATTGAATGTTAAGCTACAATGTGATAAATGCTGTTTATTCAGGCCATCCCTGCAGGTTTCTCCAGGAGCTGTGTGGCGGAAAAGTTTGAGAAGCACTGAAGTAGGCCAACGCCTTCATTTTATAGGTGAGGAAAATAAAGCCCAGATATGCTTTCTGTGGTTGCATATATCACTGATGGCAGATTTAGGTCACAGTTAGGTGGATGGAGGCCTTAGAGTTCGTGGTGAGCTTGGGTAAACCACATCATTTACTTCAATCTATAAAGAAGGCCATAGAGCCCAATATGCTCCTAAACATGAGAGATTCCACCCCGGGCCCCTGATACTCTTGGCTTAGTCCCTGTAGCCACACCATCACCTGTCTCACCAATCCCAATCACACAAAAGGCCAGTCCTGAGAAGCCTCCTCTTGTTAAAAGTGATCACTCATCTTTTCCATGAACCACCAGGACAAGCCCTTTAATTCTTACACCCATCACTATCTAGGTCACTGCTGGTTGTCCAAACAACTCAAGTCATCCATTAGCACTAGGATATTTTCCTCACAGGACTCTGAACGTTCATAACCTAAGCCAAATTTTTACTCTTTACCAAGCTCCCAAGCCTTTCCATTATGCCTTCTGGAACACTTCACGTGGCATTGACAAAATTCCCAACTTCCTCAGCCTCTTTTTTATTGAATTTCCTTCACCTCCAGAGCTCATTGGCACCTGGCCCACCTCAAGGAGATTGTTTCTTTGGTAACCCTCTTAGTGATAGCTGCTTCTTTTGCTCACAACCCAAGTACTGCAGGGCCTGGAAGAGGGTTAGCTGTTCTTAATGCTTATTGCTGGATTATTTATCCTCCCTTTTCACAAACCCCCACAAGGAAAATCTCTTTATTTAAAGAGATCTGATGGCACAGGCCATCAGACCATCCAATCCACCGCCCTTCTTTGTTGATTTTTCCTGATTTCTCATCACTCCCTATTCAGCTTTTAGAAATAGCATACTACCACTATTACTATAACTATTTCTGAGATTTCTATATCCCATTAAAGTGCAAGAAATCCATAAAATAAGAGAGAGAGAATGGGAAAAGTAGAATGGAGGATAAATAAAAGTAGAAAGTAATTTAACTGACATAATAGAGAAGACACAATAACATGTGAGCTGCTGGTGGTGGTTGGGTATGAATTGCCAAAAATAAGCAAGATAACTCTCGCCATAGCCCCATCTCACCCTCAGATACACACATATTTATTACATCAGGTACTTCTGAAGTCAGGAAAGTCAGAGGGAACAGAAAAACAGAAAACGTACTTGAAAGTTTGATTAAGGAGCAGTGAGAAATCTAGATCTCCTTGTCTTTCCTAGAACCCCAAGGACCTGTCCCTCCTCCACTCTGGAAGAAGCCTGGATGTTTACTCTCCCAAGGTCTTAACTGAAAAAGCAATGGGCCTTGAGAATACGAGGTACAAGGAAGGCTGGGGGTGACGTTCCGATACTGAAAATAACGGATTAAGAGAAAATCTGTCTGCTGAAAATTGAGTCCCCAGCTCTCTCTCTCTATTCAAATCCTAAACCCCAAAGTCAGCTTTATAACAGCAAACTTGAATGGGAGGTGAAAGAATCCAAGACTGACAGCAATTGACCTTTGGCAATCCCACAAATAAATGGCCTGGGTTTCCTTCTGATCAATCTACAATGAAGTGTATCAGTTGACAGGCACTACTGCCCCACCACCATCATGACTACCACACCGTATGCCCCACAGACAAAATCACATGGCGAGTTGCCAAATATCAACTTGATGTATGTTCCTAAGAGCCTAGGATGATTAAGCATTTGAGAAAGTATTTAACATGAAGGTCAGAGAAAAAATTCAAAAAACAGAGAAAAAAACAGAAGAAAAAGAGGCAATACTCCGAATAGAAGAAAACATAAAAAGAATTAATATCCATAGGTGATAAAAAGCAAAAATAGTGCTTTGATTATATTGCAAATGGTTGCAATAAAAGGAAGACTATGAGAAAAATAAAGAAATGTTAGAGATAAAAATAGTCCAGGCATGGTGGCTTATGCCTGTAATCCCAGCACTTTGGAAGGTGAAGGTGGGTGGATCACTTGAGCCCAGGAGTTTGAGACCAGACTGGGTGACATGGAGAAACCCTGTCTCTACAAAAAAATACAAAATTAGCCAAGCATGGTGGCATATGCCTGTAGTCCTGGCTATTTGAGAGGCTCAGTTGGGAGGATCACTTGAGCCCAGGAGGTGGAGGTTGCAGTGAACCAAGATTGTGCCACTCCACTCCAACCTGGGCAACATAGCAAGATCCTGTCAAAAAAACAAAAGAAGAAAAAAGATATATTAGAGATAAAAATGATAATAACATAAATTTAAAAATGGCATGGGCATATTTAAAGATAAGTTAAGGAAGCCGAACATAAGAAAAAGTGATTACGTTCTTCTAGTATTTCTATGTCTGTTAAGGATATATAATGATGATTGTATACATACAATGCTATAGCAATAAACCACACACACATACACACACAGAAAGCATATAGTCAACTGAAGAGCAAACTCTGGATAATAATTAAAATTGGAAAATTATTAACTTACTATGCTACTAATCCCATTTACATATCAAAATTTTATTTTTATGGAAATTTTTCTTTCCTTTTTCCAATTTTAGAATAATTTTTCTTTTGTTTTCTCCAATAACTTTAATACAAGTATAATAGGGTACAGTGTACAAGTGTACTTAGCACTTTGTAAATTGCATTTTTCATAGTTCTATGTTGATAGTAGAATGGTTATGGTAATAGCTTTGTAATCTACATGAGTTTTTCAATTTTCCTTTATAAACATGTAATCAAGGCAAAAGATGTTATTTTGCTGAATAATCAATAATAGCAATTCTATAGCTCTGTGCTGTGCACATTGGGTAAATATATACATAAAAACTTATTTTTATGTCAGGTTTCAGTATCTTGTGTCTGCTTGTCTTATTTAAGGGACAGATTTTTTAACTCAAAAACAATGTGAACAAATATTCATTTTTTATAAATATATCGTATTTCACTGTTCTTTACATAGCAGTTAGTTGCATTTTAAAAGAAATCATGAGTATTGCTATTTATTTAATAATACAGTTAACAGAGCTAAGGAGGAAATTACAGCGATAATAAATGTGTTATCAGTGAAATAATTGCTCCATTGTGGCTTCCTCATTAAAGACCATAAGTCAATGAGCTGTGTGAAAGTTTGCCGCTGATTTTTTTCTGGGCACTGTATTTGCATGTTATATAAATGTCCTATTTGTACCATATGATTGCTAGAGACTCAATGAGCCATTTTAATGGCAAACAGTTAACACATTACTTTCTGTCCTTCTGTTTTACTCATGTGGTAATTGTAGAAAAAGTTTAGTTGCTCCAATGTTCTTTTAAATAATTAAATTGCTTGTTGGCTGCATTTTCCCCTTGATATAGTGAATGGTTGAAAATAATTCATCTTGAAATTGAGTAATAACCATGACTGTGTGTTACAGGCACATAACTAGTTTGGATTTTTTGAAAATGCTGTTTCAATTAGATTCAAATGGTAAATGGAGAAGTTTTATCGGCATGAGACAAACATGTTCTACTACAACTTCTTACATTACGTTCTCAAATTTATTTTCTTCTAAGAATACCATTGGTTATTTCAATGCTGAGATTCTTTGTTCAGGTATCGTATTTGAGCCAAAGTTTCTTTTGAGAATCAGCCTCTCATTGGCAAACAAGGCAGATACTGAATAAAGTCCTGGAGGGGAGGGAGGCTGTCTGAGTCACTGCTGCATCACTTCAAGGTTGGGGCTCATGGCAGAGGTTTAACAAGTTCCAAGGAAATGACTAAGATTGGTATTCCTGAAACACAGCTTGTGACAGTCCACTGGGGCCCAGGTGGCTCTTCTGAGATGGCCTCATAGATTTAAGTTTTACACGGTCCATCAGAGCAAATAAGAGCGTATTCCTTATGTCTAACACCCTAAAGGATTTTCCTTCTCAAGTCATCCTTTATATATTCATTCTTCTATCAAGTGTCAGTAACTTCTTATTACCACTTTTTTTAACAAAGTATGCTTATATTTGCCTTTTAAATAATTTGTATAAATTCAAGGAGTAAAAAGGCAGTTTTGTTATGTGAACATATTTATAGGTGAAATAGTGTACATTGTACCCATTAAGTAATTTCTCAACCCTCACCTCTCTTCTCTCCTCTCAACCTTCTGAGTCTCCAATGACTATTATTCTACACTCTATGTCCACGTATCACTTTCTTTCTTATTTAAAAAAAACTTGTATTTTAGGTCTAGGGATATATGAGCAGGTTTGCTATATAGGTAAACTCGCATCATGGGTAGGGGGTATTGTTGTACAGATTATTTCGTTACCCAGGTAGTAAGCCTGGTACCCAATAGTTATTTTTTCTGATCCTCTCCCTCCTCCCATTCTTCACCCTCAACTAGGCCACTTTCTTTATATCTGGAATTCTTCTTGGGATCATAGGAAGATTAAACTCATTCATTCATCTACACATTCATTCAAAATTATTATTGAGTGCCCACTGTGCCAGGGACTATTCTAGGAGCTCAAAATTTGTTAGTAAACAAAGCCCCCTCACCAACCCATCCTGGTGCTTACATTGTGGGACCCAAGACAAGAGTACAAATGAATACAATTTACCCTATGCCTAGATATTTAAAAGCCATTCATCAAGTTAACAAATGACTGAATAAAATGCATTTTCTCTTCCTACCCTAAAAAATATGCCTTTATGACTTTCAAGTTCAAGTTTAGAATTCTCAAACCCCATGGAATTTCCCACTAGAACATAAGGGTCTAATGAGGAGAGCCAGTCTTCAGTCCCTGGCTCCCAGCTGAGGCCTGGGTCTCCCTCCTCTCACTCTCTTCTCCCTTCTGCCCTGCACAGGTCTTCCTGCATGTTTGTGTGAACACCTCTAACCCTGTCCAAGCTCTGTTTACACTTTCTGAGGACAACTCATGAGTATAGGGATGAACTCAGAAGGAGACCCATGGAGACCCTGGAAGCAAGCTCAGGCTCACTTGAGAAAGGAATTCCAAGGTCCTCAGTATTCATAGTATGGACTATAAAAAGGGCTAAGCTCTCTGGGTGGACAGATCCTTCCTTTACTCCACCAGGGACCAGCATTCCAGGTCTTCTCCTGTAACTACAGCACTGTAAAGCCTGACTGGATAAATCTTAGAGGTAGACCAAGTAATAAAGAAAAGTTCGCCTAGCCTAGGGGATTTTCTTTTTTTTTTTTATTTTATTATTATTATACTTTAAGTTTTAGGGTACAGGTGCACAATGTGCAGGTTAGTTACATATGTATACATGTGCCATGCTGGTGCGCTGCACCCATTAACTCATCATTTAGCATTAGGTATATCTCCTAATGCTGTCCCTCCCCCTTCCCCCCACCCCACAACAGTCCCCAGAGTGTGATGTTCCCCTTCCTGTGTCCAGGTGTTCTCATTGTTCAATTCCCACCTATGAGTGAGAATATGCGGTGTTTGGTTTTTTGTTCTTATGATAGTTTACTGAGAATGATGATTTCCAATTTCATCCATGTCCCTACAAAGGACATGAACTCATCATTTTTTATGGCTGCATAGTATTCCATGGTGTATATGTGCCACATTTTCTTAATCCAGTCTATCATTGTTGGACATTTGGGTTGGTTCCAAGTCTTTGCTATTGTGAATAGTGCCGCAATAAACATACGTGTGCATGCGTCTTTATAGCAGCATGATTTATAATCCTTTGGGTATATACCCAGTAATGGGATGGCTGGGTCAAATGGTATTTCTAGTTCTAGATCCTTGAGGAATCGCCACACTGACTTCCACAATGGTTGAACTAGTTTACAGTCCCACCAACAGTGTAAAAGTGTTCCTATTTCTCCACATCCTCTCCAGCACCTGTTGTTTCCTGACTTTTTAATGATTGCCATTCTAACTGGTGTGAGATGGTATCTCATTGTGGTTTTGATTTGCATTTCTCTGATGGCCAGTGATGATGAGCAGTTTTTCATGTGTCTGTTGGCTGCATAAATGTCTTCTTTTGAGAAGTGTCTGTCCATATCCTTCACCCACTTTTCGATGGGGTTGTTTGTTTTTTTCTTGTAAATTTGTTTGAGTTCATTGTAGATTCTGGATATTAGCCCTTTGTCAGATGAGTAGGTTGCGAAAATTTTCTCCCATTCTGTAGGTTGCCTGTTCACTCTGATGGTAGTTCTTTTGCTGTGCAGAAGCTCTTTAGTTTAATTAGATCCCATTTGTCAATTTTGGCTTTTGTTGCCATTGCTTTTGGTGTTTTGGACATGAAGTCCTTGCCCATGCCTATGTCCTGAATGGTAATGCCTAGGTTTTCTTCTAGAGTTTTTATGGTTTTAGGTCTAATGTTTAAGTCTTTAATCCATCTTGAATTAATTTTTGTATAAGGTGTAAGGAAGGGATCCAGTTTCAGCTTTCTACATATGGCTAGCCAGTTTTCCCAGCACCATTTATTAAATAGGGAATCCTTTCCCCATTGCTTGTTTTTCTCAGGTTTCTCTAGGGAATTTTTCTTTACCAATCTTGCAGATTTTGCCTTTTCTACACTGCCAGTGAAACCATCTGAACAGAAAGTTTTCTTTTTCAGGACTTTCTGATTTTTCTCTTTACTAGTAATGCAATTTCTTCAATAGAAATGGTTTAATATATAAGTTACACCCACATATACTTATTAATTATATATTATATATATATTCTCAGTGAGTTCAGCAGTTTGTGGCTTTTAAGGAATCTCTATTTCATCTAAATTGTCAAATTTATATGATTAGACTTATTTATAATATTTTCTTATCAACCTTTTAATGTCCATGAGGTCTCTAGTGATATCCTACTTCACACATAAGCAGGGCTTTTGTGAGGTTTCTGCAGGACTTTTCTGCAAGTCTATGAGTCAGTTGTGAAGGAAGATTCAGATCTTCCTTGTTGTACACAGTAAATAACACATGGTAAATATCTCCAATGCTGGGAGCAGGCACACCAACTGCCAAGCACCTACTACAAATAGGTAGTATCACATTAGATGTAGAACTGTGGCACAAGATCAATCTGTAGGTGGACATATACTTTCCCATGGTTCTTTACAAGGCATGTTGAGCATCTTTGATGAGTTTGTCAACTTCTGTCAATAATACCATTTTAAAATATCTGACAGTTTGTTTCAAGTTGCTGTGACTGAGCCACTGTTTTCAACATCTTCTGAATTACTACCTCATCAATATTTCCAGCATCACTGGGATTAACTTCAAGGTGGTAATTACTTGCAATGGTGCTAATTTCAATTTTTTTAGATGGAGTCCTGATGGTCTGGTATTTAATTCTCAATTTTTCCACTCCAACACCATAAAGTTGATGTAGAACACACATAGCACTTGTCTTTTTTCCAGAACCTGATGGTCCATACACTTAAAGGTGAGGAAACTCACCACCCTGCACCAGGTTGTATAGCTGGGCTGCCTGCTCCCTGTGATACTCCATCCATCCCAAGGATTAGGGCTGGTACTTGTCTACCCAGAGGCTCATGAAAGCTTGAGTTCCTGGGGTCTGATAAATGAAAGTCCCACATACATGTCTGTCTTTTTAATAATAACCATTCCGGCCAGTGTGAGATGGTATCTCATTGTGGTTTTGATTTGCATTTCTGAAGAGAGAAAACTTAATGCTACTTTGGTACATGAAGTTTGTATTCTGAAGTCAACTTTAATTCCACAGAGTTACAATATATTTGTAATATCTCATATCTGCCTGCCCTGAAAGGTGAGACTGTTGACTTAAAGGGCACTTTTGGCCGAGCGTGGTGGCTCACGCCTGTAATTCCAGCACTTTGGGAGGCCGAGGCAGGCGGATCACAAGGTCAGGAGATCGAGACCATCCTGGCTAACACGGTGAAACCCTGTCTCCACTAAAAAAATACAAAAAAAAAAAAAAATTAGCTGGGTTTGGTGGTGGGCGCCTGTAGTCCCAGCTACTCAGGAGGCTGAGGCAGGAGAATGGCGTGAACCCAGGAGGCAGAGCTGGCAGTGAGCCAAGATGGTGCCACCGCACTCCAGCCTGGGCGACAGAGCGAGACTCCATCTCAAACAAAAAAAAGGGCACTTCCACTTCAAGGTGTGACTACAAAGGAAACTAGGGGACATATACTAGCATTAGAAAAAATAAGTTAAACACTGATAATGAGCTTTTCTAGCTGAATCTGGCAGCCATGAGATTTTCTGCAGAGTCCAAATCCCACCTAAATCCCATTTGTCTTCTAACTAATTCTTCTTTGCTTTCATTCCATTCTGACCACCAGTTTCCTGACTGTAATTGTTAACACATAATACCTTCCAACTATCAGTTTCTAAAATTATAGCTTGCTTTGTGATGATTACAGCTTAGAGGGATGTATCTTCTCTCCTTAACACTATTGGTCTGCAAATCACCATACAGCAAAGGTTATTTCTTTGGGATTCCTGGAGATGGCCAATTTCTTAGGGAGACATGCCCTAGTTCTCATGTGAAAACACCTCCCCAGCCTCATCCTAGATACCAAGATTCATATGGCCTGTGAGAGAAAGGAAGTCAGTCTTCACTCCACTTACACCTGTGAACCCAAAAGTATCTGAGACAGGTCTCAATCAATTTAGAAAGTTTATTTTGGTGAGGTTAAGGACACATCCAAGATACAGCCTCAGGAGATTCTGACATGTGCCTAAGATGGCTGGGGAATAGCTTGTTTTTATACAACTTAGGGAGACATAATACATCAGTCAATTCATGTAAAATTTACACTGGTTTGATCTGGAAGTGTGGGACAACTCTAAGTTGGGGTTTCCAGGTCATA
Source organism: Homo sapiens (assembly GCF_000001405.40). NCBI lineage: Eukaryota > Metazoa > Chordata > Mammalia > Primates > Hominidae > Homo > Homo sapiens. The sequence continues at coordinate 36,171,749 of NC_000003.12, forward strand.
GGTAGATTTCAAAATTTTCTGATTGGCATTTGGTTGAAAGCGTTATTATCAACAGAAAGGAATGTCTGGTTTAGAATAAGTGGTTTTGAAGACCTAGGTTTTATCATGCAGATGAAGCCTCCAGGTATCAGGCTTCAGAGAGAAGAGATTGTAAATGTTTTTATTAGACTTAAAGTCTGTGTTGATGTTAACACTGTTCAGCTTTCCCTGAATTACAAAAAGGAGGAGGGTATAATGAGGCATATCTGACCCCCCTTCCCATGATGGTCTGAACTAAGATTTTCAGGTTAACTTTGGAATGTCCTTGCCTGAAAGAAGGGGTCCATTCAGATGGTTGGGGGCCTTAGAGTTTTATTTTTGGCTTACCTACCCAAGTCCCAGTTGTAAGATCAAAGTAGTAACAGAAGATAAGTAAGTAAAGCAGGCTGAACCACAAAAGGAGATCCCAGATGTAGGTGATCGTGATGAGACCTAGAGAGAACTGATTTGGGAGGACTAGTGATGAGCTAAAAAAACATGAGGAATACTCTTCGAGGATGGGGGAGTATGGTGGGAGGACATGTGCTTTTGACCAATGTAAAATCCAAGTTCAGGTATCTGTGGTCAAACAAAAAACTCAGTCCTCATCACTGGAGCTGACCAGAGAAATGTGAATTCCCAACTTTTCAAGAAGTCCCAAAGGCAAGCCAGGGCACCAGCTATAACCCTGGGCAAAGCAGCTCTCTTGAGTTTAGGCACTTTCCAAAGAAGGCTAATACATAAGAGCTGTCTGCTGGAAGCACTCCCAGCATTTGGGAAAATAAATCCTTCAGTCCTGATAATCTGGGTGTCCTCTATAGTCCACCCCTTGCAATACGAGGATATAATTCTTCAAGTCAATTCTGGGAACAGTTACTGAAGAATCCCAGTAAGCCTCTCTTTCTAGGGGAAACTTAAAGAAGATTAACAGGAAAATACATGGCCCTTGCTACTATAGTTGGTCTTGAAGTCACAACTGACACTCATTGTGTGTCTCTCCTTTACTTTCATTCTGGATTCCCTTCATCCTCAACTAACACATCCGCTTGTCTCAGTGGTTTACCTTGTGGCGTGATCCACCCCCACATGCCTAAGAAACCTGAGTCCCTGGTCACACAGGCTTCTTAGGCCAAGGCTGTTACACTTGTTCATTTGCCAAGAAAATTTGGCAAGGGTATAGCTGAAAGGTGCCCAAGTGCACTGAGTACCAAATATATTTTCCCTTTCCCCATTATAACAGTATCCCTTTCTCCTTCTGATAATCATTATTAATTATCCTTTCTAAGATGATGACTCTTCTTATTTTCTGTTCTTCACTTTCCAAGAAGAACTTGAAGTAACCGGCTGTTAGCCATAGCTTGTACTTCAGTGGGAGTCTTCCTGTATCTTCCTAGTTGGAAGTGTTTCTCCTTGGTAACTAACATATTTAAGATTCCAGAATTTGGGGTACAGGAAACATAAATTCCCCTAAGGGAATTACTGAGAGTGACAGTGAGAAATGTACTTCTGCTTCCATTCCTTGGTTCATAGAACAAGGTATTCTACCTATTTGAGACACCAGCACCATATTAAAGATTTTGCTATTCTTGCCTCTTGGATCCAGCACACTCAAAAAACAAACAAAAACAAAAACAAACAAACAAACAAACAAACAGTCCCTTACATATGTTCCAGGCTCCTACCAGTAGAAGTTGGCTATGTTCTGCAACTCTTGTGGAATATAGTCTTTTTACTCCCTTCTCAGACCCAATGTGACTCCAACTGGATTCTGTTGTAACTTAATCCTGGTCATTGAACTTGTGGCCTGGAGGGGAGGTGAGGGCAGATCCTAAATAGGATTTCCATGCTGTCAGGAAGTTCATAGAACTTGTATCATCTTTAATCAAGGGAAGAAATATGTATAGTTTACACACCAAAATTACAGTAATATAATATTCTGTGTTTTCTGTGTGCATACTATTATTGGTGAGTTTTGTATTAGAAGGTTTCTTATTGCTTGTTACCGTCCTTTTCTTTCAGATTGTAAAACTTTCTTTAGCATTTCTTATATGAAAGTTTTGATATTGATGAAACCCCCTCAGCTTTTGTTTGTCTGGAGGGGGGCTGTTATTTCTTCCTAATATTTAAAGGATATTTTCACTGGATATGCTATTCCAGAATAGAAGATTTTTGTTTGTTTTTCCTTCAGCACTTTAAACATGTCATGTCACTCTCTCTTGGCCTGTAAGATTTCCACTGAGGCATCTGCTGCCATACATATTGGATCGTCTTTGTATGCTATTTGTTTCTCTTCTCTTGCTGCTTTTAGGATCTTTTTTTTATTCTTGTCCTTTGGGAGTTTGGCTACTAAATGTCTTTTGGGAGTTTGATTATTAAATGTCTTGATATTGTCTTATTTGGGTTAAATCTGTTTGGTGTTCTGTAACCTTTTTGTACTTAAATATTGATATATCTCTCTAGATTTATAAACTTATCTGTTAATATCTTTTTGAATGAACTTTCTACTCTGATCTCTGAATGACCTCTTTAAAAGCCAATAATTCTTAAATTTGCCCTTTTGAGGTTATATTTTAGGTCTTATAGCAATGCTTTATTTTTTTTATTTTGTTTCCTCTGAATCTATTTTCAAATAGCATGTCTTCAACCTCACTAATTCTTCTGCTTGAGTAATTCGGCTATTGAGAGACTCTGATGCATTCTTTAGTACACCAATTGAATATTTTAGGTCCAGAATTTCTGTTCGATTTTTAAAATTATTTCAATCCCTTTGTTAAATTTATCTGATAGGATTCTAAATTACTTCTCTGTGTTATCTTGAACTTCATTGAGCTTCCTCAAAAAAGGTATTTTGAATTCTGTCTGAATGGTCACATATCTCTGTCAATCCAGCATTAGTCACTGATGCCTTATTTTATTCTTTTGGGGAGGTCTCGATGCTTGTGGATGTTTGTCAATGTCTGGGCATTGAAGAGTTAAGTATTTATTGTAGTCTTCAGAGTCTGGGCTTGTTTGTACCCATCCTTCCTGGGAAGGCTTTCCAAGTATTCAAAGGGAATTGAGTCTTGTGATGTAAGTCTTTGGTTTTTGGTGACTTTAGCCATACCCATTAACACTGAGTCTCTTTCAAACTCACAGAAGTACCACCTGGTGGTCTTGGGTATAATCTGAGAGAATTCCCCATATTACCAGACAATCTCTTCTCTTATTTCCCCCAAATAAATGGAGTGTCTCTCTCTCTCTCTCTCTCTCTCGCTCTATCTCTATATCTATCTCTCTATCTCCTCATCCCAGAGCAGCTACACAAATGCTGTCCAGAAGTCAGGTCCTTGAGTTAGAAACCTTAAGAATCTTCTTGGTGCTCTATTCTACTGCTGCTGAGCTAGCATTCAAGCTGTAAAACAAATTCCTTCCCATTCTTCCCTTTTCTTTTCGTCAAGTGAAATGAGTCTCACCCCATGACTACAACTGCCCCAGGCCCATGGCAAGTACTGCTGATGTTCACTCAAGGCTCAAGTGCTCTTCAGTCAGCTTATGGTAAATGCTGCCAGGCCTGGGCTCTCCCTTTAGGGCAATGGGCTCCCTCTGGCCCAGGCCAGGTCTAGAAATGCCATCCAGGAGCCAAAGCCTGGAACTGGGGGTTCAGGAGTCTGTTTGGTGTTCTGCCCCACTGTGGCTGAACTGGTACCCAGGCTGCAAGACAAAATCCCCTTTATTCTTCCCTCTCCTTTCCTCAAGGAAGAGTCTCTCCTGCAATGATCACCAGAGCTGGAAATGTGCCGGGACATATCTGAAGCCAGCATCACACTGAGTCTCACCCAAGGCCCACAATAAGTACTACCTGACTATTGCTGATGTTTACTCAAGGCCCAAGGGCTCTTCAGTCAGCAGGTGATAGATCCTGCCAGGATTGGGTCCTTTTCATCAAGGCACTGAGTTTCCCTCTGGCCCATGGTGTGGAGCTAGGGCCTGGAATGGGGACCTCAAAACTCTGCCTGCTACCCTTTTTTTTTTTTTTTTTTTTTTACTGTGGCTGAGCTGGTATCCAAGGTGCAAGACAAAGTCCTCTTTACTCTTCCCTCTCCTCTCCTCAAGCAGAAGCAAGGAGTTTCTTTTGGAGCTACAATCTGTACTGCCTGGGGTTGGGGGAGGGTGACACAAACACTCCCTTGGCAACCCCAGCTGGTGTCTCACTAAGCCACGTGCACCCCAAGTCCAATAGCTCCAAGAACAGCACAGCACCAGGATTTGCCCAGGAATTGCATTCCTTTTGGCCTAATCTGCCTTTCAAGTTCATTTAGGACCTCAGAGTGCTTCAGCCTGAGGTGTCAGGGCTTATCAGAACTCAGGTTCCAAACACAGGGATGGATGATTTGCCTCTCGTGAGGGCTGATTTAAATACTTCCTCTGTGGGTGCCAGTTGGATTCTGCCCTGTGTTGCTTTCCACTGTGACAGGCAGCACTGAGTTCCAGTGCAGAGTCCCACAATCACTGCACTTTTCCTCCCTCAAATGCAGATTCTCTTTCCTCACCATGTGGCTGCTGCTGGGGGGTGGGGGAGGGGTGGTGTTGGCAAGTGAAGACTGTCCTTCCTACCCTCAGTGATATGAAGTTAAAACCAGGTACTGTGACTGCTTACCTGATTTTTGGTTTTTATGAAGGTGCTTCCTTGTGTGAATAGTTGTTCAATTTGATGTTCCTGGGGAGGGGGCACAATCCCTGGAGGGTTCTATTCAGCTGTCTTGCTCCACTTCCTCCCAGACACTGCTCTCTTTGGGTTTTGTGAAATAGTAGTGAGAAAAGCAGCCTGATAAAAGAGATGTCTGTATGCAATTGGTTGTTAAGTGGGGTTGAGTATAGAGAGGAGGAATGAAATATTTTTTAGGAAAAGATAGTTTAGGGTTAAGGAAGAAGAATTTGGAAAAGCCTGGAGGTAAAATATCATGCAATGTTTGATAACATGTTTGGAGGTAAGGTAAACATGGGTAAAAAACAAAATGTAGGTGGTCTTCAAGGCTAAGGATATGGAAAGAAAAGCACACTATACTCGTATAATTAAAACCCGTGTAGGCAACACTAAGAAGTTCAGGCTTTCTCCTGAAGACTATGGGAAGATTTCGAAGTATTTCAACCAGAAAGTCACACTGGTTTAAGCACAGAGGGCTGTAGGACAGGACGTCAGACAGGAAGACCACTTAGAAGGCAGGGTAGCAACCCATATGCGAGATAATTTGCTCCTTTCCTGTAAGTCTACACAAAATACAGCTTCTGGATGGAGAATGTGGCAAAGGAGCCCCTAGGATTTCTTGTGTATTTGGAAATGCTGTTTTTAGTATCAAACAGAAGGCTTGCAAACACTTGTTTGGGATACCGCTTTGGCTCCTCTAAATGAAAAATCATTGTCAAATTTTAAGGCCTAAGAGTCATTGTCTTTAAAATACCAAATTGAATTTTCACATACTGAATTAAAAATTCAAACAAAATTTAAATATTTGGGTAAATTTTTACAATATAAGGCAGTTGAAAAGAAGTCATCCTCAGCTCTCACAAGACTTTGACATCTAAAGCTTGATGTTATTTTAAAACGTACTTAAAATGTTGTGTGTTTTAAAGCTGAATGAAATGTGAGATACCACCAGGCAGTCCCTGATGAAAACAAAAACCACTCCACCTGTGAGCTGCTGCAACAGCTCACCTCTGACCTCTGCCTCCACACTTTCTGAAGTACCAATCTACACATGCTAAAACTTGCTGAAAAATCTGTGATGGCCACACATTGCCCACCAGACACTATCTTAACACGTGGGTGAGTTCTACAAGGCCTTCCTTGGTTTGAAGGCTCCTAAACCAGTTAGGCATTCTATTGTGTTCCCTCTTGCTTATGCGTGTAGTTTTCTGTCATCCTGTCACACTATTCACATCTCTAAAATGGTGATCCATGCCACCATTCCATTCTTCTCATTTTGCCTGCATTTTAAGACTAATCTCAAATTTCCCTAAGAGGGAAAACTTCCAGGAACCTCCCACTTAGACATCCTTGTGCCTGTGTAGAAAGAATACAGGCAAGTACTAAGAATTACTTCTGAGGGGAATGGTGCAGATCAACTCTAACCAAGGCGGAGGTGCAGGTGGATGCATTCCCACTGTGGTTACTCAGAGGCAGACTACCCACTTATACTTCTCAACTACACTTTTGCAGGCTGAGTCCACTACCAACTAAAATTGCTTTCTTTGATTCCACTAGTCAGCTTGCTCAAGGACAGAATGCCCAGACAGCCTTCTCTGCCAGCTGACAGCTTATCAAGTTTATCCCCCCAAAATATGTGTAAACAAGATTCACTGTGCCCTGATTGCCTGAAATTTGCTTTTCTTCTTTCTCTTCTGTTAGCAATTCTGTATTTGATTTTCTCACTCAAATGACAACTGACCTCCTCAAATGTGACTCATTTCCATGAAAATAGCTAAATGGCATGTAAAATAACTTTCTAAAAGTATCTGAATTATTTTTGATAATAACAAACACATGGTAAAACAGTACTGTCAGTATGTTTTTAATAAATTAATTAAAGAAAAGCTGCCGACTTGAAGTAAACACATGTCAATTAGTTAGTTAGTATGGTATTTTCTCTCAATATCCCTAACAAGCTCCAAATAGAAAATTTGCCTTGAGAAAATAAAAACAAAATTTAAAAAAAGAACAACTCTACAATTTGTAATTTCTTTAACTCATCAAGATTTTGTTTACCATTATATTTCATGTTTGCTGGTAGGAGAGGTATTACAATCAAGTGAAAAAATGTGAATTTGGAGTCTAAATCGTGGCTGTTCCAATTGTGTAACCCTAGGCAAGATACCTAGCCCCTCATCATAAGCCTCAGTTTTCTGATCAGTGAATGGACATCATAATGTAAAACTTTATAAAGTTATTTCGAAGATAAATTGAAATAAGCAATGTAAGTTCTTTGAGAACATGGTTGAAAACAATTTTTGTCTCCTGTCTTTGGCAGGATATTCTTATCTGTTACACCAACCCCCTTGCTTGCAGACAGTTTATGCATGTTGCTAAGAAAGATGCATTTCCTAAGAAAGATGGAAAGCCTTTGTAAACTGTACTGTGCTGTAGAACCCCTAGCCCAGGCTGAGGATGAATGAATTTATATAATGTAAAGAATGACCACGAGTGTACGTGTTCACACAGAGGAAAGGATGGGAGGAAGTCAAAAGCCCCTGTGCTGCTATGATACCGACCATCTTAATAACATTGGGATTACTACTAGGCCAAGAGAGCAAGTGATCAGCCTATCTTTTTATTTTTAGCCTGTCACCCAGGCTGGAGTGTGATGGCATGATCTTGGCTCCCTGCAACCTCTGCCTGCTGGGTTCAAGCGATTCTCCTGCCTCAGCCTCCTGAGCAGCTGGGATTACAGGTACGCACCACCATGCCCAGCTAATTTTTTGTATCTTTAGTGGAGACGGGGTTTCACTATGTTGGCCAGGCTGGTCTTGAACCCCTGACCTTGTGATCTGCTCTCCTCGGCCTCCCAAAGTGCTGGGATTACAGGCATGAGCCACCGTGCCTGGCCTTTTTTTTTTTTTTTTTTTTTTTTTTCTGAGATGGAGTTTCGCTCCTGTTGACCAGGCTGGAATGCAATAGCGAGATCTCGGCCCACTGCAACCTCTGCCTCTCGGGTTCTAGCAATTCCCCTGCTTCAGCCTCCCGAGTAGCTGAGATTACAGGCATGTACCACCACGCTCGGCTAATTTGTATTTTTAGTAGAGACGGGGTTTCTCCATGTTGGTAAGGCTGGTCTTTTAACATTAAAATGCTGAAGTGTTGGAAAGGAGAGTAGGGCACTGTTTTTCCCCCCATTACTTAAAATTAAATTTTTAAGCACCCTGTCGATAGATCTCTGGTGATAGTTTGGTAATATTACTGCTGTTAAAAGTCTTTAAGTACCTTTAAGTATTTGAATGTTCTTTTAAAAACTAATTAAGAGCTCAGTGAGTTAACTTTAAAGCAATTCTTTTGAATCTAGTAGATAAAACTAGAGAGTAACAGCAACACACTTAGCAATGAGACTTTATAGATTACAAATTTAAAGAAAACAGAGAAGACCAGAATTTTAAAGCTTGAAAGCCCTTAAAGATGTTATTAATTTAGTGCCATCATTTTATAGGTGAAGAAACTGAATCCCAGAACACATAAGTGATTAACATAAAATCATAAAAAGTGAAAGCTGGATCTGAGATTTCCTGATGACTATTTGGATGGTTAAAAAAAAAAAAAAAAGGAAAGCAAATAAACCAGGTTTAGAAATTAGCTATGTATTTTTCTCTTGTACAACACATTTCCCTGTCCCCAATAGCTAAATACTGAATATCTATATTTGAATACTTAAGTCCTGTTTTTCATTTTTATTTTATGTATCTTAAAATGTAGGCTATGTTTTTAATTGAGGCCTGGTTAGTCTCATTGATTATGGTGCCACTGAGCTCAAGGGAATCAAGTGCGTAGGACACAGGGGTGTTTGGGGGTGCAGATCCAAGTGTCCAGAGGAGGGGATATATTGACAATGTAGCAAAGGATCATCATTCCACATGATGTCAATCCTGCTGACACCTTCACTTTCAGCCTAGTGAGATTTTAGGCTTCTGACCTCCAGAACTATAAGGTAATGCATTTGTGTTGTTTTAAGCTACCACATATTTAGTAATTTGTTGCAGCAGAAATGGGCCATTAATACACATATCGTTGTAAGGCTCAGTTTTTCATTTGCCGAAATGAGGGATGTGATATTTTCAATTGCCTACCTGCTATGAATTTAAGCCTCTTCTCATATGCATGTTGGTCATTTTAATGTTTTTTCTGCACAAACTACTCCATTGATTGTTCTGTCTTTGATGATTTGAAGAAATTTTCTATACCAGAGTTTCTCAAACTCAGTATTATTGACATTTGGGGCTAGATAATTTTTTGTTGTGTGGAGCTGTCTGTTACAGGATGTTTAGCAGTATCCCTGTCACCTACCAACTAAATGAAGGCAGCACCTGTTCTCTAACCTGTTTTAATGACCAAAAATGCCTCCAGAAATTACAAAATATTCCCAGGGGAACAAAAATCAACCCCAATTAAGAACCACTGCTCTGTGTTAACCTGTTCTGAATATTTTATATGCTAATCTATGGTCAGTTATAGGAATCAAAAAAAAACTTTCTAAGACTGGTTTGATAAATATTTTATATTTTAAATATTGGTGCAGCCATTATATCAATCTTTCACTTTATACCTTGTCTACCTTATCTTTTTATGAAGGGTTACTCTATTCCAGTGATCCTCACATGTCAACATGTAAGACAGTCTCCTAGGGGGTTGTTAAAACTAGAATAGGTGGATGCTACCTATGGAGTTTCTGATTCAATATGTCTGGAACTGAGCCCCCAAATTTGCATTTCTAGCAAATTCGCCTAGAATGCTGATACCACTAGTCTAGGGACTATAATAAGATTATTTGTCATAAAATTATTCCTTTTGTCCCCACATCTAGGTCTCTCATTCTCCTAGATTTTCTTTTTGTGTATGAAGTAGGTTTCCAGTTTTATCTTCTTTTTCTCCCCATGGATAGGCAGTTGCATAGCACCATTTTCTGAATTGTCAACTCCTTTGAGTTTATTATGCTATGAGAGATTTCTAATTACTGACATATTTTTAAATGTACTTTTTATTTTAGAATAATTTTTTACTTACAGGAAAGTTGTGAAGATAATATGGGTAGTTCCTGTATAATTCCTACCCAGTTTCCCAACATTTTCCATTAGTATGCAACGTTTGACAGAACTAATGAAACAATAGTGTATTAGTTCATTCTCGCATAGCTATAAAGAAATACCTGAGACTGGATACTTTATAAAGAAAAGAGGCTTAATTGGCTCATCGTTCTGTAGGTTGTATAAGAAGCATGATGCTGGCATCTGATTGGCTTCAGGGGAGGCCTCAGGAGTCTTACAATCATGACAGAAGGCAAATGGGGAGTGAGGCATCTTACGTGGCAGGAGCAGAAGCAAGAGAGAGAGCAAGCGGGGAGGTGCTACATACCCCCAATCAGACCTCATAAGAACTCACTCACCACCACAAGAACAGCAAGGGGCAGTGCAAAACCACTCCTGAAAAACACCTCCATGATCCAATCACCTCACACCAGGCCCCACCTCACACCAGGCCCCAACACTGGGGACCACAGTTGTACTTCAGACTTGGGCAGGGACACAGATCCAAACCATATCAAATAGCAATATGGTATTATTAAATAAAGTTCATACTTTATTCAAATTTACTTAGTTTTTACTTAATGTCCTTTTCTTTTTGCAGAATCCACTCCAGGATATCATAATTACATTTAATTGTCATAGCTCCTTAGATTCCTCTTGGCTGTGACAGTTTATCCGATTTTCCTTACATTTGATGACGTTGGCAGTTTTGAGGAACACTGGTCAGGTATTTTGTATTATTTCCCTCATTTGAGATTTATCTGATGTTCTTCTCATGATTGCTCTGGAACTATGGCTTTTTTTGAAGAAAGATTCTCATCCAGTCATATCAAGGGTACATATAAGCAACATGACTTATCCCTGTTGATGTTAACCTTGATCACTTGGTATTTGTTAGGTTTCTCCACTGTAAAATTACTCCTTTTCGCCTTTCTATACTGTACTCCTTGGAAAAAGATTATTACGTGCAGCCTGTATTTAAGGTGTGGGGAGTTAAGCCCTACATCCTTGAGAGCAGAGTACCTGCATAAAGTATTTGAAATGTTTCTGCACAGGAGATTTGTCTGTCCTTTCTTATTTATTTATTTATATCACTATTGATCATGGATATTTATTTTATACCTTGAATTACAACCCAATACTACTTTATTTTGTTGCCCAAATTCTTCTTTCGCCATTGGGAGTTCTTTTAGTTGGCTCCTATGTGCCTGTGACATGCCTCCAAAACTGTGAGGGCTTTTTGGTTTTTGTCTAGCACTGCCTTGCTTTCTAATACTACAGGAAGCTCCAGGCTCATCTTGCATATTACTTGCCCAGCTTTAAAGTAAGCTATTTCTCCAAGGTGCACAGGTTCCTTTTATTGAAGAAAAGTATTAGAAACCAGTGTCTGAGCACTAGATCTGCTCATTGCTACCGAGTGCCATTGCTTCTAGGTCCTCTCAGATTAAAAACAACAACAAGGAAATATACCTGTGTATACTAATCTATATGTTCATTATATGTTCATAAATAAATGAGTTCATATCAATATCTCCACCTTTAATCCATTATCACATAGATCATTCTGGCTTTCTCCCCTAGCTTGTCTGTGACACTTCAACAGTGAAAAAGCAGGATACCACCTGCCACCATCCATTTACTTAATTGTTCAGTTTCAGTATGCATGTATAGTGATTTGTGAGTTGTTAATATATCTCCTCATGGTAAACTACTTTGCCAAAAAGAATACAGTCCTCATTATATATGGTTCCTTTTGCCTTTTATCTTACAGTCTCCACTCATTTCCAAAGTTACTAAGTCAGTGCTTCCCCTCTCAACACAACTCTTTCAGTGAAGTTATTTCATATGTTTTAATATAGTTTGAATCTTCTGTCAAGTTTAAGTTTCATCCTAGGCTCTCCCAAACTCTTAATTATTTTTCGTTTTTTTTTTTTGTTTTTATTCATTAAGGTTTACTTTCGGTTTGTGAAGTTCTGTGGGTCTTGAAGTCTCATTTTTAAAAATGATATATTGAATTAAATCAGGTTTTCTGTCTATTCCTTCTTGTCTCAGCTTTGGAAATTTATAATTTTTTTATAAAATCCTTTTAATTAAAAACAACTTTTTTAGTTTCCAAATTTATTGGCATAAAGATCTTAATTTTTTGTGATTTATTAACCTCTATTCTACAAGTTGTTATATCCTCTATTTTATTCCTAATGGTTTTATTTTGTATTCTGTGTTTCTTGACTCACGTTACCATAGCTTTGTCTATTTTATTAATCTTTATAAAGAAATTATTTTTAACTTAGGTGAGCCCATCTATAGATTTAATTTGTTTTCAGTTAATCAATTCGCTTTTCCTATCTGTTATTTTATTTGAATTTGCTCAGTTTTCTGATTAAAACTTTTTTTTTTTTTGAGACGGAGTTTCATTCTTGTTGCACTCCTCCTAAGCTGGAGTGCAATGGCATGATCTCAGCTCACTGCAGCCTCCACCTCCTGGGTTCAAGTGATTCTCCTGCCTCAGCCTCCCGAGTAGCTGGGATTACAGGCACGTACCACCACACCCAGCTAATTTTTGCATTTTTAGTAGAGATGGGGTTTCGCCATGTTAGCCAGGCTGGTCTTGAACTCCTGACCTCAGGTGATCTTGGCCTCCCAAAGTGCTGGGATTACAAGCATGAGCCACTACACCCGGCCCTGATTTTAACTTCTTGGATTAAAGGCTGATTTAATTTATGTCAGTTCTTTATTTCCAATATGTTAATTTTAAGATTTCAGATTTCAGTCCATACTTCTTTAGTGGCATCATTTTTGATGTGTAATGCTTTCATTTTTATTTGCATGTAAATATTCTCTAATATCTATTAAGAGTTCTTCTTTAACCCATAAATTATTTAGGTATAGATACATAAGATTTTCTTAGTTGTAATTTTGCTATTTATTGATTTCATTGTTATCTGAGGATATGATATTTATAGTGCTGATTTTCAGGTATTTCTTGAGATTTTCTTTACGTATTAACTAATGTTAGACACAATTCTATATATGTCTATTACTTCGAGCTTATTAATTCTATTGTTCAAATATGCTATATCCCTTCTAATTTTTATATTTTTGATCTATTATTCATTAGGTATATTAAAATCTTGTACTATGAAGACTGTAAATTTGTTCATTTTTCCTAGTAATTTTTTTCAATTTTGCTTTATACATTTTAAAGCTATATTTTTAAATACATACCCATTCTTCCCTTGCATTTTGAAATTTAACAACAATATGCATTGGTGAGTGTCAATTTTAATTTATTGTGTTGAGCCAATTCTTTTTTCTTCTTTTTTTTTTTGAGTTGAAGTCTCATTCTGTCACCCAGGCTGGAGGTTGAGCCAATTCTTTCTGTAAGTTCATCTTCTCCTTCAGCTTTAGGAGATTTTCTTGATTTGTTTCTTTAATATTGTTCTCTCTAATGCTTTTCTCCTCTCTGTTTCTGGGGCTCCTATAACTCATATGTTGAAATCTTCTACAATGATGCTCTAATTTTCATATTATTTACTCCCTCTTTTTACCTTCCCTCTTTCCTTTTTTTTTTTCCACTCATTTCTTTAGTTTTATCTTAGACCACCAGCACTTAACAATGAACACTTCAGTCACCCCATACTAAATTCCACTTAACTCCGTGCTCTTTGACCTCTAGGCCTTCAACGGGCCTCCCTTCTGCCTGAAACGCTCTCTGCTGCTCCTGCAACTACATCTGGATAATGCCTACTCAACTTTGGGTTTTATTTTTCCGAGATAATCCCTTGAGTGGTAGGCATGTTCTCCCTGAGAATATTTGCTATTACTCTTGCTTTTTCCAGGTGTCATCATCAGCCCTATAGCCATATGTATGAAATGTTTTGACTTGGCGGTTTCCAAACCAATAGATATTAGTTCAAATACAATCTTGAGCAACTTATAGGCTCAGAATTTTTATTTCTAAATAAATTCCTTCTCACTAGATGTTAAAACCAGAGGGGCAACCTCCTTCTCTTTTATTTGTGTGATATATTTTATTATAGGTCTTCCTTCCACCAACAGTGTAGGTCCTCACCAAGGGACCCAAGCTTTACAAAGGGTCTTACTTCAAGTTCCCCACCTACTCCAGGCCAAAGCCTTATCTTCTGTCACTATGGAAAAAATGAAACCTGAGCTTTTAAATTACTAGGATAATAAAACTCCACCTCAATGTTTATGCATTTACAAAAATTTGGTTACATTTACTAAACTATTCTAAAGTTTTTAATAATCTTTCCAGAAACAGAAATCTAGGATAATAATTTCAACTGGAAAAAAATGTTTATTTCAAGATAATTGAGGTTTCTGATTCAACAAACACCAACATTGACAATGTTGGACCAACAATGTCTTAGTCTGATTACATGTCATCTCATTTAATATTCATAAATATATCTATGATATATAGGGACAGCTCTATTACTCAGTAGTATTACTATTACTCAATACTATTACTCAAGCAAAAGAGCTGAACCTTACGGTTAAACTCTAAAGTCTACCTGATAATTAAAATCAAGTCTACTGATTGCAAGTTGAGTCCATGATATCACACTTGCAAAAGCGTACATTTAATTACAACAAAAATAACAGCTTATATTTAGTGAGCATTTACTGTGTGCCAGATCATTCACATGCACCCTTCAATATTTTCCAAAACATTCTTATGATATAGCATTCTTATAAAATATAATTCTTTGAATTTTATGTATGAGGATATTTTATCTATTGGAGAAGAAACTTGTTTCAGTTCATACAATAGTATGTGGTTGAGACTTTATCTGAATCCATCATGTTTGAATTTGTGCTTTTAAATACTACTGTATTGACTTCTCAAACTGTCAATACTGGTTTTTTTTATTTTTTTTATTTCCATATGTTATTGGGGAACAGGTGGTATTTGGTTACATGAGTAAGTTCTTTAGTGGTGATTTATGAGATTTTGGTGCACCCATCACCCTAGCAGCATACACTGCACCCTATTTGTAGTCTTTTATCTCTCACTCCCTTCCCAGCCTTTCCTCCTGAGTCCCCAAGGTCCATTGTGTCATTCTTATGCCTTCGTATCCTCATAGCTTAGCTACCCCTTATGAGTGAGAACATAAGATGTTTTGTTTTTCATTCCTGAGTTACTTCACTTAGAATAATAGTGTCCAGTCTCATCCAGGTTGCTGCGAATGCCATTAATTCATTCCTTTTTATGGCTGAGTAGTATTCCATCGTATATATACACCACAGTTTCTTTATCTACTCATTGACTGATGGGCATTTGGGTTGGTTCCGTGTTTTTGCAATTACAAATTGTACTGCTATACACATGTGTGTCCAAGTATCTTTTTCATAAATGACTTCATATCATCTAGGTAGATACTGAGTAGTGGGATTGCTGGATTGAATGGTAGTTCTACTTTTAGTTCTTTAAGGAATCTACACACTGTTTTCCATAGTGGTTGTACTAGTTTACATTCCTACCAGCAGTGTAGAAGTGGTCCCTGTTCGCCGCGTCCGTGTCAACATCTACTATTTTTTTATTTTTTTGATTATGGCCATTCTTGCAGGAGTAAGGTGGTATCACGTTGTGGTTTTGATTTGCATTTCCCTGATCATTAGTGATTTTGAGCATTTTTCTATATGTTTGTTGGCCATTTGTGTATCTTCTTGTGAGAATTGTCTATTTATGTCTTAGCCCACTTTTTGATGGGATTGTTCGTTTTATTCTTGTTGATTTGTTTGAGTTCATTGTAGATTCTGGATATTAGTCCTTTGTCAGATGTATACGTTGTGAGATTTTGTTTCCCCACTTTGTGGGTTGTCTGTTTACTCTGCTGACTCTTCCTTTTGCCATGCAAAAGCTCTTTAAGTCCCATCTATTTACCTTTGTTTTTATTGCATTTGCTTTTGGGTTCTTGGTTATAAAATCCTTGCCTAAGCCAATGCCTAGAAGGGTTTTTCCAATGTTATCTTCTAGAATTTTTATAGTTTCAGGTCTCAGATTTAAGGTCTTAATCCATCTTGAGTTGATTTTTGTGTAAGGTGAGAGATGAGGATCCAGTTTCATTCTCCTACATGTGGCTAACCAATTATCCCAGCACCATTTATTAAAAAGGGTGTCCTTTCCCCCACTTTATGTTTTTGTTTGCCTTGTCAAAGATCAGTTGGCTGTAAGTATTTGGGTTTATTGCTGGGTTCTCTATTTTGTTCCATTTGTCTAAGTGCCTATTTTTACACCGGTACCACGCTGTTTTGGTGACAATGGCCTTATAGTACAGTTTGAAATCAGGTAATGTGATTCCTCCAGATTTGTTCTTTTTGCTTAGTCTTGCTTTGGCTATGCAGGCTCTTTTTGGTTCCATATGAATTTTAGAATAGTTTTGTTTAATTCTGCGAAGAATGACGGTGGTATTTTAATGGGAATTGCATTGAATTTGTGCATTGCTTTTGACAGCATGGTCATTTTCACAATATTGAGTCTACCCATCCATGAGCATGGGATGTGTTTCCATTTGTTTTTGTCATCTATGATTTCTTTCAGCAGTGTTTGGTAGTTTTCTTTGTAGAGGTCTTTTACCTCCTTGGTTAGGTATATTTCTAAGTTTTTTGTTTTGTTTTGTTTTGGTGTTTTGGTTTTGTTTGTTTGTTTTTGCAGCTATTGGAAAGGGGTTGAGTTCTTTATTTGATTCTCAGTTTGGTCACTGTTAGTGTATATAAGAGCTACTGATTTGTGTACATTAATTTTATATCTGGAAACTTTGCTGAATTCTTTTATCAGTTCTAGGAGCTTTCTGGAGAAGTCTTTAGGGTTTTCTAGGTAAATGATCATATCATCAGCAAACAGCAACAGTTTGACTTCCTCTTTACCAATTTGGATGCCCTTTATTTCTTTCTCTTGTCTGATTTTTCTGGCTAGGATTTACAGTACTATGTTTAAGAAGAGTGGTGAGAGTGGGCATCCTTGTCTTGTTCCAGTTCTCAGAGTGAATGCTTTCAACTTTTCCCCATTCAGTATCATGTTGGCTGTGAGTTTGTCATAGACGGCTTTTATTAGATTGAGGCATGTTCCTTGTAGGCCGATTTTGCTGAGAGTTTTAATCATAAAGGGGTGCTGGATTTTGTCAAATGCTTTTTCTGCATCTATTGAGATAATCATGTTATTTTTGTTTTTAATTCTGTTTATGTGGTGTATCACATTTATTGACTTGTGTATGTTAAACCCTCCCTGCATCCTTGTTATGAAATCCACTTGATCATGGTGGATTATCTTTTTTATATGTTGTTGGATACAGTTAGCTAGTATTTTTTATTAGGGATTTTAGCATCTATGTTCATGAGGGATATCAGACTGCAGTTTTCTTTTTTGGTTATGTCCTTTCCTGGTTTTGATATTAGGATGATACTGGCTTCATAGAATGATTTAGAGAGGTTTCCCTCTTTCTCTATCTTGTGGAATAGTGTCAATAGGATTGGTACCAATTCTTCTTTGAATGTCTAGTAGAATTCTGTTGTGAATCATCTGGTCCCGGACTTTTTTGCTGGTAATTTTTAAATTACCATTTCAATCTCACTGCTTGTTATTGGTCTGTTCAGGGTATCTAATTCTTCCTAATTTAAGCTAGGAGGGTTGTATCTTTCCAGGAATTTACACATCTCTTCTAGGTTTTCTAGTTTATGTATGTAAATGTGTTCATAGTAGCCTTGAATGATCTTTTGTATTTCTGTGGTGTCAGTTGTAATGCCTCCTGTTTTATTTCTTATTGAGCATATTTGGATTTGCTCTCTTTTTTTCTTGGTTAATCTTGCTAATGTTCTATCAATTTTGTTTATCTTTTCAAAGAACCAGCTTTTTGTTTCACTTATCTTTTGTATTGTTTTTTGTTTGTTTATTTCAATTTCACTTAGTTCTGCTCTGATCTTGGTTATTTCCTTTCTTCTGCTGGTTTTGGGTTTGATTTGTTCTTGTTTCTCTAGTTCCTTGAAGTGTGACCTTAGATTGTCTGTCTGTGCTCTTTCAGACTTTTTGATGTAGGCATTTAGGGCTCTGAACTTTCTTCTTAGCACCGCCTTTGTTTTATCCCAGAAGTTTTGATAGGTCGTGTCACAACTGTCATTCAGTTCGAA
Organism: Homo sapiens; assembly: GCF_000001405.40. NCBI lineage: Eukaryota > Metazoa > Chordata > Mammalia > Primates > Hominidae > Homo > Homo sapiens. The sequence goes on from NC_000003.12 coordinate 36,189,677, forward strand.
GAATTTTTACATTTCTGTCTCCATTCCATTTTTGACCCAGTGATCATTCAGGAGCAGATTATTTAATTTCCATGTATTTACATGGTTTGGAAGGTTTGTTTTGGAGTTGATTTCCAGTTTTATTCCACTGTGATCTGAGAGAGTGCTTGATATAATTTCAATTTTCTTAAGTTAATTGAGGCTCGTTTTGTGGCCTATCGTGTTCTATCTTGGAGCATGTTCCATGTGCTATTGAATAGGATGTATATTCTGTGGTTGTTGGATGGAATGTTCTGTATATATCTGTTAAGTCCATTTGTTCCAGAATATAGTTTAAATCCATTATTTCTCTGTTGACTTTCTGTTTTGATGACCTGTCTAGTGCTGTCAGTGGAGTTTTGGAGTCTCCCATTATTATTGTGTTACTGTCTATCTCATTTCTGAGGTCTATTAGTAATTGTTTTATAAATTTGGGAACTCCAGGGTTAGGTGCATATATGCTTAGGATTGTGATTTTTTTCTTGGACAAGGCCTTTTATCAATATATAATGTCCCTCTTTGTCTTTTTTAACTGCTGTTGCTTCAAAGTTTGTTTTGTCTAATATAAGAATAGCTACTCCTGCTTGCTTTTGGTGTCCATTTGCATGAAATGTCTTTTTCCACCCCTTAACCTTAAGTTTGTGTGAGTCCTTGTGTATTAGGTGAGTCTCTTGAAGGCAGCAGATAGTTGGTTGGTGAACTCTTATTCATTCTGCAGTCCTGTATCTTTTAAGTGGAGCATTTAGACCATTTACATTCAATGTTAATATTGAGATGTGAGGTACTATTCCACTCATCATGCTATTTGTTGCCTGTATGCCTTTTTTTGTTTTTGTTTTTTAAATGGTATTTTTGTTTTATAGGTCCTGTGAGATTTATGCTTTAAAGAGGTTCTGTTTTAATGTGTTTCCAGGATTTGTTTCAAGATTTAGAGCTCCTTTTTATAGTTCTTGTAGTGGTGGTTCAGTAGTGGCGAATTCTCTTAGTATTTGTTAGTCTGAAAAAGACTATTTTTTCTTCATATATAAAGCTTAGTTTCACTAGATACAAAATTCTTGGCTGATAATTGTTTTGTTTGAGGAGGCTGAAAATAGGGCCCCAATCCCTTCTAGCTTGTAGGGTTTCTGCTGAGAAATCTGCTGTTAATCTGATAGGTTTTCCTTTATAGGTTATCTGGTGCTTTTGTCTCACAGCTCTTAAGATTCTTTCCTTTGTTTTGACCTTAGATAACCTGATGACGATGTGCCTAGGTGATGATCTTTTGCACTGAATTTCTCGGGTGTTCATTGTGCTTCTTGTGTTTGGATGTTTAGGTCTCTAGCAAGGTCAGGGAAGTTTTCCTCAATTATTCCCCCAAATATGTTTTCCAAACTTTTGATTTCTCTTCTTCCTCAGGAACACAGATTATTTTTAGGTTTGATCATTTAACACAATCCCAGACTTCTTGTAGGCTTTGTTGATATTTTCTTATTCTTTTTTGTCTTTGTTGGATTGGGTTCAAAGACTTTGTCTTTGAGCTCTGAATTTCTTTTTTCTATTTGTTCAATTCTATTGCTGAGACTTTCCAGGACATTTTGCATTTCTATAAATGTGTCCATTGATTCCTGAAGTTTTGGTTGTTTTTTTCATTTATGCTATCTATTTCCTTGAATATTTCTCCCTTCATTTCTTGTATTCTTTTTTGGATTTTCTTACATTGGGCTTCGCCTTTCTCTGATGCCTCACTGATTAGCTTAATAACTAACCTCTTGAATTCTTTTTCAGGTAAATCAGGGATTTCTCCTGGGTTTGGGTCCATTGCTGGTGAGCTAGTGTGATTTTTTGGGGGTGTTAACAAACCTTATTTTGTCATATTACCAGAGTTGGTTTTCTGATTCCTTCTCATTTGGGTAGTCTCTGTCAGAGGAAAGGTCTAGGGCTGAAGGCTGTTCACATTCTTTTGTCCCACAGGGTGGTCCCTTGATGTAGTACTGTCCCCCTTTTCCTATAGATGTGGCTTCCTGAGAGCCGAGCTGCAGTGATTGTTGTATCTCTTCTGGATCTAGCCACCCAGCAGCCTACCAGGCCCCAGGCTGGTACTGGGGGTTGTCTGCGCAGAGTCCTGTGATGTGACCCATCTGTGGGCCTCTCAGCTGTGGATACCAACACAGTATTTGGGGTGTCTCCTGGGTCCTGCAGGAACAATCCACTTCCTTCAGGGGGTCTGTGGGTCCTCTCAGGTTTTCTGATTTATTCCTGCAGACAGTCTGGAGCAAAAGTTCATGATGTGAACCTCCACACGCTGCTACGTCTGTCCACTCAGAGCTGTAATATAGTCCTGTCTCCCATCTGTCCTGATCCACTTGTCTATTAATACTGCTATTTTTAATTTGTGAATTTACTAGAGTCAGCTATTAACACAAACAGAATTCTTTAACTTGACATGAAACTATTTTCTGACAACTTTTGCTGAATAGTATAGGAAGATGTAATTCAACATGATTAAATGCTTACTATATTACTATGCTCAAGTGTTGCCATTTTCTTATTTCTGATTCAGCCATATTATTGTGTTATGACAAGTGAGTGAGGAGGTGACTGTAGGAAGGGGTGGTTAGAAAGTTTATAAACAAAGAGTTTATCAAAGGTTTTGTTATTTTTATTCAATCAATCCCTATGTGAACTTAAATATGGAACACATAAGATACTTTATGTAGCTCAAAGTTTCTAACAGAATAAGAAATTCAGAGTAGATATTAAAGGATTATCAATAAACATATAAGTGGAAGACTATCAGAGTTACATGTGAAAAATTAGATACTAGTTGCCTGATAGTGTCACTGCTTTGACAAAAACAACATTTTGGGGGATTTCTGGACAATAGGTAGAACCACCACAAGTCTGTGCCTTTGTCAAAGAACTGATAAAAGTATTGAAGGGGCAATGAAATCAATGATCTAACATGAACAGAAAATGTGACTTTATAAAATCCAGAATGGCAGCCAGTACATTAAGCATAATGAGGACAATGCAGGATTTGGGGCCAGACAGACCTGGACTTGAAGTTAGTCTCTATCATTTGGTAAGTTTGTGAGATTCTCTTGGCTCATTCTTTAAATGAAGATCATGGAATCTATCCTGTTAGGTTTAGGCTGTTAAAGACGAACAATTTTAAAAGCCTATGATCCAATTTGAACTTGAGAAATGGGAATTACTACATTATTATTGTTTTATATAGAGATAAATATGAATGAAAAATGCTTTTCTGGGTTCTGGGTCACTGTTTTTGAGATTCAGGATTATTTTCCCCTGGCTAAAAAGCACAGCTTCTGCAGCAATCTGACTTGGCAGGCATTACAATGTACAGAAGGAGAAACAAAACCCCACTCAAAAGGCTTTCTTCAGTCTAAAAATAAATGTTCCCTTACCTGGCCATTGCTTTGTCTCTAGCCTATTTGAGAATCCCTGCCTCTTGCTCTGTGTGGCATGCTGCACCTGCTCTGTGCTCCTGTTCAATCATCAGGGACTAAAAACAGGAAAAGGTCTCCTCTTTAATATGATTTCCAGGTGTGCTCAAAAAACTTGGCTGCATCAGGAGCCAAAATTCTTCCCATTGATCAAGCAAGACAACTCTCATTATCTGCTGTCTAAATTGAAATTATGTCATGGCATAAGTTATATGGAATATTGATGGGGAATAAGAGGATGAAGAGGTGATAACTTAAAAAAGCTTTGACAATACCTATTTTGATTATATCACATGAAAATATGAGCCCCAAAGAAACATGTATTGAACATATATTGAGTTTTGACAATGAACAGGCCTTGAGGCTCCACTAAGTGCAAGACCCTGTGCCAAAGATGTTGATATTAGGCACCCATGGAAAGATGACTAATGATGCAAGATAATGGAATACAGGAAGTGCCTTGTGAGTCTACATTCAAGAAAAACAATGGGAGGAAGTTCTGTCTGAGCTGATTATCATAATTTCACATGCTATATTGTGAAAGTTGTACGTTGCACGTGGTTCCCTAGCCAAGGAGACAAGTGGGTTGATAATTCACCCTGTACTTGCTCACCAATCAGGACACTCTAACTCAGGGCTGAGTTTACCTAGAGGAAGAGAAGCTTTCCTCTAAGTCTCACAAGGAGCCACACTGGCAAATTGGGTATCCATTTCATTGGCTCTCTCATTCATTGACCAATATTTATTGTATTTCTGTATCATCACTAACCTAGATCCCTTCCCTATCTTTGATAAACCAACAGGCCCATGATCAGGAAGTTCTGTAGAAGGGACTGGCCTCCCATCTAAGGAGCTTCTTCATTTAATGTGTCCTAATCATTCTCTCTCTCCTTGAGGGACACACACTTATTTATGTAACATCTCCATCAAATAAATAATTGGAAATAGAGAAAACATTGTGTAACAGCAATTCCCTACTATGTAGCTCTTTATTGTGTACATAGAAGGTTCATAAACTGCCTTTTTGATCCTCACAACAATTAGTGGGAAGGCCAGGATGAGTATCTACATCCCATTTGACAGTGACTGAGGCTCTGAAGATAATTCTAGGTCCCAGATATAGGTAGGCTCAAGGATGTCTATTGCACATACATCTTGGCAATTAAAACAATGGTTTTCCTGTTTTATAACACAATTTTGACACATTTATAAATGGCTGATTCAAAAATGTCTCCCAGATCAGAATAACCTCAACAAATCAGTCAAGGTAAAATGGCCTTTGACATCACTCACATCCCCATACATGAAATTTAGCAAGTAAAATCTTTACACAGATTTTTAATCAGATTAGCAGATGAATTAAAAGATGATGTATAAAACAGATTAAAACATTAGAATTAAAATGTTTATTGTCAATACAAAATTTGATCAGTACTGATCTGTTTTCAGATCCGTCTTATCTGGGGAGAGGTAAGACTGATGTGAAAATTCCAAAATGATTCTTCCAAATTAAATAATTCATCTTTGTCAGCTCTTAATCCAGCTGATGTCAGCAGGTAACAGTCTGCACAATGAACTTTTTTTCCCACAGTGCCATGGCACACCCATGGCGGGATTCATTACTGACACTCTCAGCCTGAACACTAATCCCGTGAAGCTTCTGACCAGCTCTCAGTTCTGTTTCTCCAATACCCTGAGAGATTTCACAGTCTAATTAGTCTTGAACATGAATGTGAATAAAGAATAGCCTTTGGTGGCCTGGCCAGCTCTTACCTCTTCTCCTTGCTCTCCACATTGTCTTACTGTCTGATGTTACCAGATTCGTCTTCTCAAAGCATGATACATGGTTTTCATATTAACTCTCAGGTTCAAAACTTCCATGACCTTATTGCCAATTGCCTATAATTAAAGAGAAAAGTCCTTAGCTTGGAATTTAAGCCCTCCACAGTGTGATTCCAACCTCCATTTCTGTCCATTTTTCTCGCTAGTTCCTTCACAAATACACAACTACTCTGTTATTTATGCACATACCCATGCCCCTGCTAATAGAAGTGTACACATCTTAAATACTCTCTTCTTTCTCACAATTGCATGTACAAAGTCTACTAGTGTTGCACCTAAATGATATCTCCACAAAAACTTTCACTGATTCCTTCTAGCTGGGAATAATCACACGTACCTCTGAATTTTAATGTGTTCTAAGTGTTCCCATCTTAAGTATCTTTTGCTTTTTGCTTTGTATTATATACTTCAGAATAAAACCTTTCTGAGGGTAGGGGGTCTGTCATACTTCATTCCTTTGACGTATTACCTGATATTTATAAATTTTTCACAACAAATTGGTAAATACAGTCATAACTACTCCGCATTTTGCCTTACTCCTCATTGTAACAGAATAATTATCACTCTAGGGTCCCGGGCAAGTAGAATCTATCTAGCACTCCCAGTTATTACTGATTCCACTTCTCAGTGGAAAACCATTTAAGTTAACAATTTATCTGAATGCACACACGGAGGGGCCATCAGCGCTTCCAGCTATGGCTGAAAGATCTAGGGAAAGTTTTTTTCCTTGGCAGCTGTAAGGAAGGGACATTGTTGATTGAGCTAGGAAAGCAAGAGCTTCACTAAGAGAATATTCATATGCTCTGCCATAATGAATTTGTGCAGTTCATTGCATTTTTCAGTCATAAAAATAACATTTTATTTTGTAATTTGCATACTAAATTTGGACTCTATTTGTACACTGTTTACAAGGTAAAAAGCAAGCATACTAACTAACAATTGCTGTGTCCTGGGCAAGTATATCAAAGTGGATCTGGATACAAAAAAACAGGTGGAACATGTAACAGGATGGTATGGGGATGCTCCAGTGGAGACCCAGGTTCCGGCTTCTCATCTCAGCAGGACAGATGTGTGACACTCACTGCCAAAGACCAACCCAAGGTAGAAAAGTTCAGAAATCAAAGCTCCTGGGGCAGCAAGGTAGAGTTTAAAAGAAATAACTGTGAGAATAAATGATTTTGGTTATGAGGGGACCTGGCTGTTGATAGTCTCTCACCAATCTAATATGTGACTTGGTCATCATGAGTCATATTATTTGTGGCCATGTGTAACCTTCACTTCCCATGCCAGAGCTATGCAGTGTGTCACCTGTGAAATGTAGAACACACTCAGCCATCCTTGGCAAATGGTATTTTCTATTGAATTGTAATCCAAGGAGGCTTAGAAATTCTGCCTGGTGCTTTTTCCTCCTTCTCTTCTCATTTGAGGGAATGACATTTTTAGTGAAGAATCTCTGCTGACTGTCTGTTGTTTAAGAAGGCTGAGATTACCTTTCTCTGAATATCTGCTATCTAATAATCACTTTGGGAAGTAGGTTGTTTCATCCCCATTATACAGATGAAAAACAGCTCAAAGAGCTGAATCCCTGGCTCAGGGACCTTCAGGTGGTAACTGGCAGAGCTAGGATCTGAGTCTGGGCAGGTTTGTATAGTTCCCTTGGCTAAACTTGCCCCAGTACCCAACCCTACCTCTCTCCAGTGATTGGTGAGCTCTCTGGAGCCCTACTTCCTGCAGATGAAACACTGGCATGATCATACCGTTTTAGTGTAGTTACAAGATTAAGCAAATAAAAATACAGACAAATAACAAATAACGTTTAGTATAACTGTGTCATAAGCAGTATTTGTGTCCTGTATTTTGTCTGGAAAGCCTATTTTAAGGAGGATCTTTGTTAAATTACCTTATTCACTGTATCCCCAGAAGACATCCTGGCTCTCTATTTTAGATGGAGCTAAAAAGATACTTCTGTTGATTTATTCCTTAAGGGAAATGACCAGAGCTGAATAATTTCTGAACCCACTATTAGTGCTTGGCATGAAACTTTTTATATCTAGAAGTAGCAGACAAATAAGCATTGAATAAATTTCCTAAAGTTAAGATAGACAACCTTATTTACATATTGTAAAATCACTCATAATGATGTTTAGATCAGCAAGATAGTGTATTAGTAATGGGTAAGAAAAAACAGAAGTAAAAGGAAAGGGTAATAATGCAAATGAGGTTGGAACAATTAATATAAAAATCCAAATCATGAAGATTTGCTGTATATGGATAACAGAGAAGCATATGGTTCTACCACAAGCTCTTTTGGGCACCTTGCCTATTTCTCAACCTAGATATGTGAACAGTTGTAAGTCAGAAATATCCTGGCACCCCCTTGTTTCCCCACTGCCAGGGCTGCAGACTTAGTCCTGACCAGGCTTAGGGACAAGTCTGACTTGGGAAGGCACCTGAAAAGCCCAGTTTCATTTTCTGGTAACTCAGCCTCACCCCAGCGGGCTGCTGCCCTAGATGTGGACATTTTATCCTGGTTTTGACATCATAGAAAGTACTCATGGTCTACTAAGAGAGAGACACTTGAACTCATTCTCAATAGCCCCATTAGGGACTAGATTCTCTTCTGGAACCCAGTGGGTAGCACCTAGCTCCCTTCTCCAACATGTCTTTGTTTCACTTAACAGCCTGGACATCATCATGTTGCTTTCTGTACTTCTGTTTCCTTCCTCAGGTTATGAGTTAAGATATTTTATCACCCCCTTTGAGTAACACTCTTTAGTAGATAATAACTTTGCTCCACCTAGATCTGTTTGGATCCCCTTTTGCCATTTTTATATGTACACACACCATTCAATATCCCTTTGCTTTCAATTGATGTAACATCCATTTCAAAGAGAACTGTCTGCAGACTTTCGTAGCCCCATCAACTCACAGCAAGAAAAGGCAGAGTATCTAGGAATTTACATTCTCCCCCTATCTTGGGCAGCCTACCAGGATTAGGAATATGTAAACCCAATCTCCTATTCCTTGGGGTTTCCTTGCAGCATAACCTCATGGTGGCATAGCTTACACTTCACTTCAGAGTTTCTCTGTGGGATGAGGCTAAAAACTACCTTCTGTGGGACTTTGCTTGGCTTCCTTCCTTTCCTTGTTTCCTCCACTCTTTTACTGGTTCCCTCTAAAAGTACTCCCTTAATAAAACATTGCATATAAATCCTTGCTTAGGTTCTACTTCTAGAAAACCCAACTTAAGGCACCCTATACCATACCTGTTGCCCTCTTGTTATGGAGTTGGACTAGTCCAGAATCTCCTGGATTTCCCAAGTAGGCAGGTGTAGTCACAAATCAAGGTTATTTCCACCTTCCTGCAGGGGCTTGGTATGCCAGAAAATAAAAGAGTAGTTTCTAATTCATATCTTGCATTACTCTATCTCAGCAGGAGATGCAACAAGCCTTGTGAGGCTGTGCTAATCTCCATGCAGACTGCTAGCTCTTTTGCATTTAGAATTCAAACCTTTTCATCAAACCTTATTAGTATTGGAGGTGTGCTGTTGACTCTGCTATTTGAAATTTGTTTCTGGGACATTGATTTACTACCTGTTATTTTACTGATATATATTTATAATAAGATACCTGAATTTTATTATTCCATCCTTTTAAATTCCCAAGACATGCAAAGAAAAAAAGAAGTTCATTGTCCTTCCAGTGGGACTGATTCTCAAGGAACTGTAATACTTTATTTCTCAGAAATAGTTGTACTCTGTGGCAGTGAAATTGTAAGATGGATGAGGTTAGAAAAGTGACTGTTGTCTCCCATTAGAAGCTTGATAGGGGGAATAAAATGCAAGACTTGATCAAGACCATCCAGGGAGTCAATGACAAGGAAAGAGGAAAAGCATCTCAAAGCTGTGTGCACTCAGCAAAGAAGAACTTTTCTCTGTATTTAATGTCTGTCATTTGGGCAGGTGTTCCCTCTGTCCAAATCTTCCCCAAACAGAAACAAGATTAGTCCTTTTCTCTTCTGTGTCCCCACAATCCTCTTCTGAAGCTCTTGAGAGAAATCGCAAGAGATATAGTTTCCAATGCTATCTTGAGCCATCTGAGAGCTGATGCTGTCTTATTTCTCTCTTAATATCTAGTACCAAGCAGTGAACCATTTTTATAGTGATGGTCTAAAAATAAACTATACAGAGTAGAACTCAATAAGGAGTTATCCTTGCCATCAAAATATTATTGACTAAGGAAGAAATGGAAAGGATGGAAAAGATTAAGTAATTGATTCCAGCAACAAAAAAAAGATCACGATGTTCACCCTTTACACTTTCTCACTATGGAATTAGACACATCCACATTCAAAAAGGGATGTGGTGCTCAAAATATTAAAGGGCTTCATGACTATCACTATAGTGTGATCATTCATCACTAGCTCAATCATTCTTTCACTGTCTGTTTGTAAACATAAAAGAAAATTACCCTTTCAGAGAAAAATTTGCTTTTATGAGCAACTCAGGGTGAATAATACAAATGGCTATCCATCTCGGGATGACTCTGGGCATAAATCAGATAATTATACCTGGAAATGGAGAACCAGAAAAGACTAGAATGCATGCCCACTGAGTGGGTGAGCTGTTAAAAATGCCCCAGGAACATGAGAAAAAGAGGCAAGTGAGGAAGGCAGAATGTATCACCAAAAATGTGTTCATTTAAATGGATGAACTCCACAGACAACAGTAAACTATAGAAGAAGACCTGAAAGGGTAGATCGTGTGATTCTTTTTATGCAAAGTATGAAAACAGACAAAGCCAATCTATTCTATTCAAAATCAGAATAACAGTTGCCCTCTATTGTATAGATAAGGACTAGAAGGGATGAGGGCTCTGTGCTGGCAATATTCTGTTTCTTGATCTGGGTTCTGGATACATAAACTTATTGTTCATGAAATTTCAGTATGATATACACTAATGGGCACTTTTTAATGTATATTAGTCTTTATAAAAAAGGAGAACTGCAATTGGCTGTTGGCTGAGTTTCCTTTCTCCTCCCCAAAATATGAAAGGAGAGATAGTTCTCATTTCTTAAATTTCAGAATATTACCAAGAATCATTGTCCCAACAGTGGACTTTGGAGGAATTCAAGGTTGGAGTTCATATTGAAGCTTACTGAGTGGCCTTCTGGAGAAAAGTCCCCACATACTTTTTTCTCCCTTCAATTTCTTCTTGAACATAGACAGCTTATAAATTGAAACATGACTGAGGGAGAACCTTACGCTCCGAAAGGAAAGGACATTGGAGAATCACTGTACTATGCTGGAAATTTCTGGTGATCTCTTATTCTCATTAATGGGCTTTCTCTGAACTGCCCTTCCTCACACTAGAGGGTAAGAGCCAAGCATTGTTCTACTGTATTTCATCAAAGCTAAAATGTACCTCTCCACCTTTTATGTACATATATGCACATGAAGAGACATAACCATAGATTTCCAGATCTGTCTCATCCTGAACCCTGCTATTTAATATTTTGTTCAGTTTTATGCTTGGATTCCAATTATTTTCTGTACGTTCCTCATTCCTAGCTAAAATCAGCTTCCTATGGAAAGTTTGTCTATCTAGGTCTTGCTTCTGTCCCTAGGCAACAGAGGTTTCATAATTTGCCTTTCCTCCTAAACAAAGAGTTCCAGAGTCTGCACGATCCATCTCCTCTGACAACCTCATTACCTCCATCTTGAAATGCTTACATGGATTCCTAGAAAAGCTTTGAGTTATTTTATCAGCATGCCACTTTATTAGTCTGCCCCAGCTTCCATAACAGAACACCACAAACTGAGTGGCCTAAAAAAATACATTTATTTTCTCTCAGTTCTGGAAGTTGGAAGTCCAAGATCAAGGTGCCATCAGGGTTGGTTGGTGAAGTCTCTCTTCCTGGCTTGCGGACTGTGTCTTCACATGGTCTTTCTTCTGTGCATGTGTGGAAAGAGAGAGATGGTGTCTCTTCCCCTTTTTAAAAGACAGCAGTCTTCTCAGATTAGGGTCCCACCCTTATGACCTCATTTAACCTAATGACCTCCTTAAAGGTCCTGTCTCCAAATAGAGTTATATTGGGGATTAGGGCTTCAACATGTAAATTTGGGGATAACACAATTCAGTCTATCACCATCACATTACCTTCTGTTTTGTTTGTTTGTTTAGCATTTTTGGAGTCATATGCCTCATTAAGTATTTTTTTTTCTGCTTATAGAAAACCACTTTGGAGAATACAAGACTATTAGCCATGGATCTACTAATGGAATTTAAACCCAGTTTTATCTTAGGCTTGTATTTATAATATCATTATCAAAATAATTATACAACAATGATTCTATCAGTAGCTGCCAAACTTTACACAAATCCAATGCTCTGTTGTTACAATTTCACATGTGGATGTCTGCTCTTGTAGCATTTGATAGAATTTTGCGTATTCTTTTCTCCCAACAGTGGGGCAAGGTCAGTGAAGTTGCTCTTGAGACAACAGCAGTAATGGAAAGTTGCTACAGATGGATACATGGGCTAATTGCTTTGCCTGAAAATGACTGACAAATTTCAGCCTGTGAAGGCTGCTCTGTGCCTCATTTTAGGGGATGCTATGAAGCTACTAGTGAACTTTCAACATGGACTGCAAAGGAGAGCTGTTTGCACTAGATATCTCTAGCTCTGCTTATTAGAAACATAGGTGGCTTTCAGGCCCAGCACCTCCCAGATGTGCCATGTATGCCCCTCCCCCACAATTACAGTCCTGGCTTTGGGTCAAGTTTCAGCAGTGCATATGCCAGACAGGATCAGTCACTCAGGATGCAACAAAATCATTGCTATATTTTCTCTAAACAGTGTATCTGCTGAGGACAATAATTTCCTTTTTAACAATCTATTTCCAGTAAGGATTAGAGCTCTCTAATAACTTGTGATCTTCTGTAGACAGAAGACAGCTTTTTATTCCTTTAGTATAAATAGAATTCTAGAAATACAGAAAGTTTTAGGGCCACCAAAGTTGAGAGAGCCTACTTACTAATTGTGTGTATCTCAGTTTCCTCGTTTGCAAAATGAGATATTATATTAAATGAATTGGTATATATTGCAAAGGCTCTTTTATGGGCATAGTTATCACTATTATTAAGGTTATTATGATTACTATTTTTAATATTAACCCCCAAATATTTACTAAGTGCACACAAGGTGCAAAGCACACCTTACATATGTTGAAATATCCTTTTATGTCCCTATATTTAAGAAACAATGAGCTAGGCCAACCTCTTTTTTTAAAGACTAAGAAGCTAAGATTCAGAGGAGGGGAATAGTTTACTTAAGGTCATATGGCTACTGTTTTCATTACATCAACAGACTTCATATAAAAAGAGAATAAAGCATGACATATTCAGTCAAATGACCCCAAACTTAATGCTAACCTGTAACTATCACCTTTTGTGTTCGAAAACATCTATGCTGAAATAAGCAGACTGCATGAATTAGGGAAAGGCTGGGCCGGGAAATGTTTACAGTGCTTAGCATGATTCTGTCTTTATGGTCTCTTTCTGTTTCTTACACACTGAGGCTTCCCCTGCCAATTTGTCCAATTTAAGATGGCACTTTGGTGACCAACCCTGGCAGAACACACTGTTTACTGATAAGACAATCCAGCACCATCAGCAGTCACTGCCAGGCCCAGCTTAGCCACCACAGGACATGCCTCATAGTCTTATAGGCAATGGAGAAAGAAGGTCACTCCCGTGTCCCCAAAAACAAGATACTTCATTGATAAAAGAAAAATGTCTTGGTCGTTCACTATGTAAAGAAACTTCTAAATTAATTCAGAATTCTGAACAGGAGAATATCAGTGATTAAGGATACAGGGAAAACCAGACATGTGCCCAAAATTATTGACTGAGAGTGGAGGTGATAATGCTAGAACTCAAGGCAGCTAAAAACACATCCTAATGAGGACACAGGGGTAGGAGATGTTTGTGTCCAGGCTGGCTCTTGCTCAATACTTTCAGGTTTGTGCAATTGGTCCAAAATGATTTATGTTTCATGTCTACAGAACAGGATCTTTTGTCCTTAAATTCCCCAAGAGCAAATCAAAAGAGAATAAAAGGCAGAGGCAGATGAAAATTAAATTTATTCCACTGAGAATTCATAAATACAAAAGAGAAAACATTGTCATCTTTCAAAAAACTATTAATGACTGTACTATTGAACTTGGTAGCAGGGGATATAAATGTGGCTGAGGCTGGATCCAACCCTCTGAAGGATCAGGATGCCAGTTGAGAAGCTGCTAATTAATTAAATGCTAATCTAATGAGGAGAGGTGGGTAAGATAAATCTGCAAGAGATTTATAAAAAATACATCACATAGTTTATATTTGTACACTAAATCCTAACATTTGAATGCCACAGACATCTTTGCGATTCCAGTGAAAGCTCTGAATCCCTCTTCCCAGAATTATATACATGTGTACTACACACGCATTCGAGGTCAGGTCCTCACTGGAGTCCAGATTAAGAACCTATACCTTGATGTATGTTTAGACTCATGCTTGCAATTACTTCCCATTTCAATAAATTTGGTCAAAGTCAGCTGGCAAGAATAACATATGTGAATAAAACAGAATAACATATGAATGCCAGAGACCTAAAGATTTTGAGTCTGTATCAAGGACTAAAAGCAAATTAACAGTTAAAATAGACAAAGAAGAAAAGGGATTTAAAATATATGCGGGTGCTAAAATAAATTGGGATGCATTCATAAAGGTAAATGGGTAAAAGGTATATTTCATATTTTAAAATATAAAAAGTGAAAAAATATTTATAAAAATTTGAAAATATTAATAGAAAAGCAATGAACAGAAGAGTATTTATAATCTAATTTGTATAAAAATTAGAAAGTAAATTTCATAAATATAATGACATATTATACATATATGCTGAATTTGCATAAGAAATTTATCCAAGGATGTACAAGAGAATTTACAGCAGTTACTATAGAAAGAAGGAAGGGACAAGTAACATTTTTAACCTTATTTTTAATATGTTTGAATGTTTATTAGGGGTATGCAGTATCTGAGACAAGGTGAGACAGAGTGGCCTTTATAATTACTCAGGATGCACACAGAATCCAACCATGCTCTGGCTTAAGCCATTGCAACACAAAAAACTATGTATTAGGAACATCCCACAGTTTGAGCACATTGAGTTTTTCGAGAAGCAGATTCTGAACCAAGAATTTAGGAGCAAGTGCTTTATTAAGAAAATGTCTTAAATCAACAAGGCAGCAGGGGAGTCAGAATAGGCTAGGAGAAGAAGCCAAACAAAAAGGCGATTTCAGGCAGAGTCCCATGCTCAGTCCAATTCTGCAGGGAGCGCACAAGTATAAATACACCTCAGAATTTGCCTTGCATGGAGGCAAAAGAGCTTGGTATTTCCACACCAGTCATCCATAGTCTATCCAAGTTGCCTATTGTTTGTGAAGAGGGGTATATAAAATTCTTAGAGATTTCTGGTTCTTTGTACAGTAAGGTGACTCTAGTGTCTAAGGGGAACCCTCTGAAGGCTGCAGGTACTAGCTGTTAGCAACGAAGTGTGCAAGAGCTGGGGATGCATACACAGAGAGGACAGGATTCTGATGGAACCTAGATGGGGAACCAACCACACACTCACATTCAGCAGGTTTTAGCTTTCATGCATTTGACAGATATTTATTGAGGGTCTAGAATTGTGCTGTCTAACATGGTAGTCACTAGCCACACACAACTACTGATCACTTGAAAAGTGGCTATTCCAGAAAGAGATGTTCTGTAAGTGTAAAATAAATAGTGATTATTAACACTTGGTAAGAAGAAAAAGTCAAGTATCTCAGTAATAATCTTTTTATTTTGAATACATGTTGACATAATATTAGATTATATAGTAGGCTAAATTAAAAATCATTGAAATTAAGTTTTACCTGTTTCTTTTTACTTTTTTAATGTGGCTTCTAGAAGATTTAAAATTACATATGTGGCTCAGGTTAAATTTCTATTAAACTGCACTGATCTAGAATATGTCTGACACTTTGCTAAGTGTTGGGGATACTGCAGTGACCAAAGAGAGACATGAGCCCTGCTGTCATGATGTTTACAGTCAGTGGTTGTAACAGACAATAATCAAATGAAGAAATACAGTGTTACTATTTATATTAAATATGCTGATGGAAATAATAGGTAATTTATAATGAGTAATAAGACAATGAGACAGTATCCAACCAGAGAGGGATTTACTTCAAAAAGACTCATCAGGAAACATGTTTCTGCAGAAATGTCTTTTAAACCCAAAAAGAGACAGGAGTGAACCGTGGCTGTGGAGGCGGGAGAGAAGTGGCAAGAAAGATGAGTTGAAATGTTTTAAGGGTATTCCAAGTCAGAGAACATCAGATGGTAGGAAAAAGCATTTATAAATTGCTTAAGTCAATAAAGTAGTGAAAATGACATAAAATTCCTCTACACTACAGATATCTAACTTGGCACACACTATTGACCTCTATGAAAAATGGTCATATTAGAAGGTTGACTGAGAAAGCAATTTTTTTCTTTCTCTGAATTAATGCTGACTTTCACCTTAGCCAGTAATGGCCAAACAACTTGGAAAATCAAAGTGGAGGTAATAGAGGCAGAAATCTTTGCTTATATTAAGATTTTTAAAAGTATATTTATAGAAGTTACCTTAAACACATTCACAACGGCTTGTTTATTTTCTACTTGGTGATTTTGAAGTGATGTCAACTGTTGCTGAATATATGTAAGAGTTTTAAAGCAGTTTTTAGAGGAAAAGATTGTTGAAGTGACATTTTCCAGCTTTCTTAACTGACATGAAGTCAGAACCAAATGCTTTGAAATGTCTAGCTAATACCGAAAAGATTAAATAAGACATAATTCCCTAGCATATAAAAATTTGCTCCAAGAAATATAATTTTTCCATAGTATATTAAATTTTTGGTAGTATGTAGATATTCCTCATAAAATTGTTAAAGTTAACTCTTCTTAGAGAAATTTAGTTTCTTCATATTATTTTACCCAACTAGTACTAACATGACCCCCAATTATGTATTTTTTAATCTGACTTATTTCACAATTCAATTGAAATGTATGCAAATATAAGGAAATGGTTGGTTCAAAGTTTCGATTTTGCCTCTTGAAAGTTGCTATAACTTCTGAATTAATATTCCGTGGCAAATTTAGAATTGAAATTCTAAGGAGTGGGGAATTCTTCAAGACATACATTTTTCTGAATGAGAAGCAGTTAAGCAGAATTATCTCCCATAAGAAAGCATATAGGGGTCTGATATATTTAAAGGAGGTTTAAGGGATAACACAGTTTTTTAGATAGTTTATTTTATCCAAAAAACACTGATTGAATTGTGATCTTTTGTTAGGTACTATAACTATAAATAAGATTTCCTTCCTATGATCCCTGAACCTCATAGGAAGCACAGGGGAGGGTACAACATGTCCCAGTGGGGTAAGTGTTCCAAAAGAGGTATCTAGAATGCTGAGGAAAAAAGGTAGAAACAGTGACTCTCCCTGAAAGAAGCAAATCAGAGATAAGAAGGTGATATTTGCCCTAGACCATGAAGTAAGAGCAAGACTTGTATGAATACAAATGAAAGAAAAGCATTGCCAGCGAAGACAGTATGAGAAAAGCTGTGGAAGTGTGAAACTGTCTAGGGGAGTCACTAAATCTTAAACACAGAATGGGGTAGGTAGTTCTGTGTGCCTAGAGCCTTAGAACATATACATAAAGTACCAGATGGCTTTGAACCAAAATGCTTTGAGGAAGAAATTAGAATGTATTATTTGTTTTCTTTTTAAAACGTGTAGTTTTCAGTGCACATTCTCTAATTCTAGACAAGGAGCAAATAAGCAGCAGCAAAGCAAAGACTAAAAAGCTTTTTTTAGTCTTTCTGATCACCTGCTTCATCCTCAGTGATTTACAAACTTTGTGTTATCTTTGTTCTTTTTGCTTTTCATTAGGATGATTATTGATTTATGAGCAGCTTTAATGTGGCTCTTTCAGGCATCCTGAATTACCCTGACAGCAGCTCTGTAAATAAATCAATTTCTGCCTTTAAAATTTGACATCTTCTGTCCTAACAAACCATTACTTTGACCAAACTCAGATAAAAGAATTCTTTATGTTTGGCAAAGTATCACTAAATTATCCTCCGAAGGGCTGAGGTAATATTATCCTTATTATGTCAAGTAGAAGTAATCCAGTATGTTGAACTTCGTTAAAGTTCACTTGTTTACTGAGGAATGAAATTATTCTGTAGCCCTTAGATAACTGTGTTAACTATCACCTTGAATTTAAGAGGAAAACAACAAGAGTCGTGGTCTGTATCCTCACAAATCATCCATGACTTGAGCTTTCAGCAACCTAGGATAAGCCGTATTTTGCATATGTAAGAGGGGAACACTCTTTTGGGGGAGGAGAGATTTCTAGATCCTCCTTTGCATTTTCTTCCTCTTGTCATGACTCCAAACTGTGAACAAACACATGTTTTTTAAGTCTTTTTTGTTTCTTTATTTAAAAAAGTGTCTGACATAATAGAACGAGAAATGAGCTTCCAGGTTAAAAAAAAAGAAAAAGAAAAACACCTCGATTCTACTTCTTCCATATCTACTTAACTAGCTGTTATAGCATTAGGCTAAGAGTCAAAGTTCTGAAACTGTTCCCTTCTTTATGAAACAGGGAACAGTGTACCCTACTTTCTGGCTTGTTGTGAGGGATGAGGTAATACATGTAACAGTTACTTCTAAATCATGCAGCTCTTTGTAAATGTAAGATTAAATGTATAAATGTAAGTTGTAATTTACCCTGCAGCTCCATAAGGGTGAGAAATGAAATACAATTTTGCTGATATCACCATTCAAAAATTGTCAGCAATTAAAATTGTCTATATGTTCAAAGGATGAGTATACTGTGTTTCTTGAATCATGTTTGCGAACTCAAAGAATGGGCAGGGGAAAAACAAGGGACATTCTCCAAGGTCAAAGCATTCTCTCCCAGATTATTAGTTATGTGGGAAGTGATGGTCAGCCTCATTGGTTATTAGATAAATGCAAATTAAAGCAATATTCCTATGCCGTTTCAATGGATTATAAACTCCTTGAGTTTAGCCCACTTCTGCTTCTCTGTGAGGAGTCAGGCTATACAGAGTAAGGCAAAAGCTCTGGCTTTTTTTCCCCATGGAGAGTTATCTGAACAGACTTCTATATGGGAAATCCTTGGGTGAGCCCAATGATGACTGCAACTGGGCTGTCAAAAATCTCTAATTCTGAGGTTTGTATTAGGAAACCCAAATGCTTGCCACACTCTAACTTGGCCTTATCAGTTGGAAAAAAAAAAAAATATGTCATTTAGATTTCTACTCCTTGACTCTCTTCTTTTTATCATTGGATGTCATTTATATGGCTCCACTAACACCCCAAGATCTAAGCATTGGGCTGTGAATCTTAAAAGATAAACAATGAGTGTCATTTGGGAAGCAAAGGAACAGAAGACATTAAGCCTTTTTGTGGAATTGGCCTTGTGAGTTTTTACCTTGATAGCTTGCAGGAGCTCACATTGCATCTGTACAGTTCTTAATCTCATATAGTTCTAGATAGGCAGCTGTAAGTTACTTTGAGTAAATGCTGGCTTTGGACAGTCACTGCAGCTTATGGCTGCTTTGTCCCATGGAGAGTAGCCAAGGCAGGGTATATGTATGATCTAATAAAACAAAACACACTCTGGTTTTAAGCAAATGCCACACAAGGCTGCCTGCACAGACTTTACCAAATGGCTTGTAGGTCAGGCAAGGATCTTAGGATGCAGCTTCTTGACCTTGGACCAAAGGATCACAGCTTCATCTGGTATTACAGGGGAGTTAGAGATAGGACGTTAAGCCTGACAATATTGTCTGCTTTCAAATTGCTAGACATACTGGATTTAAGACTACAGAAGGCCAGGAGCAATGGCTCACGCCTGTAATCCCAGCACTTTGGGAGGCCAAGGCAGGTGGATCACCTAAGGTCAGGAGTTTGAGACCTGCCTGGCCAGTATGGCAAAACCCCATCTCTACTAAAAATACAAAAAAATTAGCCTGGTGTGGTGGCACATGCCTGTAGTTCCAGCTGCTTGGGAAGCTGAGGCAGGAGAATCACTTGAACCCGGGAGGCAGAGGTTGCAGTGAGCCAAGATCACGCCACTGCACTCCAGCCTGGGTAACAGAGCGAGATGCCATCTCAAAAAAAAAAAAGACTACAGAAAGAGTTGTGGCCGGAGTGTGTGTGCCTTGACCATGGGTTCAAAAAAACTGCATATTACATCTATTCAAGTTGACTTTGGATTTGGTATTTACCTGAATTCTAATGATGCCTTTAGATTTCAGATACCCACATTGAGTCTTCACCCTTGGAAAGATGGTAAGTTTTATTTTACAAAATTAATAAAAACAAATGAGTCTATTAAAAAGGTAACATGCTACCTTCTTGGGATAAGAGAAAGAAGCATTTTAAGGAAATTCTTGCAGACAAAAAGATTCTGGGTAATTTACAAAACCTATGCCTGCAACTTTAAGATCAGTCATAGTATTAAGTAGTAAAAAAGGCTTTGAAAAGTCATACTTTAGTTTGTGTCAGAATGAGGAAAGATGGATTGTTTAAACTGAAGAAGAAAAAGCTATTCTTAAAAGAAACATTAAAATTTTGTAATCTAGACAGATATTAAGGGGAAAATTAGATCTTAAAGGCCATAATAGATTGAAATAAAATGGAAAGTCGATCTGCCCAGGTTTAACTCCTCTTAAAGAAGCATCAGAAGAAAAGAGGGTTCTCTTAGCTCTTAAGAGGTTTGAAACAGTCGACAGAGCTCAAGAGAATTTCAGAGGAAGGGAGATAAATTATTGGAGCATATTGAAGTTTCTCCACGACAGAGTATCAGGATCCAAGTTCCTAAGAAGAGGTGTCTTCAAAAACATGCTGATGGAAGAATCATAGCAACAGCCACTAGGAACCTCTGCTTAAAGATTGGGACAGCCCTTTAGCTACAGAAAATCTAGGCAGACTTAAAAGGACAAGATCTGGAAGACTAGCACAAAACAAAAACACATTTAAAAAGTAAGTTTTAAAGTGACATGGCCATTGGAAGTAGAGATAAAGTATTGCCTGTACTTTTAGGTGTAATGATACCTACAAATGCCTCTGCATACCAGACAAAAGCAATCTGTGGGTCCCCATTGACATTTTTGCAACCCTGGGATTAAGTCAGAAATACAATATTCTAGATCCTGTCAAGTTTTGCTGTTATTTTAACTAAAACATAGTTTTAGGCTCACAAAAGAAGAATATCTATTTTCTCATTATAAAAATAATGTTGGCTGGGTGTGGTGGCTCACACCCATAATCCCGACACTTTGGGAGGCCGAGGCACGAGGATGGCTTGAGCCCAGGAGTTTAAGACCAGCCTGAGCAACATAGTGAGACCCCCATCTTAAATCAGTCAGGTGTAGTAGTACATACCTGTGGTCCCAGCTGCTCAGAAGGCTGGGCAGGGGGATTGCTTGAGCCCAAGAAGTCGAAGTTGCAGTGAGCTGTGATGGTGCCACTGCACTCTGACCTGGGCAGCAGAGCAAGAAAGAACCTGTCTCAAAATTATTAATAATAATAATGCCAAACTTTAGATAGTAAGCATTCACTTGCCCTTAAAAGATAACAAATAATGAGTTCTATAAACAAGAAACTGTGATTGTAAAACTAACAAATAGCCCACCTTTATGGGGAATCAGAGGATTCAGAGAAACTGAATAGATCTGTTAGGAAAAATAAACCTGATTTGGGCTTTATTGAAACACCAAATAAAATAAGCATGTCTATGGAACAAAAGCACTCTCAGCAAATGTTTTCCCAAGGTGAAAAATTCTAAACAGGAAATTTATCAGTTTCTGAGAGTTGAAATGTTTAACCTCAGGCATCTTTTAGAGAAAGCAAAATTTACATGAATAGTACAGGAACAGCTGGTGGGTCTCCTGACCACTACTTTCACTCCCCATGTGCATTTCTCTTAAAAGTGTCCTAGGTTATTATCTATGACCAAACCGAAGAAGTCATTCGTTTATTCTTTTATTCATGAATCTATCACAAGTCTAATGAATAAGGCCCACTTATATAGTCTACCAGTGGAGGGAGGCAAATAACTGGTGATTATGGTATAACCTCTGGTGGGTCCATAAATAGACTAGATCTGAGGTTCCTAGAAACTTAATAGTGGTGCTGCAGCCAGTTACAACCGTGGTCAAATACTGGGGTGTACCTTTTAAGCAATCCTCACATGTTGAGCATTAGTTACTATTAATATGTTGTTCCCTGGGAGATCTATAAATGGCACCCTACACACATGAGAGTAGCAGTTGGTACTAGTGAAGAGTAAATATCTTTTGATTTTTCCTTTCATGTTTCAGCTGTTGCAAAAATAACAATCATCAACTAGTGGCAAACCACAGTTGACATGTGGGAAATCAAAAGGGAACCTGCCAAGATAATCTTTGTTCTCTTGTTCAGTCCACAACTACTGGGCAATATATTCAAAAAAGGATGCATGAGATACTACACAGACAGGAGAGGACCTCTGAGCCAGCATGAACCCAATCCATCAGGGCTGCCCCTGGGCTTTGCCTCATGTGCCATCTCCAAATCAGCTGTAATATGTTTTCTTACCAGCAACATCAGTCCTGAAATTCTTAACCTGACCTGCCCACAAAGGCACCTGTTTAGACCCTTCTGGTTTCTCTCTCTGTGGACTTGCCTCAACATTTACCCCTGTCACCCTGCACTTCTAATCTGGCTCTTCTTTGGATGCCCCTCCCTGGCCACAGCTCTGTCTTGGGCCAGTCCTCTGTGGGGGCTCTCAGATTTCTGGAACCCTCACTTTCAGCATAGCCCCCTGCAGAAATGATTGAACACTGGGTCAGAAGCATAGCCTAGTAGATAGAATAGATTTCCTAATCCTATGGAGGAAAAACAGGCAAAATAAGTAACTTACAGAAGACAAATTGACTTTTTATCAGACAATAAATATTACCGGCAGCACCACATAATTGTGAACTCATTTGCAAAAGCAAAACAGTTGACAAGCACCAGCATGGATTATAGCTCTGATGTTTTTCCACAGATATATTTGGACTATTACGTTATGTTCACTTTTTTAAAAGATTCTGCCAAATTATAGTATAGACAAGACATTAATGTCTAATATTAGAAGATATAGCCAAGGGAATAAGTGGTAATAAAATTTGATAGCATGTTTATTACTGATGCAAAGAAACACTTGTGTTTATTCCAGAAATTTCTCCACATGGTTGTGATACAGCTGCTTTATGGGGCTGTATTCAATGATGATTGCAACATATGCTGGAAGCAGCCTGCCTGCCATAGAGACAATATCAGCTTTACAGTTAAATGAACCCATGTTTGATTTCATCTTAGCAACTGCAGAGCTTCGTGACCTTGAGCAAGCTCCTTAGCCTTGCTGGTATTTAGCTGAGTCATACATCGATGCTTTTGCCATCTTCATAAAATCCTTGTATTAAAGTTACCCCTTTAAAACACTGAACTCTGATCTTTTTTTTCTCTTCACAGTCACATTTGTAATTATAGCTTGTTTAGTGTTTATTTTTTTTACTATGTTACAAATTCCATAATATCAGGAACTATGCATGTGTATATCACCAAGGTATATCCAACACCTAGAATGTATAGAACCCCTAATATATCATTTAAATAAATACATGAATACCTAAGCATGAAAAAGATTATAATTTGGTAATTTAGCATAGGTAGAAAGATGATTCCCTCAAACAAATCCTGGGGGTACTTTGTCTCTGGGATGGATATATACATGGGATTTAATACTGTTGACCAATTTGGGGAAGTTCATTGGCAGGGTCAGACTAATGTCATACTCAATGTAAACCTCTCAGAATACACCAGAGATAGAAATTTATACTTAAACTCCAGCATGCCCCAGATATGACTCATCAGTGGGCTTTATTTTAATATTTCCTCTTTGGCTAAATTGCAGCCCCTATCCTAATCTTTGGTCATTATTTGCAGGCACATAAGCCTTTTTGATCTAAGTGCTGAAAGACCACATTAATGAGACTACACGCTTCTTGGGTTTTTAATTATTTATCAATTTATGATGTGAGAAAATCTCTCAAAGATAGAAGATAGAAACCTACATAACATTGAGTAGGAGGGCCTTGAATCGTGGGTTTAAATCCTAGCACATCTATTTGCTAGCAGATGGACAGTTAACTTCTCTAAACCATAGTTTTCACATCTGTAAAATGAAGATAAAATCAATACCACTTCATAGCAATGTCATGAGAAATAAATAAAATAATGCCTATAAAGTCCTTAACCTGATACCTGGCACCTGCAATAAATATTAGCTATTTATTATTATTGATTCTTTTTTCCCTATACTGAAGGTAACCTTCTTTAAAATATTTTAAAATTAATACTCAGTCATCAAACAATTGTTGAGTGGCTGCTATACAAACAAAGTCTAGGATGTAGAAAATACTAAAACACTTTTTAAAAGAGTAAAATTCCTATTACGTGAATTAATAAAATTGGCAATGAAGTATAACAGGTGAAATTCCATTCAAGGCTATATCACCTATAAAGCTATTCCAAAATAGAAACAATTTTTAAGTAAGACTTTAATATATCTTCAGGTTATTTTATCTCAACTTTCTAAATTAAAGCCACTTTGAAAATATAAGAAGTGTTTATATTTTGCTACTATGCCTAAATTTTGAGAAATCTATAAAAATAACCCTTTTTTGATATATTTTCATTAACCTGATACATGGCACCTGCAATAAATATTAGCTATTTATTACTATTGATTCTCTTTTCCTTATACTGAAAGTAACCTTCTTTAAAATATTTTAAAATTAACACTCAGTCATCAAACAATTGTTGAGTGGCTACTATACAAGCAAAGTCCAGGATGTAGAAAATATTAAAACACTTTTTAAAAGAGTAAAATTCCTATTGTGTGAATAAAATTGGCAATGAAGTATAACAGGTGAAATTCCATTCAAAGTCTATATCACCTAAAAACTATTCCAAAATAGAAAATATTCCAAAATTCAAATTTTTAAATAAGACTTTAATATAGCTTCAGGTTATTTTATCTTGACTTTCTAAAGAAAAGCCACTTTGAAAATGTGAGAAGTGTTTACATTTTGCTACAATGCTTAAATTTTGAGGAATCTATAAAAAGAACCCTTTTTTCATATATTCTCATTATTTTACCAAGCAGATTTTTCTCTACTGTACTTAGGTGCTTTTTTTTTTTTTTTTTTTTTTTTGGCATTTTGGACGTGTTTCCTAAGTTGTCCAGCTGCTATTTAGGCTTTCATATTTTTTATTGTACAGAAAGAAAAACGGACAAAACACAGAAAAGTAAAAGAAATAACTTTAGAATGTCCATTTGCCTACTTTTTTTCTGTTTTCAGTAGCAAAGTATTCTGGGTAAATAGAAATCGCTAGTGCCAACATATTCCATTTTCCACTCTTGACAAACATACACAGAATCTCTAATATGTACCAGGCCCTGTGCCAGTACTTAACAAGGACAAATGACTCCTTTCTCAATGAAGGCAGTAGAGAGATTAGCTAAAAGAAAAGGTTCTAGAATCAGACTGACCAGGTACAGACACTCAGTGACTGTGACTTGTAAAGCTTCTTCACAGAGACTGTCCATGGACTTAGGGATCAGGCAGAACCGAGTTACAATTCCAGAGTTTCCATTTAATGGAAAGATCTGAAATATATAATCAGCATTTCTGAGTCTCTGTTTTCTCACTTTTAAAATAAGGGTCAACAATCTCATTTTGAAAACTGTGAAGCTGAAATGCAATACACATCTGCAATGTGTTAGCTCAGTGCCTAGGTCATGTAATGCTATGCTAGGTCCCTTCTGTATCTGTGCCTTTTCTTCCAGACATACCTTTGGAAAAAATATAAATAATTGGGTAAAAAATAAATTTCAGTCAGAAATTAGGGGTTACTGCTGGCATATACCGTTCTTTTGAAAGGACAGAATGTATTGCTGTGACTAAAAGTCACAAACATAGGCTGAGAACTCACAATCAAAATCTCTGATAGTAGTTGTTGGTGAGAAATTTAGGATTTTATCAGCACCATAGACTCAATGACTCAAGAAAGCAAAAAAGATGATTAGTTATATACCATCCTGCAAAATGCCATGTAGTACTTGTTACAGCAAGAGTTGAATGTTGGTTTCAAACAGATCAAATTGTTCACCATCTGTTCATAGAAAGATAAAGCCCCTCTTCCTGTAAAATAGATCAACAAGGATTCGAAGAAAAAATAATTGTCTCAAATTTCAGCATCAAGTGACTGTCCTTATGTAACCAAAAATTACACACAGGGAACAAATAAAAGATCAGCCAGTAAAATAGAACAATATAAATTTTGAAATCCCTTTCTGCATATCTTGGAAACATTTCACTTGTGTTTTATGGAAGACTGTAAAGTAACAGTGAAAAACATATTTAATAGAGTGCCAGATAGTTCAAGTTTTACTATTTTAAGACTTCAATCTTCAACATGCTGTTTTTATACTGTTTATCCAAACTTTAAAATCTTTTCAGGCCTTAATTGCTTTTGTACTATGCATATAGAATTAAATTTCTGTATAATATTTTATATACTTATATTTTAAATATAAGTAATCAACTTATATTTTAAATATAAGTAATCAACTTATATTTAAAAACAGTAAACAATTAGAAAGCAAAAGACAAAACCCAGAGAATCTAAAAAAATCTACAGTCTATTAGAATTAACAGTAAATTTGGCAAAAATACTTTGATACAAGATAAATACCAAATCAATTTTATTCTAAGGAAAAAAGTAGAAAATTAAATTCCATAAATTATATAATTCAATATAATTCATCAAAACACAAGCACCGAGAAATCAGTCCAACAGATGTGTAATATCATTACACTGAAAAGTACAAGGCATTTCTTAGAGGAAGTAAAGAACACCTAAATAAATAGAAGGATATATAAATTCATGGTTATGAAGACTCATGTTGGAATGAAGTAAATTATCCTCAAATTAATCTAGAGACTCTAAGAAGTTCCAATCAAAATCCTCAGCTAGTTATTTTTAGTTGACAAGCTGATTCTAATATTTATGTAAAAATGCAAAGAGCCAAAAGTATCAAGGACAGTCTTGAAGATAAATATCTAAGTGTAATTTAAAAGACTTATCACATGTCAGGAATTGCAATAAAGCTACAGTAATTAAGTAATTAAGATAGGGTGTTATCAGTGCAAAGACAGACAAAAATACTAGTGAAACAATATTCTAGAAGCAGACAAATATATAAGTATTTGTTTTAAATCAAATAATGTATTACAGAGCAATGAGAGAAGGATGGTCTTTTCAAAAAATATATGCTGGATCAATTGTATCCCCATATGGAAAAATTCATTTTGATGCCTAACTTACAATATGCACAAAAATAAATACCATAAAGATCATTGATGTAAATGTGAAAGGAAAAATAATAATGGTTTTGAAAGAAAATGATGAGACTATATTCATGACTTGGGGATAGACTGTTTTCTTGAACAGGAAACAAAAAGCATTTACCAAAAAGAAAAAAATTATAAATTAGATTATGTTAAAATTAAGAAATTTTGTCCATTAAATGATTCCATTCAAAGATTGGAAAGGTAACACAAAGAATGGGAGAAGATATTTGAAATATCTATCCAAAAAAGGAAATATATATATATATTATATATATATATATGTACTACAAATCAGTATATATATAGCATATATATATATATGCTACAAATCAGTAAAAGACCCATGCTCCAAAATAAATATTTGAACTGACATTTTGCAAAAAATAATATCCAAAATACAAACAAGCATATGAAATGATGTCCAATTTTATTAACCAGAAGAAAATACAAATTAAAAACAATTTGAGATCACTATGTAACTACTAGATTTATATCTAAAGTTTCAAGTTTGGCAATAGTATGGTACACCTTATGGTTAGGATTGTAAATTGGTATAATCACATTGGAAAATTATTTGTTGATATTTAGTAGCTACTCAAGATATGCCTACCCTAAGACCCTTAATTCAATTCCTACTTTATAACCAACATTATTCACCAAAAACCTGTGCCAGGATTTTATTCAGAACACCTTCAAACATCTTAAAAACTATTCACCAAAAACCTGTGCCAGTATGTTATTCAAAACAGCTTCAAACATCTTAAAACAACCCAAATGTCATCAAACAGTAGAATGTTAAGTCAATTATGACATATCCCTACAAACAAATACTATACAGCAATGAGAGTGAAACACAATACTGCTACACACAACATGGATGAATCTCATAAACATAATTGTGAATGAAAGAAGCAAGACTGTATGATTCCATTTACAAAAAGTTCACAATGGGCAAAATGAATATATGATGTTAAAGTATGGGCAGAAGTTACCTTTGGCTCAGAAGATGTTGAGGGATAGGTAGCTTCTGAAATGCTTTTATGTCTGAGTGATGGCTAGAACAATATGTTCTCTTTATGAAATACACTGTTCTATGCATGGTTCACACACTGTTCAATTATTTTTTATAAAAATTCAATATAAAAATTGACTTTATAAAGTAACATTTTCCCAAAAGATATATAGTAGTCCCAGATTCTTAAAATGTTAAAAATATCATTTTATAAGATGCTTGCCCATCTGATAATGCATGAAAACGGAGGCATACCTCCTTTTCTTTGAGTTTTTATTTTTGTGAGTACTACACTAAAATATTTTGAATTTGTGCTACTCTAAATAGTGAGGTTGAAGTGTTTTCATGTTAATTTGTCATTTATATTTCTTTTTCAAATTGCTCATGCCTTTTGCTCAATGTTTTCTCTATGATGTATACAGTTATTATTATTATTACCATTATTATTTTGTGAAGCTTCTTCATGCAGGAATAGAATGAATAGCTTGCAGTGTGTGTACAGTTATGAGCTCTGTCTGACCCTTGGGAAAGTTATTTACTATTCAAGTCTCACCTTTCTCATCAGGAAAACTGGATAACAATAATATCAATAATTCCGAAAAGGTTTTCTTTTAAAAATTACGTGAGTACCTAGATGACATGTACACTGCAAAATCTTCTTCCACTTTCAACAGCTCCCCACACCTATTACATGTAAGAACCCATGCTAGGCACTGGATGGTGACAGAAAGACAATTTCTGTCATTAAGCCAGTGCTCTGGTCAGCTGTCAGTCAAAGCATTATAAATCTGTTCCTTTCGTTTTCATCTGTCACTTTATTCTGCTGACTTCACTTCCTCAACATCCCTGAAGATGATTCTTTCTGTCCCCATAATCACTGCCTGCATTCAGGCCTCCAACTTTCCTGCCTCGATGTTGTAATGGCTTCCTAATGAGTCCCTCTGCTACCCTCTCATTAGTCCTCAATCTGTTAAACTCCCTGCTGCCAGACTGAACATTCTAAATGCAGCTCCCATCATACCAAGCTTCATATTTCACTTGACAAGGATTCCTTTTCTTTATCAGATCACACACAAAAAATTATCTGATCCCTACTTTTCCACTGCAGCACCATCTCTAACAGTCCCCAATTGGCCTCTTATGTTTCAAAGGTTCCAAAATACAAGCAGTTTCCTGAATAATCCATGATGTTTATGTCACACAACCTTGCATCTGATGCTCCTTCTTTCAAGAATACCTCTTTGGCTCTATTCCTTTCCTTCAAACTCATCTCAGACACCATTTTTCCCAGAAGATCTTCTTTTTCCTAACACTTGGGGTTCTAGCTCAGCTGATCTTCCTCTAAACTCTCATAATCTCATCCCATCAAAATACCTGCAAAATTGCACTTAGCTTTTTTATTGATTTATATGCCCAACTCACCACTCTTGGAACTACTAAGGAGCAAAGACTATGTCTTTTGTATCATTGTCCCTTAATCTTGAACATTTCCACATGAATGAGTGAATGAATGAGTGAACAAATGAAAGAGCATAATTGAACTGCCTCTCATGGGCTGCCTCCAGCAATATTCTCATGAAGATTTTTAAGAGGAATTCAATAAAATCAAGTTAAGGTTTCTTCATTCTCTTCTGGAAAGAAGAGAAATTAAACTCTACCCTCTATAGCAATGCAGAAACATAGATAGATAGATAGATAGATAGATAGATAGATAGATACATACATACATACATACATACATACATACATACATACATGATTGATAGATAGATAGATAGATAGATAGATAGATAGATAGATAGATACATTTCATACACTAGGAAAAGACTCTGTTGCTTTAATTCGCATGCCCATTTATGTCAGAGATTCAGATGACCTAAGCTTAGGGGAACTTGAAGAATATATTATCATTGGGAGTCAGGTTATTATTCTCACAAGAATGATTCATCCCTTCAACTTGCAAACTGCTCTTAAATCAACTTGCAAACTGCTCTCTCAGCTATGGGGCTGAGAGAAAACTATATTCCTTTGTAAGTGGTGGTGGAAACCACATTATAAATGGTCCCATTGCTTCTTGGAGGAGGATGGAATTCATCACTTAGTTGGCTGCCTAAAGGCCCTATTTGAGAGCTTATGTACCTGAAGATTAGCTCATATACTATCAAATCACCAAGAGACTTAATATGAGATGATGTCAATGCATAGAGAAATTATTTCAGCTTCTCCTCTCTTGGTATTCATAAAGGAGGAAATTTGGAGGCCAGATCCTGAGAAAAGTGACTAGCATCTACTGTCAATCAATCTGCAAGTATGGATCTGGTGCTTCTTCAAGGATCAGAAGAGTTATATGTGTATGGTATATATATGAAGTGGGAGTTTTAAAGTACTTACTCATCAGCTACCTCTTTGTGAACTTTTTCTCTGTCAACAACCAAGTCATACTTATTTGAGTCTCCCCTTCAGTATCTGCCACATCACTTTCACCTATTTGGTTCTCAGCAGATGAGGATTTGAATAGATTCTTAAAAACTCTTGTGAACCAGAAATCCCAAAAGGATCTGATTTTTTGAAACATGAAAGCTTCTAAGGAATAGAAGTTCCGGTCGTAAGTTTTATCTACATTCTTCAGGCATTCATTTGCAACAGACTCTTGCTTCTAATTTGCTGCATGATGGATAGTGACACCTGCATATAAAGCAGCTCAGAGACCATGAGAGAAGAGGGAGCATCCATTACCTCCAGTTTGTGCATATTACTGTCATTGCCCTTCTGCATTTGAGCATGAGCTGCAATCATAGCTTGTCAAAAAGTATGAAATATCCTCTATTTCCTTTAGTACCACTGGTTTCTTGTGACTCACTTTGTCATTTTGCTAAGTTGGTGACATCTGTGTCTGTGCTGCCATAAAATATGTAGTGGTAATATTGCTGCTTTTTGGACTGAGTATATTTGTGTAAAATGATTTGCAAATGTTTCGTGTGTGTAAGTGTTTACATTTGTATGCATTCAGTCAATACATGAGATCAGCTGTAAAGACAGAGAACCCCAGAATTTGAAAATAAGTGCCAAACTAAAATGTCAATATGCAGTGGGTCAAAGCAGAAATATGAAAAGTTACTCACAAGATGTAATGTTCCTAGGCCAGCAAGATTTGACAACATCCTGAGTAACAGTGGAAAGATAATTAAATGTGAAAAATCAAGGAAAAGCAATGGCTAGATTAAGAAGCACTGGAAAAAACAGGACACGTAGGGAAACAAATATTGTCAGTGTCTATTTGGCCCTCTCCAAGGCAGGTGGGTGCCCTGAAGAAATGATGATAAAATCAAGTCTTGGCACAAAACACCATAACCACAGATACTATAACTTTTGCTCACCATCATACTAACCAATCTTCCCATTTAAAAACTGGTTTTCTAGGTACCTCAATATGAGGAAGAAAAGACACTCCAAATTGAGGATATGAGTATTTCCAGCACTGCACATGGATCACACACATTCACACACACACACACACACATACATACACACACAAAGATGGCATGCTAGTTTGTCCTGTGACTGCGTGAGAGTTTATTTGATGTGTATTTGGTTACTTCTCCAAAATTCAGATCAGTTCTAAAGTGCTGAAAAGTCTGAACACCTACGTAGAGATGCACCAAAAGGCCACAGGAGTAACAGAACTGAGAATATTGTCAAAAGAGTGATTTGGGGCAACAGCTTATAGATTTTAGGATGGGTAGATAAGAGAGTAGAGATAGGAGAAGATGCAAAATTGAGAGAAGTTAAAGGGGTCAGAAAGTTAGATGAGTTCAAAGGATAGGGAAGATGGGAGAAACTCAATGAGTATGTTGAAATAACAGGAAACTGGGATCAGAAACTAGAAAACCCAAACTTACACTTTAGAAGAAGTGGAGAAAATCCCAGTGATTGCAAGGTCCAAGATACAGCTGTGGTAGATTATTAAATATGAGCTCAAGATGTTGTTTTCACTCATGCATTCCAACATTTGACATCTAGAATGATGGCAGGAAGAGAGTTAGACAGAAAGAATACAGATTAGGTGCCCAGTCCTTCAAAAACTGAAGACCATATATTTTACTTATATAACTACTTTTATGTCTCCATATTTTTTTCATACTCTTCCTGTCTGATGGTATTCCATCCCTGCCCCATGTTACCCTACCCCATTTGCATGGAGACATATATTTCCCTTAGAAGGAGTTCTGCTACATAAGTTCATCTTTGTATGCAATCCATATAATTCAATGGCTAACTCTGTACATATTTATTGAGTAAATAAAGGAAACATCAGAATCACCAGGAAAGTTGTGAAATGTAAACCAAGTGATACATTGAAATTTTTTTCTGGTGGTATTAAAAGAACCAGGAGAGAGATGCAATAAATAGATCAAAAAAGACAGCTAATTTTTTTTTAAATGAAGCAACTTTTTTTAGAATAGAGGGGACTGGTGATCTGGATGAACACAATATTGGTGTTGTCAGGACAGCAATGTAAGCCCTCTGGACTAGAAGGTGAGTGGACAGGGAACTAGGGAAAAGAGCACTGACAACAGTTCACTCTCCAGGGTGCTTAACTCAGGGAGAGATAAGGTAGTAGTTGGAGAACTTTTCCTGAGAATTTGAAGTTTTTGATGCTATGATAAATGGCATTTTAAAATTTTACTTTCAGATTGTTTCCAGAATAAAGAAATACAGTTAATTTTTCTATATTGATCTTATTGATCCTGCAACCTTACTATATACACTTATTCATTTTAGTAGCTTTTTAGTAGATCCTGTAGGAATTTGTACATAGGTAATCATGTCTCCAAATAAAAATAATTTTACTGCTTCCCTTCTTGTGGTTTTTCATTGCCTCACAAGCTAGAGCCTCCAGTAAAATGCTGAAGAAAAGTAGTGAAAGAAGACATTTTTCCTTTGTTCTTTCTCCTGGAAAGAAAGCATTTAGTCTTCTACCATGAAAAAGATATTAGCTACTAGCACATTGAGGATTAAGTAAAATAAAACAAAAGATGTTAGCGATAGGCTTTTTGTAGATGCCCTTTATCAAGTTATGGACTTTTCCTTCTCTTCCTGGTTTAATGAGAGTTTTTATCTGGAACGTATTATAGATTTTGCTAAATGCTTTTTCTCTCTCTATTGAGATGACCATGTGTTTGTTAGTTTCTTAATATAGTGAATAGTGATTGGTTTATTACTGCTCAACTAATCTTCCTGTGTTAAACCCCATCTGGTCACTAACACTTTACTTTTTACAAATTGATTTCCTCAAATTTTGCTAATAATTTGTGCATTTGAGTTCATGAGGGATACTAGTACTTAGATTTCTTTCCTTGTGATGCATTTGCCCTGTTTTGTAATCAGGAAAATACTGACCTCATAGAACGAGTGGCAAAGTACTCTACTATCTTCAATTTTACAGAAAAAGCTGTATAGAATTGGCATTATTTCCTCCTTAAATATTTGGTATAATTCACCAGTGAACCCATCTGGGTCTACAGTTCTCAATTTCTTTAGTGTATATAGAGGTGCTGTGGGTCCTTTTGAGTGAATTTTGGCAGAGTGTGTCTTCAAGGAATGTGTTCATTTCAGTTGTCATTAAATTTCAACAAATTTACTGGCATAAAGTTGTTAATATTCCTTTCAATATCTATATCATCTGTGATAATGCTGTGATAATGCCTCCTCTTTCATTCCTGATGTTGATAATTTGTGTATTGTCTTCCCCTCCCCCCCGCCCCCGGTTAATCTGGGTACGGGTTTATCAGTTTTAATGAACTCAAGGAACTAGATTTTTATTTCATTGATTTTTTTCTCTATTGTTTTTCTGTTTTTATTTCATTACTTTCCATGCTTATTTTCATTATTTTCTTCATTCTGCTTGCTTTAGTTTTAATCTGCTCTTCTTTTTCTGATTCCTTAAGGTAGGAACTGAGGTCACTGAATTAAGATCTCTTTTCTTTTCTAATATAAACATTCAGTGCTATAAATTTCCCTTTGAGTACTGCTTTAGTTGCATGCTGCACATTTTGAAGTGTTATGTCTTCATTTTCAGGGTATATAAAATGCTTTTTAATATTCCTTTTGATTTTCTTAAACTCATAGTTGATTTAGAAATATGTTATTTAGTTTCCAAATATTTAGGAATTTCCCAGAGAGGCAGCTGTTATTTATTTCTAATTAATTCTATCGTAGTTTTGTATGCTTTTAATTTTTTTTAAATTCATTGAGTGTTGTTCCATGGCTCAAAATTTGGCTATGTGCCCTTGAAGTCTTTGTGTTCTGTTTTTGGATAGACTCTTGTATTAATGTAAATGAGGTCCAGTTGGTTGACCATGTTCTTCAAGTCTTTAACAGTCATGTGATTTTCTGTCTACTTTTCCCAAAAAATTTGAAAAAGGGAGTTAAAACATCTTTAATAATATCTGTAAATCTATAAGTTTCTCCTTTCACTTCTATTATTTTTTGCTTAATACATCTGAAGTTTTTTCTTAGGTACACAAAAGTTTAAGATTATTATATTCTCTTCATTAACTGATCTTTTATCATTATGAAATGACCCTTTTTCTCCATGGTAACATATTTTGCTTTAAACTATACTTCGTATCATGGGTTAATATAACCACTTCAGCTTTCTTTTGATTAGTATCAGAATAGTATATATTTTCTGATCTCTTAATTTTAATCTATTTGTGTCTTTATATTTAAATTTAATGTCTTATTTGCAGCACATAGAAGGGACTTGCTATTTTATCCAATATGACAATTTTTGCCTTTACTTGTGTGGTACAGACCACTTATATTTAATGTTATTATTGATACACTTGAATTTAAATCTACCATTTTATTAGTGTTTTGCCATTTGCTCCTCTGTTCTTTGTTTCCTTTATCCTCTTTCAATGCCTGCTTTTGTATTAACTATTTTTTATAATTTGATTTGATCTCTTTTATTGGTTTACTTGCTATAACTCCTGCTTTTTAGGGTGTCACTTTAGTTTTATACTATGTACCTTTTACGTATCACCATCTACCTTCAAATAATATTATACCACTTCATATATAGCATAATACCCTGAAAACAGTTTACTTCCATTTCTACCCCACTTGCTTTTGTGCCATTCTTATGTTATAATATGAAAACCTTAGCTTAGGTCAGAGGTCTGGATTGCCTGTTTGCCCACATAAGAGTTTCAGAACTTTTTTTTTTTTCTTAAGCTTGGGTTCTAAGTCTCTCTGTGCTCCTAGTTACCAGTTCACACTCCCATAGCTAAGCTGCAGCCTCAGTGCCCTGGATCTAAGCAAAGGGCCTCCCATCCCCTGACAGGGTCAGGCTCAGCATTCTTAGCCTTGAAGTCCTTAACCCCATTTATTGGCTGTTCAAACGTCTAGAGTAGGAGCCTCAGCTTTCAGTTGTGTTGATGACATAGTGATCCCCTCCCACCATCTCACCTCCCACCAAGTCACAACACTTTAATTGGAATTCAAAGGCCTGGTACCCACAGCTTTCCTGAAGCTAACTCTTCTGCCACTATCTTGCTCAAGGAACATCACAGGATACTCAGAGACAAGTATCCAGCAAGAAAATATTTCATTTGACCTTGCAGTCAGCAGATGCCATCTTTTGTTCCAGCCATTCACTCTGGGACTAGATTATCTTTTTCAGTTTAACTCTTTGGCTCCTGGCCCAGCCTTCTTAGTTCTATACATCCTTTTGTGTCCATCCTGCCAATCCTTCCTGGAAATAACAAGTGTATATGGAAATAAAGGGAATCATTTCAGTTCTTTTCCCTTATTGTCCCAATTTTTTCTTTTTTACTCCTTTGCCCATTATCAAAAGCCCCTACCATTATCTCTACAAATAGTTTCAGACCCAAGAGTTTACTTACACTTTCCTAATCAGAGATTCACTAGATCTTCAAAATTACCATTTATTAATTTTTTTTAGTTTTCTCAAAAATAAACATTCTTGAAAATCAGACAAAGCAAATTAGACCAAATTGCTAAACAATATAAAGTTTAAGAACATGAGTTCTGGAACCAAATGGCCAATGTTCCCATCCTAACTCTTTCACATCCTAGCTCAAGTCCTCAGCTTCCTCATCTGTAAAATGGGGATAATAATAGAATCTTCTTTAGAAGGGTGTCATATGACTAAATGGATAAATAACACACAAGTCATTTATGAGCCAGCAATATAGTATGTCCTCAGGAAATACATAAAGCTAGTTTTAGTTTGACTTTTTTGTGTGTTTTTCAGAGATATGCACATAGTAATTATTCAAAAACTGATCTTTCTTCCTTTTTTTCTTTCTTCCTTCCTTCCTTTATAAATTCATTCAACCATGGAATGGCTGTCTGCTCTGTTCAAAGC
Source organism: Homo sapiens (assembly GCF_000001405.40). NCBI lineage: Eukaryota > Metazoa > Chordata > Mammalia > Primates > Hominidae > Homo > Homo sapiens. The sequence continues at coordinate 36,226,009 of NC_000003.12, forward strand.
AACACATTGGGGTTTGGGGATTGAAAGAGATGAATAAAAAGGTAGGTCACCCCTTGGTTCTCAAATGACTTTCAACCTTTTGAACCGAGAAAATGGAGGCAAGTGTGAAAGGGATCTTTTCCTACAATGACATAAGTGAACAAACAAGTTTTGTCATTAATTTCATGGGAAAACCAGCTTAAATTCAGAAAAGATTTCATCACAGAAAGGAGGAAGAATGGAAATTCATAAAGTAGGATTCCCCAGGCCTCTAACTTTCCAAGGAATAGATAGAAATCTACTGTTTCTAATTTCAAATCATCAAGATACCAATGACTTTCTTCACAGGATTGGAAAAAAAACTACTTTAAAGTTAACATGGGACCAAAACAGAGCCCACATTGCCAAGTCAATCCTAAGCCAAAAGAACAAAGCTGGAGGCGTCACGCTACCTGACTTCAAACTATACTACAAGGCTACAGTAACCAAAATAGCATGGTACTGGTACCAAAACAGAGATATAGACCAATGGAACAGAACAGAGCCCTCAGAAATAATACCACACATCTACAACTATCTAATCTTTCACAAACCTGACAAAAACCAGAAATGGAGAAAGGATTCCCTATTTAACAAATGGTGCTGGGAAAACAGGCTAGCCATATGTAGAAAGCTGAAACTGGATCCCTTCCTTACACCTTATACAAAAATTAATTCTAGACGAATTAAAGACTTAAATGTTAGACCTAAAACCATAAAAACCCTAGAAGAAAACCTAGGCAATACCATTCAGGACATAGGCATGGGCAAGGACTTCATGTCTAAAACACCAAAAGCAATGGCAACAAAAGCCAAAATTGACAAATGGGATCTAATTAAACTAAAGAGCTTCTGCACAGCAAAAGAAACTACCATCAGAGTGAACAGGCAACCTACAGAATGGGAGAAAATTTTTGCAATCCACTCATCTGACAAAGGGTTAATATCCAGAATCTACAAAGAACTCAAACAAATTTACAAGAAAAAAACAAACAACCCCATCGAAAAGTGGGTGAAGGATATGGACAGACACTTCTCAAAAGAAGACATTTATGCAGCCAACAGACACATGAAAAACTGCTCATCATCACTGGCCATCAGAGAAATGCAAATCAAAACCACAATGAGATATCATCTCACACCAGTTAGAATGGCAATCATTAAAAAGTCAGGAAACAACAGGTGCTGGAGAGGATGTGTGGAGAAATAGGAACACTTTTACACTGTTGGTGGGACTGTAAACTAGTTCAACCCTTGTGGAAGTCAGTGTGGTGATTCCTCAGGGATCTAGAACTAGAAATACCATTTGACCCAGCCATCCCATTACTGGGTATATACCCAAAGGAATATAAATCATGCTGCTATAAAGACACATGCACACGTATGTTTACTGTGGCACTACTCACAATAGCAAAGACTTGGAACCAACCCAAATGTCCAACAATGATAGACTGGATTAAGAAAATGTGTGGCACATATACACCATGGAATACTATGCAGCCATAAAAAATGATGAGTCCATGTCATTTATAGGGACATGGATGAAGCTGGAAACCATCATTCTCAGTAAACTATCGCAAGGACAAAAAAACCAAACAACGCATGTTTTCACTCATAGGTGGGAATTGAACAATGAGAACACTTGGACACAGGAAGGGGAACATCACACACTGGGGCCTGTTGTGGGATGGGGGGAGGGGGAGGGATAGCATTAGGAGATATACCTAATGTAAATGACGAGTTAATGGGTGCAGCACACCAACATGGCACATGTATACATATGTAACAAACCTGCACATTGTGCACATGTACCCTAGAACTTAAAGTATAATAAAAAATATATATATATATTTTTTAAAAAAGAAGCAAGAAAAAAAAAGGTGTTTTGCTAGGCAAGACCAAAGGCAGCAAAGCAACAGAATACCTGTTAAAAGTTTTAGGAATTTATTCCAACTCAAAGACCACTGTTGGCCTCCTGAGTTAAATAACTCACTGGCTCTAGTTATTGCTATAATCTTTGTTCTGTAACTACTCCGCTTTTAATCTGTGTGCAAAGCCCATGGGGCAGAAGGAGCAGCTGTTTCCCTCAGATGGAAGCCCTCAAAGAGAAACACAGATCAGATAACACTAGGAACTGACTGCGTGCTGCCCTTCTCCAGGGAAGTGAATGAAGTCTGCAAACAGTTGCTTTGTAGATGTTGAAAGCTCAGGCTTACCCTGGTGACCACAACGTAGCCATTATGTCCAAGGTAGCTAGCACAGGGTGCCTCTAGGCAGGTAGGGTGTGTTGAGAGCAGACCCCTGAGGAAAGAAAAATTACGACTCCCAAGTTAGGACAAACTATTAATCTGGAAATGAGGACAGACAGGCAAGATATATTAGAGTATTAACAAGATGTTTTGTTTTCTGAGAGCAGAAAATTCCTGTCAATTTTAACTCCTTTCACTTAAGCAAAATCATAACTTTCTGTGTAGTTTCACAGGGAAAAAATAAGGCATATGCAGGAAACAAGTTGCATGGGGCAGATACACCTATAATTAATAAGCACCATCCAAGTCTGTCCATGGTTTTGGGTCAAACTGCCTTCTGAAAAGCTATTTTTCTCTATTTCTGGGGCAGATTCCAGCTGAATCATCTCTGAGACACACATTTAGATAATCCACAAATGACAAGTTGTAAGTCAAGAAGAAAAAAGTGGCAAAATGTTGTTCTCATTGAAAGCAAAAACAAATATTGATTTATCTAAGTTTTAACAAAACATTTTTTCTTTTCTTTAAACACTAGCTTCCTCATACAATTAAAATAGAAACTGATTGGCAAAGCATTGATTCACAGCAATATTCCAGGGCCTTATCTAATATATAAAGTAAAACTTATCTGAACCAACAATGTAATCCCTGTCCTTAGTTTCCATTGCAGAAAGAAACAGAAGGAAAGAAAGCTCAAGTTGTTTATAGGCCACTGCCAAGGTAGACTAGATCAGAAGGCTACAAACAACCATCTTTTAGGAACTAAGTATTTTGTAGGGTTCAATAACAAAATTTTCTTTTCAAATTTTCAGAAGCAACATAATTATTTTTTAATCTTATTTCCCTGCTTTAGATTTTCTTTAAATATTGATACCCAATACCATAAGCAGTACTAGTATCTGCTTTTGAGTAAATTTATATGCAATGGTGTCTGCTTTTGAATAAATTTATATATTTGGTTAGATTAAGTTTAATCTATGGATATTTCATATTATTCCTCAAAGAGCTCCCCTATGTTCTGTCCCCTGACAAAGTGTAGACTTCTCAATTTGTTAGAACAAGAAAAGATTACTGTACTAACAGATAAATCACATTTTTTGAGAGACAATTACTCTTTTATGATACCACTCTTTGCTAGCACCTGGTTGGCACTTACCAAATACCAGACTGAGTGGTTGAATCCCAATTATAAAACAGGTATAGTTTTTAGGTGAGAAACAGAGACACAAGAAATTAAAGGACATGTCATTTAACTCATTTTTCTCATTGTTGGGAAGTACCAGAGATTCAGAGTCAACACTGTCTGGCCCCAGAGTCTAGACTCATAGCCACAATGCTGGAAGCACTGAGGTGAAGTAGATATTACTGATGCTGTAATAATCTGTCTGGGGTCAGTCTTATTCACTGTTGAAACCACACCACTTAACACAGTGCCAGACATGTAGTGCTTACTAAATACGCTAATGAATTAATTTTTTTCCAAGGAATTTAGCACATGAAGAACCAAGAAATTCTCCATCATTCTGACAATTGATACCAGAGACCAGAACTTAACTGTGTGAATCAGATTTGCTTTATTTCATGTGAGGCAGAAAGTTTGACCAACAGGATGTGAATAAAATCCAATCCTAAATCTCTGACTGTTTCACATCATGGTAGCTTTCCTCACATATTGGCAGCCAGAGCGCTCTACTTTCCAACCCCTTTATGAGTAAAGAAATAGATTATTGGTCTTACATTCCACAAAGGAACAACGTGGCCCTTGATTGGGCTCTTTAGAGGCAGATCCTGAGACAGATTCAGACACAAATGATTTATTGAGGGAAAGTTCTCAAATCTGTAAGAAAGGGAAGGAAGAAGAATAACGCAGTGGGGACAGGGGTGTCAGTGGAGGTGGAGTGTGGGGGAAGGAGCTGAGTACGGTTATGGTCTCAGAACAGTCTAAATCTAACCTGTTCTGCAGGGGAATTATATAAATTACACTGCAGAGGTATCCCTACAAGAGCAAGAGGGTTGGTCTTTTGCACAACCATATTAGCCAGTCAATGGTTATGGTGGCTCCAGAAGAGATGCATAATCTCCTGTTCAGTGGTCCCTGTCTACAGAGAAGAGATAGCTACACTAAGAGAAGCTGGGGGAATGGAAGTAGAAAAGGGAAGCTGACTGGGCACCAACAGTGTCTACTATAGCCATCCTGGCAACTTGATCATTCCTTGGCTTTCTATCCATAAAACAGCAAACATTACTGACTCAACAAAAATACAGTGATCTCCTATCTGTGCCAGGTCTTTGTTGTATGCCAAGTTTACAAAAGTGAATAAGCCATTGTACCTTTAACACCTGGCTAAAGGCAACACTATGTCTCCAGCAGAAAGTGAAGAAGTAACTACATGCACAGGAGAATTTCAGATGCTGAGGAGGACTATGAGGAAAATTAATCATGCTAATGTAAGAGAGTGACTTGTAGGGTGGTTACGGTTACTTCTTTGGAATGGATGTTCAGGGAAGACTTTTCTGTAGAAGGACCATTTGAGCAAAGAATTGAATGGAATAAGAGGAAGAAATAAGCCACTTGAAGATCTAAGGGCAGAACTTTTCCTGGCAAAGGGAACAGCTAGTCCAAAGTCTCCATGGTGGTAACAAACTTGTAAGCATCCAAGCACTGAGGATAGAGTGAGGAACCATTGAAGGAGTAACTAAAGCATAAGAAGAAAGATCCAGGATGCACCCTACCATGGAAGCAGAAAATAGAGAAGTGAACACAGCCAGCTCAATACAGTTAGATAAAGACTAAGTATTGGTGGGAGGCTTCTGCATCAGAAACTAGAAATGCAAAGATGAACAGGCTACGGTCCCTGGCCTTAATGAGGCTCTGAATTAATCCTAATACATATAGGCATGTAAACAAAGATTCTAATTCACAGAACAAGTGTTCTTCACTGTGAACCCACAAAGAGAAAAGCATTGCATTCTGCTTGAATGTGGCAGTTAACACCTCCAGAGGAGATGTAGGTTTTATTGCATGAGTAGGAGATCACCTGAAGGAGAAATGGAGGATATAATGTTCCAGGAGAGAAAAAGTATGAGCAAAAGTATGAAGGTGCAAAATCTGAATTAAGATAAAGTATATATATGGAATGGATAAGAAGAAACTGTTGATGAGGAGAGACAGGAAAATCTGTTGATGTACCTGAAAAGGGAAAATAGAGCAACTCTGATGCTACTACCTGCTTCATAATTTTCCTTTAATTAAACAGCACCAGAAAAAAAAATTAGCTTTAACTTTGTTCCTAAGGCCAGTGTTTCTCAAGTGTGGAGCATAAATCACCTGTATTAGAATCACCTGAAGTACTTTGCAAAATGCAGTTTTCTGGGCTCCTGCAGCTCTTCTAAAAAAAGGGTTTAAAACTTGCTACATTGTAATCTTTTTCTAGGCGATATATAAATACTTCCTAGAGGCTATTCTCATAGGTAAAAATGAAATTGTGTCATCAATTGTGTTTATTTCTAAGATGGATGTATATTTGCTTTGCCATCATATTTTTAAAAGTGGTAAGAATTTTAGCCATTTTAAGAGATGGGGAAGGAAAGGTTATTTATGCCCACAGGCCTCAAGGAAAAGCCAGCACCATATATTATTTATCAACACCCCTATGAGGTCTGGTGTACAACTATTCCTATTTGACATGTGAGAAAACTGAGGCTGAGAAAGGTGTATAAACTCATCCAAAAACAGATCTGATCCCAATTTCCAGAGTCTTTCTATTTGCCCTATACAACATTGCTCCATCACTACTTCTCACAAGGCTATCCACATGGTTGTCTAAAATTTCCAGTTTCTCCAGTGGGAAATGCCTTCTTCTTCTTACCAAATATCATGAAATGAGAAATACTCCAAATGAAAAAAAAAAAGATTAAGACATGGGAGTTAAAGACAATTTATCAAATTGTATGAAGAGCTAAGCTTCACTACTATTCAGGGGAAACAAACTAACAATGAAATGTTGTCTATACATTACACTGGCAAAAATTTAATTTAAGCCAAAGAAAGTAAAGAGAAATGTGTTATCTCACATTATGCTGGTGGGCAGTGTAAGGAATAAAGCCAACCAAAAGGATCTATCCAAATGTAGTATGCACATGCCTATTGATCCAGATATGTTGTTCCAATCTCACAGAAAGACTACACCATGACTGGCTACCTAAATTGCCAGACCCAGTACAAAAGGAAAATTCAGGACCCTTGTTTAAAAATTAAGAATTTCAAGACAGTGACAGCAGAACATTAAACCAAACAGGGAGCTCTTGAGTGTGGAGCCTTTTGCAACTGCATACATGGCAAGTCCATGAAGCCGACCCTGACTACTACACATATGTAAACTTACATAGCCAACAATATTTATTGCAGAATTGTATGTAATAGAAAAATGTAAACTTTAATGCCCAAGGAAATGTTAATTTAAATTAATTATAAAATATTCATGCAATTATTTGTTTCCATTAAAAAGAATGTTGTGTACATATAAAATCAACATGGTAATATTTCCTAGTCAAGAAATATTTGCTAAGTGAATAAGTGAGCTTCTGCAAAATAGGTATAGTATAATATTGTCTACAAACAAAACTGTGCTTATAAACAGCAGTAAAGTGCAAGAAAAGGGACTGGAGAAATACACATAAATATACACAGGATTATGCAAGAAAAAAGAAGGATTAGGCATAGGGTGCAAGCATGTCTGTTTTGTGCAATTCTATACTATGAATCATTGGCATTAGAATATAATTGAATATTCAAATTTTAAAGGAAAAATTAACATGCAAGATTTTCAGATAATTTGGGAAAATTAATCTGGAAAAGCTGAAAAAATAAAAGCAGAGAAAGAGCAAAGAAGCATTAAAAGCAAAAGGCATAAAAATGAAACCATCCCTGTAAACTTTATAAAATTATTCAGGGAAGGAGGGAGGGGGAGAAATGAAAATAACCAAACTTGCAGCACATTCCACATTAATCATTAAGTCAGCTTGCTTTCTAACTTGCTTCCTCATAGTTGTTTGGTGCTTGTTTTCCTAGACCCTGTTACAAGATCATGGGTCCCTTTAACTGCTCTCTAGATAACAACTTGAACATTATGAAATGTTAAGTTTTCCCTTTGAGATATCTTTTCACTGAAACTACTGATGCCACCTGGTCTGAAGTACCCTACCAATGCCAACTACTCTGAAAGACCACATGAGAAGCTGACTCAACAAAGGATGCAATTTCCACAACCTAATGTTCTTGTCTCCCCTTCCCCGACCAATCAACGACCCCAATTTTCTATCCCCTCCATCATCCCCTTAAAAGCCCCCATCAAGAACTCCTCTGGGAGATAAATTTGACAGTCTCTTCCCATCTCCTTGCTTGGCACCCTGAGATCATTAAACTCTTTCTCTGTTGCAAACTCTCTCAGTGTAATTGGTCTGTGACTGTGCAGCAGACATGTGAACCTGTTGGTCCTATAACAAAAGCAGGTAACAAAAATCTAAAGACTTTAAAAGACAAAGATTCTCAGGTGAGGAAATCAACAACCATTACTTGTAATTTAGAAAAGCATACAAGTTAGAAATAGATACCAGGCAAAAATTAATACCTTTAAAAAGGGGTGGCAATGTTTTTATGAATAAAATATAACTCAGCGAAATAATTATTAAATGGGAAAAAGAAGTAATTTATATGGAAAAAGTTACAACTTTCTAATAAATATCGTTTTATGTACCATAATCAGAAATGACAAAGGTGACATTACAACTGATCCCACAAAAATACAAAAGATCATCAGACTATTATTAATGCTTCTATGCAAACAAACTAGAAAATCTAGAGGAAATGGATAAATTCCTGCAAACACACAATTGCCCAAGATTGACTAAGGAAGAAATTGAAACCCTGAATAGACCAGTATCAAGTTCAGAAACTGAATGATAACAACAACAAAAAAACCTACCAATGAAAAAGGCCCCAGACCAGATGGATTTACAGCCTAATTCTACCCGATGTACAAAAAGAAGTGGTAAAAATTCCACTTCTACTATTCAAAAAAAAAAAAAATCAAGGAGGAGGGACTCCTCCGTAACTCATTATATAAAGCCAGTATCATCCTGATTCCAAAACCTGGCAAAGGCACAGTGACAAAAGAAAACTACAGGCCAGTGTCCCTGATGAACATAGATGCACAAATCCTCAACGAAATACTAGCAAAAAAATCCAGCAATATATCAAAAAGTTAACTTGCCACAATCAAGTAGGCTTTATTTCTGGGTGTAAGATTGAATTAATATATGCAAATCAATAAATGTGATTCACCACATAAACAGAATTAAAAACAAAAACCATATCATCATCACAATAGACATGAAGAAATCTTTCAATAAAATCAACATCCCTTCATAATAAAAACCCTCAATAAAGTAGACATTGAAGGAACATACCTAAAAATAATCAGAGTCATCTATGACAAAACCCACAGCCAACATCATAATGAATGGGCAAAAGCTGGAAGCATTCCCTTTAAGAACAGGAGCAAGACAAGGATTCCCACTCTCACCACTCCTATTCAACAAAGTACTGGAAGTCCCAGCCAGAGCAATCAAGCATCAGAAAGAAATAAAAGACACCTAGAAAATAAGTCAAATAGATACATAAGAAAATAAATCAAATTATCTCTCTTCACTGATATGATTCTATACCTAGAAAACCCCAAAGACTCTGCCAAAAATCTCCTAGAATTGATAAACAGAACAATTTCAGTAAAGTTTCAGGATACAAATTGATGAACAAAAATCAGTAGCATTTCTATACACCAAAAGCATTCATGCTGAGAGCCAAGCCAAGAATGCAATCCCATTTGCAATAGCCACATAAGAGTAAAATACTTAGGAATACAGCTAACCAAGTAGGTGAAAGGTCTCTACAAACAGAACTACAAAACACTACTGAAAGAAATCATAGACAACATAAACAATGGAAAAACATTCCATCATCATAAATTGGAAGAATCAATATTGCTAAAATGACCATATTGTCCAAAGCAATTTACAGATTTAATGCTATTCCTATCAAACTACCAATGTCATTTTTCACAGAATTAGACAAAAACACTCTAAAATTCATATGAAACTGAAAAAGAGCCCAAATAGGCAAAACCATCTTAGGCAAAAAAGAGCAAAGTCAGAGATATCACACTGTCCAACTTCAAACTATACAATAAGGCTATAGTAAACAAAACAGCATGGTACTGGTATAAAAAGAGACACATAGAACAATGGAATAGAGTAGAGAACCTAGAAAGGAAGCCAAACACCTACACCCATTGAATCATCAACAAAGTTGACAAAAATTAGCAATAGGGAAAAGACTCTTTATTCAATAAATAGTGCTGGGATAGTTGGCTAGCCATCTGCAGAAGAATAAAACCAGACACCTACCTCTCACCACATACCAAAGGTAACTCAAGATAAATTAAAGATTTAAATGTAAGACCTCAAACTATAAGAATTCTAGAAGAAAACCTAGGAAGTACCACTCTGGATATCAGCCTTGGGAAAGAATTTATGACTAAGCCCTCAAAAGCAAACACAACAAAAACAAAAATCGACAAGTGGAACCTAAATAAAGAGCTTCTACACAACTAAAGAAACTATCAACAGAGTAAACAGACAACCTGCGAACTGAGAGAAAATATTCGCAAATCATGCAGCTGACAAAGGTCTAATATGCACAATCTATAAGAATCTTAAACAATTCAACAAGCAAAAACCAAATAACCCTCTAAAAAGTGGGCAAAAGACATGAATAGATGCTTCTCAAAAGAAGACATACAAGCAGCCAACAAACATATGAAAACATGCTCAACATTACTAATATCAGAGAAATGCAAATCAAAACAACAACGAGATACCATCTCACACACATCTCATAACAATGGCTATTATTAAAAAGTAAAAAAAAAAATATGCTGGGTGCGGTAGCTCACGCCTGTAATCCCAGCACTTTGGGAGGCCGAGGTGGGCAGATCACTTGAGGTCAGGAGTTCGAGACCAGCCTGGCCAACATGGTGAAACCCCGTCTCTACTAAAAATAATAATAATACAAAAATTAGCTGGGCATGGTGGCAGGTGCCTGTAATCCCAGCTACTGAGGAGGCTGAGGCAGGAGAATCACTTGAACCTGCAAGGCAAAGGTTGCAATGAGCCGAGATCATGCCACTGCACTCCAGCCTGGGTAACAGAGCAAGACTCTGTCTCAAGAAAAAAAAAGAAAGAAAGTAAAGAAAAGTAAAAAAATAACAGATGCTGGCAAGGTCATGGAGAAAAGGAACATTTATACACTATTGGTGGTAATGTAAATTACCTCAGCCCCTGTGAAAAGCAGTTTGGACATTTCTTCAGAGAACTTAAAACAAAATTACCATTTGACCCAGCAATCTCATTATTAAGTATATACACAAAGAAAAATAAATTGTTCTACCAAAAAGACACATGCATTTATAGGCTCATCACAGCACTATTCACAATAGCAAAGACATGGACTCAACCTAGCTGCTCATCAATGGTGGATTAAATAAAGAAAATGGGGTTCATATACACCATGGAATACTACACAGCCATAAAAAATAATGAAATCATGTCCTTTGCAGCAATGTGGATATAGCTGGGGACCACTTTCCTAAGTGAATTAATGCAGAAATAGATAACAAAATATTGCATGTTCTCATTTATAAGTGGGAGCTAAGCATTAGATACAAACGGACATAAGGATAGGAACCACAGACACTGGAGACTATTAGAGGAGGGAGACAGGGAGGGGGACAAGGGTTTAAAAGCTACCTATTGGGTACTATGCTCACTACCTAGGTGACAGGATCACTCATACCCCAAACCTCAGTATCATGCAATATACCCATGTAACAAATTTGCACATGTACCCCTTGAATCTAAAATAAAAGTCGGAATTATTTGAAAAGTTACAAAATAGTAATGTAAAAATATCCTCCAGAATTATTCCTCATAATATACTGGCATATTTTTTCCAGTATGTATTATATGTATGTACTTTTTAAAAATACTATATAAGCACATGGTTCTTTTTTCTCATATACCTTCAAAATACATAATTATTAAAGTGGCTAAATTTAAGAAAGCAATTACTTTACATCTGTGGCGTCCTTCAGCAACTTATGTACCTATAACATTATGTACCTATAACATTCACAACATTAACTTCTGTAGGTGGCATTATAGCTACAACGTTCCAATAAATACAGACATAAAGGCCAAAAGAATAAAGGAAGTTTTTTGTGTCAAATAGCATGCCATTGAAACATAAAGCAAAATTATTACAATGAGAAAATTTTTGTCAAAGATCAGATAGTTGTAGATATGCGGCGTTATTTCTGAGGGCTCTGTTCTGTTCCATTGATCTATATCTCTGTTTTGGTACCAGTACCATGCTGTTTTGGTTACTGTAGCCTTGTAGTATAGTTTGAAGTCAGGTAGTGTGATGCCTCCAGATTTGTTCTTTTGGCTTAGGATTGCCTTGGTGATGTGGGCTCTTTTTTGGTTCCATATGAACTTTAAAGTAGTTTTTTCCAATTCTGTGAAGAAAGGCATTGGTAGCTTGATGGGGATGGCATTGAATCTGTAAATTACCTTGGGCAGTATGGCCATTTTCACGATATTGATTCTTCCTACCCATGAGCATGGAATGTTCTTCCATTTGTTTGTATCCTCTTTTATTTCATTGAGCAGTGGTTTGTAGTTCTCCTTGAAGAGGTCCTTCACATCCCTTGTAAGTTGGATTCCTAGGTATTTTATTCTCTTTGAAGCAATTCTGAATGGGAGTTCACTCATGATTTGGCTCTCTGTTTGTCTGTTGTTGGTGTATAAGAATGCTTGTGATTTTTGTACATTGATTTTGTATCCTGAGACTTTGCTGAAGTTGCTTATCAGCTTAAGGAGATTTTGGGCTAAGACAATGGGGTTTTCTAGATATACAATCATGACAAACCTGAGAAAAACAAGCAATGGGGAAAGGATTCCCTATTTAATAAATGGTGCTGGGAAAACTGGCTAGCCATATGTAGAAAGCTGAAACTGGATCCCTTCCTTACACCTTATACAAAAATCAATTCAAGATGGATTAAAGACTTAAACGTTAGACCTAAAACCATAAAAACCCTAGAAGAAAACCTAGGCATTACCATTCAGGACATAGGCATGGGCAAGGACTTCATGTCCAAAACACCAAAAGCAATGGCAACAAAAGCCAAAATTGACAAATGGGATCTAATTAAACTAAAGAGCTTCGGTGCAGCAAAAGAAACTACCATCAGAGTGAACAGGCAACCTACAAAATGGGAGAAAATTTTCGCAACCTACTCATCTGACAAAGGGCTAATATCCAGAATCTACAATGAACTCAAACAAATTTACAAGAAAAAAACAAACAACCCCATCAAAAAGTGGGCGAAGGACATGAACAGACACTTCTCAAAAGACGACATTTATGCAGCCAAAAAACACATGAAAAAATGCTCATCATCACTGGCCATCAGAGAAATGCAAATCAAAACCACAATGAGATACCATCTCACACCAGTCAGAATGGCAATCATTAAAAAGTCAGGAAACAACAGGTGCTGGAGAGGATGTGGAGAAACAGGAACACTTTTACACTGTTGGTGGGACTGTAAACTAGTTCAACCCTTGTGGAAGTCAGTGTGGCAATTCCTCAGGGATCTAGAACTAGAAATACCATTTGACCCAGCCATCCCATTACTGGGTATATACCCAAAGGACTATAAATCATGCTGCTATAAAGACACATGCACACGTATGTTTATTGCAGCATTATTCACAATAGCAAAGACTTGGAACCAACCCAAATGTCCAACAATGATAAACTGGATTAAGAAAATGTGGCACATATACACCATGGAATACTATGCAGCCATAAAAAATGATGAGTTCATATCCTTTGTAGGGACATGGATGAAATTGGAAATCATCATTCTCAGTAAACTATCGCAAGAACAAAAAACCAAACACCGCATATTCTCACTCATAGATGGGAATTGAACAATGAGATCACATGGACACAGGAAGGGGAATATCACACTCTGGGGACTGTGGTGGGGTGCGGGAAGGGGGGAGGGATAGCATTGGGAGATATACCTAATGCTAGATGATGAGTTAGTGGGTGCAGCGCACCAGCATGGCACATGTATACATATGTAACTAACCTGCACAATGTGCACATGTACCCTAAAACTTAAAGTATAATAAAAAAATAAAATAAAAATAAAAAACCTGAAACAAAAAAAAAAAGAAAAAATTTTTAAAACCAGCAGGATATTTTATGTAAATCCCTAGGTTTCTATTATATCAAATAAAGAAATATTAAAATGACATAAAATAAAATAACTACAATGAGACTGCTTCCTTGAAGACAGCATAATGCAATGGTTAACAATAAGTTCTGAAGTCACATGGCCTGCAGAGTGATCTAGAATCTATCACTTACTAAATTGTGTTACCTGGGGCAAACACTTACCTACTACTCCAAGCCTCAGTATTTTTTTAAGTAAATCTAACAAGGGAAAAAGGACATACATATGCATATGGATAATAAGACTTAATTTAAAATATGTAATATGCTATAATAATTAATTTATTGTTGGGGTTAAATGTGTGAATTACAAGGACACATTATCAGAATTTACTAGAAAAGTTTAAAGCAGAACACATAGGAAAAACTGAAAGATTTATCTTTCATAAAAAGCAGCCCTCAAGGATTTGTGAGTCCCAGAAAGGATTCAAAGATACTATTTAAGCTATTCCAAAGTAAACGGGGCAGGGATGGAAGGCTTCCAAATGTATCTTTACAAATAGAACCCTGATATTAAAACTTAACAAAAATAGTAAGTAGAAAGAAAACTATTAGAAGATTTTACTTTTAAATTTTAATTTAAAATTTCTAAATTAATTTAGGTAAATACATTCCAACAATATTTTAGAAGACTAAAAACCTCACTGTAGTTAATATTTATTCTAAAGAGCATTTTTCAAAATTTTAAACCCATTAATTTAATCATCATTAGTAATTAATGTAAAGCAAATCAAAATGCTAGTGATATTACTGTACTAAGTTTCACCCAACAAATTGGTAAAAGTTTAGAAGAACTATAATATATGATAAAGTTGCATTTAAAACCAGTGAGGAAAGAATGAAGGGATTAATTAATAAAATGTGTGTGGGTCGTTGTCTATCTAGTGGGAACACTTATGTTCAGAATCATAACTCTATTACAAAAGAAAAAGAACCCAACCAAAGACATATCTTATCTAAAGAATAAAATAATAACATTATTAGAAGAAAAAACTGTAGGAATATTCGAATATTCTCCTCCTCCTTTCCTCCTCCTCTTTCTTTGACTGCTCCTCTTCCTCCTCCTTCTCCTTTTTCTCTCTCTTGTTTTCTCCATCTCTATCTCTCTATATCTTAGTTTAAGTTTTAGTTCTAGTGTTGGAATGATCAGACTTCCAAGGTAATAAACAAAACTTAGTTTCAGAAGGGAGGAAAAAAAGATGGATTTGACTACAGAATAAATTTAAATTATGATGAAAACCATAAATGGGAGAAAATATTGTTAACACAGGCATAAAATTAATATGCTAAGAACTAAAAACCAGAAAGAAAAAGACAACCCAAGAGAATATCAATGAAAGTTATAAATTGCCAACCCACTGAAAAATAAATTTAAATAGCAAATCATTATGTAAAAAGATACCTAACCTCAATAATAATTACAATGCAAATTTAAATAACAAGACTGCATTTTCACAAATTTAAGTTGTCAACTATCTAACTAGTTGAGAAGAACCAGTGATAGTGATGATGTGGGAACCATGAAATCTCATACATTATAGAAACATAATATGATGAAATCATTTTAGAGGGCAATTTGACAGTATATAGTAAAATATAAATTTTCATTTATTATTATTCAGCAATCTTACTTTTTAGGAATTTATACTATTGGAATAAGAAAGACAATACATGGAGATTAAGACAAGGATCTTCATTATAACATGATTTCTAATAAAAAGAATAAAAACTTAAAGACAACTCAAATGTATGTTAATAATAAAATGTCTCTAAAAATACTATATAGCCATTCAACAGAATTCTATGCAGCTCTTAAAAAGAGAAAAGACCACTTGAATGTACTGGCCTACAGAGGTTTTCAGGACATCATAAGTAAAATTTAAAATGAAGTATCACTGATAGTATAATCCTTTTTGTAAGAAGAAAATGTGTATAAATTATTTGTATGTATAAATAATGATTTCTATTTTTCTGTTACTTAACAAATCTTTCTATCTCTCATTTTTCTTTATTAGTTTTTTCTTTTAAATAGAGGATTCCCTTTATTTAAAATGCATCTGTTTTGAGTACTTCCTCTTGATTCCAAATGTTGAATTTATCACAGCAGGTCTACGCAGAACTTCAAGAAAACACCAGCATATTAATAATTGGGGGCTGGAGCGGTCCAAAGGCTCCAGAATGAATGTCTTCCACATGACAGGTGTCCATGGTCTGTGACCAGTATGACTCAAGTCCACTGAGTAGGTGTTTCTATTGGTCTGACTTGTCCAAGGGACCAGAGTATTGGAGTCCACTGCCCAAGGGACCATAGTTATTGCAGTACATACTAACATGTTGATCTAGCACAGGCTGACTGCACTGAGAGAGAAACGTGACATCCAAAGCAGAAAATATCAGAATAAAAGCTTATACTCTAAATATAGACAAAGATTGATGTCAGAGTAATCAACGGAAATTACTAAAAATTGAAGTGACAAGATACATCAGTCTTTCTAAGATCAAATGTTAGGAGTAAAAAAGGAAAATAGTGTTGGCATCCAGTCGGTGACTCTTTCATCATTCAGCAAATGGTCATTGAGCACCAAAAATGTACCAAGAGTGGCTAACAGTTGAGGAGATAAGCGTGATCTCTCTCTGCTCAGATGGATTTGACAGTGGAGGGTGGAATACAGACAGTGAAACAGGCAAGCATAAGAAAGTAATTAGGTGCTACGATAAGGGGACAGCCAGAGTGATGTGGGCCAACCTAGGAGTGACACCTCACTTCGGATTGCAGAGGGTGGGATAGTAAAGAGCAGGAAGGTGAGGAAAAAACCCAGGGTGGAAGTTCCATTTAAACTAGAAAGAACATCTCAAATATAGCCACATGAAGGAGTGAGAACTGGAGAGCACTTCAAGAAAAAGGTCCCAAAAAAGAGCAAGATCATGTCCTTTGCAGGGACATGGATGGAGCTGGAGGCCATAATTCTTAGCAAACTAACACAGGAGCAGAAAACCAAATAGCACATGGTCTCACTTTTAAGTGAGAGCTAAATTACGAGAACACATGGGCACATAGAGGGGAACAATGCACACTGGTGCCTGTCAGACGGTGGAGGGTGGGAGGAGGGAAAGGATCAGGAAAAATGACTAATGGGTACTAGGCTTAATACCTGGGTGATGAAATAATCTGTACACAAACCCCCATGACACAAGTTTATCTGTATAACAAACCTGCACATGTATGTCTGAACAGAAAATAAAAGATTTAAAAAAAAAAAAAAAAAAGACTTCCTGAGCCAAAGAGAGCACACAGCATTTGAGTGACTGTGGGAGAATCCCTGTGCCCACAGGGGCCTGAAAGCAAGAGAAGCAACGAGACATGAGATTGGACAGGAAAGCAGGGGCCAGGTGTGCAGGTAGAGTTGGTCTCAGATACTTTCCATGCACAACCCACAGTTGTGTGTGTATGAGTTTTACATTTTTTCCTATGTTATCATTAATGCAGGTTGACTAGTCATTTAAAAATTTTGTGTGCAGTATGATTTTCCATTTTGTTTCACTTTTCACTGAACATTTTGATAATATATCCTGTCTTTATTCATTGCACTGAAATGTTGCTTCTCCTTTCTCTGTTTTGCATAAAAGGATGAATAAGTTATGATGTAGAAGTGAATGTGCAGAATCCAAATCACCAACAAGCATAAATCCTGTCAAGAGTTAATTTTCTCAACTTGATGCAGATTTACTTCATTTTGGAATCAGCATTTTATAAATATACAGATATAGTCAGCCCCTCACATATGTAGATTCAACCAACTGTAATTTAAAATATTTGGGGAAAAAAGGACGGTTGTGTCTATATTAAACATGTACAGACTTTTTTTTTCTTGCCATTACTCCCACACAATACAGTAAAGCAACAATTTGCATAGCATTTACATTGTATTAGGTATTAGAAGTAATCTAGAGATGATTTAAAGAACATGGGAGGATATGCATAGGTTATGTGCAAATACTATGCCATTTTATATAAAAGGCTGGAGCATCTGTGGATTTTGTTATCATCCGTGGGAGTTGTCCTGAAACTAATCCCCCATAGATATCAAGTGACAGCTCTATATGCGTATAAATATATCCCTGCAAATATACATGTATACACATCCACATACTGGTATATGCATGGGGTCATACTCTATGTTCATTTCTTTAATGCATTGAAGCTTATATCTGCTGGTTGCCATAATTATTTCAAGTAAGCACAGTTAGGCACAGCAGGCTTTTTGTGCTAGCTGAACAAGTCATTTGTCAGATTATATTTGCTTTTTTCTTTACATGATAGCATTTCTTGCTCAGGGCTGTCCCAGTGTTTGGAAAGCAGGGGACCCAGAGAGCTATTCCGGAAATGAAATGTGGGGCTCCAGGTAACTGGCAATAAAGAAGTTGAAATTGGCAATTAAGAAACAAATAACTAAGCATTTGTGTTCCAGCACTTTAATGAGTTTAACCTGTGGTCTCAGAGACCTGCTGTGGCCTAATGGAAATAGTAACCCCACCTCTCTTGGTAACGAATCAGAAAAACTGAAGCCTCACAAAGTGCAACTCAACTCTGAAGAGCACACACAGCTTCCACCTAGGAAGAGAGTGGCATTCACAATGCAGTGTTTCAGAACACATATAATTCATGTGGAAAACTGTAGTATTTCTGACAGTGTCCACTAAAGAACACTTTTCTTCCTTAAAACCACCTGACAGCCTTCTATGACAATAAAGTTTAAAAAGTATTTACTGATTAAAGCCTTCTGAAAATATTTCAGCAGGTCACTCAGATGATTTTTACTGTCCTAATTATACTGACCTATTACCATGTTCTTCTTATGTTTATTGTATTGAGAATTATATTATTATATTTTGATTTATATTCTATAGATGAATATTTCTTTTCAAGGTTCTATGGATAGCTGAAGGAAATGTTGGTATATACCCAGCCTTTAAATATCTCAAGGATATTTTAAGTTGTGTTTTATAAGCATTTGTAAATATTAAGCATTTTATATTTGGACCACTTTTGACCAACCGAACTCCACACAATTTCTGTGCCTTAACTGATGTTTCAGCACTATTTTAACAGTGCTCTATTAAAGAAAGAGTAAAGATAGACTTTATTATTCAAAGAGGCTTTCAAGCCATGTGAAGGCAAATGGTGAGATGACAGTTGGTAGGGTGAAGATTCCACAACAGTTCTGAGTCATGATTCAGCCCACAAGAATGAAAGAATCCTGACCTGAAAAATACCATTCCATAGGAGGGAGGCCCAAATTCATTCTGCATATAGTGTTGTGTTTTCTGCAAAATTTTATGTAATTTTTGTTAATTTCATGTATTTTAATTTATAGAGTTTTTAGAATTTAATTTCCAAATTTGGTTTTTATATAAACATAAGTTTTATATATATATATATATATTTTTTAGAAAGAGTTTCGCTCTTGTTGCCCAGGCTGGAGTGCAATGGCGTGATCTCGGCTCACTGCAACCTCTGCCTCCCGGGTTCAAGTGATTCTCAGCCACCCAGGTAGCTAAGATTACAGGTATGCGCCACCGTGTCCAGCTAATTTTGTATTTTTAGTAGAGATGGGGTTTCGCCATGTTGGTCGGGCTGGTCTTGAACTCCTAACATCAGGTAATCCACCCTCCTTGGCTTCCCAAAATGCTGGGATTACAGGCGTGAGCCACCGCACCCAGCCGAAGCTATAATTTTAAGGAGTGTATAAAACTTTCAATAATTATACTTGTTTATATTTATGCAGGTAACATTATATAATAAAACCATTTTAAATCAACCTGAGGGGCCTGAAACACTTTGTTTTCCTTCAAAGGGGTGTCTGCACTCCTTGGGCTTAGAAACACTGCTCCTCTAGGGGTTCTTGTGACAACAATTAGATATTGAGTTTCTCAAACACAAGGCCTGTCTTTGCCTGTCTGTCCCTCAGGTCAAAAGTTGTGTACCTGCTTGCTAAATTACCAAGAAATGAATGGGACATGTTGTTAAAATGTTTTTATGTTCTTTTGCATCTGAATCCTTCTTCCTTGAACCCAAATATATGCCTTGTGGGATATTATGCCCTCCCATTATGTTCCACCAGGAGGGACATACACGTTCATCTCAGCAAATGTGGAAGCAGGACAGAATCAGTTATAAATTATCTCAAAACTGTTGCATGCTCTTTTTATCAGTTAAACTTGTCTTCAACAGAAAACTTACTAATTAAAAGGCCTAACTTGCCACATGTGTTGATTTCATGGGAGTAAAATTCAGAAAGTCAAAAAACATATTTTTTTTATGATTTGGCTTTTCTGGAAAATAATTTGAACTTGTGTCTCACTTGGCTTTACTATCATGGCCCCAACTCCCAGAGGAGTGCTATATTTTGAAGTAGCAAAACCTCTGATTCCAAAGACCTGACACAAAACGAAATTCCACATGGAAAACTGAAACCCACCAATCGAGTATAGGCACAGCATGAAAATAACTTTCAAATCTCAGATATCATGCTATAATGGAATATGCTAAAAACAAAAACCAAAATAAACTTCTGGACAATAAAACAAGAGTATTAGTTACTGAAATATTAAGGAAGCTGATATACACACAGTATAAATAAAACTTTAAGTCATGCGATATAATAGTTCCATCCATTAAGCCTCATGGGGAATTCCAAGTAAATTTCTCCAATTACAAAGTTATCTCTCTTATATCCTGAGAAACCGATAAATGCCTTGCAAAACATAGTTTAATGAAATCAGAAGCCTACTACTCTATATAACTCTGCTGACATGAAATAGGATAAATAAGTTCTTTCTCAGTAACTAGATTCTGGTTCAGAAGTTCTGAGTCTACTGATCAGAAACTTAGGTGTCGATTTTGCTTTTTTTTAGTTTGTTTTTGCTATTTAAATTAGTAGCCTATTATAATAAATTTATAATATATTTTATATAACATATATCATAAAATTCAAATAATACAAAGTATTAATTGAATAGATTAAAATTTGTGTCTATTAATTGAATAGATAATGTGAAAGTTATAGTTCCTTCCTTTTCTTCCCTCCAAATTCACTTTCTAGAGCTGACTACTATTTGCACTTCAGTTTCATGTTTCCAGAAAACTCACCATATACAGAAATAAAGTGAGGAGAACTTAATAACTGCATTCAGTATAAAGTTGTGGCAGCATGGATGCAGGGAAAATGCAGTACCCTAGGGCTTTCACAGTGGGTGCCCTTACCTCCCTAGGACTGAGGGTGTTGTTACCAGGCCTGAAGACAGACAGGGTATGTAGAGATGGATGCTTCACAGGAACCTAAATCAAGGGACACAGCCAGCTTACAGGGTTGGGGTCAGGGAAATAAAACTCTGCCCTTACTCCTTTTTTCTAGACTCCTTCTGGGCTCCAACCAGATGTAGTTTGACATAGTCTGAGTGGCTCAGCCTTCAGGACCATAGAGCAGAATGGAGAAGGTGGGGTCAATGAAAGATTCCCAGCCTATTTGACTTACTGTTTTGCAACTTGTTTCTCACCTATTGATAAACGATGCGCATTTTGCTATATCAATTTATGAAAATTCACCTCATTCTTTGTTCATTATGTCATAGAATTTCATTTCGTGGAATTATTAAATGATAGCTAGAACCTGAGACGGGAAAAGACATCCCCCAGCCCCATGCAAGGCATTCTGAAGACTAGATTTCCACAGCTGTCCTTTGCTCAAAGTACTAGTAGCCTTCTCAAAAATGGTGCAGGGAAGGTTCATTGTTTGAGATCTTATGTGTAAAAATGCCTTTATGACTGAGTGTAGAAATCTCTTTCTATCAGTGTGTTAAAGGCATTGATCCATTGTATTCTATTTTCCAGTCATGCTAACACAAAGTTAGTCATTCTGATTTTTTTTTTTTTTTTTTTTCTGAGACAAGGTCTCACTCTGTCACCCAGACTGGAGTGCAGTAATGCAATCTCAGCTCACTGCAACCTCTGCCTCCCAGGCTCAAGTGATCATCCCACCTCAGCCTACACCAACTACAGGCATGCACCACCACACCCCACTAATTTTGATATTTTTTGTAGAGATGAGGTTTCACCATGTTGCCCAGGCTGGGCTTGAACTCCTGAGCTCAAGCAATCCCCCCACCTCAGCCTCCCAAAGTGCTGGGATTATAGACGAGATCCACTGTGCCCAGCCAGTCATTCTGATTCTTAAACTTTCATTTGTAACTTTCTCTTCCTAATCTCTAATTTCATAAACCATTATTGAGAAATAAGAGTAAACATTATCTAAGTTTTCCTTTCCATAACTTTAGTAAATAATTTTCACAGGTTCACCTTGCCTCTGCATATATAAGGAACTCATTCCCTAGTGTTGTATAAGAGACTTTCTCTCTAAACCTCATGTGAACTTTGTATTTCTGTGTCCTCAGATTGAATGAAGACAGTACTAAGCAGGTCTGCATTTTCCAATGCAGAAGGTATACGTATTTCCTGTGATACCTATCACCATCTTTTCTGCTGTTGTCAGAATCAGTATCTCCTATAAAGAGCTGAGAACAAACCTTTGTGCACAGATACTGACAAAAATACAACATCAAGTTGACTCATATTTAGGGGAGCTGCAGTAGAACGAGGCTCCTTTTACATGGCCTCTGGCTATTGGAGAATTGATTTATTTTAAGGTGACTTTTAAAATCATGTGCAAGAAGGAGTACAGGAAAATACCAAATCCCCTTACCACACTGGTACCAGGCGGCTTCTGGCCAATCCCCCAGCTGCTGCTGAAATCCTATATCTCAGGTTGCATGGGTTAGTCCTTTTGCTTTTACCATTGAGAGTTGTAGTCCCTGCAAAGTATGGTGAGCGGCATTGCTGAGTCAGGGAGGAGCGTGGGGAGGGATCAAATACAGGTGACTGCCCCTCAGGATGCTGCTACTTGGGGAGTGAGCAAGATGTTTACTCAGGATATCTGCTCAGCAGCATAGACCCTGGGTTTCTCATGTGAGGATATACCAGGGGATGAGCTAAAATCCTTTCCTCATTTTCACTTGCCTTGATACATTGTTCATTTAGAGATGTTTGGGAATGAGAGAACTTCCAACATTTCTTTTATTATTATTATTATTATACTTTAAGTTTTAGGGTACATGTGCACAACAGTTCTTGATTCCTTTAGGAAATTTTTCAAGAAAGTAATCCATTACTGAACAATAGCTCTTATTACCAATGTCATTGCAATCTTTCGTGTGTGTATTTGTATTTATATTGACATTTCAGTGGGAAGATCATTAGGAAGCTAAATCTGCTAATGATCACAGTGAGGCATTTGGAACTTTAGGAATGTTGTGTTATTTTTTATCATTCATCCACAGGGGCTGATAACCATGAACTGGACAACGAAAGGAAGTGCAAGTATTTTTGGTGCCTCTATGCTGGAGAAATAAACCTCTCCCATGGCCTTTCTGTTGGTTTGCTGAATTTTCTCTGTCAATTCTTCTGACACTGAGTTTCTCCAAATTTCTCCAGTGCTGAAGATGGAAGGTTTTGTACTTAAGGCCAGTTGCAACCCTTTGTCATAATAGCAACTCCCTTGTGCACTTCAAGGGAGGAATATTTCTCTGGGTATGAACAGGGGCACACATCAGAAGGAGGACAGAGTCTTTTGCCACCAGCATCCATCCATGATGCTGAGCAAGAGCAGATCATGCAGAAAACCTCTCTGATTCCCTTCTCTGCTGTTTCCTCTCCTCTTTCCCCACAGCTCAGAGCAAGGTTAAGCAGTAAACAGAAGGTAGGACTGGTATGGGAGGATGTAATTTTTAACATCCAACATGAAAGCAGATCTCCAAACAAATTATTTGCTAAAATGTATTTTATTTATTGTAAAAATAAAATAGAAGGAGAATATTAAATTAAAATTATTGAAATGGCAACATAGGTACAAACTGCCAGTTTTAACACTTTGTTCATTTCTAGCCTTTCTGAAGGTGCTGACGCAAATCTTAAAATGCAATTAAGACTACCTTGGGAGAAAGGACTAAAAGGCTGAATATAAATAGCTGTAGTCAGAGGCTCCCCACAAGAATGAAAATGGTGAGTGAATCCTGCACCGGAAACCAAGGTATCCAGGTTCTCTAATCGGGACTAACTAGGCCGTTGGTGCAACCCATGGAGAGCAAGTAAAAATAGGGTGGAGTGACAGCCCACCTGGGAGCCACATGGCTGTTGTTCCACCCCCAGCCAAGTGAGGCGGTGAGTAATTGTACTACCCCACCCAGGAAATCACACTTTTTCCATGGATCTGTGCAACCCATGGATCAGGAGACCCCCCTTATGAGCCCATGCCAGCAGGGCCTTAGATCCCAAGCACAGAGCTGTGCAGAATTTCAGTGGCCACCCAGCTGGAGACTGCCCAAGACTACCAAGTTCTCGGGGGAGGAGCGGCTGCCATCACTGTGGCTGCCTGCTGCCTAGGACAACTAAGCTCCTGCGGGGAGGGGTGGCTGCCATCACTGCAGTTTCAGTCTGCAGTATTCCCCTGCCAGTGTCAGGGAGACTGGGTGATTTAGACCCAGGAGGAATCCCCCACAGTGCAGCACAGCAGCTGTGGCAGATCATGGACAGACTACACCTTTAGGCAGGACCATGTCCCATCCCTACTCACTGGGTGGGGCCTCCCCATGGGAATTTCTGCAATGCTAGCCAGGGGTTTATGGACATAACTCTGATCTCCCTGGGAGGGAGCCCCTGGGGGAAGGGATGGCCTCAGTCTTCATGATTCAGCAGACTTAGCCATTCCCCCTCCTGGCTCTTAAGAATCTAGGTAGTCTAGATGAGTGAGATTCCCCCCAGTGCAGTGCACCCCCTCCACCAAGGAGAAATCAGAGTGCTTTGTTAAGTGGGTCATGCCTCCCGACTGGATGAGATCCCCTCAACATGGGTCACCAGACAACTTACACAGGAGCATTCCCACTAACATTTGGTTGGTGCCCCTCTGGGATGGAGATCCCAGAGGAAGGGGCAGGGAGCCATCTTTACTATTCTGCAGTCTCCACAGGTGACACCTCTAGGTGCAGGAGGGACCCATGCAAATAGGGACTGGACTGGACCCCCAGCAAACAGAAGCAGACCCTCAGAAAAGGTGCCTGACTGTTAAAAGAAAAACAAACAGAAAGCGACAACAGCATCAACCAAAAATTCCCCACAAAAACCCCATCCAAAGGTCAGCAGTCTCAAAGATCAAAGCTAAATAAACTCATGAAGATGAGAAAGAATCAATGAAAAACGTGCTGAAAACTCAAAAAGCCAGAGTGCCTCTTCTCCTCCAAATAATCACAATGCCTCTCCAACAAAGGCTCAGAACTGGGCTGAGGCTCAGATGAATGAATTCACAGAAGTAAGTTTCAGAAGGTTGGTAATAACAAACTTCACTGAGCTAAAGAGGCATGTTCTAACCCAATGTAAAGCAGCTAAGACCATAAGAAAACATTACAGGAGCTGTTAATCAGAATAACCAGTTTAGAGAGAGCAATAAATGACCTGATGGAGTTGAAAAACAAAACATGAGAGCTTCACAATGCAACCCCAAGTATTAACAGTCAATAGACTAAGCAGAGGAAAGGATTTCAGAGTTTGAAGACTATCTTGCTGAAATAAGACAGACAAACAAGATTAGAGAAAAAAGAATGAAAAGGAATGAACAAAACCATGGAGAACTACGGGATTATGTAAAAAAAAAAAAAAAAACCCAACCTACAACTGATTGGGGTACCTAAAATAAATGAGGAGAATGGTACCAAGTTGGAAGACATACTTTGAGATATCATCCAGGAGAACTTCCCCAACCTAGCAAGACAGGCCAATGGTCAAATTCAGGAAATCCAGAGAACCCTAGTAAGACACTTCATGAGAAGATCAATCCCAAGACACATAATCTTCAGATTCTCCAAGGTGGAAGTGAAGGAAAAAATGTTAAGGGCAGCCAGAGAGAAAGACTAGGTAACCTACAAAGGGAAGCCCACTGGACTAACAGCAGACCTCTCAACAGAAACCCTGCAAGCCAGAAGAAATTGAAGGCCAATATTCAACATTCTTAAAGAAGAGAATTTCCAACCCAAAATTTTATATCCGGCCAAACTAAACTTCATAAGCAAAGGAGAAATAAAATGCTTTTCAGACAAGCAAATGCCAAGGGAATTCATCACCACCAGGCCTGCCCCGCAAGAGTTCCTGAAGGAAGCACTAAATATGGAAAGGAAAAGCCATTACCAGCCAATACGAAAGCACACTGAAGTACAAAGACAAACGACACTATGAAGCAACTACATCAATAAGTCTGCAAAATAACCAGCTAGCATCATGATGATAGGATCAAATTCACACGTAATAATATTAACCTTCAATGTAAATGCCCTAATTAAAAGACACAGAATGGCAAGCTGCATAAAGAGTCAAGATCCATTGGTGTGCTGTATTCAAGAGATCCATCTCACATGCAAAGACTCACACAGGCTCAAAGTAAAAGGATGAAGGAAATTTACCAAGCAAATGGAAAACAGAAAAAGCAGTTAAGCCAATGAAGATCAAAAGAGACAAAGAAGGGTACTACATGATGGTAAAGGGTTTAATTCAACAAGAAGGGATAACTATCCTAAATATCTATGTACCTAATACAGGAGCTCCCAGATTCGTAAAACAAGTTCTTAGAGATTGACAAAGAGACTTAGACTCTCACACAATAATAGTTGGAGACTTTAACAACCCACTGTCAATATTAGATCACTGAGACAGAAATTAACAGGGATATTCAGGACTTAAACTCAGCTCTGGGTCAAATGGACCAGACAGTTATCACAGAACTCTCCACACCAAAACAACAGAATACACGTTCTTCTCAGCACCACATGGAACTTAGTCTAAAATCAATCACATAGTTGGAAATAAAAGACTCCTCAGCAAATGCAAAAGAACTAAAATCATAACAGTCTCTAGGGCCACAGCACAATCAAATTAGAATTCAAGATTAAGAAACTCACTCAAAACTATACAACTACATGGAAACTGAACAACCTGCTCCTTTATGACTCCTGGGTAAATAATGAAATTAAGACAGAAATCAAGAAGTTCTTTGAAACCAATGAGAACAAAGATATTTGATATAATGTACCAGAATCTATGGGATGCAGCTAAAGCAGAGTTAAGAGGGAAATTTATAGCACTAATTGCCCACATCTAAAAGCTAGAAAGATCTCAAATCAACACCCTAACATCACAACTAAGAGAACTAGAGAAATAAGAGCAAAGAAACCCAAAAGCTAGCAGAAGACAAGAAATAACCAAGATCAGAGGAGAAATGAATGACATAGAGAGATGGCAAACCCTTCAAAAAAATCAATGAATCCAGGAGATTTTTTTTGAAAAAATTAATAAAATACATCGCTAGCTAGACTAATAAAGAAGAAGAGATAGAAGAATCAAATAGACACAATAAAAATGATAAAGGGGATATCACGGCTGACCCACAGAAATATAAACCACCATCAGAGAATAGTATAAACACCTCTATGCAAATAAATTAGAAAACCTAGAAGAAATGGATAAATTCCTGGACACATACACCCTCCCAAGACTGAACTAGGAAGAAGGCGAATCCCTGAATAGAAAAATAACAAGCTCTGAAATTGAAGCAGTAATAAATAGCTTACCAACCAAAAAAAGCCCAGGACCAGAAAGATTTACAGCTGAATTTTGTCAGAAGTACAATTAGGAGCTGGTACCATTTCTTCTGAAAGTATTCCAAACAATTGAAAAAGAAGGACTCCTCCCTAACTCATTTTATGAGGCCAGCATCATTCTCATACCAAAACCTGCCAGAGATACAACAAAAAAAGAAAACTTCAGGCCAGTATTCCTGATGAACATTGATGCAAAAATCTTCAATAAAATACTGGCAAACCAAATCCAGCAGCACATCAAAAGTCTTTTCCACCATGATCAAGTCAGCTTCATCCCCAGGTTGCAAGGCTGGTTCAACATATGCAAATCAGTAAACATAATTCATCACATAAATGGAACTAAAGACAAAAACCACGTGACTATCTCAATAGACACAGAAAAGACCTTTGATAAAATTAAATATCACTTCATGTTAAAAACTTTCAATAAACTAGGTATTGATGGAACATACCTCAAAATAATAAGAGCCTTATGTGAACAACCCACAGCCAATATCATACTGAATGGGCAAAAGCTGGAAGCCTTGCCCTTGAAAATGAGCACAAGACAACAATAACCTCTCTCATCACTCCTATTCAACATAGTATTGGAAGTTATGGCCAGGACTATCACGCAAGAGAAAGAAATAAAGGGTATTCAAATAGGAAGAGAGGGAGCCAAACTGTCCCTGTTTGCAGATGACATGATCTGCAAAGACAACCTAGCTAAGCTAAGACAATCCTAAGCAAAAAGAACAAAGCTGGAGGCATCATGCTACCTGACTTCAAACTATACTACAAGGCTAAAATAACCAAAACAGCATAGTACTGCTACAAAAGCAGACACATAGATCAATGAAATAGAATACAGAACTCAGAAATAAGACCATCTGATACTGGACAACCATCTGATCAACAAACTTGACATAAACAAGCAATGGGGAAGGGATTCCCTATTTAATAAATGGTGCTGGGAGAACTGGTTAGCCATATGCAGAGAATTAAAATTGGATCCCTTCCTTACATCTTATGCAAAAATTAACTCAAGATGGAGTAACCCCAAAACTATAAAAACCCTAGAAGAAAATCTAGGCAATACCATTCAGGACATAGGCACAGTCAAAGATTTCATGATGGAAATGCCAAAAGCAATTGCAACAAAGCAAAAATTGACAAATGGGATCTAATTAAACTAAAGAGCTCCTGCACAGCCAAAAAAACTATTATCAGAGTGAACAGACAGCCTACTAAATGGGAGAAAATTTTTGCTATCTATCCATCTGACAAAGGTCTAATATCCAAAATCTACAAGGAACTTAAACAAATTCACAAGAAAAAAAAACAAACAACCCCATTAAAATGTGGGCAAAGTACATGAACAGACACTTCTCAAAATCAGACATACATGCAGCCAACAAACATGAAAAAAAGCTCAACATCAATAATCGTTAGAGAAATGCAAATCAAAACCACAATGAGATACCATCTCATGCCAGTCAGAATGGTGATTATTTAAAAGTGAAGAAACAACAGATCCTGGTGAGGCTGTGGAGAAACAGGAATGCTTTTACACTGTTGGTAGGAATGTAAATTAGTTCAACCATTGTGGAAGACAGTGTGGCAATTCCTCAAAGACCTAGAAGCAGAAATACCATTTGACCCAGCAATCCCATTACTGGGTATATATCCAAATGAATATAATCATTCCATTATAAAGATACATGCATGTGTGTGCTCATTGCAGCACTATTCACACTAGCAAAGACATAGAATCAACCCAAATGCCCATCAATGATAGACTGGATAAAGAAAATGTGGTACATATACACCATGAGATACTACGCAGCCATAAAAAGGAATGAGATCGTGTTCTTTGCAGGGACATGGATGGAGCTCAAAGTCACCAACCTCAGCTACCTAACGCAGGAACAGAAAACCAAATACTGCATGTTCTCACTTCAGCTCTCACTTATAAGTGGGAGCTGAACAATGAGAACACATGGACACAGGGAGGAGAGGGAGAGCATCAGGATAAATAGCTAATGCATGCTGGGCTTCACATCTACGTGATGGGTTCATAAGTGCAGCAAACCGCCATGACACATCTTTACTTATGTAACAAACCTGCACATCCTGCACATGTATCCTGGAACTTAAATTAAATTAAATTTTTAAAAAAGACCACCTTGCTTCTTTCCTGTTCTGCTCTGCTCATTCAAATGTTACATTTTAGGCAATATTTTCATGAAGCTATATCATCTTCCTAAGGATTAATTTAAATGTCAGCACAATAATTCATCAAGAGTCTGTTTGCCTTTGTTTGAGGATTTTTTATGCATTAAAGAAAGTGCCATAAATGATATATTCATGTACAAGTAATGTTCTTAACATTTAAATTTTTTTTACATTCCCAAGAGTAAAATTCTTGTTGCATCAAAGGATTGAACAGTTTTATAACTATTGAAATGAAATATCAAATTTCTTTCTAACACTATTCGTGTTCTCAAACACTGTGGGGTCATTTCTGCTAACTATAAATGCTTATTTTTTAATGTGTGAAATTTTTGTTCTATTTTTAGAAACAGGTTTCTCCCTGTGTTGCTCAGGCTGGCCTCAAACTCCTGGGCTCAAGTGATTGTACTGCCTCAGCCTCTAGAGTAGCTGGGACTATAGGCACATGCCACCACACCTAGCTCCGATGAGTGAATTTTTAGAGACATATCTTCTTTGTCCTTTGCGCAGCATTTGATATGTTACTTGCTCGAACAAATACTATGGTTCATACTTTCTTCTTTTTGAAATGATCATATTATAAGGACAATTTGCACTGGAAATGTGAGGTCGTTGCAGATGTTGTGAGCGTTGCTGGTATATTTCTGCTTTTATAAATAGTTTACTTTATAAGACATGAAAGGGCTATGCAATCATGCATAGTAAAATCGCTCTGCCATCCATAACATGGGTGCAGGGGAAGCCAGTCCCTGGTGCATAGCTATTCTCTATGAGGGGACTGACACCTGCTAGAGTTCATAACCCTGGCTTTATGACCTTGGACAATCCTTTAACATCAGTAAGCCTCAATATCATACTCTGGAAAATAAGAGTGATTAGGAAAATCAAAGAATATATTATAAAATACACAGTACATAATTAGTTACATTCCTTTTCTCTAGTTAGGTAGGGATCATTACTATTTAAATAAATCACATGTAAAGTTTTTTAAAAGCCCACAAGCCTCTCCCTAGTTGTTTTATAAATAGTCATGATGCTTTACCCTTAAAATCCATCTTTGTGTATATTTGCAGTTCATAGACAAGTATACACACATCCTCCTTGACCTTATTTTCTATTTACTGCTCCTTCCTCCCACATGCACCAGCCATACTGGTCTATTCTCAGTCCTTAGAACATGCTAGCCTTATTCTGGTGTCAGGGTCTTCATACTTGCTACTTACTGCATAGAATTGTATTCTACACCTCCCTTTTTCTCATGATGCAGGATTTAGCTCAAAGGCCACTTCTACTCTGCAGCCTTCTGCCTGACCTGGCTGAAGGTGCTCTCATTATCTAGGCATTCCCCATCTTGTGCCTGATTTTAATGACTTCATAGAACTTTTCACTTCCTAAAGTTATTTTATTCATAGAGTTGCTTACTTGTTTATTGCCTGTCCTCCAGAGCTAGAAGAGAAGCCAGGGGACTTTGAATGATTACTATCAAATGCCTGAAGCCTAGAACACTCTCTAGCACACATCAGGTGCTCAAGTATTTGTTGCTTCAGAGCCCAGTTGTAACTCATTTATTACATCACAAGGAAGATAAATTATTGACTATTCTTTTAACATCACTGAGTAATTTTTAAATTAATCATTAACAAATTCTATGTGATACTGCAAAAAACCAGTATACCGCACTCGTCAAACGTTAGCTCCTAGAGTGAAGCACTCTAGAGTTCTGCTTCAGGATGTTCCAACTCCAAACTGCAATTGCTGATGCTGATGGAAATATTGACATTTACAATGACCTCATCTGAAGGGGAAATCAGGTTTTGCCTGAATTTTTTTCCACCAGTTTTTTAGGGCTTTTAATTAGTCATACCTTCCCATAATTGTTGAGGGAGGAACCATATATTCATGGGCTTCTTTTGGGGGAACTTATTTTGAGATTAATCTAAGCTCCACTTTCATTTGATTTTTGCTGATGCCATCTCATCTCCTTTGCTATTACAAAAGCCTGCAAAAATAGCCCTGCACATAAATTATGCATCAAGTCTTTAAATATCCTGGTCTTTTTTATTTTTTTGCCCCACCTTCATCCAAGGAGAAAGATTATAATGCTCTTTTGCACTGCCTGTTGTTTCTGCTGTGGGGGTTTTAAATTTTTGTTTAATTTTATTTTCTGAAAGAAAAATAAAAATCTTGGTTCCCCTGTTTTTACTCACAAGTGACTAAGGTGTAATACTCTGAATCCATATTATTTGCAAGGTTTTTTCTTTTAATACAAGAACTGATCATCTTGTTTCTAGAGGCAGATTATTATCCTTTTGTCCAAAATTGTTCCAAGATTAGAATCTGCTAACTTTAATTGCTGTTCATGTTGGAGGGTGAGCATAGCTCACTTTTTTTTTGTCCAAGTATGTCCAAAGTTAGATTACTTTTGTCTCTGGAAACACCAGGAAAAACTATATAAATACAGCTAACTTTTACTGAGGTTGTACAGTGTGCTGCATGCTGGCCATGTTATTTTTGATGCTAATGAGGACTCAACAAGGATGGATTCTTATTCCCTATTTACATATAATGAATTCAAGACCCTAGACCTGGTCAATTCAAATCAAGTCCATCGATTTCAGGACCTACACCCGCCTACCTTCCTATATTGCTTCACAAGCCAAGGGGCAATCACATTCTTTAAATGTAAAATAGCTGAGCAGAGAATGGTGATCTTCAGGAAGAAACTATTACTTTTATTGTTCTCTTATTCTGATTTTTTAGATCTCTCTACACTTATCCAGTTGGTTTTCAACCAAAACAAAAATATCACAAATATTGATGGGAAAGCTCTTCACTACCACAGGCCTCCAGTTTGCAGACTGGCCTCGTATTAGGTTGCTAGGCTTATAGTCTCAAGGAATGACAGAATTATAATGGAATTCTAAATAATGAAAGATATTTGCTTAAATTCCCAGAGCTGGAATAGAAATATGGTCTTGGATAGCACATCTGGGACTTTTTCATAATGCTAGGATATAGCCAGCCAAGACCTTTTCAGGTTTTTCCCTGGGTAGAAACTAGAACTACAGTCTTTGTGTTTCAGTGTCTGAAGGAGATAGGAGACAAAGACATGACACATTTTCCCCTGCATTTTGGTAAAAAGAAAAGAACATTTGATTTTTCTTTAAATATTAGGAAACACAATACATAAAACATTTGAAATAATCAGAAAATTCTGAGAAGGAGGGGAGCATCATAAGGCTCTTCTCCAGTTACTAGATTTTTTCCCTCAAACTTAAAATCATTATCTCCACAATGTATTCTCATCCAAGATTTCAAGTTCCATCCTCAGTAAACTCATTAAATACATATTTCAAATACTTATTGAGAATTCATTTTCTAAACAAGAATGATATAATTTTTAGCAGAAGCAACATTATATTTACAAAAATATCCTTTTCTCCCTGAAAAAAAATCTGTTATATAAAATTCATAACCCCTTCTTCAGATAGTATCATTGTGTTTTCTATAAAAAACTTATTCTCAAACTAAATTTCTAGTATTTTATGGCTCTCTGATTTTAGTATGAAATTCTACTAAGTCAAAATTTATTACCAGAGGGCCCTGATGCACTTTTATCCTTCTGAATAAGTATTAGAGAGTGCTACTATGAACACGATTTTAGAATATATCAAGTACTTACAAAAAACAAGTTTTTTAAAAGTAACTTCAAACATTTTATAAGATCCATTTACCTAATACCAATTGTCATTCATTGTGTTATGCTTTTTAATTTTTCCCCACATACACAGATAAAGAAAACTCAAGAGAACTATGTTTGATGAGGCTTTTTCCAAAACAACACACAAACACAGACACACACACACATACACACACACACACATGCATACTATGTGCAAATGAAATACCATTTTTAAATTTCAAGTAGGAAGCCATGCTCAAAATTTTTAAACGACATTCGCTAGTGCCAAATATTTAGAGGGAAAACATTTCAGTTGTGCTTAAAACGAAACTTGTGCAATTTGTCAAAGTAAACAAATCAGTAAAGGGGTATAGGCCTGAGAGGTTGGGTATTAAAAAAAAATCCTCAGGGAGGCAGTAGGGATATGGCAGTCAAGAAGGAGTCAGTCAGGTTAGGAGCTGACTGCCTGAGCTCCCTGCATAAATCTGGGAGCCAGGGCAGTAACTTCCCATTAGTAAAGAGCTCACATGATCAGCCCAAGGATAGGACCTAGGGGTTGGGACCCCAAGACATGGATAGAAACAGAGCAAGCAGCAAGAAAACAAAGCCTCTAGTTGGTATCCCCAGGGTAGTGGGGACCCAAAATCTCCAA